>NC_000001.11:21849163-23099163 GCF_000001405.40 Homo sapiens
CACCTTCTCCCTTCCTATCTACCGCCCCAGTGTCAGGACTGGGTCTAGCGTCCCACCTCACCCATGCCAGGGACGACTGAGACTTGGCACCAGAGAAAAGTGGGGACCAGTGTTTGTTGACATGCTACAGGGGAGATGAGGTAGGCAGCATGAGCCCATTTGGCCCCTCACTCTGACCCCCAAGGCCTGGCCATCAGCTCTGGATCACTGTCCCTGTCCTTCACATGGGGAAGGGGGACTCTTGTCCAGCAGCGGGGTGGTAGACCAGAGGAGCCCCAGTGAGCTGGGTACACACTCACACCACATCCCATCAATTCTAGACACACATTTCAGTGTCTCCAAAATCAAGATGCATCTACAATGAATAACCTTACAAATGGAAGCTTTTTCTTAGAGGTACATAAAATCATAGGACACTGAGGGTCAGAGAATCAAGTGACAAGTGACTGGCCTAAAGTCACACAGCATGCAAGTAGCGGAACAGTGTCTGAACTCGAACATGCCTGAGTTCAAAGCCTGTGGTTTTTTTTTTTTGAGACGGAGTCTTGCTCTGTCGCCCAGGCTGGAGTGCAACGGCACGATCTCGGCTCACTGCAACCTCCGCCTCCTGGGTTCAGGCGATTCTCCTGCCTCAGCCTCCCGAGTAGCTGGGATTACAGGCGCGCACCACCACGCCCGGCTAATTTGTGGATTTTCAGTAGAGATGGGGTTTCATTATGTTGGTCAGGCTGGTCTCAAACTCCTGACCTCGTGATCTTCCTGCCTTGGCCTCCCAAAGTGCCGGGATTACAGGCGTGAGCCACTGCGCCCGGTCAAGCCTATGCTCTTGTACTGCAGCTACAGGGTCCTTCAGGCTTCCTGAGCTCCTGCCTCCTACCTGGTGCCGGGCCGGGAGGCTGCCCCCGCGCTTGTGCCACGTGACCTGGGCATGGGCCTGACCAGCAACGAGGCAGTTCAGGTCCAGGGTCTGCCCCTCGGCCACTTGCGAAGACGATGACTCGATCCGGACCGTGGGGGTGACCCCAAGTGCTGGGGACAGAGGGCAAAGGGTCAATAGCCGGCTAGGAGGTGAGATGAGATGGGGCTCCTGGTCTCAAGGCAGGTGCAGTCTGCGGCTTGGCCTCCTGATCCTGCCGTTGCAAGAGTGGGGGGCCTCCCACCCTGGGTCCCCAGCCCTGCCCTCCCTGAGAGCTACTCACCAGGCACTGAGCCCGCAGGCTCAATGGTGACCAGGACAGAGGCCTCTAGAGGCACGGAGCTGCCCAACACTCGGCACACGTACTCGCCCGAGTCGGCGGGGGACGCTTGGTAGAGTCTCAGCAGGGAGCCGTGGGTCTGGCCAGAATGGGGGTGAGTCAGAGGGAGCCCTCAGGAGACCCCTGTTCCTATAACCTGCAACCCTGCCTCACTCTGACCCCCAAGGCCTGGCCATCAGCTCTGGATCAGTTTCCCTGTCCTTCACATGGGGAAGGGGGACTCTTGTCCAGCAGCGGGGTGGTAGACCAGAGGAGCCCCAGTGAGCTGGGTACACACTCACACCACATCCCATCAATTCTAGACACACATTTCGATGTCTCCAAAATCAAGATGCATCTACAATGAATAACCTTACAAATAGAAGCTTTTTCTTAGAGGTACATAAAATCATAGCGGATCTCGCAATCAGTGGTATCCTAAATTCTACAAAATATGGTAACAACAATAGCTAATGGCATTATAGTAAAATATTAACAGCTTAGAGTACTTTCTGTGAGCCTAAGCTCTGAGGATTTTGCATATATTTTAATCTTTAAGATAATTCTGTGAGGTACTTTTTTTTTTTTTTTTGAGACTGAGTCTCGCTCTGTTGCCCAGGCTGGAGTGCAATGGCGTGATCTTGGCTCACTGCAGCCTCCGCCTCCTGGGTTCAAGCGATTCTCCTGCCTCAGCTTCCCGAGTAGCTGGGATTACAGGCGCCTGCCACTATGCCCGGCTAATTTTTATATTTTTAATAGAGATGGGGTTTCACCATACTGGCCAGGCTGGTCTCGAACTCCCGACCTCAGGCGATTCGCCCACCTCGGCCTCCCAAAGTGCTGGGATTACAGGCGTAAGCCACCGTGCCCGGCTGGTACGTACCATTGTTACCATTTTATAGGCCCTGAAACTATAGCACAGAGAGGTTAAGTAACTTGTCCGAGGTCACAAGCTAAGTGGTGGAGCCAGAATTCACACCCAGGTTAGTCAGTCCTAGATTCTGGTTTCTAACCACTGCACTATACATCTGTGCAATGGGGTCCAGGGCTTCCTGATCTCAGGGGAGCCTCTAGCCCTCCCCCAATAACCTCCGCCACCCAGGGACCCGCTTCCTCTTCTTGGCCTGTCTGTCCTCCAGTCCCATACCTGGTGCCGGACAGGGAGGCTGCCCCCACGCTTGTGCCACGTGACCTGGGCATGGGACTGCCCGGGCACCACGCAGTTCAGATCCAGGGTCTGCCCTTCCGCCACTTGCGAGGAGGAGGGCTCGATGCGGATGGGCTGGGTGCTGCCGGCAGCTGAGGGATAAGATGGTCACCGGTCACTCCTGTTCTCTGAAGCCACTCCAGCCTGTTCTCTGCATCCCAGCCCAGCCTGGTGGCCCCACTCACGGTAGGCTAAGTTGGCCCCCTGGGTCCCAGTTACTGTGACCGTGATGGAGGCCTCCATGCCGTTGCTGGCCCGGCAGACGTACTGTCCCGCATCGGCAGGTGAGGCCTGGAAGATGTACAGGCGGGAGCCACGAACCTGGGCAGCCGTGGGCAGAGGTGTGAGGGGGGCTTCCCGGAGGCCAGCAAATGCCCCACCGCTGTCCCCCCGATCTAGGAAGTGCCAGCCCCTCAGCCTAGGGGCCAGGATCCTGCAACCCACTGTCCATGGCCCCGTCCCACATTCTTGGTGCCCTGTACCTGGTGCCGGGCAGGGAGGCTGCCCCCACGCTTGTACCATGTGACCTGGGCGTGGGCCTGCCCTGCCACCACGCAGCTCAGATCCAGGGTCTGGCCCTCGGCCACTGTGGAGGATGAAGACTCGATCCTGACAGGTGGGATGGGTCCTGCAGCAGTGGGGATGGGAGTGAGAGTTGTAGATGCTCCTGAGATGAGAGGGCAGGGGTTGCCCACCCTGCAGCTAGCTCAGCCCAGGGTTTCAAGGCCAGATCCAGCTTTTCAGGCATCTGGGGGCCTGGACTTGATGCCCTCAGCTCAGCAACCCTGATGGGAGGACCAGGGCATGGGCCACGCCTTGCAGAGGGGAGTGAGGAAGTGAGAGAGATGAGGGCAGAGATGAGTTGGAGAGAGGAAGAGGAGGTGGGAGGGGACGCCTGAGGAGTCATGTGGCCAAAGCAAAGTGTGACGGGAAGGCGGTGGTTACTCTGACAGGTGGAGTCGGCCTGGGCAGGGCCCTGCAGCCAGCTCCGGTGTGGGCCTTCTGCCCTGTCAGCAAGAGGGGTCCCTTGGATCTCACCACCCCGGAGGCCTCTCTGCCTCCTCCAGCTTTCCATGTCACTGGGAGTCACTCACCAGGGATGACAGAGGCTTCGATGGTGACCAGGACTGAGGCCTCTAGGGGGCCGGAGGTGCCCACCACATGGCACACATACTCGCCTGAGTCGGCCGGGGTCACCTGGTGCAGCCGCAGCAGCGAGCCGTGGGTCTGTGTGCAAATGGGGTGGGTTGGGAGGGGGCTGGAACAGTCCCATCCAGCCCCTCCAGCAAGGTGGTCCCGGGGGGCTGCCATACCTGGTGCCGGGCAGGGAGGCTGCCCCCACGCTTGTGCCACGTGACCTGGGCGTGGGCCTGCCCGGGCACCACGCAGTTCAGATCCAGGGTCTGCCCTTCCGCCACGTGTGAGGAGGAGGGCTCGATGCGGATGGGCCGGGTGCTGCCGGGCACTGGACACAGAGCGGCTGCTCAGAGGCCTGAACTCTTGGGCTGTAACCTGTAGCCCTGGGGCAGAAGGCTCTGGGCTGTGACCAGGCCCTAGTGGGGACGGCCGACAGGTGGCCTTTCTGGGACTAGGGCCACACCCTTCTGCCTCCACATGGCCAGCCGAATATGGCTTCTTCCCTCCCCAGCCTCTAACCACAAGCTGGAGGCCCATTGACCCACCCATGACTTCTTGATGATGAGCTCCTCTGGCCCATAGGGAACCAGCAAGCTTTACTACCCAGGCTGCGCCCAAGGATGCGGATGACAGTGAGACACCTCCCTTCTACAGGACGTCTTCCGTGTGCTCACAAGTACTTTCCATAGACACTGTCTCATTTAAACCACACCATGACTGGCCAGGCGCGGTGGCTCATGCCTATAATCCCAGCACTTTGGGAGGCTGAGACGGTCGGATCACGAGGTCAGGAGATCGAGACCATCCTGGCTAACACGGTGAAACCCCGTCTCTACTAAAAAAAATACAAAAAATTAGCCGGCCTGGTGGCGGGTGTGCCTGTAGTCCTAGCTACTCAGAAGGCTGAGGCAGGAGAATGGTGTGAACCCGGAAGGCGGAGCTTGCAGTGAGCCGAGATCACGCGCCACTGCACTCCAGCCTGGGTGACAGAGCGAGACTCTCTCTCAAAAAAATAAAATAAAATAAAATAAAATAAAATAAAATAAAATAAAATAATAAAAAAACCACACCATGACCAAGCAGGTGGGCAGTACTGCTCCATTTCATAGATGAATCTGAGGCCCCAAAAGTTAAAAGCTAGTTCAAGGTTGCTAAGGGGCAGATCTGGGATTTGAACCAGGTCAGCCGACTCCCAGCTTAGTATTCAACCTGGACATTCTGCTGCTTCCTGACAAATTCTGAAACAGTCACTCATAGGGAGCCCAGGTAAGCTGGACCAGCCTTAACCTCCCTCCCGTCCACTCAACCTCCTTCTCTCTCTGAGCAGGCGCTGAAGGGTCAAAGCCTGCCTGGAATGCCCCCCTGTCCTGGTCCCACTGAAGAAGCCACAGGCATCTTCCTTGGGAGCTCCTAGGGCTCAGCCCCGGCCCAGCCACACCTGGCTCCTCACCTGGGGTGTAGCTGGGGCCAGAATGGGTGCCGTGGAGCACAGACACAGTAATGGAGGCCTCCTTGGGGCCCGATCCATTCTCCACACGGCACACATATTCTCCAGAATCAGCTGGTGAGACCTGGGGGAGCCGCAGACGGGAGCCGTGCACCTGGGCCAGGAGGAGCCAGAGGTACGTGAGGACAGGGACGGGGGCTATTGTCACCACTCCCTCAGCCTCAGTGATTCATTCAAACTCTCACTGGCTCTGCTCCGAGCCATCCCATGCTAGAAACTGGGAGGGAGGGAGATGAGGCCTGGCTTCTGCTGGTGGAACGTGTGGGGCAGTGTGCCGCCTCCCCCGCCCAGCGTACAGGCCCCGCCTCCGCCACAGCCCCTGCACCCTGGGTCCCCTGCCATAGGCTCAGGGCCCACATACCTGGGTGTGGGGAGGCAGGCTACCCCCTCGCCTGTACCAGGTGACCTGGGCATGGGCTGACCCTGCCACCACACAGTTGAGGTCGAGTGTTTGCCCTTCTGTCACAGAAGGCGATGAGGACTCAATCTTGACCGGCGGTGGGCTGGCATCTGAGGCTGGGGCCAGAGTAGGGGTCAGCAGGCCCCAGGGGAGCCCTGGCTTGCCCTCCCCACCCCTCCATTCCCAGAGAGTCCGTACCTGAAAGGACAACCACTTGGATCCGGGCCTGGGCAGTGCCTGCAGGGCTGGTGGCCACGCAGAGGTAGAAGCCGGCGTCAGCAGTCGTGATGGCTGGGATGAGCAGTGTCGCGATGTCTGTGCGCTCTGACCGGGCCTGCCGTGGGTGAGATGGGTCAGCTGCCCCAGAGGCAGCTGGACAACGGCTGGCCAGGGGGACAGATAGGGCATAAAAGGGAGAGGCAGGTGCAGGGCCAATATTAGGGCCCAGTGGGGCATGAAGGAGGACAAACGCCAGGCAGCCAAGAGGACGGCAGGGGCTCCCTGCTGGGATGCAGGGGCAGGAGACCACCATCTTGGAGGTGAAGGGAGCCACAGAGGAGGAGGTGGGGTGGGGCGTGAAGGGGGAGGGAAGGTGGCTGGGACTCTCTGCAGAGCCTGTGGGCCTCCTCCTCCTGGGTGGGCCCATCTCCTCACCTGTGGTGGGAGGCTGCCCCCTTCCTTCCTCCAGGTGATGGTGGCGCTAGGCACGCCTGCAGCCCTGCAGTACAGCCTGACGGTGCGGCCTGCGTGGACCTGGGTCCTCTCTGGGCTCACTTGGACTCTGGGCCCACCGCCCCCTGCAGACAGAGTCCTGTGAGAACACGCCCTGGGCTGAGCACACTCCCGGCCCCCACCCTGAGCCCGGCCTCTCACCATGCACGTGGAGCACAGCCCTGGCCACCTGCTGCCCAGCGCTGCTGTGGGCTCGGCACAAGTACTGGGCCTGATCCGTGGGCTCGACAGCTGGCAGGCGCAGGATGCCGCCGTGGATTTGTGCCTTCGCAGGGAGCTGGCCGCCGGGGCCCCCTGACGAGTAGACGTGGGGTCAGCACCCACCAAGCCTGCTCAGAGTCCTGCCCCTCCCCTCCCACACCCAGGAGAGTCAGGCCTTGAATGTCATTCCCATCACGGCCTCACCTGTCCACTCGAGGGTGGGCGTGGGGCTCCCTGTGGCGCTGCAGCGGAACTCCGCCAGTTGCCCGGGCTGCACTGTGAGCTGTGGCGGATGGATGGAGACCACGGGGGCGGACAAGGTGCCCGAGGCTGACAAGGGAGGAAAAGGAACATGCACTCAGGGTGGGGAGTGTCGTCTGACTCACACAACAGTCCTGCTGCCTACTTTCTCTGCTTCCAGGCTAGCCCTCCACGGCCATCTGTGCACACAGGAGCCAGAGGGAGCTTGGGAAATGTCAACAGGACCTTGTGACCTCCCACCTTGAGACCTGTCCATGACTCCCTGTTGCTTTTAGAATAAAATCCAAAATTCCTACCCTGATCCACCACATACTCCATGCTCTCCCGTCTGCCCACACCCGTCCTCCCTCCCACAGCCCCAGCCACGTGGTCTCTGCTGTTCCTCAAACATAGCAACGTGCTCCTGCCTCAGGGCCTTGCCATGTGCTGCTCCCTCTGCCAAGAACACTCTGCCAACTCTCTAACTTGCTCAATGCCTACCTTTCCTTCAGGTCTCAGCTTAGGTGTCACCTCCTCAGAGAGGCCCTCCCTGACTGCCCTATCTAGAGTAGCCCTTGCCTCTCCCACCTTGTTTTATTTTATTTATTTTTCTGAGATGGATTCTTGCTCTGTCACCCAGGCTGGAGTGCAGTGGCGCGATCTCGGCTCACTGCAACCTAAGCCTCCCGGGTTCAAGCGATTCTCCTGCCTCAGCCTCCTGAGTAGCTGGGATTATAGGCACCTGCCACCACACCCAGCTAGTTTTTGTATTTTTAGTAGAGACAGGGTTTCACCTGTTGGCCAGGCTGGTCTGGAACTCCTGACCTCAAGTGATCCACCTGCCTCAGCCTCCCAAAGTGCTGGGCTTACAGGTGTGAGCCACCGCTCCTGGCCTTCTCCCACCTTGTTTCTTGCTTTCTCATCATTCCTAGCCTGGCACTCATCGCCATGTGTAGTTATCTTGCTTGTTCATTTATTCCCATGCTTATGGTCTCCCTGCCTAGGACGTGTACTTCAGGAGGACCGAGATACTGTACATGCTTCTCTCCCCTGCTTCTGCAGAGCCTAGACCAGGACCAGGCATGCAGCAGGTGCTCAGAAATGATCAGCAGAATGAAGAAATGCTGTGCTAATTCTGGTGGGAATGGGGGAGAGACAGGAGGGGAGAATCAGGTATAGATGGGAGGTGTACCCTGCACATGTAGAGTGGCTGTGCCCTGGTCCATGGCAAACATGTTGGAGCCGGTGCACACGTAGGTGCCTGCATCACTCAGCTGGACGTTGCGAATGGTCAGGATGCCATTGAAATCCATGGCTCGGGTGGGCAGTTTCCCGTTGTGCAGGCGGGTCCACACCAGGGTATAGGCTGGGGACTGCAGGGCAAGGCGAAAGGGGGTCATGGGTGGGGCTCAGAGACCCCAGAAGACAGACTTCCTCCATCCCCACTCCCTGACCTGCACACCTTGCTTTTGGCTGTGCAGATGAAGGTGACGTCAGCTCCGGGGCGCACGCTCTGGCTCCGCTGCTCCTCCACAGTCACTGTGATGGGCTTGCTTGGAGCCTCTGCAGGGACGGGAAGCCCCCCTGTGAGCCGGTGCTGGCTAGGCCCCGGTCCTGTGGCCACTTTGTCTTTCTCCATAACCTCTAGGCATCACTTCCTTCCTGGTCCAGCCTAGCTCTCATTCTACCCCCTGGCACCTCCCTCCCCCATTCTGGCTGAACCCCACCATCCCCACCCTCCTTGCCAGCACAGAGTGGCCACAGGATGTGGTTGGGGAACATCACACCATGGGTCCACTTGGCTCCAGTTCCTGATCACAGACCACAATGAGCTCCTGACACATCACACCCCACTCCAACTGGGTTTCTCCGTCTGGTTTGAGTTTCTATCCCCCAAAAACAACTATTTCACACCTCCTCCCATCTCCTCCAGCCTCTCCAACCACCCTTCCACTTTCTTAGCTAGTGGCGCTGACACACACTTATGGAGAAAATAGAAACGACAAGTCAGGAGTTTTCCCAGCCTCTCAAATCTACCAGCTCTCTAGATACTGGTCCCTGAAGGACAGGCCCCTTCTCCTGCCCTCACCCCATCCCACTGCTGCGCCTGAGTGCCACCCCTCCCCGGGGCTTCTTCTGCTCTCGCAACATCAGCGTCTCCTCCTTCTCATGCGATCACTTCGGTCCAGAGTGCATTCTAGGATTTCCCATTTCCGAAAACTCCCCCTTGACCTCATGCTCTCGCAGTCAATGACCCACTTCCTGGCCTCCCTTCAGAGCCAAGACTCTTGCAGGAGTTGTCCACACTCGCTGCCTTCCCACCCATGTGTCGCCTCCTTCCAATCTGGTTTCTATCCCTTCTCTCCACTGAAAACCGCTCTTGTCAAAGCATGACCTCCAAGGGCTATTTCTCTGCCCTTATGTGACTTCCCAGCAGGGAGGCTGCCCTGAAAGCCCTTTTCCCTCTGATTCCCATGATGCCCCCTGTCTCTTCCTGCCTCATGGCTGCACTCTCTCAGGCTCTTCCTGCCCTTCCTCTTCCATTTGACATGTTCACACTGGAGCTCCTCAGGACTCTGGGCTGGGGCCCTGTCCTCGGGCCACACTCTCCCTAGGTGACTTCATCCTGTCCCATAGCTTTGAACACCATCCCTGTGCCAACAGCAACCATACTCATTTCTCTGGCTGGGGCCTCTTACTGGAGTTCAGACTCACATACCCAAATGCCTGCCTGGTGGACTCAATGAGATATCTTCCCAAACATCTCAGACTCTAACACGTCCAAAACAAACTTGCGATTCTCTCTGACCTGTTTGTAGCCTGTGCTGCTGGTGGCCTAGCCACGCTTCCCACCCCCCGTGCCCACCTGCCTGACTTCTGCCAGCCACTGCACTTCTTTGCATTGAGGGCTTTCTCAGGCCACTGGAGCCCACAGTGCACACCCATGGGTGGGACAGATGTGCAGGGGACTTGATGCTCCCAGAATAGGTCTCAGTCAATGACTGACAGAAGCTGGCCTAGACATACTGCAGCTCCTTGGACCCCAGGGCAGGGTGACTTTGAGGTGCGTGTTTTACACCGGCTCCCTTTAAAAGCTTCCTCGGTTGTACTAAGCAACAACTGCTCACGGTGGCAATCTGCTTGGTGACACAGCCTTTATGGACGCCCTCCCATCCCTGTCTCACTTTTCCCTGGACGACAGGGCAGGGTGACTCTGAGGTGCATTATTATTATTATTTTTTTAAGACAGAGTCTTGCTCTGTTGCCCAGGCTGGAGTGCAGTGGCGCAATCTTGGCTCACTGCAACCTCCACCTCCCGGGTTCAAGCAATTCTCCTGCCTCAGTTCTCCCGAGTAGCTGGGATTATAGGTGTGTACCACCATGCCCAGCTAATTTTTTCATTTGTACTAGAGACAGGGTTTTACGACGTTGGCCAGGCTGGTCTCGAACTCCTGACCTCATGATCTGCCCACCTTGGCCTCCCAAAGTGTTGGGATTATAGACGTGACCCACCGTGCCCGGCCCACCCTTTTCTTTTGCCCTCACCGACCAGTCAAGTCCTGCTGATCCTACCTCTAAAATGAGTCTTGAATCTGCCACCTCTCCTCATCTCCATGGCTGCTGACCTTGTTCGGGCAACCACTGCCCCCTCCCAGCAGGTGAATGCACCATCTGCCTGAATCTGCAGCCTGCAGCCCAGCCCAGGACAGGCAGTCTTGGTTACAGGGGGCGTAGGGACTCACCAGTGACCAGCAGCTCTGCCCGGCTGGTATTGGATTGGTGGAGATTACGGCAGGTGCAAATGTAGACCCCAGCATCCGAGGGCTGGACGCTGGGGAAGTGGAGCTCGGAGCCTGGTGGGGAGGAGACAAGAGCTTGTTGGTGCAGATACACTCTTTCTCACATCCAGCCCCATGCACAAGGACAGCATCCCACTAGGGCAGGGACAGGCCCCTGCCTCCCCTCCCACTGGGATGGCTCTTGGGGCTGAGGAGCCTAGGGCCATGGGTACCTTGATGTCGCTGCTGGGTGCCGCTGGGCACAGGCCGCCCATCCTCACGGGACCAATAGAAGTAGTGGGGTGGGCTCCCACTGACCTGACACCGCAGGGAGTGGGAGCCACCTTGGGGCACTATGCTTCGAGCAGGATGGACCTCGACCACCAGTGGGGCTTGGTTTGCTGGGGGTGGGGGCCGGGACAGGAAGGGCCTTTCAGCATTGTCTTCAATATCTCTGCTCTCCCAAAAGCTGGGGTACCCCACCCTCAGCCCTGTCCCCAGACCCAGTATCCCCCAAATTCCCAGGGCTCCCTGCCTTGCCCATCGTCCCCATCCTGGGCCATGGTCCCACTTACTCTCTGGCAGGCACTGGCCCCCTTGCACACTGGGGTTACCCACGTAACCTGGGCCACACCTGTAAGGGGGAACAAGGGCCGGCAATGTCAGGCCTCAAGGGCCCCAGTGCCTCATGGTGGACTTGGGGAGCCAGAAGCTCAGCAGGCCACCCAATGTCAGGTGAGGAGGCTCGGAGCTCTGGAAGCACTTTGGGGACCAGACAGGCCCCAACGCAGGGTGCTGGTGAACTGAGAAAGGGGAGTGTAAGGGAGTGTTAGCAGGTTGGGTGATGAGAGAGGTAAGGTCTCTATTCTCCAGAGAAATTCATTCAGCAAACGTCCATTTTTTTTTTTGAGACAGATTCTCGCTCTGTCACCCAGGCTCGAGTGCAGTGGTGCGATCTCGGCTCACTGCAAACTCCGTCTCCGGGGTTCACACCATTCTCCTGCCTCAGCCTCCCAATTAGCTGGGACTGCAGGGGTGCGCCACCACACCCAGCTAATTTTTTGTATTTTTAGTAGAGGCAGGATGTGCTAGCCAGGATGGTCTCGATCTCCTGACCTCATGATCCGCCCACCTCAGCCTCCCAAAGTGCTGGGATTATAGGCATGAGCCACCACGCCTGGCCAGCAAATGTCCATTAAGCAATGACTGAATGCCAGGCATGTGCTATAGGTGTTGGAAATACAACAATGAATGTGATAAAGTCCCTGGTCTGTGGGACTTACTAGTTGGGAACCCAACATGGAAATTCTACATGAAAATGAGAGTGCAGGAAGCATATCAGGGCTGTGCGGGTGCAGAGGAGGGCACTGGCCCAGCCTGGAGAGCCAGGGAGGCTTCCAAGAGGATGGGACTTCTCGTATTACCTCAGAGCAGGCTGTACTTTTCTTTCAGATAACTTAACATGGTTTGTAAATACACATTTGCACAATTACTTTTTCCCTGTCTTATCTCCCATTAGGGCTGATCTCTTATTAGGTGGCAGACTCCGTAAGGGCTGGGGTGGAATCTGTTCTGTTCACTCCATTATCTCCAACACCTCAGCACACAGCATGGTACACAGGAGCTGCTTGATAAAAATTTGCTGAATGAGTGAATGAAGCTGGGTCTGAAGGCTAAGGGGAAGTTAGCCAGGAACGGGTGGTTTAGGGGTGAAGACTGTTCCATGCAGAGGGAACAGCATAAGCAAGGCCTGAACATCAAGAATTCAAAAAGTGGCTGGGCATGGTGGCTCACGCCTGTAATGCCAGCACTGAGGCAGGAGGACTGCTTGAGCCCAGGAGTTTAAGACCAGCCTGGGCAACACAGTGAGACCCTGTCTCAGTTTAAAAAAAAAAAAAGAAAGAAAAAGCATTTAAAAAGTTAAGCCCAGCTAAAGTACAGAGTTGGGTGTCAGAAGTGGGATGAGACTGCTACAGTAAAGCTGCCTAAGGAGGGTGGGCTTGTCCCAAGAGCAATGAGGTGTCTTAGAAGTGTTTGAGGCAGGGAAGGAGCATAATCCTAGAAGAGACTTTTCTGAGCAACACCCTTTAAGGCTCTCACTTGGGAGTCCACCATTTGTCCTCCACCCTCCCCCTACTTCTGTTTACAAACTTACTGCTCACAGTACTGGCCAGTGTAGCCGGGTTCGCAGGCCGTGCAGCGGTACCCGCCGGCTCCCAGGCTCTCACAGGTGCGGGAAAACCTGGGATCGGGGAGGCAAAGGTCAGGTCATGGGAAGCCCAATCTCCATCTTGCTCCCTTCACTTCTGCCCCAAAAGCCAGTGCAACGCCTTCCACTCATTCCCCAGTGGAAGTGTGTCCTTGGGCCTTGAGCTAGGGTACCCACATGTTCTCTGGGTTGGTCAGTGGGCAGGCACAGGGCTGGCAGTCCTCAGGCGTCCCGGCTGTGGCATCTCCGTAGTAGCCAGGGGCACAAAGCTCGCAGAACTCCCCTGCGGCGTTGTGCTGGCATTGCTGCAGGGCACAAGGAGGGCAGGCACCAGCCATTAGGCCAAATTTACCAGAAGCCTTTCAGGGTTGCAATCCCTTGATCTAGAAATTCCAAGTTTGTGAACTCATCTTAAAGAAAGAATCATGGAAGGGCACAAAGATTTCATTACAAGGACACTCATCTCCGTGGTGTTTATAAAAAGCAAAATGGGCTGGGCACAGTGACTCATGCCTGTAATCCCAGCACTCTGGGAGGCCGAGGCGGGTGGATCACCTGAGGTCAGGAGTTCAAGGCCAACTGGCTGACACGGTGAAACCCCATCTCTACTAACAAATACAAAAATTAGCTGGGTATGGTGGTGTGCGTCTGTAGTCCCAGCTACTCAGGAGGCTGAGGCAGGAGAGTTGCTTGAATCCAGGAGGTGGAGGTTGGAGTGAGCCGAGATTGCACCACTGCACTCCAGCCTGGGCAACAGAGCGAGACTCCATCTCAAAAAAAAAAAAAAGAAAAAAGCAAAAAAAGCTAGAAACAAACCTAAACATCCATGAATAGGGAATTGGATAAATTAAAAAGTACATCCATCCAAATAGCTGTCAAAAAGGGTGATGCTAATTCTATTTTCTCCCTAAGTACCTGTGATAGCAAAGGAAAGGTATACACTCAGGTATTTGGGGGCAGAGCATTAAAAATGTGTATTGTCAGCCGGGCACAGTGGCTCACGCCTGTAATCTCAGGACGTGGGTGGATCACCTGAGATCAGGAGTTAGAGACCAGCCTGCCAACATGGTGAAATCCCATCTCTACTAAAAATACAAAAATTCGCCAGGCATGGTGGCAGGTGCCTGTAATCCCAGCTACTCCAGAGGCTGAGGCAGGAGAATGGCGTGAACCCAGGAGGCGGAGCTTGCAGTGAGCCGAGATTGTGCCATTGCACTCCAGCCTGGGTGACAAAAGCGAGACTCCATCTCAAAAAAAAAAAAAAAAAAAAAAAAAAAAGAGGCTGGGTGTGGTGGCTCACACCTGTAATCCCAGCACTTTGGGAGGCCAAGGCGGGTGGATCACAAGGTCAGGAGATCGAGACCATCCTGGCTGACACAGGTGAAACCCCGCCTCTACTAAAAACACAAAAAATTAGCCGGGTGTGGTAGCGGGCGCCTGTAGTCCCAGCTACTCGGGAGGCTGAGGCAGGAGAATGGCGTGAACCCAGGAGGTGGAGCTTGCAGTGAGCCCAGATGGCGCCACTGCACTCCAGCCTGGGTGACGGAGCGAGACTGTCTTGAAAAAAAAAAGAAAAAGAAAAGAAAAAGAAAATACGTGCATCCTCATAAAAACATGTGGGTTACAGATTCTCCTCCAAAGAGATTCACGTTTGTGGTATCAACAATAGGGTGTTCCTTGCTCCAAGTTTAGGTTATGGCTGTCAACCACCTGCCCCTTCACTGCGTACCCTGGGGGGCTATATACATGCTACTCTGAAAAGTCAAGGTATAAAAAATATATGTAATGAGGCCAGGCACAGTGGCTCATGTCTGTAGTCCCAGCTACTCGGGAGGCTGAGGCATGAGATTCACTTGAACCCAGGAGGCAGAACGAGACTGAGACCCTGTCTCAAAAAAAAAAAAAAAGTAAAAAGGCCAGGTGTGGTGGCTCACGCCTGTAATCCCAGCACTCTGGGAGGCCGAGGCGGGTGGGTTGCTTGAGCTCAGGAGTTTAAGACCTTCTGAGCAACAAAGTGAGACCCCATCTGTATTAGATAAAAAAAATTTTTTTAAGAAAAAGAAAAAAATAGTAAAGAACCAAAGTTTTCTTTACACAGAAGGATGTTATTCCATAGCTCTGGCCACCCCACCATCCCCGGTGACCTGGCCTGCTGACCCAGGTGCTTTGAACCACAGGCCATGCCCCATGATCCTGATCCCCTGGATTGATGCCTGCCTTGTCCAGCCCTGGTCCCCCACCCAGGCCCAGCTGAGCTGACCCCCTGTCCTGGCCTCGCTTGCAGCTCACCGAGCAGGCCCCAGTCTCTGGGTGGCACAGGTCTGAGTGGCCATTGCATTCACATAGCTCGCAGTGGCCGAGGTAGAGCCCACTCCCGGTGCGCGTGTAGCCGGGGGCACAGTCCTAGGGGCAGAGAGGAAGGTTGGCCTCTGTTCCCAACGTGCCCCACCCACAGCCAGCAGACCCAGAACCCCTCCCTCCAGTGTCCTCCCAGGGGTGACCCTGGAACATCACAGGCCGGCGCCCCTCCTTCCCCACTTCTGCTCAGTCTGTCCTCCCACCCACGGCCCTCTCCCAGTCCACACTGTTCACCTCTGGGAGGCATCTCTATGCTGTGCTTTGGGCCGGAGTAATCTGTGTTTCTGAATTGGCTCCCTGTCTCTGGTGGGCCCCCTCAAGGGCATGAACTGGGTTTTAACCCCCGGAGAGTGTGGCCCAAACGTGAGGCTGCACTGCCCAGTGGTTAGGACATGCTAGGCTTTGGAGTCAATCAGACCCAGGTTCAAATTAGTTTCTGCCACACATTAGCCGTGTGCCCTTGGGACACACTCACCCCTCAGCACCTCTATTTTTTTACCTGTTAAAGGGGATAATGATATGTAACTCAGGGCTGTCGGGAGGAATACATGCAGGGCCCAGATGCAGGGGTCATTATAGTTATGATGGTAATCAAGGCTGCGGCGACGCCGGCTGATTTGCTTGCTGATGCCTCTGTGCCTGTGCAGAGGTGGTGGAGCTGGCCACACACTCACCTGGCAGGACAGACCGATGTAGCCTGGCGGGCAGCGGCACTCCTCCACCTCGAGGGCGCGGGGTCTGTTTGAGGGCCCCGGCTGGGCGACCTCCAGGCTGACTGCGCTGATGCTGGCCGCCAGCGGCACGGAGGAGAACGTGGCCCGGATCAGGAGCTCATCCAGGTCGGCCAGTGCCATCAGGAGGTGCTCGCGTGTGGCCGGCTGCCCATCGGGCCGGCGCCAGAATTCCTGGGTTGGGGGTGGCAACGTGGGCGGGGGCAGTGGGCTTTGTGGGCTGCTCCTACAGTTACCACCCCCCAAATCCTGCCTTACAGGCACTGACTGAGGGCTGCCAGGTGAAGGTTGGGGAGCGAGAGACAGGGTGGGTATCAAAGCCAGGCTCTGAGTCAGGGTGGAGGGTGGGGTGGGGTTAGACACAGCATGGCCAGGTGCCCCTTACCTCTCGGAACATGATCTCGTAGCTCCTCCT
Organism: Homo sapiens; assembly: GCF_000001405.40. Classification (NCBI taxonomy): domain Eukaryota; kingdom Metazoa; phylum Chordata; class Mammalia; order Primates; family Hominidae; genus Homo; species Homo sapiens. The sequence goes on from NC_000001.11 coordinate 21,865,315, forward strand.
CTCAGGGCCCTGCAGCGCTGGCTGGGAGGCCACTAGCATGATGTTGTTGCCCTGGAAAGACACCAGCAGGATTGGAAGGGGAGCCGAGGGGTCCCTGGGGTGCCAGGGTGTCCTCCACCAGTCCTAGATTCTCTGTAACCCCCAGCCTCCCACCTCTCTGCTCTCCCAAGCTCATGCGCCCAAAGGAGTCAGGCACATGCCCACTGCCCCCTTCTCCCAGCAGCAGGATCCTCTGCTTGGGTAGTGTCCAACCAGGCAGGGATGTGGGGGCATGGGCCTAACTCCCCCAGCCTGTGCCAGAAAACTGAGTGCTGGATGGAAAGGACAAAGGACAAATGCCGAGGGTGCCCCTGGCTTCCATCCTGCCCTTCTGCCCACCCAGCATGGTGTCCAAATGCTCACCGTGATCTGCACATCGGGGTCAGAGAGTGGGCTGCCCTGTGGGCCTGCTGTGTAGGAGAGGGTGTATCGCAACTTCCCACCGTAGGCCGCCACCTGCAAAGAGGCAAGCCCAGAGGTCACAGGCTGACCTTGGGGTGTGAGTGTTGGACCATATAGGTGAGGGATGGAGCATCTGGCGGCCTTTTTGCACCTGTGCCACACTCCCCCACCCCCCTCCCTGCCCAAACCAAGAGGCCAGGGTGCATGGTTGCCTGGGAAACAGGACATTTCTCAGTTCCTCTGTAGCCCCAGACATGGTGGTGATGATGCTGAGCAGCCTCTTTGCTCTGCAAGGTTCTCTATTCCCCATTGCCTGACGGTGCCGGCGAACAAACTCCAGGTCTGCTTTCATTTACAGGAATTTCCCATAAGGCAGACAAGTGTAATGACAATGACCACCATGGGGAGGCTGCGGAAGCTTCAAAAGTTCTCAGCCATGGGGGTGGGGCTGACGGCAGCCCCTCGGAGGCCTTGCCTCCTAGGCAGGTGGTTTTTGTTTGCCCAGTATCCAGTTCCTGCTTTCTAGAAACTAAACCGTGGTTTTCTATAAAGAACAACTGTCTCCGCACATGCAGACCATGTGGTCTGAGGGCCCTGATCCCCTCCTCCTCTATAGTGGAGACATGAGCCAGGCCTGGCCAATCTGCATAACCTACCACTGCCCTTTGCCACCCCATCAGGGATAGACAAGTAACCCGTGCACTTATGCTCTTTCTACCAGGCCAGAGAAAGTCCCTTCTGCAGTCAGATGAGAAGCTGGAGAACCAAGATAAAGCCCTAATGAGCCCCTGGATAAGGCCATGCCTGACACCATACATGCTTAGACTCTGCAGTTGCATGAGCCGATAGATTCTTTGTTGCAGACAAGCCCACTGGACTTGGGCACTGTGTTGCTCATGACTGGGGAGTCCTTACTTCTGCTGCAGAGGACCTTCACGTGGACAGCTGAGGCTCCCCAGCTCTGTCCCACAGGACTTTGCTTTCTCTCCTCTGCCACCAGGGCAGACATTCATCTCAATACCAAACTGCATCAAGCCTACCTCTTTGTTCATTTGTGTGTTCACTCAGCTAACCAGCATTTATCAAACACCTGCTGATTACACACACGGCCCTGGGCTACATGGCTACAGGGATATTCTCCATGAGCTCAAGGCATGGTAAGGAATTTTGGAGTGGAACCAAATAACCATAAAATAACTGGTTTCCTGCTTGCTTTGAATGCCAGAAAGTTCACAGCCATTTCTGGGACTGACTTTCTGGCAAGTTGCAGGTGTGTACAGCACAGTGATTTTTAAAAATTTTTTATTTTTTTTTTCACCTTTTTTTTTTAAATAGAGATGGGGTCGCCCTATGTTGCTCAGGCACTTTTTTTTTTTTTTAAATAGAGATGGGGTCTCCCTATGTTGCTCAGGCTGGTCTCAAACTCCTGGACTCAAGCGATTGTCCTGCCTCAGCCTCCCAAAATGCTGGGATTACAGGAATGAGCCACCATGCCCGGCCGATTTATTTTTTTAGAGACAGCATTTCGCTATGTTGCTTAAGCTGGTCTCAACTCCTGGCCTGAAGCGATTTTTCAGCCTCAGTCTCCCAAAGTGCTGGGATTATAGGTGTGAGCCATTGTACCCAGATCCAGCATAGTGATTAAAACGGCAGACTCCACAGTCTGAATGACCTGGGTTCAAACTCTAGCTCTACTGGCTATACAGCCTTGGACAAGTCGCTTCACCTCTCTGAGCCCTACTTTCCTCACATGGAAATGGAAGTAAAAGTAATACCCACTTTGAAGGGTATCATGAGGATTAAGTAATATAGGACACAAATGGTGATGTACTCCACACAGTTTGAGAATGCATATCACGCTTGATAACCCTGCAGTACTCCAGCTCCACCCTCGGCTCCAGCAGATTGCTTCTTATCCTCACCCCTCAACCTCCCTGTCTCACTTCTCTGAATGTACCTTGTGACTGCCTATTCTTTTTTTTGTTTGTTTTTTGAGATGGAGTTTCACTCTTGTTGCCCAGCTGGAGTACAGTGCTGCAATCTCAGCTCACTGTAATCTCTGCCTCCCGGGTTCAAGTGATTCTCCCCCTTCAGCCTCCCAAGCAGTAGGATTACAGGTGCCTGCCAACACACCCGGCTAGTTTTTGTATTTTTAGTAGAGACAGGGTTTCCCCATGTTGGCCAGGCTGGTCTCAAACTCCTGTCCTCAGGTGTTCTGCCTGCCCCAGTCTCCCAAAGTGCTGCGATTATAGGCATGAGCCACCGCACCCAGCCAGGAAGCTGAATTTTTTTTTTTTCTTTGAGATGGAGTCTTGCTCTGTTGCCCAGGCTGGAGTGAAGTGGCATGATCTAGGCTCACTGCAACCTCCGCCTCCCAGGTTCAAGCAATTCTACAGCCTCAGTCTCCTAAGTAGCTGAGATTACAGGCACCCGCCACCACGCCCAGCTAATTTTTGTTATTTTAGTAGAGACAGGGTTTCACCATGTTGGCCAGGCTGGTCTCGAACTCCTGACCTCAGGTGTTCGCCTGCCCCAGTCTCCCAAAGTGTTGGGATTACAGGTGTGAGCCACCACGCCCAGCCTGCTATGTGTATTCTTAAGAGGTACTTGAAATTGTTGGAACAAAATAGAGGCAATATGAATACTCATCTAAGGCCAATGCCAGCACTCATGATGATAATAATAATGATACTGATGGTGACAGGAATGATAATGGGATGGACAGGGAGCTCTGGGAGGCCAGGGCCCACTCGGCCTGTACACGACGCAGCACACAGTAAATAATTAATGCTTCTTGAATGACTGAGTGAAGTACCAAAAACTAGGCCAGCATCTAGACACAAGGTCAAGGAAGCCCAGAGAAAAGGCACTAGAGAAACCCTCCCAGGCGAGACAGCTCCTCTGACAGGGGTCAGGGGCCAGGGGTCAGGGGTCAGGGCCCGCTGAAGGACAGGGGCAGAGCTGAGTTCAGTCTCAGCTGTGCTCTGACCTGAACATGAGACCCCAGGCAAGTCTCTACCCACCGTGAGCCTCGGTCTCCCCATTTGTGTCATAAAGGGCCTTGACAAAGGGCCCTCTGATATTTTGGGATTCTATGACACCCCTATAATCCCCCCAAATCCTTGTTACCTTGTCCCCCAGGAAGGCCCGGGGCAGCTGCCAGTAATAGAGGCTTCCAGGAAGCAGAGAGAAGCCTTCGTAGGAGAGAGAGAACTAGGAGGGAAGGGCAGGTGGTAAGAGCCGAGGGGAGCAGGGGTGGGGGTGGGAGGGCGGAGGTGGTTCCGGCAGGGGTGGACCGTCATGGGAGGGAGGCCTGGTGGCAGGGCAGAGAGACAGAGCCCCCCACTCCCACCCGACAGTGCGGGTCCTGGCCTTGCTCTTTGGACGACTTTCTTCCCAATCCCGGCCCAGGTCCCCAGCTGCTCTCTCTGGGCGTGGCCTGGGTCGGCTTCTCCTCCCATCTGGTGGGTCTCTTTTGTGGACCAACGTTTACACAGCACATCAGTAAACAATTTCAATGGGATGGCTCCTTTCATATGTATTTGAAAGAGAGTAACCAGCCTGAGTTGGTACATGATTGATTTAAGAGAAAATTGGAAAGAAATAATAGTCCAAGTAGTTCACAGAAATTGGTGAAGTTGGTTCAGAAATGACTGAAGTCTAGAAAGCATGGTGGGTGGGGATCCCTTGATGGGCACCTTGGCACATACCTGAGAGCCTGGTGAGAAAGACAGAGAAGCTGAGGAAGAGGAGGAGGAGGAGGAAGAAGAAGGAGGAGGTGCTGCTCGCAGAGCAGCTGCAGGCTGGGGATGAGGAGAGAGCCCCTGGGGAGGGGGTTGGGGTTGGGCAGCAAAGCTGGACAGGAGCTGCCAGATCTCAGCATCCATCCGTCTCTGAGCCTCGTCCACCTGGGGGACCAGGAGCCGAAGAGCGGCAGAAGGGAGCAGAGAGGGACAGAAAGGACGTCCGTGAGGCTTCACCTCCCCACGGGCCCAGCCAGCCACCCGCTCTGCACTGTCTGCTCACAAGTGCTGATACCTGGCACTCTGGCCCTTGTACCCACTGCCCTCTTGTTCCTCCTGAGCTAGGCGGGGATATCCCGGGATGGGTTTGGCTGCCTATGGGCCGTGACTGATGGGAGAAGCCCTACAAAGGGTGCCCAGCAAGGGAGGGGCAGAAGTGCTGGAGGCAGCCCCAGGGGCATCTGGACGGGGTTGTTGCTCCTCGGCCTGACTCTCTTTGTGTGCCCTGGCAACAGCCCAAGCCATTCATGGTTCTGGAATGTTTCCCAGGGGAGACACCAGAGCAGACCAGGCATCAGGCTGGGGCCTGGCCTGGCATAGGGGAAATGGCCCAGGAAAGCTGGAGTCTTCGCTCAGGTGCCTGCCTGGACTCAGCTCTCTGGTCTCCTCGCTGTGGCCCTAGGTACAACCTGTCCTAGCCAGGTCCTCAGTTACCTGTGATGCCCGCTGTGCCCAGTCCCTGCCCTCTGGGGGCTCTGGGATCCTCCCAGCTGTCACGGCTGCCCGCAACTGCTCCTCTGAGAGGGATGTGCGGTTCTGATGAAATGGAGGGAGCAGGCGAGCTAAGACCTCCCAAAGTCCTGGAGCTAGAGCCATGGGCAGGGTCCTCTACCCACGGACATGGTAGTCAGAAAGGCCCACACTAATTAGGAAGAAAGATGCATGCCCCCCCTCTCCAGGCTGGCACCCAAGGGTTAACTCCAGGCCGCCCACATGCACACAGAGGGTTCATGGTGGTTGCTTGAGAGGCAAGGCCAGGGGAACCCGGGGGGCTAGATACAGTCATGTGGATTAGCATCGGGTTAGTCTCCTTGCTACCTCAGTTGCCATTCTGACTTCAGACAGTTGGCACCAGGACCAGACCACACAGCAGGTGAGGCAAGGTGAGGCACATACCCTCCTGGCTCCAACCCTGGGGTCATGGGACACCGCCTGGATTCATGCAGACCCCCAATGCCTTGGGCACTGCGCATCTCCCCACGCAGGGCTGGGAGCACCCGAGAAGGCACCACGCCCCACCACACCAACTTCACACCACGCACGTCCTGGGCCTACCTGGTGAGCCCGGCGCATCCGCGCAAAGTACGCCTCCCCCTGTGGGGCGCAGGGAAATGCCAGGACAGGAGACAGAGATAGGTCTGAGAATTGCAGGACAGGGCAGCAGGGAGGCCAGGAGATAGCGAACCCCAGAAGGGAGAGGGGAGAAGGGACCAGAAGGCAGCCAGCCCCGGGAGAAGCCTGGAGTACCTGGCTGTGTCCAACGAACAGGGATAGGGCAACCCCAACCCCAGAGCGTGGGTGCCACCGGATGCCCGTGCTGCTCAAGAACACATTTGGGCAGGTTGTCCCAGAGCCCACCCCTGAGCCCCTGCCCCCCACAACACCATCACACCATCGCCACCACCATCATCACCACCTTTCCACCAGACCCTGTTCTGGAGTAGCAAAGACAGGTTCACCTCTGACTGGCAGAGTATTTGTTTTTTTTTTTTTTTTTTTGAGACAGGGTCTTACTCTGTCACCCAGGCTGGAGTGCAATGGTGCAATTATGGCTCACTGCAACCTCCCCATCCTGGGTACCAGCGATCCTCCCACCTCAGCCTCCCTAAATAGCTGGGACTACAGGCATGCACCAACACGCCCAGCTAATTTTTTGTACTTTTTGTAGAGACGGGGTTTCGTCACATTGCCCAGGCTGGTCTCAAACTCCTGAGCTCAAGTGGTCCTCCCGCCTCAGCCTTCCAAAGTGCTGGAATTACAGGTGTGGGCTCTGGCCTTTGGCAGAGCATTTGAAGGGCAGCCTCTGACCTGGGTTTGGATCCCGGCATTCCCACCTCCCAGCTGCGGGGCTTTGGGTAAGTTACCAAGCCCCTCTTGCCTTATTTATGAAATGGGGCAGTAGCAGGACCTGTCTCACACAGTTGTGATTTGTGATTTGTAAAGGATGCTGCCTAGCACATAGTGAGAGCTCAACACACATGACCTATCATGAGAATTACTGTGTCCAACACAAGCACAGAGCCAGCAGTGTGGATGAGTGAAGTCGGAGCGGGCACGTGAATGACACTGAAACTGTGTCTCACTTGTCTTTATATTTCCCGGCCTCTCCCAGATCTGTTTGTAGAATAACTGCATGAAAGCTAAAAGTCATGAACAGCTGAGCACTTATTATGTGCCAGGCACGATCTCCAATCCCCTCAGCCACCATGAAGTTGAGGTTTATCAAATGGTGTCTGGCTGGCAAGCGGCAGAGCTGGGGTTCAGACCAATGTCTATGGGACTGCAAAAGCCACGTGCCTAACCACGATATGGCCATGCAGGTGGCAGGTGCCTGCCTGCTGAGAGACGGCGCAGAGGTGAACTCATGTCTGAGTCACGGCTGACCCTGGTGCTTGGCTGGGGCCCACCTTGTCTCCCTGGTATGTCTCCGGCAGCTGCCAGTAGAAGGACTCATGGCCGAGTTGGGCAAAGTTGCCAAAAGAGAGCTGGGCACCCTCGGGCACGGGTTCCACAGTGAATTCTCCTGTCAGGCGGCTGTTTCGCTGTGGGTTCACCAGGGCAAAGCCTTGGAAGTCCCCAGGGGCAAAGTGGGTGGAGATCTGGCAGGGGAAAAAGGAGGGGGCGTCAGCCTGAGCACCGGGGTGCCTTGGTGGGGGATGGGGCACGGGAGGGTGTTAAGGTGCGGAATGGGGTCCTGTTGAGATCAGGACTGCGAGAGAAATAATGGGGGCATGTGAGGGTACTGAGGCGGGGATGAGGGTCGCTGGGCTCAGTGCTCAGATGGACAGTAACAGGCAGCAGGTGGCAACACCGCCTGGGGCTGGGCAGCACAGGCTCTCACCAGGTGGCGTGTGTAGGCAGAGCTGGCGCACTGCTGGGTGATGCCCATACAGAAGCAGGGCAGGCAGCCGTCTGGGTTGCTGGCACTCAGGTGGAAGTGGTGGGGCCGGCAGTGGCTGCAAGTGAGGCCTTCCACCTGGGCCTGGGTAGACGGATGGAAGGAGGCAGGCAGGGGACTCAGTGGGTCTCCTGCACCCCCAGCAGCCTGAGGCCAGCCTCCCTGGCCACTTCCAGCAGCCCCGGGCAGCCCCTGCCCTGTCCCCCATGCCCTGCCCCCCATGCCCAGGTCTCGGCTTCCACCAGATGCTGCCTGATTTCCCCGCAGGGTCTGGGCAGCGGGGCAGAGCAGGCCCCGCAGGGACAGGGATTCGGACTGACCTTGCACTGGCACTGACCAGCAGCATCACACTGGCTGCTGACGCTGCCTTGGGGGTCACAGTTGCAGCCTATGGGCCCTGGCACCTGGCTGTCTCCTGAGGTGGAAGAAAGCCATGGCTGGAGCCCCAAACCCGCCACCCAGCACCCCTCTTCCCTCCACTCTGCTCACCACTGAGCGGGAGCTCTGATTTCTGATGTGAGTACTCAACACTCTCACGACAGCCCTCGGAGGTGGTGGGGCCTTCTCCTATCCCCATTTTACAGATGAAGAAACAGGCTCGGACAGGCAAAGCCAAAGGGGAGTAAAGGCTTCTGTCCTAGCTCCGCCCTAGGGACTCTGGGTAACCCGACCCCAATGACCTCCCCAATCCTACTCACTCTGGCATGGCTGGCCCTGGCTGGGGTTGCCATAGTAGCCAGGGGCGCACCTGCAGAGAGAAAAAGCCTCTGATGAATTTTGGATGAAGGGAAGCAGAACCCCAGGGCTGGGCTGAGGGCCCCATATTGAATTCAATGGCCTCATGCACTGGAAGAAAAGAAGAGCCTGACTCGCCCATGTTACGGGGAAACTGGGCAGAGAAGAGCAGGGACGTGCCCTGGACCGCACAGCCAGTGAATTGGGGCAGGTAGGAACCCAGGAGTTTCAGAAAGAAGCAGGGGTTTTGTGGGAAGACTCTGGCCTGGCTGGGGCAGGGGGCCAGGGGGCTGAAGGTGAACCGCAGGCTAGGATGTGTGTCTGAGGGTCTTGAATTCTGGGCTAGAGGTTGAGTCTCCCGAGGAGGGGAGCTGACTGTCTTCTGGGGCCTGTGCGAGGTTAAGAGCGAGAGGCATCCCTGATTCCTCTGGGTTGGGAGCGCTGGGCCCTGCCTGAGGATTCCAGGGACACCCCCTGTGCGCATCCCCCCACCCTCTCCACCCCCTGCCTCACCTCTCACAGTGACGCCCACTGTGGCCTGGGGAGCACGCATCACAGGTGGGGTGGCCGTCTGTGTCCAGAAAACAAGTGTGGGCAGCCCTGAGTGTGGGGGCAGATTTCTAGTCAGGAACGCAGTGGCTCCTTCCTCTCCCCCGATCCTCCTTCAGGACCAGGGGAGAGGGGAGGGGAAGAACAGGCATGTGAACTCATGTGTCCTCAGTGCCACTGCATGCCTGGCACTGTGCTAAGAGTTCCACATGCATAGCCTCATTCAACTCTCACACAAGGGGCTGAGGAGGGTGGACTACCCCATTTCACAGATGAGGCAGCTGAGGCCCTGAAAGTGAAGTGTATCTCACACCAAGTGACACTGAGCAGGCAGTAAGGCCAGGATTTAACCACTGCCTCTCAGAAGGGCCCTGGATGAAGCGGGTGTGGGAGCGGGTGGTAGACATTTCAGGGAAGGGCAGGTGCAGGCAGGGACTGGACGCACTGGCCGGCAGCAGGGTCTCCGTAGCAGGGGCACAGCTGGCAGTCCTGTGGTGTCCCCCGCTGGGCGTCCCCGTAGTATCCTGGCTGGCACTGCTCACACCGAGGGCCCTCCGTGTGATGCTGGCAGCCCTGGAGGAGCAGGATGTGAGTTGAGGCTGGGCCTCCAGAGGCCACAGATTGCTGGGGTGGGCGGAAGGAGGGCGGGACTTACCTGGCAGGCACCTGTTTCTGGCTCGCAGGCCTCTGAGTGGCCATGGCAGCTGCAGCGTTCACAGGTACCCAGGTAGAGGCCACTGGGCGTGCGTGTGTAGCCTGTGTCACAGTCCTGGGGGCAGAAAGATGGCAGTGGGAGGGACTTCCGAACACGGCCCATTCAGGTAGGGGCACTGGATGGCCAGGGCTGGGGAGGTGTGGAGGGCTCATGGAGAAGGAGCGGGAAGCACCATGGAGGGGGCTGGCTGGGCTGGCGTGGGGCCCAGGACTCACCTGGCAGGACGGCCCACGGTACCCGGGTGGGCAGGAGCACTGTTCCACTTCCAGCGCGGGGTCCTGGCCGGTTTCCTCGGGCACAGCCACGTCCATGCTGATGCCAGAGACCCTGGGCGTGACAAGACCCAGCGTGAATAGGAGTGCTGGCTCTGTGCCAGGCACGCCTGGAGTCCTCCACTGGCAGGGTCTTATTAGTCCTCCCGACAGCCCTGTCACAGTGCTGCTGGGGCCCTGTCCAGATCTCCAGAGGCTGCGAGGACCGTGGCAAACAGCTGTTACCTGCAACTTACTCCAAACCATCACCCTTCCTCACCTGGAGAGGTTATACCACCTCGTTCCCCTGGGGTCCCCAATGACAGGCTGATACAGGCTACAAGAGCCCACGGGCCTGAAAGAACGATCACTCTCCGGCGAATGACTCTCCAGAGCTCCCTGTGGGCTGAGGCTGGGGCTAGACTTGACCTGAAACCATATCCCTGCATGGCCCCTCCCCCCTCCTGCGTCCCTCTCCTTGTGAATCACATGCACCCCAATCCCCGTCTCAGGCTTCTTTCTAGGGAGCCTGGCCCCAGACCAGCCTGTATGGGAGACATTGTTAAGACTCTCCGTTTTACAGACAGGGAAAGTGAGGCACAAAAGGGTCACACAGTCTGTAAGTGGCTGTGCTGTACTGCACCGCTTAGATGGAGCCCCTCCCCAAGCCCATGCTGGTCCTCCTGCCCCGGCTCCAGACACCTGCTCTCAGCGGGCTGCTGGGCGTAGGATGCTCGGATCAGGAGGGTGTCGATGCCTGCCAGTGCCATCAGCAGGTGCTCCCGTGTGGCTGGCTGCCCATCGGGCCGCTGCCATGCTTGCTGCCAAGGAGAGGACACATGTGCTCAGCCCCTGACGTCCTGGAGTATTGAATGCCGGAGAGGCAGGAGCAAGGGCCTGCCCGCACCCCTACCCCCAGGGGACAGTATTGCTCACCTCCCGGAAAGGCACAATGAAGGTGCTGGGCTGGCCGGGGCTGGGCTCCTGGGCCACATGGTGCTCTAGGATGATGTTGTTACCTTGCAGCACCACCAACGGCTGCCCGTGCAGGGGTGTGGAGCCCGGCTGGGACCTCTGGGTCACTGTGAAGCGCAGCTCTCCTCCATAGGAGGTCACCTGGGACCAGGGTTAGACAGGAGCTTGCGGAGGCCTGAATTCGGGCCCTGTCACTGCTCCAGCCACCTTTTCCATGCAGTGTATCTCACTATTCTCCCAAGGCACCACGACCCTCCCGCCTCCAAGCCTTTGCCTGCGCTGTTCCTGCTGCCTGGAGTTTCCTTTGCCTTTCCACCCACTACCCACCTTGTCCCCCAGGAAGCGTGAAGGGAGGCTCCAGAAGTAGGGTCCAGATAAGAGTCTGTGGAAGGAGGAGAATCCCAGTTCCCCGGGCGTGGGGGAGAAGATGCCCTCGTTGGTGGTGTGGGTGCTTGCGGCGTTGGTCAGGCTGAAGTGACCAGGCTCCTCAGAGGCCCCATGCAACTGGGAGGAGGAGAAAGGGCTGGGATGGGGGCCGTGGCCTGGGACTGGCGCTTGGTCCATCCGGCCCAGGGCTTGGCGGTCCTGCCCGCCCACCTTGCAGAGGTACCTGGGCACGGCTCCATGAAGAGCTGGTGCAGTGGCGACTGACACCCATGCAGAAGCACTTGAGGCAGCCATCGGGGTTTCGGGTACTCAGGTGGAAAGAGCCGTCAGCACATTCATTGCACAAGCGCCCCACCACATTGTTCTGCAGGCACAGAGTTGGAGCTGAAGGACAGCCCATGGGAGAGGCTGCCTGGAGCTCTGGCCGAATCCACCCTCAGTCCAGATAAGAACCCAAGACCCAGGGGAGCCACTGAAAGAGCACATGTGGCTGGGCGCGGTGGCTCACGCCTGTAATCCCAGCACTTTGGGAGGCCAAGGCGGGTGGATCACCTCAGGTCAGGAGTTCAAGACCAGCCTGGCCAACATGGCAAAACCCTGTCTCTATTAAAAATACAAAAATTAGCCTGGCGTGGTGGCACACAGCTGTAATCCCAGCTACTCAGGAGGCTGAGGAAGGAGAATTGTTTGAAACCGGGAGGTGGAGGTTGCAGTGAGCCGAGATCGCGCCACTGCAATCCAGCCTACGCGATGGGAGCGAGACTCCATCTCAAAAAAAAAAAAAAAAAGAAAAGAAAAGAAAAGAAAGAGCACATGTATGAGGCGTCATTGCCATCTGAATAGTAATTCCCACTTAACAAGCACTTAGGCAAGCATTTTTCCCTTTTCTCTTTGGCTGCCAGGGGGTTCACCAATAAATTTAGACTTGAAATACAGCGACTTGATTGAAATAATTGCTGCTTCTATTTATGGAGTGTTTCACGCACTGTTCTGCTTTCCATTCGACATCACCTCATTTAACTCCCCTAAGGACCTTGAGAGGTAGGTGATACCTTCATCCTTCACATGAGGAAACAGAGGCTCAGGGATGTGAAATGACTTGCACAAAGTTACTCAGCTTGCCCATCCACTCTGGGATTTAAGACCAGGAGTGCCTGACTCCAGAATCCATCCATTCTTTTTTACACCGACACTTGATACTCACATTCTTTTTTTTTTTTTTTTTTTGAGACGGAGTTTCAGTCTTGTTGCCTACAATGGAGTACAGTGGTGCGGTCTCAGCTCACTGCAACCCTGCTTCCCAGGTTCAAGTGATTCTCCTGCCTCAGCCTCCTGAGTAGCTGGGATTATAGGCGCCCGCCACCACGCCTGGCTAATTTTTGCATTTTTAGTAGAGATGGGGTTTCACCATGTTGGCCAGGCTGGTCTTGAACTCCTGACCTCAAGTGATCCACCCACCTCAGCCTCCCAAAGTGCTGGGATTACAGGCGTGAGCCACTGCGCCCGGCCGATGCTCCCATTCCTAACGCAAGTGACCTCCCTTCTCTGAGCCTCCATTTCCTCATTCACAAATTGGGGACACTAATATCTATATCATTGTATCAATGTGACAATGGACAAAGTATGGCAAAAGCAAAGGTACAATGCAGATACAAAGGCTGCATAAAGAATGACTGGGACTTGAACTGTGGTCACCTGACTCCCTAACCAGTGCTCCTTCCCAACGCCAGGCCACCTGTCCTGGTACGGAAGGCCGGTGGGCCAGGTCCACCAGCCTCTGACTGGGTTACCACCCACTGGCCAAGGATCTATGGAGAGGACGGAGCTTCCTTCTTCCTCCTCCCAGCTGTGGTGCTGGGCCCAAGGCCCCTGGGTGGGTGGCAGATGGCACGCGTACCTTACAGCGGCAGGCCTCCCCGGAGGTCCCCATGCTGCCACGCTCGTCACAGCGCACAATCTCCTGGTCTGGGACACAAAACGAGTGTTGGCAGGGCAGGTGGGAATGGGATATACGTGGTCCGGGCAGATAGAGGAACAGTGGCTCCCCAAGGTTCATGAGCTGGGGCAGGGAGGGAGGGTGCCTGGTGTGCAGCCCAGGTTGGGTTGGGAGGTGGGTGTCAGGGGATGGTGGCAGCCATACTCACTGACGGGCCTGCACTTCCCGCCGGGCTGGATGGGGTTGCCCTCGTATCCGGGGGCACAGCTAGGGGAGAGAGGGGGCCGCCATCAGCACTTCCATGACCCCACCCAGGAGCCCCCTTCCTGCAGCCCCCAAGGCTCTCCCTCACCTCTCACAGCGGCGGCCAGTGTAGCCTGGGGCACAGGCGTCACATGTGGCTTGGCCATCCGTGTCCAGGAAGCAAGTGTCTGAGAATCTGCAGGTATCAAGTGGACAGGGCATGGGGCAGGGCTGGGGTCAGGCTTTCTCCTCCCACCCTGGGAAATGACTGCTGTCTACACAGACACAGTGTGCCACGAGGCATGACGCCATCTCCCTGCCCGGCAGCCTCACAGCAACTGTAGGAAGTCAGGGGGCCCATTATACAGAAAAGGAAACAGAGGCCTAGAGAGGTCCAGGAGCATGGGATAACTTAGTGATCAGGTAGAGATCTGAATCCAAGTCTCCTGCCTCCCTGCCCAGAATATTCTCTGGCCTGTTGCACTGTCCCCAGCCAAACCCCCCCTGACCCGGAGCTGGGGCTGACCTGCGGGAGGCATCGATGTATGGGCAAGGGCAGGGCCGGCAGGAAGTGGCCGTGGCCTTCATGGCGTCCCCAAAGAAGCCAGCCTTGCACTTGTTGCACTGTGGCCCCTCCGTGTTGTGCTGGCAATTCTAGAAGAAGGAGGAGGGTATGGCTCAACTTCTAGAGCAGAACTGGGCCAGATGCTGCGGGGGACCTTGGAGGCTGTCTAGCTCAGCCTCCCCATCACGCTGGAGGCACAGCTTTGCAGACAGGGGAGCATCAACTGCAACCACTTATAGATGATGGGGAGCTCATCATCTTACACGGCAGCCTGTCCCATAGATGGTTCCAAATGCCTGCTTTTTATTGACCTAAACCTGCCACCCTCTTCCAATCTGCACCCACTGGCCAGTTCTGCTCTCCAGAGTCTGTTTCTTCTACCCGACACCTTTGCAGGGATTTGGAGATGACAATGCTGCCCTGCTTGAGCCTTTTCTTCTGTCAGCTCCACAATCCCAGCTCTCGCCACTATTCCTAAGAAATAAGGTCCCACCCCAAGGGCTCTTCCCCCTAGAGTTGCCCTCTGCAGGCCATGCTTCTTCATTTGGCACTCTCCAGGATTAGTCTGATGAGGGTGGAGAGGAGGGCCAACACCTCCCTTGTCTGGATGCTGTATCTCTGGGTTGTTTTTTTTTTCTGAGACTGAGTCTTGCTCTGTTGCCCAGGCTGGAGTGCAGGGGCACGGTCTTGGCCTACTGTAACCTCCACCTCCCGGGTTCAAGCGATTTTCCTGCCTCAGCCTCCTGAGTAGCTGGGATTACAGGCGTACGCCACCACGCCTGGCTAATTTTTGTATTTTTAGTAGAAATGGGGTTTCACCATGTTGGCCAGGCTGGTCTCAAACTCCTGACCTCAAGTGATCCACCCATCTAGGCTTCCCAAAGTGCTGGGATTACAGGCATGAGCCACTGCGCCTGACCTATATTTCTGTTATTGCATCCAGAGGTCATGATAGTTCATCTGGCAGTCATGACAGTCATTCTGGAGGCTTGTGCTGAGCTCATGAACACAGGGAATCTCACACATTGTCCCTTCTCCTATTTTAGTGTTCAAGTGTCTGCTGGCACTACTCACCAGGCAGTGGCCATACACAGGGTCACAGGAGCTGGCATGGCCATTGCAATTGCAACCAGAGCAGGTGCCCAGGTAGGGCCCACCAGGCACCCGAGTGAAGTGGGCATCACAGCTCTCGCAGGACAAGCCAGAATAGCCAATGGGGCATCTGTGGGGACAGGACCAAAAGAGTCGCTGCAAGGACGGTGAGGCCCTGCCGTTTCTCCTCTATCCTTGCTAGGGTCTCTGTGGTTCCCAGCCCTGCCGGCTCAGGCACCTGCACTCCTCCACACTGTGGGCACGGCCATGGCTGGTGGCATGGGTGACGGTGGTATCCATGGCGATGTCGCTAAGTCCCACGCTGGCCATCTTGGTGTTGTACACGGTCTGGATGAGCACGGCCTCCAGGCTCTGCAGCACCTGCAGCAGCTCCGCGCGCTGCACCGGCCGGCCAGACTCATGGACCCAGTGCTCCTGGGTATGGGTGAAGGTGGCAGGGGTCACACATCAGTGCCTACCCAGCCTAAATCCCCCTTTGCTCCCAGCCCTAAGGGCTCAGGCGCCACCCACCTCAGAGAACTGGACCTGGCGCTGGTTCAGAGCACCAGGTTGGGTGGGTGTGTGGCCTCGGGAGAGGAGGCGGTACCCGGCACCCATGAGGACCACGTCCGGCCGCTGCACTGGCTCCAGCATGCCACGGGCCAACTCGTAGCGCACGTTGTAACGCAGGGAGCCGCCATAGGAGTCCACCTGGCACAACAGGGTGGATCAGCACGGGCAGCTGTGGGCACACTTGACACCTCGTGCCTATGAGGTGCCTATAGTCTTCCAGCTCCTCCCTCACTCTGCCTACCTGAGACTTACTGTGTGCCAGGCACTGAGCTAGGCACAGGGAAACCGAGATGGGCGAGACTCAGGCCCTGACTCTAGGGTGTTTGGTCCATGGCAGGGTGTGGAATCATGCAGTGCACAGGGTACCCAGGGAAGCCAGTGCGGAGGCACAGAACCCAGCCCAGGCATGGGGGAGTGGTCAGGGAGGGCTCCCGGGAGGAGGGGAGGCCAGCTCTTCTTCCCAAGCCAACAGTGCAGGGGAGAGGTCCTGCCCTGAATGGATGAGCCGCTGCCACAGGGGGCTGCATCGGGGCATGGTAACACCTTTCCCTCCAAGTCTGCCTTGTTGTCCACCAACTGCAGAAGGAGCAGAGCCCACAGGAATTCTTTCCCCACCCAGGGTGGCAGCCCAGGCCCCTCACCTTGTTGCCCAGGAACTGTTCAGGCAGAGCCCAGAAGGAGTCGTGGACGAGGAAGCGGCGGGACAGGTCGACTAGCTGGAACTCGTGCAGGGATGGGTCGATCTGCAGCTGCGTGGAGGAGAGGGGTGGCGTGCCGGGCTGCGCAGGCATTGTCACATTCACACCTGTGGGTGGCAAGGGGGAGGCTGAGGGCTGCAGCCTGGGCCTGCCTGATACACCCATCTTGAGGGGCAGCAATCCAGAAAGGTGGGAAAGTTCTAGTGGAAATTTGATTTCGAGAAAACTTTGATCTCTCTTCCAAAGTGAAGAAAATGCAGTTTTTTGCCGGGTGTGGTGGCTCACGCCTATAATGCCAGCACTTTGAGAGGCTGAGGCGGGCAGATCACTTGAGGCCAGGAGTTCATGACCAGCCTTCCCAACATGGTGAAACCTCGTCTCTACTAAAAATAAAAAAACTAGACAGGCATGGTGGTGCACGCCTGTAGTCCCAGCTACTCAGGAGGCTGAGACAGCAGAATCACTTGAACCCGGGAGGCGGAGGCTGCAGCGAGCTGAGATCACACCAGTGTACTCCAGCTTGGGTGACAGAGCAAGACTCTGTCTCAAAAAAAAAAAAAAAAAAAAAAGAAAGAAAAGAAAAAGAAAATGCAGTTTTTTCCTCCTTCCCAAATACTGGAGCAGCATTTCCCAAAGCATGCTCTGGGAAAGTCAATGCCATGGAATGATAGCTGGGAACCATTTGGGAACCACAGGGTAAAGAAAGGACAAGGGGATTCTTTGCAGCCAGACTTCTCAGGGTCTTTCTTGCTAAGAGACCCACAGACTTTCAGGGCTGGAACAACCCTGCAGGCAGGAGAGCTACACAGGGCTGAGGAACAGGAGACCAAGTCCAGGTGTGTTGTAAGCCTGGGCAAGGGCCTCAGTTTCCTTATCTGTAAGATGGTGCTTAAAGTAGCCTGCCTCCTAGAGGTATAAGCTAAAATGAGCACATTGATATAAAATGGCTAGCTCTTATTGTTGCTGTTGTTATGATGGGTCGTCTAGTCCAACCCTCTTCTATGTACACACACACACACACACACACACACACACACACACACACACAGTCACCCTACATGGGAATTCCCTTGACAGCATCCTCCCAGATCTCTAGGACAGCTCCATCCTAGAGAACTTTCGGTGGAGTGAAAATATCCTGTACCTACACTCTTCATTACGGTAGCTGTTAGGTTGGTGAAAAAGTAATTGCTGGTTTGGTTTTGCCATTAAAAGTAATGGTACCAGCAACATGTGGCCACTGAGCACTGGAGACATGTCTTGTGCTGCTCAGGAATGAATCATTGTATTTCAATTTAAAGAGCCACACAGGGCCAGTGACTGCCACATTGGATGGTGCAGCCGTCATGGATGGAGAGCGTACAACCTCCAAAGGCCGTCCCTCCCGGCTCTGGACAACTTTGACTCTTAGCAAGTTCTTCCTTATACAGAGTCCACATCTGTCTGCCAATAGCTTCTCCCCCTCATCCTGAATTAACCCCCTGCAACCACAGGGGAATCCAGCTCCTCACCCGCAGAATGACCGAGCACAGCCCCGGGTCTAGGTTACTCAATCCTCTTTCCTCCCTGCCTTCCGGGGATGTCTTCAGGCCTCCTCCCTCCTGGTCACCATCCACACACAGGCCACCTGCTCACCCTGGAATTCCCACCACTCCCTCCCCTGGACCACCCAGATTCCAATCAGACAGCCCTGGGTTCAGCTCCCCCTCTAAACTGCTGTGTGAACCCAGGGAAGCCCCACAACATCTCAGAGCCCTGGGGCTCTCATCTTAAAACTGTGAAATCAGCCCTGACCTTGCAAGGGTTTTTGGCAGTTCGTTGACTGTCACGTCAAGCCACAGGGCCAACTGCCTGCTCACCAAATGGTGGCCACGGCCATTAGCATTGTAAATATACTGGGGGACAACTTTGGGAAGTAACTAAGTTTTGTTTTGTTTTTAGGGATGGGGTCTCACTCTGTTGTCCAGGCTGGAGTGCAATGGTGTGATCATGGCTCACTGCAGCCTCAACCTCCTAGGCTCAACAGATCCTCCTGCCTCAGCCTCTCAAGTAGCTGGGACTACAGGTGCAAGCCACCATGCCTGGCTAGATTTTTTGTTTTTAATTATTTGTAGAGATGGGGTCTCTCTGTGTTACCCAGGCTGGTCTTGAACTCCTGGCCACAAGCAATCCTCCCTCCCCAGCCTCCCAAAGTACTTGGATTACAGGCATAAGCCACCATGCCTGGCCAGGTAACTAAGTTTTATACAAGTCATTTTTAGGTTCCTCAACCAACAAAAGGGCATAAAATGTGTTGAGTGCTTTGGAGCTAACTCTCTACATGCATTTAATCCTCTGCAACGAAGAAGTGAGACTCAGCAGGGTGAGGGCTGCTTGATGCCACGTGGAAAACGACAGAGCTGGGACCTGAGCCCCAGTCCAGGCAGTGCCTGGGCTCATGCCCTCAGCCATCCTGCCATTCTGCCTCTCAGTGCCAGAAAGAACTGAGTCCATCTGCCTGCCTCTATCTTTGGGAAAATAGGACCAGGGAGGCCAAGAGACTTGCCCAAAGACACAGCGGCAGTAAGTGGTATAGCTGGAGGCCACCCTCAGGCCAAGGAGATGCCAAAGCCTGGGCTCCTATAATCTGGGTACACTGGCACCTCTGTCTCTCAGAATGAGGACAATGACTGTGACGTTAGCAAATACCTCCTGGGTGCTGAAAATGCGCTGAGCACAATTCTGAGAGGCTTACATACGTGACTCCACTAAGTCCTTACCAACCCCTAGGAGGTAGTTATTATTCCACACCCCCCGACTTTACAGATGACGAAACAGACACGAGATAGTGGGTAACTTGACCCAGGACACAGGTGGACAGCGTCCACGTCAGGATCTGAAGCTGGAAGCTGGCTCCAGGGCCCGTCCTCGCCGTAACCTGAAGCAGGTAGGTAGCAAGGGGGGATTTGGCTCTTCCTAAACATCTTGGTTTTCCCCCCGAAATGCTTTTTTGACAGGGCTCAGTGTTTCTTCAGCGACTCACATTCCTTCCCGAAACCTGGCCCCCTCTGTCCGCATCTATCCTCTGTGCCCCCTGGGTACAGAGGTACCCACCTCCCACCTCCCGCAGCGCTCACCCGCCCGCCAACGCACCCTTGAAGTCATCGGGTTGGTCAAAGCGCAGCCTGATCTGGTCCCGGAAGCGGCGGGTGCTCTGGCACACGCTGGTGATGCCAAAGCAGAAGCAGGGCAGGCAGGCGGCGCTGTGCTCCAGGTAGAAGTGGCCGTCAGGGCAGGGGCCTGCTGGGCGGCATGGGCGGGGGCTGCAGCCGGCTGTGGTGGGCAGCCCGGCTCTGCCCCCACACCCGGTGACACCTGCCCTCCGGCAGTACCTCGTTGTGGGACGAGCTCAAGGACACCGTCAGGAATGCCAAACACCATGCCCCGGGCGTTCATGGCCTCACAGGTGTAGGCACCCTGGTCTGACTCCTTCACATCACGGATGATCAGTGTGCCACGGCCACCCTCGCTGGTCACTGTCACCCTGGTGAGCCCCAAGACAAGTGGTAGGATCTGGCCTAGGGCTCTGGACCAGCTGCCCCTCATTCCCACCCCACCACCTGGGCCCAGAGCCGCACCTGGGATGAGAGGGGATGTGGCCCCAGTTGAGCCTCCAATTGATGATGGGGGTGGGGACGCCAATGGCCACGCAGGTGAAGGTCACTGTCTGGCCCCGGGAAGCCTGGATGGACTCCCGGGGAGGTGTCACCACCTGGGGGGGCACTGAGGAGACCAGGGCAGGAGTGAGGGGTCGGGGGCAAAGGAAGGAGGAGCGGAAGGAGGGCTCCGAGGGGCTAGGAGGGAGAAGGGTGGAGGCTGAGGCTGTGGACAGAACCCCTAGAACCCAGCCCAGGGCCCGCATCTCGACCCCAGCTCCCTGCTCACTGCAGCCAAACTCGTCGCTCCGGTCAGGACAGTCGCTCTCCTCGTCACAGTGGAAGCTGGCTGGGATGCACATGTTGGTAGAGACGCATCGGAACTGTGTGGGCCCGCACACTTCCTCAGGACGCTTGGTGGCTGGGGACAAAGCCAGGTGGTTCCCAATAGCCCACCCCGTCCATCCTCCCTGGGCATCCCCAGGGCCACTCTCTCATCTTGCCCACATAACCCACAGCGGCCCTCGCCATGCCTAGCCCCTGCTGCACAACACTGTCCAACTCACAGCCAGCATGATGCGGCCACCAGCTGTCATCGAACCACTCATCACATTACCCGGCCCCCACCCCTCACTCCACCTGCATTCCCCATGCCAGTTATGGCTGGCACATCACTGTCACAACCACAGCATCACCCAGCCACGCTCAGAGGCACAGAAGCGCTATCTTGCTCACATGGACAAGACCCATGTCAAAGGCACCACCAGTGGGGCTGGCATCTCTGGGCGCCAGCAATGCCCCGCCCACCCTTCTCTACCAGAATGCCTGGCACAGTGTGGTCCCCTGAGGGGCTCGACGGTCTGTGCTCCCACTGACAGGCCCTCTATGGAGTGGCCAGAGGCTGGAAGTGGCCCGGGACAAGGGCTGGGCCCTGCTAGGCCTCTCTAGTGGCTGGTGACCAATGTTCTTCCTCAGGGAGATGGAGCTTGAGAGAGACACAGACAGGGACAGAGAAGTCACAGCCATGCAGGAGCGGAAGCCGCGCATCCACAGAGCAGGTGCGAGAGGAGACCAGGAGGTAGCCGTGGGCGCAGCTCAGGCGCTTCTGTTCCCCACACTCTCAGGAGCCCACGAGGCCATTCAGCTTTCATGTTCTCTGTTTCTGTGCTGTCCACAAGGACCTGTCCTTCCTTTGACTTCCCCAGGAGAGGCCCCTGAGAAGGGCCTTCCAACTAAAGCCCCCAATTACTTTATCTCTCCCAAGGGGCTGGTGCTATCAGGCAAGCTTAGAGCCACAGAAAGGCGTTCGCAAACTCTGCCAGTCTGTGGCATGGTGCAGCCTCTCCCCCGGGGCTTGCTGTGGAGTGGGCAGGGGAAGGAAGGCAAGGAGAAGCTGGACAAGCTCACAGCAGGAACATGGACACGCGCCCAGACACACCACCCAGGACCACAGAGAAGAGCCTGAAGATTATCCTTAATCTTGCACTAACAAGCATCAGGCTTCTTGCGGGACAGGACATACAGGATACCACCTGATGTGGTCGCTGCCTCTCCAGCCTCCCCCTCCTATTTAACTGTCAGGATGCCCGTAATGTCCATGACTGGAAAAGATGGATACCACAAGGGTGGGGAAGTGGGAGGCTGGAAGGATGGATGGGAGGGAAGAAGGACGACAGATGGATGGGTGGATAGATGGATGAAGGGCTGGGTGGATGGATAATGGGTGTATAGGTGGGTGCATGGGTGGCTGGGGAGTTGGACAGATGGGTGGGTAAGGCTCTGACTTGCATACATACACCAAGGACCCATCACCAAGGGACCTTGGCACATAGAACCCTCCTAGCCATTCATCCGACCCACATACAAAACAAAGAGAAGCTTCATGGTAACAAAAATAAAGGAAAGAAATGACGAGACACGAACCACAGGCAGGCTAACCACACAGCTTCACCAAAGGCCAGCTCAGGGCCAAGGGGCCTTACGGCTCTGGTTAGAGATAAACCTTGGGGTGTGTCTCCAGGGCCTTCCGCACTCAGCCAGGGAGAGCAAACAAACAGGCTTGGGGGACTGGGGAGGGGGGAAAGCGGAGGGGCAGGGTAGGGGCGGGGCAGGAGTGGAAGGCGGGGCAGGAGCAAGCGGCCTGGGCAGGGCAAGGGGGCCTCAGCTGGACCCTCGGATACTCACGGCAGTTGGCTTCATCAGTTCGGTCCTCACAGTCAAAGTCACCATCGCAGCGCCACAGCTTGAGGGCACAATGTCCATTCCCGCAGGGGAACTCGTTGGGCTCACAGGGTGGCGGGGGGCCTAGGAGACCGGGCAGGGGTCAGCAGCATCCTCCCGGGCCAGCTTCCTGCTCCCCGCACCCACCTGCACCCCTGCCGGTGCGCACCACAGTCTAGCTCATCGCTGCCGTCCTCGCAGTCCTCCTGTCCGTCGCAGAGGTAGTCTCTGGGGATGCAGTGCCCATTGCGGCATGCGGCCTCCTGGGGCCCACAGGGCAGGGGCCTGACGGAACCGGGAAGCAGGGGCTGAGGAGCGTGGGTGACTGGTGGCTGTCGCATGATGGTTGTCTCTGGCCGGGGCGGTAAAGATGTCGTCTCCACAAGGAGAGAGAATGTGGGGCTGATACCCAGGACTGGCTCCTCTGTGGATAGATTCCGCTTGGCATTTGGCAGAAGCAGATGGCTCCTCACCTGCTCCTTGTCCCCAACCCTCCCCAGGCCCACCCTGTACTCCCCAACACCACTCCCTGCCACCCCCTGCCTGGCTCTGTCATCACCCTTCCTATGCCCCCATCCTCTGCCTGCACCAAACCCTCATAGTCCTTGATGGGCTCCAAGACCCAGGTGTAGGACCCTGGCCCTCCCCTGGCACCCAAACCACTCGTGGCCCCGGACATCCCCTCACCACAATTGAGCTCATCAGACATGTCCCTGCAGTCGGGCCGCCGGTCACAGCGATACTCCAGGGCCACACACTCATTGTAGCTGTGGCAGGCAAACTCGGCCTCCGTGCAGGCTCTTGGGAACTGGGGCACTGCAGGTGGAAAGGAAGCAGACTGGAGTCAGAGGCGGCAGGAGGCAGGTGCGGGAAGCTGTAGGTGCTGTGTGGCTGGAGTGGGCTCCAGGGCCCTGTGTCAGGCAGCTCGGTTTCTGGCAGGCACAACGAGGGCAAGCAGCACACACTAGACACATCCACAGCACACGTGGGGCATGGGACATGCGGCAGTGGCCTCCCCCATCTCTAAAACAGACCCCACACACAGTTGACATGCCACACGCATGCAACCACCACACCACACACATGCAGGCCACAGCCTGGCCCAGTGAGGACAAAGAAGGAGGGGAGAAGGGAGTGCCCAGCTGTCTTGGGCTGTGCCCAGCCAGCCATCTTGCCCACACCCTTCTTTCCTCTCCATCCTTTAAAAAATTTTTTTCTCTCTTCTTTTTTATTTTTTTAGAGACAGGGTCTTGCTACGTTGCCCAAGCTGGTCTCGAACTCTTTGCCTCAAGCAATCCTCCCGTCTTGGCCTCCCAAAGTGCTGGGGTTACAGGCGTGAGCCCCTGCACCCGGCCTCCTCTCCAACCTTAACTTCTCTAGGAACCTGGCTGGGCCTCGGCCTGGCTTACACTCTCACCTGGTGTCACTGCGACCGCCACAGCGGCCGGCGGGGGTGGGGGGGTCTGTGCTGGAAAGGAAGATGTGATCAGTGGCTGTTCCACCTGGGAGCCGGGAGCTGAGGGCTGCAGGGCTGGGCCACATTCCACCATCCCTAGCCAGGAGGACTTATTGAAAAGTGAGAGAGGAGGGCTGGACCCCCAGCAGTCTTTAGACCTGGGCCTGATGATGCAGAAGAGCAAGCTTGATCTCTGGGTGCAATAATTAAGGGTTTTTGTTTGTTTGTCTTGTTTTAGAGGCAGGGTTTTGCTCTGTCGCCCAGGCTGGAGTGCAGTGGCATGATCCTAGCTCACTGCAGCCTCAAACTCCTGGGCTCCGGTGATCCTCCTGCCTCAGCCTCCTGAGTAGCTAGGACTACAGGCGCGCACCACCACGCTTGGCTTTAATTGAGGTGCGGAACAAGGGAGGTGATGGTTTCACTGTCTTTTCCTAATTGGGCTACACCATAGTAGGGGATGGAGTTTGTTCCATTCTGAGTTCCACTGAGTCAGGGTCTTCCCAGAGACAGGGAACTGAGATGGAGACAGGGCCGAGAACCACACCTGTGAAGGATGAACTAGGGCTGTTCGGTCTAGAGAAAAAAAAGAGACTCAGGAGGTTAAAACAGGAGACCAAAGGCACAGTAGAAGGAAATCTGGGCTGACCCAGAGTACAAAGGCCAGGATTCTGCACCTAACCGCTGTGTGGCTTTGGACCAGTTTCCTAGTCTCTCTGTGCCTCAGTTTCTCCTGCTTCTGTCATCACAGGTTCTGGCAAGACTGTCACAGACACCGAGTTTGTTTGAAATCCTCGCCTTTTCACTATCTGCCCATCTGATTCTGGACAAATTTAGATTTTCCTTTCTGGGCCTCAGTTCCCTCGTCTCTGAAACAGGAGGAATAACATCTCCTTCATAGGAATTGCTGTGAAGACTGACCCGGAGGCTGGAAATAAAGGCAGTCAGTGCTCAGTAAACAGTTGCTCATTATTATTAAGTACTAATGTGTTTTGGACTTGGAAGTACAGGATAAATAAAGGCCTGATTACCTATTGTCAATGTGCAGAGGTCTAGAAGGAAGGAGCAGAACTCGGGTCTAACGGGTATGTGCTAGAGGAAACAGTCTGTGCTCTACCAAGCCAAGATTGTGTAAAGATCGATGGGGCAGACTCAGGAGTAGTGAGCTCCCTGTTTCTAGTGGTGTGCAAGCCCAAGTTGGGAGCCTATGGCAGAGACACTGAAAGGGGACCCCACGAGTCTGGAGGAGGCGATCCCAGACACCAGGATAGGCTCACCTGTGCCCAGGCGTCGGAACTGGAATCCCTGGGGAGAGGTGACGTAGGAGGCCACAGAGCCGCTGGAGATGACCCTGAGCAGCATCTCCTGAATCTGAGCCCCATCCGCATTCCCTTCCGAGCCCACATCCAGCTCCACAAAAACCCAGCCATCCAGCTCCCTGGGGATGGAGACAGGCAGGAGAGGAGGGTCAGCGAGACACCTGTGTTCTCAGCTCCTCCATGAGGCTCCCGCCCCGACGCTCAGGCCCTGTTCCGGGACAGCCTGTACCCAAAGAAGGGCAACTAAAGGTCCCAATGATCCCCCGACCAATTCCTGAATTTCCACCCACAGCGACTCATCCCATAGGCCTTTCCGCGGTGCCAGGCTTCCTTCCCATCCTCATCAGCCCCCTCCAGGTTACCCGCTCAAGTCCCCCAGCAGCCCCCAGGGAGCCCCTTCTCACTTGATGAACACCACACTGACAACCTGGTCTCCGGGAATTTTCAAGTACTCCGACTCCAGCTGGGGAGGGACACAGTGCCATCAGCCCCAGAGGCCTTCACCCCATCCTCGGTCCTGCCCCGCCACACCCGCGAGCTTCCCAAACCCCCTTCACCTCACCGTGTCTACCACAGCCTCGGACACCTCTCGGAACTCTCTGGAGCCTGCATCCTCCAGCTGAGGGCTGTACTCGATGGAGCGAGTGAAATTCACCAGGGCTCGGAAATAAACTGGAAAATCGAAGGAGGATCATTTTGAGAGCCCCAGCCTGGCATCTAGTGGCCTTAGGCAGTTGGACCATTCAGGCAGAGTTGGGGGGATGGCCCCCAGAGGCCTCCCTCGAGGCTGACACCTGTGTGCCCACTGCTACACCCAGGACTGCCTGTAGGTATACATGCTCAGGGGTCAATGCCAAGGCCCCAACTTGACTGAGGGGCTTTAACTAACAGGGGAAATGGCCTGATCCAGAAACCAAGTGCTAGTGCAAAAGAGGAGACCCCCACAGTTCAGAGGAAGGCTGGACAAGAAGGGGTGGCTCCCAGAGGGAGTTGGCCTGGCACAGGGATTACCTGCGTGTGACTGGGAAAGGCTCTGCCAGCCTTCCTCGGTCAGTTCCTACTCATTCCTCAGGACTTGGCTCAGCCATTGTCTCCTGATCTTCCTGATCTGCCCTGGCTGGGGTAGAGACCGCTCCCCTGGGCTCCCACAGTGCCCTGCTTTCCCTAGCAGAGCACCTTCCACCGTGTACTGCATAGATTCTGCCAGGTTTCACATCACAGTAACAATTGTGAGTTCTAAGGTCAGCCATGCCTCAGGCACTGACCTCGGCTCTGAGTTTCTGTTTCCTAATGGGGATATTGACTGCATGTACCACCTGGGTTGCTGCGAGGAGTGCATGACATTGTGCTCACATGCACCAGGCCCTTGTACTCAGATGCATCACCTGGCACACAGCAAACCGCCCAAGAATCGAAGCTGCTGTGGTCCTCTCTCCACCACCAGACTCTAGGCTTGATGGAGGGGAACCTGGGATTTCATTCACGCCCGCATCCCCAGTGCCTGCCGCGTGCCTGGTACACAGCGGGTTCCTTGAAAGTGATGGCTGAATAAATTCATCTCAGACTGGTGTGAACATACACATGCATCTGTTGTTTCTTTTTTTTTTAGGCAGGGTCTTGCTCTGTCACCCACGCTGGAGTGCGGTAGCAAAATCACAGCTCACTGCAGCCTCAAACTCTAAGGCTCAAGCTATCCTCCCACTGCAGCCTCCTGAGTAGCTGGGATTACAGGTGCATGCCACCATGCCCAG
Source organism: Homo sapiens (assembly GCF_000001405.40). NCBI lineage: Eukaryota > Metazoa > Chordata > Mammalia > Primates > Hominidae > Homo > Homo sapiens. Next base: position 21,891,774 of record NC_000001.11, read on the forward strand.
CTAATGTTTTGACTTTTGATAGAGATGGGGTCTTGCTATGTTGCCCAGGCTGGTCTCAAACTCCTGGGCTCAAGCAATCCTCTCACTTTGGCCTCCCAAAGTACATCTATCGTTTCTTAAGCACCGACTATATATGAGACATTTTATGCTCATTACGTTTCACAATATTTGTGAATTCATGTATGTGATAGATATGAATGAATAAGAGTGACAAATGAGTCATATACAAGCCAAGCATCCCTAATCCAAAAATCTGAAATCCGGTGTGTAGGTGGCAGAGCAGGGAGTGGCACTGTCTGTGCTACTGCCAGGCCCATCCTCCTCCCGCTTTACTCTGTCCATCAGGCCCGCAGGTGCACAGGACATTCTTGCTCTGTGGCTCAGGTGAAGAAAGCCCTGGCGCTGCCTGCCCTGAACCGCTGGGCTAGGCTCCTGGGTGCCGGGTGGGCGGGGCTCTGTGGGCTGGAGTGTGGGGGCCATGGCTCAGCCACAGAGGCCCCTTGTGAGCCAGCACAGAGGCCCATTGAGAGTCCCCCCACCCAAGCCCCTGGCCTCAGCCCCACGGCCCAGCGCGGGCGAGGAGGCCGGGCCTCTGCCCAGGAATGTGCCCGCTCCTGGGGAAGGGGACTGGAGCTCCACAAAGCCCCTTTCTACTAGGGCCTGGGAAGGGCACAGGCCCTTCAGCCTGACCCCACCCCGCTTCGTTCTTCGAGACCAAGGGCAGGTCTGGGTGAACACCTCCCATCTCCCACCCTGCAGCTGGTGCCTGAGCACTGGGGCAGAAGGTGAGGCCACCTCTATTTCAAGAACCAGCCCCCGGGCTGGGTGCAGTGGCTCACGCCTGTAATCCCAGCACTTTGGGAGGCCGAGGCCGGCAGATCACTTGAGGTCAGGAGTTCAAGACCAGGCTGGCCAACATGGTGAAAATACAAAAATTAACCAGGCGTGGTAGTGCATGCCTGTAATCCCAGCTACTCGGGAGGCTGAGGCAGGAGGATTGCTTGAATCAGGGAGGCAGAGGTTGCAGTGAGCCGAGATTGTGCCACTGTACTGCCTTCCAGCCTGGGTGACAGAGTGAGACTCCATCTCAAAAAAAAAAAAAAAAAAGAAAAGAAAAGGAAAAAAGAACCAGCCTCCAGAGCCAAGGACACTGGTGCAGCCAGCAGGGGCGAGGCTGCCTTGGAATAGGGGTGCTCTCTGGCCAGTCCTCTCCCTCCTCTCACCCTATCTGGTGAGTTCCCTTGGAGCCAGAGGCCGGGAGAGGGAGACAGCTGCCCTGCACTCAGGGTAGAAGTGGGGGCTGCACACCTGACTAGCCCTGGCCCCGGAGCAGGCTACTCACCAACTCCTGATTCCCATCCCTGCTCAACAGAACTCTCTGCAACACACCCAGGCCCCCGAACTCCAGCCCTGGGTCCCTGTGGGTCCCTCGGGTGGGCCCAGGATTGGCCTGTGCTGGGGTGGACACAAGTGGCCTCTGGAATGCAGGGCCTGGTCCCTGCAGGGCTGCTGCACCCATCTCTGCCCGTCAACACCCCATGGGGAAGAACGCCCGCCAGGGTTCCAGCCCACTGTGTTTAGATCTGTGGGCCCAGGGTGGGCCTGGCTGTGTCCTGGGCAGGGGCAGTGGCTGGCCTAGCCCCTGGACTCTGCAGGGAGGTGCCTCTGAGCCTCTTGTGTGACTCGCAGCAAAGTGCAGGTTGGGGAGGAAGAGAACAGGGAGAAAGGAGAGAAAAGGAAGAGTGGGGAGAGAGGATGGGGAGGGAGGCAGAGGGAGAGCAGCGCTCCCACCTGGCCAGGGCCTGGGTCACTTACTGAGAGGGGACTCCTCATCAGGCTCCGAGACCATCATGCCAGCCACGGGCGGGCGGCCCAGGGGCTGCCCTGAGCCTGCAGAGTAGAGACAGAGAAGGAGGCAAGAAGGGACATTGACAGCGAGGGAGACGAGATGGAGAGAAGCAGAGAGAGAGGCAGAGACATTGCAAGAGAGAGGGAGACACAAAGAGACAGAAAGACAGAGACAGAGATAAAGAAAGTGGGGCGGGGGAGAATGAGAGAGAAAAGGTAAGACAAAGGTGAAGAAAAAGGCAGAGGGAAAAAGAAAAAAAAAAAAGAACAGGCAGAGGGGAGAGAGGGAAAGACAGAGGGCGACAGAAGCAGAGATGGTGAGCCAGAGAGAGGGAGAAGAACAGGATGAGGCAGAGGGAGGAGGCGCAGAGACAGACACTCAAGGAGTGGGGAAGAGGGCCCAGGGCAGGGAGGACAGGGGACACACACAGACATGCCGACAAGGGTCAGAGCAGGACACACGGGCATGGGGGAAGACAGAAAGAGACAGGTCAGAACATGGAAAGAAACTGGGGGAGGAGACGTGGGAAGGGGTCCTAGGGAGGGGAGGCTATCAGGGACGGGTCTTGACACACAGGGGGCTGGAGCTGAGCCAGGGAGCCACAGCCATGCCCAGGGGGAGGAGGGGAAGAGCCATCTCAGGGGCTGGAGTCCAGGGTCTGGGACTGGGCCAGAGGCTAGGCATGGCCCCATGACAGGCAGGATGGCTCTGGCTCATGGGCGCAGTGGGGGCACTGCCCTTGGTCAAGTCTGAGTGGGCACCCTGGGACCCCAGGATCAGGGAGGCACACCTGCTGCCTCCCTGACTGGCATTCAGCCCAGCTGCCTGGACCTGCCCCAAGGGCAGCTGGCAGGAGCCAGGGTTTGGCCTGGAGGGTCTGAGGCCCCACCTGTTCCCACTTGCGAGGAAAGGCACCTACCCTGGTCTTGGGCCCCCTACAGCTGCTGTGCCCTGTTCCCCACCTCTTCCCCCTCTGGCCTCGTCTGCCCTCACAGCTGCTTCTCAGGAAGGGCAGGTGGGCTGGCCAGGACTGCCCAGCTGGGGCAGAGCTGCTGCAGTGGGCAGCCCCCGGGGAGGGGCTGGAGATGGTTCATGAATGGACAGGGTGATCTCAGAGGCAAGCCTGGCTTGGCCAGAGGCAGCTCCAGGGACACATTAGCATAGGCCATTCCAGGACGGGACGTGCCATGTGTGCCTGGGGCCCACCTGACACTCCCTCTCCCAAGCCCCACCCAGCTCCCAGGCATCCTGCAGCCTCGTGGAGACCTACACATGGAAATGGAAAACCTTCAGGCAGAGCCCCAAGTCCAGGCTCTGGGAGGTCACAGTCAGGACCAGGTTACCCAGTGACCTACCCTCCTGTCTACACTGACCCAGTTAGGATGCTACCCACTGGCATTTGAAGGCCCCGGATATGTCAGCTAAAGGGAGGTGACTCCACCCCTGAAGTAGGCCCAGGCCAGATTTGGCCAAGGCCTGCCTAGGGTGAAGGCAGCCCTGGATGCCACGGGATGGCCCAGTAGTTGGTCTGACCTGAGCACCTGCTCCATCCTTGGCCCTGGTCACAGATTGTCCCAGGAGCTGCCTCCCAGAGAGGGCAGTAGGAACCATAAAGAGCCACAGGGCCTTGTCCTGGGGTAGGTCCTTCTCCACCCAGTATCCCAGAGTGGAAGGAAGCAGGGACTATAAGTCCCCATCCCAGTGCTGGGCCAGTCTGACCAGGGTGGGGGCTGACTCTCCTCCCTCCAAGAGCCTAGCCTTGCCTCCCTAAGCTAGGAACCCTTGCTTCCCAGCCGATGACCCACCTTAAGGCAAGGTTCTCTCCCAAGCCTAGCGTCAGGCTCGATCTGTGCTCTGCATGCCCTGCTGCCTGCCTGAATGCCCGATTCCACAGAGCCCCTCTGTTCCACTTGTCTTTGCCTGGGATCCCCAGCTCTGTGCCCCCAGGAGGGCTCTGGGGAAGGACTCAACAGCTGAGCTGCCCTGGGAGGTGAGAACTTTGCTTTGAATGTGAAACAGCTGACTGGCTGTCAGTCCCCAGCAGAACTGGGCTTTACCTGCCCAGTGCCCTGATACCTGTGCCTGTGGCATGGGCAAGCACAGGACCTGGCCACACCAGCCTTGCAGGGACCTGCCAATCAGTCTGCACAACTGTCACTCAGCAGGTTAAGAGATCACACCCACTTCTTCTTGCTTTGTACCCCAGGGCAGGCCCAAGGAGCCCTCAGCCCAGGAGACTGGCTCTGGGGCTTCCCTGGGGGACAGGAGGGAGACCTGCAGGAGGCCTGCAGCAACTTACCCATCTGGAAGTCCCCGCTGCCCAGGTCCCCACTGCCCAGGTCGTCTATAAGCAAAAAAGAGATGTAATCAGCAACAACAAGTATTTGTTGAGTACCTACTGGGTGTCAGGCACTGTTCTGGGCACCTAGTATACAGTGGGACAGGGTTGAGAAAGCTCGGAATGGTCGGTCACCCTCCTCCCCCATGCCAGTGGGAAGAAGCACAGTCTCACCCCCCACCCCTCTGCTCCCAGCCTTGGATCCTTGGCTCACCTCCTGAGATGCTGTCAGCCAGCATGTCCTCATCATCAGAAAGGTACGAATGTGTCCAGCGCATTTGGCTTGCTGTGACGGTCTCTATGTCCTCAGGCAGAGACAAGCCATCGTATGCCCTCAGCCCATGGGTCACCTGTAAGCAAACGAGAGCTGATTGAGTCACTCTCTCCAGCTCCCACTGAGCCCCACGGTCCTTCCCCTCACTTCCAGGGGGACCCAGAATCCCACCTTCAGGCCCCTTAGTGGTTAAATTTGACTTAGTATGGCTCAGTGAGCCAGGCTGGGGCTGAACCCTTTTGATTCAGTTTCCCCAAGTCCCATTAGCCCCTGGAGGCTTCAGAGCCCAACCCTGCTATTTCCGAATGAATCCTCAAATAAAGCAGACAATAAAATGTAAATCACTTTGGTAAGTAAAGACTCCTTTTCCTTTGGAGAAGGCAAGGGACACCCAGGACATGAGTGAGTGGATGGGGGGATGCGGGCGGGTAAAGGGGTGGCCTCGGGCAGCGCAGATGGGGGGCACAGGCAGGTGGAAGGCTGGCCAGGGTCAGCATGGGTGGGGACACAGGCAGAAGTCAAGGGCGAGCTGCTCAAAGCCGTTGCCTCCCCAGGCAGCTCCTCCCCAGGCCATTTGGCTCCTCTTCCTGCCTCACTCTGGCCTGCCCGTCTCCAGGCTGCAGGGAACACATTCCACTGTGTTGGAGAATTAGCTTTGGCACATGCAGCCACACTGACAGGCTCATCCCTGGGCCCAGCAGCGCGGAGGCAGAGCTCAGTATCTGGGCTGAATGGGGACAGGCGTGGTGTCAACTCCACGTGACCTCAGGCTGCTGCCGAGCCCAGGATAAGCTCCACCTTGGGGCCTGCAAACTATGTGGGCCGGAGCAGAAGGGCCCCAGCAGCCATAACACCTGCCTTCTCAGGTGTGGGTCCGGGCAATGAGTGCCTCTTCCCCCTAGACAAGATCCGGATGATTCCAAAGCAGTTTTACCAAATAACTTAGAGGAAAACAAACCCAGGGGAGCCCAAGGGAACCCCGTGGCCCTCAAGTGTGCAGATTCACGATGGCTGGACCCCAGATTCCACAAGCACAAGTATGCACAGACTGGCAATGGCCTGGCATGAGGGCCTCAGGCCCTGCCCTGGCCTTAAGCCAGAAGGAAATGGTCTCGCTTTTGAAAACCAAACCCACAAGGGCTAGACAAGGTAGTGAGGTCCAAGCCAGAGCAAAGGCCAAGGAGGAGAAAAAAACAAAGAGCCAGCCAGGCCCCCTTCCCTCCCCACCCCTACTGCTCCCACAGTCCATATCTCTCACGCCGGGCCCTCTGCTGGAATGCCCTTCCTCTCTTTGTTTCTCAGGCGAACTCCAATGCATCCTCCAAAATCAACTTAAATACCACCTCCTCCACCTACTCAGGAATAAGGAGGATCAAACCACTGATTGATAGGTGTGGATCTGAAAGAAGCCAGACACACAAGACTACAAACTATACGATTCCATTTATATGAACCCTTAGGGGTGAAAGTCTAATCCATAGTGACAGAAAGATCAGTAGTCACTTGGGACCAAGGGCAGGCTGGGGGTGACTGGGAAGGGGGCACAAGAGACACTTCTGGGGTGATGGTTCCCTGGGCATACATATCTCATTACTGACTGTACCCTGAAAATGGGTATATTTTGTTGTGTGTATTTATGCCTAAATAAGGATGACTAGAAAGAAACTCTCTTTGTCCCGACTCCTTGCTGTTCACAGTGACCTCAACCCCAGTCTGGTTCTGGGCTCACAAGGTTATTGTCTGTACCTCCGTTGGAATGGAAGCACCTTGAAGGCAAGGGCTGTGATGAATTCATCTCCACCTTTTCTGCACCCTGTGCTCAATAAATACTTGAATGAATGAATAAATGAACGGACAAAAACGGAATTCATCACCTATGAATTCCAGTCACTCTGTGAAGATGACTTGCTTTGGGGAGGCACTACCTACCTCTGTGCAATCTATAAGCATCTCCTGTCCTAGGCTGTGAGCTCCCTGGATGGGGGAGTGGCTGGGTGCCATTTGTTCATCTTTGTGTTTGCGGTGCTCTCAGACCTTGGGGAAGGTCTGAGTTGTCCACATCTTATTCCTGCTTTGGCCTAAAGCCCTTACCCCCAACAATCCAGCGGCAAATGTTGCCTCCTGTTCCTTCTCCTCTCCCTGCCCTCTCCCTGTCCTCCTGAGTGCTGGCCTGTGGACTTCTAGGCTGTGCCCGTGGGATGCGCATTCAGGAGTGTGCTTTAGAACGTCCAGGAGCTGGTGAGAAATGCAGATTCCTGGGCTCCTTCTCAGAGACAGTGAGTCAGGTTTTTCCATCCCAGGAGGGTGGTCTTAGTTGTGCATGTCCAGGGGATTCCCACAGTCCCTGGTTAGAACCGTAAGACCAGCCCCTACCAGGCGCTCTGCCTCCTTCCCTGGGTGGGGTAAAGGGCAGTGTTCCCACTGGCTGGAGCAGGCCTGACTGACCCAACGTGGGTATGAGGCTGGGGCTGGTGCAGGGGCACTGACTCTGGTTAGAGGAGATTTGAGGGGTCCCCTCAACCTGGTGGGGGGCTCTGTCAATGCCAATCCCCCTCTCATTGCAACCAAGGTTATGGAGGGCATGCCTGGAGCACTGCGACTCCCAGCATCTCCTAGACACTGCCGTCTGGAAAGGAAAACCTAGCGGTGAATGATGAGCAAGGTCCAGAGCTTTTCCCAGGGAGCAGGGAGCTGGTCAGCGGGTGGCGGCGGGGGTGGCCTTGGGACCAGACAGGAAATAGCAAAGTGAGATTCAACATGGAAAGAAAGCCAGGAACACACATCTGCAGGGAGAGGGGAAAGAGAGGCCAGAGCACGTCGGGACTTGGACAGAAGTGCCCCACACTCCACCAGAGGACTCCAGAGCACGGGTCCCTCCATCTGCCAGTCTGCTGTTGCTTGCAGCCCCCACCCTAGGGTCTGAGGATCCAGGGTCAGATAAGGGCCCATAGCAAGGAATAAGTCAGCAAGAGCAGAGACTTCATTTGTAAAAAGCTGAAGATCAAAAGGTTCCAGGAGCTCTGTATTTCACATCTGGGAGAGCAGATGGAACCAGACAGGAAAGAGGCTCCCAGAAAGAGCCAAAAGGAACTTGGGACTTGACCATAGAAGGACCTTGGACCCAGAAAGGGAAAGACCAGGATCTGCTTGAAGAATAATAACAGCTAACATTTATTGAGCACTTACTATGCACCAGGCACTCCTAAACCAGGTTATAGGTCTTATGGGGCTCCACTGAGAAAGGGGGCAAAGAGAGCAGAGAAAGTCAGGTTACCCGTGGAAACTGGCATGTGGCAGGGCTGAGATTTGAACCCTGGTGGTCGGGCTCCAATACCTAAGCAGCTACCACTGTGCTATATCACCTCTGTGACCAGGGGTATGCAATGAAGCAGATATGAGATCACTGGGAGTCACTCTTGCAAAGCCTCTCAGCCACACTGCATGCCACTTTGCAATGCATTTCCTCAGCCTAGTATCACCTGAGTTGACAGTGACCCTTGGAGGAGGCTGAGGAGGTATGAATGCTCCCCTTCCCCAGTGAGCCCCGGGAGACGTGTCTGCCCAGACCACAGGTGAGGAGCTGGCATCCCACCCCAAGCCTTCTGCTCACCAGGAAATGAGGCAGGGCTGGACCTCTGGGCTGGCCATGAGGCCTAAGCAGAGAGCAATACCAGGGAGCCCAGGGTTGGCCAGTCCCTGTCCCCAACCTGACCAGCTCTCAGAATGGCCCCATGGGATGCCTGAGCTGGCAGTGGCCTGGGACTGTGCAGCATGTGCCTCAGGTCCCAAGGAGGGCCATTAGCAGCTCCAAGGTCAGAAATAGAACCCAGGTTTCCTGCCCTCCAGCCCGTCTCCGGCGGTGAGGGAGCCCGGCTTCCTCCCAGAGGAACCCAGCACTTCAGGCATGTGTTGGAGCCAGACGGGCAGCTGGAGAGGAGGGGTCTAGGGGTCAGACCTCGGCCAGAGAGGAAGGAGCTAAGCAGAGAGGGGGATTTTCCAGACCCTGCAGTTCCTGGTTTGGCGGTGTGCAGGCAGCTGACTCAACCGGGCCCAGGCCAGAGAATTGTTCTAACAGGCTGAGAACAATTGCTTGGGGCTGGGATGCAGGCAGGGTGACCCCCAGTGGGCAGGCATTCCTTGAACACTGGCAGGACTGTGGGCGAGGGCTTCTGGGAGGCACCCAATCCCAGAGGTGGGCTATGTCCAGGCCCTCCTGGTGAGAACGAGGGTCACATGGAACTCCAGGTCCAAGTTGTGTCATTAGGGACAATGAATGCAGGCTGGATCCTCCTCTCCTGGCCTGGGTGAGGATAAAGAGGCAGACAAGGCTGCCTAGGAAAGGACTAAGAACGGAGGAGAAAACTACAGGAGTGGGGCACAGAATGGAGAGAAGGAGGGAGAGGTACAGATACGGAGAGCAGGTACAGATCACTTGAGGCCAGAAGTTCGAGACCAGCCTGGCCTACAGGGTGAAACCCCATCTCTACTAAAAATACAAAAATTAGCCCAGCGCGGTGGTGCATGCCTATAGTCCCAACTACTCGGGAGGCTGAGGTAGGAGAATTGCTTGAACCCAGGAGGCGGAGGTTGCAGTGAACCGAGATTGCACCACTGTACTCCAGCCTGGGCGACAGAGCAAGACTCTGTTAAAAAAAAAAGTTTATAGCAAGCTCATTGGGTGCCAAGCCCTGAACTGAACCGACATGAAGCTATTCAGAGTGTGTTCACTCCACTCAGAGGGAAGAGTCCTGTGTTTCACTGTAGCAATATTACCGTTGTTTGATCATGGGGTGTGACCCCCAGACTCCAATGGGGATGTCACATGCCGGCTGGGCACATGCTCTATGTCACCTTCTCAAACTTGAAAAATTCTGAATTCCAGAACACATCTGACTCTGAGGCTTTCGGTCAAGAAACTGTGAGCTTGTGTTATTATTATTTCCGTTTTCTGGATGAAGAAACTGAGGCTCAGAGAGAATCGGCTGGGTAAATGGGATCAAGCAGGTAAGGCACTTAGTGAGGCGTTTACTTATACAGTAAGTGCTTAATAAGCACTAGAATTACTTATACAGTAAGTGCTTAATAAGCATTAGGATTAGTATCATGCAGAGGGTGCATGGTAGGGGTGAGGGGTAGGTGTGGTTGAGGGGTGATGCATGCGGAGTGTGAGGTGTGGGCTCAGGCCTGGGGTCGCCTCCAGATCTGGGATGAAGGGAGGAGCCTGGCTGAGTGGGCAGGACCCTAGCAAGGGGTGGGCAATAGAATTGGGTCCTATGGCTCAAAGTTGTCTGCCTGCTCAGAGGCTGACTCTGGGACCAACCCAGGGCTTTGGGCTTCTCCAGACACATTGTTCACATGCCTTCAGCAGCCAGTCCACCCCACCCTCCTTGTAGCCCAAGCCTGGGACTGAGCCCCCGACTGCCCCCGCAGCTAGGCAGGAAGGTCTGAGCACTGCACAGTCCCCAGGGCGGCTGCAGCTGCCCAGGGCCAGGCTCCAGGCATGTGGGGATGGAGTGAGCTCACCCCATCAAAATCCAGAGACAGTGCAGGGGCGGGGGGACAAAAGAGCTCCTGCCTGCCCACCTGCCTCCCTGCCACGGTCACCACAGGCTCTGCCTCAGTGCCCCTTCCCCTGCCCACTGCCAAGGAACCAGCAGACAATGTGACCCATGGTCCCCAAATCTCTGGGGAGGGACATGAACCCAGACAAGGTCCCCATCCCCCTCTGCCAGGATGCAGGCTCCTAGGTAACCCCAAAACAAGTGCTTCCCCTACTCGGCTGCAACCCAGGCCCCAGACACAGGATCAAGGTGCCCTGCCCCACCCCCAGGCCACCCAGTGCCCTGTCCACAGGCGACAGACAGCACACAGGAAGGAATCTGTCGGGGCAGCACTTTGTTGTACAAACTGCCAGGGGCTCAGAGCCCGACACAAAGGCCAAAAGGCCTTTAATCCCCTGGCAGTCTGAGAGGGGCGCCGGGCCGGAAGGGAGGTGGCCACAGCCTCCTCTGGCATGCTTGTGCTGCCCGTGCCACTCGGGAGGCCTGCCAGCTTCTCACACAGGGGCCCCCAAGGTGGCAGGAACTTCACCAGCCAGTCAGCCAGGAGAAATACGGACGCCCCCAAACAAGGAGAGGGTCCAACACGCATCCAGGGCTTCTTTGTGCCAGGGGCTGAGCTAAGGTCTTCACAAGACTTACGTCACTCAGATCCACCACAACCTCACGAGGGAGACACTGGAGGCACACTCATTTGATAGATAAGGAAACCAGGCTCAGAGAGGTACAGTTACCTGCTCCAGGTCACACAGCAAAGGCAATGGGAACGGAGTCTGAAACCAGGACTCCCCTCTGCTGGGTTCATGCTTCTGTATTTGGCTAGCTCAGAGGCACAGCTGCCAGCAGGGCCCTGCTTCTGACCTCTGACCCCTTGCCCTCTGTAAGCTCATATCAAGGCCTGCAACCTGGAAAAGCTGCATTCCATCCAGGGCTTCTCGGGAGCGCTGGGGCAGGTCAGGGCCTTCAGCGGAGGCCCAGAGGGCAGGAAGCTGGGGTCTGGAGTTTCTAGTCCCAGCTTAGCCCCGCACTCACCACGTTGCCTTGGACAAGCCCCTGCCTCCTTTACCTTTTAGCTAACTTTAGTGAGTCTCTACTGTATGCACTGGGCATCCACACCCACCATCTCAGTCCATGTGAACAACACGTGGAAGGCAGTGACTTTGATCTGTTTTGAGCATTGCTGCAACTCCACAACAGAAAACACACAGTAGGTACTAATAAATCTGCGGACTCACGGACAAACCAAATGAATGAACCTGCCCAACAGCCCTGAGGTGGAAATTAACCCACCTGACAGAAGAAAGCTAACTTCAGAAGGAGACTTGCCCAAGATTACACAGCTTGAAAGTGCCAGAATTACCTCTAGTCCTCAGTTCCCATTAATACGACAGAGGCCATAACACTTCATCCTAAGGGAAAGAGGGGACTAGGTCACACGGGCCCTGAAATCCGTTCCAAGACACCCCTGTCCCTGCAGAACAATCCCTCCAAGAATTAGTTCTCTCCGCTATGAAATGGGAGCAAAAGGCCGGGCATGGTGGCTCACGCCTGTAGTCCCCGCACTTTGGGAGGCAGAGGCAGGCGGATCACCTGAGGTCAGGAGTTCGAGACTAGCCTGGCCAACATGGTGAAACCCCATCTCTACTAAAAATACAAAAATTATCTGGGCGTGGTGGCGTGCGCCTGTAATCCCAGCTACCCTGGAGGCTGAGGCAGGAGAATCGTTTAACCCAGGAGGCAGAGGTTGCAGTGAGCCAAGATTGCGCCACTGCACTCCAGCCTGGTCAACAAGAGCAAAACTCCATCTCAAAAAATAAATAAATAAAATAAAATAAAAATAAATAAAATGGAAGCAAAAAAAGGTCCCCGCTTTGCCTCCTTCCTGGGGCTACTGGGAGAGGCATGTGGAATGAGGCGGTGATCTCTTTGAGAGGCACAGTCCCAATCTCTGAATCTGCCTGGCCCTTCTCCAGGCAGGCCCCATGTGGTCTCTGCCTTGGAGGCTCCTATGACATAGCTAGGGGTGGGCACCCAACCCGGTCTGGCACTGACCAGGCAGGGGACTGGCGAGAACACTTGACCACCAGCCGGTGGGGCAGAGCAGGCTGTGCTGTCAGACACCTCCAAGTCCGGGCCACCCTGGCCATATTCTAGCTAGGGGGCTTCAGCTTCCTCATCCTTAAAAAAAGTAGAATCGATCAGATCTGTCCCATTTGGTTCAATTCAAGTCACTTCAACCTCGACTTACGGGGTACCTACTATGTGCTGGGCCCGGGGGACAAAATGTGAAATGGACACAGAACTCCATGTTCCTGGGGGACACAGGCCACGGAACCACGTGCTGGCAACACCGTGCGAAGAGAGTGCTGAAGGGGAAGGAAGGGGGCCGGCAGAGCCCAGGGGAGGGTCCCCTCACTTAGGGAGGTGGCTGGGAGGCTGGGGAAGATTTCCAGAAGAAATGCTAACTCAGCTGGGCCTGAGAGATGACTTCACCTAAGCAAAGCAGAGAAGGGGAAGAGTGCGGACCAGGTGGAGGGAAGGGCACACGCTGAGGCCAGGGCTGGAGAGGGCACGGCACGTTCGCGGGGTGGGAGGAAGCCTGGTGCAGCGGGACACGCGTGTGAGTGGCAGAGGAGTCAAAGGGCGGCACGAGTGGGCTTTTCCATTTAAAAGGGCCGCCCCTCAGTTGTGCTGCTGACCCGGTGCTAGTCACAGAGGCCAAGTCTCCCCTGTACCCCCAGAGTCCCTGCACTCTCCTCCGTCCCCCACAGACACCCCAAGATTAGGTCTCCCCTGGTGGCTGAATGAGCTGCCTGCCAGCTTACAGGGAACCAGGAAGCCACCGGGAAATGCCCTTGCCTCACCCATGTGCCAGGTGTGGCCAAGGCGGTGGGGGTGGCCTAAGCGGGAACAGCTTCTGGACTGGGCTGCCCAGCAAGAAGGTCCCTGGGGGTCGAACACTATCTGCCAGGCACCACGGCTGCCGGCAACACCTGCAGCGTTCACGTGCCAGCCTCCTGCATGCAGCCTGGCTTGGTTCTCAGGTTCTCCGGCTCCCAGCTGCCCTGCTGCCCTGGCAGGTCTGTGGGGCTTCAAGGGCACACCAACCTGGTTGGGCCTGCCCATACCCTCCTGGGTCACTGCCCACAGATTTCATGAATGATGCCCCTTGCACAGTGCCAGGACTATGGAAGGATGGGCGGAATGTTCCACAAAGTTATGTTGCCATGAGACACCACTAACAACCACGGCCGCTTCCTGAACCTGTCGGGTTAGGCCTTCCCACGACTCCTGACTCACCAACGGGTGAGAGGAAAAGCCCTTATCATGGCCAACCAGGTTCTATGTAATCTGTCTACACACACACCCACCACCCACCCACACACACACACACACACACACACACACACAATCATGGTCAACCAGGTTCTATGTAATCTGTCTACACACACACCCACCCACACACACCCACACACACACACACACACGCCACGCTCCAACCTCTTTTGCTACTGTGCTCCCCCAACTCCCTGCCTTCTAAAATAGCCACATGCATCCTCTCAATAGTCGTCAAACACACCAAGCCCCCTGCCTGGGACACTGTCCCCACATATTCCATCACTCGCTCCACTTCTTCCAGTTTTTGCTCCAATGTCACCTTTCAGCCGCGCATGGTCGGTGCCTCACGCCTATAATCCCAGCACATTGGGAGGCCGAGGCGGGTGGATCACCTGAGGTCAGGAGTTCGAGAGCAGCCTGGCCAACATGGTGAAACCCCATCTCTACTAAAAATACAAAACTTAGCCTGGTGTGGTGGCAGGCGCCTGTAATCCCAGCTACTTGGGAGGCTGAGGCAGGAGAATCACTTGAACCCAGGAGGCAGAGGTTGCAGTGAGCCAAGACTGTGCCATTGCACTCCAGCCTGGGCAATAAGAGTGAAAATCCATCTAAAAAAATAAATTGTTGAATTAATTAATGAAGGCTGAGACAGGAGGATTACTTGAGGCCAGGCGTTCAAGACCAGCCTGGACAACATAGTGAGACTCTGTCTCTACAAAAAAATTAAAAATCAGCCCGTTGTGGTGGTGCACACCTGTAGTCCCAGCTACTTAGGAGGCTGAGGCAGGAGGACTGCTTGAGCCAGGAGCTCGAGGCTGCAGTGAGCTATGATTGCACCACTGTACTCCAGTCCGGATAAAAGAGTGAGACCCTGTCTCTAAAAACAATTAATTAGTTAATTAATTAATGGGGTTTATAAGTGAGGAGCCTGAGGCTCAGAGAGCTAACTTGCCCATAGTCACAGGGTTGGAAGAACCAAGACTTGAACCTAAGACCCCTGGCTCCACACCTGGAAGGAACTCCATACCACCTGGTCCCGCCGATGATGCCTGGGACTTTCCTGCTGGGAAGCCCATCTCTGGGGTGACAAGAGGCTGCCCATAGTCACTGAAGAGCATCCCGGAGGGGTGGGTGGGGGCCTCGGAGGCGAGCAGGGGCCAGAACTCTGGCTCCAGGGCCTTGCGCAACACAGCCAGACAGCCAGGCCTCAGTGACTGTACTCAGCGCTTGTTCCCGTGGGCATCGGCAACAGGAAAAAACAGGCTGGAACAGCCCGGCAGCTGTGGCCAAGGAGGTCGGCTCCCCCTGCCCCCAGGCTGGGCTTTCCTCATCTGCTGTAAGGAAGAAGAGGAAGGGGCAGGCAGGGCCAGGCCCATGGCTGAGATAGGCCTGTGGAGAGCAGAGCTGGAAATCAGAGCAAGGGGTCCTCGTCCTGAAGCGCCCCATGTCTGCTTTCTTCATGTCCTTTCCTGGACACAGAAACTCTCGGATGGGAATAGGCGCGGGGGAGACAAACACATCTGGGAAAGGCTGGTTACACAAAGCTGAGCTGCCTCCCTAAGTCCTAAATGACTGAAGCAACATGATGGGACTGGGGGGTGGGGGGGGGTCACGTGCAACTATTTGGTGTTTCCCAAGTTGCTTAACTTGGAACCTTTTATGTATGCAAGGCTCACTAGACTAGGGTTCCACAGAACACACTTTGGGAACACCACCCCAACCATCCCGCCTTTCCCTCAAGTTAGCCTTAAGTAAGATTTTAGACGTAAGATATGCTCCCCAGTACCCAGGGGCTCTGTAAAGGAGGCTCTTGAAGATAAGAAAAGCCGCAAGGCCCCATGGAAGGAAAAGCGGGCTGGCGGCCGGCTAGCTGGTAGTAGGAGGGGTGTGTTCTCTCTCCTCAGGGTGATTGACACCTGTCACCTGAGAAATCCAGACACAGCCTGAGCCTTCCCTCCCTGGCCATCAGTCTGCTCTCTCAGGGGGTGACTCCTGTCGGAGGTGAAAGAGAAGGTGGCCCAGCACCCAGTCATTCCTGGTCCGCTTGGACCCTCCAGAAAGTCTGGAGGTACCTGTGCCCCAGAGAGAAAGAGAGCTTCGTTCAGCTGCTGAGTGCAGAGACCGGGGCAGGGGCTCACTCCCAGGGCCGGCGACCATGCAGGTAAGGGGGTGCTGGTGCTCTTCAGGGCAGCGACTGAGAACAGGGCTCCCAACCAGCTCTGCTCGCTGGTCCCTTCCCTTCTCTGGGCCTCAGACTCCCCTCTGTCCGATGATGAAGCAGCCCTAGGTCATGGCTCTCCAGTCCATCCTCAGCAGCCTCAGGGCCACTCTGGACAGGAGTGAGGTGGAAGCGGGGCACCGTTAGAGTTTGGGCCCCTTCCCAAACACTCACTTTCATCAAAACACATCCAATTTTTTTTTAACAGGGTTCTGCTCTGTCGCCCAGGCTGGAGGGCAGTGGGCCTCCTCAGAGCCTCCTAGGCTCAAGATATCCTCCTGCCTCAGCCTTCCAAGTAGCTGGGAGTATAGGTGTACATCACTACATCTGGCTAATTTATTTTTTGTAGAGATGAGGTCTCGCTATGTTGCCCAGGCTGGTCTCGAACTCCTGGTTTCAAGCGATCCTCCTGCCTCGGCCTCCTAAAGTGCTGGGATTACAGGCATGAGCCACTGTGCCCGGCTACAAATCCACCTCTTTCCTTTCTATATTCTCACCTACATAAATATCTGGTTCAGCCCTTGGTTAGCTGTGAGGCCATGAGCAAGTCATTTCTCCTCTCTGTGCCTCCGTTTCCTCATGTGTAAAATGGGCACGATCATTCATAGTAATAATATCTATCTCATACGGCTGTTGTGAGGGTTAAATACAGATGTAAAATGCTACAGATAACACAGCACATGGTGAATGTTCTATAAGTGTTTGCTGCCTTTCGGCCGGAACCGCCATCTTCCAGTAATTCGCCAAAATGACGAACACAAAGGGAAAGAGGAGAGGCACCCAATAGATGTTCTCCAGGCCTTTTAGAAAACATGGAGTTGTTCCTTTGGCCACGTATATGCGAATCTATAAGAAAGGTGATATTGTAGACATCAAGGGAATGGGTACTGTTCAAAAAGGAACGCCCCACAAGTGTTACCATGGCAAAACTGGAAGAGTCTACAATGTTATCCAGTATGCTGCTAGCATTGTTGTAAACAAACAAGTTAAGGGCAAGATTCTTGCCAAGAGAATTAATGTGCGTATTGAGCACATTAAGCACTCTGAGAGCCGAGATAGCTTCCTGAAACGCGTGAAGGAGAATGATCAGAAAAAGAGAGAAGCCAAAGAGAAAGGTACCTGGGTTCAACTAAAGCGCCAGCCTGCTCCACCCAGCAAAGCACACTTTGTGAGAACCAATGGGAAGGAGCCTGAGCTGCTGGAACCTATTCTCTATGAATTCACGGCATAATAGGTATTTAAAAAAAAAAAAAGACCTCTGGGCTGTTAAAAAAAAAAAAGTGTTTGCTGTGATTATCTTTGTTATTTTGATTAAAATAAGGGTCTCACTGCTTAATGAGTTTGAAAGCCATCAACTTAAACGACCCCAAAGCTTCCTCTGGTTTTGATATTTTAGAGCACTGACACTCTAAAACATTAGGATTCTAAAATTCTAGGCTGTGTCCCACCTGCAAAAGGAACAGGGCTAAAGGAGGGGATTACAAAGTCAGGACAGGCTGGGTGCGGTGGCTCACGCCTATAATTCCAGCACTTTGGGACTGGTGGTCAGGAGTTCGAGACCAGCCTGACCAACATGGTGAAACCCCGTCTCTACTAAAAAATACAAAAATTAGCCGGGCATGGTGGCACATGCCTGTAATCCCAGCTACTTGGGAGGCTGAGGCAGGAGAATCGCTTGAACCCGGGAGGTGGAGGTTGCAGTGGGCCAAGATGGCGCCATTGCACTCCAGCCTGGGCGACAGAGTGAGACTCCATCTCAAAAAACAAAAACAGAAACAATGTCAGGACAGAGCCAGAAGGAGTCAGGCTGCAGAGACCCGCTGAGCAAAGGGTCATCATCACCATCATCCTCATCATTCATTTATACCTCCCCTCTTGCCCTGTTCCAAAAAGGCTGCAGACAGCTTACAAAGATGCACACTTAACAGCCAAGAGAATATTAACTAAAGAAATATAAGAAAAACTCAGGCAGGGCAGGCAGATGGAGCCTGGAGTGAGGCAAGCAGACAGAGAGCACATGCTGAATCCCAGAGATCTAGGAAAGGGACAACTCATGTGGCCCTGAGCTTGCCAGCAGCCAATGGGAAGAAGGAAACCTGACCAGTCCCTAGATTCCATGTCTCACAATGTAAAAACAAACCAGTTGCTTAGAAAAAGCACAACTATCCCTGATACTGAGAGCAGGGAATGTCCCAAGGGACAGGCTTGTCTGGCACCCTTCTCTGCCTCATCAGTGGGGCTGGCATCCCCTCAGAGTCTGCTGACCATGACCCTTTGAAGCTGAAGCCAGGGGCAGAGGCTACAGTGATCAAAGATTCAGGGAGCTGGAATGGCAGTCCAGTCAGTACCCCACCAACCTCACCCCAGCAGCCTTGGTCTAGGCAGGATTACCCATCACTCCCCAAACCCGAACACAGCCAGTGCCCAAAATAGCTAGAGCAGGAGAGGGTGCCAAGAGGCCCTGGCAAGGGCCTGGGCTAGGCCCACCTACAGGAGGGCCCAGTGGGCCAATGCACACATACCTCTGGTGCACAAAGAGGCACCTTCAGTCAGGCACAGAGCCGTCCCTGGGAGTCCCCCACCCACCAGGCTCCCCCCTCAGCTGCACGTTGCTCACGCAGAACTTGAGCTGCTGCTCCACCCTTCCCACAAAGCAGGCCTTCCTGCCTGAGCCAGACTAGAAAAGCCTTCCACAGAAATGCCACCGCACCATATAGGGAAGTGCCTGAAGACCTCCCCGCCCCACCTCCAGAATCTGCCAGAATCAGCCCCCTCAGGATCCTCCATGGCGATGTTGGTTCCTCCCTGGGTCCCCCAGCTGCAGACCAACACAATGGGGGCTATTCTGGGCTGCACGGGGTATTTAAAGCTCTGACTGGGCCTCCTCCCTGGGGAACAAAAGGCCTTGCCCTCCGTAAGACCTTCCTGAAATTGTTCCTGCCCAGAC
This sequence comes from Homo sapiens, assembly GCF_000001405.40. Lineage (NCBI taxonomy): Eukaryota > Metazoa > Chordata > Mammalia > Primates > Hominidae > Homo > Homo sapiens. Next base: position 21,910,297 of record NC_000001.11, read on the forward strand.
TGTGGTGGCTGCATCCTGTACTGTTCCCCACCTCCCCTGCCAGGCCCTGAGGCCCTGTAAGATTCAGCACAAAATGCCTCCTCCAGGAAGCCCACAGGGCTGCCTCCTGTGCTCAGCAGCACTGCCTGAGACCCTCAGAAAAGCTGGGTCCTGGCTCAACTCTGCCATCGATCTTCTCTGGGTCCCAGTTTTCTCATCTGCAAAATATGGATGTGAATCCCAGTGTGTGAAAGCACTCCAGAGGCTTCCATGGTTAGGATGAGTAGTGTCTCTCCAGCCACTTTGTGAAGCAGAATATAAGCAGGAACGGGAATTGGTCTGTTTTGTCGCTGCCCTTTTTCTAGCACCTGGCACACAGTAGGTGCCAAATAAATATTTACTGACTGATACAAATATTTAAAGAATGTGTCTGTAGCCTCCATAGAACCACCCAGAATGCCAGGCACACAGGTGGTTAATACCCTCGATGGTAACGTTGCCAGCTCTCAGCTTGAGCACAAAGAACACATCAAGCCTTATGCTAAGTACCTGATGTTAATTATCTGATTTAATTTGCTCAACAGTCCCAAGAGGTCGGTACCATTATCTTATTTCACAAGCAAGAAAACGGGAGTTCCAGTCCAGGTGGTTAAGCAGCTCGCCTGAGGTCGCAAATGGCCAAGCTGGGAGTCAAGCCCAGGAGCCCTGAAGCCCCTGGCATCCTGCGCCAAATGCACATTGAAGAAAGGCAGTCGGAGAGCACTGGGTGGGGAGCCAGGAGCCTGAAGTCAGCCACTAAGCTGTGTGACTTCAAGCAAGTTGCTTGGCCTCTCTGAATCAGTTTTCTCTTCCATAAAAACAAGGGCATGAATTCCTCTTCTTCAGGTCGTTGGTAGGATCAAAGGAACCAAAGATGTGACTCTGTCTCCCACACTAGCCCCAGCCCCTCCCCAAGGGCAGCAGCTGTGAAGGATGGTGGGAAGATGTACTGGGAGGAGGGGGCTACCCAGAGCTGGCCCCAGAACAAAGCTCCACAGCTGCTGACAACAGCTGGGGAGAGCTCTGGGCCTGGCCCAAGCAGGGGGAGAATGGGCAGGCTGGGAAGTCACCTCTGGCCCTCCTCTGTCACCCTTCCCTGCTGACAGCTGCTGAGGCCTCAGGGCCAAGGGCCCCAGAGCAGGCAGGGAGTGGGGGTGTGGAGGGGGTGGGCGGGCTGGCTGGGGTCATCTTAGTCCTCATGCTGTCAACTGCTCAAGCCTCAGGGTGCCTGGCCTCGCTGTCCCATAGCACAGCCCTTTACCCAGTTCCCTGGGAAGCCTGGGTGGAGAGGCCGGAGCAAAGGTCTGGGGCTGAACATGCCTTAACTGGAGCCTGGCCTGCTCCAGGGCCCCCGTGGGGAGGTGCAGGGCCGGGAGGGAGGGAGTCCTGAAGAGGCTTGCAATTTCCCTGGTGCACAGCCCCACTGCAGGCCCTTCAGGAAACGTCCCTGGAGGCTGTGAGCTTGGCCCACCCCAGCCCATCTCAGCCCCCTCAGCTGCCGGCCAGCCCAGCTCCACTCCCAGTTCGGTGCCAAGCCTTTCCAGCCCGCTCCAGCCCACGCAGCTCTCTCTCCTCTGAACTCTCACATACCCATAATTACAACTGACCATATTTTCCAAAGCAGAAATCAAGAAACCACTAAATAAAGGATTTCTGGGCTACTTCTGAGTGTCAGAGGCAGCCTGGGAGGTGAAGTTTGGATGCAGAGGTATTCAAATCTCTGAGACACGTTGATAGTTTTTTGCGATGACTACTATATCTATCATATTTTATTAATAAGTCAAAGCCATCCTAGGAAATGTGTGTTGGGCACATGCCACCCCATACCACTGTTAACTGTTGACTGGACACTTTAGCCTGGCAGTTTCCTAGCTGTGTGGCCCTGGGCAAATCACTTGACCTCTCTGAGCCTCTGTGTCTTCATCTGTAAAATGGGAATAAAAATGACCCCCTCACAAGGCTGCCGTCAGAATTCAACAGGACAACCTAAGTGCTAGTATCAGGCACTTACGAGGTGTAAGTACCACTTCTTCCTTCTCTCCCAGTCCTATCCACCCCAGAGCTCACACACCAAGTGAGTGAGCTCTCCAAAGACCCCCGGGGAGAATGAGACACAAGAGAAACCTGCCTGCAAAAGGTTCCAATGCATTCCTGGATCCTGTACTGTCCAAGCTGGGAGGGATCACCTAGCCAACACCCTCACTTATCAGATGGGGAAACCAAATCCCAAAGAAGGGAAGTGAGCATGTTATGGGGAACCAACCAGACTTGGAGGGCCTGGGTTCAATCCCATCTCTGACACTTCCGGCTGCTGGGGAACTTTATCACTTTGAGCCTCATTTTTGTGCCTCCCATACCCCCATAATGTTGGATTAATAATTATTGCTGGGCGCAGTGGCTTGTGTCTGTAACCCCAGCAATTTGGGAGGCCGAGGCAGGCGGATTACTTAAGATCAGGAGTTTGATACCAGCCTGGCCAACACGGTGAAACCTCATCTCCACTAAAAATATAAAAATTAGCACAGCATGGTGGCATGTGCCTATAATCTCAGCTACCTGGGGAGCTGAGGCAGGAGAATCACTTGAACCCGGGAGGCGGAGGTTGCAGTGAGCTGAGATTGCACCACTGCACTCCAGCCTGGGCGAAAGAGTGAGGCTCTAGCTCAAAAAAAAAAAAAAAGCTGGATTATGTATACAGAGTGTTAAGAATGGTGCTTTTGGGCAGCCGTGAGAAGAGAGAGGAGCCTCCCAGCAACTCGATTGGCAGAGGCAGATCCAGGACCCAGCCTCTTGGTTCCTAACAAAGGGTCATTTACCTTTCACGAAGCCACCTCCTCCTCTCCTTGGGGCAAGGATTCTCAAAGGCCAGGATAAGGGGCTACACAGATGAGGCCTCTGGGAGGGTGGCAATGGGCTAGGTCTTTGTGGGGGTGCTAATCAGGGCCAGAGCCCTCAGTCTCAACCTCTGGCACCCAGAGCTGGTCCCTCCAGCCTGTCTTCAAGCCCCAGTCAGACAGGCCCAGCCTAGGAAATGGCAGGAAGGGCTGGCAAGGGAGGGATGCCGTGTCCTTGGCAAAGAGAATGCGACATCCCAGGGACTCGGGTTACCGGAAATGGTAAATCTCCCCGCTGCCTGTCACCTTCGACCAGGAATGTCTGCTGCCCCAGGGAACATCCTGTCCACCTGCCCTCAGACAGCCCACGGACAGCCAGGAACCTGGACCCACTCTCTGCTCCCTGCCCAACCCCCAGGCCTTAGGTTAGCTGCTGGGTCCCCCCAGCCAAAGGGTACCTGTCATTCTGGGGCAGTGAGCCCGGCTGTAACTAACTGACCAATCCCAGGGAAGGAGCCATCCTAGGAAATGTGTGCTGGGCACAGGGAAGGAGGAGAAGGCTAGAAGGGGAACCCCCAAAAGATTGAGAGCTACCCCCAAATCTGATCCATCCAATCCCATCATACGTGGATTCTGAGTCCCCAGTTTGGATGAAGGCTCTGATCTCATAAACCCAACACAAGAGGCAGTACAGTGTGAGTTCTGGGTGGGACTAACCCAGCCGGAGGCATGGCTCTGCCGCTTGCCAGCTGGGTGGCTCTGGGTAAGGCACTGCAGTGCCTTCCGCCCTCAATTCTAATACAAAAGTGACAGCAGCCTGTGACAGGAACCTGTGAAATTTGTGGCGCTAAGCTGTGAGTCATTTAGCCCAGGATCTGGTGTGTAGAGAGGGCCCAGTAAACAGTGGCTATTAGGTATTGGGAAGTATTAGAAAGAGAAGGGGGAAAAAACAGTAATCATTATAGGAGCAGGTACTATGAGCCACACAATGTTCTCTGCCCTTGCTGGTGCTGACCGTCTACTTGGAGACCGATGGACCATAAATTAATACCCCAAATATACATGTCAAATGGTGAGAGTGCTGAAAAGGAAATACAGCAGGGTGAGGGGACGGGGAGTGGCCTGTTGAGGGTTGCTATTTCCCTGGGTATGGAGGGTGATGCTGACAGAGCAAGTCAGGTGCATACTTAGAGGAAGAGCACCCAGGCACCAGGAGCAGCATCTATAAAGACCCCAGAGGCAGGAGGAGCCTCAGAATGTTTTGGAAAACAGCCAGGAGGCCGGTTATCTAACCCCCATGACTGCCCTGAGAGCTAGGTGTAATTGTCTCTATCCCCCGGAGGAGAATCTGGCAGGGCCAGGATCTGACCCTCCATAGCCAGGTGTCCAGGGACGACTGGCTTCACAACTCCCATGGGGAGGAGCAGAAAGGTAGAAAAGCGCAGGTGTCTGAGTCCAAGCTCTGATTCTTCCAGGGATTGGCCATGTGATCTCAGACCAGCTGCAGCTCCTTGCAGGGCCTCAATGTCCTTGTCACTCATGGGCTAGAGATGCCTGTTCCATCCACTTCGCAGATGACTTTCTCCTCCCCAAAAGGAAGGGGAGGAGAAAGGATGGTGCTGGGAGGTGACCTTGAGCTTCTCTGGCATCTCAGGCCAAAGCTCCTCCCCGGGCAGGTGTGAATGCCAGGTGCAGACCCTGCCCACCTGAACTGCCCAGAGCAACCACCTGCCTGACCCCCAAAAGCTCACATCCTGCCTATGCCTGCCTGGGCCTTGTCCCACTCAGCACCCAGAGCCCAGCCACAGCCACGGCCTCTGTCCTGCACTCTGGTTCTGGGTGTCAGACGTCCCTCACCCCCAGGGCCCAGCCCAGGACCGGCTCCTTATGTTCCTGACCAGGCGGAGGGTCCATGATTGGCCTTTGTTACCTTTGTTACCAAGGGTGCCAGCGGGCCAGCCCTCACGGGCACCCGGCCAGATCGTGAGGCCCAGCCAAGTGCAAACAGCACACTTGGCGCCCTGATACGGGCGCGTTAGAGCGGGCAGGGTGCCCCCGTCACAACAAACCATCATCTCTACACCGCTAAGGGGCCCAGGCAGCCGGCACCTCTGCTGGGAGCTGGGGACTAGGGACTGCCAGGGGAGGCCTCCTCCCCTTCTCCCACTGGGAATGGGTAGTGGGAATTTCGGAGCCCGGACATGGAGATTCCAGATGCCAGCAGCTGAAAGGGCAGATATGCAGACAGGCTGCAGGGAGCACGTGGGAAAATAACAGGGGCAGAGGAGCTGGATGAAGGCAAGTCATGGAGTTTTTCACATTATGGGTGTGGTCAGGCAAAGGGAGAGTGAGAGGCTGCCGAGAAGAAAGCAGGAAGAGCCCAGCAGAGAGAGGAGCAGCAAGAAGAACCAATGAGAGCTGGAACGGTTCCAATATGGGACAGGGAACCAGGGATAATGACCACAGCAACTCCTTCCAGCAATACCCAGCACTTAACATACACAGCGCTTCCGACAGAACTTTCTGGTGCAATGGAAATGTTGCGTGCCTGCACTCATCCAATAAGATAGCTACTAAGCGCTTCAAATGAGGCTAGTACCATCAAGAAACTGAATTTTTTGCCGGGCATGGTGGCTCACGCCTATAATCCCAGCACTTTGGGAGGCCGAGGTGGGCGGATCACCTGAGGTCAGGAGTTCGAGACCAGCCTGGCCAACATGGTAAAACCACATCTCTACTAAAAATAAAAAAAATTAGCTGGGCGTGGTGGTGTGTGCCTGTAATCCCAGCTACTCGGGAGGCTGAGGAAGGAGAATTGCTTGAACCTGGGAGGCAGAGGTTGCAGTAAGCCGAGATCACACCACTGCATGCCAGCCTGGGTGACAGAGCAAGACTCCATCTCAAAAAAGAAAAGAAGAAGAAGAAAAAAAAAAAAAGGCCTGGCACGGTGACTCACGCCTGTAATCCCAGCACTTTGGGAGGCTGAGGCGGGCAGATCATGAGGTCAGGAGTTGGAGACCAGTCTGGCCAACATAGTGAAACTCCATCTCTACTAAAAATACAAAAAATTTGGTTGGGTGCGGTGGCTCACGCCTGTAATCCCAGCACTTTGGGAGACCGAGGCGGGTGGATCATGAGGTCAGGAGATCGAGACCATCCTGGCTAACACGGTGAAACCCTGTCTCTATTAGTAATACAAAAACACAATTAGTCAGGCGTGGTGGCGTGCACCTGTAGTGCCAGATACTCGGGAGGAGGAGGCAGGAGAATGGCATGAATCCTGGAGGCAAAGCTCGCGGTGAACCGAGATTGTGTCACTGCACTCCGGCCTGGGCAACAGAGCGAGACTCTGTCTTAAAAAAAATAAAAATAAATAAATAAATAACACAAAAAAAATTGCCAGTGTGGTGGTGTGTGCCTGTAATCCCCGTTACTCCAGAGGCTGAGGCAGGAGAATTGCGTGAACCCAGGAGGCAGAGGTTGCAGTGAGCCGAGATTGCGCCATTGCACTCCAGCCCAGGCGACAGTGCGAGACTCCATCTCAAAAAAAAAAAAAAGAAACTGAATTTTTATTTAAAACTTTATTTAATTTTAAATTTTGCATTAAATAGTCACGTGTGACTAGCAGTTACCATATCAGACAGTGCAGATTATACCATCATTGATCCTTAGGCCAAGGCTGGAGATGGAGCTATCTCCATTTTACAAAGGAGGAAACTGAGGTTTGCCAAGGCTGCACAGCTGTAGGCTGCAGAGGCAAAATCGGAACCAGGCCTGGCTCTGCCACAGGGCTCCCCACCCATGGTTATTGTCAAGGCTGGAAACGGCTAACGGAAATCGAACATGTGTGGTGATAAGGCTGCCTCGTTAATCAAGATATCAAGTCTGTCTGCTTTTGGCCTGAATTCTGTCAGCTACACCAGTTATCACACGCTGACCAGAAGTTCTGACCGCCTGTTTACAAAGGTCTTTGATTTTTTCACACTAAGAAAGGGCAGAATGGCTGGGCGCGGTGGCACATGCCTGTAATCCTAGCTCTTCGGGAGGCTGAGACAGGTGGATTGCTTGAGCCCAAGAAGTTTGGGACCAGACTCAGCAACATGGCGAGACCCCGTCTCTATGAAAAATACAAAAATCAGCCAAGTGTGGTGGTGTGTGCTTATGGTCCCAGCTACTCGGGAGGCTGAGATGGGAGGATCACTTGAGCCCAGGAGGTCGAGGCTGCAGTGGGCCATGATCGTGCCACTGCATTCCAGCCTGGGTGACAGAGCAAGACCCTGTCTCAAAAGTAAATAAATAAATAAATAAATAAATAAATAAATAAATAAATAAATAAAAATAAAAGACAGGGCAGAATGGGGATGGAACAGTCCCAGTTGGTCGAGAAGCCATGTCTTTAAGAACACTGAGAATCTTCAATGGCAAAAAAGCTGGGCTTGGACTTCTCCACCCATCAGCCCCCTGAGGCTCCTAAGAACTGGACGACACCCACTCAGGGTAACACAGGGCACATTTGCCTGCCTCTAGGCCTTTAGTCATGTGGTTCCCTCTTCTTGGAATGCTGTTCCCATGCCCTTCGAGCTAATCTATTCATCCATCCTTCAAGGCCCACTCAATCACCACCTCCACTCTAAAGACTTTTTGGAACCCCTATAAAGACATCCTTCTCCCTACAAATATGTGGACTTAATTTCTACCTCAGAACACTAGAGATTCAGTCTTAATTATAATCACTTGAGTTACTGTCTCTTCTCTCCTGCTGGAACCAAAGCTCCTTGGGGACAGACACCAAGTTTTTTTTTTTCATCTTTTAAACATATGTATATATTCAACCTTTAGATACTTCCTAATGTCCAGCAGCTAGGGGATAATAAACAAATACTTACTATGTTGAACTGAATTATAATATTGGCTTATAAGTTTGAGGACTCAATTTCTTATGGCTCTTCCCGAGCCTCCTGTGATCCCAGCAGAGGAGTCCAGACCCTTCCCTGCACTGAACTTCAATGTGTACCTCTGTAAAATGGGACAACAGGCCGTGTGCAGTTGCTCACGTCTGTAATCTCAGCACTTTGGGAGGCCGAGGCAGGCGGATCACCTGAGGTCAGGAGTTCGAGACCAGCCTGGCCAACATAGTAAAACCCTGTCTCTACTAAAAATACAAAAATTAGCAGGGTGTGGTGGCGCACACCTGTAGTCCCAGCTTCTTGGGAGGCTGAGGCAGGAGAATCACTTGAACCTGGAAGGCAGAGGTTGCAGTGAGCCAAGATGGCGCCACTGCACTCCAGCATGGGCAACAAAGTGAGACTCTGTGGGAATAAAAAAAAAAAAAAGGAGGGGTGGGACAATAATAGTACCTGCCTTATTGGGAGATTATTTGTACTTACTATATTTATTTAACACTATGTGCCATATACTTGACAAACATTGAGTTATCTTCCCAACAGCCCCACAAGATCGGTATTATTATTACCACCCTCATTCTATAGAGGAGGGAAGTGATGGTGAAATTAAATAGATCAAAGAGCTAATGCAACTCAAGTGCTCAGTATAGTGTGTGGCACATGCTACATACTAAATAAATTGTATTAACAGTTGTGGAGCTTTATTTCTGAATAATAAAGGGTCTACAGAATTAGGGGAAATTGAGGATACTTCCCCAGGGCTGGGCACATAGTCAGCGTTCTCCAAATATTTGCTCCTAGACCGTCTCAGTCCCAGATGTACCAGTGATAGATGGGAGAACCCTAACTAAGTCCAGGGCCACCCCTCTCTGATTCCCCTCCCCACTGGGCTCCTCCCCCTCTCCTCTGATCTATAGGGCAGTGGCTGCTGCTGCCCGCCCTACAGGCCATGTCAGTAGAGAACCGCTTTCCTGCCCCCATCTTTCCCCAAAGGCAGGCAGCATGGAATGACTTTGGGGAAATGACCTTTGTCCAGCTGTGCCGAGCCTGCAGGTGAATGGAAACAAGAGAGTCTGATTAAGTCTCAAAGGGGCTGGGCGCAGTGGCTCAGGCCTGTAATCCCAGCACTTTGAGCAACCAAGGCTGGCGGATCACTTGAGGTCGGGAGTTTGAGACCAGCCTGGCCAACATGGTGAAACCCCGTCTCTACTAAAAATACAAAAATTAGCTGGGTGTGGTGGTGTGCACCTGTAATCCCAGCTACTTGGGAGGCTGAGGCAGGAGAATCGCTTGAACTCAGGAGGCGGAGGTTGCAGTGAGCCAAGATTGTGCCACTGCACTCCAGCCTGGGTGACAGAGCAAGACCCTGTCTCAAAAAAAAAAAAAAAAAGTCTCAAAAGCAAGTAATACTCTCAACTTTCTTCAGTCCTGTCAGGGGCTTTGACACCCTATTCTTCACTGAACCCCCACCTGGACCAAAGAAAGGGAAGAAGGGAAGAATCTGGGAAGAGTATGAGCATTGATGGAGTTTCTATGGCAGTCATCTCTCCAGGGGTGGTTTTCAGGATGAAATGAGACAGCAGACGGAAAGCAGCCCTTCTCCAGCTTTAACGAGCACATGAGTCACTTGGAGATCTTGTCGGCGTGCAGATTCTGAGTCAGTAGGTCCAAGGGGGCCTGAAACTCTGCATTTCTGACAAGCTCCCAGTTGAGGCCCGGGCTGCTAGTGCCTGGACCATCCTCGGAGTTATAAGAACATAAAGGGATTACTGCACACAGTAGGCCCTCCGTAAAAGTGAGCTATGCCTTTGTTTCTTGTGATTTGATCTATAAGAAATTCTCCTAAGGGACTGGAACTGTTTTTTCTTTTTTGAGACAGAGTCTCGCTCTGTTGCCCAGGCTGGAGTGCAGTGGCACAATCTTGGCTCATTGCAACTGCCGCCTCCCGGGTTCAAGCGATTCTACTGCTTCAGCCTCCCAGGTAGCTGGGATTACAGGCATGCACCACCACACCCAGCTAATTTTCATATTTTTAGCAGAGATGAGGTTTCACCATGTTGGCCAGGCTGGTCTCGAACTCCTGGCCTCGAGTGATCCGCCAGCCTTGGCCTCCCAAAGTGCTGGGATTACAGGCGTGAGCCACCGTGCGTGGCTGGAACTGTTTTTCCACTGCTGCTAATACTGAGGTCCACTGAGGTTGAGGGGTTTGCCCAAGCACAGAAGGCTAGAAAGAGGCAGAGGCAGGATTCAAGGCCAAGTCTGCCAAGTCACCCTTCTCATGCATCACCCCACCCTAAACCCCACCCGCCTCGAGTAGCAGCCACAGGCGTGGAGCTGAAGACACCCCAGCTCTGCCCCTCAGGCCAGTCACCGGCTCCTTGCTGGGTCAGCCAGGCCTCCGGGCAGAGGCCCAGGCTCCCTAAAAAGAGGCGCTGGGCCATCACTTTCACTCCACTAGCAGCAGCTTCCAGTGGTTCCCCCCACATCGCCTTATAAAGTGGTCCAAGCTGCTCTTTTCCAGGCTGCAGTTTAATGTTATATGGAGTGAACTGACCGTACTCTCTCTGCAACCTCAGCCTGCCTGCTTCACACATTCCTGTTGGAGCAACATTACCTAATTTAACCATAGCCCCTGCTCTCCGGGGCTCTCAAAATAGCAGCTGCCAGTAGGGGAAAATGCCCTAATGTTATCAAAATAAAACAGTTCTCCCTCCTCCCCCACTCCTGGACTTCGCCAGCAGCAGGACCCAGCCCAGGGAGGAATCCAGGCTGAGAGGTCTGAGGTGGGCCTAGCGTGGCTGAGATCTCTGCTAAGCCCCTGTTCTCTTCATCCTTCCAGCCCTTTCCTACATGCCCTCTTCAAACATGTGTCTGGGATCTGCCTATGCCTCCTCCCCCGGGCAGATCTTCCAGCTCATCCCCAACGGCCATTGTCACCCTGGTTACCCAAGACGAAGATTCAATTTCCCTTTCTCCTAATAACAAAAACTATAACAGTAATATAACAATTGCTGCCATTCCCCAGGTATTAATTGTGAACTAAATACCTCCCTCCCAGTGGCTCGCTGCCATTGCAAAGTAGGGATTAGCATTCTCTTCTTTCAGATAAGAAAGCAGCCACTCAGAAAGGTAAAGTGACTTGCCCAAGGTCATACAGCCCAGAACTGGCAGAGTTGGGGGTTGGAAGCCAAGCTCAGCTGCCCCAAAGCCCTAATCATCAGGACTCCTGTGCAGGGTCTGAGCCTGGGAGAGGAGGAGTGCAGGATTTTCTGTGCTAGAAGCGGCTTCCTTGCCTTGTGTATTATTGCAGGATCTGTTCATACAGCTGCCACCAAACCACAGGGCCTGTTACTATACCAGAGTTCACATTGCACCTAGACCCTGTGGGCCCTAAGACTGTCTCCGGGACCCCAGGTGCACAAGCTACCTGTCAATATGTGACTCCAAGCCCCTGCTTCCCTGCCCCGCATACCCCAGAGCAGGCTGCCACATTAAAGCAGGGAACACCGGACTACTGACATACCTCGGGTGCAACCAGTGGTTAAGGGGCTGGGAGGGTCCCCTCTGCTGCTCTCCTGCTCACTCAGAGTAATCATTAACCAGCGCAGAGCCAGTGTGGAAAGCAGGCAGAAGCCCGGGCTGCGGCACCCCCAGCATCCGCTCCTCCCTACTGAGTGTGTCCTGGGGCCACTTCTGTTAAGCCCAGCTGGCCTGGTGAGGCCTCTGGCAGTGGAGAGGGAAAGCTTGGACCACCAGCTGTCCAGGAAGGCTCAACCTGCTATCCCTAGGGAAGGTCCCTGAGAGCATTTACAGAGCCTTCGGCCCCCTGCACTCACACTCCTTCCCACCTTGCTCCCCTCCCAACATTATGAAGATCCCATAAGAAAAGAGTGTTGGAGGAGAGGATGGACTCTGGGACTTAGGGCCTTCCCATAGCGGGGGTGAGGTGGCAGGTGGGGTTGCAGGGGGACGACACAATAGAACTGAGACCCAGAGGTTTATCTAGGACCAAGTACCAGGGGCTCTCTCGAAGGAGGAAAGATAAAATCACAAAATAATAGTTCCCGTTATTTATCAACTGCCCATTCCAGCTGTAGGCTATTTATATGATCTCTAATCTTCACCAAAACCCTGCAGTGTAGGAATTGCCATTCCCACCTGACAGAGGAGGCTCAGAGAGGCGAACTCACCCGCCCAGGGTCACACAGCAATCAGTGATGAAGCTAGGATAGGCCTCAGGGCTATGCCTCCTGCCTATGACACTGTCCCAAAGTGCAACCTGCAGAATGAAACGGTGCGGAATTGATGGACGGGAGCTAACAGCCACAGCAAGGCGGCTCTGGGCTCTTTTCTGGGCGGTCTGAAGCCTTTCAGCTCCTTAGCCAGGGTCCTCCTGGTCTTTCTAAAACCAAGTGTCCTGGGCTTAGAAACCCAAACTATGAGAGGGCAGTGGAGGGAGCAGGAGAGAGTCCTGTTGCTAGAGAGGGTGCATCCCCCCACCACTTGAAGTATGAAGTAAAGGTGGCCCCTGGGGCTTCTAGTACCTGTCAGGGCACAAGGTGGGTCTTCTGGGAGATGAGGTGGAGGTGTGGGGGGAAGGAGGAAGCACCTGAAGCCAACGTAAGGTGGAGCCTCTTGGAGGAAGGTGGCCCTGCCTAAAACCCCCCTGCCTAGGAGGCCACAGTCCTCCCAGCTAGAGAATTCCCTTCAATTGCTCAGGTGAAACCAGAGGTGGGGCCCAGGCCGGCTGAAAGCTTTGATCTTATCACACATTCCTGCCCTAGCCATCCCAGTACCCCCTCCTCGACCCCTACCAGGGAGGTGGGAAGCCAGACTGACTTAATTAACCCTTTCCTCCCATTTCCTCAAGTCGAATCCAGGCTTGAGCTGATGTTTCCCCCATCCCGCCCCCACCCCGACCCCAGAAGGCGGGGAGGGAAAAAAGAGGGAGGAAAGTGAAAAGCAGGCACCCCAAGACTGCGCCCTTCATTTAACCCACTCAATGCCAGGGAACCCCAAACCTGGGCTCTGTTGGCAGCTTCCATTTCTCCTAAATGAAAATAACCAGACTCAGCCGGGCACGGTGGCTCACACCTGTAATCCCAGCACTTTGGGAGGCCAAGGGAGGCGGATCACCTGAGGTCAGAAGTTCGAGACCAGCCTGACTAACATGGTGAAACCCCATCTCTACTAAAAATACAAAAATTAGCTGGGCATAATGGCGGGCGCCTGTAATCCCAGCTACTCGGGAGGCTGAGGCAGGAGAATCGCTTGAACCAGGAAGCGGAGGCTGCAGTGAGCCGAGATCATGCCATTGCACCCCAGCCTGGGCGACAGAGCAAGACTCCGTCTCAAAAAAAAAAATAAAATAAAATAACCAGACTCAACATAAATAGCCCTCGCTATTTTGCACATCCATGAGCTCATCTGAGACTCACGATAAAATCGGCCTGCCCTTCTCTCTGCTGCTGTGGGCCCTCCCCCTGCCCTCACCCAGGGGAGCTGGCTCCCAGGTCCTCTCCTCCCACAGGCTCACTGCAAGGGAAACAGACTCACAAATGAGTGCTGAGACCAAGTCACAAAGACTCAAGAGATCTCCCAGAGGTCTGGTGGCCCTGAAATCCTGCTATAGTCCTCGAGTGTCTTCCTTGAATGTAGCCTCCTTCTCCCTACTCCTTTACCAGCTGGCCCACCACTCAGCCTCTCTCCCCTATCAGACCACAAGCTCCATAAGCCCACGGTGGTGTTTAGATCCAACACAAGGCCTCGCATACCGCTGTCACTCCGAGAATGTTTGCCGAATGAATGAACGGTCCCATTTTGCTTCTGGGGAAAATTAAGCTCAAAGAAGTTCAATGGCTTGGGATCACGTAAGAGTTTAGGAATCTTGTGACTCCTAGTCACACTTTCTAAACAGACATTTACAATGAATGCCCCTGATGTCAGCTTAGCAGCAGGTACCCAAGAGCAGAGGTGAACTGACATGGACAGAGCACGGCAGGAGAGATTCTGGGGCTACACAAGAAGACAGGACAGGCTTCAAGGTCTAGGGCACAGGGGCCATCTCCTTCATCTGCTTCCCTAGCCCAGAGCCTGGCACTTGGGAGCTGGGGTTATGCCTCCATTTCCCAGATGAGAAGTAGCTCATGGAGCAGGGAATAGCCAGGCGCAGAGGAAGGTGGAAGCTGCCTCCAGCGTCACCAGACATCCTGGAAGAAATTGGAGGCATGGTCCCTACTCTCCGGATGCCTTGGATCTTGTTGGAGAGGCAGGACTCGTAAGCTATAAGTGCCCAACACAACTCAAAGTCCAGAAAATAACAGTGTCAGGGGAAGGAATCAATAGCGTCAATGAAGGAAGACATGGGATTGGTGATATGGTGGGCTCCTTGAGGTGCCTACCACCCTCAGGCCCCAGAGAATGGAACACCACCAACTTTTGGGGGGTAGTGAGCAGTTTTCTCCAAGAACTCAGGGTCCCTTTCTTCTGCTTGGAAGACGGCCAACAAACAAGAAAGGAGCCCATCTTGTGAGTAGGAAAACTGAGGCCCGGGGAGGAGAGATGGTAGCTGACTGGTGACCAAGTGGAGGCCCAGGCCTTAACCTCTTGCCTCCCTGGTCTGACCAGCAATGAATGTCACCTCAGCTATCTTGGGGACTTCCTCTTATTCTTTCCCAACCTTAACGACTCTGGCAGCAAGCGAGTGTCTTCCTGCTCTTGCACATGCAACAACAATGTGGACAATGTGAGTCCAGGGACAATGGGGACAACTCCTGGACCCCTGCCACAATGCTTTCCTCCTCTACCAGCCAAATCAGACTTGCTCTTTAAGCCCCATTTCCTCTAGAAAGTCTTTCCAGATAACTCATGCCCAATCAGTCTTTTCCTTCCCCTGACACTCTGCTATTGTCTGGACTTTGAGTTGTGTTGGGCACTTATAGCTTACGAGTCCTGCCTCTCCAACAAGATCCAAGGCATCCGGAGAGTAGGGACCATGCCTCCAATTTCTTCCAGGAGGTCTGGTGACGCTGAAGGCAGCCTCTACCTTCCTCTGCGCCTGACTATTCCCTGCTCTCTGAGCTACTTCTCATCTGGGAAATGGAGGCATAACCCCAGATGTACAGGGGGATTGATAACACAGATCAAACAATGAGCGCGATGTCAGGCGCACAGCAGGTCCTCAGGCAGCACTAGCTGAATATGTGAACAAATGAGTGGACAGAGGGATGGATGGAAGGATTCTTGAAGCTTCCACTGCACAGGGCTGTTGAAACAACACAACGCGGGACCTGGATGTAGATTTCATCTCGCAGCTGAGCCATGTGCTTCTCTGCCTTGCATTTCACCCAAGCCCCCAGTATGAGGGGGACACAGGGCTGGCTCAGAGCAGGCCCCGCTCAGCAAAACTCACTGAACTCCCAACAGGGCAAAACCTGCAGGCCCCACAGGGAGCTTGGGACCTGACTGAGAAGAATCAGGGTTCCCAGGGGTCTCAGTCACAGGGAAGGTCACATCCATCTCTCTGGGGAACATTATCACTGGGTTGAAATGGAAGCCAAAGGGTAAAAAGACACCCGAGTCTGTGAAGCAGGAACTGGCAAAGCCCATGTGGCAGACATGCAGCCTCCTATAACCCTCTGCCAAGGCCAGCCTGGACCCACCTTCTCCACACAGCCCTCCCAGACTTCCTCTGTCTGGACACAACAGGACCCACTGAGGAAAACAATGATGACTTGGGAGTCTGACAACCTGGGCTCCATTCCCAGGTGTGGCACGTACTGGATGGATGAAGGGCCAGCCATTCCCTCTATTTTTTTATTTTTATTTTTTTTTTTGAGACAGTCTTGGCTCACTGCAGCCTCCGCCTCCCGGGTTGAAGCAATTCTCCTGCCTTAGCCTCCCAAGCAGCTGGCACTACAGGCATGAGCCACCACGCCCGGCTAATTTTTGTATTTTCAGTAGAGATGGGGTTTTACCATGTTGGCCAGGCTGCTCTCGAACTCCTAGCCTCAAGCAATCTGCCCTCCTAGGCCTCCCAAAGTGCTGGGATTACAAGTGAGAATCTGGCCCCCAACTCCCCCTCCTGATGCCTCAGTTTCCTGCCCTGCAAAATGGAGATATAATGCCAACTTCAAAAGATTGCTGTGAGTATTATATGCGATAATGCCTGGCAAGAGCCCAGTGGGAGGCCTGGCTCTAAAGAGGGTGGCAGTTTTAATGAGAAGGTGTCAGCACTCAGGGAACATTGACTGGTGACCTATGTGACTGAGGCCACTGGGGAGGAGAACCTGCAGGTCCCAGGACAGGGAAGAGACTGGTCTGTCCCCAGGAAACTCCTGGGTTTCTGTTCCTCTGGCCTAAGGGTCATAGCAAGGCAAAAGGCAGGAAAGGGTGAAGAGCCGTGAAAGTGATAGAGGCTGCTGGGCGTGGTGGCTCACACCTGCAATCCCAGCACTTTGGGAGGCTGAGGCATGTGGATCACCTGAGGTCAGAAGTTTGAGACCAGCCTGGCCAACCTGGTGAAAGCCTGTCTCTACTAAAAATACAAAAATTAGCCAGGCGTGGTAGTGCATGCCTGTAATCCATAATCCCTGCTACCAGGGAGGCTGAGGCAAAAGAATCGCTATTGAATCCGAGAGGCAGAGGTTGCAGTGAGCCGAGATCGCACCACTACACTTCAGGCTGGGAGACAGAGTGAGACTCAGTCTCAAAAAAAAAAAAAAAAAAAAAAAAAAAGAGAGAAAGAAAATGATAGAGTAGAGGCCACTAGGGCTGGGATTTATCAGGCCAGAATTTCAATCCATCCAGCCCAGTAAGGGATCCAAGAAGAGGCATGATCCCAGTTCCCAACTATTTGAAAATTGGAAACGCCAAACAAGGAGAGGGTTGAGTCAGCTGGGGTTAGTTAGGAGGGGGAGGCCAGGACCAGGAGGTGGGGGCCGGAGCCGGCTTCCTGGGAGAGAGCCATGGGCAGGCGCAGGGAGTGGGGAGGTGGTGGCAGGGACCCGGAGGTGGGCTGGGAAGGGGCCAGAGGCAGCTGGGAATCCCAGCCCCACCCGTGGAGAAGCATCTGTGGAGTGACCCGAGGCCACCTCTGAAGTCCTCCCCAGGCTCAGGCCCCAGCCAGGCCTCCCCTTCCCCACCGACTGGGATGGGAGAAAGATGGGGAAAGAGGCCAAATGTTACAAAACACCTAGGTGTGACCCGCCTGATGGGGAGGGGGGACACATCTCTACCCAACAGCCCAAGCCCAAAGCATAGGGTGGGGTGGGGTGAGATCCCCAGGCCTGTGTGTCTCTCTCTCCTGAGTCCTGCTGTTTCTCTGAGGCCACGGGAGCCAGATTTAGAGTCGAGCAGCCCCACATCCCACCAAGTAAGGACCAACTGCAGGTTGGCCCAGAGCTCCCCAGGCAAGGTCCTGCCTCCTCCAGTGTAGGCCAGGGGGGGACAGGGCTAGGATGGGGTCCCAGGACATCCCCCACCCCCCCCACTGTCACTACCCTCAGGATGCACGAACATCCTTTCTGCACCCATGGGAGCCCCTGGCCACACCTCCTGTTGCTCAGAGCCCACCAACTGCACACATCTGGGAAGGGGACAAGGCGTCCAAAGACTCCAGCCTTTCCCAGGCCACACCCTGGGGTGTGCCCCCCTCCTTCTCCCAGTCCAGGAAGGAGCAATCAGGGTGGAAGGATGGACTCTGTCCTACAGCTGCGGCCTCGGTAGGCGAAGGAGGGGCAGTGACAGATCAGAGGCAGTTACACCCGGAGCTCTGAGACTGCGAAAGAGGCCCAGGGAATGGACAATCCCCTTACACAGCCATTCATTCAACAAGCCCAGTACAGGACCTGGGTCATAGAGAAGGCGTGCCCGGCTGTGCCCTGGGAACCCTGCCTCAGATATTCCACCGGCCTTGTCTTTAGCAGGAACGAGACTTAGTGCAATCACGGATTGTCAAATACCTGCCACATTCCAGGCACTGAGCAAGGTGCATCCACCTGGTTACTTCATAACCACCAGGAAGCAGGCCTCCCCATTTCACATTTGACTGAGGCTCAGAGAGGTAAAGCAACTTGCCCAAGGTCACAGAGCCAGTCAGGGCTGGGCCAAGACTTGAAGGCAGGGCCTTTTGAGCCCACATCTTTCCCTTGACCACAGTGCCCAGGGAAGTGGCTCTGAGACCAATGAGGACACAGACAAGTCAAAAAGGGCAGAGTGGACATCCCAGCTTGTCCCACATCTTCTGGGGCCCTGCAGAGAGCATGGCTGGGCAGGCAGCTCCCAAGTGCAGGGGCCAGAGCACGCCCCTTTCCAATCTCAGCAAGGAGCCTGGGCCTTCTTGGCCTGCTGGCTTCCTCAAAGCCATTAATTTGCTCACTTGAATTTGTTTGTTTGTTTGTAGTTTTGAGACAGAGTCTCGCAATGACGCCCAGGCTTGAGTGCAATGGCATGATCTCAGCTCACTGCAACCTCCGCTTCCCAGGTTCAAGCGATTCTCCTACCTCAGCCTCCTGAGTAGCTGAGACTACAGTCATGCACCACCACACCCGGCTAACTTTTTTGTATTTTTAGTAGAGACGGGGTTTCACCATCTTGGCCAGGCTGGTCTCGAACTCCTGACCTCAAGTATCTGCTCACCTCAGCCTCCCAAAGTGCTGGGATTACAGGCGTGAGCCACCGCGCCCATCCTTTATTCACTTGATTTTTTTTTTTTGAGATGGAGTTTTGTTCTTGTTGCTCAGGCTGGAGTGCAATGGCGCGATCTCAGCTCACCACAACCTCCGCCTCCCGGGTTCAAGTGATTCTCCTGCCTCAGCCTCCCTGAGTAGCTGGGATTACAGGCATGTGCCACCATGCTTAGCTGATTTTTTTATTATTATTATTTTCAGTAGAGACGAGGTTTCTCCATGGTGGTCAGGCTGGTCTCGAACTCCCAACCTCAGGTGATCCGCCCGCCTTGGCCTCCCAAAGTGCTGGGATTACAGGTTGTGAGCCACTGTGCCCAGCCTCACTTGAAGTTTTAATGTGTTCACCTACTATCTGCCTAGCACCAGGCAAACAGCAATGAACAAAGCCAAGTCCCTGCCCTCATGCAGCTTCCACTCTAGATGAGGGGGTAAGAATAAATCTACAAGCCATGAGCTCCGGCTGTGGAGTTCTAAGGCAGAGTCTGCAACTCCACAAATGAACACTCAGCAAGATCCCCTCCGCCTACACCATAAGCCAATGCAGAGGCCCCAGCTTGGGTGGGGACGGGGGAGCTCCTGGCTGGAGATGGGTAGGGGGATGACTGCCAGGCATGTGAGCCAGTCCAACCCCCACCCATGCTGTCCCCTCCATCACTTGCCATTCTTTTTTCTTTTTTTTTTTTAAGAGACAGGATCGCGTTCTATCACCCAGGCTGGAGCGCAGTGGCAAGATCATGGTTCACTGCAACCTCCACCTCCTGGGCTCAAGTGATCCTCCTACCTTGGTCTCCCAAAGTGTGGGGATTACAGGTGTGAGCCACCACTCCTGGCCCACCTGCCGGTTTTTTTTTTTTTTTTTTTAGGAATTTTTATTGTCCAAACAAGAGATCGTAAGAGAAGACACAAATAAATTAACTGTTCTGAGAATTCTGGACTCCACCTCCTGCCCACTCCTCCTGGAACTTTCCCATCTCAGGTAGTGGCAGCTCCATCCTTCGGGATGCTGAAGCCAAAGACTGTGGAGGCATCCCGGACTCTTCTCTTTCTGTCCCGCCCCACATCCAACCCACTAGCAAATCCTGGTGACCCATCTTCAAAATGTACTGGGGATTCAACCATCTCCCACCTCCGTGGTCCTAGCTTGAGCTCCCATCGTCTGTCCTGGGTCACGGCCTCCTTGCCTTTGCTCTGGACCCTCCCCGTGCTCCTCTCCACACAGCAGCCAAAGCAATCCTATGGAACACCGGGCCCCTTCAGTGACTTCTCAATTCACTCAGACGCAAATCCAAGGTCCTTCCCATGGCCAAAGCTCTGCTGATCACCCTCTGCCACCCCCCTGCCTGCTGCATCCACCATGCTCCCCCTCACTGATGCTGCTCCAGCCCCACGGGCCTCCTTGCTTTTCCACAGACATGCCAAGGACACTCCCACCTCTGGGCCTCTGCACTAGCTGTGCCCTCTGCCTGGAATGCCCTTTCCATTGATATCTGCGAGGCTCACCCGCTCACTTACTTCAGGTCTCCTTCAGTTCAAATTTATCTTATCAGAGGCTTTTCCTACCACCCCACCCTACCTACCCCGCCTCATCACTCACTGCCCTCTTCCCTGTTTTATTTTTTCTTCTGAGCACTTATCACCACCTGATGTATTTCATTTATTGTCTGTCTTCCTGCACTAGCTATAACGCAAGTGACATGAGAGGAAGGAATCTGACATTTTTATTCTCTGCGGTAACCTCAAGATCTAGAACAGGGCGGGTGCAGTGGCTCACGCCTGTAATCCCAGTGCTTTGGGAGGCCAAGATGGGTGGATCACTTGAGGTCAGGAGTTCAAGACCAACCTGGCCAACATGGTGGAACTCCATCTCTACTAAAAATACAAAAATTAGCTGGACGTGGTGGCGTGTTCCTGTAATCCCAGCTACTTGGGAGGCTAAGGCAGGAGAATCTCTTGAACCTGGGGGGCAGAGATTGCAGTGCGGCGAGATCATACCACTGCACTCTAGCCTGGGTAACAGATCAAGACTCCATCTCAAAAAAAAAAAAAAGATCTAGAACACAGTCAGATACATAGAAGATGCTCCACAGATATTTGTGAAATGAATTTTAAAAAACGCTTAATCACATACATCATTTGTTCATTCATTCATTCAACACACTCTGCAAGGCTTTGCGCACCAGATACTCCCCTAAAACCCAGAGCAACAGGACACCCTCCTTCATGGCTCAGGGAATGGGCCCTGGTCAGGAGCTAGGAGCTGGTCCTAAGGCTATCTCAGGATGCCACAGATGCCTCCAGGGATGCTCTGAGGTTCCTGCAGGCCTGGCACAGATGAGCATCATGGAAGGGAAGGGAGAGTGGTTCTGGGGGCAGCAAGACTCAAAGGCCTCACATTCCCAGGCCTCAAAGAGCCACCTTGTTCTCAGGGCTTTCATGACAGCACCCCCGACCCGGCCACCCCAGCAGCCACGAGCCACACCCCTCTCAAGGCTGCTATTGACACAGCCCTGACGCCACCAGGCTGGGCAGTGAGGCCGGCGGCTCCCCGCGAAGTGAGTTCCACACATACTTCTGGGTTTCAGTCAGCCAGCTCTGGGTGCTGGGGCAGCTGGCCCCGGGAGCAGGAGGGGGTGGCAGGGCCAAAGAGGCCAAGGCCCAGGCGGAAGCAACATTCCAGCAGGGCCGGGACCCTCGGCGCAGCCTCCCTCTTCTTGGCAGGAGCAGGAGCGAGAGGAGAAAAAGGCCAGGGTAGGCCCTGGGACAGGGAGAGGTAGGCCCAGCAGATACTTGGGAAGCTGCCGGGGAACCAAGTCATATTCACTTCCTCCTCCAGTCTGACCCCTCATAGCTGGGACTGGATTGGGTGAAGGGGAGGGGGGCAACAGGCCAGGGCTGGGAACCCTTCCCATATACCCCAAGTAGTCTGAGGGTGCAGAGCCCACACCTCTGGCCTCCAAGTGGCCTCTGAATCATTGCTCCAGATCTTTCCATAGCCTGGGCAGGCCCTCCTGCCCTCCCTCCTGAGCCTCTCACCCCAAGGCCAGGCAGCCCTTGAAGCTCTGCAGACTCACCCTAAACCTTGAGCCCCCAGGGAACAGCCAGAAAAAAACAGCGCAGGCTCCACACAGGACAACCAGGAGGGTGTTCTTCCCCTTCCCCCACTAGCAGCATGGCAGGGGCAGGGGCCCCTGACCTCCCACACTGGGCAGGGCCAGCCTGGCCCACTCAGGCCTAAAAGTCCCTGGATAAATTCAACTGCCTGTAGAGTCCCAGGAAATATCTGATGAGAACATTAATGAATTAACAAACCTAAAAATGACCACCCTAGAGTTCCTAGGCTTCCCCTCCAGGCACAGGCGTCCCTAGGAGACCCCACGGACACTGAGGCATACCCAACCTAAGAGCTTCTGTCCCCGAGCCAATCCCTGATATTCCTTGCCTGAGGTAGCCCCTGTACTACTTGGGACCAGAGTTCTTAATCAACATCTGTGACAAGTTGTAGCAATATCTACTGACTGCCCACGACAAGCACATGGGGCAGTACGTGGCGTGATTAGGAGAGCTTCGTCTGGATTCAAAACTTGGCTTGCAGCATCTCTGAGTGTGTGGATATGTAAGTCACTGGGCAAGTTACGTAACCTCTCAGTGCCTCAATGTCCTCTGCTTAGAGAATGGGGATCAGGCTAGTAGCTACAGCTTAAAACATTCGACAAAGATATTCACTAAGCACTTACTACCTGCCAGGTGCTAAGCATACAGCAGTGAACAAAAACAAATGAGGTCCTGCTCTCGTAGAACTTAAACTGAGCAGGAGGAAGCAGATAAACACATAAACAAATACAGACAAATACAGGCCAGACAATTGTGAGAACAAAAATAAAGCAGTTTAAGGAGACAGCCATTATGGGAAGAGTGGTAAGGACCAGAAAGAGGGAGAGGGTCATATGGATATTACGGGGACAAATGTCCCAGGCAGAAGGAACAGCAGACGCAGAGACCCTAAGGTGGGAGTGTGTTTCACATGCTCAAGAAACAAAGCCTTGGTCAGGCGAGGTGGCCCATGCCTATAATCCTAGCACTTCAGAAGGCTGAGGTGGGAGGATAGCTTGAGTTAAAGAGTTTGGGACCAGCCTGGGCAATACAACAAGATCCCATCTCTATTTGTTTTAAATTTTTATATTCATTAGAAAAGAAAAGGCTGGGTGCAGTGGCTCACGCCTATAATCCTAGCACTTTGGGAGGCCGAAGGGGGTGGATCATTTGAGCCCAGGAGTTCGAGACCTGCCTGGGGGAACATGGCAAAACCCTGTCTCTATAAAAAATACAAAAATTAGCCAGGTGTAGAGGAGGGTGTCTGTAGTCCCAGCTACTCAGGGGGCTGAGGTGGGAGGATCACCTGAGCGTGGGAGGTTGAGGCAGCGGTGAGCTGTGATTGTGCCACTGCACTCCAGCCTGGGTGACAGTGTGAGACCCTGTCTCAAAAAAAAAAAAAAGAAAAGAAAAAGAAACAAAGACTGGTATAGCTGGAGGAGTTTGAGAGGAGCAGGTGGCAGGAGGCCGGGTGTTGCAGGGCCTCGTAGGCTATATTAAGTCAGGGGCTGGGACCTAATTCTGAGCACCGCAGGGAGGTGGTGAGCAGGAAACACAGGTGAATGGGAGGATTCACTGAGAAACTCAGAGCAGACAGTGGGTACTGGGTAAGTCTGAAGTACCCGTATTACTGTGTCATCATCCAGCCTGGCACCCCAAGAGCTCCTTCCCCTCCACTTTGCTCACCCGTCTTCCGGGCCCTGAACCCAGTCACCTCCTGCCACCTTCTTTCCACCGTCTCCCGGGCAGGGCTTCAGACCCACAGATCCTAACTTGTCTGCGCTCAGCCTGAGAGCAGGCCCGGGCCAAGCCAGGCAGGGGCCACAACTCCCCAGACAGGGGGAAATGGGCCTAAGGGATGGGGGGGTGGTCCATCTCTGCCCCTTCCAGCTTCTACCCTGCAGACAGACCTGCAGCCTGCCCTCCTTCCCTCCGGGAATGTCCAGGGCACACTCAAAACCCCATCCTGTGCCGGCTGCAGGTACGGAACAAGTAGGCTAGTGTCAGGTGACAGAGCAGCTGGCTGCGTGGAGGAGGGCTGAGGGACCGCCAGGAAGGGGAGGCTCCTGCAGTTCAGCTGGCAGCCTCCCCAGTGAGGAAATCCAGCTGAGGCAGGAAACAGGTATCTCAGCGACTTCCCTCCTAGGCCCTGGAAAACACCTTAATCACCACCGAGGCTCCCTCAAGACGCCTGTCCCCTGCAGGGCCGCCCTAAAGGGGTCAGCAGGCCAAGGCCTGCCGAGTCACCCAGGCCCAGCCCCCTCCTCCAGCAAGCCTCCTCACCTCCCAACAGCTGAAATTACACCCACACTTAATCACAGATCAGCTTCCTGTGGTCCTGTCCCCCGTCCCGGGGAAGCCTGGAGCTCCCTAAGGCCCATCTCACCCTGCTGCTGTGCCCAACCCTTCCCCATAAGCCACTGGCTCCGGACCAAACTGAAGGGCAGATGAGAGCAAGGGTAGCAGGCAAAGAGGGTCCAAGGTGTGCTGGGAGCCTGGGCTAGGAATTGATCTCATTTTTGACTTGCAACAAACTCCTCAACCCCATTGTACAGATTTGGAAACTAAGGCTCAGAGAGAGGAACTCGCCCCAGATCACACAGCCAGAAACCGCAGCCCAGAGACTCATACTTGGGTCTGTAAGACTTCAGAGACAGGCCAGGCATGATGGCTTATGCCTGTCATCCCAACACTTTAGGAGACCGAGGCGAGAGGATCGCTTGAGGCCAGGAGTTTGAGACCAGCCTGGGCAACAAAGTGTGATGCCCTCTTTTTTTTTTTTTGAGACAGAGTCTTGCTCTGTCGCCCAGGCTGGAGTGCAGTGGCGCGATCTCGGCTCACTGCAAGCTCCGCCTCCCGGGTTAACGCCATTCTCCTGCCTCAGCCTCCGGAGTAGCTGGGACTACAGGTACGTGCCACCATGCCTGGCTAACTTTTTGCATTTTTAGTAGAGACAGGGTTTCACTATGCTGGCCAGGCTGATCTTGAACTCCTGACCTCATGATCCGCTCGCCTCGGCCTCCCAAAGTCCTGGGATTACTGGCGTGTGCCACCGCGCCTGGCCCCGAAAAACTTTTTATTGTTTGTTTGTTTTGAGGCGGAGTCTCACTCTGTCACCCAGGCTGGAGTGCAATGGTGTGGTCTCAGCTCACTGCAACCTCCGCCTCCTGGGTTCAAGCGATTCTCCTGCCTCAGCCTCCCGAGTAGTTGGGATTACAAGCATGCGCCACCACACCCGTCTAATTTTTGTATTTTCAGTACAGATGGGGTTTCACTATGTTGGCCAGGCTGGTCTCAAACTCCTGACCTCGTGATCCGCCCACCGTGGCCTCCCAAAGTGCTGGGATTACAGGCATGAGCCACCGCGCCTGGCCTGAAAAACTTTTTAAAAAGAATTTTATAAAGAGACTTCAGGGGCCAAGCTCTTTCCAGCCCACCACCAGCAGCCTGGGGTGGGACAGCGACCCTCCATGTGTTGCTGAGAAGGCTCTCTAATCCCACAGGATTGGAGCTGCCTGTTTATTTGTCTAAATTACCGCCCACCAGCCTGTGAGTGCTGGGAAGGCACAGACAGGGCCTGTCCTTGCTGGTCCAACCCACCCCAGCCCCTAGCACCACACGAGGTTCACTGGTTCACTGGCACACAGTAGGTGCATGGCAAATATCTGCCCAAAGAATGAACCTCTGTACTCCCAGTGACTGCCATGGAATGTCGCTCAGTGATGATCTGTTGAATGAACAAGTGAATGAGATGATCTGCCACGGTCCAGGAATGTCTGTGGAAATTCCTCATGCACACAGCAAACAACTCCACCCACCGCCATCCTACCGCACCCGGGCATGGAGGAGCCCCTCATCGGGGGCAGAGCTGGGGGAAGGTCAGGAAAGACTGTTGGGCCTCGGAAAACATCCCACGTGCTAGGTTGGTGCGTTGGGAAAAGTAAAAGTCAGTGCCAGGAGTGCAAGTTCAGGTCAAGACTAGGGAGCTACTGGATGGCCCTGCTGAATATTTTGGGGTGAGAGGCTGAAACAGGAGGACGACAGAGGAGGCTGCCCAGAGTGGGGATGGGGGAGGAGAAGTGCTGGGTGGGTGGGGCAAGAGCAGTGAGGAGCCAGGTCTGGGTGGGGGCTTGACGAGTGACTCAGGAGGGTAGAGGTGCGATGAAGCCAGGAAGGTGAGGCCAGGCAGGCAGTTCCTGGGTAAACACCAGCCTGGTTAGAAAAGTCCCTCTCTTGGCTCAGAGAACAGGGAGGCAGGTATGGGGACTGCCTAGGAGCACCTCGGAGAGAGTGGGGGTGGCTCTGTGGCTCCCCACGGTAGGCTCGGCTCCCCAGATGTGCCCCCACCCACATCTGCCACTAGCTCCCTGCCCACCGACCCCACCCAGTCCTCCTCAAGTTCACTCAGGTCCTCAGGGCCTCTGCTGGCCAAGTGCCTTCTAAGCCTCGGGATTCCTGACCGTAGAATTCCCTTTTCCTCCACCTAAGCTCAGAGTAGGGGACTAGACTGCAAGGGCAGGCCTCTCCCTGCCTCTTGGAGACCTGGGAAGAGGAAAGCTGGGGAACTCGGGTCCCCCAAGGGTGCACTGCATCCCCGCACCACGCACTTTGCAGCTCATTCCACGCAGTCCAGCAACGCCCTGCAGCTATGCATTTTGAGGCCGTGCATTTTGAGTTCCCTTGACCCACGTGGGGCTGGCCTCAGAGAGGTTAACTAGCGTGCCCCAGGTCACACAGTTACTCAGTGAAAGGCAGGGATTGATTCAACTCTTCGGCTGTATGACTCCAAGGCCCGTGGGTGTTCCACACAAGCTTCAGTTCTGTCCCAAAAGTTTTGCTTGTGCCTACCTGGGTCCAAGCTCCCCAAGGTGATAGACGGTGTGGTAAAGTTTCAGCGAGACTCATAGGGTCCCCATCACCACTGAGTGGCCGTTCTGCCAAGCTGGCGCAGAAGGGTTCCCTCGTCCTGCCAAGTTCCCACCCTGCTCAAAGTTTCCCCTCCTGGTCCCCAGGAATGGTAGGCCGGACCATGCCCAGCGAGACTCCAGCACTCGGCAACGTGGCCGAGAGACCCACGGGCTCCCACACGGGCCAGCCCCGCCCCCAGCCCCACGAAGGGTCCTGACTGGTGGCCCCCCTGGATTAGCCCCATGCCGCAGGGTGGCGCCGGCCCGGGGTCCCCGGCGGGCGCCGCCGTCCCGGGCCAGAGTCCCCGCCGCGCAGCCTTGGGCGCCCCAGCCAAGTTGGCGGGAGGCGGCGAGCGGGACCGGGGCGCCCCTAGCCCCTCCGCCCCCGCCCCCCGCCCCTCTGCCCCGCACACTCACCGCCAGCAGCCGCCCGTGCAGCAGCAGCGCCAGCAGCAGCGCGCCCGCCGCCCGCCACCCCATGGCCCGGCCCGCGCCGCTCTCTCGCTCGCTCGCTCCGCGCCGCCCGCTCCGCGCCGCCCGCAGCCGCCCGCTCGCCGGCCAGCTCGGGACAGCGCGGCCCTCTCCCCACCGCCCCCTTTCCTCCCCGCCCGCCCCGCCCCCGCAGCGCCGGCCCCGCCCCCGAACCGCCCCTCCCCGGAGCGCCAGGCCCCGCCCACGGACCGCCCCCGGGCCGCGGGCTCTGCTCGCCCCAGCCGGCCGCGCAGCCTACTAGGCCTTTGTCTGGGCCCCCAGCCCCCTCCGCGCGGGCCGCGGCCCGGCCCGGCTCCCCGCCAAACCCGGCCTGGAGTATGGGATGGGACGGGGCGGGGGACCGGGGGCCCGGGCCCGGGCATGGGATGGGGCCGCCGGGCCAGGCGCTCTCGCCTCCCCGATCCCCGGCTCCCCCGCTTCCCCGCGCGCGCCGCCGACTTCCACGCCCCTGCACGCCCCGCACGGCCGACTCCACTCGCGCAGCTTTTGAAGATCCCGGGATCTCCTTCCCACGCTCACACGCACGCAGCTGCCGCTCCGCGCCACACGTGCACGCCAACTTCCACACCCAAGAACACCTTCACACCATAACTTTACTGCACGAACACACTTGTGCGCTACCCGGGAACACTTTCACACTCTGGACCCAACTCTGAAGTACCAACAATCCTCACCGGCTCACATGCACACTTAACTCGCTTCCAAACTCTCACCTCCACCAGGGACACAGGAGACAGCCCTCACACCACACTCAGCCCCTCACTCACGCATACATCCCAACAAGTCACGGAGCGGGAGGACGCCTTTTCACATAGATTCCTCGCAGGCACGCACATTTCACACACAGGCCCACATCATTGCCTACATGCTTACCAGCTTGTTTTTTTTTTTTTTTTTTTTTTTGAGAAGGAGTCTCGCTCTGTCCCCAGGCTGGAGTGCGGTGGTGGGATCTTGGCTCACTGCAACCTCCGCCTCCGGGTTCAAGCAATTCTCCGGCCTCAGCCTCCTGAATAGCTGGGATTACAGGCGTGCCACCACGCCTGGCTAATTTTTGTATTTTTAATAGAGATGGGGTTTTTACCATGTTGGCCAGGCTGGTCTCGAACTCCTGACCTTGTGATCTGCCCGCCTTGCCCTCCCAAAGTGATGGGATTACAGGCATTGAGCCACCGCACCCAGCCTCAGCCTGTATCTTTTACCTGTTCTCACCCACTAATCACAGTGCCTCATAGTGGGCACTGGGTACTGAACTGAGCTGCCCACCCCACCTGCACCATTTTCCATGTAAATCACTCACACACCAACTTTGAGTCACATAAATCACAGCCCCAGAGCCAGAACCACACCAACTCACACACTCAGGCCCAGACAGACAGACCCTGCCAAAGCCCCATCACAGATGCTCGGGTGGGTGGTAAAATCACAGCCCCATGATCTGTCTCTGACCCAACCGCAGGCAGCAAACAGCACCAAGCCCCCAGACCTATTCACTGCCTACTCTTCAGCTCCCCTCTTCTGCCTGAAATTTCCAGGGCAGCCCGAGGCTGATGGGTGGAGAGGAAAACTATGTGTGTGTAGCTTTGAGGAAAACCTTTTGAGTAATGATAGAGGAGGAGAATAAAACTGAAGTTTCCATTGTTTCCTGTGAGAGTTGCTAGGTTCCAGAAACTCATGGCTGGGTTTGCAGCCAGGAGTGAGGTGAGCTGTGGACAGAAGGAAATGCCCAGCTCACTGGGCGGCACCAGGCCTGGCTCCGGAAGCTATGTTCCCTGTGATAGGGGTCCGCAGGCTCCCAAGCACATTGGGGCCTCTCATCCAGGCATCTGGGGGATTGAAAAAACACTGGCATCCTGACCCCCATCCCAGATAGATCCCCTATCTCCAAAAGATATCTCCAAAATATGCCCTGTGGGGCATATTTCTGTGGGACCAGCTCAGAGTTGTAAAGAACAGAAATTGCATCCACGGTAGTCAGGCCAACTGCCTGGCCCCAACCCAGGCTCCAGGCACAGCACTGAATAAGGTCTATCTCTGATCCGCACAGGGAGATAGGGGTGGACAGAGGAGGGACGCCCAATCTTGGCCCTCAGTAAACTCTTAATCTGATAGAGGTGTGGGGAAGAATAGTCCCTGTCCGGGTATTGTTCTCAGTCTGATAGAGAATCCTGCCTCCACCACCTAGCCGTGCAATCTTGAGCACATGATTCAACTTCCATGTCTCAGTCTCTGCATGTAGAAAATGAGAATAACGTTAAGACGTCTCTCTTAGTGTTGTTATGAGAATTAAGATAAATTAATATATTTCTTTTAAAAAACACAGCCATTTCAGACACTTGGTAAGCATGAAATAAGTGGTAGCCATTTCTCTTATTACTATTTCTGGTGTGCTCCCAATCTAAAGAGAGAGACATGACTTGGCCCTTGGGGAGCTGAGGTCTGATAGAGGAGCAGCCTCCACAGCCACCCCAGGGACCTCCCATTTGAGGGGAGAGTACACCAGGTTTGCACTTGGAAACTCCCTGTCCGATGAGAAAGGCTTCAAAACTCCACTGACTTCAGAGCTGGCAGGTGGCCAGCCCTAGTGGCAGGATTTTTCCAAGGCCTTGCCTGTCCATGGATTTGTCAGCATCCGTGACAAATCGCATTTCATGAGCTGCCTCAGTGTCTGTTCCCTACCTCGGGCCCTTTAAGTACCAGAGCTTTGGCTTCTTGGATGATTTGCTCATGAGCAAAGGGGGAAAAAAAGGGAAACAAGCAACCCTTTGTAGATGTTTGGTCAAGACTAACCCAGAGCTATAAGTCTTCCTTCCTCAAAGGGGTTGAGGAAAGAGATGGTAAGGCCGACTAGGGACTGGAAGGAGCTGGGCTGACACGCAGAAAGCAGGAATATATGGCATGTTGAGAAAGTCTTCCAGGGCGGCTCCAGCAGCGGAGGATTGGTCATCCACCTATTTATTCTGTGTCCTCTCCTTCCCACTAAGGGATTTGCCTGGGTCTGTTTTAGTTTGCAGTCCTTGATATCTTTAGCAAATGCTCTCAAGTTGCTTTGTCTAGAGCCTGGCTATCTCCTCATATGGCTAAGAAGAGGAGCAGGCACAAGGCCTTCTGGGCTTGGCAAAACCTTGGAGGCGCCCATAATCTCACTGTATGTACACAGAGTTCAGGGTGCTGGTCACACTCGAGGAGAGAAACAACTCAAGTCTCATACAAGGTTCCCTGGGCACGGAGAGACTACAACAGCTTGGATAGGCAGAAATAGTCAAACAGCTTGACTTCTGAGAATAGGTGTTGGGGGTTCTGGAACCAGCAGCTGGAGTTTGTGGCTTACCTGTCCACTCCTCCAAATTCAGTAGGACTCATCTTCTGGCTTCCACTCCCATTCCAAATCTTTTCTCTGCCTGAGAGCTTATCATTCATCTTAATCACATTCCTTTGTCCATTCATTCATTCATTCAGGGCTGCAGTGGACAGTTGCGCAGGTTGTTCACTGAACAAAGGTGTGCAGCCAAGTGGGTAAATAGGAACTGTAATGGGCCCTGTTGTGGGGCTACATCTGCCCAGAATGGGTACTTTTTTTTTTCTTTTTGAGACAGAATCTTGCTCTGTTGCCCAGGTTGGAGTGCAGTGGCACGATCTCAACTCACTGCAACCTCTGCCTCCTGGGTTCAAGCGATTCTCCTGCCTCAGCCTCCCAAGTAGCTGGGATTACAGGCACATGCCACCACACCTGGCTAATTTTTTGTATTTTTAGTAGAGACAGGGTTTCATCATGTTGGCCAGGCTGGTCTCGAACTCCTGACCTCAAGTGATCCACCCGTCTCGGCCTCCCAAAGTGCTGGGATTACAGGCGTGAGCCACTGCACCCGGCCCAGAATGGGTACTTTTTGCTGATATGAGTGAAGGCACTGTAAGGCTAGCTGTGGCCCTATATTCATTCAATAGTGAAACTAAACACTGCCCACGAGAGTTTCTATGTCCATGTGGGAAAACAAATGCTAATAGAGTAACAATATGTCCTTGGGTGAAAATGAAGAGTCAGAAATTGGTGTGAAAGAGAATTGAGATGGAGGAGAAAAAACAAGAAGATAGTACTGAAGAAGAGGAGGAAGAGGAGGCAGGAGGTGGGTCTAAGCAGGCAGCAAAAGTTCCCATGGAGAGGGCGGGGACCCCACAAGGCCTGGCATGATCTAGTCCTGCCCATCAATCCAGCCACAGCCCTTCCCCACCATAGTCTTTGCAGATGCTGTTCCCTCTCCTAAGTGCTTTTCCCAGTTAACACCCATCCCCCTTCACTCTACTCTCCCTTAAGATTGAGTCCAAACATCACATGACCACAGAAATCTTCTCTGACCTCCCAAGCGAGGTCGTGTTCCCCACCACACTTTCCCACAGCGCCCCCCCCGCCATGCTTTTCTTGTAGCATTTTTGACCATTGTAATTATTTGGAAGATCATTTAATATTATGAGGCATAATGAAGGCAGAGGGCATGAAGGTCTTGTTTCTGTCTTGGTCCCAATTATATCCCCTGTGAAGAGCACAGTGTGTGGCACAGAGTTGGCATTTGGATAATTGTTACTTAAATGAAAGAACAAGACATTAGTTCAAACGTGGCACACAGTGTAAATGTCCCTGTTCTGGTTTGTGCTTGGAACAAAGATAAACCCTGGGGAGCAGGCAAGGCAGTACATTTTATTATTCCCCTCCCTTTCCAGCTGGGAAAACTGAGGCCCAGGGGATGAAGTGGCTTGCCCAGGTCATGCAGTCAGTAAGAGGTAGAACCAGGATTCATGTCCATGTCGGTCTGATTCTACAAACTCCCATTCTCAACCACACCCATTCTGCCTCCCTGTGGGCTGTTCTCAACTCTGGCCAGGCACAAGTGCGCTTCTCCCAGCTCAGGCAGAAGCGTGAATCTTCTGAAAGCTCTTGTATTTGACCCCCTGCCCCAACTTGATGTTTCCCCACTACCCTTCATCATTATCAATTGCTTTCTTGGACTGGGGTCCCAGGCCCAAGGCAGGGTTCCCACACTGTGCCTCATGGGTCACCTGCAATCTGAGATGCTCTTTGAAAAAGAGGTTCTTTGGCCAAAGAAGTTTGGGTACCCTGCACTCTTTCCCACACTTTGACCACCTCAAGGGACACCAAAGCAGGAAGGGTTTTGAATAGGCCTCCAGTGAAGTCGCCTGTGCAACTGTGTTTAATCCAGCCTTCCTCAACCTCTTTGAGAACGGAACCCAGTGGTTTTTATGGAAAATCCTTTTAAAATCTTATAGGGCTGAGGTTTCTCATAACACTTTGCGAATGCTGCCCCAGAGCCTGGCTCCTGAGCTGACCATAGATGGTCTTTATAATTTGAATTTGCACTCATGGCTCTCCACTCCCACCCCTCCCCTCCAGCCAGGCTGGAATTCTTACGGCTCCGTACACACTCTCACATTCCTGCCTACTAGCCCCTACTTCAGCTATAGAAGACTTCTCTGCCAGGCTCGTGGTTAGAGCTCCATAAATGCTCCTTTCCCTTCCCTCGTCAGTGTAGACATTACGCATTTGATCTCACTGTGTATATTTCCACGCATATGTACGATTTCATGTCTTGCTTTTCTCACCGAACATTTTTTTTTTAGTCGGAGTCTCGCTGTGTCTCCCAGGCTGGAGTGCAGTGGCGTGATCTTGGCTCACTGCAGGCTCCGCTTCCCGGGTTCATGCCATTCGCCATTCTCCTGCCTCAGCCTCCCGAGTAGCTGGGACTACAGGCACCTGCCAACAAGCCCGGCTAATTTTTTTGTATTTTTAGTAGAGACAGGGTTTCACCGTGTTAGCCAGGATAGTCTCGATCTCTTGACCACGTGATCCACCCGCCTCAGCCTCCCAAAGTGCTAAGATTACAGGCGTGAGTCACCGTGCCCGGCCTTTCTCACTGAACATTTTTTAGATAAACACGTTCTATGTGTCAGGAAGGAACAGAGCTACTTAAAAATGAGCCTGTGGTGCCAGCCCCCAAACTGTTTATTACCAGTCTGAGATGAGATAAAGAGCTTGCTCCAGGTGTAAATCAACTGTTTCAATAAGCACAGCTTAGTGACGGTTTAGCTCAGTTGAAATTTTTTTTTTCCTGGCCATTCTTGTCCCATATTGGAAGCAGCACATAGATTTATATTCTGGTGCAAGCTCTTTGTGACGGATGGTGCCATGAACAATTCCTGGGCCAGCTACTTTGAATAGCATTGACATTGCCTTTGCGATGGCTCATGCCTGTAATTCCAGCACTTTGGGAGTCCGAGGCAGGCGGATCACCTGAGGTCAGGCATTCGAGACCAGCCTGGCTAACATGGTGAAACCCCATTTCTACTAAAAATATAAAAAATTAGCCGGATGTGGTGGCAGGCGCCTGTAATCCCAGTTGCTCGGGAGGCTGAGAAAAGAGAATCACTTGAATCCGGGAGGCAGGGGTTGCAGTGAGCCGAGATCGTGCCATTGCACTCCAGCTTGGGCAACAAGAGCGAAACTCAGTCTCAAAACAAACAAACAAACAAACAAAAAAAGACATTGCCTTTGCACACAATATTTCTTTCTTTCTTTTTTTTTTTTTTTTTTGAGATGGAGTTTCGCTCTTGTTGCCCAGGCTGGAGTGCAATGGCGTGATCTCAGCTTACCACAACCTCTGCCTCCCAGGTTCAAGCAATTCTCCTGCCTCAGCCTCCCGAGTAGCTGGGATTACAGGCATGCACGACCATGCCTGGCTAATTTTTGTATTTTTAGTAGCGACGGGGTTTCTCCATGTTGAGGCTGGTCGCAAACTCCTGACCTCAGGTGATCTGCCCGCCTCGGCCTCCCAAAGTGCTGGGATTACAGGCGTGAACCACCGCGCCCGGCCTGCACACAATATTTTTGATAATCATTTGGTATCATGTCTTATCAACACACTGCCATTCATTATGTGAATGATGGAAATGTTGGATATTTGGGCTGTTTCCAGGTCTTTGTTATTCACAAGGGCATTGCTATGAATGGCTGTGTGTGGGTCCGTGTGTTCACTTTGCAGCTCCCTCAGTTTTTAAGGACCACAAATCCAAGGCTAGGGAGGTGGAATGGCCTCCGCAGGGATACAAGTGGCAGAGAAAGGCCTCCCACCCAGGCCTCCTGACCACCCCCAGTCCCTTGTTCCTTCCTTCAGCCTGCACTGCCCTTCCTCCCAGACGGATTTTCCGTCCCTTTCATGATTTTCTTTGCTTGGCCGTGAGCTTTCTGCAGTGTTCCCGCATGTTGTCTTTTGGAGCTTGAGAGAAATCCTTTTGGAATGTCCTGTGCCTTCTCTCTCCGAGTTCCCGGCTTTGTTCAATTGTTCACCAGAAATTCCTGCCCTGTTGGGAGGGGCCTGGGAGGCTGTTAAAGAGTTTGCCAAAAATGGTGGTACCCGCTCAGGCACAGCACATGGCCGAGCCTCTTTGCTGCTCCTGCAGATTTCAGCTGAGAGAGGGCAGTGCGGGTGCATTTTGAGGTGCGGGAGGGTTGCCACTCAGGCCTCCTTTTTATGTTTCTTAGGTAGAGCAAGCAGGACCAGTCCTGTGTAGACAGAAGAGGCAGTAAGGGATAAAGGAGGGCCCAGGAATGGGGTGAGGGACGGGGAGGGCTGAGGCTTAGGAGAGTTAGGCCCATGAGGAAAGATGTGGGGTGGAGTGAGAATGAGGAATAGCATGAGCGTCTCTCTCTGGCACACACACCTTGGTAATAAAAAAGCTGCATTTCTTTTCATTTTCTTTTTTCTTTTCTTTTTTTTTTTTTTTATGAGACAGGGCCTCACTTTGTCTCCCAGGCTGGAGTGCAGTAGCATAATCTCAGCTCACTGCAGCCTCGACCTCCCAGGCTCAAGCAATCCTCCTACCTCAGCCTCCCAAGTAGATGGGACGAAAGGCGCACGCCACCACGCCCAGCCAGTTTTTGTATTTTCAGTAGAGACGGGATTTCGCCATGTCACCCAGACTGGTTCTGAACTCCTGAGCTCAAGCAATCCTCCCGCCTTGGCCTCCAAAAGTGCTGGGATTACAGGCTTGAGCCACCACGCCCAGCCAAAAAGCTGCATTTATTTTCTAGAGTCACAGAAGTGACATCAAACTGTCTGTTTGAAAAGGACCACACCAGATTTGTTTAAATATACAAAAAAATTTAATTTCATGCAGCTATACCCAATGATACCAAAGGATGCAGAGACCATTGGACTGGGCAACTGATACCATAGATGACCTTTGAGGAAATTTCTCCCTTTGCTTACTATTTACTGGAAAGAGCATGTTCCAGGTTTACTCTGCCCTGTTTAGAACACTGGTATTGTGGGGCAGCCCAAACTCATGTTAAATACCATCCTTGCTTTTCCTAATTTACTACATATTTTGGAGACCAAGATTTACTCCTCTTTCTCTTGGAATTTGTTTAATAAATAGTAAGAAAGAAACTGGGCCAGGTGCGGTGGCTCACACCTGTAATCCCAGCACTTTGGGAGGCTGAGGCAGGTGGATCATCTGAGGTCAGGAGTTCAAGACCATCCTGGTCAACATGGCGAAACCCCATCTCTACTAAAAAATACAAAAATTAGCCAGGCGTGGTGGTGGATGCCTGTATTTACAGCTACTTGGGAGGCTGAGGCAGGAGAATCGCTTGAACCTGGGGGGCAGAGGTTGCAGTGAGCCAAGATCACACCATTGCCCTCCAGCCTGGGCAACAGAGCAAGATTCTGTCTCAAAAAAAAAAAAAAAAAAGAAGAAGAAGAAGAAGAAGAAAAAGAAAAAAGAAAAGAAACTGCACTTTGACCATGCAATACTACTCAGCCATGAAAAGGAATGAAATAATGGCATTCACAGCAACTTGGATGGAGTTGGAGACCATTATTCTAAGTGAAGTAACTCAGGAATGGAAAAATCAAACATCATATGTTTTCACTTATAAGTGGGAGCTGGCCGGGCATGGTGGCTCATGCCTGTAATCCCAGCACTTTGGGAGGCCGAGGCAGGCGGATCGCCTGAGGTCAGGAGTTTGAGACCAGCCTGGCCAACATCATGAAACCCCATCTCTACTAAAAATACAAAAATTAGCCAGGTGTGGTGGCAAACACCTGTAATCCCAGCTACTGGGGAGGCTGAGGCAGGAGAATCGCTTGAACCCGGGAGGCGGAGGTTGCAGTGAGCTGAGATCGCGCCATTGCACTCCAGCCTGGGCGACAAGAGTGAGACTTCATCTCAAAAAAAAAAAAAGTGGGAGCTAAGCTGTGAGGATACAAAGGCATAAGAATGACATAATGGACTTTGGGGACTTGGTAGGGGGAAGGATGGGAGGGGGGTGAGGGATAAAAGACTACACACTGAGTACAGCGTACACTGCTCAGGTGATGAGTGCACCAAAATCTCATAAATCACCACTAAAGAACTTATGCAGCTAAGCAAACACCACCTCTTCCCCAAAACTATTGAAATAAAAATAAATAAATAAAAAGAAGCTGTACTTTGGATGAAAAGGACACTGGCCGAGAGTTAGAACCCTGGGTTGAAATCCCAGCTCTGCAATCAGCTGCAGGCGCTTGGGCAGTCACTTCCTCTCACTAAGCCTCAGTTTCCCCCTCTTCAAAATGGGGCACTGAAACCTAGCCTGGCAAGCTGGGGAGGGTTGAGAGCCTGCGTTTCAGGCCTCGGCAGCATGCCTGGCACACAGCGTGAGTGCTCAATGAGCGACGTACTTCTGCAAGTGTGAAAGACTTTCCTCGGCCACTCCCAGCCACGGGGACACCAAGGCCACTCCTGAACACAAGGGGGACAGTACAGCAGGCTGTGGCATTGTCTGCAGCCAGCATGCTGCTTCCTGTTTACATGGACCCTGCAGATGCATGGCTTGAACTGTAGACCTGGGAGGCTTCCTGTGGCCTCTGCATGGCCAGGTGGAGCAGAGGACCTTCCC
Organism: Homo sapiens; assembly: GCF_000001405.40. Classification (NCBI taxonomy): domain Eukaryota; kingdom Metazoa; phylum Chordata; class Mammalia; order Primates; family Hominidae; genus Homo; species Homo sapiens. The sequence continues at coordinate 21,947,176 of NC_000001.11, forward strand.
TAACAGGCTTATTTTCCCTGAACTCTGGCTGAATAACTTGTGGAAGGGATTTGTGAACAGTAAGTATCTATCCTGAGAAGCAGTTTGGGCAAAGGGCTGAGATCCTGTCTCTCTGGGATACAATCCAAACCCCAACCAATGGGAAAACCTCATTTGAGCACCTACTCAGTACGAGGCTCTATAATGACATCTACCATTCATTGAGCACCTACTGTGTGCATTTGCAGAACACCTTGCATTTGCAAGATGTTGTCCCTGTGAAGATAATTATATTATTGTGTACCTATTCTGCATATAGTACTCCGTAATGTTAATACCGAATATTTTCTGAAAAGCCAATGTGTTCTATGCACTTTAATCATCTTTATCATACTCATTTATACCCGACCACTCTGTGCCTCAGTTTGCTCATCTGTAAAATAAGGATAATGGTACCATCCTTAAAGAGTTGCTGTGCGGCCGGGGGCGGTGGCTCATGCTGTAATCCCAGCATTTTGGGAGGCCAAGGCGGGTGGATCACTTGAGGTCAAGAGTTCGAGACCAGCCTGGCCAACACGGTGAAATCCCGTCTCTACTAAAAAATACAAAAATTAGCCAGACATGGTGGCAGGCACCTGTAATCCCAGCTTCTCAGGAGGCTGAGGCAGGAGAATCACTCGATCCCAGGAAGCAGAGGTTGCAATGAGCCAAGATTGTGCCACTGCACTCCAGCCTGGGCGACAGAGCGAGACACCGTCTCAGAAAAAAAAAAAAAAAACAGGCTGGGCTCAGTCGCTCACACCTGTAATCCTAGCACTTTGGGAGGCTGAGGCGGGTGGATCACAAGGTCAGGAGTTTGAGACGAGCCTGGCCAACATGATGAAACCTCATCTCTACTAAAAATACAGAAATTAGCTGATGTGGTGGTGCACATCTGTAATCCCAGCTGCTCAGGAGGCTGAGGCATGAGAATCACTTGAACTCGGGAGGCGGAGGTTACAGTGAGCCAAGATTGAGCCACCACTCTAGCCTGGTCAGCAGAGTGAGACTCCATCTCAAAAAAAAAGAAAAAAACAAAAACCAAAACCAAGAGCTTAATTAATGTTGGCTGTCATCATTACTATTGTTAATTATTGAACATCCATTACATGAGACCCTGTAATCATCCTTAAGATAATAGTAGTTATTATTACTGGGCACCTATTGAGTGCAAGGCTTGTAATCAACATTAATCTAATATTCAAGTCCCTATCATGAGCCAGAAGCGGGCTAGATACTGGAGACCTTAAGAGCAGCACCCTAGGCAAGGATCTTACACTCTCACTGGGAGAAAGTGCACCGTTTTGGAGGTGAGCATCTCCAGGAGAGTCAGGGACAGACCGCTCTGAGGCCTCTGAGAGCCAGGAAAATACAGCCCTGGAATGAGAAGGGTGGCTTTAGATGGCCAGACAGAGGCTTTGGGAGTCGGGACACCCTTGAACTGTCTCTTGAACTAGGCCAAATGGATTCTAACAAGCTGTGTTCCTGCGAATGTTCACCTGGGGAATGGGTCTCTGGCAAGATGAGGACCCACCAGACTAAAGCCAAAGTCTTCTCCCTGAGGAGGGAAGGGGTGCAACAGAGAAAGGAGTATGCCACATGCTCCACTGTGGGCCCAGGGAGGATTGCCCTTGTCCTCCAGAGATGGAATAGAAGGGAGGGTGAATTCAGTGGGCCAGGAGTTTGGCCCCTTCCCTCCTCCTGCCCTGGGACCACTGTGGTGATCTCATGGTGGGGATACTCAGGTTTGTCACTTTCTCTGACTGGCCACTGCCTCCAAACACCGTGGAACCTGGTGGGCCTCCAGGTTCTGCATTATCTCAAGGTCAGCCCCATTCTGAAGTCTGAGCTGCTATTGGCCTTCACATTGCCAGGGTGATGAGGAGAGCTCAAGCAATAAGAAACCTGAAGCCTGAAGTTCATCACCATATAGAAATGGGCCCTGAGGCCTGAAACGGCACCTGGTTAGCCTGGGAAGATGGCTCAGGGTACAGGAGGCCTGAGTTCTTGGGTGCAGGTACTCTCAATCCTCAGCCTGAGAGGCTCCAGGCCTGGCCTGGTTCCCAAGAGAAGACACTCAGAAACATCAGAGTCTAAGGGCCCTTAGAGATCATCAGAGCTACTGCACCCTTGTTACAGATGGGGAATCCGAGGACTGGAGTGAGAAGTGGTATATCCAAGATCTCAGGGCAGGTTAGTGGTGGGACTAGGCTGGAATCCCTGTCTCCAGGGTCCCTTAGCCAGCAGGATGGTGGGTTGCTGAATGCCCTATGTTCCAGCACCAGACTCAGTTGGGTCTCTGAAGGAGCTCAGTTGGAGTTCTTGGTGGCCCAGGGAACATTTTCCCAGATATTCCCAGCAAGAAATTCAGCGTAGTGGGAAAAGGGGACCAGCTCATCTTGATCCTTCCAGCCCTCCCCTGGCACAGACAGAACCACTCTGCAGAGATTTCCCAAAAAGGGCCATCCCACTATCTGCTACTGTGCCTCGTGGACTGTTCCAGTGCCTCTCACACTAGCCACCAGGAAGCTTTACTCTATGTCTAACCTAGGCCCTGATCATTAAAATCACACCTTTAAAAGAATAAACATATATCAAGAACTTAGAACAGTTCCTGCTATATAATAAGTACTCTATGAGTGCTTGTTATTTTTCTTATAATTCGTATTAATTAAACATTTCTGCTCACATGGGACTGTGCTAAAATCAACAATCCTGAAAAGAGAGGAATACGCATAGGAGTTGGGAATGGACAGCCAGTCTGTTTCTTCACATGGGGCAACCAAGGCTAAGGGAGGACAGCAACCTCCTCAGTGATCCATTCAGGATCTAAACCAGAGATTCCAAGCCGAGACCTGTGGGTTTTACATTTAGCCTGCAAGTATTTTTTTTCAGCCCACAGAGCATCCTGACATATTTGAATTTGTCGCTGACATATAAAATCAGGTCCCTGAGGCTGGGCACGGTGGCTCATGCCTGTAATCCCAGCACTTTGGGAGGCCGAGGCAGGCAGATCATGAGGTCAGGAGTTCAAGACCAGCTTGGCCAACATGGTGAAACTCTCTCTCTACTAAAAATACAAAAATTAGCTGGGCGTGGTGGCGTGTCCCTGTAATCCCAGCTACACAGGAGGCTGAGGCAGGAGAATCGCTTGAACACAGAAGGCGGAGGTTGCAGTGAACTGAGATTGCACCACTGCACTCCAGCCTGGGCAACAGGGCGAGACTCAGACTCAAAAAAAAAAAAAAAAATCAGTTCCCTGGATTTTCTTATAAGGCCTCAACCTGTTCGAGAGGCGGGTTGAGACTAGGCAGTCCCTCTCCACCCATCCACAGTCTATCATTCCCTGCTACTGCCCTGCCTGAAATTCTCTCATTTCACTTTTCCCTGCCTGGCCCCAGAGGCCCTTGAGTTTATAACCCTAATCTAAATGGCCATTCCCCTCCAACAAAGTCTTAGAAGAAGTATTTTGCCACAGACGATTTATTTTCCACAACTGTGGCCTGAGGGGCATGTGCACGTTTCACAGTTGGCGTCAGTGTCACCACCAGCTTGGGGGTTTGGAGATGGGCTCAGGGTCACTCCAGCCTGAGCAGATTGCTTCCCAGACCTTGGGCAGACAACCTAAGGCAAAGAGCCCATTGCTAAGCAAAGGGAGCTCAGGCAGCTTTGTACGTGGACCCCGTGGCAGCGCGATAGTGAAGTTCTGGCAATGAGACCTGCACGGATAACTCGTGTTGGTGGAGTCATCCAGGCACTGCAGGGCACTGGCACCCCTGAGGGACAGCACCATGCAGGTGCTGGTGGTGGAGTTGTTTGGGATGGTCACGCTGGTGCTGGGGCTGGAGTAACTCTGGGGCAAGGGGTGGTCCTGGTGGTCTAGGTTGAGGGAGCTGGCAGCCCTTTCCAGGTAGTTGGCTGCAAGCTTTGGCAGGCTCTGCAATGTCTTGTGGCAGCTGTTATAGGCATTGGTGGATTGGTCCAGGTAGTTGATGCCTTTGATGAGCTGGAGGAGTGGGGCTGGAGGAGTCCGAGGGACAATCCTTACAGAGCAGGCAGCAGGGGCTGCCCTGGAAAGCGGTCTTTCTGGCCACCTTGGGGTTCACCAGGTGACTTGTTTCTACCTACTTGGAGTAGCAGGGCCGGCCCATGCAGATTCTCCCCAGTGGAAGCCTAGTGGGGTTGAAGGGCTGCTCAGAGCAGCTGCTGCAGCTGCTGGACTCCAAGCCAGAGCCACTCCGGGTGTGGAGGCGCTTGAGGCTCTTGGCCTCATTCAGGAGGGTGCGTTTGGTCCAGCCTGGAATTTGGGCTGGAAAGGATGTGTTGTTGGGATGGCCCAAGCGGCCGTGAGTGTTGGAATGGCTCGCCTGGTATCCAGACATCATCCTGGCTGGGTGGACAAAGCTTTGTGGCTGAGCGGTGACAGTGTCTGGAGATTGGTTACTGGTTACCGGGGCCTGGCAGGGACAGAGTTAGTTCAGCTCAGCTGCTCTCCCTGCCGCCACCCTCCAGGCTTTCTCTCCAGGTGTTCCCTCTGCCCCCAGGGCTCCATGTCCTGCTCCTCTTGCCATCCTCCTCCCAGGCCCAGGAGTTCTCAAACTGGAAAACCGACAGCCTCTTCTTCAGAATGCACCAGGGAAAGCATGAGAGATGGGGCATAAGGCCAGACCATCATGATGACTGAGACCAAGGGGCCCGCCTAGAAGTGGGGCAGTGCCTTCTTTTTCTTTTAGCTTTAGCCCACATTTGGAAATTCCCATTCCCCCTTGAAGCAGGTACTCCAGAAGACCACAGAGGCCAAGGACTGAATCTCTAATGGTGAAATTCCAACAGAGACACACCTGCTTTTGAGGTCATATCAAAAAGCTAACCATCAACTATGCGATGCACCCTGATACTAAAAACTGTATCTTAGCATGGATGCAATGCTATACACACTCTCACTGTGTGCCACACTCCTCACTGGGTGTCCTCTGTGGGCTAACTCCTTTAATTCCTGCTACAAATCAAGGAGGTAGTTACTATTCTATTCCTAGCTGATGGGGAAAGTGAGACTCAGAGAGATGACGGGACTGGCCTAAGATCACACAGCTTGTAAGTGGTGGGGTCAGGATAGCATCTTGGGTGTCTCTGTTGACCCCTAACAGACAATGTCACGTCATCACAGTGAATTCGGCCTCCCCCGTAGCCTGCTAAGGATGAATTCTCACCACACCCGCTCTGCCTGCATAGATGGGGGCCTTGGTGAGAAGTAGGGGCTATAGGTAACCCTGCTAATAAGTGGATCCTGACTTTAAGAACCCCAAATGAGGGTGAGGGCCAGGTGGTGTGATAAGCCCGCTGATGGGGCTGGATTATGAGATCAGAACTTTTCGAGGGATTTAGCCTGGGTCCTCTCTGAAAGTACAGAATCTCCTCACCCACCCCACAAGGGGAGAGGGAATGGGGGTTCCCACTCTTCCTGGCCCAAACGTGGGTACTTCTCAGAGACAAAGACCTGACCAAGCCAAAGAGATGTCCCATCCACTTAACCCCACCTCCTGACCCTGGGCCCAGCCAGAAGCAGTGCCATTCCCCATTGTCCCCATTGTCCCCTGGCTCCCCAGGACTCACTCCACCCCACCCCCCTAGCCAGAAGGAAGGCTCTGACTTCTCTCCCCTACTGCTACCAGCTTGATGTGGATCTTCCATGTCTGCCTAGTGAAAAGAGAGCAGTGTTTAAGCACATCCCACCCATCAAACAGCTGCCTGCCCTCCTTCCAGCCCGGGCCCCTCAGCTGCCCTTGTCTTTTGGGTCTGATATGGGTGGAATGTCCAGACCCTTGCCTCTTTCCTGCCTGGTCCAACCCCACCAGATCTCCTCCTCTGGAAAAGTAAGAGGCCAGGGAGGGCTAATCCCTGCAGGACCCTGCCCTTCCCTCTCCTACTGCCTGGTCCCCGCCTGCCACCAGGGGCCTCTCCCTTCTCACTCTGTGTTTTAGGAGGTAGATGATTTAGACCTCCTCTTGCTCTCCTCGAGGGATGCCCTCATGCTGCCACTCTGGACTGCTGACCATGTCATGGAATCATGAAATCCTAGAGCTGGGAGGGGCCTTCGAGGTCATCCTGGTCAGGCCCCTGCCTCAGGGCCAGAGCCACTTTAAGCCTGCCAGGACAGATGGGCCCTATTTTTGAAACAAGGGTGGAGTGGCTGTCTTCCAGTGTTTGCTATTGGTTTTCTCAGTTTAATTATGCCAAGAGCCAGGAAGATCTACGCTAGCTCAAATATAACTCCGGTCAGCCTCAATCTCAGGACTCTTCAGGGAGCAAATTTCAGAACTTTCAAAACCCAGTGCCTCTCATTGGGGCCTCTGGTCTATAAGAGGCATTCAGTACATATTTGTTGAACGAATGAACAAGATTCTCATTTGAGGTCTCATAATAGGTGCCAGGAAAAGACTCTCCCCATCATTTGCTTCCCTCAAATGTTGAATATATACAGTTGTAGTTTTTATTTTGAAAAATGTTGACTTACTGAAAACTTATAAGACAATGAACTCCCATATACTCTTCATCCAAATCCCCTAATTATAACTTTTGCCATATTTATCACCCCCTCCCTTACACACATACTTATTATGTTGAGAGTAAGTTGCAGACAACAGGGTCTTTCACCCCGTTACTTCCATGTGTATCTCATGCTGGGAGAACAAAAATATTTTCTTTTTTTTTTTTTGAGACGGAGTTTCGCTCTTCTTGCCCAGGCTGGAGTCCAATGGCACAATCTCAGCTCACTGCAATCTCCGCCTCCTGAGTTCAAGCAATTCTCCTGCCTCAGCCTCCCAGGTAGCTGGGATTGCAGGCATGCACCACCATGCCTGGCTAATTTTTTGTATTTTTAGTAGAGACAGGGTTTCACCATGTTGGCCAGGCTGGTCTCAAACTCCCGACCTCAGGTGATCCACCTGCCTTGGCCTCCCAAAGTGCTGGGATTACAGGAGTGAGCCACCGCGCCCAGCCTTTTTTCTTTTTTTTTGAGATAGAGTCTTGCTCTGTTGCTCAGGCTGGAGTGCAGTGGTGTGATCTCGGCTCACTGAAACCTCTGCCTCCCAAGTTTAAGCGATTCTCCTGCCTCAGCATCCCCAGTAGCTGGGACTACAGGCACAAGCCACCATGCCCAGCTAATTTTTGTATTTTTAGTAGAGACAGGGTTTCGTCATGTTGTCCAGGCTGGTCTCGAACTCTTGACCTCAGGTAATCCACCCATCTTGGCCTTTCAAAGTGCTGGGATTATAGGCATGGCTACTGTGCCTGGCCAACAAGGACATTTTCTAGCACACCATAATGATCAAATTCAGGACACTGAACTTCACTATAGTACTATTATCAAATCTACAGCCCATATTCAAATTTCACCGATTGTCCCTCTAATGTCCTTCATGGCAATTATTTTCCTGATTCAGGATTCATTTCGGGATCAGGCATTGCATTGAGTTCTTATGACTCTTTGGGCTCCTTCGACCTGGAATCATTGCCTTTCTTTGTCTTTTATGACTTTGACATTTTTGAAGAGTACATGCCAGTTATTGTGGAGAATGTTTTCCAATTTGGGTTTATCTGATGTTTGCTAATGACCAGATCCAGGATTACAAAGTTCTTTTTTTTTTTTTTTTTTTGAGACAGAGTCTTGCTCTGTCGCCCAGGCTGGAGTGCAGTGGTGCAATCTCGGCTCACTGCAACCTCCGCCTCCCGGGTTCAAGCAATTCTCCTGCCTCAGCCTCCTGAGTAGCTGAGATTACAGGTGCCTGCCACCGTGCCCAGCTAATTTTTTTGTATTTTTAGTAGAGACAGGGTTTCACCATGTTGGTCAGGCTGGTCTCGAACCCCTGACCTTGTGATCCACCTGCCTTGTCCTCCCAAAGTGCTGGGATTATAGGCGTGAGCCACCGCGCCCGGCCATACGAAGTTCTTTAGCAATAGAAACTCCTGTGCGGGCCCGTCACAATCCACAGTCCACAGTCACTAGGAGTCTTTTGCCTGGGTTGGGTAGTTTCAGCTGCTGAAACAGGGAGCCAGGAGGAGGGATCAGAAGGGCGGCCCGCAGCCAGCGGAAGAGGAGTGCGAGGGAGCTCGGTGGACCAGGGAAGCGGTGTCCACAGTTCCCTTGTGGGGCCTGAGCCAGGGCTTGGTTCAGCTCTGGGTGGGGGGGCCGGGTGGGCAGGCACCCAGCAAGAGGGCTGGGCCTCTCTAGGATGCTTGTCCCGAAGGTCCCAGGCATCGAGATCACTACCCATTTCTGGCCTAAGAGGCACTGGAAATAGCTCTAGGACAATTATTTCAGGAAGAATGTGCTATTCCTCCATCTTCCCAGAAAGCCAGGCTGTGTCCTAGATCAGGACAGTCCCTCTGCAGCCTCCCACCTCAGGGGAACCTCCAGCCCCACTGAAGGCCCCAGAGGCCTTCAGAGCCAGAAGGGGCTGGGAGTCAAGAGTGGGAAGTGAGAGGCCCCTTTCCTGGTGGGGGAGGGGAAGTTCTGGCCTTCGATCCTGGGCTCTTAGGGCCCAGGCTGGAGTTAGGCTGGGCCGGCTGGAGTCCAGCTGACTCCAAGCCCGGGGCGCATGATGGGAAGGATATGGGGAAGAGGTCTGCCCCACCTCTTTCCTAGGCTCAACCCTGGGAAGCTGATATTTGTGAGGCATATATCATGTGCCATAGAACATGATATTGTGGGTCCCAGGCCCTTCTCAGCCTCCTTCCCTCCCATTTAATCCTCACAGCACCCCTAAGAGGTATTTTGTTTTCCAGATGAGGTAATCGAGGCTCAGAGAAGGCTAGAGACTTGCCCAAGCTTGCCCAGGAGGCTTGAGTGAGAACCTGGCCTTCTTAAGTGCAAAAGAGGGTAGGCTGTCCCTCCCACTCGGTGAGGACTCAGGAAGTGGCCCTGTGAACTGAGTAGCACTGGGAGGGGTCTAGTCTGGAGACCCAGGATGTTGGACAGCAACAGTCCCATCCCCCACTCGCCCCATTCTCCACTCCCCAGCCAAGCCCAGCTGCCCCCGCTTCCAGCGCTGCAGAGAAGATGCAGAGTCTCAGAAGGTCCTGGGTGGTGGGGTGCCCTGTCCTGCCATCTCCAGCCACAGTGGTACCCGCTGCCCCACCTGGCCCCTCTCCACCACCTCCAGCATTGGATCCTTGGCTTCATTGCCAAGGATAAACTGGCTGAAAAGTAGCTCTGCATCATCCGTTGCCCTCCCCCTGCACCCACCCCCAACCGGCTCTCCTCATTCTCACCTATCCCCCCTCCCACCCACCAAGGGCCACAGTCCCACCAACATCCTCTGCCCATCCTGTGCTCACCAAGAACACTAGGGGCCCTTCCCCAACCCCAAGCACAGAAGTTCCAAGGCATCTCATTCTCTGTGCTCCCCTGGGTAGGGGGAGCAGCTCCCTTCTCCAGAGACCTGAGGACCCTGACCCATTAGCACAGGTGCTGCCCATTAAGCCTTCACCTGCCGCTCAGCAGTTTCTCTCCTTCCCTGGGGCCTGAGAGAGTGGGAAGTGCCCCCTTATCCCTTCAGCCACATGGCTCTTATAAGCCCAGCTCAGCAGCCACATGTTTGTGACACCCAGGTCAGTTCAGGGGACAGCTAGAGCCAAGAGCCCTCCACCCTGCCCGAAGGGCATCTGTGTCCAGCCTCAGGCAACTGTTGGCACTGTGTCCTGAGCCTATACCTGGCCTTGAGCCAACTTGCCTGCCAGACTGGAAAATCTCTCCTGGGCCTGGACCTGGCCCTCCCCCGGCTGCAGCCTTATACCCACCAGAGCACAATGAGTCACGCGTCCTCCTCACCTAACACCCTCAAGGATATGGGGCCCCTGCTCACCCACTGCCAAAAACAGCACTTCCCCAAGTCCACATGTGGCAGGCACAAGCCAGGGCAGATCTGAGCTCAGGAGCACTGGGCAGGAGTGTCTTGGCAGGAGTCCCTGCCAGGGAGAGCTTCCCGCCCGCCAAGCTACCTGAGGGCTTTGCAGGTAGAGCAGCCAATCTGGGAGGCAGCAGGGCTCCCATCTTGATGGGGCCCGGGAAAGTCCCTGTAAGGAGGGTGCAGGAGGACGGTCACAGGCAGGCTTATGTACAACCTTGCTGAGAGAACAGCGCCCACGGAAGGTAGGACGGCAAGTAAGAGGCTTGTGCTGTGACCTGGGGCAAACAGGTGAACTTCTCCAAACCTCAATCTCCTGTTCTGTGAAGTGGAGGTGGGGAGGGGACTTCCGGAACACTGTTGACTTGACTGGCTCGCAATCACAGCGAGTGTTCACAACGTGCTCCCCGTGTCCCAGGCACACTTCCGAGTGCTTGATTACCTTACGAGTGGCTGCAGCCGTGTGCTGGCCCACAAGAGCCAACTGTTAAATGTTCTGAAATGTGGTGAATGGTTGTTAAAACACAGGTAGCTTGAAATCAGCCATAAGGAAAATATTTGGACGACAGGAATTGGCAGATATGACACATTAGGACTTGTTGCTGTTGTTGTTGTTGTTTTGAGACCGAGTCTCCCAGGCTGGAGTGCAGTGGTGCAATCTCGGCTCACTTCAGCCTTTCAACCTTCCTTCCCAGGTTCAAGTGATTCTCCTCCCTCAGCCTCCCGAGTAGCTGGGATTACAGGCACGTGCCACCACACCCAGCTAACTTTTGTATTTTTGGTAGAGATGGGGTTTCACCATGTTGACCAGGCTGGTCTTGAACTCGTGACCTCAAATGATCCGCCCGCCTCGGCCTCCCAAAGTGCTGGGTTTACAGGCATGAGCCACCGCGCCCAGCCCCTTTCCTTTAATCGTCAGATATAATGGCTCAAGTCTCCATCCCGCGGGCTGTGGGAAGTCCAGAGCCTTCCCTGCTATTTTTCAAGGAGCCCAGAAGGCTGTTATGGCCTTTTGTCACCCCTCACTCGGAATCTCTGCTTCTGGGTCAGTGTTCAGCCCCTCTTGCTGCCCCACCTTCTGTGACTGTCATGTTCTGTCAGCAAAGTCGCAGCCCCTGCCACACTGCTCTGTGACTGCTACTCCACAGGAGACCTTTCTCCAGCTTCTCTCTTCCGCCTGCCCCTGTTGCGTGGCTCCCACTGCCCCCGTAGTCCTCCCACCCTCTGGCTGCTGAGCCTGAAAAATGGATGGCTTTCAGCTGTTGACTAGAAAAGCCAATATTCCCTGTTCTTTCTTGTACCCAGCAGAGTGGCTCCTGGCAATCTTGATTCTCAGCTGGGGTGGGGGGTGGGGGGTTTCCTTGACAAATGAGCAGACTTCCTTCTGCCAACCCCACTAAGATGTGGGAGCAACAGATGACAACTTCTTCCTTCCTGCAAATATGCTTTAGATGACAACATCCTTTCAATAACATTGTGAGGTAAAAGCCATTTCTCCCAGGAGGCTGAGGTGGGAGGATCGCTTGAGCCCAGGAGGTGGAGGCTACGGTGAGCTGGGATCACGTCAGCTGGGTGACAGAGCACGACTCTGTCTCTAGCCTGGGTGACAGAGCAAGACTCTGTCTCAAAAACAAACAAACAAAAAAGAGTCATTTTCCCAAGAGAGGAATTTGGCAGTGAGGTTCTTCTTTGTACCAGTTGTACCAGCTGGGTTACCTTGGGTAAGTTATTTCTCTTTTCTGAGACTCAAATTCCTCACCTGAGATAATATCTGCTCCACCAGGTTTATCCCTAATGTAGTAGGCTCTCAATCAATACTAGCTGTTGCCACCATTATTTGACAGTTGAGAAAATTGGGTTCTAGACCCGGCTCTGTTATTAATTTGCTGAATGAGCTGGGCCTCAGTTTGCCCAACTGGAAAAGGAGGAGTTTGGGGGACCAAATAGGGGACCAAATGGTCTCTAAAGCCTGTTCCAGTCCTATTGGTCTCAGTAATGGCATCCTCCAGTCTCGGGACCCTTCCTGACCTCTTCAGCTGGCTGTTCATTGTACCCTTTTTGTTTCTTTGTTTGCTTGTTTGTTTTGAGACAAGGTCTTGCTCTGTTGCCCAGGTTGGAGTACAGTGGCATGATCATAGCTCACTGCAGCCTCAAACTCCCAGGCTGAAGTCACCCTATCCCCCCTTAGCCTTCAGAGTAGCTGGGACTGCAGGTGGACACCACCACACCCGACTAATTTTGTTTCTTTTTTGTAGAGATGGGGTCTCACTATGTTGCCCAGGCTGGTCTTGAACTCCTGGACTCAAGTGATCCTCCCACCTCGGCCTCCCAAAGTGCTGGGATTACAGGCATGAGCCACTGTGCCTGGCTATTTGTATTCTTTATCACAAACCAGTAGATGTAAGTAAATCACCTTCCTAGGTTCTGTGAGCTGTTCTATTAATAGCAAATTATTAAACCTGAGGAGGGAGTTGTGGGAGTCTCCAATTTATAGCTGGTTGGTCAGAATTATGGGGGTGAGGTGGCCCCAGGACTTTCAACTGGTGTCTGAAGGGGGACAGTCTTGTGGGGCTGAGCCCCGAGCCCTTTAAATTGTGGGATCTGATGCTAAAGTCAGGTAGACAGTGTCAGAAATGAATTGAATTGTTGCATACCCAGTTGATGTCAAATAGATGAAAAAGTGGTTGGTGTCAGAAAACACCTCCCAGCCTCCACTTAAAGAAGCTCTAGGCCGGGCACGGTGGCCCATGCCTGTAATCCCAGCATTTCAGGAGGCCATGGCAGGATGCGGTGGCCCATGCCTGTAATCCCAGCATTTCAGGAGGCCATGGCAGGATGCGGTGGCCCATGCCTGTAATCCCAGCACTTCGGGAGGCTGAGGCTGGATGCAGTGGCCATTGCCTGTAATCCTAGCACTTTGGGAGGCCAAGGCGGGAGGATGCTTTAGACAAGCACTGCCTTTCAATAACATTGTGAGGTAAAACCATTTCCCCTGGGAGACTGAGGCAGGAGGATCGCTTGAGCCCAGGGGTTCAAAGCTGCAAGTGAGCCATGATTGCACCACGGCACTCCAGCCTGAGCAACAGAGCGAGACCTTGTCTCCACAAAAATTTTTTTAAAAAAGCAATTCTTTTAGGCTGGGCACAGTGGCTCAGGCCTGTAATCCCAGCACTTTGGGAGGCTGTGGTGGGCAGATCACTTGAGGTCAGGAGTTTGAGACCAGCTTGGCCAACATGGCGAAACCCTGTCTCTACTAAAAATTACAAAAATTAGCGGGGTGTGGTGGTGCCCGCAAGTAATTGCAGCTACTCAGGAGGCTGAGGCATGAGAATCACTTGAACCTGGGAGGCAGAGGTTGCAATGAGCCAAGATTGCACAACTGCACTCCAGCCTGGGTGACAGAGTGAGACTCTGTCTTAAACAAACAAACAAAAAACAGTACTTTACAAAAATTAAAATTAAAATTAAAATTGATGAAAGAAGACCAGCCGTGGTTGCTCACGCCTGTAATCCCAGCACTTTGGGAGGCCAAGGCAGGCGGATCGCCTGAGGTCAGGAATTCGAGACCAGCCTGGCCAACATGGAGAAACCCCGTCTCTACTAAAAATACGAAATTAGCTGGGTGTGGTTGTGCGTGCCTGTAGTCACAGCTTCTTGGGAGACTGAGACAGGAGAATCACTTGAACCCGGGAGACAGAGGCTGCAGTGAGCTGAGATCGCACCACTGCACTCCAGCCTGGGTGAGAAAAAAAAAATAATAGTAATAAAATTAATGAAAGAAGTTCCTACCCGCAAAATGAAATGTGTCCCAGGAAACAAGGAGAGCATCTTGTTCAGAGTGGGAAGGCACCAGCCATGATCACTGAGAGGATGTGACAAAGCCTGCTGGTGGCTTCCCAAGAGGCACGGTTCTGTTTAAATTTTTCTGTTCACGGCCGGACGTGGTGGCTCACGCCTGTAATCCCAGCACTTTGGGAGGCCAAGGTGGGCGGATCACAAGGTCAGGAGATTGAGACCATCCTGGCTAACATGGTGAAACCTCGTCTCTACTAAAAATACAAAAAATTAGCCGGGCGTGGTGGCGGGCGCCTGTAGTCTCAGCTATTGGGAGGCTGAGGCAGGAGAATGGCGTGAACCCAGGAGGCGGAGCTTGCAGTGAGTGAGCCGAGATCGCGCCACTGCACTCCAGCCTGGGCGACAGAGCAAGACTCCATCTCAAATAAAAAAAACAAAACAAAACAAAATAAATTTTTCTGTTCACTTGAATTTTTTCACAGTGATACACTTGAATAGAAAATGCAGGGGTAGGATGCAGCAGAAAGAGCCCTGGCTTGCGTCTGGAGTCCTGGGTTCTATTGTCAGTGCTATGCCGTTGAACCACTCTATGACATTGACAAGTCCCAGCCTTTCTCTGGGCCACACTAGCCAGTCTCTACTGGCCTTTCCAGAGCTCATACTTAATTAGATAATTTTCATTGACTTCAATCCACACAAGTGTTATCTACTAGATGTCTGTTTATTTACATATCAAATCTCCTCCCACCAGCCACTGAGGCCCTAGAGGGTAGGGGCTGTCTCCCCAGAGCCTGGTACAGGCCCTGGCACTTTGTGGGTTCATGGAAGGAGGAGAGGACAGATGAATGATTGCCAGCCTGTGTCTCAGAACACCTCTGCCCCTGAAGGGTTTGGGGTTCCTGGACAGGAACAGGAAGCCTTGGATCTCCTTGAGACTGGTGCCCACTCATGCACCTCCTCCTGCCTGTGCCCCTGGATGCCCTGAGAGGTGAGGGAGGTGGCAGGAGTAAAGGGTAACTGGATTGGAGGCTCAGAGGCTCAGAGGCCTCCACTTCCTGCAGTGGAGACCCTGCCCAAGCCTGGCTCCAGCCCTGACCTCTGACTCCACCAGGAGAGTGCCAGGAAACAGACCTTAAGGCCGGAAACCTTCCTTGGGCTTGGCCTGGACCCAAGCTCCTACCGGGCATGGGCTGAGCCCTGCCTGGACCCAGTGGACCAAAAAGCCCACCCTTCTTGCTCAGCCTGGCAGAGCTGCTCTGCTGTAGCAACTTGGGGACAGTCTTTGCCTCTGAAACCACCACCAGCAGTTCCAAGCAGCCTGCCCTGGCAGGGAAGGTGCTGGGGTCAGGAGCTCTGGGTTCAGTTCCCACCTCTACTTCTCAGTGTCTGGGAAAGCATGGGCACTTTGCCACGCCTCCCTGAGCCTCAGTTGCTTCATCCTATTTCACGCTTAGGGATTAAAATAGAGAAGGTCTCACATGAATTCTCTTCCTTTACCATATTCAAGGAACTCAAAACAAGTTAAGCTTCCAGATACAGCTGAAGCCCTGGCCAACTTCACACCCCTTCTTCTTGGAGGGTGGCACCATCTAATCTCTGATTATCTTTGCTACGTGTATTTATTCTATTCCTACACATTGCTGTATATGGCATAGCATTGGTCTGCATGGATTCAAATGTTTTACATACTATGACATTATACTGAATGCATTATTCTGTAATTTGCTTTTTTACTCAATAAAATGCTTCTGAGATCTATCCATAGCGACACATATGACTCTAATTTAATCATTTTCACTGCTTAACATTGCATTCTATATATACCCAATTCATCCATTCTCCTGTCAATATGCATACTTTTAAGTTGTTTCCAATTATGTTTCATTATTTCAAGCAACACTGAAATGAATATTCTCATACATGTCAAAAAAAAATGAATTACAGATGAGTGTTATCAGGGAGCACATATTCATTGAGCCGGGGTATTCACTACAGGCTCTGATGACAATATGTTATGAGCCCAAACTACAGCAAACGACTTGACAATGGGACGGAGCACTTAAGATTGGGACTCTCTGGGACAGGAAAGCAATCATTGCTGCCCTGTGTTCAGTGTTTCCTATGGGCCAAGCCCAGTGTTCAGTGCTTTATCTCCTTGAATTCTCACAGAAACCTTGTGAGGGAGCTATTGGTGTTACCCTAGGTGAAGAAACTGAGGCACAGAGAGGTTAAGCGTCTCAGTCTGGGTGCAGTGGCTCACACGTGTAATCCCAGCACTTTGGGAGACTGAGGTAGGTGGATCACTTGAGGCCAGGAGTTCGAGACCAGCCTGGCCAACATGGTGACACCCCCATCTCTAATAAAAATACAAAAATTAGCTGGGCATGGTGGTGCATATCTGTAATCTCAGCTACTTGGGAGGCTGAGGCAGGAGAATCGCTTGAACCTGGGAGGCAGAGGTTGCAGTGAACTGAGATTGTGCCACTGCACTACAGCCTGGGTGACAGAGCGAGACTCCGTCTCAAAAAAAAAAAAAAAAAAAAAAAACACAGAGAGAGGTTAGGTGTCTTGAAAAAGATCACACAATTATGGTTGAACAGGAATTCAAACCAAATCTACGTCTGTCTGATACAACTTCCCACATTTCAACCAGAGCAGAGGGTCCCTGGTACGATGCCGCAGAGCTGTGGAAGCACAAAGGCAGGAAGGACGGGTCCCAACGGAGAGGTGCTCAGGGAGGGCTTCCTGGGGGAGGTGACAGTCCCAACCAGCCTAGAAAGATGAATATTGAAGAGGGCAGCAGTGGGAGGCATCTGGGAGGGAGACATTTGGGCCAAGGCTTGGAGGCTGGCCGACTGAGCCCCTGCCCCCAAATCACTCATCGACCCCTTGACTCCTCCCTGCCATTCCCTGCATTTCTCTTTCTTCCAGCTCCCCTCTGATCTCTGGGGTCCATCCTTCTCTTTTTACCTTCTTTCTCTTGAGTTCTGTCCTATCTCCTCATTCCCCAGTCATCCATTCATTCACTTGTTAATTCATCCACTCATCTAACACAAACTGAGCACCAGCTCTGTGCCAGGGCATTGGAACCTGAGTGAGGCAGTCCCCAGAATTGGTGGTGAGTGCGTCCACCACACTCAACTCAACCCCTAAGAGGAGGCTCTGAGATCTGCCCTGTCCCTCAGACGCACCCAGAGACAAACACACCCTCACACCTAGCAACTTCCTAGAAAACACCTGGAGGCAATCATGGCTCTCGGGCGCCCCTTGCTGGTAACTTGGGATGTTGCATCCTAGGCTGGAGAGTCCAAGTGTGACCCTAGGAAGGTGCTGCCCTGGCTCCCCACAAACTCCTGGTGCACTGCAACTTCTGCCAGCAGTTCCATTCTAGGAGTTTCTAAGAGTGCAGTCCTTGTCATAAATGTTTAGTGCCCTACCCTTTTGTTTGTTGTTGTTTGGTTTTTTTTTTGAGACCAATCTCACTCTGTTGCTCAGGCTGGAGTGCAGTGGCTCCATCTTGGCTCACTGCAACCTCCGCCTCCCGGGTTCAAGTGATTCTCCTGCTTCAGCCTCCCCAGTAGCTGGGACTACAGGTGTGTGCCACCATGCCTGGCTAATTTTTGTATTTTTTAGCAGAGATGGGGTTTCACCATATTGGCTAGGCAGGTCTCAAAAGTGATCCACCCATCTCAGCCTCCCAAAGTGCTGGGATGACAGGTGTGAGCCACTGTGCCCGGCCTAATGCCCTAGGCTTTGTCAGGCCCAAGCCAAAGGCCAGAGTAAGAAGCAGTGACAGATGTATGTTTGTTGTACTGGGAAGGGGGGACGGGATGGGTGCTCTGGAATGTGTGTGTGCATCATGGATGTGTGTGCACCAGTGCTGTACACGGGAGGGGTCTGTACACGGGGGTGCCTGGGTGCACATTCTGAGTTTGTGCTTGTGTATCATTGTCCTGCGGTGAGCAGGCCTATGCAAACCACCACCAAAGACCGAGGGAGCTGAGAGGCCAAAGAAAGAGGCTGACAAGTGCAGTTTATCAGAAAGAAAATAGGGACTTGCAAACAGAAGTTGCAAATTCATTTACTCAATAAAGTGCTTTTGAGATCTATCCATAGCGACACCGTCAAGCAATTGCAAGATGGTGCACCCCTGCACCTACCTTCCAGAAAACATTATTTTTATAGCAAGCTTTTAGGGTAAAGACATGTGCAGCTGGTCATGCCTCAGATATTCTGAAGCTCTTGACCACTGGGGAGTCCAGATTAGCATTTTTTTTTTTTTTTTGAGATGGAATCTCACTCTGTCACCAGGCTGGAGTGCAGTGACACAATCTCGGCTCACTGCAACCTCTGCCTCCCGGGTTCAAGCGATTCTCCTGCCTCAGCCTCCCGAGTAGCTGGGATTACAGGTGCCCACAACCATGCCTGGCTAATTTTGTATTTTTAGTGGAGACGGGGTTTCATCATGTTGGCCAGGATGGTCTCGATCTCTTGACCTCAGGATCCACCTGCCTCAGCCTACCAAAGTGCTGGGATTACAGGTGTGAGAGACAACGCCCCGGCCGTGATTAGCGTTTTTTTTTTTTTGAGACAGAGTCTCGCTCTGTTGCTCAGGCTAGAGTGCAGTGGCGTGATCTTAGCTCACTACAAGCTCTGCCTCCCAGATTCACGCCATTCTCCTGCCTCAGCCTCCCGAGTAGCTGGGACTACAGGCGCCCACCACCATGCCCGGCTAATTTTTTTGTATTTTTAGTAGAGTCGGGGTTTCACCGTGTTAGCCAGGATGGTCTCGATCTCCTGATCTCATGATCTGCCCACCTCGGCCTCCCAAAGTGCTGGGATTACAGGCGTGAGCCACCGTCCCAGCATCGTGATTAGCGTTTTTATGAAGGGTTATCTATGCTACAGCCATTGTCTTAAGAACTTGCTGCAGAATTTAAGAACTTGCTGGTCAGGCAGGTGACTCATGCCTAAATCCCAGCACTATGTGACAGTAACACCCTGTATGTACAAATTTTTTTTTTTTTTTGAGACAGAGTTTTGCTCTTGTTGCCCAGACTGGAGTGCAATGGCGCGATCTCAGCTCACTGCAACCTCTGCCTCCAGGGTTCAAGTGATTCTCCCGCTTCAGCCTCCCAAGTAGCTGGGATTGCAGGCATATGCCACCATGCCCAGCTAATTTTGTATTTTTAGTAGAGACGGAGTTTCTCCATGTTGGCCAGGCTGGTCTCGAACTCCCAACCTCAGGTGATCTGCCTGCCTCGGCCTCCTAAAGTGCTGGGATTACAGGCGTGAGCCACTGTGCCTGGCCTCAAATTTTTTTTTTCTTTAATTAGCCAGGTGTGATGGTGTGTGTCTATAGTCCCAGCTACTCGGGAGGCTAAGGTGGGAGGATCACTTGAGTCTGGGGGGGTCAAGGCTGCAGTGATTGCACCACTGCATTCCAGCCTGGGTGACAGAGCGAGACTTTGTCTTAAAAAAGTAATAAAATTGCTGCAAAACACTGTGGTATGCTGGAGTCAGACATCGGTCATCATGGCAGTTTCATTTCATGATGATGTCACTCTTGCCATGCAACAGGCTATCTGCCTACAGGCATGCTCTGGTGCTATGGAGAAGTGCGTGTGAGTAGTCCTTACCTGCGCACACTAGGTGTTCACTGAGTACATGCATGGAGGCGCATGGGCAGCATTCTCACCTCAGATGGAGCAGCTCTGAGGCTTTGACTCTGAGCTCCCTAGTGGGATCTGGTGCCAGTTGTCCATGAACGTCCCCTGTTCTGGCTTCCCTCTCCTCCCTGTCTCACTTCCCCACTCCCCTACACATGCTTCTTGGGATCTCCTCCCACATAAATCACTTGCGCTCGAATCCTGCCTCAGAGTCTTCTCCTGGGAGATGAAGGAGGCAGCCCGGGGCGGGCAACACACTGAGGTTGGCAGAGTGCAAAGATGGCAAGAGCCCGGGTCCACGGTGACACTGTTAGGGAAACAGAGAATAAGAGAGTCAGGCTGACACCATTTTAAAATAAGCTGTGGCTGGGTGCAGTGGCTCACGCCTATAATCTCAGCACTTTGGGAGGCCAAGGCGGGTGGATCATCTGAGGTCAGGAGGTCGAGACCAGCCTGGCCAACATGCAGAAATGCCCTCTCTACTAAAAATACAAAAATTAGTCGGGTGTGGTGGCGGGCGCCTGTAATTCTAGCTACTCGGAAGGCTGAGGCAGGAGAATCGCTTGAACCTGAGAGGCAGAGTTTGCAGTGAGCTGAGATCATGCCACTACACTCCTGCTTGGGTGACAGAGTGACACTCTGTCCCAAAAAATAAAATAAAATAATAAAATAATAAAATGAACTGCATCTTCAAACTAACAAGACACGCTCCTAGCCAGTCACAACTCACGGCCATGAGATGTTTCTGGCGAAGGAAGCGGTTTAGTAATTCCTGCAAGGCAAACTCCTATGATGGCAGGATGTCCAGGTGTCCTGATACCACATCACAATATCCGCTTTTGAGACAGTTACAGTCATGCTTTGATGTATTTCCACACTAAAATACCAAGGATAATTTTCTTTAAATCAACAAAGTACTAAATTTTCCTTTAAAAAGGTTATTGTATTTATGGCTGGGCACTGTGACTCATGCCTGTAATCCCAGCACTTTGGGAGGCTGAGGCAGGTGGGTCACTTGAGGTCAGGAGTTCGAGACCAGACTGGCCAACATGGCGAAATCCCATCTCTAATAAAAATACAAAAAATTAGCTGAGCATGGTGGCGCATGCCCGTAATCCCAGCTACTCAGGAGGCTGAGGTGGAAGAATTGCTTCAACCTGGGAGGCGGAGGTTGCAGTGAGCTGAGATTGCACCACTGCACTCCAGCCTGCACAACAGAAAGGACCTCCTCTCCAAAAAAAAAAAAAAAAAAAGAAGAAGAAAAGAAAAGAAATTGTATTTGTTCATTTATTTTTCAAAGCCAAATACTTCTGAATTTCTTTAAAAAAATTTTTTTTCTACGCAGTCTCGCTCTGTTGTCCGGCTGGAGTACAGTGGCCCCATCACTGCTCACTGCAGCCTTGACCTCCCGGGCTCAAGTGATCCTCGCACCTCAACCTCCCAAGTAGCTGGGACTACAGGTGCATGCTACCATGCCCAGCTAATTTTTGTATTTTTTTGTAGAGATGGGGTTTCACCCCATTGCCCAGGCTGGTCTTGAACTCCCAGGCTCAAGTGATCCACCTACCTCAGCCTCCCAAAGTGCTAGGATTACAGGTGTGAGCCACTGCACCTGGACTCAGATTTTGTCTTTCTTGAAAACCTCCTTCGACCTCAGCCCATCCGCTCCTCCACTGCCCCCACCCTGGTTACCTGGAGAACCTCTGCAGAACCCACACTAGCCTCCCTGATGGCATTCTGGCTCCTCTTCAAACCGTTTCCCACTCAGCAGCCAGAGACATGCTTCAAGACATAAGCTGGATCATGTTCTCCTGTGGAAAACCCTTCAAAGGCCTCCTGTGGCCTTGTGTGCCTGCCCTGCAGGAATCTCCAGCCCCGCTTCTCTGCTCCCATCCCAGAGAAGCTCCAGTCCTTAAATTTATTCCTTGCTGTATTGTGGCTGGGCAGGGGCAGGCTGGATTTCCCAGGCACCTATGACAGCAGGCTTCTCCCACTTCCGGTGGGAGATTGAAAGGCCGGAGGGAGAGAGAAACCTCCCTCCTGTCCTCCAAAAGGTACTTCTCTCCCTACACTTCCTCCACGGCTCCCACCAGACGTGCCTGGGCTGGGCCCAGCTTTGGCGAGGTGACCTCTGCTCCTGGGCTCCAGCTACCAGCATCTCCTCTCTCTGTCCTACCATCTTGGGAGGGAGCTGTACTACTCTCTGGGTTCCCACATCTTCCCTGCTGGCTTCTCTGCACCTCCCTCACCTAGGCAGCCAATTCCCCAGATTAAATTCCCTGTACTTCAAATACTTGAGATTTCTGTTTTCTGGTTTGACTCTGACTGACAAAGGCAGACTTCCATCCTGAGGAGGAAGCCAGCAGCCGGTGTGGGGCAGAGCCAGTGGAACGGCAGAAATCCTAAGCCTGAGCTGGGGTGCACCTCTCTTTGGCTCCCCTGCCTCTCCACTTAAAGTGAAGTCCTGTGAGATTGTACATTTCCTATTTGTGGCCGGGCCTGCTGGCTCAGATCTGTAATCCCAGCACTTTGGTAGGCCGAGTCAGGCAGATCACTTGACCTCAATAGTTTGAGACCAGCCTGGGCAACATGGCAAAACCTTCTCTCTACAAAAAATATTTTAAAATTAGCTGGGTGTGGTGGAGCGTGCCTGCAGTCCCAGCGACTCGGCAGGCTGAGGTGGGAGGATTGCCTGAGTCAGGAAGGTTGAGGCTGCAATGAGCTCCCATCATGCCACTGCACCCCAGCCTGGGCGACAGAGTGAGACTTGTCTCCAAAAAAAAATCCTAATTGTTTCACTTAGGCAGAGTGTCCTGTTGCTTGCAACTGAAAATATTTGTATTTTGTGGCAGAGACCTGTGGCTGTCCCCAATATTGGCTCTCCCTTTCTTTTCTTTTCTTTTTCTTTTTCTTTTTTTTTTTTTGAGACAGAGTCTTGCTGTGTCACACAGGCTGGAGTGCAGTGGCGCAACCTCATTGCAACCTCTGCCTCCAAGGTTCAAGCAATTCTGCAGCCTCAGCCTCCCAAGAAGCTGGGACTACAGGTGCACACCACCACCTCTGGCTAATTTTTGTATTTTTAGAAGAGACAGAGTTTCACCATTTGGGCCAGGCTGGTCTCGAACTCCTGACCTCGTGATCTGCCCGCCTCGACCTCCCAAAGTGCTGGGATTACAGGCATAAGCCACTGTACCCTGCTTGTTAAGAGGACTTTTTATTGTGTCCAGGGGCTGTGCAGAATGGAAACCACGCTTGCCTGTCTCCCAGGAAGCCAGGTGAGGCCGTGCGCTGATTTCTGGCTGTGGCAGAAGAGATGCCTACAAATTTCAGGTTGACCATGTAAAGGTGAAGTTATCCCCTTCCCTTTTCTTCATCTGGAATGTGGTTGTCCTGGAGGAGCCATTTCATGCTCTATTTTTAGATTGGTGTAAAAGCGTAATTGCAGTTTTTGCCATCACTTTTAATGCCAGGGAAGCCAGAAGAAAGTATCACAAACTGGGTGGCTTAAACAACAGAAACTGATTGTCTCACAATCCTGAGGCCGGAAGAAGGAAATCAGGGTATTAGCAGCTTGTTTCCTTCTGAGGGCTACGAGCAAAGGTTCTGTTCCCTCACCTTGGCTTGTAGATGGCCACCTTCCCTCTCCGCAGTTTCTCTGTGTCCCAGTTTCCACTTTATATAAGCACGCCAGTCAGGCTGGGCGCAGTGGCTCAGCCTATAATCCCAGCACTTTGGGAGGCTGAGGCGGGCAGATCACCTGAGGTCGGGAGTTCGAGACCAGCCTGACCAACATGGCAAAATGAGGTCTCTACACAAATACAAAAATTAGCCAGGCGTGGTGGCACGTGCCTGTAGTCCCGGCTACTGGGGAGGCTGAGGCAGGAGAATCGCTTGAACCTGGGAGGTGGAGGCTGCAGTGAGCCGAGATCGCGCCACTGCACTCCAGCCTGAGCGACAGCCAGGTAAAATGAAGCTGAGACCTGGGCTGCATTCCCAGACAGATAGCCAGTTAAGGTTAAGGCATTTTAGGTCACAGGATGAGATAGGAGATCCACACAAAATACAGCTCATAAAGACCTTGCTGATAAAACAGGTTGCAGTAAAGAAGCTGGCCAAAACCCTCCAAAACAAAGATAGCCACGAGAGTGACCTCGGGTCGTCCTGACTGCTACTCTCCCACCAGCACCATGACAATTTACAAATGCCATGGCAACGTCAGGAAGTTACCCTATATGGCCTAAAATAAGGGGAGGCATGAATAATCCACCCCTTGTTTAGCATATCAGCAAGAAATAACTATAAAAATGGGCATGTCTATGGAGTAACAATTTTTTATACCTTTACTTTCTTAATAAACTTGCTTTCACTTTTCTCTATGAACTCGCCCTGAATTCTTTCTTGCACAAGATCCAAGAACCCTCTCTTGGCATCTGGATTGGGACCCCTTTCCTGTAACACCGGGAAGGTATGGCACTGGCCGTGGGGAAAGGGCTGTGCCTGTCCCCACTGCCATTGCTCAATAACCTCCTTGGATCCCAGCCGGGGTGATGCCTTCCCTGGGACAAGAGATACCTGCATACTGTCCTAGCCCTGGGTTCCCATGGTGGCTTCTTTGTACCACAGGTGGGGCACCTGCAGGGCCTCCTTCCCCATCCCTGACACTGCTGACCCATCTGAGACAGCTGGGGCTGGTAGCTGGGGAATGTTGACCTGTAGTCATCAAAGAGATCAGAATCCAGTTTTTGAGAGTTTATTCCAGCAAAAATCTGAGAATAGTCATCCAGAAACATGGGCTCCAGAGAAAAGGAGTAAGTGCTCCAAAGTTAAAAGTTAAAGTCCCACCAGGCATGGTGGCTCACGCCTGTAATCCCAGCACTTTGGGAGGCTGAGGCGGGCAGATCATTTGAAGTCAGGAGTTTGAGACCAGGCTGGCCAACCTGGTGAGACCGCATCTCTACTAAAAATACAAAAAATTAGCCGGACGTGGTGGTGCATGCCTGTAATCCCAGCTACTCCAGAGGCTGAGGCAGGAGAATTGCTTGAACCCAGGAGGCAGAGGTTGCAGTGAGCCGAGATCGTGCCACTGCACTCCAGCCTGGGCAACAGAGTGAGACTCCATTTCAAAAAAAAAAAAAAAGTTAAGGTCTTGGAGCCAGGTGTGGTGACGTGAACCTGTAGACCCAGCTATGAGGAGGCTGAGGTGGGAGGATAGCATGATCCCGAGTTGGAGACTGCTCTGAGCTATCATCACAGCACTGCACTCCAGCCTAGGCTACAGAGTGAAACACTACCTCTCTTAAAAAACAAAACAAAACAAAACAAAAAAACACAGTAGGGCACAGTGGCTCACGCCTGTAATCCCAGCACTTTGGGAGGCCCAGGTGGGTGGATCACAAGGTCAGGAGTTCAAGACCAGCCTGGCCAACATGGCGAAACCCCATCTCTACTAAAAATACAAAAATTAGCTGGGCGCCTGTAATCCCAGCTACTTGAGAGGCTGAGGCAGGAGAACTGCTTGAACCTGGGAGGCAGAGGTTGCAGTGAACCGAGATCGTGCCATTGCACTCCAGCCTGGGTGACAACAGCAAGGCTCGTCTCAAAAAAAGAAAAAAGCCGGGCGCCTTGCTCACGCCTGTAATCCCAGCACTTTGGGAGGCTGAGGAGGGTGGATCACCTGAGGTCGGGAGTTTGAGACCAGCCTGACCAACATGGAGAAATGCCATCTCTACTAAAAGTACAAAATTAGCCGGGCATGGTGGCACATGCCTGTAATCTCAGCTACTCGGGAGGCTGAGGCAGGAGAATCGCTTGCACCTGGGAGGTGGAGTTTGTGATGAACCAAGATTGCGCCATTGCACTCCAGCCTGGGCAACAAGAGTGAAACTCCGTCTCAAAAAAAAAAAAAAAAATTAGCCTGGTGTGGTGGCAGGTGCCTGTAATCCCAGCCCTTTTGGGGGCCGAGGCAGGTGGATCACCTGAGGTTAGGAGTTTGAGAACAGCCTGGCCAACATGGTGAAACCCCGCCTCTACTAAAAATACAAAAATTAGCCCAGCATGGTGGCAGGTGCCTGTAATCCCAGCTACTTAGGAGGCTGAGGGCAGGAGAATCACTTGCACTCGGGAGGTGAAGGTGGCAGCGAGCCGAGATCTTGCCATCGCACTCCAGCCTGGGGGACAAGAGTGAGACTTTGTTTCAAAAAAAAAAAAAAAAAAAAATGAAGATCTTGCTCATACAGGCAGAAAACAAAGAAATTTAGTAGGACTATAACATTTCTATACCAGGCTGGTTTATGAGTTACAACAATATAGCTAGTTAAAATTTGTCTTCTTTTCCATACACTTTGTTTTATTTTCCTTTCCAATTTGTGTATTTAACATTCTATCTTAGATAATGTGATAGTCATGAAGTCTTTGTGTGAGAGAGAAAAGAAGGAAGTTAATCTATAATGAAGATTGACTGTTGAGAGTGAAACAGTCTGCCCTGTCACCCTTTAGTCATTTACAACATTTTATAAAACAATGTAGGTAAAGAAAAGCTAATCGATAACACAAACAAAAGTTATGCCTTCCTGTTTACATTACTCAGGTCCCATAATCTCATTCCCTTAAGTCTAAGGTATTTTAAAGTTCCAACAGCTTAGATTTTGAATATCTTATTTTCACAGAAACTACAGGGCAATAAGGCACCAGAGTCCCAGACTCAGGA
This sequence comes from Homo sapiens, assembly GCF_000001405.40. Taxonomy (NCBI): domain Eukaryota; kingdom Metazoa; phylum Chordata; class Mammalia; order Primates; family Hominidae; genus Homo; species Homo sapiens. Next base: position 21,973,269 of record NC_000001.11, read on the forward strand.
CCACTGTGTGTGATTCACCGTGAACACTGGCATATTAAAGGCTCTGAGAAGTCCTGTAGGAAAGGACAATTTGAACTTTGTCTGAGCTCATACTTTCCAATCCCATCTGACCTTTAGTTCTTCACTGAGTGCCCACTGGGTTATGTTCTGGGAGCTGAGGCCACAGCAGTGAACAAAGCACACAAAACCCCCTGCCCCATGGGGCTCCGTTCTACTGGGGCCATTTATCATCAAACATCTATTAATATCTCAAGAATGTGCCCATCAGGACACCATCCATGCTGCTGCGCTTTTCCAGGCCACACAGAGGGGACACCCTCCAGGTGCACCCTGCATGAATATCAGGCTCAACCGTGCTTTCAGGGTAGGAAGCGGAGGGCATTTGAAGAGTCCTTTCCCTTCCTTCATTCATTTGTTGTCTCCTTGAATAAATGCTGTTGAAAACCTACCATGTGCCAGGCTCCCTTCTAGGTACTGGGAATCTGAAGATGAATAAGATAAAGTTTTAACCCTCGAAGAGCTTCCTATGGGGTGGGAACTAGAAAGAATGGAACTCCCCCAGTCCCAGGAAAAAGGCTCACCAGCTTCCCCTCTGTCCCCTCGCCAGCTTCCCTGCCCTCCCTCTCCTTCCCAGACTGACCTCCTAATTTTGCATACTCTCCGACCTAACTTCCACCTCCATTCAGGAAATGGCTTGCTTTGCTTCAGGCTGAGGCCTAAAGTAGATCTAACCCCTCCATCTTCCCTCTTGCGGGGCAGGTGTTGGAAGGAGGTTCATCTTCAGGGATTTCACTCAAGCTACTCCTAGGCCAGAAAACCCTCGGAGAGTTAATCAGCCGTGCAACTGCCAGTGTCAGTCCATAGGCCTTGAAGTGACCAATCAGGCAGGGGTTGTGGTGGGACAGTTGGCGTCAGGGAGCCCCTCTCCCTGGGGACCCAGCAGAGCCGACAGAGAGGCTGGGACTTGCTCAAGGTCACCTGGGTAAGAAGCCGGGAAGGCTTCTCGGTTGAAGTTGGGGGAGGGAGAGTGGACCCTCCCATGCCCGTGGGCTACCCTTCACCAGGCCAAGCAGTAACAAACCAGGGAAACTTGACCAAGTCCTGGCTTTTCTCTGGGTCATCATTTTCTTCTTCTTTTTTTTTTTTGTGACAGAGTTTTGCTCTTATTGCCCAGGCTGGAGTGCAATGGCACGATCTCGGCTCACCACAAACTCCGCCTCCCAGGTTCAAGCGATTTTCCTGCCTCACCCTCCCTAGTAGCTGGGATTACAGGCATGCGCCACCACACCCGGCTAATTTTGTGTTTTTAGTAGAGACGGGGTTTCTCCATGTTGGTCAGGCTGGTCTCGAACTCCTGACCTCAGGTGGTCCACCCTCCTCGGCCTCCCAAAGTGTTGGGATTACAGGCGTGAGCCACCGCGCCCGGTCCATCATTTTCCCTTCTGTCAGATGTAAGTGGTTGGATTAGATCGCGTTTTAGGCCCTGTGGGTTTCAGACACTCTACAGTGGAATCTGGGCTTATCGGACCTAACCCTATCTCTCCCCAGCCACCTCCTGGGCCCCTCCCTCCTTCTTCCCTGGCGTAAGGTCTGGGGAATGGCTCAGAGCTTTCAAGCTGAGCAAACAAACATGTCCGGGCACATAGGGAACAGAGGGCAGGGGAGGGCATGGCTATTTTTATCACAGTATAAAGGATTTTCACAGCTGCTTCCATTGTGTCCACACACGTTCCATGAACCCAGGCTATCAGAGTGGCTAGGCTGTGATTGGAGGGGGTTCACTCCTAAAACAAAACCTGCCCAGCAAGATGCCTGACTTTCCCCCAGGAGGGATCTATTTAAATTGCCCCGTCTGGCCGGGTGCAGTGGCTCATGCCTGTAATCCCAGTACTTTGGGAGGTCGAGGTGGGTGGATCACCAGAGGTCAGGAGTTGGAAACTAGCCTGGCCAACATGGTGAAACCCCATCTCTACTAAAAATACAAAAATTAGCCAGGCGTGGTGGTGCGCGCCTGTAATCCCAGCTACTCGGGAGGCTGAGGCAGGAGAATCGCTTGAACCCGTGAGGTGGAGGTTGCAGTGAGCCAAGATCGCACCACTATAAAAAAAAAAAATCTATTGTGTGAATATGCTACACATATTGACCTATGAACCTTGATGGACGTGGGAGTTGTTTCTAGGTCTTTGCTGTTGAGGTTTGAGAACAGGGGCTGCGGCAAACAATCTCATCCACACCTCCTGGAGCACATGCCTAAGGTTTTCTCACGGTGTAGACCTAGGAGGGAAACCGCTGGATCACCTGTGAATTCCACTTTCGGGGTTGCCTGCTCTTTGACCTCATCTCCCACCCCTCTCTACTTTGACTACCAAGCTCCTGTCACACTGGCCTCCCTTTCCTTGAACAAGCCAAGCCCATTGCAGCCTCCAGAACTTCGCACCTGCTGTCGCCTCCCTTCAGAACGCGTTTCTTTCAGGGATTCCCGTTGCTGGCTTTTACTTATCCTCAGGACTCCATCAGATATGACCTCCTCAGCCCAAATGTCACTTTCTCTGTCCCCCTCATCTAAATGACTTACTCCATTCCTACCCCAATCACCCATTTTCATTTTCTTTTTTTTTTTTTGACACGGAGTCTCGCTGTCGCCCAGGCTGGAGTGCAGGGGCGCCATCTTGGCTCACTGCAGGCTCTGCCCCCTGGGGTTCACGCCATTCTCTTGCCTCACTCTCCTGAGTAGCTGGGGCTACAGGCGCCCGCCACCTCGCCCGGCTAACATTTTGTATTTTTAGTGGAGACGGGGTTTCACCGTGTTAGCCAGGATGGTGTCGATCTCCTGACCTCGTGATCCACCCACCTCAGCCTCCCAAAGTGCTGGGATTACAGGCGTGAGCCACCGTGCCCGCCCCATTTTCTTTTCTGTTTTGTTTGTTTGTTTGTTTGTTTTTGAGACAGTCTTGCTCTGTGGCCCAGGCAGGAGTGCAGTGGCATGATCTCGGCTCACTGCAACCTCTGCCTCCCTGCCTCCTGGGTTCAAATGATTCTCCTCCCTCAGGCTCACAGTAGCTAGGATTACCGGTGCTGGGATTATAGGTGCCCACCACCACGCCTGCTAATTTTTGTAGTTTTAGTAGAGATAAGGTTTCACCATGTTTCAAACTTCTGACCTCAATTGATCCTCCCACCTTGGCCTCCCAAAGCGCTGGGATCACAGGTGTGAGCCACCGCTCCTGGCCTAGACTCAAACTCTAGAAGGGCTGAGACCATGTATTTTTCACAGCTGTATCCCCTAGAACAGTGCCTGATACATAGAGAAAAAGTGCTCAACAAAAAATTTTTTGTGGAGGTGGGTACTAATATAAATCTCATGTTAGAGAGCAGAAAACTGAGACTCAGAGAGGTTAAGCCATGCGCCCAAAGTCGCAGAGCTTGGAGGTGGCAGAACCAGGATTGAACCGTGGTCTGCCCGGTTCCAGTGCCCCTGTTCTTTCCGAAAGAGGAGGTCTTGTCCTGACATGAGCTTTTCTTCCTGAACTCTTGTTATCAGTTGGCCACTCCACACCACCTGTGCGGCCACCTGTTGGAGGGAACGCTAGGTCCTTCCTTTGGCTGTCACTCCTCCATCTGCAGTGAGTGAGAACTGTGGCCTTGGACCATGGGAGACCTGCATTTCCACCACCTGTTCTGGGAGTGGGGCCCAGTCAGCCCCCTTTGCTTACCTTCTGCCCTATATTAGAGCCCCAGGTTCTGTGCCCTTTTCCTATCATCGCAAAACTCATGATGCTCCGGCTGCTCAGTTCCCTCCTCCTTGTGGCCGTTGGTAAGACCCCAACCTGTGTGTGTGCTCCCTGGGCTGCCCTAGATTAGGAATCCTTGAAATCTACCACTTGCTCTAAGTCCCATGACACCCTATGCCTGGTTCCACAGGAGGGGGTCTCAGCTTGTACCCGGGGGCATGACTGTGGGGGCTTTCAGCTTATGATGGAGCAGGAGAGTGGAGGGGAAGCCGTGGATGGAGAAAGACCCCAAAGGGCTGTGGTGGAAGTCCTTGATGGGGGCAGTAAACAAAGTCAAACGGTTAAGAGTTTGGGCTGTGTGGTTGGACTTCTTGGGTTGGAATTTCCACTGTTCTGCTTACCACTCCAACTCTCCTCTCACACTCCCCCTACCTGGCTCCATATTCTATGCTCTGGCCTTTTCCTGGTCTCTCTGCCATATTACATTCCAGCTCAGGGCCACCTCTTCCAAGCAGCCTCCCTTGACTGACAATAATGGTAACAGATAACATTGATTGAGTGCTTACTATGCCAGGCAGAATGTTTAGGGTTTTCCTTATACTTTCTCATGTAATTCTCACAACAGCCTCAGGAGATCAGTACTATCATTTTCCCCATTTTACCGACCCTCAAGGAAGTAAAGTAGCTTATCATAGAACAAAAGGCAGAGCTGCACTTAATGTTTTTATTTTTTGCTTTTTTTTTTGTTGAGATGGGGTCTTGCTTTGTTGCCCAGACTGGTCTCAAAATCTTGGCCTCAAGCAATCCTACCACCTTAGCCTCCTGAGTAGCTGAGATTATAGGCACATGCCACCATACCTGGCTACTTTATTTTATTGTACTTTATTTTTCTAGAGATGAGGTCTTGCTATGTTGCCCAGGCTGGTCTCAAACTCCCGGGCTCAAGCGATCCTCCCGCCTCGGCCTCTCAAAGCACTAGGATTACAGGTGTGAACCACCACACACAGCCCAGAGCTGCACTTTGAACCCAGGAAGTCCTTCTTTAAAGCCTCCACTCTGTATGACAATAGCTCTCACTTTTTGAGGGCTCATTGAGGGCCAGGCATTGTTCTAAGTGTATCAAGCTCTTCAATCCTCCCAATGAAGGAGGCCACATTTGAATCTCTATCCCTGGAGTCTTGGGATTCTGGAAAGCCCTGCTCTAGTTTAAATGTTCACTATTCATATGTGGTTACTGAGGTCCAGAGGGCGAAAGGGGCTTGCATGGGGTCACACAGCCACTTGAAGGCACGGCTTGGACTGGGACCCTGGCCTCCTCTTTGCTTTTGGGGACCCTCCCGCTGATTGACAGCTCTCCTCTCCCCTCTAGCCTCAGGCTATGGCCCACCTTCCTCTCGCCCTTCCAGCCGCGTTGTCAATGGTGAGGATGCGGTCCCCTACAGCTGGCCCTGGCAGGTAAGAGCAATAGCAGCTGCCCTCATTCCCACCGTGGGCTCTGGACCCTAAGCTCTAATGGCGCGGCATCCAGCCTTGACACCATTGCTCCCTTTGCAATGTCCACTTCAGCTTCCAAAGACCAGGCAGCCCTTGGACCATCTACTTCACGGGGAGGTTTTGCCCATTCCGTCTGTAACCCTCACTGGGCTATTTGCAACTTAAAAGTGGAATCGGGGGTGAAGGAAATGCTAAACTCAAGGAGTTGGCACACTGATGGTGGAATTTCAGGCACTGTGTTGAAGAAGTGAGATTTTGAGAGACTCATTTCTAGATTCCTAGGATGATACAACAGGGCTATGGGGTCTGAAAGCAATAAGGGAGTGAGGGATCTTGTAAGGCCAGTGGAGGGAAGCTCAGAAGGCTGGACTTGATGTGCTGTGGCTATTTAAATTTAATTAAATTAGGCCGGGCACGGTGGCTCACGCCTGTAATCCCAGCTACCCAGGAGGCTGAGGCAGGAGAATCCCTTGGACCCAGGAGGTGGAGGTTGCAGTGAGATGAGATCGCACCACTGCACTCCAGCCCTGGGCAACAGAGTGAGACTCTGTCTCAAAAAAAAATTAAATTAAATTATTATGACTATTATTATTATTGAGACAGAGTTTCACTCTTGTTGCCCAGGCTGAAGTGCAATGGCACAATCTTGGCTCACTGCAACCTCTGCCACCCGGGTTCAAGCGATTCTCCTACCTCAGCCTCCCAAGTAGCTGGGATTACAGGCATGCGCCACCAAGCCCGGCTAATTCTGTATTTTTAGTAGAGACAGGGTTTCACTATGTTGGCCAGGCCAGTCTGGAACTTGTGACCTCAGCTGATGCACCTGCCTCAGCCTGTCAAAGTGCTGGGATTACAGGTGTGAGTCACTGCACCCAGCTGAAATTTACTTACATTAAATAATGTTAACAATTCAATTCCTCAGTGCTTGCCATATTTCTTTTTTTCTTTTCTTTTCTTTTCTTTTTTTTTTTTTTTTTGAGACAGGGTCTTGCTGTGTTGCCCAGGCTGGAGTGCAGTGGTGTAATCTCAGCTCACTGCAGCCTTGACCTCCTAGGTCCAAGCAATCATCCCACATCAGCCTCCTGTGTAGCTAGGACTACAGGCATGTGCCACCATGCCCAGCTAATTTTTATATATTGTTGTAGAGATGGGGTCTCACTATGTTGCCCAGGCTTGCCTCGAACTTCTGAGCTCCAGTGATCCTCCTGTCTTGACCTCCCACAGTGCTGGGATTATAGGCGTGAGCCACCATGCTTGGCCTGCTTGCCACATTTCAAATGTTCAATAGTCACATGTGGCTAGTGGCTACCATATTGGACAGCAAAGATATAGAACATTCCCATGATTATGGGAAGTTTTATCGGAGAGGGTCAGCAGGCTTATTCTGTAAATGGCCAGAGAGTGAATATTTTAGGTTATTTGATGGTTTGGATAGTAATGACTTGACTGTGCCATGGTAGCATGAAAGCAGACACAAACAATACAGAAATGAATGTGACTATTTCCAGGACATCTTTATTAAAAAACAGACCAGAAGCCTGATGTGCCCCACTGTCCACAGTTTGCTAACCCTGGTCTAGATGGAGCTTTTGAAAATCAGAATGTGTAGGAAATGGGAAGAGAGGCAAAGAACTCATCAGGGTGAGCTGTGCTTCAGAAGGCTCAAGAGGCCTTGAAAGAGCTGAGGTTCAAAAGAGTCAGGGGGGCTGGGCGCGGTGGCTCACGCCTGTAATCCCAGCACTTCGGGAGGCCGAGGTGGGCAGATCACCTGAGGTGAGGAGCTCGAGACCAGCCTGGCCAACATGGTGAAACTCCGTGTCTACTAAAAATACAAAATTAGCCAGGCACGACGGCAGGTGCCTGTAATCCCAGTTACTGTGCAGGCTGAGGCAGGAGAGTCGCTTGAACCCGGGAGGCGGAGGTTGAAATGAGCTGAGATTGCCACCATTGCACTCCAGCCTGGGGAACAAGAGCAAAACTCCATCTCAAACAAAAAAAGTCACAGGGCGAGGGGTGCGTGATAGAACAGAGGGCCTTCAAGGGCTCTCAAGAAACAGAAGGTAGAGAATGTTGGGGTCCCCAGGGAGGTCATAGTGCTGGTGTGGGGAGGCTTTGGAGAATCAGAATGTGACCCCCATGGAAAAGTGATAGGGCCACCACGGGCAGCTGCCCAGGTCGCAGGTTGTATGCTGCATATTTCAGTGGGTGCTCTTGTTTTCCGTGTGAATGGCGCCCTCTAGAGTTGCACAGTGCACAACCTATACAGCCATTGGTGGCAACTCTCATGGTGGGGCCCAGCCCACTGAGGCCCTTTCCTCCTGGGCCACCAGGTTTCCCTGCAGTATGAGAAAAGCGGAAGCTTCTACCACACCTGTGGCGGTAGCCTCATCGCCCCCGACTGGGTTGTGACTGCCGGCCACTGCATCTCGTGAGTTCTCTACCCTGTCCCTGCCTGTGGCCCCGGGCAGCTGGGGAGGGTGGGTGATGATGGGGAAGGAGGGAGGTAGCCAGTCAGGCCCAGACTGACCTCACCTCCGCCCGCAGGAGCTCCCGGACCTACCAGGTGGTGTTGGGCGAGTACGACCGTGCTGTGAAGGAGGGCCCCGAGCAGGTGATCCCCATCAACTCTGGGGACCTCTTTGTGCATCCACTCTGGAACCGCTCGTGTGTGGCCTGTGGGTGAGTGAATGCTCCGGTCTGGAACCCAGAGGCTCCTCTACTCATCCCTCCATGACCCACAGCCAAGTCTGAGTAGGTTCCAACTCTGAGTTGGGACGTAGGGACGGGGGAGCTGGGTCCAGCAGCCTGTGCCCAGGTCCCACACACTGAGGATTGAAGCCAGAAGAGCCTTTAAGGACCATCACCACCAAACCTGTCTCCCTACAGAGGGGATGGCAGTGTTCAGGGAGGGGCGGGAACTCTGCCAAGGCCACTTGGCTAGTGGCTTCAGAGCTCAGGGTTCCTCTGGCATCCTTCCCCCAAAGCCGAGGGTTTCTCCATTCAATAGATGGCTCACCCAGTGCATCCTGGGCTCCCAGCACTATGGGCACAAGGAGGAGCACTGGGCTGAGAGTCAGGCTCTGGCATTAACTCTGTGTATGGCCTGAGCAAGTCACTGGCCTTCTCTGGGCCTTAGTTTTGCCATTTGTCAAAAGGTGACCATGAAGTTGGGCCTCCCGGGTGGTTGTGAAGGCCAAGGAGACAATCTTATGCCCTTCAAGTGTACAAAAAATTCTTTTTTTTTTTTTTTGAGATGCAGTCTCGCTCTGTCGCCCAGGCTGGAGTACAGTGGCACGATCTCGGCTCACTGCAAGCTCTGCCTCCCGGGTTCACACCATTCTCCTGCCTCAGCGTCCCGAGTAGCTGGGACTACAGGCGCCCGCCACCACGCCTGGCTAATTTTTTGTATTTTTAGTAGAGACGGGGTTTCACCGTGTTAGCCAGGATGATCTCGATCTCCTGACCTCGTGATCTGCCCGCCTCGGCCTCCCAAAGTGCTAGGATTACAGGCATGAGCCACCGCGCCCTGCCATATGAAAAATTCTTAAGTCTGAGTGGCTAAGACTTTTTTCTCAGAGTTTTTTCTGGCGAGAGGGTCAAAGACGGGTGCAGAACTCCTGCAAATGCAGTATAGGAGTGAAGCACAATATGATGGAAACCTCAACCCATCTTCACAGGGCTTCTGGGGTGAGTAGAGAGAAAAGGGAGACCCAGACAAAAGGACTGGAGTGACACGCAGGCAGGTGAAGACAGAGGGCAGTGGTTCTCAAAATGTGGTACCTGGGCTGGCAGTATCAGCATCACCTGGGAACCTGCAGCAATGTGAATTATTGGCCAGGCACGGTAATCCCAGCACTGCCGGAGGCCGAGGTGGGTGGATCACTTGAGCTCAGGAGTTTGTGACCAGCCTGGCCAACATGGTGAAACCCCATCTCTACTAAAAATTAAAAAAAATTAGCCAGGTGTGGTGACGCGCACCTATAATCCCAGCTACTCTGGAGGCTGAGGCAGGAGAATTGCTTGAACCCAGGAGGTGGAGGTTGTAGTGAGCCGAGATCGTGCCATTACACTCCAGCCTGGGCAACAGAGCCATACCCTGTCTCAAAAAAAAAGTGAATTATTGGGCCTTAGCCAAGATCCACTGCATCAGAAATTGGGGTGGGATGCAGCAGTCTGTTTTTGTTTTGTTTTGTTTTGTTTTTGAGACTGAGTCTCGCTCTGTCACCCAGGCTGGAGTGCAGTGGCGCAATCTTGGCTCACTACAAGCTCTGCCTTCCAGGTTCACACCATTCTCCTGCCTCGGCCTCCCGGGTAGCTGGGACTGCAGGTGCCCGCCACCAAGCCCAGCTAATTTTTTTTGTATTTTTAGTAGAGATGGGGTTTCACCGTGTTAGCCAGGATGGTCTCAATCTCTTAACCTCGTGATCCGCAGCAGTCTGTTTTAACAAGCCTCCAGGTGATTCTGATACAGCTGAACTGGGAGGGTTAAAGGGTCAAAGGAGCGGACAATTCTGAAGGCCAAGGGTCAGAGTGACCCAAGGGACTAGAAGGGTTTCTTAAAATTGCTCAGCCTTGGCTGGGCGCGGTGGCTCATGCCTGTAATCCCAGCACTTTGGGAGGCCCAGGCGGGCATATCAGCTAAGGTCAGGAGTTCTAGACCAGCCTGGCCAACATGGCAAAACCCCGTCTCTACTAAAAATAATTAACAAAAATTAGCCAAGCGTGGTGGCATGTACCTGTAATCCCAGCTACTCAGGAGGCTGAGGCAGGAGAATCACTTGAACCCAGGAGGCAGAGGTTGCAGTGAGCCGAGATCATGCCACTGCACTCCAGCCTGGGCAACAGAGCGAGACTCTGACTCAAAAAAAAAAATAAAAAAATTTGCTCTGCCTTAAGAACGATTTGGGCCAGGTGTAGTGGCTCATGCCTGTAATTCCAGCACTTCAGGAGGTGAAAGCAGGAGGATCCCTTGGCCCAGGAGGCTGCAGTGAGCTATGATTGTGACACTGCACTCCAGCCTGGGCAACAGATGGAGACTCTGTCTCAATAATAATAATGATGATGATGATGATGAAAGAGTGGATTTGGAGGGTGAAGGAGCTGGGGCATCTCAGAGGCGGAATAGCCTGGAGCAACGGCTGGAAGGTAGGACTTGGGCCGGCTGGAGGACCAGGCCCCGTGACTGTTCCCTCCTCCCCAGCAATGACATCGCCCTCATCAAGCTCTCACGCAGCGCCCAGCTGGGAGACGCCGTCCAGCTCGCCTCACTCCCTCCGGCTGGTGACATCCTTCCCAACGAGACACCCTGCTACATCACCGGCTGGGGCCGTCTCTATAGTACGTGCTGACTTCTCTAGCTGGCCACAGGGACAGTGGCAGAAAGACAGGGCCTGGGGGCTGCAGGTTGAAGGTAACACCAAGACCAGACCTTGTACTTTTCTCCCATTTCTCTCCAGCTGCAGCCTTCTCCCACCAACCTCCAAAACACGAATGTGGTCAATTGCACATGTTTTGGTACCTTCTGTGTGCCACGTGCTAGGGATGTAATGGTGCACAAAGCATGCAGGACCATTTAGCGGGTGGGAGGAGAGTCCTCATCAGAGCAGAAGAACTGTGCGCCTTGGATGCCCCCTTCCTCTGGGGCTCCTAGCCCTGTGCCCCCAGACCCCTGACTCGGTGCTTTTTATCGCTGCAGCCAACGGGCCACTCCCAGACAAGCTGCAGGAGGCCCTGCTGCCGGTGGTGGACTATGAACACTGCTCCAGGTGGAACTGGTGGGGTTCCTCCGTGAAGAAGACCATGGTGTGTGCTGGAGGGGACATCCGCTCCGGCTGCAATGTGAGTCAGCTCTTACCTGCCCGAGGTGGTGCTGGGTGTGCAGGACCTTGGAATGGGGCCAACTGCCTGGAAGGTGGAGGAAGGATCTTGCCTGCTTGCCCCATTCAGCCTCCAGGCCAGGCAGGACTTGGAGGAAATCAGCGCAGTCCAGACACAGAGCCCAGGCCTGGGAGTCAGGACCCCCGGGTTGCAGTCTCAGCTCACACACTGACATGACTTGGGACAAGTCACTGTGTCTCCCTGGTCCTCAGGCTTCCGCATCAGCACAGCAGGAGATACTGGTCCCATGACCTCCAACGCAGGTCAATTCTGTGGTTCTAAAGTTATAATTATGGCTGGGCATGGTGGCTCATGCCTGTAATCCTAGCACTTTGGGAGGCCAAGGCGTGTGGATCACTTGAGGTCAGGAGTTCGAGACCAGCCTGGCCAACATGGTGAAACCCCGTCTCTACTAAAAATACAAAAATTAGCCAGGCATGGTGGCCGGTGCCTGTAATCCCAGTTATTTGGGAGGCTGAGACAGGAGAATCACTAGAGCCCAGGAGGCAGAGGTTGCAGTGAGTGGAGATCGCACCATTGCACTCCAGGCTGGGCGACAGAGTGAGACTCTGTCTAAAAAAAAAATAATAATAAAGTTATAATTAAACATTAAGAATACCATCATTGTTCTGGGCACAGTCCCTCATGCCTATAATCCAAGTGCTTTGGGAGGCTGAGGCGGGAGGATTGCTTGAGGCTAGGAGTTTGAGACCAGCCTAGGTAACATAGTGAGATGCCCATCTACAAAAAAAACTTTTTTAAATTAGCCAGGCATGGTGGCACTCGCCTGTAGTCCCAACTACTTGAGAGGCTGAGGTGGGAGGATTGTTTGAGCCTGGGAGTTCAAGCTCACAGTGGCTGTGATTTTTGCCACTGCACTCAAGCCTGGGCGACAGAGCAAGATGTTGTCTTTTTTTTTTTTTTTGAGACAGGATCTTGCTCTGTTGCCCAGGCTGCAGTGCAGTAACGCCATCACAGCCCACTGTAGCCTTGCCCTCCTGGGCTCAAGCAATCCTCCCATGTCAGCCTCCCAAGCAGCCAAGAGTACAAGTGTGTGCCACAATGCCTAGCTAATTTTAAAATTTTTTGTAGAGATGAAGTCTCACCATGTTGCCCAGGCTTGTCTCTAACTCTTGGGCTCAAGTGATCCTCCTGCCTTGGCCTTCCAAAGTGTTGTGTTTACAGATGTGAGCCACTTTCCTGGACTAGACCTTGTCTGTTAAAGAAAAAAAAAAAAATGGCCGGGCTTGGTGGCTCATGCCTGTAATCCCAGCACTTTGGGAGGCCGAGCCGGGCGGATCACGAGGTCAGGAGATCGAGACCATCCTGGCTAACACTGTGAAACCTCGTCTCTACTAAAAATACAAAAAATTAGCCTGGCATGGTGGTGGGCGCCTGTAGTCCCAGCTACTCGGGAGGCTGAGGCAGGAGAATGGTGTGAACCTGGGAGGCGGAGCTTGCCGTGAGCCGAGATCGCGCCCCTGCACTCCAACCTGGGCGACAGAGCGAGACACTGACTCAGAAAAAAAAAGAATACTATCAAATACCCTCGTATTATAATTGAGTATGAATTAATAATTAACTATGGTGCTACTAATAAGAACTATGTTTACTGAGTGCTTCTTCTCTACTGGATATCGTGCTAAGATCGTGCATCATCTCATGTAATTCCCTAGGCTCTTGGACAGATACTACTATTCCCTATCACAAATGAGTCAGCTGGCTGGGCGTGGTGGCTCACACCCATAATCCCTTTGGGAGGCCCCGGCAGGTGGATCACCTGAGGTCAGGACTTTGAGACTAACCTGGCCAACATGGTGAAATCCCATCTCTATTAAATATACAAAAATTAGCTGGGTGTGGTGGCAGGTACCTGTAATCCCAGCTACTTAGGAGGCTGAAGCAGGAGAAACACTTGAACCTGGGAGCCGGGAGACGGAGGTTGCAATGAGCCAAGCTAGCTCCACTGCACTCCAGCCTGGACAAGAGAGCGAGACTCCATCTAAAAAAATAAAAATAATAAATGATTAAAAAAAATGAGCGAGCTAAGGCTCAGAGGAGTCAGGTAATGTCGGAGTTTCTCGAAATCCCTAGAATTCAGAACCAGTTCCATAAACCTCAGACATGGCTCAGCCACCCACACCTCTCTGACGGTTCCAGGGTGACTCTGGAGGACCCCTCAACTGCCCCACAGAGGATGGTGGCTGGCAGGTCCATGGCGTGACCAGCTTTGTTTCTGCCTTTGGCTGCAACACCCGCAGGAAGCCCACGGTGTTCACTCGAGTCTCCGCCTTCATTGACTGGATTGAGGAGGTGAGGAGGGCAGGGCGGCCCGGAGGGCTTTAGGGTGGTGGCTCTTCTGAGAGGTGACAGGTGAGAAACATCGGATCCTGGGGAGGGCCTGAAAGGATCCTAGAAGCTCAGTGGGGAAGGGCCCTTGGGGACATTCCAGAAAGGCTTGGGGATGTTTTCTGATACAGTGTGACCCCAGGAACTTGATGGCTTCTGGGTGGTGCTTGGAACTACAGCTGAACTTCCTTATTTCAACAAGTATTTATAAAGTATCTCCTCTGGTCTTGTCCTCTCTTGTCAGGGAGGATAGAGAGACATGCCAGACAAGAGGCTGCCTGGTGGGGGACAGGTGATTACATGAATGAGAACGATGCAGTCTGATGAGAGCCGAGAGAGGGGAGTCCAGGCCCCAGACTTCATCTGGGGATGGGTGATCAGAGAGGACTAATAACACTCCTGATAACAGTAATAGCTAAACAAAAAAAAAAAAGAAAAAAAAAAAGAGTAATAGCTGGGCATGGAGTAGTCATGCCAGTAATCCCAGCACTTTGGGAAGCAGAGGCAGGTGGATCACAAGGTCAGGAGTTCAAGACCAGCCTGGCCAAGATGGTGAAACCCTGTCTCTACTAAAAATACAAAAATTAGCCGGGCATGGTGGTGGGTGCCTGTAATCCCAGCTGCTCGGGAGGCTGAGGCAGAGAACTGCTTGAACCTGGGAGACGGAGGTTGCAGTTAGTCGAGATCATACCACTGCACTGCAGCCTAGGTGACAGAGCGAGACTCCGTCTCAAAAAAAAAAAAAAAAAGAGTAATAGCTAGCTGGGTGCAGTGATGCCCACCTGTAGTCCCAGCTACTTGGGAGGCTGAGGCAGGAGGATCGGTTGAGCCCTGGAGTTCTGGGCCATAGTGCGCTATACCCATCTGGTTCTGCACCAAGTTTGGCATCCATGTGGTGACCTCCTGGGAGTGGGGACCACCAGGTGGCCTAAGGAGGGGTGAACTGTCCCAGGTCAGAAACAGAGCAGGTCAAAACTCACATGCTGAAAAGTAGTAGGATCACACCTGTGAATAGCCACTGTACTCCAGCCTGGGCAACACAGCAAGAGCCTCTCTCTTAAAAAAATGAAAATAAACTAAATAAAATAAAACAGTAGTGCTTGCTTTGGCAGCACATGTACTAAAATTGGAATGATATAGAGATTAGCACGGCCCCTGCGCAAGGATGACATGCAAAGTCATGAAGGCTTCCATTAAAAAAACATTTCTGGCCAAGTACAGTGGTTCATGCATGTAATCCCAGCACTCTGGGAGGCCGAGGCGTATGGATCACCTGAGGTCAGGAGTTCAAGACCAGCCTGGCCGACATGGTGAAACCCCATCTCTACTAAGAATACAAAAAATTAGCCGGGCGTATTGGTGCATGCCTGTGGTCCCAGCTACTCAGGAGGCTGAGGCAGGAGAACTGCTTGAATCTGGGAGGCGGAGGTTGCAGTGCGCCGAGATTACGCCACTGCACTCCAGCCTGGGTGACAGAGCAAGACTCCATCTCAAAAACAAAAACAAACAAACAAACAAAAAAACAGTGATGATTTATAGACCATTTAATCCCTTGGTTCCCTGACCCATGTTAAAAAAATATATATATAAGGCCAGGCACGGTGGCTCATGCCTGTAATCCCAGCAATTTGGTAGGCCGAGGCAGGCAGATCATAAGGTCAGGAGTTCGAGACCAGCCTGGCCAATATGGTGAAATCCTGTCTCTACAAAAATATAAAAAAATTGGCTGGGCGTGGTGCTGCATGGCTGTAATCTCAGCTACTTGGGAGGCTGAGGTAGAAGAATTGCTTGAACTCGGGAGGCAGAAGTTGCAGTGAGCCAAGATTGCACCACTGCCCTCCAGCCTGGGCGACAGAGCAAGACTCCATCTTAAAAAAAAAAAAAAAAAAAAGCCGGGCATGGTGGCTCATGCCTGTAATCCCACCACTTTGGGAGGCTGAGGTGGGCAGATCACAAGGTCAGGAGATTGAGACCATCCTGGCTAACAAGGTGAAACCCTGTCTCTACTAAAAATACAAAAATTAGCCAGGCATGGTGGCGTACGCCTGTAGTCCCAGCTACTTGGGAGGCTGAGGCAGGAGAATGGCATGAACCCAAGAGGTGGAGGTTGCGGTGAGCTGAGATTGTGCCACTGCACTCCAGCCTGGGCAACAGAGTGAGACTCTGTCTCAAAAAGAAAAAAAACTCCAAAAATATATATTTTGTTTATATACATACATACATACATACATATATATACACACACAGACGTATATATATACACACACACACATATATATGTATATATATCTATGCACACATCCCATCTAAATTCATGCTGGCCATTGTAGAGAGAACCTTAGTTAACAATTTAATCAAGAACCCCCCCATGAGGTAAGTTCTATCATTATCCCTACTACATAGAGGAGGAAACTGAGGCTCAGAGAGGTCAATTCCTCTCCCAGGGTCACACAGCAGGGCTGGAAGTTGAACCCAGTTTCATCTGACTCCAGAACCTGTGCTCCTAAATTGACTATTCTGTCTGCCCCCCCAACTTTTCCAGACCATAGCAAGCCACTAGAACCAAGGCCCAGCTGGCAGTGCTGATCGATCCCACATCCTGAATAAAGAATAAAGATCTCTCAGAAAATTCCAAGTTGAATCTTTCTTTCTTTGTTGACTCACCTCTTCCCCTCTGGCCTGTTCCTAAAATCTTAGATCTCATATGCAGAGACAGGACCAGGTCCAACCCTTTCATACGAAGATGAGGGAAAAATGATGCTGGGAGAGAAGGGAGTTGCTGTGCGGTGACCTGACCATCCTGGTTTGCCTGGAACTTCAGGAGTGAAGACACTGGACATTTAATGCTAAAACTGGGAAGGTACCAGGAAAAATGGGACAAGTTGGTCGCCTTAGTATATAGTCGCACATAAGTCAGTAGCTTTTCAATGCAGGCATATAAACATGGTAAAAATCTGCAGATAAACAGACCCTGCCAGCCCCTCAGCAGGCTCATGGTAGAGTGGGAAGGACAATGTGTGATCTGCTTCCACTGATGGGCTGGGGGCTTTGGTTATTCATTCATTCAACAAACACTTATTCCTTGTTTTAAAGGAGGGCTCAGAGGGGTAAGGAGACATGGTTCCTGCCCTGAAGTGACTCATTATTTAAAGATAGCTCTCTTAGTCTGTGTTCATACTGCTATAAAGAACTGCCCGAGACTGGGTAGTTTATAAAGGAAAGAAGTGTAATTGACTCACAGTTCAGCATGGCTGGGGAGGCCTCAGGAAACTTAAAATCATGGTGGAAGATGAAGGGGAAGCAAGGGACCTTCTTTACAAGGTGGCAGGAAGGAAAATTGCCTAGCAAAGGGGGAAGAGCCCCTTATAAAACCATCAGATCTGGCGAGAACTCACTCACTATCATGAGAACAGCATGGGGGAACCGCCCTATGATTCAATTACCTTCTCCCTTGACACATGGCGATTATGGGGATTACAATTCAAGGTGAGATTTGGGTGGGGACACAAAGCCTAACCATGTCATGAGCATATCACGGTCATTCATTAAACATGTATTAGGTACCTGCCTTGTGGCAAGTTCAGGGCTGGAAAAACAGAGACAAGTCAGGCAACCCTAGGAAGAGCCCTTACTGAAGGGGGGAGAAGACACACACACAGGTACACAGGTATACACACACAGGTACACACAATGCTGCGCACGAGCCCAGAGCCAGCAAACAGTTGAGTTTTGAAAGGAAGAACGCTGGCCAGGTGCAGTAGCTCATGCTTGTAATCCTAGCACTTTGGGAGGCTGAGGCAGGTAGATCAACTGAGGTCACGAGTTCGAAACTCCTTCTTAAAAAAAAAAAAGAATGCTGTTACACAGACAAAAGCAACATAAAACAAGGGAGTCTGGCTGGGCCTGGTGGTTCATACTTGTAATCCCAGCACTTTGGGAGGCCAGGGTGGGTGGATCACTTGAGCCCACGAGTTTGAGACCAGCCTGGGAAACATGGTAAAACCCCATCTCTACAAAAAACATAAAAATTAGCCAGGTGTGGTGGTGGGTACTTGTAGTCCCAGCTACTCGGAAGACTGAGGTGGAAGAATCACTTGAGTCCAGGAGGCAGAAGCTGCAGTGAGCTGAGACTGTGACACTGTACTCCAGCCTGGGCACAGAGCAAGACTCTGTCTGAAAAAAAAAAAAAAAAAAATTCAACGGAATCTCTTTCCTCATATTTCTCTTTGAACACCATGAAAGGGAAGATTGTCCCAGCAAGGACACACACAAATGACTTTGATATTAATGGCCCATTTGTAGCCTCCCTTTATACTTTCAGCTACAACTGAAAAAGATGCAACATAGAGAATAATATAGCAGAGACTCAGATAGGTATCCTCCCTTCAGAATTAACAAATTTCACATTTTGCTTCATATTCTAAAAAATATTAATTACAATCATTCACTAAAAAAAATCAAGAGATCTATAATTTTTTAGATCCAGCCTGTCACCCAGGCTGGAGGGCAGTGGCACAATCCTGGCTCGCTGCAACCTCCGCCTCCCAGGTTCAAGCGATTCTCCTGCCTCAGCCTTCCGAGTAGCTGGGACTACAGTCACCCACCACCATGCCTGGCTTATTTTTTTTGTTTTTGAGTTGGAGTCTCGCTCTGTCGCCCAGGCTGGAGTACAATGGTGTAATCTCAGCTCACTGCAACCTCTGCCTCCCGGGTTCAAGCAATTCTCCTGCCTCAGCCTCCCAAGCAGCTGGGACTACAGGCGCATGCCACCACGCTCAGCTAATTTTTGTATTTTTAGTAGAGATGAGGTTTCACCATGTTGCCCAGGCTGGTCTCGAACTCCTGACCTCAAGTGATCCACCCGCCTTGGCCTCCCAAAGTGCTGGGATTACAGGTGTGAGCCACTGTGCCGGGCCAGGATCTATAAATTTGGAAAGGAGATTTTATATCTTATAAAGGGTTATAGCCTGCATGGTGGCCATGCTGACAGGCTGGGAAGTGTAGCCTCCTGCAGAGATCAGAAACAGGCACTCCAAAGGAGGAGGGATTGAAGTGGAAGCTTGAAGCTGAAAGAGTTGGCTAAACATACATATTCAACAGGTTATAGAAGGAGCTGTGGGCTGGGCGCAGTGGCTCATGCCTGTCATCCCAGCACTTTGGGAGGCTGAGGCCAGTGGATCACTTGAGGTCAGGACTTTGTGACCAGCCTGGCCAACATGGTGAAGCCCCGTCTCTACTAAAAAATACAAAATTAGGCAGGTGTGGTGGTGGGTGCCTGTAATCCCAGCTACTCAGGAGGCTGAGGCAGGAGAATTGCTTGAAACTGGGAGGCAGATGTTGCAATGAGCTGAGATCATGCCATTGCACTCCAGCCTGGGTGACAAGAGCAAAACTCCGTTTCAAAAAAAAAAGAAGGAGCTGTAAATATTAACAAAGGGGGTCCTGACACATGTGTACTGAACAAACGTATGTTACATGTGTCCCATGTTCACTGTGGGGTGGAGACTTGACATTTAAATGCATTACTGCTGGGCATGGTGGCATGTGCCTATAGTCCCCGCTACTCAGGAGGTGGAGACAGGAGGGTAGCTTGAAGCTAGGAGTTCAAGGCTGCAGTGCACTATGGTCGCACCTGTGAATAGCCACTGCACTCCAGCCTGGACAACATAGTGAGACCCCACCTCTTTAAGCATGACAACAAGACCCTGTGCATCAAAAGGTGAAGCAGGAACATGAAGGTACTCAAGTGCAGCTTCTGTAAACCAGACAGAACCAGTCCGTGGTCTGTGGTCTTCTTATCAGGAGAAAGTTACTGAAATCTGTGTCCTTACCAATCAAAGCTGGAGTTATGGCTTTGGAGCAGGAGCAGGGGGTGTGTTAGGGTCTGGTGGTGGATGAGCTGCAGTTGTTTTAATATTATTGATCTCAAGGCCAGTGCTTGTTGAGCTGCTAGAGAAAAGGAAAAATCTCAGGCAGCTGGGAACGGTGGCTCATGCCTATAATCCCAGCACTTTGGGAGGTTAGGGTAGGAGGACTGGAGGACTGCTTGAACCCAGGGGTTTGAGACCAGCTTGGGCAACATGGCAAAACCCCATCTTAGCTGGGTGGTGTGACACATGCCTGTAGTCCCAGCTACTTGGGAGGCAGAGGTGGGAAGATCACTTGAGCCCGAGAGGTTGAGGCTGCAGTGAGCTGTGATTGCACCACTGTACCACTCCAGCCTGGGTGACAGATTGAGACCTTGTCTCCAAAAAAAAAAAAAAGAAAGAAAAATCTTGTGGCAGTTAGAACATAGTTCTAATGGCAGGATGTCCAGGTGTCCTGATACCACATCACAATATCCGCTTTTAAGACAGTTACAGTCATGCTTTGATGTATTTCCGCACTAAAATACCAAGGATAATTTTCTTTAAATCAACAAAATACTAAATTTTCTTTTAAAAAGGTTATTGTATTTATGGCTGGGCACTGTGACTCATGCCTGTAATCCCGGCACTTTGGGAGGCTGAGGCAGGTGGGTCACTTGAGGTCAGGAGTTCGAGACCAGACTGGCCAACATGGCGAAATCCCGTCTCTAATAAAAATACAAAAAATTAGCTGAGCATGGTGGCGCGTGCCTGTAATCCCAGCTACTTTGGAGGCTGAGGTGGAAGAATTGCTTGAACTTGGGAGGCGGAGGTTGCAGTGAGCTGAGATCGCACCACTGCACTCCAGCCTGCACAACAGAAAGGACCTCCTCTCCAAAAAAAAAAAAAAAAAAGAAGAAGAAAAGAAAAGAAATTGTATTTGTTCATTTATTTTTCAAAGCCAAATACTTCTGAATTTCTTTAAAAAAAATTTTTTTCTACGCAGTCTCGCTCTGTTGTCCGGCTGGAGTACAGTGGCCCCATCACTGCTCACTGCAGCCTTGACCTCCCGGGCTCAAGTGATCCTCGCACCTCAACCTCCCAAGTAGCTGGGACTACAGGTGCATGCTACCATGCCCAGCTAATTTTTGTATTTTTTTGTAGAGATGGGGTTTCACCCCATTGCCCAGGCTGGTCTTGAACTCCCAGGCTCAAGTGATCCACCTACCTCAGCCTCCCAAAGTGCTAGGATTACAGGTGTGAGCCACTGCACCTGGACTCAGATTTTGTCTTTCTTGAAAACCTCCTTCGACCTCAGCCCATCCGCTCCTCCACTGCCCCCACCCTGGTTACCTGGAGAACCTCTGCAGAACCCACACTAGCCTCCCTGATGGCATTCTGGCTCCTCTTCAAACCGTTTCCCACTCAGCAGCCAGAGACATGCTTCAAGACATAAGCTGGATCATGTTCTCCTGTGGAAAACCCTTCAAAGGCCTCCTGTGGCCTTGTGTGCCTGCCCTGCAGGAATCTCCAGCCCCACTTCTCTGCTCCCATCCCAGAGAAGCTCCAGTCCTTAGATTTATTCCTTGCTGTATCGTGGCTGGGCAGGGGCAGGCTGGATTTCCCAGGCACCTATGACAGCAGGCTTCTCCCACTTCCAGTGGGAGATTGAAAGGCTGGAGGGAGAGAGAAACCTCCCTCCTATCCTCCAAAAGGTACTTCTCTCCCTACACTTCCTCCACTGCTCCCACCAGACATGCCTGGGCTGGGCCCAGCTTTGGCGAGGTGACCTCTGCTCCTGGGCTCCAGCTACCAGCATCTCCTCTCTCTGTCCTACCATCTTGGGAGGGAGCTGTACTAATCTCTGGGTTCCCACATCTTCCCTGCTGGCTTCTCTGCACCTCCCTCACCGAGACAGCCAATTCCCCAGATTAAATTCCCTATACTTCAAATACTTGAGATTTCTGTTTTCTGGTTTGACTCTGACTGACAAAGGCAGACTTCCATCCTGAGGAGGAAGCCAGCAGCCGGTGTGGGGCAGAGCCAGTGGAACGGCAGAAATCCTAAGCCTGAGCTCGGGTGCATCTCTCTTCAGCTCCCCTGCCTCTCCACTTAAAGTGAAGTCCTGTGAGACTGTACATTTCCTAGTTGTGGCCAGGCATGGTGGCTCAGATCTGTAATCCCAGCACTTTGGTAGGCCGAGTCAGGCAGATCACTTGACCTCAATAGTTTGAGACCAGCCTGGGCAACATGGCGAAACCTTCTCTCTACAAAAAATATTTTAAAATTAGCTGGGCGTGGTGGTGCGTGCCTGCAGTCCCAGCGACTCGGCAGGCTGAGGTGGGAGGATCGCCTGAGTCAGGAAAGTTGAGGCTGCACTGAGCTCCTATCATGCCACTGCACCCCAGCCTGGGCGACAGAGTGAGACTTGTCTCAAAAAAAAAAAAAAAAAAAAAAAAATCCTAATTGTTTCACTTAGGCAGAGTGTCCTGTTGTTTGCATCTGAAAATATTTGTATTTTGTGGAAGAGACCTGTGGTGGCTGTCCCCAATATTGGCTCTCCCCCTTTCTTTTCTTTCTTTTTTTTTTTTTTTTTGAGACAGAGTCTTGCTCTGTCACCCAGGCTGGAGTGCAGTGGCATGACCTCACTGCAACCTCTGCCTCTGAAGTTCAAGCAATTCTGCAGCCTCAGCCTCCCAAGAAGCTGGGACTACAGGTGTGTACCATCACGTCTGGCTAATTTTTGTATTTTTAGTAAAGACGGGGGTTTCACCATTTTGCCCAGGCTGGTCTTGAACTACTGACCTCGTGATCTGTCTGCCTCGGCCTCACAAAGTGCTAGGATTACAGGCATGAGACACTGCACCCTGCTTGTTAAGAGGACTTTTTATTGTGTACAGGGGCTGTGCAGAATGGAAACCACACTTGCCTGTCTCCCAGGAAGCCAGGTGAGGCTGTGTGCTGATTTCTGGCTGTGGCAGAAGAGATGCCTACAAATTTCAGGTTGACCATGTAAAGGTGAAGTTATCCCCTTCCCTTTTTTTCATCTGGAATGTGGTTGACCTGGAGGAGCCATTTCATGCTCTATTTTTAGATTGGTGTAAAAGCGTAATTGCAGTTTTTGCCATCACTTTTAATGCCAGGGAAGCCAGAAGAAAGTATCACAAACTGGGTGGCTTAAACAACAGAAACTGATTGTCTCACAATCCTGAGGCTGGAAGAAGGAAATCAGGGTATTAGCAGCTTGTTTCCTTCTGAGGGCTACGAGCAAAGGTTCTGTTCCCTCACCTTGGCTTGTAGATGGCCACCTTCCCTCTCCGCAGTTTCTCTGTGTCCCAGTTTCCACTTTATATAAGCACGCCAGTCAGGCTGGGCGCAGTGGCTCAGCCTGTAATCCCAGCACTTTGGGAGGCTGAGGCGGGCAGATCACCTGAGGTCGGGAGTTCGAGACCAACCTGACCAACATGGCAAAATGAGGTCTCTACACAAATACAAAAATTAGCCGGGCGTGGTGGCACATGCCTGTAGTTCCAGCTACTGGGGAGGCTGAGGCATGAGAATTGCTTGAACCTGGGAGGTGGAGGCTGCAGTGAGCCGAGATCGCGCCACTGTACTCCAGCCTGAGCGACAGCCAGGTAAAATGAAGCTGAGACCTGGGCTGCATTCCCAGACAGATAGCCAGTTAAGGTTAAGGCATTTTAGGTCACAGGATGAGATAGGAGATCCACACAAAATACAGCTCATAAAGACCTTGCTGATAAAACAGTTTGCAGTAAAGAAGCCGGCCAAAACCCTCCAAAACAAAGATAGCCATGAGAGTGACCTCGGGTCGTCCTGACTGCTACACTCCCACCAGCACCACGACAATTTACAAATGCCATGGCAACGTCAGGAAGTTACCCTATATGGCCTAAAATAAGGGGAGGCATGAATAATCCACCCCTTGTTTAGCATATCAGCAAGAAATAACCATAAAAAAGGGCATGTCTATGGAGTAACCATTCTTTATACCTTTACTTTCTTAATTAACTTGCTTTCACTTTCCTCTACGAACTCGCCCTGAATTCTTTCTTGCACAAGATCCAAGAACCCTCTCTTGGCATCTAGATTGGGACCCCTTTCCTGTAACATCGGGAAGGTATGGCACTGGCCGTGGGGAAAGGGCTGTGCCTGT
Source organism: Homo sapiens (assembly GCF_000001405.40). Lineage (NCBI taxonomy): Eukaryota > Metazoa > Chordata > Mammalia > Primates > Hominidae > Homo > Homo sapiens. The sequence goes on from NC_000001.11 coordinate 21,996,740, forward strand.
CCCCACTGCCATTGCTCAATAACCTCCTTGGATCCCAGCCGGGATGATGCCTTCCCTGGGACAAGAGATACCTGCATACTGTCCTAGCCCTGGGTTCCCATGGTGGCTTCTTTGTACCACAGGTGGGGCACCTGCAGGGCCTCCTTCCCCATCCCTGACACTGCTGACCCATCTGAGACAGCTGGGGCTGGTAGCTGGGAAATGTTGACCTGTAGTCATCAAAGAGATCAGAATCCGGTTTTTAAGAATTTATTCCAGCAAAAATCTGAGAATAGTCATCCAGAAACATGGGCTCCAGAGAAGAGGAGTAAGTGCTCCAAAGTTAAAAGTTAAAGTCCCGCCGGGCGTGGTGGCTCACGCCTGTAATCCTGGCATTTTGGGAGGCTGAGGCGGGCAGATCATTTGAAGTCAGGAGTTTGAGACCAGGCTGGCCAACCTGGTGAGACCCCATCTCTACTAAAAATACAAAAAATTAGCCGGGCGTGGTGGTACATGCCTGTAACCCCAGCTACTTGGGAGGCTGAGGCAGGAGAATTGCTTTAACCTGGGAGGCAGAGGTTGCAGTGAGCTGAGATCGTGCCATTGCACTCCAGTCTGGCACGACTCATCTCAAAAAAAAAAAAAAGAGCAAGACAAGAGCAAGACTCGTCTCAAAAAAAAAAAAAAATGCTGGGCGTGGTGGCTCACGACTGTAATCCCACACTTTGGGAGGCCAAGGTGGGTGGATCACCTGAGGTTAGGAGTTTGAGAACAGCCTGGCCAATGTGGTGAAACCCTGCCTCTACTAAAAATCCAAAAATTAGCCTGGTGTGGTGGCAGGTGCCTGTAATCCCAGCTACCTGGGAGGCTGAGGGCAGAAGAATCACTTGAACCCGGGAGGCGAAGGTGGCAGTGAGCCGAGATCTAGCCATTGCACTCCAGCCTGGGGGACAAGAGTGAGACTTCGTCTCCAAAAAAAAAAAAAAATTATGATCTTGCTCATACAGGCAGGAAACAAATTTAGTAGGACTATAACATTTCTATACCAGGCTGGTTTATGAGTTACAACAATATAGCTAGTTAAAATTTGTCTTCTTTTCCATACACTTTGTTTTATTTTCCTTTCCAATTTGTGTATTTAACATTCTATCTTAGATAATGTGATAGTCATGAAGTCTTTGTGTGAGAGAGAAAAGAAGGAAGTTAATCTATAATGAAGATTGACTGTTGAGAGGGAAACAGTCTGCCCTGTCACCCTTTAGTCATTTACAACATTTTATAAAACAATGTAGTTAAGGAAAAGCTAATCGATAACACAAACAAAAGTTATGCCTTCCTGTTTACATTACTCAGGTCCCATAATCTCATTCCCTTAAGTCTAAGGTATTTTAAAGTTCCAACAGCTTAGATTTTGAATATCTTATTTTCACAGAAACTACAGGGCAACAAGGCACCAGAGTCCCGGACTTAGGACCACTGTGTGTGATTCACCGTGAACACTGGCATATTAAAGGCTCTGAGAAGTCCTGTAGGAAAGGACAATTTGAACTTTGTTTGAGCTCATATTTTCCAATCCCATCTGACCTTTAGTTCTTCACTGAGTGCCCACTGGGTTATATTCTGGGAGCCGAGGCCACAGCAGTGAACAAAGCACACAAAACCCCCCGCCCCATGGGGGCTCCGTTCTAGTGGGTCCATTTATCATCAAACATCTATTAATATCTCTAGAATGTGCCCATCAGGACACCATCCAGATGCTGCTGCGCTTTTCCAGGCCACACAGAGGGGACACCCTCCAGGTGCATCCTGCATGAATATCAGGCTCAACCGTGCTTTCAGGGTAGGAAGCGGAGGGCATTTGAAGAGTCCTTTCCCTTCCTTCATTCATTTGTTGTCTCCTTGAATAAATGCTGTTGAAAACCTACCATGTGCCAGGCTCCCTTCTAGGTACTGGGAATCGGAAGATGAATAAGATAAAGTTTTGATCCTCAAAGAGCTTCCTGTGGGGTGGGAACTGGAAAGAATGGAACTCCCCCAGTCCCGGGAAAAAGGCTCACCAGCTTCCCCTCCGTCCCCTCGCCAGCTTCCCCGCCCTCCCTCTCCTTCCCAGACTGACCTCCTAATTTTGCATACTCTCCGACCTAACCTCCACCTCCCATTCAGGAAATGGCTTGCTTTGCTTCAGGCTGAGGCCTAAAGTAGATCTAACCCCTCCATCTTCCCTCTTGCGGGGCAGGTGTTGGAAGGAGGTTCATCTTCAGGGATTTCACTCAAGCTACTCCTAGGCCAGAAAACCCTCGGAGAGTTAATCAGCCGTGCAACTGCCAGTGTCAGTCCATAAGGCCTTGAAGTAACCAATCAGGCAGGGGTTGTGGTGGGACAGTTGGCGTCAGGGAGCCCCTCTCCCTGGGGACCCAGCAGAGCCGACAGAGAGGCTGGGACTTGCTCAAGGTCACCTGGGTAAGAAGCCGGGAAGGCTTCTCGGTTGAAGTTGGGGGAGGGAGAGTGGACCCTCCCGTGTCCGTGGGCTACCCTTCACCAGGCCAAGCAGTAACAAACCAGGGAAACTTGACCAAGTCCTGGCTTTTCTCTGGGTCATCATTTTCTTCTTCTTTTTTTTTTTTTTGTGACAGAGTTTTGCTCTTATTGCCCAGGCTGGAGTGCAATGGCACGATCTCGGCTCACCGCAAACTCCGCCTCCCAGGTTCAAGCGATTTTCCTGCCTCACCCTCCCTAGTAGCTGGGATTACAGGCATGTGCCACCACACCCGGCTAATTTTGTGTTTTTAGTAGAGATGGGGTTTCTCCATGTTGGTCAGGCTGGTCTCGAACTCCTGACCTCAGGTGGTCCACCCTCCTCGGCCTCCCAAAGTGTTGGGATTACAGGCGTGAGCCACTGTGCCTGGCCCATCATTTTCCCTTCTGTCAAATAAAAGTGGTTGGATTAGATCGCGTTTTAGGCCCTGTGGGTTTCAGACACTCTACAGTGGAATCTGGGCTTATCGGACCTAACCCTATCTCTCCCCAGCCACCTCCTGGGCCCCTCCCTCCTTCTTCCCTGGCGTAGGGTCTGGGGAATGGCTCAGAGCTTTCAAGCTGAGCAAACATGTCCGGGCACATAGGGAACAGAGGGTAGGGGAGGGCATGGCTATTTTTATCACAGTATAAAGGATTTTCACAGCTGCTTCCCTTGTGTCCACACACGTTCCACGAACCCAGGCTATCAGAGTGGCTAGGCTGTGATTGGAGGGGGTTCACTCCTAAAACAAAACCTGCTCAGCAAGATGCCTGACTTTCCCCCAGGAGGGATCTATTTAAATTGCCCCGTCTGGCCGGATGCAGTGGCTCATGCCTGTAATCCCAGTACTTTGGGAGGTCGAGGTGGGTGGATCACCAGAGGTCAGGAGTTGGAGACCAGCCTGGCCAACATGGTGAAACCCCGTCTCTACTAAAAATACAAAAATTAGCCGGGCGTGGTGGTGCGCGCCTGTAATCCCAGCTACTCAGGAGGCTGAGGCAGGAGAATCGCTTGAACCCGTGAGGTGGAGGTTGCAGTGAGCCAAGATCGCACCACTATAAAAAAAAAAATCTATTGTGTGAATATGCTACACATATTGACCTATGAACCTTGATGGACGTGGGAGTTGTTTCTAGGTCTTTGCTGTTGAGTTTTGAGAACAGGGGCTGCGGCAAACAATCTCATCCACACCTCCTGGAGCACATGCCTAAGGTTTTCTCACGGTATAGACCTAGGAGGGAAACGGCTGGATCACCTGTGAATTCCACTTTCGGGGTCGCCTGCTCTTTGACCTCATCTCCCACCCCTCTCTACTTTGACTACCAAGCTCCTGTCACACTGGCCTCCCCTTCCTTGAACAAGTCAAGCCCATTGCAGCCTCCAGAACTTCGCACCTGCTGTCGCCTCCCTTCAGAGCGCGTTTCTTTCAGGGATTCCCGTGGCTGGCTTTTACTTATCCTCAGGACTCCATCAGATATGACCTCCTCAGCCCAAATGTCACTTTCTCTGTCCCCCCCATCTAAATGACTTACTCCCATTCCTACCCCAATCACCTATGTTTCATTTTCTTTTCTTCTCTGTTTTTTTTTTTGGTTTTGTTTTTGTTTTTTGAGACAGTGTTGCTCTGTGGCCCAGGCTGGAGTGCAGTGGCATGATCTCGGCTCTCTGTAGCCTCTGCCTCTCCGCTCCCAGGTTCAAGTGATTCTCCTCCCTCAGCCTCCCAGTAGCTAGGATTACAGGTGCTGGGATTACAGGTGCTCACCACCACACCTGGCTAATTTTTGTAGTTTTAGTAGAGATAGGGTTTCATCATGTCTCGAACTTCTGACCTCAAGTGATCCTCCCACCTTGGCCTCCCAAAGCGCTGGGATCACAGGTGTGAGCCACCGCTCCTGGCCTAGACTCAAACTCTAGAAGGGCTGAGACCATGCATTTTTCACAGCTGTATCCCCTAGAACAGTGCCTGATACATAGAGAAAAAGTGCTCAACAAGAATTTTTTTGTGGAGGTGGGTACTAATATAAATCTCATGTTAGAGAGCAGAAAACTGAGACTCAGAGAGGTTAAGCCATGCGCCCAAAGTCGCAGAGCTTGAAGGTGGCAGAACCAGGATTGAACCGTGGTCTGCCCGGTTCCAGTGCCCCTGTTCTTTCCGAAAGAGGAGGTCTTGTCCTGACATGAGCTTTTCTTCCTGAACTCTTGTTATCAGTTGGCCACTCCACACCACCTGTCCAGCCACCTGTTGGAGGGAACGCTAGGTCCTCCCTTTGGCTGTCACTTGTCCATCTGCAGCAGGCGAGGACTGTGGCCTTGGACCATGGGAGACCTGGAGTTCCACCACCTGTTCTGGGAGTGGGGCCCAATCAGCCCCCCTGCTTACCTTCTGCCCTATATTAGAGCCCCAGGCTCTGTGCCCTTTTCCTATCATCACAAAACTCATGATGCTCCGGCTGCTCAGTTCCCTCCTCCTTGTGGCCGTTGGTAAGACCCCAACCTGTCTGTGTGCTCCCTGGGCTGCCCTGGACTAGGAATCCTTGAAATCTACCACTCGCTCTGAGTCCCATGACATGCTATGCCTGGTTCCACAGGAGGGGGTCTCAGCTTGTACCCGGGGGCATGACTGTAGGGGCTTTCAGCTTATGATGGAGCAGGAGAGTGGAGGGGAAGCTGTGGATGGTGAAAGACCCCCAAAGGGCTGTGGTGGAAGTCCTTGATGGGGGCAGTAAACAAAGTCAAACGGTTAAGAGTTTGGACTGTGTGGTTGGACTTCTTGGGTTGGAATTTCCACAGTTCTACTTACCACTCCAACTCTCCTCTCACTCCCCCTACCTGGCTCCATATTCTATGCTCTGGCCTTTTCCTGGTCTCTCTGCCATATTACATTCCAGCTCAGGGCCACCTCTTCCAAACAGCCTCCCTTGACTGACAATAATGGTAACAGATAACATTGATTGAGTGCTTACTATGCCAGGCAGAATGTTTAGGGATTTTCTTATACTTTCTCATGTAATTCTCACAACAGCCTCAGGAGATCAGTACTATCATTATCCCCCATTTTACTGACCCTCAAGGAAGTAAAGTAGCTTATCATAGAACAAAAGGCAGAGCTGCACTTAATGTTTTTATTTTTTGCTTTTTTTTTGTAGAGATGGGGTCTTGCTTTGTTGCCCAGACTGGTCTCAAAATCCTGGCCTCAAGCAATCCTACCACCTTAGCCTCCTGAGTAGCTGAGATTATAGGCACATGCCACCATACCTGGCTACTTTATTTTATTGTACTTTATTTTTCTAGAGATGAGGTCTTGCTATGTTGCCCAGGCTGGTCTCAAACTCCCGGGCTCAAGCGATCCTCCCGCCTCGGCCTCTCAGAGCACTAGGATTACAGGTGTGAACCACCACACACAGCCCAGAGCTGCACTTTGAACCCAGGAAGTCCTTCTTTAAAGCCTCCACTCTGTATGACAATAGCTCTCACTTTTTGAGGGCTCATCGAGGGCCAGGCATTGTTCTAAGTGTATCAAGCTCTTCAATCCTCCCAATGAAGGAGGCCACATTTGAATCTCTATCCCTGGACTCCTGGGATTCTGGAAAGCCCTGCTCTAGTTTAAATGTTCACTGTTCATATGTGGTTACTGAGGTCCAGAGGGCGAAAGGGGCTTGCATGGGGTCACACAGCCAGTTGAAGGCATGGCTTGGACTGGGACCCTGGCCTCCTCTTTGCTTTTGGGGACCCTCCAGCTGATTGACAGCTCTCCTCTCCCCTCTAGCCTCAGGCTATGGCCCACCTTCCTCTCACTCTTCCAGCCGCGTTGTCCATGGTGAGGATGCGGTCCCCTACAGCTGGCCCTGGCAGGTAAGAGCAATAGCAGCTGCCCTCATTCCCACCGTGGGCTCTGGACCCTAAGCTCTAATGGCGTGGCATCCAGCCTTGACACCATTGCTCCCTTTGCAATGTCCACTTCAGCTTCCAAAGACCAGGCAGCCCTTGGACCATCTACTTCACGGGGAGGTTTTGCCCGTTTCATCTGTAACCCTCACTGGGCTATTTGCAACTTAAAATTGGAATCGGGGGTGAAGGAAATGCTAAACTCAAGGAGTTGGCACACTGATGGTGGAATTTCAGGCACTGTGTTGACGAAGTGAGATTTTGAGAGACTCATTTCTAGATTCCTAGGATGATACTACAGGGCTTTGAGGTCTGAAAGCAATAAGGGAGTGAGGGATCTTGTAAGGCCAGTGGAGGGAAGCTCAGAAGGCTGGACTTGATGTGCTGTGGCTATTTAAATTTAATTAAATTAGGCCAGGTGCGGTGGCTCACGCCTGTAATCCCAGCTACTCAGGAGGCTGAGGCAGGAGAATCCCTTGAACCTGGGAGTTGGAGGTTGCAGTGAGACAAGATTGCACCACTGCACTCCAGCCCCGGGCAACAGAGTGAGACTCTGTCTCAAAAAAAAAAATTAAATTAAATTATTATTACTATTATTATTGAGACAGAGTTTCACTCTTGTTGCCCAGGCTGAAGTGCAATGGCACAATCTTGGCTCACTGCAAACTCTGCCACCCGGGTTCAAGCAATTCTCCTACCTCACCTCCCAAGTAGCTGGGATTACAGGCACGCGCCACCAAGCCCGGCTAATTTTGTATTTTTAGTAGAGACAGGGTTTCACTGTGTTGGCCAGGCCAGTCTGGAGCTTCTGACCTCAGGTGATCCACCTGCCTCGGCCTCTCAAAGTGCTGGGATTACAGGTGTGAGTCACTGCACCCAGCTGAAATTTACTTACATTAAAAATGTTAACAATTCATTTCCTCAGTGCTTTTTTCTTTTCTTTTCTTTTCTTTGTTTTTTTTTTTTTTGAGACAGGGTCTTGCTGTGTTGCCCAGGCTGGAGTGCAGTGGTGTGATCTCAGCTTACTGCAGCCTTGACCTCCTAGGTCCAAGCAATAATCCCACCTCAGCCTCCTGTGTAGCTAGGACTACAGGCATGCGCCACCATGCCCAGCTAATTTTTATACATTGTTGTAGAGATGGGGTCTCACTATGTTGCCCAGGCTTGCCTCGAACTTCTGAGCTCCAGTGATCCTCCTGTCTTGACCTCCCACAGTGCTGGGATTATAGGCGTAAGCCACCATGCTTGGCCTGCTTGCCACATTTCAAATGTTCAATAGTCACATGTGGCTAGTGGCTACCATATTGGACAGCAAAGATATAGAACATTCCCATGATTATGGGAAGTTTTATCGGAGAGGGTCAGCAGGCTTATTCTGTAAATGGCCAGAGAGTGAATATTTTAGGTTATTTGATGGTTTGGATAGTAATGACTTGACTGTGCCATGGTAGCATGAAAGCAGACACAAACAATACAGAAATGAATGTGACTATTTCCAGGACATCTTTATTACAAAAACAGACCAGAAGCCTGATGTGCCCCACTGTCCACAGTTTGCTAACCCTGGTCTAGATGGAGCTTTTGAAAATCAGAATGTGTAGGAAATGGGAAGAGAGGCAAAGAACTCATCAGGGTGAGCTGTGCTTCAGAAGGCTCAAGAGGCCTTGAAAGAGCTGAGGTTCAAAAGAGTCAGGGGGGCTGGGCGCGGTGGCTCACGCCTGTAATCCCAGCACTTCGGGAGGCCGAGGTGGGCAGATCACCTGAGGTGAGGAGCTCGAGACCAGCCTGGCCAACATGGTGAAACTCCGTGTCTACTAAAAATACAAAATTAGCCAGGCACGACGGCAGGTGCCTGTAATCCCGGTTACTGTGGAGGCTGAGACAGGAGAATCGCTTGAACCCGGGAGGCGGAGGTTGAAATGAGCTGAGATTGCCACCATTGCACTCCAGCCTGGGGAACAAGAGCAAAACTCCATCTCAAAAAAAAAAAAAACTCACAGGGCGAGGGGTGCGTGATAGAACAGAGGGCCTTCAAGGGCTGTTAAGAGACAGAAGGTAGAGAATGTTGGGGTCCCCAGGGAGGTCATAGTGCTGGTGTGGGGAGGCTTTGGAGAATCAGAATGTGACCCCCATGGAAAAGTGATAGGGCCACCACGGGCAGCTGCCCAGGTCGCAGGTTGTATGCTGCATATTTCAGTGGGTGCTCTCGTTTTCCATGTGAATGGCGCCCTCTAGAGTTGCACAGTGCACAACCTATACAGCCATTGGTGGCAACTCTCATGGTGGGGCCCAGCCCACTGAGGCCCTTTCCTCCTGGGCCACCAGGTTTCCCTGCAGTATGAGAAAAGTGGAAGCTTCTACCACACGTGTGGCGGTAGCCTCATCGCCCCCGATTGGGTTGTGACTGCCGGCCACTGCATCTCGTGAGTTCTCTACCCTGTCCCTGCCTGTGGCCCTGGGCAGCGGGGGAGAGTGGGTGATGATGGGGAAGGAGGGAGGTGAGCCAGTCAGGCCCCGACTGACCTCACCTCTGCCTGCAGGAGGGATCTGACCTACCAGGTGGTGTTGGGTGAGTACAACCTTGCTGTGAAGGAGGGCCCCGAGCAGGTGATCCCCATCAACTCTGAGGAGCTGTTTGTGCATCCACTCTGGAACCGCTCGTGTGTGGCCTGTGGGTGAGTGAATGCTCCGGTCTGGAACCCAGGGGCTCCTCTACTTGTCCCTCCATGACCCACAGCCAAGTCTGAGTAGGCTCCAACTCTGAGTAGGGACGTAGGGACATAGGGACATAGGGACAGGGGAGCTGAGTCCAGCAGCCTGTGCCCAGGTCCCACACACTGAGGATTGAAGCCAGCAGAGCCTTTAAGGACCATCACCACCAAACCTGTCTCCCTACAGAGGGGATGGCAGTGTTCAGGGAGGGGCAGGAACTCTGCCAAGGCCACTTGGCTAGTGGCTTCAGAGCTCAGGGTTCCTCTGGCATCCTTCCCCCATATCCGAGGGTTTCTCCATTCAATAGATGGCTCACCCAGTGCATCCTGGGCTCCCAGCACTATGGGCAAAAGGAGGAGCACTGGGCTGAGAGTCAGGCTCTGGCATTAACTCTGTGTATGGCCTGAGCAAGTCACTGGCCTTCTCTGGGCCTTAGTTTTGCCATTTGTCAAAAGGTGACCATGAAGTTGGGCTTCCTGGGTGGTGTGAAGGCCAAGGAGACAATCTTATGCCTTTCAAGTGTATGAAAAAATCTTAACAAATATTAGCCAGGCGTGGTGGCATGAGCCTGTAATCCCAGCTACTGGAAAGGCTGAGGCAGGAGAATCACTTGAACTCGGGAGGCGGAGGCTGCAGTGAGCCAAGATCATGCCACTGCACTCCAGCCTGGGCAACAGAGCGAGACTCTGACTCAAAAATAAATAAATGAATAAATAAAATTCCTCAGCCTTAAGAACGATTTGGGCCAGGTATAGTGGCTCATGCCTGTAATTCCAGCACTTCAGGAGGTGAAAGCAGGAGGATCCCTTGGCCCAGGAGGCTGCAGTGAGCTATGATTGTGACACTGCACTCCAGCCTGGGCAACAGACCGAGACTCTGTCTCAATAATAATAATAATAATAATAATAATGATGATGAAAGAGTGGATTTGGAGGGTAAAGAAGTTGGGGCATCTCAGAGGTGGAATAGCCTGGAGCAACGGCTAGAAGGTAGGACTTGGGCCGGCTGGAGGACCAGGCCCCGTGACTGTTCCCTCCTCCCCAGCAATGACATCGCCCTCATCAAGCTCTCACGCAGCGCCCAGCTGGGAGATGCCGTCCAGCTCGCCTCACTCCCTCCCGCTGGTGACATCCTTCCCAACAAGACACCCTGCTACATCACCGGCTGGGGCCGTCTCTATAGTACGTGCTGACTTCTCTAGCTGGCCACAGAGACAGTGGCAGAAAGACAGGGCCTGGGGGCTGCAGGTTGAAGGTAACACCAAGACCGGACCTTGTACTTTTCTCCCATTTCTCTCCAGCTGCAGCCTTCTTCCATCAACCTCCAAAACACGAATGTGGTCAATTGCACATGTTTTGGTATCTTCTGTGTGCCACGTGCTAGGGATGTAATGGTGCACAAAGCATGCAGGACCATTTAGCGGGTGGGAGGAGAGTCCTCATCAGGGCAGAAGAACTGTGGGCCTTGAATGCCCCCTTCCTCTGGGGCACCTAGCGGTGTGCCCCCAGACCCCTGACTCGGTGCTTTTTATCCTTGCAGCCAATGGGCCACTCCCAGACAAGCTGCAGCAGGCCCGGCTGCCCGTGGTGGACTATAAGCACTGCTCCAGGTGGAACTGGTGGGGTTCCACCGTGAAGAAAACCATGGTGTGTGCTGGAGGGTACATCCGCTCCGGCTGCAACGTGAGTCAGCTCTTACCTGCCCGAGGTGGTGCTGGGTGTGCAGGACCTTGGAATGGGGCCAACTGCCTGGAAGGTGGAGGAAGGATCTTGCCTGCTTGCCCCATTCAGCCTCCAGGCCAGGCAGGACTTGGAGGAAATCAGCGCAGTCCAGACACAGAGCCCAGGCCTGGGAGTCAGGACCCCCGGGTTGCAGTCTCAGCTCACACACTGACATGACTTGGGACAAGTCACTGTGTCTCCCTGGTCCTCAGGCTTCCGCATCAGCACAGCAGGAGATACTGGTCCCATGACCTCTAACGCAGGTCAATTCTGTGGTTCTAAAGTTATAATTAACCATTAAGAATACCATCATTGTTCTGGGCACAGTCCCTCCTGCCTATAATCCAAGTGCTTTGGGAGGCTGAGGTGGGAGGATTGCTTGAGGCTAGGAGTTTGAGACCAGCCTAGGTAATATAGTGAGATGCCCATCTACAGAAAAACTTTTTTTACTTAGTCAGGCATGGTGGCACTCGCCTGTAGTCCCAACTACTTGATAGGCTGAGGTGGGAGGATTGTTTGAGCCTGGGAGTTCAAGCTCACAGTGGCTATGATTTTTGCCACTGCACCCAAGCCTGGCGACACAGCAAGACGTTGTCTCTTTTTTTTTTTTTTTTGAGACAGGATCTTGCTCTGTTGCCCAGGCTGGAGTGCAGTAATGCCATCATAGCCCACTGTAGCCTTGCCCTCCTGGGCTCAAGCAACCCTCCAATGTCAGCCTCCCAAGCAGCCAGGAGTACAAGTGTGTGCCACAATGCCTAGCTAATTTTTAAATTTTTTGTAGAGATGAGGTCTCACCATGTTGCCCAGGCTGGTCTCTAACTCTTGGGCTCAAGTAATCCTCCTGCCTTGGCCTTCCAAAGTGTTATGTTTACAGATGTGAGCCACTTTCCTGGCCAAGACCTTGTCTAAGAAAAAAAAACAAAGGCTGGGCGCGGTGGCTCACGCCTGTAATCCCAGCACTTTGGGAGGCCGAGCCGGGCGGATCACGAGGTCAGGAGATCGAGATCATCCTGGCTAACATGGTGAAACCTCGTCTCTACTAAACACACAAAAAGTTAGCCGGGTGTGGTGGTGGGCGCCTGTAGTCCCAGCTACTCGGGAGGCTGAGGCAGGAGAATGGTGTGAACCCAGGAGTTGGAGCTTGCCGTGAGCCGAGATCGCGCCACTGCACTCCAACCTGGGTGACAGAGCGAGACGCTGACTCAGAAAAAAAAAAAATACTATCAAATACCCTCATTGTATTGTAATTGAGTATGAATTAATAATTAACTATGGTGCCACTAATAAGAACTATGTTTATCGAGTGCTTCTTCTCTACTGGATATCGTGCTAAGATCGTGCATCATCTCATGTAATTCCCTAGGCTCTTGGACAGATACTACTATTCCCTATCACAAATGAGTCAGCTGGCTGGGCGTGGTGGCTCACACCTATAATCCCTTTGGGAGGCCCCGGCAGGTGGATCACCTGAGGTCAGGACTTTGAGACTAACCTGGCCAACATGGTGAAATCCCATCTCTATTAAATATGGCTGGGTGCAGTGACTCACGCCTGTAATCCCAGCACTTCGGGAGGCTGAGGCGGGCGGATCACGTGGTCAGGAGATCGAGACCATCCTGGCTAACACGGTGAAACCCCGTCTCTACGAAAAATACAAAAATTAGCCGGGCGTGGTAGTGGGCACCTATAGTCCCAGCTACTTGGGAGGCTGAGGCAGGAGAATGGCGTGAACCCTGGAGGCAGAGCTTGCAGTGAGCTGAGATCCTGCCACTGTACTCCAGCCTGGGCGTCAGAGTGAGACTTCGTCTCTAATAAAAAATAAATAAATAAATAAACAAAAATTAGCCGGGTGTGGTGGCAGGTGCCTGTAATCCCAGCTACTTGGGAGGCTGAAGCAGGAGAATCACTTGAACCTGGGAGCCGGGAGACGGAGGTTGCAATGAGCCAAGCTTGCGCCACTGCACTCCAGCCTGGACAGCAGAGCGAGACTCCATCTAAAAAAATAAAAATAATAAATGATAAAAAAATGAGCGAGCTAAGGCTCAGAGGTGTCAAGTAATGTCAGAGTTTCTTGAAATCCCTAGAATTCAGAACCAGTTCCGTAAACCTCAGACATGGCTCAGCCACCCACTCCTCTCTGACGGTTCCAGGGTGACTCTGGAGGACCCCTCAACTGCCCCACAGAGGATGGTGGCTGGCAGGTCCACGGTGTGACCAGCTTTGTTTCTGCCTTTGGCTGCAACTTCATCTGGAAGCCCACGGTGTTCACTCGAGTCTCCGCCTTCATCGACTGGATTGAGGAGGTGAGGAGGGCAGGGCGGCCCGGAGGGCTTTAGGGTGGTGGCTCTTCTGAGAGGTGACAGGTGAGAAACATCGGATCCTGGGGAGGGCCTGAAAGGATCCTAGAAGCTCAGTGGGGAAGGGCCCTTGGGGACATTCCAGAAAGGCTTGGGGATGTTTTCTGATACAGTGTGACCCCAGGAACTTGATGGCTTCTGGGTGGTGCTTGGAACTACAGCTGAACTTCCTTATTTCAACAAGTATTTATAAAGTATCTCCTCTGGTCTTGTCCTCTCTTGTCAGGGAGGATAGAGAGACATGCCAGACAAGAGGCTGCCTGGTGGGGGACAGGTGATTACATGAATGAGAACGATGCAGTCTGATGAGAGCCGAGAGAGGGGAGTCCAGGCCCCAGACTTCATCTGGGGATGGGTGATCAGAGAGGACTAATAACGCTCATGGTAACAGTAATAGCTAAACAACAAAAAAAAAGAGAGTAATAGCTGGGCATGGCATAGTCATGCCTGTAATCCCAGCACTTTGGGAAGCAGAGGCAGGTGGATCACGAGGTTAGGAGTTCAAGACCAGCCTGGCCAAGATGGTGAAACCCTGTCTCTACTAAAAATACAAAAATTAGCCGGGCATGGTGGTGGGTGCCTGTAATCCCAGCTGCTTGGGAGGCTCAGGCAGAGAATTGCTTGAACCTGGGAGGTGGAGGTTGCAGTTAGTCGAGATCATACCACTGCACTGCAGCCTGGGTGACAGAGCGAGACTCCGTCTCAAAAAAAAAAAAAAAAAAAAAAGAGTAATAGCTAGCTGGGTGCAGTGATGCCCACCTGTAGTCCCAGCTACTTGGGAGGCTGAGGCAGGAGGATCGGTTGAGCCCTGGAGTTCTGGGCCATAGTGCGCTATACCCATCAGGTTCTGCACCAAGTTTGGCATCAATGTGGTGACCTCCTGGGAGTGGGGACCACCAGGTGGCCTAAGGAGGGGTGAACTGTCCCAGGTCAGAAACAGAGCAGGTCAAAACTCACATGCTGAAAAGTAGTAGGATCACACCTGTGAATAGCCACTGTACTCCAGCCTGGGCAACACAGCAAGAGCCTCTCTCTTAAAAAAATGAAAATAAACTAAATAAAATAAAACAGTAGTGCTTGCTTTGGCAGCACATGTACTAAAATTGGAATGATATAGAGATTAGCACGGCCCCTGCGCAAGGATGACATGCAAAGTCATGAAGCCTTCCAATAAAAAAACATTTCTGGTCGAGTGCAGTGGTTCATGCCTGTAATCCCAGCACTCTGGGAGGCCAAGGCCCATGGATCACCTGAGGTCAGGAGTTCAAGACCAGCCTGGCCGACATGGTGAAACCCCATCTCTACTAAGAATACAAAAAATTAGCCGGGCGTATTGGTGCATGCCTGTGGTCCCAGCTACTCAGGAGGCTGAGGCAGGAGAACTGCTTGAATCTGGGAGGCGGAGGTTGCAGTGAGCCGAGATTACGCCACTGCACTCCAGCCTGGGTGACAGAGCAAGACTCCATCTCAAAAACAAAAACAAACAAACAAACAAAAAAACAGTGATGATTTATAGACCATTTAATCCCTTGGTTCCCTGACCCATGTTAAAAAAATATATATATAAGGCCAGGCACGGTGGCTCATGCCTGTAATCCAAGCACTTTGGTAGGCCAAGGCAGGTGGATCACAAGGTCAGGAGTTCGAGACCAGCCTGGCCAATATGGTGAAACCCTGTCTCTACAAAAATATAAAAAAATTGGCCAGGCGTGGTAGTGCGTCGCTGTAATCTCAGCTACTTGGGAGGTTGAGGCAGAAGAATTGCTCGAACTCAGGAGGCAGAGGTTGCAGTAAGCTGAGATTGTGCCACTGCCCTCCAGCCTCGGTGACAGAGCAAGACTCTGTCTTAAAAAAAAAAAAAGGCCGGGCGTGGTGGCTCACACCCGTAATCCCACCACTTTGGGAGGCCGAGGTGGGCAGATCACGAGGTCAGGAGATTGAGACCATCCTGGCTAACACGGTGAAATCCCATCTGTACTAAAAATACAAAAATTAGCCAGGCATGGTGGCGTACGCCTGTAGTCCCAGCTACTTGGGAGGCTGAGGAAGGAGAATGGCATGAACCCAAGAAGTGGAGGTTGCAGTGAGTTGAGATCGTGCACTCCAGCCTGGGCAACAGAGTGAGACTCTGTCTCAAAAAAAACCAAAAAAACAAAAAAAATATAGATTTTGTTTATATATATACACATACATACGTATATATATATACACAAACACATACGTATATATACACACAAATACGTATATATATACACACACACATATACACACACATGCATATACATATATATATACATACACATCCCATCTAAATTTGTGCTGGGCATTGTAAAGAGAACCTTAGTTAACAATTTAATCAAGAACCCCCCCATGAGGTAAGTTCTATCCCTACTACATAGAGGAGGAAACTGAGGCTCAGAGAGGTCAATCCCTCTCCCAGGGTCACACAGCAGGGCTGGAAGTTGAACCCAGTTTCATCTGACTCCAGAACCTGTGCTCCTAAATTGACTATTCTGTCTGCCCCCCCAACTTTTCCAGACCATAGCAAGCCACTAGAACCAAGGCCCAGCTGGCAGTGCTGATCGATCCCACATCCTGAATAAAGAATAAAGATCTCTCAGAAAATTCCAAGTTGAATCTTTCTTTCTTTGTTGACTCACCTCTTCCCCTCTGGCCTGTTCCTAAAATCTTAGATCTCATATGCAGAGACAGGACCAGGTCCAACCCTTTCATACGAAGATGAGGGAAAAATGATGCTGGGAGAGAAGGGAGTTGCTGTGCGGTGACCTGACCATCCTGGTTTGCCTGGAACTTCAGGAGTGAAGACACTGGACATTTAATGCTAAAACTGGGAAGGTACCAGGAAAAATGGGACAAGTTGGTCGCCTTAGTATATAGTCGCACATAAGTCAGTAGCTTTTCAATGCAGGCATATAAACATGGTAAAACTCTGCAGATAAACAGACCCTGCCAGCCCTTGAGGAGGCTCATGGTAGAGTGGGAAGGACAATGTGTGTTCTGCTTCCACTGATGGGCTGGGGGCTTTGGTATTCGTCCATTCAACAAACACTTATTCCTTGTTTTAGAGGAGGGCTCAGAGGGGTAAGGAGACATGGTTCCTGCCCTGAAGTGGCTCATTATTTAAAGATAGCTCTCTTAGTCTGTGTTCATACTGCTATAAAGAACTGCCCGAGACTGGGTAGTTTATAAAGGAAAGAAGTGTAATTGACTCACAGTTCAGCATGGCTGGGGAGGCCTCAGGAAACTTAAAATCATGGTGGAAGATGAAGGGGAAGCAAGGGACCTTCTTTACAAGGTGGAAGGAAGGAAAATTGCCTAGCAAAGGGGGAAGAGCCCCTTATAAAACCATCAGATCTGGCGAGAACTCACTCACTATCATGAGAACAGCATGGGGGAACCGCCCTATGATTCAATTACCTTCTCCCTTGACACATGGCGATTATGGGGATTACAATTCAAGGTGAGATTTGGGTGGGGACACAAAGCCTAACCATGTCATGAGCATATCACGGTCATTCATTAAACATGTATTAGGTACCTGCCTTGTGGCAAGTTCAGGGCTGGAAAAACAGAGACAAGTCAGGCAACCCTAGGAAGAGCCCTTACTGAAGGGGGGAGAAGACACACACACAGGTACACAGGTATACACACACAGGTACACACAATGCTGCGCACGAGCCCAGAGCCAGCAAACAGTTGAGTTTTGAAAGGAAGAACGCTGGCCAGGTGCAGTAGCTCATGCTTGTAATCCTAGCACTTTGGGAGGCTGAGGCAGGTAGATCAACTGAGGTCACGAGTTCGAAACTCCTTCTTAAAAAAAAAAAAGAATGCTGTTACACAGACAAAAGCAACATAAAACAAGGGAGTCTGGCTGGGCCTGGTGGTTCATACTTGTAATCCCAGCACTTTGGGAGGCCAGGGTGGGTGGATCACTTGAGCCCACGAGTTTGAGACCAGCCTGGGAAACATGGTAAAACCCCATCTCTACAAAAAACATAAAAATTAGCCAGGTGTGGTGGTGGGTACTTGTAGTCCCAGCTACTCGGAAGACTGAGGTGGAAGAATCACTTGAGTCCAGGAGGCAGAAGCTGCAGTGAGCTGAGACTGTGACACTGTACTCCAGCCTGGGCACAGAGCAAGACTCTGTCTGAAAAAAAAAAAAAAAAAAAATTCAACGGAATCTCTTTCCTCATATTTCTCTTTGAACACCATGAAAGGGAAGATTGTCCCAGCAAGGACACACACAAATGACTTTGATATTAATGGCCCATTTGTAGCCTCCCTTTATACTTTCAGCTACAACTGAAAAAGATGCAACATAGAGAATAATATAGCAGAGACTCAGATAGGTATCCTCCCTTCAGAATTAACAAATTTCACATTTTGCTTCATATTCTAAAAAATATTAATTACAATCATTCACTAAAAAAAATCAAGAGATCTATAATTTTTTAGATCCAGCCTGTCACCCAGGCTGGAGGGCAGTGGCACAATCCTGGCTCGCTGCAACCTCCGCCTCCCAGGTTCAAGCGATTCTCCTGCCTCAGCCTTCCGAGTAGCTGGGACTACAGTCACCCACCACCATGCCTGGCTTATTTTTTTTGTTTTTGAGTTGGAGTCTCGCTCTGTCGCCCAGGCTGGAGTATAATGGTGTAATCTCAGCTCACTGCAACCTCTGCCTCCCGGGTTCAAGCGATTCTCCTGCCTCAGCCTCCCAAGCAGCTGGGACTACAGGCGCACGCCACCACGCTCAGCTAATTTTTGTATTTTTAGTAGAGATGAGGTTTCTCCATGTTGCCCACGCTGGTCTCGAACTCCTGGCCTCAAGTGATCACCCGCCTTGGTCTCCCAAAGTGCTGGGATTACAGGCGTGAGCCATTGTACCTGGCCAGGGTCTATAAATTTGGAAAGGGGATTTTATATCTTATAAAGGGTTACAGCCTGCATGGTGGCCATGCTGACAGGCTGGGAAGTGTAGCCTCCTGCAAAGAGGAGAAACAGGCACTCCAAAGGAGGAGGGATTGGAGTGGAAGCTTGAAGCTGAAAGAGTTGGCTAAACATACATATTCAACAGGTTATAGAAGGAGCTGTGGGCTGGGCGCAGTGGCTCATGCCTGTCATCCCAGCACTTTGGGAGGCTGAGGTGGGTGGATCACTTGAGGTCAGGAGATCGTGACCAGCCTGGCCAACATAGTGAAACCCTGTCTCTACTAAAAAATACAAAAATTAGGCAGATGTGGTGGCGGGTGCCTGTAATCCCAGCTACTCGGGAGGCTGAGGCAGGAGAATTGCTTGAACCTGGGAGGTAGATGTTGCAATGAGCTGAGATCGTGCCATTGCACTCCAGCCTGGGTGACAAGAGCAAAACTCCGTTTCAAAAAAAAAAGGAGCTGTAAATATTAACAAAGGGGGTCCTGACACATGTGTACTGAACAAACGTATGTTACATGTGTCCCATGTTCACTGTGGGGTGGAGACTTGACATTTAAATGCATTACTGCTGGGCATGGTGGCATGTGCCTATAGTCCCCGCTACTCAGGAGGTGGAGACAGGAGGGTAGCTTGAAGCTAGGAGTTCAAGGCTGCAGTGCACTATGATCGCACCTGTGAATAGCCACTGCACTACAGCCTGGACAACATAGTGAGACCCCACCTCTTTAAGCATGAAAACAAGACCCTGTGCATCAAAAGGTGAAGCAGGAACATGAAGGTACTCAAGTGCAGCTTCTGTAAACCAGACAGAACCAGTCCATGCTCTGTGGTCTTCTTATCAGGAGAAAGTTACTGAAATCTGTGTCCTTACCAATCAAAGCTGGAGTTATGGCTTTGGAGCAGGAGCAGGGGGTCTGTTAGGGTCTGGTGGTGGATGAGCTGCAGTTGTTTTAATATTATTGATCTCAAGGCCAGTGCTTGTTGAGCTGCTAGAGAAAAGGAAAAATCTCAGGCAGCTGGGAACGGTGGCTCATGACTATAATCCCAGCACTTTGGGAGGCTAGGGTAGGAGGACTGGAGGACTGCTTGAACCCAGGGGTTTGAGACCAGCCTGGGCAACATGGCAAAACCCCATCTTAGCTGGGTGGGGTGGCACATGCCTGTAGTCCCAGCTACTTGGGAGGCAGAGGTGGGAAGATCACTTGAGCCCGAGAGGTTGAGGCTGCAGTGAGCTGTGATTGCACCACTGTACCACTCCAGCCTGGGTGACAGATTGAGACCTTGTCTCCAAAAAAAGAAACAAAGAAAGAAAAATCTTGTGGCAGTTAGAACATAGCTTATTTTTTTAAGTGTAGGGGTCTTAACCCTTATCTGGCATGACCTTAGCTCTTGTTATAATTTGGTATCTTACTGCCACTGAGAATCTGTTCTGTCAGTTGTAAGATCTCTATTTTAACATTAATTTTTTTTTGCGGGGGTTGGGGACGGAGTCTCACTCTGTCACCCAGGCTGGAGTGCAATGCCGCGATCTCGGCTCACTGCAACCTCTGCCTCCTGGGTTCAAGTGATTCCCCTGCCTCAGCTTCCTGTGTAGCTGGGATTACAGGCATGGGCCACCATGCCCGGCTAATTTTTTGTATTTTTAGCAGAGATTGGGTTTTGCCATGTTGTCCAGGTTGGTCTCAAACTGCTGACCTCAGGTGATCCGCCCACCTTGGCCTCCCAAAGTGCTGGAATTACAGGCATAAGCCACAGCGCCCGGCCTAATTTTTAACATTAATGCTGGTCAGTTGTGTCTACACCACCAAAAGGAAGTCTAATGAGGTGTGCCTGACTCCCATCCTGTCATGGCTGGGAACTCAAATTTTAAGATTTCTCTGGGGTCCTCTTGGCCAAGAGGAGGCCCATTCAGTGGTTGAGAGGGCTTAGGATTTTATTTCCAGTTTTCACAGTTAAGGTGGAAGCACCTTTGTATTCTTCCCAAAAGTCATCACCATGATGGACAGAGGGTTTTTATCCATCAATTACTGCTTTTGCTTTTGGGCACATAATAGGATACCTCTTTCTTGCCCCCTTAAAGTTAGGTTTGGGCCAGGCACAGTGGCTCACACCTATAATCCCAGCACTTTGGGAGGCCGAGGTGGGAGGATCACTTAAGCCTGGGCGTTCAAGACCAGCCTGGGAGTTCAAGGCCAGCCTGGGCAACATAGAGAGATGCCGTCTCTACAAAAAGTAAAAAATTTGCCAGGCATGGTGGCACATGCCTGTAGTCCCAGCTACTTGTGAGGCTGAGGGTAGGAGGATCGCTTGAGCCAAGGACATTGAGGATTGAGTGAGCCGTGATAATGCCACTGCACTCCAGCCTGAGTGACAGAGGGAGACTCTGTCTTAAAGAAAATAATAATAATAATACATCTATCACCTTGGCTGGATGGGATGGCTCATGCCTGTAATGCCAACACTTTGGAGGCCAACGCAGGAGGATTGCTTGAGCCCAGGAGTTTGATACCAGCTTGGACAACATAATGAGACTTCGTCTCCACTAAAAATAAAATAAAATAATTAGCTAGGCATGGTGGCATCTGACTGTAGTCCCAGCTACTCGGGAGGCTATAGTGGGAGAATTGTTTCAGCCTGGGAGGTTGAGGCTTCAGTGAGTGGTGCTCACATACTGTACTCCAACCTGGGTGACCGTGAGACCCTGTCTATCTGGGGAAAAAAAAAAAAAAGTTGGGTCTGGCCATTAGGCTTGCCAAGGTGAAATATTGAGAGACAAAGCAATTTGTCAGGCTCTCGTTCTCTCTGCTGTGACATCTGGTTGTTGCTGGTCAGCCTGGTCCCAGAGTGAGATGTGAACTGGAGGCTCTGCTAACCCCTGATGGACATGTAGCCCAACCATGAAATAAACTCTGTTATAAGCCACTAAGACTGGGTGTTATTTATCACAGAGGCATGGACCTAACCTATCCTAACTGATAATATGAGTTTGGTGTTTGTCCTTCTATTCTGTGCTGTTATGTTTTTATCATATATATAAATATCCAAAACCAATATATTGCATTGTTTTGGTTTTTAAAAATACATGCACAGCTTCATGCTGTATGGACTGTCCTGCAAATTGCTTCTTTCACTCAATGTTGTGGGTTTTTTTTTTTTTTTTTTTTTTTTTTTTTTTGAGATGGAGTCTCA
This sequence comes from Homo sapiens, assembly GCF_000001405.40. Lineage (NCBI taxonomy): Eukaryota > Metazoa > Chordata > Mammalia > Primates > Hominidae > Homo > Homo sapiens. The sequence continues at coordinate 22,018,054 of NC_000001.11, forward strand.
TTCTGTCACCCAGGCCAGAATGCAGTGGTGCCACCTCGGCTCACTGCAACTTCCATCTCCCGGGTTCCAGTGATTCTCCTGGCTCAGCCTCCTGAGTAGCTGGTACTACAGGTGCCCACCACCATGCCCGGCTAATATATATATATATATATATATATATATATATATATATATATATGCACACACACATATATATATATATATATTTAGTAGAGATGGGGTTTCACCATGTTGGCCAGGGTGGTCTCGAATGCCTGACCTCAAGTGATCTGCCTGCTTCAGCCTCCAAAAGTGCTGGGATTATAGGCATGAGCCACCCCGCCTGGCCTTAATGTTGTGTTTTTGAGGTCTATCTCTAGTTCGTTGCTGCTGTTTGTAGCATATCCCATTGCCTAAATTTTTATTATTCTTTATTCCTTCCTCATGGATATTTAAAGCAGAGCTAATTTTTTGTGATTGTGAACAGTGCTTCAGTGGATGTCCTTGGACATGTCTCCTGGTGCACATGTAGGAGAGTTTCTCTAGGGTATATTCCAAGAAATGGACATGCTGACTGGGAGGACATGCTCATTTTCAACTTTACCAATTGCCAAATTGCTCTCCAAAGTGATTGTATCAACAATACTCCTTCAAATTCTCTTTTTTTTTTCTTTTCCCATCCACTGCCCCTACACGTTACAAACTGGCCCCATTTTTCTCCTAAACCACTTCTGGCATCTCAGCCGTCCCCTACAACTCTCTTCCCATCCTTACTCTCACTCCAGCTCTTTTTTTTTTGAGACGGAGTCTCACTCTGTCTCCTAGGCTGGAGTGCAGTGGCGCAATCACGGCTCACTGCAACCTCCACCTCCTGGGTTCAAGTGATTCTCCTGCCTCAGCCTCCCAACTAGCTGAGATTACAAGCACACGCCACTATGCCTGGCTAATTTTTTTGTATTTTTAGTAGAGACGGGATTTCACCATGTTCTCCAGGCTAGTCTTGAACTCCTGACCTCAGGTGATCTGCCTGCAAGCTCCAGGTCTTGCAAAGCCTGAGAACTGGTATGGCAAGGGCAGAGTGAGAGCAGGGAAGAAATGGAGTCAAGCTGAACAGAGACTTCCGCATCATGAGGGTGGTGGGAGGTGGGGAGGAAGTTCTGAAACCACACACATTTATCATTGTTATTGAGTCAGACAGACAGTGCCTGCTGACATGTAACTGTCAGGCGTTGCCAAGGCACAGTAGGGTTGCAAAGGCTGAGTGTCCACTTCCTCCCAATGAGTCAGGAAGAACCCTTGGATAATTCTCCAAAATAGTTTCAGAGTAAAGGGCAGTGGGATATATGTAATTTCATAATGTGGCTGGCCAGCGGGCCCCCAAGGGACCTCTACCCATCCTCAGAGGGAGGCTGGGAGCTGTGATGACCCAGTTCTCTCCACACATGGGCAGCAGAGAGTCAGGGAATCTTGCCTAAAACTGCCAGCATTCAATTTTCCTTTGTTCAAATCTCCAAGTCTTATCAATTCAAGTCTTTTAAAACCCATATAGTCAATAACTTAATTCTTTGAATAATGATTAGAATGTCAAGGCCAATAATTTTTTGCTTTTGATTTCTAAATCATGAAAAGCCAGCAATGCATTTTTCAAGAAGGCACAATGTCAATACTTCAATTCCTTTTTTTTTTGAGACGGAGTCTCACTCTGTCACCCAGGCTGGAGTGCAGTGGTGCAATCTTGGCTCACTGCAACCTCCACCTCCCAGGTTCAAGCGATTCTCCTGCCTCAGCTTCCTGAGTAGCTGGGATTACAGGCCCACCACCACGCCTGGCTAATTTTTGTATTTTTAGTAGAGACGGGGTTTCACCATGTTGGCCAGGCTGGTCTTGAATACCTGACCTTGTGATCTGCCCTCCTCAGCCTCCCAAAGTGCTGGGATTACAGGCATGAGCCACCCCGCCTGGCTGGTTTGTAGAATTCTTTATATATTCTGGACATAGGTCAGATGATTGAGATCAAATGTGAATCTGGGCTGGGCGCAATGGCTTGCATCTGTAATCCTAGCACTTTGGGAGGCCGAGGCAAGTGGATCACTTGAGGTCAGGAGTTCAAGACCAGCCTGGCCAACAGGGTGAAACCCTGTCTCTACTAAAAATTTAAAAATTAGCTGGGTGTAGTGGCACTTACCTGTAGTCTCAGTTACTCAGGAGGTTGAGGCAGGAGAATTGCTTGAACCTGAGAGGTGGAGGTTGCAGTGAGCCAAGATCATGCCACTGCACTCCAGCCTGGGACACAGAGCAAGACTCTCTGTCAAAAAAAAAAAAAAAAAAAAAGGTGAGGCCGGGCGCAGTGGCTCATGCCTGTAATCCCAGCACTTTGGGAGGCCGAGGTGGGCAGGTCACCTGAGGTCGGGAGTTTGAGACCAGCCTGACCAACATAGAGAAACCCCATCTCTACTAAAAATACAAAATTAGCTGGGCGTGGTGGCAAATGCCTGTAATCCCAGCTACTAGGGAGGCTGACGCAGGAGAATCACTTGAACCTGGGAGGTGGAGGTTGCAGTGAGCCGAGATCACACCATTGCACTCCAGCCTGGGCAACAAGAGCAAAACTCCGTCTCAAAAAAAAAAAAAAAAAAAAAAAAGGTGAATCTGTCAAACTTTCTTTTGTCAATTAACATCAAAGACGTAGTGCTATCCCAGCACTTTGGGAGGCTGAATTAGCTGGGCGTGGTGGTGGATGCCTGTAATCCCTGCTACTCTGGAGGCTGAGGCAGGAGAATTGCTTGAACTAGGAAGGTAGAGGTTGCAGTGAGTCAAAATCACGCCACTGCACTCCAGCCTGGGCCAAAGAGCGAGACTGTCTCAAAGAAAAAAAAAAAAAAAGACAGTGCTGAGAAATCTTGTTCTCTGCCTGGCCAACATGGTGAAACCTCATCTCTACTAAAATACAAAAATTTGCTGGGTGTGGTGGCGGGCACCTGTAATCCCAGCTACTCAGGAGGCTGAGGCAGGATAATTGCTTGAACCCAGAAGACGGAGGTTGCAGTAAGCCGAGATCGCACCATTGCACTCCAGCCTGGGCGACAAGAGTGAAACTCCACCTAAAAAAAAAAAAAAAAAAAAAAAAAAAAGGAATCTCATTCTCTAAAATCAGAGACTGTCAGAAACTTTGCTGTTTGAAATCACATCAGTGAGAGCAGAACATCCCACGCTTCTCTAGTGGGTCAGAAGAGCCAGGTTTGATACAGAGACATAGCCTGTATCTACCCAGATGCAGAGCTTCAGATAAAGGGTTTTTGGACACAATAGTCTATATTTGTCTTACCTTTGTGGTGTCCAAGGAAACAAGACTCTGAGTCTGATTCTCAGCCCACGCCAGATGTTAACCCCTTTACACATTGCCAGCTTTGCTTTGCACCTATCAACACGGCTTCATTTCAATTTCACCTAAACTCCAACCTCCTCCAAATCCTATGATAATCCCATTTCTTCTTTTGTTTGGTGAGACCCTCCACAGTTTCTCTGGTGTGTTGTCTCTCTTGCTACATCAAGTTAATAAGCCTAATTTTGTTAAACTACAGCTACATCCCTAGTGGTCTTTTTCAGATTGGATTTGTCATAAAATTCAGGCTTTCTCTTTTCTTTTTTTGCTTTTGAGATGGAGTCTCACTCTGTTGCCCAGGCTGGAGTGCAGTGGTACAATCTTGGCTCACTGCAATCTCTGCCTCCCCGGTTCAAGCAATTCTTCTGCTTCAGCCTCCCAAGTGGCTGGGGTCACAGGCATGCACCACCACACCCAGCTAATTTTCTATTCTTAGTAGAGATGGGTTTTCACCATGTTGCTTAGGCTGGTCTTGAACTCCTGACCTCAGGTGATCCACCCGCCTCAGCCTTCCAAAGTACTGGGATTACAGGCGTAAGCCACCATGCCCAGACCTTTTTTTTTTTTTTTTTTGAGACTGAGTTTTGTTCTATCCGCCCAGGCTGGAGTGCAGTGGCTCAATCACAGTTCACTGCAGCCTCAATCTACTGGGCTAAAGTGATCCTCCCACTTCAGCCTCCCAAGTAGCTGGGACCACAGATGTGCACCACCACACCAGGCTGATTTTTAAAAAATTTCTGTAGAGATGGGTCTCACTATGTTGCCTTGGTTGGTCTCAAACTCCTGGGCTCAAGGGATCCTCCTGCTTCAGCCTCCAAAAGTGTTGGGATTACAGGTGTGAGCCACCACGCCCAGCTGCTCTGTTCCTTTACTCACTCATTGATCCATTCATTCAGTGTTTGTCCAGCCTATGCTCAGTTTGTTGTTGTTGTTCGTTTTTTTTGAGATGGAGTTTCACTCTTGTCGCCCAGGCTGGAGTGCAATGGCGTGATCTCAGCTCACTGCAACCTCCGCCTCCCAGGTTCAAGCAATTCTCCTGCCTCAGCCTCCTGAGTAGCTGGGATTACAGGCGCCTGCCACCATGCCTAGCTAATTTTTGTATTTGTAGTAGAGACGGGGTTTCACCATGTTAGCCAGGCTGGTCTCGAACTCCTGACCTCAGGTGATCCGCCTGCCTCGGCCTCCCAAAGTGCTGGGATTATAGGCGTGAGCCACTGCGCCTGGCTCCTATGCTCAGTTTTTGTTTTTTTGTTTTTTTTTTTTTTTTTGAGACAGAGTCTTGCTCTGTCGCCCAGGCTGGAGTGCAGTGGCGTGACCTCAGCTCACTGCAAACTCCGCCTCCCGGGTTCACGCCATTCTCCTGTCTCAGCCTCCCGAGTAGCTGGGACTACAGGCACTCGCCACCACGCCCGTCTAATTTTTTTGTATTTTTGGTAGAGATGAAGTTTCACCGTGTTAGCCAGGATGGTCTCGATCTCCTGACCTTGTGATCCGCCCATCTCGGCCTGCCAAAGTGCTGGGATTACAGGTGTGAGCCACCGTGCCCGGCCTATGCTCAGTTTTAAGTACTGGGGTCATGGTGGTGACAGGGCAGACAAAGTCCTTAGCTTTGTGGACACTGCCTCTAGTGGATGAGATAGAAAATAACTAGGTAATCACAAAAACAAAGTAACAGGTTATAAAGGAATTGGAAGGGTGCCCGGGGTCGGGGGATAGAGGAGGTGGGCAGAAAAGGAGACGCTACAGTTGAACTGGAACCTGGGTGAACAGATCTCAGGAAAGAGCACTGCAAGCAGAGATCAGCAAAAGAAGTGAAGATGAGGCCGGGTGCGATGGCTCACGCCTGTAATCCCAGCACTTTGGGAAGCCGAGGTGGGTGGATCGCTTGAGGTCAGGAGTTCGAGACCAGCCTGGGGAACATGGCAAAACCCTGTCTCTACTAAAAATACAAAAATTAGCTGGACAGGGTGGTGCAAGTCTGTAATCTGAACTACTTGGGAGGCTAAGGCAAGAGAATCACTTCAACCCAGGAGGTGGAAGTTGCAGTGAGCTGAGATCATGCCACTGCATTCCAGCCTGGGTGACAGAATGAGACTCTGCCTCAAAAAAAGGCTGGGCGTGGTGGCTCACACCTGTAATCCCAGCACTTTGGGAGGCTGAGGTGGGCGGATCACCTGAGGTCAGGAGTTCGAGACCAGCCTGGCCAATATGGCGAAACCCCGTCTCTACTAAAAGTACAAAAAATTAGCCGGGTGTGGTGGCTCGTGCCTGTAATCCCAGTTACTCGGGAGGCTGAGGCAGGAGAATCGCTTGAATCCGGGAGGCAGAGGTTGCAGTGAGTCGAGATCACACCATTGCACTCCAGCTTAGACAACAAGAGCGAAACTCCGTCTCAAAAAAAAAAAAAAAAAAAAAAAAGAAGTGAAGATGAGCTTGTCAGATTGTCAGATTTGCAAAATAGCCAGAAGGTCAGTGTTCTTGGAGCAAACTGAGTGAGCAGGAGGGTGGGGAAAGATGAAGCACAAAGGCTGAATTTTACCTGGGATGATAAAATAATCTTACACAAGCCGAAACGTATATACTTTCACATAAATTTATGTGCCTATGAAATTGGAGTTGCTCTGGGACTCAAGCGGCATCCTTGCCCCAACCCCTGCTGTTTTCTGAAGCATTCCTAAGGAACCTTAGAGTGTGGGAGAGAGAAATAGCAGGAAGTCCTTAACCTAGTCCAACCCTTTTATTTTACAGTTAGGGAAACCTAAGCTGAGAGAGGAGATGGAAACCTGGTTGTAGGAGTGAGTGGGGAAGGGTTCACGGTCATTCTGGTAGGTAGGGGTAGGGCCAGAGCAAGGAGTCCTGGTTTGTGAACCACCAGCTGGCCGTCTAGGAGTTTACAGACCAGCAGTGGCAATGTTGACAAAGGGCATATCTTCCTTTCCCCAAGAACATTGGCTCTGGAGCAATAACCCAGCAATGGGGGCTTTGGGGTGTCCCTCTTAATCCGGTAGCTCAGCCCATTCGGATATGCCAGCTGGAAAGAGAGAGGGAGAAGTCAACTGAGTACCTCTCTCTAACAGCTCAATCCCTCCCCTTCAGGGTTAAGATCGGGGCTGCAGTGGTTAGCATCTCTGCTTCCTCTAGCCGGCTGTGTCATTGAACCTGTGTGATCAGACGCAAACCAGATCAGTATGACTTCAAAGCTTCATCTTTGAGATGGAGTCTTGCTCCCTCGTCCGGGCTGGAGTGCAATGGCGCAATCTCGGCTCACTGCAACCTCCGCCTCCCGGGTTCAAGCAATTCTCCTGTCTCAGTCTCCCGAGCAGCTGGGACTATAGGCGCCTGCCAGCACGCCCGGCTAATTTTTGTATTTTTAGTAAAGACTGAGTTTCACCTTGTTGGTCAAGCTGGTCTCGAACTCGTGACCTCAGGTGATCCACACGCCTCTGCCTCCTAAAGTGCTGGGATTACAGGCGTGAGCCACCGCGCACGGCTAAAGCTTCAGTTCTTAACCATCAGGCGACAGTGCGTAGTCTGGTAGCAACTGGAAAAGTCCTGCTGAGATTTAGCCTCCCATACACACAGAGTCCCACCCCGGACAGGCTGTATCAACCCCCCACGGCCATATGCCCACTGCTGTTTGCGTACAATGAGGCGGGACCTATAGACTGTATCCACTGACTCATCTGGAGTGATTCCGCGGGGCGCCAATACAAGGACCACTGTCTCCAAACAGCAGCCAGCCACCCCTCTCTCTTGGTTTCCTTCCTTTGAGTGGTGCAAAGGCTTAAGGGTGTAACCTCAGAATGGGGCCCTGAATCAGCTGTGGGCGAGCTCCTAGAGTATCTTAATTCCTGCTTCATCTCTTTCCATTTTGCAGTTGGGCAAACTGCGGCTCAGAAAGATAAAGAACTTCTCCGGAGCGAAAAAGCTGCTAAGAATGTATCCAAAACTCCGCACGGTAAGGACTGAGGACGGTCAAAAGACCACCAAGAGTTAAAACCATGAAGCTGCGTAGTACCGCGGAGGCTAGAGAGACCCGGCCCACCCCTTCCAACCTATGCCCCTCCTCTTAACTTCCGGGCGGGGCATGACTTCCGGTTCCCGCGCGGCGCTCCAAAGCTCGGGGAGTGGTGGTCTCCCTTTCCTGGAGTCATTTGTGGGAGTTAGGGTCTTATCCTGATCTTTCCTCGTCCCCCGCTCCCCCGTCCTCCGAGGTGGCAGCTGCGTAGGTGAACGTTCCCCCTGTCCCCTTCCTTCTCCTTCCTAACCCGAGTACGCTTGCTCGCGGCCACAGTGGCTGCCTGCCCCAGGAGCGGGGAGTCCCTGCCTTTGGGGTAGGGAAATGACTGAAATGTGGGACCTGCGGGCTCCTCGGGCTGACTTGGACCTCACTGCAGCTCTGGAGGTGGACCTCGTCCTGGGACCCTAGAAGCCCATTTCCGCACTCGGGCTAGGCCTTCGGAGCCGCGGCAGCATAGTGGGAGGAGTCGGGCTCAGCTCCCCCCCACCACAACCGGGATTATTTTTATCGGTTGAGTCATCGCACTACCTTTCATCCTTGTGGCTTTGGGCAAGTCCCCGCCCTCCGAGCCTCACTTTGCTTATCTGTGAATGGAAATAACAGTGCCTACCCCATGGGCTATCGGGAGGATCAGTTGTGAGGGAATGCAGTGTGGGGTGTCTGGCCGGCAGAATTCCACAAATGGTAGCAGCGGTTGATGTCACTGGAGGTTCCTGGGGCAGTAATTTATCAAGAGTTTATGATCCTGAACTAAGGATCATACGGAGGAGGATCTGTGTATAACGTTCGGCACAATGTTAGATAGGAAGTAAGGGCGCAGTGCACTGGAGTTATTTTTTCTTTTTTTTTTTTTTGAGACGGAGTCTCGCTCTGTCGCCCAGGCCGGAGTTGCAGTGCCGCGTTGTCGCCTCACTGCAACCTTCTCTGCCACATGGGTTCAAGCGATTCTCCTGCCTCAGCCACTCGAGTAACTGGGATTACAGTCGCACATCACCACGCCTGGCTAATGTTTTGCATTTTTAATAGAGACGGTTTCACCATGTTGGCCAGCCTGGTCTTGAACTCCTGATCTCAGGTGATCCACCCGCCTCGGCCTTCCAAAGTGCTAGAAGTATAGGCATGAGCCACTGTGCCTGGCCTGGAGTTATTTTTTCTCACTGGGTTTTTGAGCAAAGAAAAGGAGTTATTAACTGGTGAGGATAAATTTGTGTTTGGTAAGTCGTCTTCTGAAGCTGACAGGATTTATAAGCCGGGTAAATTGTGGTGCTGGTTCATCTTTGAGAGCCAGCCTTAAGAATTGGCCCACTGACTGCTGGGCGTGGTGGCTCACATCTGTAATCCCAGCACTTTGGGAGGCCGAAGCGGGTGGATCACCCGAAGTCAGGAGTTCGAGACCAGCCTGGTCAACATGGTGAAACCCCATCTCTACTAAAAACATAAAAATTAGCCAGGTATGGTGGTGGGCACCTGTAATCCCAGTTACTCGGGAGGCTGAGGCAGAGAATTGCTTGAACCCAGAAGGAGGAAAGGTTGCAGTGAACCGAGATCACACTACTGCACTCCAGCCTGAGCGACAGAGTGAGACTTGTCTCAAAAAAAAAAAAAAGGAAAGAAAAAGGCCCACTGACAGTCTGTTCCTAGAAACCTGGGTTGTAAAGACGTTGGGTGCTGGGAGCTAGAAGAAGTAATAAAAGGGTGTTTTCCTAAGTGGGTTAGGGGTTTTCACTCAGAAAGGTTTTTGGGCAGGAGGGGAAAGCCTGAGAAGTTTTCTTCCTCTTGAGTTGTTATAAAAGTAATACATGTGTGTAGTTAGAAAACAATGCAGAAAGATGTAAAATGAAAAGTGTTTCCCCCTTCTACTGTTTCTGCCCTTCAGAAGTAAATACAATTAATTTCTTTGATAACTTTCTATCTATTATTTGGATATATCAGGTTTTATTTATTTGTATCTGTATTTATGTATTTTTAATTTCCTCAGATCGGGGGTCATACTACACATCGATCGGGACCTTAGTCATGTTGTGATATGGACAGCTTTCTTACCAGTACTCATAAGCCTGCTTCATTTTTTACGTGGCGGCACCACTGAGTGGTTGACGGTACTTCAGTCATTTCCCTGTTGATGGTCACTTAGGTTGTTCCCAAGATTTTGCTTTCCCACAGTGTTTCACCCAACCTTTCTTGGACGAAATATTTTAGTCCAACTCACCCTAAGTGATTCTGCTTTTCCCTATTCACCACCCTAGGTTAGTAACAGCTTACTTTGGGGGATGAGCACACCTTATTAACTGAGCAAAAACCAAGATAATGTGAGAAGAATTGGTGTACTCCCAAGAATATCCAAGGTGCTGGGTCTAGAATCAATTAAAGTCTCCTAAGAAATGGGTCAGGGAACCTTTAGAGAAGGGATGACTAGGTGCTGGGTGCACGGCAGCTAGTCAGCGTTAGTGATTGTTGGCTTCTGTCAATTGTTGCTCAGGAAACAGATTTGAGAGATTCTCTGAGGTGGGAAGGATTTTAAATGTCAGCTCTCCTGCTATGTATTATATGTCTGGAAGGGATTAGTTCTTTGAGGGAAGAGAGTATTAAAGAAAACAATGGGCCGGGCACGGTGGCTCACACCTGTAATCCCAGCACTTTGGGAGGCCGAGGCAAGGGCGGTGGATCATGAGGTCAGGAGATCGAGACCATCCTGGCTAACATGGTGAAACCTCATTTCTACTAAAAATACAAAAAAAAATTAGCTGGGCCTGGTGGCACGTGCCGTAGTCCCAGCTACTCAGGAGGCTGAGGCAGGAGGATTGCTTGAACCTGGGAGGCAGAGGTTGCAGTGAGCCGAGATTGTGCCTGGGCAACAGAGCAAGACTCCGTCTCAAAAAAAAAAAAAAAAAAAAGAAAATGATGATCCTTGAAAAGTGACTGCATCATGGGGCTGTATCCTAATGTGAGAATTAATTTAGTCATTTCTGTTATTTGAACTCTCTTGTTTTAAAGTTAATTAACATAGGATGTGTTTTCCTGTAAATAACTCCTCTTTTGAACTGGGGCCCTAGCCCAAATGAAGCAAAGGCTTTTTTTCTGGCATTTTACAGGTATTTAATTTGCCTCCCGCCCCGCCGCCCCCCACGGCTATAGCTGGTTTGATAATCCTGGAGCTCTCAAATATCCAAAGAGTTGGAAGTGTACTCTATTAGGATTTTGACAAGTCCCATACACTGATCAGAGGTGCTTCATTCTTGATCTTAACCTGGGTTCTTTTTTTTTTTTTTTTGGAGACAAGGACTCTGTTGCCCAGGCTGGAGTGCAGTGGCGTGATCACAGCTCACTGCAGCCTCTACCTCCCAGTAGCTGGGACTACAGCCATGTGCCACCACACCCAGATAATTTTTTTTTTGTAGAGACAGGGTTTTGCCATGTTACCCAGGCTGGTCTCGAATTCCTGGGCTCAAGTGAGCCACCTTTTTTTTTTTTTTTTTTGAGATGGAGTTTTGCTCTTGTTGTCCAGGCTGGAGTGCAGTGGCACGATCTCAGCTCACAGCAACCTCTGCCTCCTGGGTTCAAGCGATTCTCCTACCTCAGCCTCCCGAGTAGCTGGGATTACAGGCACGCGCCACCATGCTCAGCTAATTTTTGTAATTTTAGTAGAGACGGGGTTTCTCCATGTTGGTCAGGCTGGTCTCGAACGCCTGACCTCAGTTGATCCGCCCGCCTTGGCCTCCCAAAGTGCTGGGATTACAGGCGTGAGCCACCATGCCTGGCCATAATTTTTGTATTTTTAGTAGAGATGGGGTTTCACCATATTGGCCAGGCTGGTCTTGAACTCCTGACCTCAGTTGATCCACCCACCTTGGCCTCCCAAAGTGCTGGGATTACAGGCGTGAGCTACTTCACCTGGCTTTCTTTTTCTTTTTCTTTTTTTTAAGAGCTCTCGCTGTGTTGCTCAGGCTGGAGTGCAGTGGCTATTCACAGGTGCAATCATAGTGCACTGCTCCTTTGAAGTACTTGTTAATGTTTGCTATTCTTTAATCATGATGAAAGAGATGGAGGGAGGTGGAAAGTCAGTAGATTAGATATAAATGAACTGACCTTATTCTCCTCTTTTAGCTCCTCTTCATAAATTGCTTTGTAGACATAACAAATGTTATATAAAAATAGTTGGAGGGGCTGGGTGTGGTGGCTCATGCCTGTAATCCCAGCACTTTGGGACACTGATGGGGGCAGATTACGAGGTCAGGAGTTCGAGACCAGCCTGACCAACCTGGTGAAAGCCTATCTCTATGAAAAATACAAAATTTAGCTGGAGGTGGTGGCACGTGTCTGTAATCCCAGCCACTCAGGAGGCTGAGGCAGGAGAATTGCTTGAACCTGGGAGGCAGAGGTTGCGGTGAGCCGAGATCATGCCATTGCACTCCAGCCTGAATGACGGCAAGACGCTGTCTCCAAAAAAGAAACAAAAATGGTTGGAGGAAGCAAACACCCATGATTTTAAAGCCCTCTCCCAAGCAAATCATGTGCATATGCAATTCTTGTTTCAACATAATGTAAAACACTTCATAGTGAGAGACAAAATGAATGCACGATTCTCTAGCAAGGCCAGTATTCTTCAATCAGCTTTGAGAACCTACATTTCTTATTTTGGTAAACTACTGTCATGTTTCCTCAATTGTGTTAATTGATCTACCAGGAAGAAGACAAAAATGAGTTTCTAGTACCTTTATTAAGAAACCCTGTTAAGATTGGAAGGCTGATGGAACCTGGGTCTGGACCAGATCCGTGAGATCAGAGTGGTTTAACAGCTTTTATGGTCTGTTTTTGCTGATTCTTACTTTTCTGTTTGTGCCTAGAAGTCTGGAACGTTTTTTCTTAGAGTTCCAGAATTGAGACTGAAGTGTACCCAGAGACACAAAGAAATACAGAAGTCCAGAATGATCAAATGAGATCACTACCCAATGAAATGATGGGCCGAGGAGCCAGAAGTTGTCCTACTACCTGCTTTCCAGGTCCAGATTCCACGAGAGCCTTCTGGGCTCCCACCAGAGACCCTCAGTGAAGACTCTGTTGAAGACTTTAAGACCATGCTAGAAAGCCTCCCGGCAGAGGTTCAGGAAGTTCTGCTATGAGGATGCAGCTGGCCCCAGGGATGTCCTCAGGCATCTCTAGGACCTTGCTGGACGGTGGTGGCTGAGACCTGATATCCACACAAAGGAGCAGACTGTGGAAATGCTGGTGCAGGAGCAATTCCAGGCTGTCCTGCCCGAGGAGCTCAGAGCTCAAGCACAGAGATGTCAGCCTGGAATCAGAATCACTGGCTAAGTCTTGCTGCTTGCTTCTTGCTCAGCCTGCATATGAGAAGTCAACCAAGCATTCTCTTGGATGCAAGATCCAACTGCACCCATGGGAAATCTGAACTTCCACTTTCTTTGAGCTTGTCTTTGGTTGTAATAAGAATCCATCAAAACCCATGTCTGGATCTCTCTTTGGCTGAGGCAGCTTTATTTCCTACAGAAAGAGTTTCTCTGTCCTCTTGTTAGGACAATCAGCCTGCTGCTTTGGGCTTTTCCAAGAGCCTATTTTTCATCTGCTGGATGCCTCTTTTTTTTTTTTTTTTTTTTTTTGCACTGTGTGACATGCTTTAATATATATATTTTTTATGTATCCAAAGAGGTAATCAACTTTAACTTTCAGAATTCATGAATCTTGGTTTGGTGGCATGAATGAAAGGTTATGTAACCCCACCAGTAACTCATTTGGGGTGCCCTTGAAATATTAAAGTTTGGTCCTCAATAAATATGTGCTGTGGTGATTAATCAGGTTAGCGCTTAGTAGTCAGCAATTGGAGACAGGTGAGATAATTATCAGGTGTAGATGAGAGCTAGCGATAAGAACTATGGCTGTGGTGTTTATTGTGCTGGGAAATAGGAACAGTCCTGGCCTTTGTATTCAAAGTCAAGATTTAGATTGGACAGAACTGAGAAAGGGGTCAAACGGTCATAAGAGGTAAGTAACCTGTACACAGAGCTGTTTGATTGGCTGTTTCACCATGTCCATCACCTTTGTTCTATAGCTTGCCTTTCTGCAAGAGAACTTACTGTAAAGCTCCCCAACACTACTGTGTTTTGCTTTTTCTGCAACAGAGGTCATCCTTGTTTTTCTGTGTGTGGAGACCTGTTCTGTGGCTGACAGCTGACATAGAGCAGTAGCTGTGTCTGTGACAGGCAGGGTAAACAGCAGCTGCCTTCCCGGCACAACCCAGTTCGGAGGAACCTGTCTGCCTCTGTGGTCTGGCTCCGGGACTTGTAGCTCTGCTCCTTCTCTAACAAACTTGGTGCCACTTCAGAAACAGCCTTTGGTATAGGGAGTGGTCAGCTGCATGCTGGAACTCTTGTTGATTCTGCTAGGGTTTGTTGAGTACTTCCTGTGCCTCCGACTCTTCTAGAATGGAAATGTAAAACCCACTTTTAAGGAAGTGTGTCATTTTTGAAGAGAGGAAAAAGCATTAAAAATACATTGTTAGAAATGTTGGCCGGGTGCAGTGGCTCACTCCTGTAATCCCAGCGCTTTGGGAGGCCGAGGCGGGTGGATCAAGAGGTCAGGAGATCGAGACCATCCTGGTTAACATGGTGAAACCCCACCTCTACTAAAAATACAAAAAATTAGCCAGGCGCCGTGGTGGGCCCCTGTAGTCCCAGCTACTCGGGAGGCTGAGGCAGGAGAATGGCGTGAACCTGGGAAGCGGAGCTTGCAGTGAGCCGAGATCGCGCCACTGTACTCTGCCTGGGCGACAGAGTGAAACTCTGTCTCAAAAAAAAAAAAAATGTTGGAGTAAAACCAGCCTTGCTTTTGGTATCTCGTTTGAAATAGCACCAAGATAAAATATTTTTTAATTTAAAAAAAATTACAGGCTGGGCGCAGTGGCTTACACCTGTAATCCCAGCACTTTGGGAGGCTGAGGCGGGCGGATCACGATGTCAGGAGATTGAGACCATCCTGGTTAACACGGTGAAACCCCGTCTCTACTAAAAATACAAAAAAATTAGCCAGGCGCCTGTAGTCTCAGCTACTCAGGAGGCTGAGGCAGGAGAATGGCGTGAACCTGGGAGGCAGAGCTTGCAGTTAGCCGAGATCGCACCACAGCATTCCAGCCTGGGCGACAGAGCAAGACTCCGTCTTAAAAAAAAAAAAAATTATAAGCAGAGGAGAGAGGACAGTCAAAGTGGAGAAGTGACATTTTAATGGAATTCTGGAAGGGAAGTAGGAGATCATTGGACAGAAGGCAAAAGCATGGGAATGCAATCGTATGTAGTGTTCAGGGAATAGTGACCGTAAGATTAGTTAATTATGCTTTCTGGTAACTAAGATAAGCTTTTCTTTTCTTTTTTTGAGACGAAGTCTCATACTGTCACCTGGGCTGGAGTGCAAAGGCATGATCTCGGCTCACTGCAACCTCTGCCTCCAGGGTTCACATGATTCTCCTGCCTCAGCCTCCCAAGTAGCTGAGATTACAGGCATCCACCACCACACCTGGCTAATTTTTTGTATTTTTAGTAGAGACGGGATGTTGGCCAGACTGGTCTCTGATCTCGTGATCTGCCTGCTTTGGCCTCCCAAAGCTTATACGTGTGAACCACCGTGCCCGGCCACTGTAAGGTAAGGTTTTCTATCCTTAATTTGAATAGTAAAATGTAACATTGGCAAAGGAGTTAGTATCACTGATAGGGTTGTAGTATTTTGAATCATTCTGAAGATACTTCCTTTAGTCTGCAGGGATCTGGAACTCCTGGCATTCAGGAATTTCCTGGCCTCCATCAATTTCTCAGCTGCTTCAGTGATCTAGGATTTGGTCTGCAAGTAAAGGACCTGGCTTTACAGGTGGACTCACAGATTTTATGACACAACAGCTGAGGTTTCTTTCTTTCTTTTTTTTTTGAGACAGAGTCTTGCTCTGTTGCCCAGGCTGCAGTGCAGTGGCGCCATCTTGGCTCACTGCAACCTCTGCCTCCCAGGTTCAAGCAGTTCTCCTGCCTCAGCCTCCTGAGTAGCTGGGATTACAGGCACATGCCACCACACCTGGCTAATTTTTGTATTTTTAGTAGAGACGGGATTTCCCCATGTTGGCCAGGTTGGTCTCGAACTCCTGACCTCAAGTGATCCTCCCACCTCGGCCTCCCAAAGTGCTAGGATTACAGGTGTGAGCCACGGTGCCTGGCCTCTTTTCTTTTCTTTTTTTTTTTGAGACGGAGTTTTGCTTTTGTCACCCAGGCTGGAGTGCAATGGCACGATCTCAGCTCACTGCAACCTCTGCCTCCTGATTCAAGCGATTCTCCTGCCTCAGCTTCCCAAGCAGCTGGGATTACAGGCGTGCCACCACGCCCAGTGAATTTTTGTATGTTTAGTAGAGACAAGATTTCACCATATTGACCAGGCTGGTCTTGAACTCCTGACCTCAAGTGATCCGCCTGCCTTGGCTTCCCAAAGTGCTGGGATTACAGGCATGAGCCACCGAGGCGAGCTTTTTTTTTTTTTTTTTGAGACGGGGTCTCACTTGGTCACTGAAGCTGGAGTTGAGTGGTAGGATCACGGCTCACTGCAGCCTTGACCTCCTGGGCTCTGGCGATCTTCCTACCTCAGCCTCACAAGTAGCTAGGACTACAGTTGTGTGCTACCACACCCAGCTAATTTTTAAATTTTTTTGGTAGAGACAGGGCCTTGCTATGTTGCTCAGACTGTTCTCGAACTCCTGTGCTCAAATGATCCTCCTACTTCAGCCTCCCAAAGTGCTGGGATTATAGGCACGAGCCACCCCGCCTGGTCAGCTGAGGTTTCTTGAATTGAGTGACCCTAGCACAGAATTCCTCAGCCTTGGCACTATTGGCATTTTGGGCCAGATAACTCTGTTGTAGGGGCGTGCCCTGTGCATTGCAGGATGCTTAGCAGCATCCCCAACCTCCACCTGCCAGATGCCAGTAGCACCTGTCTGGATGTAACAACCAAAAATGTTTCTGGACATTGTCAAATGTCCTGGGGGTGGGGGTGAGGGTGTACGCAAAATTGCCCCTGGTCGAGAACCACTGATTATGTAGGAGAGTTCATCATGGCCATTTGAGGGGGTCATGGAACTCAGCCCTCCAATCCCTGGCCTCAGGCTTAACGTTGAACTGAGAATGCTGTAGGAAGAGTGGGATATATAATAAATTAGTCTTCAAATCCCCATTATATGGCTGGGCGCGGTGGCTCATGCTTGTCATCCCAGCACTTTGGGAGGCCAAGGTGGGTGGATCACTTTAGGTCAGGAGTTCCAGACCAGCCTGGCCAACATGGTGAAACCCCGTCTCTACTAAAAATATAAAAATTAGCCAGGCATTGTGGCGCATGCCTGTAGTCCCAGCTACTCGGGAGGCTGAGGCAGAAGAATTGCTTGAACCAGGGAGGTGGAGGTTGCAGTGAGCAGAGATCACGCCACTGCACTCCTGCTTAAGTGACAGAGTGAGACTCCATCTCAAAAAAAAAAAAAAAATTCCTATTATGTGCTTGAGTAATACCACCCACTCTGGCAAATCTTAAAAAAGCTCTTGGCCGGGTGCAGTGGCTCATGCCTGTAATCCCAGCACTTTTGGAGGCCAAGGTGGGCGGATCACTGGAGGTTGGGATTTCCAGGCCAGCCTGACCAACATGGAGAAACCTCGTCTCTACTAAAAATACAACATTGGCTGGGCATGGTGGCATATGCCTGTAATGCCAGCTACTCGGGAGGCTGAGGCAAGAGAATTGCTTGAACCTGGGAGGCAGAGGTTGCTGTGAGCTTTGATTGTGCCATTGCACTCCAGCCTGGGCAACAAGAGCGAAACTCCATCTCAAAAAAAAAAAAAAAAAAAAAGCAGCTCTTTGATGTGAAGACTAAATGCTATACCTCCCAATCGTCAACCTGTAGAACATTCAGTTGGGATGGTTTACTGTGTGCCAAAGTCTGCACTGATGCATCTATGATTCATTGAATCCTAACAGTCATGTGAGGTAAATAGTAAATCTACCTATTTTACAGAGGAGAAGTCTGAGGTCCAGCAGTTAAGCAATAATGGCTAATAAGTGTGGAGCTAGGATCTGAGCCTTAGATGTCTATCCAAGGCGTGGGCCTTCATCCCTCATGTATGGAAATGTTAATTTAACATTTGAGAATCTCCTGTATGCACAGTGTTTCTTCTTTTGCTATTTATTTATTTATTTTGGAGACAGAGTCTTGCTCTGTCTTCCAGGCTGGAGTGCAGTGGTGCAATCTCGGCTCAGTACAACCTCCGCCTCCCGGGTTTAAGCGATTCTCCTGCCTCAGCCTCCTGAGTAGCTGGGACTACAGGCACCTGCCACCATGCCCGGCTAATTTTTGTATTTTTTAGTAGAGACGGGGTTTCACCAATTTGGCCAGGCTGGTCTCGAACTCCTGACCTTGTGATCCGCCCACCTCAGCCTCCCAAAGTGCTGGGATTACAGGCGTGAACCACCGTGCTTGGCCCTTCTTTTGCTTTTTAAAAATCTCTATTTTACAATTTAAAATAACATTTCTTAGATTCATTTGATACAGAAAAAGTATGAAAAAAAATGGTTCATAATCTCACTGCCCAGGTAATTCCTATTGACTTTTTTTTAAGAGCCTGGGTCTCATTCTTAGCTGGGACTACAAGTGTGAGCCACCACACCTGTCCTGCAAGTATTTCTTTTACCTTTAAAAAATGTCAGTAGAGGCCGGGTGCAGTGGCTCACGCCTGTAATCCCAGCACTTTGGGAGGCCAAGGCAGGCGGATCACGATGTCAGGAGATTGAGACCATCCTGGCTAACACTGTGAAACCCCGTCTCTACTAAAAATACAAAAAAAATTAGCCCGGTTTGGTGGCGGGCGCCTGTAGTCCCAGCTACTTGGGAGACTGAGGCAGGAGAATGGCGTGAACCCGGGAGGCGGAGCTTGCAGTGAGCGGAGATCATGCCACTGCACTCCAGCCTGGGTGACAGAGTGAGACTGTCGCAAAACAAAATGTCAGTAGAGGCCATGCCTGTAATCCCAGCAGTTTGGGAGGCCAGAATGGGAGGATCACTTGAGGCCAGGAGTGCACGACCAGCCTGAGCAACATAGCAAGACCTGTCTCTACAAAAAAATTAGCTGGGTGTGGTGGTGTATGCCTGTAGTTCCCAGCTTCTCAGGAGGCTGAGGCGGGAGGATCCTTTGAGCCCAGGAGGTCAAGGCTGCAGTGAGCTGTGATTGTGCCATTGCACTCCAACTTAGGTGGCTGAGTGAGACCCTGTCTCAAAAAAAGAATATACATATATACATTTACATATTTATATATAAATTTAAATGTTTAGTTTATATAAATGTATATATATGTAATATATATAAAAATATATATTTGCATATGGATAGAAAAGTCCAGGAGAATAGAAGGATATAAAAAGAAAACTTAAAGGCCCTCTTCTCATTATTAACAGTTTCTTATGTATCCTTCCAGAAAATACAAATTATATATATGTGAGCAGAAAATACAAATTATGTGAGCAGATACACATATATATTCCTTTAGAAGTTACATAAAAATATGCATGTTTAGTGCATATTTTTTCATTACTCAATAAGTCTTAGAGGCCTTTTGCTATCAACATACAGAGATTTACTTTATTTAAAAAATTGGTTGGGTGTGGTGGCTCATGCCTGTAATCTCAGCACTTTGGGGGGACAAAGCAGGTGGATCACTTGAGGCCAGGAGTTTGAGACCAGCCTGGCCAACATGGTGAAATCCTGTCTCCTGAAAATACAAAGATTAGCTGGGCGTGGTTTTGGATGCCTGTAATCCCAGCTACTCGGGTGGCTGAGGCCCAAGAATCCCTTGAACCTCGGAAGCAGAGGTTGCAGTGAGCCGAGATCACACCACCACACTCCAGCCTAGGCAACAGTGCAAGACTGTCTCAAAAAAAAAAAAAAAAGTAAAAAAAATTTTTTTGGCAGCTGTATGGCTGTACTTGGCCTTTTACTTTCCAGCAAGAAGTGTAAGGTAGAGGATTTAGGTATGGACTCAAACCACTGAGGCACAAGTGAGGTTTAGAGAGGTAACTGACAGAGCCAGGGCTCAACTTTCACGTTCTGAAACCAGCTTTGGTTCCCAACAACCCCGTGGTACCAGTTCTTTGTTATGGAAATGAATTTACAGATTAGATTGTCCCAAAGAAACCTAGTAAGTGGAGAAGCTACAGTTCATCTCTCGTTTCATCTGGCCCTAGCCTCACGCCTTGCCACAAGGTCATACTACCTGAATGTCAAAGAATAGAGCAGCTCCACTGTTTGAAGGGCTCTGTGAGGATTCGGGAATAGAGGAGTTCCCCATTTCTGTCGCCACACCTCTGAGATGGTGCCTGTGTCTGTCATTGTTTCTTGAATCAATCTAGACCTCAGTTCTAAAGAACCCTAAAAACTCTGTCCGTGAATCTTGGGGGAAGGAGGAAGTCAATGTAAAATACTTCCATATTGTATTTCTAAGATGTCTATTTCCCCTTTGTGATTATTTTGACTGCAAGTTCCACAAGATAATACTTTCATCTAGTTATTGAAAAGTGCTCCTGCGAGATGGCTGCTGGGAAAAACCAGTGTTAGGACCACAAGGTAATATGAGATCCCTAGCAACTGGCTTGTGCCATGGAAAAACATGTCATCTGTTGGGCAGCTACTCCCTGAGCAGTGAGTGGGTGCCAGGCCCTGGCTGCCAGAGAGGAGGCCAGCTCCAGTGGGTGTGGGGGCCACGAGGAGTCGACTGTGGTAGTGATGGTGGTGGCTGCAGAATTCAAGTGCAGCTGGTCCTCCCAGAGCATCACGTGGGGTCAGTTTCCCTAGACAGCTCAGTACAATGCGCTTGACAATGACTTGACTCTTTTGCTAAGCATTCTCTTTCCACCCACTGCTACGCATGTATTAGACAATTGGACATTTTCCCTCAGCCTGGAATGCCCCTCCCTGAATCTTTGCCAGCCTACTCCTGTTTGTTCGTTCTTTCTTTATTTATTTATTTATTTTGAGACAGGATCTCATTCCTGTTACCCAAGCTCGAGTGCAGTGGTCTTGACTTCCCAGGCTCAGGTGATCCTCCCACCTCAGCCTCCCAAGTAGCTGGGAGTACAGATGTGCGCCATCATGCCTGGCTAATTTTTTGTATTTTTAGTAGAGAAGGAGTTTCACCATGTTGCCCAGGCTGGTCTCAGACTCCTAGGCTCAAGTGACCTGCCTACCTCGGCCTCCCAAACTGTTCATTCTTTATGATGCAGATAGACACGGTCACCTTCATGAAGCCTTCTTTGATTTCTGCTTTGAACTAGCACTTGAAGCCCCCCTGTGAGCTCCTACAACACCTTAGCTTTAGTTCTTGGTACTTGCTCATGCAGCAAATAGATGTTACGTGCCATGCCCCATTCTAAGCATCACACTGCAGTGCAGCATCTTGTTTGTGTCCCAGGCAGATTGTGAGCTCCATGAAGAGGGAGACTTTCTATGTTCTTTGCATTGAACACAGGGCCTGCACCTGGGGGATCCTCAAGGAGCACTTTGACTTTTGTGGGAGACATGGGAGACATGGTTGTTCCTTTTTTTTTTTTTTTTTTTTTGAGACAGAATCTCGCTCTGTCACCCAGGCTGGAGTGCAGTGGCACGATCTCGGCTCACTGCAAGCTCCGCCTCCCAGGTTCATGCCATTCTTCTGCCTCAGCCTCCCGAGTAGCTGGGACTACAGGCACTCGCCACCACGCCTGGCTAATTTTTTGTGTTTTTATTAGAGACGGAGTTTCACCGTGTTAGCCAGGATGGTCTCGATCTCCTGACCTCGTGATTCACCCACCTCGGCCTCCCAAAGTGCTGGGATTACAGGTGTGAGCCAATGCGCCTGGCTTTTTTTTTTTTTTTTTTTTTTTTTTTTTTTTAGAGACAGAGGCTCTCTCTGTTGTGAGGCTGGAGTACAATGGCGCGATCTTGGCTCACTGCAACCTTCGCTTCCTGGGTTCAAGCGATTTTCCTGCCTCAGCCTCCCAAGTAGCTGGGACTACAGGTACGTGCCACCACGCCCAGCTAATTTTTGTATTTTTAGTAGAGATGGGGTTTCACCATGTTGGCCAGGGTGGTCTCGATCTCTTGAGCTCGTGATCCGCCCACCTTGGCCTCCCAAAGTGCTGGGATTACCAGTGTGAGCCACTGTGCCTGGCCACGGTTGCTACTTCTTAAGATATTTCCTTTTAGCAAACACAAGTATCCACGGTTCATCAGTGACCACTAGGTGCTATGTTGTGGAGGAAACAAGGAGTGAGACTAGTAGTCTCCTGTAGAAGAAGTAGGGATGGAGATAAGAACAAAACAAAACAAAAACAAAAACTACAAAGGGAAGGCTTCACTTCTCTGTTCTGCATCTGACCTTGCAGTGAGATGAGGTTAACTGCCCTTAGTTGGCTCTGCAAAGCGCAGGGGCCTCTTTAGGTGCCTAGCAACAACTTGACTACCCAGAATGGTGATTTTGAAGCTGGGTGTGGTCTCCTGGGCAGGAAGCCACCAACACCGCCAGAGCAGCCAGGGCCTCCCCTTCACTTCCTCTGAGCCAAAACTCCGCCTCCAATTGGGGCCAATACTTATTGCTTTGAGCCCTGTCTTAGAAACACAAATGGAAGGTTTCTAGCAACAATAACTTCTACCACTTAGATGTGTGATGTCAGACAAGTCATGCCACCTTTCTGAGCTTCAGCTCCTATACCTGTCTTGGTCCTGGCTTATTCTCAGGCAGGGTTACCCTAGCACAGCAGCCCAGGTCCACAAATACTCAGTAAATGCTACTGTATCTGAATCTGAATCTGCTTAATTAGGGGAAGATTCAGTGAGTGACCTTTTCTCAGCTGTCCCTTGGATCTTGTTCTTTTGACCCTCTCTCTGCAGGCAGCTCCATCTTATGTCAAATTTCTATACGTCAAATCCTGTTCTTGGCCAGGCATGGTGACTCACGCCTGTAATCCCAACAGTTTGGGAGGCTGAGGCAAGAGGATCGCTTGAGCCCAGGAGTTCAAGGATAGCTTGGGCAACATAGCGAGATTCCATTTCTACAAAAAATAATAAAATTAGCCAGGTATGGTGGTGCACACCTTTAGTCCCAGCTACTCAGCAGGGTGAGGTGGGCGGATTCCTTCAGCCCAGGAGGTGGAGGCTTCAGTGAGCTGAGATTGTGCCACTGCACTCCAGCCTCGGTGACAGTCAGATCCTGAGTCAAAAGAAAATAAATACATAAATAAAGGCTGGGCACAGTGGTTCATGCTTCTAATCCCAGCACTTTGGGAGGCCGAGGGGGGTGGATCACCTGAGGTAACGAGTTCAAGACCAGCCTGGCCAACATGATGAACCCCTGCCTTTATTAAAAATAAAAAAAATTAGCCGGACATGGTGGCGCGTGCCTGTAATCCCAGCTTCCCTTGAACCCGGGAAGCAGAGATTGCAGTGAGCCCAGATCGCTCACTCGGGAGGCTGAGACAGGAGAATTGCTTGAACCTGGGAGGCGGAGGTTGCAGTGAGTCAAGATTGTGCCACTGCACTCCAGCCTGGGTGACAGAATGAGACTCCGTCTCCAAAAAAATAAAAAATAGGCCGGGTGCAGTGGCTCACGCCTGTAATCCCAGCACTTTGGGAGGCTGAGATGGGCAGATTACAAGGTCAGGAGTTCAAGACCAGCCTGGCCAACATGATGAAACCCCATCTCTACTAAAAATACAAAAATTAGCTGGGCATGGTGGCGTGTGCCTGTAATCCCTGCTACTTGGGAGGCTAAGGCAGGAGAATTGCTTGACCAGGACTCAGGAGGCAGAGGTTGCAGTGAACTGAGATCGCGCCACTGCACTCCAGCCTGGGCTACAGAGTGAGACTCCATATCAAAAAATAAAAAAAAAAACCATAAGAATATATAATAAATTTCACATATATATATAACATGCATCCTAAAAAGTGTACAAATCTTAATTGTATGGCTTAATGAATTTGTACGAAGTGGGCATACCCTTATTACCACCTTCCAGATCAAAATACAGAATATTACAGGCACCTCAGAAGCCTTCCTCAGGCCCTCTCCCAATTATTAACCTCCAAAATATTATTGCCCTAGTGTTGTCTGTTTCTGAACCAAAGGGAGTCATTAGTGTCTGTCTTCTTATGTTGAACACTTTGTCTGTGAGATCATCCATCCCCTGAGCATCCTGCTTTTCCATGCCTGTGTACCTGAACACGCCTGTTCTTTCTGCCAGGACACAGCATGCTCTATCCTGGCCCAGCCAGTCTGGGCAGCTCCTCCAGATGCAGATCAGACCTTGCTCCTTTGGGAAAACTTCCATGATCAGCTCTGAGTTTGAATCCCAGCCCTTCCACCTACCAGCTGCATGAATTTGTGCAAACATTACTAACCTCTCCATGCCTGACTTTTGCTGATAATTTATATATTTCAGAGCTGTTGTGAATTTCAAGTGAGATAATAACATACTAAATACTTAGAGCAGTGCCTGGAGTGTAGGAAGTGCTTAACAAATGTTAGCTAGAACTATTGTGGATAGTCTGCTTTTCCAATTCCTCTACACCTTATATATACCCTGTCCTAGTGCTTGTTTTAATTACTATTATTATTATTATTATTTTGAGATGGAGTCTCACTCTGTCACCCAGGCTGGAGTGCAGTGGCGCAATCTCGGCCCACTGCAACCTCCGCCTCCCAGATTCAAGTGATTCTCCTGCCTCAGCCTCCTGAGTAGCTGGGACTATACAGGCGCGTACCACCACACCTGGCTAAATTTTTTTGTATTTTTAGGAGAGACGGTGTTTCACTATGTTGGCCAGGGTGGTCTCGAACCCCTTACCTCAGGTGATCTGCCTGCCTCAGCCTCCCAAAGTGCTGAGATCACAGGTGTGAGCCAGCGCACCCACCCAGCCTCGTTTTAATTATTGTTTGTCCCACTGGGAGTCCTTAATTCCTTGAGTAGGGATTGGTCTTATGGTCTTATTGTATTTCTTTTTTTTTTTTTTTTTTTGAGACGGAGTCTTGCTCTGTCGCCCAGGCTGGAGTGCAGTGGTGCGATCTCGGCTCACTGCAAGCTCCGCCTCCTGGGTTCACGCCATTCTCCTGTCTCAGCCTCCACAGCAGCTGGGACTACAGGCGCACGCTGCCACGCCCTGCTAATTTTTTTGTATTTTTAGTAGAGACGGGGTTTCACTGTGTTAGCCAGGATGGTCTCGATCTCCTGACCTTGTGATCTGCCAGCCTAGGCCTCCCAAAGTGCTAGAATTACAGGAGTGAGCCACTGCGCCCCGCCTATTGTATTTCTTTAACAGATTTCTATTGAGTATGCACTATATTCTAGCACTGAGGGTACAGTGATGAAGCAAGTCCTTGGATTTACTGGGTTTTACTTGGCTTTAATGGGAGGAGACAGTAAGAAAAATACAGAACTGAGACCATTTCAGATAGAGATAAGCACTATGAGGGAAGCAAAGCTGCGTGTGATAGCAGGTGGGGGGTGCTAGTTAAGCTGAGAAGGAAGAGGTCTTCTTGAAGAGGTGGTATTGGAGCAAATTCCTGTGGGGTGGAAGGGAGCAGGTGTGTACAGATAACCAGGGGGAACAGCAAGAGCAAAGCCTCTGAGCTAGGCAGAATAAATTCAGTGTGTCCGAGGAACAGCAACCAGGGCGGCATGGCCGGAGCCCAGTGAGTGAGTACGTGGTCCTGATGAGATTGGAGAGATGGACAAGGGCCTACACGATGGGGACAGAGTTGCTCAGTTATTTCTGGACTTTACTCTTTCCCCTATCCTTTCTCATCCACCCTTGTTCAGTGACCCAGATTATCTTTGCCAGAGATGTGTAAGCAAGATGAAGGAGGCAAGCCTGGGCCAGTTAGAGAAAAGGCAAGAAGGAAACAGGTTTGGTGAGTTCCTCCCCTTTCTCTGCCTCCAGGAAGGGTTCAGGTCCCTAGACAAGCATAATGATGTGGGCATAAGTGGAGGAGGGAGGCTGAACAGCTGGAGGGGCTGCAGAGGGAGCAGATCCCTTAGTGGAGGCAGCCCCAGCAGCTGTAACCCCTTGTGGTGCAGCAGGTAAACCAGGAACACGGCTGGAGTCCTGGCAGTAGGGTTGGGGGGCTCCTGGAGAGGTCTGGGCCATGACCAGCCAGGGGAATCAGGAAAGAGGGGTGGGCTGCGGTCTCAGTGATATGAATTATACAACACATCAACCTTTTGGCAACAACAGAGATACTTTAATATATTTATTTTCAACTTTAATTAATTTTTATTTATTTTTTTGAGACGGTGGTCTCACTCTGTTGCCCAGGCTCAAGTGCAGTGGTGTGATCTTGGCTCACTGCAGCCTTGAACTCCTGGCTCAAATGATCCTCCCACCTCCTGAGTAATTAGCACTACAGACGCACACCACCATTCCCGGCTAATTTTTGTATTTTTTTTGTAGAGACGAGGGTCTTGCTATGTTGCCTAGGCTTTAACTTTTTTTTTTTTGAGACAGAGTCTCACTCTGTTGCCCAGGCTGGAGTGCAGTGGCATGATCTCCTCTCACTGCAACCTCCATCTCCTGGGTTCAAGTGATTCTCCTGCCTCAGCCTCCCAAGTAGCTGGGATTACAGGCACCCACCACCACACCTGCTAGTTTTTGTATTTTTAGTAGAAATGGGATTTCACCATGTTGGCCAGGCTTGAACTCCTGACCTCAAGTGATCTGCCCGCCTCAGCCTCCCAAAGTGCTAGGATTACAGCCTTGAGCCACTGTGTCTGGCCCTAACTTTTATTATTTATTTATTTATTTATTTATTTCGAGACAGAGTCTTGCTCTGTCACCCAGGCTGGAGTGCAATGACACCATCTTGGCTCACTGCGACCTCCGCCTCCCGGGTTCAAGCCATTCTCCTGCCTCAGCCTTTCAAGTAGCTGGGACTACAGGCATGCATCACCATGCCTGGCTAATTTTTGTATTTTTAGTAGAGACGGGCCCTGTTGGCCAGGCTGGTCTTGAACTCCTGACCTCAAGTGATCCACCTGCCTCAGCCGCCCAGAGTGCTAGGATTACAGGCATGAACCACTGCACCTGGCCTTTTATTTTTTAATGAACTATTACACATACGAAAAGCAAATAAAACATGTACCATAGAATAAATAATGATAAGGCAAACATCCATGTAATCATCACCCAGGTCATGAAATAGAACACTGCCAACACTGCCCCCCCAGTACCCCCATCCCTTCCAGATTCTAACCCCCTTTAGAGGCGGCCACTAGCTGAATTTGTATGATAATCACTTCCTTGGTTTTCTTCGCAGTTTTTGCCTATGAATCACACAGAAAGTCTTAAATTAGAATTTTCTCACACAAATCCCAAGCCTGAAGACCTTGGAGGAGAGCCTCTTTAATGTAGATCTTCTTCTTCTTTAGTAAATCTTGGCAGGCCCTTGGGGAGATGGTGGTGGATTTGCAGTCTTGCATTTGGCAGAGAATGCAGTATGAGGCTTCTCTCATTCAGCCAAAGTGTTCTAGGGATCTGAAGAGGACTGTGAGGGGCACAGCAATGCATCCAAAACCAAGCTTGCCCCTGGGAGCTTGCAGTAGGGTGGAAAAAGTGTGGGTAAACATGATAGCCCAGACAGAGGGCCTGGAGAGGGGCTCTGATAAGGGCTCTGGGGGTTTAGAAGAGCCAGCAATCCCTTTTGGCAGTGGGAAGCAGAGCTGGCTTTGTGTAAGAGGTGGTGGTGTATGCATTCATGCATCATTTATCAAACATTTTTGAGGGATGGCAGTGTGCCAGGAAATTAGGTAAAAAAAAATAAAATGAATAAGATCTCTGCCTGCTTATGGCCTAATAGTTTAGCATAAATAGATACAAATAATTCCAATATGAGATGCTTTAAATACAAAGTGATATAAGACTGATTGGTTGCCTGGGGTTGTCGGGAGATTTCAAAACTAAGGCCTAGGCCAGTCCTTGAAGGAGAGAAGAGTGGAGTTTGGCAGACAGAGAAGGGAGCCACTGAATCCACAGAGGCACAGAGGTGGGAAAGGACACAAGGTGGATGTTGGCAAAATGTACAGTTCATGGTGGGAAGAAGAGTGGACTTGACATGTAGGATGGATAAGCAGGAAAGGTGTTTTAGGGAAGAGGATCAGCATGAGCAGTGGCAGAGAGGTGAGAAGTCATGGTTCCTGCCTGTATGATACTAAGTATTATACAGTCTAGCTGTAGCATAGGTGTGTAGTGGAAGGTGTGATGATTAATTTTATATGTCAACTTGACTGGGCCATGGGGTGCCCAGATATTTGGTCAAACATTATTTTCGGTGTGACTGCAAACTTGTTTCTGGATGAGATTAAGATCTGAATCAGGAGACTGAGCAAAACAAATTGCCCTCTCATCCAATCAGTTGAAGGCCAACATAAAACAAAAAGGCTGACCCTCCCTTGACTGAGGGAGAATTTTTCTTGCCTTCAGACTTCAAAGAGAAACACTGGCTCTTCCTCTGTCTTGAGCCTGCTGGCCTTTGGACTGGAACTGAAACATCAGCTCTCCTGGTTCTCAGGCCTTCAGGCTTGGACTGGAGCTACACCATTGGCTCTCCTGGGTCTCCAGCTCAGTGACTCACCCTGTGTATCTTGGGACTTGTCCTCCATAGTCGTGTGAGTGAGCCAATTATAATAAATCTCTTATAATAAATCTTTCTCTCTATATATATATATGTATATTTTATATATAGAGATTATTATATATAATTTATATATTATGTATGATTATATAATATATAATTTATATATTATATATAGACCATTCTATATGTATATATAACCACTCTCTATATAGAGAATGGTTTTATTTTTATTATTATTTCGAGATGGAGTCTCCCTCTGTCGCCCAGGCTGGAGTGCAGTTGTTCGATCTCGGCTCACTGCAACCTCCACCTCCTGGGCTCAAATGATTCTCCTGCCTCAGCCTCCCAAGTAGCTGAGATTACAAGCACGCATCACTACACACAGCTAATTTTGTATTTTTAGTAGATATGAGGTTTCACCATGTTGGCCAGGCTGGTCTCGAACTCCTGACCTCAAGTGTTCCACCCGCCTTGGCCTCCCAGAGTGCTGGGATTACAGGTGTGAGGCACTGCACATGGCCAGAATGGTTTTATATGTAATATATAAATAATATATATTACCATTCTATTGGTTCTGTTTCTCTGGAGAACTATGACTAATACAAAAAGAAAGGGAAATCACTTTGGAAAGGCAAAGATCATAGAGGACATAGAATGTCTGGGTAAAGTCTTAAATTTTTTTTTTTTTTTTTGAGATGGAGTCTCTCTCTGTCACCCAGGCACTGCAACCTCCACCTCCTAGATTGAAGCGATTCTCCTGCCTCAGCCTCCTGAGTAGCTGGGATTACATGCATGCACCAACATACCCAGCCAATTTTTGTATTTTTAGTAGAGATGGGGTTTCACCATGTTGGTCAAGCTGGTTTCAAACTCCTGACCTCATGATCTGCCCACCTCGGCCTCCCAAAGTGCTGGGATTACAGGTCTGAGTCACTGTACCCAACCAAAGGTCTTAAATTTTATTCTGAAGACAAAGGAGAAAACACTGAAGGTTTCTGAGTAAGGGAGTGACCTAATCAGAGCGATGATATAGGAAGATAAATGCTGTGCTTTGTCAAATGAGTTAAAGTAGAGATTCTTTTTTTTTTTTTTTTTTTTTGAGACGGAGTCTTGCTCTGTGGCCAGGCTGGAGTGCAGTGGTGCGATCTCTGCTCACTGAAACCTCCGCCTTCCGGGTTCAAGCGATTCCCCTGCCTCAGCCTCCTGAGTAGCTAGGACTACAGGTGAGCGCCACTATACCCAGCTAATTTTTTGTATTTTAGTAGAGACAGGGTTTCACCATGTTGGCCACAATGGTCTTGATCTCCTGACCTCGTGATCCTCCCGCCTTGGCCTCCCAAAGTGCTGGGATTAGAGGCGTGAGCCACCGCACCCAGCTGAGATTCTTTTTATTTATTTTTTTGAGACAGGGTCTTGCTTTGTCACCCAGGCTGGAGTGCAGTGTAGTGCACTGGCATGATCATGGCTCACTGCAGCCTCAACATCGCAGGCTCAAGCGACCCTCACATCTCAGCCTCCCCAAGTAGCTGGGACTACAGGTGCTTGCCACCACACGGTTTTTATATTTCTTGTAGAGATGAGGTCTCAGTATGTTGCCCAGCCTGGTCTCAAACTCCTGGGTTCAAGTGATCCTCCCGCTTCAGCCTCCCAAAGTGTTGGGATTATAGGCATGAGCCACCATGCCTGGACTAAAGCAGAGAGCTTGAAGGGAGCCTCTAGAAATTAGATATGAATTTTGTGGGTATAGGATCTGTGATGCAGAAAAGGTTGAGAACTCCTGGATATACAAGGCTGTAGGGGCCAAAAGCAGACATAGGTGCTTAGACCCTGGAGTAGGTGGGAGCTGGAAGATGATTTTGATGGTGCTGAGTAGCTGGAAATTTGAAAATGGGGGTAGGATGCCGGGCGCGGTGGCTCACGCCTGTAATCCCAGCACTTTGGGAGGCTGAGGCGGGTGGATCGCCTGTAGTCAGGAGTTTGAGACCAGCCTGGCCAACATGGTGAAACCCCATCTCTACTAAAAAATACAAAAATTAGCTGGGCATGGTAGCAGTTGCCTGCAATCCCAGCTACTCGGGAGGCTGAGGCAGGAGAATCACTTGAACCTGGGAGGGGAGGTTGCAGTGAGCTGAGATCGCACCATTGCACTCCAGCCTGGTTGACAGAGTGAGACTCTGTCTCAAAAAAAAAAAAAAAAAAAAAAAAATTGGGGGTGGGAATAGGGGTTGGAAGAGGTATAGATTTGGGAGTTATTACCTAGAGGGTAGGGACAAGTACCTCATGGGCAGACAAGCAGGGCAGGGGTGGCAGTGATTCATCAAGAGTTTGGCAGTCATAAGCAACAGAAACCTACTCAACCTCGTTCAGGCAATAGAGGGAATTTATTGCTAATGTGACTGAAGATTGAAGCAAGACTGGATCTGATGTCTCATGCAATGCCACTGGGACTTGGTTTCATGTCTCCATCTCTCAGTTCTGTTTCCCCCTCTGTCTTGGTCTCATTCTCAGGCAGCATCTCTGCTTGCAGTGGGAAGCTGGCTGCCAGCAGTGCCACGATTACATCCTACTCTCAGCAAACAGAGATTCACTGAACTGAATAGTTGTGACCAAAGTTCCAGAATTAAATCTCATTGGGTCACATGCCTGTTGCTGAAATGGTGTGGCAACAGGGCTCTCTATAATGCTGTGATTGGCCAAGCCTGGGTCACGTGTCCATTCCCGCAACTAGAGATAGTGTCATCTCTAGAGCCACATGGATTGAGAGTTGGGGCAGGGGCTGCTCTAGGAGAAATGGAAGTGCTGTTACCAGAAGGAAGAATGGACACCGGAATGGTAGCCACCGGGAAGGGAGCCGGAGTCCCACAGGCTGTCCCTCCTGTTAACATGAGGCAGCTATAGCAGTGGGGCAGTAGCGGGGAGGCACTAGGAGGCTGGGGGCTGGGCCAGCAGTGAGGGACATGGTAGATTGGGTCAAGTAATAGTAACACCATTGCCACTGCTGTTTGGGGCTGTGAAAAGGTCTAGGAGGGTTCTTCTGACAAAAAACCTGACAACATAAAAGACATAGTGCTAAGTAAGTCCTTGTCCTCAGAATAAAGGCAGGAAAAGCTGAACAGTTGGGTGACACCCCATCAAGATATTGCTGCTACTGGAAAGGGCAGACGTTGTCTGGGGACATTCATGGGATTGTGAGACAGGATGAAGGAAAGGGCACTGCCAGCTGGACTTGTGAAGGGAAGAAACAACCATTTTCCCCTCAAGTTTAAAAAATGAAGCTTATGCATTTTTACAATAGTAATAAATTCACAATAGCCCAAAACAACCCAAATTCCAACAGTAGGAGTCTGGGTAAATATTGCAATGCCCGGAGAGTAAAATGCAGCCTTTACAAATGATGCTTTATTTGACATGGAAAGATGTTCACAATGTAGTTTTTTTGTTTTGTTTTGTTTTTGTATTTTTTGTAGAGATGGGTGGGGGCAGGTCTTGCTATGTTGCCCAGACTGGTCTTGAACTCCTGGGCTCAAGTGATCCACCCGCCTCGGCCTCCCAAAGTGTTAGGATTATAGGTGTGAGCCACATTAGAGGTAGGACTACAGCTGAAGCTTATCTTCCTGTTTTTTTTTTTTAGGTGGGGTTTTGTTCTTGTTGCCCAGGCTAGAGTGCAATGGCGCAATCTCGGCTCACTGCAACCTCTGCCTCCCAGGTTCCAGCGATTCTCCTGTCTCAGCCTCCCGAGTAGCTGCGAATACAAGTGCATGCCACACCCAGCTAATTTTTGTATTTTTAGTAGAGAAAGGGTTTCACCATGTTGGTCAGGCTAGTCTTGAACTCCTGACCTCAAGTGATCCGCCCACCTCGGCCTCCCGGAGTGCTGGAATTACAGGCGTGAGCCACCGCACCTGGCTTTTTTTTTTTTTTTTTTTTGAGACAGAGTTTCACTTTTTTGTCGCCTAGGCTGGAGTGCAATGGCATGATCTCGGGGTCACTGCAACCTCCGCCTCCTGGATTCAAATGATTCTCCTGCCTCAGCCTCCCAAGTAGCTGGGATTACAGGCACCTGCCACCACACCGAGCAAATTTTTGTGTGTGTGTTTTTTAGTACAGATGGGGTTTTACCATGTTGGTCAGGCTGGTCTTCAACTCCTGACCTCAGGTGATCCACCAGCCTCAGCCTCACAAAGTGCTGGGATTACAGATGTGAGCCACTGTGCCTGGCCTGAAGCTTATCTTCTAATTTCTCTATAATAAACCTGCTTGATAGTGTGGTAGTGTCATAGTCAACTAGAGCCAGCCTCCTGAGTGCAAGTCTCAGCTCTGCCACTGCTTGGCATGGCGGCTATGGACAAGTCTCTTAACACCTCTGAGCTTCAGTTCATGTAACCATAAAGTGGGGGTAACAGTTCTTAACTCATAGGGTGGCTGTGAGTATTAAATTAGCTACTACTACCTGCAAAGCTATTAGCCATACCTGCAGTAAACACTAAAAAATGTAGTTCTTATTTTTGGGTAATTAAAAAATCCAAAAGAGGGCTGGGTGCGGTGGCTTACACCTGTAATCGCAGCCCTTTGGGAGGCCAAGGCAGGTGGATCACAAAGTCATGAGTTCAAGACCAGCTTGGCCAATATGGTGAAACCCCGTCTCTACTAAAAATACAAAAATTAGCTGGGCATGGTGGTGGGCACCTGTAGTCTCAGCCACTTGGGAGGCTGAGGCAGGAGAATTGCTTGAACCCGGGAGGCGGAGATTGCAGTGAGCCGAGATCGAACCACTGCATTCCAGCCTGGGTGACAGAGCGAGACTCCGTCTCAAAAAAAAAAAAAAAATCCAAAAGAAAATATGACTATAAGTCAATATACTGGAATTAAGTGTCTTTGTTGGCCAAATAGCTGTGGCAGTAGACAATAAATGAGCTGTTATTAAGATAAGCAATTTTTTTTTATTTTTTTTGAGACAGAGTCTCGCTCTGTTGCCCAGGCTGGAGTGCAGTGGCGCGATCTTGGCTCACTGCAAGCTCCGCCTCCCGGGTTCACGCCATTCTCCTGCCTCAGCCTCTCGAGTAGCTATGACTACAGGAGCTCGCCACCACGCCCGGCTAATTTTTTTGTATTTTTAGTAGAGGCGGGGTTTCACCGTGTTAGCCAGGATGGTCTCGATCTCCTGACCTCGTGATCCGCCCGCCTTGGCCTCCCAAAGTGCTGCGATTACAGGCATGAGCCACCGTGCCCGGCCTAGGATAAGCAATTTAAGCGATTTTTCTCTAACATGGGGAAACATCTAAGAATAAGAGAGGGAAGTTCTCTATTTTCCTGAAGCTTTCATACTAGCAGAGAAGACAAATAATAGATACTGCGAAGATAGGATGATTGAAGAATGCAGTGATATAAATTTGGGGGAAGAGGAGGGAGGCAGAGCAAAGAAATTCAAGGCCTTGGCCAGACGTAATGTCTCACACCTTGTAATCCCAGCAGTTTGGGAGGCTGAGGCAGGCTGATAGCTTGTGTCCAGGAGTTCGAGACCAGCCTGGGCAATCCAGCAAAACCCTGTGTCTACAAAAAAATACAAAAATTAGCCAGGCATGGTGGCATGCGCCTGTGGTCCCAGCTACTTGGGAGGCTGAGGTGGGAGAATCGCCGGGACGTCGAGATTGCAGTGAGCTGAGATCGTGCCACTGCACTCCTGCCTGGGTGACAGAGCAAGAACGTCTCAAAGAAAAAACAACAACAACAACAACAACAACAACAACAAAAACACAAGGCCTGTGGTTGGGGGAAGGTTGTAACTCTAAAAAAGACCCATGTGGCTACAGCGAGGGACACTGGGTGTAGGTAGAGATAAGAAGAGTGATACTCAGTTCTCACATCACGGCGGACTGAATACAGGCCCGGGGAGTGAGAGACCATCCACCCCTGTGATCTGGGGCAAGTCACCAGCCCTTTCAGAGAAGCTTCCGTCTTCTCTGCAAAATGGGACAATACCTTGCTTCACAAGCTTGCAAGGATCAAAAGAACTGGTAGTGGGCCGGGCGCGGTGGTTCACGCCCGTAATCCCAGCACTTTGGGAGGTCGAGGCAGGTGGATCACTTACTTGAGGTCACGGGTTCGAGACCAGCCTGGGCAAAATGGTGAAACCCCGTGTCTGCTAAAAATACAAACATTAGCCTGGCGTGGTGGCAGGTGCCAGTGATCCCAGCTACTCGGGAGGCAGAGGCAGGAGGATCGCTTGAACCCAAGGGGTGGAGGTTGCAGTGAGCTGAGATCGCGCGCTGCACTCCAGTCTGGGCAACAGATCAAGACTGTCTCAGAAAAAACAAACAAAAAAGAACTGGTAGAGGAAGCGCTTTGCATACTATCGTTCACAGTATTATTACAAATACAACCATTAGGAAAACATGCAGAGCATAGCCCCGAACTCACGAGCTGCGCCGGCCCGCGCGTGCGCGACAGGCGGGCGGAGCCAGGGCAGTCCAGGCACCGCCTTGACCCGCCCCAGCCTCTTCCCCTTCCCTGTTCCTCCCACTTCCGCGGGCACCCAACTGTGCGTCTCCTGCGCGCTGACGTCAGGTGCGTGCCCCTGTCCGGCAGCCGAGGAGACCCCGCGCAGTGCTGCCAACGCCCCGGTGGAGAAGCTGAGGTGAGTGCGGGGCCCGAGGTTCCCCGCGGGAGCTGCCACCCTACCTTCCCATCCCCGCCGTCTCCGTCCTCTCCCAGTCCTCGGGGACACCCCGTCTGCGGGATCGTGGGGGGCCCGGGAGCACGGGTTGTGGGGGAGTGCCCGGCTCGCGCTGCGTCCTCCGGGCGGGCGCGGGTCCGCGTTCTGTGGGGGAGCCGGGGCGGGGGTCGCGGCCGGGGAGGCAGGGGGCGCCCGTCTGAGGAGGGGCGCGCGGCCGGGGCTCGGGGCGCGAGCGGGACCGGGCTGTCACCGGCAGCGGCGGAAGGAAGGGGGTCACACCCATCCTGGGCGCCCGGGCTCCCCTCCCCCCAGCCCGGCCCGGCGGGCTCCTAAGGGCGGCCGGGGGCCTCAGAGCGACTCGCGGGCGCTTGGGCCGGGCCGGGCGCCGGTCTTCCGTGCTGGCAGGCTGCGTTCCGTGCCCTGCGCTCCGGCCTGGACTTCCTGCTTCGCCGGGCGCCGCCGCGGACATTTTGCGGCGGGGGTGGGGGGGCGGGGGAGGGGAGTGGCGTTGCGGCCGCGGCGGGGCGGTGGCAGGAGGGCAGCTCGCTGGCTGCTCGCGGCGGTGCCTGTCCGAGCTCCCCTCCGCGCCGGCCGCGTCCTCTGGGCGGGGTGGCCCCGAGCCACGGCCTCCAGGCTGCTCTTCCTTTCGGAGGTCGAGTTCCTAGCATTTCCATCCGCTCCTCCAGCCCGCTCCCTGCCGGTTTAGCTGAAGCTTCCCTTTCGGGGAGTTACCTAACTACCTCCCGAAGCCGTCGTTCTGCTGCTTGGTTAATTCCTCTTATCGGGGGGGAATTTTCTTTGTTCGTTTGTTTTTCCTCCCCTTTAAGTCCAAGATAAATGTAGTGTGGAAGATTACGTCATCGCGGTATAAGGAGTGAGACTTAACTCCTACAAGTCAGGGACTTAAATTCAAACAGCATTTTGCAGCCTTAGTCGGTCACCCAGTGGCTTATCCTGCCTGCTTCCCAACACGTCGTATTCACAGATGATGTTTTGAAAGCTTGTTACTTGTGTTCATGACCGCCTTCAGTGCACCTAAAAGCTAGGAAGGTTTAAAATCCCAGGATTAGTTTGTGTCAGGGAATAAAGTGTAAGACAACACCGTCCACGGCCCCTTGCGTGGCATTAACTTTAAATAGAGGTCCCTTTGACTATACTAGAATGAGGTGGGTTTATTTGTGGGAACACTTTTCGGTCCAAAATGACTTTCCCAGACTGTTTATTCTCCTTTATGACTTACTGCATGCTGGGAATCTCCCTAGGTTGATTCAAGTGCACTTTTTGTGGTGAAGTTGTGTTGAAAAGAGGATCAGTTTATGCCTGATCTATGCTAGACATTTTAGTTTTGTTATTAAAAACGAGACTTCGATCTTTAAGCAAAAAACTTAATATTTTCATAATTTTGAGATCACAATTTTTATTTTTTTTGAGACAGGGTCTCAAAGACGTTACTAAATATAATGGATATTGCACTCCCAGGCTGCAGTGCAGTGGCGCGATCTTGGCCCACCGCAGCCTCCGCCTCCCGGGGTCAAGTGAGCCTCCCACCTCAGCCTCCCGAGTAGCTGGTACTGCAGGCATGTACCACCATGCCCCGCTAATTTTTGTATTTTTTGTACAGACAGGGTTTCGCCATGTTGCCCAGGCTGGTCTCGGACTCCTGGGGTCAAGCAGAGATCACAATTTTTGTTCCCTAGGGTGTTTACATTCTAAATTTTGTATCCTTCCGCGACTGCAATAGTATCACACAAAAATGTTGACTCTGTAAAGCAAATGAGATCCAATTGTGTAATGCATTGTTGTAAAGATAATTCATGTCGAAACAAGTGCTTTCCCACTGTTTCTCATTTCTATAGAGAACAGATTGGTAAACACTTAAAAGGAGTGTAGGTTCAAGGCAGCTTTCTGTAGTGTGTAGGCATTACAGACCATTGGATAGGTGTGGAACTTGAATCTTCTGAAATACATTTGTTAGCCTTGATGTAATATTTTAGGCATATAAAATTGGAACACATCTGCCTTATTTTCTTGAGCTTTCTATTTTTAATAATTTTAAATAATATCAATTTGTATCTTTCCTTTTAGAAAGTAACAGTAGTTTGAATTTATGTATATATATATATATATATATATATATATATTTTTTTTTTTTTTTTTTTTTTTTTTTTTTTTTTTTTTTTTTTTTTTTTTGAGAAGGAGTCTCGCTCTGTCTCCCAGGCTGGAGTGCAGTGGCGCAATCTCAGCTCACTGCAAGCTCCGCCTCCCAGGTTCACACCATTCTCCTGCCTCAGCCTCCCGAACAGCTGGGACTACAGGCGCCCGCCACCACGCCCGGCTAATTTTTTGTATTTTTAGTAGAGACGGGGTTTCACGGTGTTAGCCAGGATAGTCTTGATCTCCTGACCTCGTGATCCGCCCGCCTCGTCCCCGCAAAGTGCTGAGATTACAGGCGTGAGCCACCGTGCCCGGCCTGAATTTATAGTTTTTATACTGAGATGGAGATAAGAGTTTGGTAATCAACTAAGTATTGAATGAGCTCGTTTTCAGTAATTTCTTCAAGACCAGAAAGGTATCACATCCTCTGTTTATACTCTTAAAATGTTTTCATGTTACAACCAATACCTGTCCGTATTAAACTTAATTTTTTGGGAATCTAAGGCAGATGTTATAGCCTAGAGTAGTATAGGGAGTTAAAAAAAAAATTGGTGATTTTTTTTTTTTTTTTGGAGACAGGGTCTTACTCTGTCGCCCAGGCTAGAGTGCAGTGGTGTGATCACAGCTCACTGCAGCCTCGGCCTCCCAGGCTCAACTGATCCTTCCACCTCAGCCTCTGCAGTAGCTGGGACTACGGTGCATGCAACCAGACCCGGCTAATTTTGGTATCTTTTGTAGAGATCGGGTTTCCTCATGTTGTCCAGGCTGATCTGGAATGCCTGAACTCAAGCTATTTGCTCCTGTTGGCCTCTGAAAGTGCTGGGATATAGGCATGAGCTGCTGTGCCGCTGACAGGCTTTCTTGGAAGTAAAAGACTAGTTGTGCTTTTATTTATAGATGTATTTTAAATGCACTTCTCTATTGTTTTAGAGTTTTTTTTTTTTTTTTTTTGAGAGGATGAGAAACAATGAGCACCTTAGGCTACAGGGCTTCCTTTGAAGGGGAGAGAGGGTTAAATATTGTGTTAACATATCTTCCATGAAAATATCTCTCTGTATTAAAAGGCTTCATTCTGGAATTTTATGGTAATGCCTTATTCAGTGTTCTCTTCCACATAGATTTCCTCATTAGATTGTAAGTTCTGTGAGGGCAGGGCTTTGGCCTGGCATGGTCACCCCATTGCTAATGCCTAGAATACTGCCATACATACAGTAGGTTTTAAGAAATATTTTTTAAGTGAATGAATTTGATGATGTCTGAGGGTTAACGTTTTCCCTAATATTCCATGGGCCTTTTTGCTGTGTTTCCTGAGACAGCTTTTGTGCTTGGTCAGCCATATCTTTATTTGGGCTCATTGAAGTAGTGATTACTAATCTACTCTTGCTTGACTTTTTCCATCTGTTTAGGTCAGTATCTTCTGCAGCTGCACTGTCTGGACAATTTACCATCACTTAGAAAATCTGTGATGACTACTAGTTCTCTTACTCTCCTAAAAATTATTCACTTAATGTTTGTTTCCTTATCTTCCTTTATTTCTTTGTTTGCAAATAACTTTTACCGCTTGTTCACTACTGTATCAGATTCCTGGTCATGTTATGCTTTGTGTCTTACTAGTTTCTACTTTTAGTTTCTCATACCTTCAGTCCAAAATATTTTTACTAAAGCAATTTTCATTACTTGCCATTTCAGCTACCTCTGCTGCTGCTGCTGCTATTTTAAGTCCTGAATGTCAAAACTCTTCTGGGACATTGATCTCAAACTGCTTATTCCGTGAAGTGAAACCAGGCTTTCTGCCACCAATGTGGCGTCCCTTTTTGCAATTTTAGAAAAATATTTTTTAAATCAAAGATTTGGCATTAGCCATTATACTAAAGTCCAGAACAATTTCTAATAGAGCAGAAAACTATATTGTTCAGCCATGGTATTCACTAAGCACTGGTGCTCTATCACCTTAAGACAAAGTCTGATTTAGGCTCTGTTACTGTTGTTCTGTAATGCTTTACACTTTAACCTTGCATCCTTTTCTGTAAAATTAAGCCATTGCCATTTGCCATTTCAATTCTGCTGTGTGTTCTTGATTGGTATATTGCTACTATAATGATTAAAAGCATAGACTCTGGAACCAGACTGCCTGGGTTCAGATCCTGGTTCTGCCACTTATTAGGTATGTGCAGTCTAAGTAACGTCTTTGTGACTCAGGTTTACTTCCTCTAAAATAGGGGTAGCAGTAGTGCTTACCTAACAGGGCTGCAGTGTTAGGAAGATTGAATTAATATATATGAAGTGTTTAGGACTGTTCACTGGCACATAGTGAGTGCTGTATAGATTTTTGCTCTTGGCACAACTGTGAGGACCCTTCCCCGCCATCTTTGAGAAGCTGTGTTTCTCTCAAACATAAACATTTTAATAACCATCCTTCTCCCGGACTAATCTGATGAATCCAAAAACATTTCTTTTTTCTTTTTTGAGATGGAGTTTTGCTCTTGTTGCCCAGGCTGGAGTGCAATGGCGCGATCTCGGCTCACCGCAACCTCCGCCTCCTGGATTCAAGTAATTTTCCTGCCTCGGCCTCTTGAGTAGCTGGGATTGCAGGCATGCGTCAGCGCCCCTGGCTAATTTTGTATTTTTCGTAGAGATGGGGTTTCTCTATGTTGGTCAGGCTGGTCTCCAACTCCTGACCTCAGGTGATCCGCCCGTCTCGGCCTCTCAAAGTACTGGGATTACAGGCATAAGCCACTATGTCTAGCCCAAAAACATTTCTAAATGAAGTGGAGATTGCTTTACCTTTTTTTTTTCTTTTTTTTTTGAGACAGAGTCTCGCTCTGTCACCCAGGCTGGAGTGCAGTGGCATGATCTTGGCTCACTGCAACCTCTGCCTCCCGGGTTCAAGTGATTCTCCTGCTTCGGCCTCCTGAGTAGCTGGGATTACAGGTGTCCGCCACCACACCCGGGTAATTTTCGTATTTTTAGTAGAGGTGGGGGGGTTTCACCATGTTGGTCAGGCTGGTCTGTAACTCCTGACCTCACGTGATCTGCCTGCCTCGGCCTCCCAAAGTGCTGGAATTAACAGGCGTGAGCCGCTGCATTCCGGCCTCCTTTACATTTTTATCCGTTACCTTTACCGTTGTCATAGAAGCAAGGGTGTCAGGCCTCAGGTATGCAGTATAGTCTGTGGACCCATCAGCATAAGTGTCACCTGGGAGCTCATTAGAACTATCAGGATTCATCCCAGTCTTACTGACCCAGAATCTTATTTTAATAAGATCCCCACATGATTTTTATGTGTATTAAGGCTTGAAGCACCCTCTTCAGGACTGCTAGAGTGATGTCTCAAATTTCGGAAACAATGTGAATGCTTTATTTCATTTTATTTTCCTATGGAAGCATAACCTGGTTTATTTTAGGCAGTGTACCACAATTTATTGCAAGGATCATAATCTGAAAATGAATCTGAAGCATATTTAGTTTTTAAAGGAATTGTTGCTTCCTGCCTATTACGTAGAATTGCCTCATGTCTGCCCATTATCAGGAACTAATGTGTTATTTAAAGTTTTTTTTTTTTTTGAGATGGAGTTTTGCCCTTGTTGCCCAGGCTGGAGTGCAATGGCATGATCTCCACTCACTGCAACCTCCACCTCCCGGGTTCAAGTGATTCTCCTGCCTCAACCTCCCGAGTAGCTGGGATTACAGGCATGTGCCAGCATGCCTGGCTGATCTTGTATTTTTAGTAGAGATGGGGTTTCTCCATGTTGGGAGTTTCTCCATGCTGGTCAGGCTGGTCTCAAACTCCCGACCTCAGGTGATCCACCCACCTTGGCCTCCCATAGTGCTGGGATTACAGGCGTGAACCACCGCACCCAGCCGAATTACGTATTTTTTAATTTTATTTTTATTTTTTAGAGATAGAGTCTTGCTATGTCACCAGGCTGCAGTGCGTGGTGTGATTATAGCTCACTGTAACCTTGAACTCCTGGGCTTAAAGGATCCTCCAACCTCAGCCTCCCAAGTAGCTGGGATTGCAGGCACGCACCACCACACTTGGCTAATTGTAAATATATATATATATTTTTGTAGAGAATGGGGCCTTTTTATGTTGCCCAGGTTGTTCTTGAACTCCTGGCCTCAAGTGACCTCCCACCTTGGCCTCCCAGAGCTGTGGGATTACAGTTGTGAGCCTCTGCACCGGGCCTTAATTTTTTTTTTTTTTGAGACGGAGTTTTGCTCTTGTTGCCCAGGCTGGAGTGCAATGGCGCAATCTCGGCTCACCGCAACCTCCGCCTCCCAGGTTCAAGTGATTCTCCTGCCTCCACCTCCCTAGTAGCTGGGATTACAGGCATGTGCCACCACAGCACGGGGCCTTAATTATACATTTGAACTTAAGTGACATTTTATTGAAAACTAATTGTGGTGACGAGGAATGGTCTAAGCATATGATTAGGATAATTCATATTCATTATGAAAACTTAGGTGAAATACAGACTTGGCATTTAGCTTGTCAAATGTAAACATGTTTTCTGCTTTCTTTGCTAAAATCATATTTCCAATTTCAAGGGAAAATGTTAAGAACCAAAATCATCTTTTTCAGCTACCCGCCTGAAAAAATTATTGCTATTTTTCTTTTCTTTTTTTTGAGAATTCTCGCTCTGTTGCCCAGGCTGGAGTGCAGTGGTACGATCTTGGCTCACTGCAACCTTGCCTCCCAGGTTCAAGCGATTCTCTTGCCTCAGCCTCCCAAGTAGCTGGGATTACAGGCGCACACCACCATGCCTGGCTAATTTTTGTATTTTTAGTAGAGACGGGGTTTCACTATGTTGGACAGGATGGTCTTGAACTTCTGACCTCAGGTGATCCGCCTGCCTTGGCCTCCCAAAGTGCTGGGATTACAGGCGTGAGCCACGGCTCCCAGCCTGTTATTTTTCAAGGGCCAGATTGAATTTATTTCTCTGATATTTCCTTTTTCCTTCTTTAACTATATGGTGTAGGAGAAATTCTCCAGGACTATCCCTGAGAGCTGGGGGATCAGTGTCTCAGGAACACCTGTGTTTATTACCTGTGTCCATTCTCTGTGTCTTAAGTGGCCATTTGAAGCCATCTACGTCCTTTTCAATTGAAAGATTATCAGTAGGCTGGGTGCGGTGGCTCATGCTTGTAATCCCAGCACTTTGGGAGGCTGAGGC
Organism: Homo sapiens; assembly: GCF_000001405.40. Lineage (NCBI taxonomy): Eukaryota > Metazoa > Chordata > Mammalia > Primates > Hominidae > Homo > Homo sapiens. The sequence continues at coordinate 22,060,113 of NC_000001.11, forward strand.
AGGCAGATCACCTGAGGGCTGGAGTTCAAGACCAACCTGGCCAACATGGTGAAACCCCGTCTTTACTAAAAATACAAAAATTAGCCATGGTGGCATGCACCTGTAATCCCAGCTACTTGAGAGGCTGAGGCACGAGAATCGCTTGAACCTGGGATGCAGAGGCTGCAGTGAGCGGGGATGCACCACTGTTCTCCAGCCTGGGTGACAGCTGAGACTCCGTCTCAAAAAATTAAAAAAAAAAAAGATTATTGCAATTCATTACTCCATGTGGAAGGAGGAGAGGTGTCTGAGAACAGATCAAATGAGGAACAGATGATTAAACCAGAGGGAGATGGAGGTGGAATAAAAGAATATTATGTTAATTAGTGTTAAGGGGTATGAGAAAAGAGGATAAATTTAGTAGAAGAAAGCATAAACAAGATTTCAGCTATGGTTCATTTGCTTTGCTGGAAGACAGTTTAGGAGTATTTGTAATATTTTTAGTTTGTTTTTAATCTATATAAAAGCAGATGAAGAGGAGTGGGAAGTGAAAGAATAATGTTACTTGAATAACACTTATCTCTGGTTTCAGGGATTTTCATTACAACTTTACTAGTATTTGTTTCATTAGCTGAATACTATTGGAGAAGAACTCAGTTTTAGATAAATTCTGAAATGGAATTAATACATTCATATCACTTGCTTGCCTAAAAAACATTTTTATTATAGGGTTTAAGATTAACAAGATTTTAAAATAAGTGATTAGATTTTAGAATGTGTAAAGTTTGGTTTATAACTTGAAAGGATAGTTCTATGGATATCAGTGTTTTTTTATTTTGCTATTTTATTCGTGCTGTTTATTTGCTCTGTTCATCATAGGGGCAAAGGAAATGTTAGATCATCCTAATAGTTGATAAGCTAGTAAAGATGAGGGTAGGGGATAATTTTAGAGTAAGGCCTGTGTGGCTTAGTGTGTTTCAGAATATCTGAAAGACATTTCCATGGGCTTGGGTGTCAGATAAATTAGAAACCCAGCCGGGCAGAGTGGCTCACGCCTGTAATCCCAGCACTTTGGGAGGCCATGGCGGGCGGATCACCTGAGGTCAGGAGTTCGAGACCAGCCTGGCCAACATGGTGAAACCCCGTCTCTACTAAAAATACAAAAAATTAGCCAGGTGTGGTGGCATGTGCCTGTAATCCCAGCTACTCAGGAGGCTGAGGCAGGAGAATCGCTTGAACCCGGGAGGTGGAGGTTTCAGTGAGCCGAGATTGCACCACTGCACTTCAGTCTGAGTAACAAGAGCAAAACTCTGTCTCAGGAAAAAAAAAAAAAAAGAAACCCTTTATTATATCTTCATCCTGGAAATCATAATGTATATAAGTTTATTTTAAAGGGTTAGGGAAGTTAGACGGTCAATCAGTTTAACTTCATGTTTCTTTCTTTTTTTTTTTTTTTTTTTTTTTTTTTTTGAGATGGAGTCTTGCTCTATCAGCCAGGCTGTAGTGCAGTGGCATGATCTTGGCTCACTGCCACCTCTGCCTCCCGGGTTCAAGCAATTCTCCTGCCTCACCCTCCTGAGTAGCTGGGATTACAGGTGCCCGCCACCATGCCCGGCTAATTTTTGTATTTTTAGTGGAGATGTTGGCCATCTCCACTTTAGTGGAGACCGTGTTGGCCAGGCTGGTCTCGAACTCCTGACCTCAAGTGATCCGCCCCCTTCAGCCTCCCAAAGTGCTGGGATTACAGGCGTGAGCCACTGCGCCCGGCCTAACTTGATGTTTCTTAAACTTGTTTGATGACGTTTCATCCTCCCCATCACCCCTATGGAACACCCTTTTTTATTTTATTTATTTCTTTTTTTTGGAGAACGGATTCTTACTCTGTCACCCAGGCTGGAGTGCAGTGGCGTGATCTTGGCTCACTGCAACCTCTGCCTCCTGGGTTCAAGCAATTCTGCCTCAGCCTCCCGAGTAGCTGGGACTACAGGCATGTGCCACCATACCCAGCTAATTTTTGTATTTTTAGTAGACACGGGGTTTCACCACGTTGGCCAGGCTGGTCTCAAACTCCTGGCCTTAAATGATGTGCCTGCCTTGGCCTCCCAAAGTGTTGGGATTACAGGCGTGAGCCTCCATGCCTGGCTGTTTGACCCATTTAAAAAATGGCTTGTGGTTTATAAGACAAATTGTTTGAGAATCTGAATGTAGGTACTTCTACCTCATCAGCTAGAACAAAGAAAGTCTAAATAATCATAGTTTGTTTTGTAGTTGGCATCTCACCTCATAACTTTTAAAAGAAAGGTTCTGAATTTGTCACGTTTGCTGCCTAGGTAATGTAGTGACTTATTTTATGCTGCAAATGTCTGCTTGTTTAGGATTTCTGATATAGGCTGGCATGATTTCATTCTTGTAGACTTACGACCAAATTACTCTGTGCTGATTCTGAAAAGATTTGTCTTTTTGGTGCATGTATAAGAACATAAGTTGCCTGATCTTAAGAGTTTTTTTCTGATTGGGTATGGTGGCTCATGCCTGTAATCCCAGCAGTTTGGGAGACCTAGGTGGGAGGATTGCTTGAGGCCAGCAGTTTGAGACGAGCCTGGTAGCCTGGTCAACATAGTGAGACCGTGGCTCTATTTAAAAAAAAAAAAAAAAAAAAAAAAAAAAAAAAAAAGATTTTTTCCGAACTTATCCATTTGTCTATGGTACAAACCTATCCTCTAATTTTTCAAACCAAAAAACGTCTTTATAACTTTGTCCTTAAACACTCCACCTCCAACCTGATGACCTATTCTCTATTTCTATGCTACTACCGCAGGGCAGATCCTCCATTTCAATCTTAGATTATTACCCTAGTTTCTTAGCTGACTTCCTTGACTATCTGGTTGTCTTTGGCAGCCCACCTTGGAATACAGGCACAATATTGATACTCCTAAAACACTGTTCATGGATATGGAAGAAGTGACTGTTCTGCTTAGCTTTTAGAGTCTATATGACTTGGACTCATAGTTTTTTTTTGTTTGTTTCTTTTTTCCACTTTGCATGCTTGCTTGTGCCTTTTCTCCTGATACTCCTATCTAACTAGAGATTTATTTTCACATTATTTTAGATTACTCTCCCATGTTTACTCTGAAAATCTGTGGCACTCATATTTCATAGTGTAAAATTGTAGCAATCTGAGACTACTACAGTTGTTAGCCTCTTCTCCTTATAACCAGTAAAGTATACTAGATGATGTATGATGAACTTTCTAGCATAGAATTTGGTACAGAGTAGGCATTTAGTAAATTATTGAAATGTGTTAAAGGCCTTTGAAGGCAAGATTTCTGTTACCCAGTGTAATGCTGTAGTAGGCATTTAGATATCTTACTTAGATAACTTTTGTAATAAGTTAATAGGATTTCGTTCTTCCAAGAACCTACTCTATTTTAACAGATGTTTTAGGTCCTAACTTGTGTCCTAATTAGATAGAGAGGGTCTGTTAGGTGCTTGGGATCTTGTTCTTCAACTGCACACATACCAGCACAACTACTGTTAAATTTCTTTTGCGCTTTTTTCCCCTTTAGGACAAAAAAAGGATTTAACAGTTATGTGCTTTTAATAACATTGTATTACTTTGTTGGTAACCTTCACAACTTTTTTTTTTGAGACAGAGTCTTGCTCTTGTCATCCAGGCTGGAATGCAGTGATGCCATCATGGCTCACTGGAACCTTCGCCTCCCGGGTTCAAGTGATTCTTGTGCCTCAGCCTCCCGAGTAGCTGGGATTACAGGTGCGAGCCACCACACCGGCTACTTTTTGTATTTTTAGTAGAGATGGGGTTTTGCCATGTTGACCAGGCTGGTCTGGAACTCCTGACCTCTTATGATCTTCCTGCCTTGGCCTCCCAAAGTGCTGGGATTACAGGCGTGAGCCACTGCGCCAGGCCTTCACAGTCATCTTTAGTATGTATAACATTTCATCCTGTGGTGTATTATTACTTGTTTTTTTTTTGTTACATTAACTGTTTTGATGATACAGCATCTCATTGTTTCTTGATAAAGTATTTCCTTCTTTTTGGATAAATTACCTGAAGTGGAAATGTATGTGTAGGGCATTAAAAAAACAAAAAAACAAAAAACCTTGTGTTTTCCTAATATTTTGAGGGAAAATCTTACTGTAATCTTTCTTCCCTTCTAATCAAATACTCTTGTGAATGCTCTTTTTTTAAAATTTTTTGAGATAGAGTCTCGCTCTGTCACTCAAGCTGGAGTATAATGACATGATCTTGGCTCACCCACAGCCTCTGCCTCCTGGGTTCAAGGAGTTCTCCTGTCTCAGCCTCCTGTGTAGCTGGGAGTACAGGTGTGCATCATCGTGCCTGCTAATTTTTGTATTTTTAGTCGAGACGGGTTTTGCCATGTTGGCCAGGTTGGTGTGGAACTCCTGACCTCAGAAGATCTGCCTGCCTCGGCCTCCCAAAGTGCTGGGATCACAGGTGTGAGCCACTGCGCCTGGCCTTGTGAGTGCTCTTATTTTGTTTTCAGGGGTGTATAATTGACTTTCACTTTGATGGAGTTTAGAACACAGCCTGCTATAGAAGATTGCCTAGAGAAGATTCTTTTTTTTTTTTGAGAGTCTCACTCTGTTGCCCAGCCTGGAGTGCAGTGGCGCAATCTCACTGCAACCTCTGCCTCCGGGGTTCAAGCAATTCTCTGGCTTCAGCCTCCTGAGTAGCTGGGATTAAAGGCACTTGCCACCACGCTTGGCTAATTTTCATATTTTTAGTAGAGACAGGGTTTCACCATGTTGGTCAGGCTGGTCTCGAACTTGACCTCAGGTGATCCACCCACCTCGGCATTCTGGGATTACAGGCGTGCATTCTGGGATTACAGGCGTGAGCCACCGCTAAATTGCCTGCATATTTGGATTATTTCACGTTGATAGTAAGAGTTCATAGTTGAGTGTTAAGTGCTCTTTGCAGAGTGACTGACAACCTGTGATGGTGATACTATTGTCTCTGTTTTACAAAGGAAACGAGGCTTAAAAGAGTTTTAAGTAGCTTGCCCAAAATCACACAAGAATGGGAATCTGAGCTTTAGGGCTGCTTGATTGAAAGCATATGCCCTTTACTGCAACTCTGTCGTCTTCCTTGGGCATGTTAGAGACTTGAGAAATACTTGCTGTGTGATTAGGTTATTTCGTCTCTTAAAATAGGGCGAGGTGGTTTACAGCCCTTTCTGTAATATTTTGAATCTCTTGGCTACAAATGTGACACTTATTAAATTAAATTGCTCTTTGAGATTGGAATGAAGGGATTTCTGAAAGGATTGATAAAATTAGCAAATAACCCTCCCTAGGAGAAGCAAGGATTTTTCTGAGTTCCCTCTTATTCATGATATTTAGATGCTTTTACTTAACAACTGTTCTGACCTTTTTAGGGCTGTTTCTGCAGATTTTAATTTTGCGTAAGAATAAGGTGCCATATTAGGTATTTACTCTCTGCTAGGTGGTGTGTGTACCAGTTGCTTTATATACATTACCTCATTTCTCTGTAGTGGTCTTGTGAATTAGATGTCAATTTGTAGACGAGAAAGTTAAGGCATAGAAGTGAAGTAACTTGCCAGGATCGTACACATTGAGGTGGAGCTAAGATTGGAACCCATATTTGCTTGTCTTTAAAAATCTCGTCTTTTTTTGGGGGGCGGGGGAGGGGTCAGAGTCTCTGTCAACCAGGCTGGAGTGCAGTGGCATGATCTCAGCTCACTGCAACCTCCTCCCGGGTTCAAGCGATTCTCAAGCCTCAGCCTCCCGAGTAGCTGGGATTACAGGTGTGCGCCACCATGCCTGGCTAATTTTTTGTAGTTTTAGCAGAGACGGGATTTCACCATGTTGGCTAGGCTTGTCTTGAGCTGCTGACCTCAAATAATTGACCCACCTTGGCCTCCCAAAGTGTTGGGATTACAGGCCTCTGTGCCTGGGCGTTTTTTTCATATTACTACTTTAGTCAACAAAGTTGTAAAAGACATTTAAGAATTTTATTTTTTCTTGCCCTTAATATACTGTTCAGTATTGTATTGGCTGCATTGGGACGGGGAATAAAGAAGTATAAGCCTAGTTGTTCTCTCAGAGAGCTTAAAATCTATTAGAGGGGCTGGGTGAGGTGAGGTGGTGCATGCTTGTAGTCTCAGCTACTTGGGAGGCTGAGGCAGGAGAATCGCTTGAGCGTGGGAGGCAGACGTTGCAGTAAGCTGAAATTGCGCCACTGTGCTGCAGCTTAGGTGACAGAGTGATACCCTGTCTCCAAAAAAAAAAATCTATTAGAATAAAGTAAGCATATGTGACTAAAAATAACATGGTTAATTACTCCTGTGATTCATTTATTCGGTGAGTGTGTCCTGTGTGACTGGTATTGAGCTATTTTGTGGGCATACAGCAGTTATTACCTTTATGGAGATTTCCTTATTTTTAAAAGTCTGTTTCTACTGCCATATGACAGATAAACAAGATAATTATAGATTATGACCTTACAATAAAGGAAATAAGGTAATATGAAAGGAGTGTAAGGAGGGAGGGTACTATTGCCCTGGATAATGTGGTCAGGGGAGGACTTTTGGAGGAGATGATGATTCGAGCTGAGATCTGGAGAGTGAGAAGCCAAAAGCTTTAAGAGCAGGGGCAGGAGTGTTGTTGGTAAAGACTTCAAGGCATGGCCGGGTGCAGTGGCTCACACCTGTAATTCCAGAACTTTGGGAGGCCGAGGTGGGCGGATCACCTGAGGTTGGGAGTTTGAGACCAGCTTGACCAACATGGAGAAACCCCGTCTCTACTAAAAATACAAAATTAGCCGGGTGTGGTGGCACATGCCTGTAATTCCAGCTACTCAGGAAGTTGAGGCTGGAAAATCGCTTGAACCTGGGAGGCGGAGGTTGTGGTGAGCAGAGATTGGGCCAAAAAAGACCTGAAGGCAGGACAGAGCCTGGCACGTCTGGGGAGGTAAGAGACCTGTGTAGCTAGAGCATGGAGAGTACAGGGGAACGGAGCATGAGAAGGTTTGAGAAGGCAAGAAGAAGGGCCTTGCCATGGGTTCTGTTTAGTCCGTTTAGGCTTCTTTAACAATACCATAGACTGGGTAGCTTGTAAACGACAGAAACTTATCACAGTTCTGCATCCTGGGAAGGACAATATTGGGGTGCTGGCGTATTTGATGTTTGGTGAGGGCCTGCTTTGTGGTTCATAGATGCTGGTTTTTTCTTTTCTTCTTTTTCTTTTTTTGACGGTCTCACTCTGTTTCCCAGGCTGGAGTGCAGTGGTGATCTTAGCTCACTCCCACCTCCGCCTCCCAAGTTCGCTTTGGTGCTCTCAGCTCACTGCAACCTCTACCTCCCAAGCAAGCGATCCTCCTGAGTAGCTGGGGTTACAGGCATGCGCCACCGGCTAATTTTTGTATTTTTAGTGGAGACAGGGTTTCACCAAGTTGGCCAGGCTGGTCTCGAACGCCTGACCTCAGATGATCCGCCTGCCTCGGCCTCTCAATGTGCTGGGTTTACAGGCCTGAGCCACTGCGCCCATACCAGTTTGTTCCTTTTTGCTGTGTCTTCTTGCATGGTGCAAGGGGTAGGGGAGCTCTCTGGGGTGTCTTATAAGGCCACTAATCCCATTTGGGGATGAGGGGACTCTGCCCTCTGGACCTAATCACCTCCCAGCAGTCTCACCTTCTAACAACGTCACACTGGTGATCAGGTGTCAGCTTATGAATTTTGGGACACAAACATAGCAGGTGGTCAGGCGGTTGGGGCAGTTTCAATACCTAGACTAGTTAGGAAAGGTCTCAGAGAAGGAGAGGTTTTGTAGTGGAAGGGTAGCTTGAAAATAGGGTGAGTTGTAAGGCCAGACACCCAAGATTTGGCTGAGATGGGAGGATCCCTTGAGCCCAGGAAGGTTGACGCTGCAGTGAGCTGTGATTGAGCCACTCCACTCTGGCCTAGGTGACAGGGTGAGACCCTGTCTCAAAAACAAAAAAAATCTTTAGGAAACCTGTATATTTGAAGATCAAGGGCTAAAAATCCACTCAGTACCATTTAGCAGAGGATGTATGACATCCATTACACATCTGTTTCAAAAACAGCATGTTTCCAAAATTATACATCTCTTTACAAATAAACGTTATAGTATTAATAACTATAGAGGCACCATCAGAACTAGTTACAAAACATGCTGCTAACTTTCACAAGGCATCTCTGAGCCATCTCTTAAGTTCTGTATTTTGATCCCGGGGCTTTAAGAACATTTTCTTTGCTTTAATTAGTTGTAGGTCTCCATTTTCATTGTCTTCATAATTGGCTTGATCTCCCTTTTTGGCAGACTTTTTTCCTGTTGTCCCCACCAAGGTCTCATATTCTAGCCATTTCTTCTAGCCATTTCTTCTTCATCTGACACGTAAAATTCCACTGTTTCATCTTCAATTTCTGCTTTGTTCTTAGTATTCACCTGAAGCACTAATTTCTCAACCTCAGGAGTAAATCTGATGAATGAAATTCCTTCCATAGAAATGATCTTCACATAACAAGAGATGCTGCTCTTCTGTTATGAAATTCTTTACTTATTAAGCTCTGGCAAATCTGAGTACCAGTGCTCTTAACTAATTTTATTTTCTTCCTCTTCTAGTCATTTCTTAGTTTCTGAGTCCAGTCTTCTTTGCATGAACTTCATGTACAGCAGGTTCTTGGAGAACTTGGTCTTGTGCTCAGGTGCCATGCTGGCTTCAGCTTGTGCTGTGTTCTGGCCACCTGCTGTTTCTTAGTTAAGAGACTAGAATGAGAAAGTTACATGTAAGGATGTCAGTTGGTAGTATTATTGAAGGAAGAATATGTAGGGGGTGATGCTTGTTTATTGTCTGTGTACCCCACTGGAATTGTTGCTCCAAGAGGGCGTGAACTTTGTTATGTGAATTGTGGGGTGTGCCTACGTATAGGACAAAGCTTGGCACGTGGTAGGTACTTAGTAAAGGCTTGTTGAATGAATGAGTAGATGAATGAGTAGATCTACAAGTCTTGAGTATTTTGAGGAAAACATCTTATTGTAATCTCCATTTTATTCCTTTTTTTTTTTTTTTTTTTTTTTTGAGACAGAATCTCACTCTGTCCCCAGGCTGGAGTGCAGTGGCACAATCACGGCTCATTGCAACCTCTGCCTCCTGGGTTCAAGCAATTCTCCTGCCTCACCCTCCCAAATAGCTGGGACTACAGGTGAGCGCCATCACACCTGGCAAATTTTTGTATTTTTGGTAGAGACTGGGTTTCACCATGTTGGCCAGATTGGTCTCGAACTCCTGACCTCAAGTGATCTGCCCGCCTCAGCTTCCCAAAGTGCTGGGATTATAGGCGTGAGCCACCACGCTTGGCCGAAACAGGGTCTTGTTCTCTTACCCAGGCTGGAGTGCAGTGGTGTGACTACAGCTCACTGTAGCCTTGACCTTCCTGGCTCAGGTGGTTTCTCCCCTCAGCCTCCCCAGTAGTTGGGACTACAGGCACATGCCACCACTTTTTTTTTTTTTTTTTTTTTTTTTTAATTTTTTGTAGAGATGGGATTTTGTCATGTTGCCCAAGCTGGTCTTGATTTGCTGGGCTCAAGTGATCCTCCTGCCTTGGCCTCCCAAAGTGTTGGGATTACAGGCGTGAGCCGCCACACCCAGCCTTGGTAGAGGTTTTTTTGTTTGTTTGTTTTTGTTGTTGTTGTTTTGAGATAGCATCTCCCTGTGTTGCCCAGGCTGGAGTGCAGTGGCATAATCTTGGCTTACTTGCAACCTCCGTCTCCTGGGCTCGGATGATCTTCAGCCTCCCAAGTAGCTGGGACCACAGGCGCATGCCACCATGCCCAGCTAATTTTTGTATTTTTGGTAGAGACGCAGTTTTGCCACGTTGCCTAGGTTGTTCTCAAACTCCTGGCCTCAAGCAATCCACCTTCCTTGGCTTCTCAAAGTGCTGGGATTGTAGGCTTGAGCCACTGTGCCCAGCCTCTGGGTAGGATTTTCTAAGCAATGTTGTATTCTTAATTGAACATGTAAAAAGTAAAGTAGAGATTCCTCTTCAAAGACTTCCCCCACATCTAATCAGAAATAAATAGTAACTTCTCTTAAAAGCAAAATTTATTCAAAGACCTTTGCTAACATTCTTAAATATCTGCTAGCTGTAATAAATAAATCAGTGTACTTTATGTTCTTAGCTCCCACAATTTAGCCTAAATATTTGCCCTGGCATGCTTATACTGGTCCAAGCAAGCATTAGGTCATAGCCTGTTTAAAGGTATTTTTACCTTTCTCAGCATTCCACAAGTTACTTCCTCCTTCCTTTGTTGTCCTCTGCCTTTGCCTCTTTTTTTTTTTTTTTTTTTTTTTTTTTTTTTTTTTTTTGAGACAGAGTCTCGCTCTGTTGCTCAGGCTGGAGTGCAGTGGCATGATCTTGGCTCACTACAAGCTCCGCCTCCTAGGTTCATGCCATTCTCCTGCCTCAGCCTCCCAGGTAGCTGGGACTACAGGCGTCCACCACCACGCCCAGCTGATTTTTTTGTATTTTTAACAGAGGCAGGGTTTCACTGTGTTAGCCAGGCTGGTCTTGATCTCTTGACCTCGTGATCCGCCTGCCTCGGCCTTCCAAAATGCTGGGATTACAGGCGTGAGCCACCACGCCTGGCCTTCTTTGCCTCTTTTTAAAAGTTGTAAGTTGCTAGCCTATCAGGACAAATACAAAACGTGAGGTCCCGTTCCAGCCAATAAAAACCGGACACAGCAGTAGGATAGACACGTCAGGTTATAAATGACCCTGTCTCCTTTGCTCGGTGTACTTTTGTGGCAAAACTGCTGGCAAGTGTATCCTTTCTGCAGAAGGTATAAATGGCCTTGCTGAGAAAATTAAATTTATGTTCAAGTGCTATTTCTTTACGGCACTGAGGAACAAGCATTTCTTTTTTTTTCTTTCTTTTTTTTTTTTTTTGAGATGGAGTCTCGCTCTGTTGCCCAGGCTGGAGTGCAGTGGCGCGGTCTCGGCTCACTGCAAGCTCTGCCTCACGGGTTCACGCCATTCTCCTGCCTCAGCCTCCCGAGTAGCTGGGACTACAGGCGCCTGCCACCACGCCCGGCTAATTTTTTTGTATTTTTAGTAGCGTCGGGGTTTCACCATGTTAGCCAGGATGGTCTCGATCTCCTGACCTCGTGATCCATCCGCCTCGGCCTCCCAAAGTGCTGGGATTACAGGTGTGAGCCACCGCACCCGGTCGGAACAAGCATTTCTAACAAACATATAAGGCCAGCTGTATGCTTTTTGTTACATGTCTTCTGTGATATAGAAGCAAACAAGAAGTTCTGCAAACAAGACAGTTTGTTAGCACACTTGCATACGTGTGTGAATGCATGGAATACATTGCTGTGGTTTGAGTACTTTTGGTTGCCTAAAAATCACATGCATGGGTAGGTGTTTAAAAAATTGTACGTTAGATATGCTACTATAACTTACAGCAGAAGGTTATATAAGCTGCATTTTCCAAAGTGGCTGGATTTGACAGGAGAGACAAGTAGTTTTGATTTTATTCTGTTTAATCCTACAACCAGACTAGTCCTTCTGTTGAACTGATAAGGAAGATTGTGAAATTGGGTCATTCTCTTGATTCCTGTAGTGCCTCTTCTTTCTTGTATCCTAAGTATGAAAATGGGTTACTTCAGGGGCAAACGTATTTCACATGAAGGCAACTTTACTTTTAGTGTGTTTTGGATTAGAGTGAATGTGGTGTCAGAAAAAGAAAATTCAGTTCTGATACTAACAGTTTAATTCTGATACTCCCACCCCACAGCTTAAGGGCTCAGTCTTGGAAGACTGCCCTCACTTTAGGCAGCAGCTACAAATGCAGTGCCTAGGCTACCTATACCTCTGCCCAGTAGACTACAAATTTTGGGATTCCCATGGCCCTTCTTAGGTTTGATTATTAGCTAGAACAACTCATAGAACTCAGGAAAACGTTTTACTTACCTTTTTTTTTTTTTTTTTTTTTTTTGGGATGGAGTCTCGCTCTGTTGCCCAGGCTGGAGTACAGTGGCGTGATCTCAGCTCACTGCAAGCTCTGCCTCCCAGGTTCATGCCATTCTCCTGCCTCAGCCTCCCGAGTAGCTGGAACTACAGGCGCCTGCCACCACGCCTGGCTAATTTTTTGTATTTTTAGTAGAGTCGGGGTTTCGCCATGTTAGCCAGAATGGTCTCGATCTCCTGACCTCATGATCTGCCCGCCTCGGCCTCCCAAAGTGCTGGGATTACAGGCTTGAACCACCGTGCCTGGCCGTTTTACTTACCTTTATGCCTTTGTCATAAAGGGTACAACTCACGAACAGCCAAATGGAAGAGATACATAGGGCACGGTTGTGGGTGGGGAGGGATTCAGGTGACCTGCTTTCCCCTCACCTTGAAATGTTCACAGACCTGGAAGCTCTCCAAATCTTCTGTTCTGGAGTTTTCATAGAGCTCAGTTTCTAGCCCTCCTCCCCTCTCTGGAGGTTGGTGCATGGGGCTGAAAGTTACATCCCTCTAGTCACTTTGCCTTTCTGGTGACCAGCCCCATCCTGAGGCTTCCTAGCATCCCTTCCACCGCCACCCTGTCACTTTATTAACATAAATTCAGGTGTGAATTTGTTATGAAAAACAAGAGACACTCAGCACTCAGGAAATTCCTAGGGTTTTTAGGAGCTCTCTGCTAGGAAGTGGGGACGGAAACCAAATATTGCCAAATATTTGGTGTATTACCAAAAATTTGACTTGCCTTTTATTCACAGTTACTATTAATACTTGACATAGTTTTAAAAGAGGTGTAATCTTATTGAGAATATAAATTTTTTGTAAAACTTACTAGCAAATATTTAATCTCAAATCTTAAGGTTGCTGTCTCTCTGTGCCTAGAATGAACCATGGGGCACGGGAAAATAGGGCATTTGTAGCTGGGAGTATCCCCTTCCTCCATACAGATCGTTTGCTCAGGGATTGTCTGGTGGAGTTTAGATGGCAGCCAGCCAATCATAATGATACCATAGAGAGGGTTCCATAACCTTTTAAAATCTGTAGTGTGTGGACTTAAAATTTCAGGTGCTATAGCTCTGAGATTCTTAAAGGATATTTGAATTCCCATAGTGTTAAGAACCTGGAAGAGGCCAGGTGCAATGGCTCGTGCCTGTAATCCCAGCACTTTGGGAGGCTGAGGTGGGTGGATCACCTGAGGTCAGGATTTTGAGACCAGCCTGGCCAATGTGGCGAAACCCCGTCTCTACTAAAAAAATACAAAAATTAGCCAGACATGGTGGTGCGTGCCTGTAATCCCAGCTACTTGGGAGGCTGAGGTGGGAGAATCGCTTGAACCCTGGAGGCGGAGGTTGCAGTGAGCCGAGATCACGCCATTGCACTCCAGCCTGGGTGACAGAGCAAAACTCTGTCTCAAAAAAAAAAAAAGAAAAATAAAAAACCTAGAAGATATGGGTATTGGAGGGGTAGATGCCAGGAAGGACAGAAGGAAGATATACCTTATTTCACAATTTTATTTCCTTATGATTGGCAGAATCATTTTAAAAAAAATATTTGAGACAGGGTCTTGCTCTGTCATCCAGCCTGGAGGGCAGTGGCACAATCATAGCCAACTGCAGCCTTGGACTCAAGCAATCCTCCCACCTCAGCCTCCCTGGTAACTGGGACTACAGGTGTGTGCCACTTCACCCAGCTAATTTTTTTTTTTGTAGAGATGGGGTCTCACTCTGTTTCCCAGGCTGGTCCCAAACTCCTGGGTTCAAGCAATCTCCCCACCTTGTCCCCCCAAAGTGCTGGGATTACAGGTGTGAGCCACCATGCCTGACCCTGCAGAATCATTTTTTATGCTGTAAGTTGCCCAACCCCAATTCTAAGTTGTGGTACAAATGAACTTCACTGTTAAAAAGAGGTAGGATTCAGTTATTGGTGCAAAATAACTTAGCTTTTCTTTTTCTTTCTTCTTTTTTGAGACGGAGTCTCACTGTGTTGCCCAGGCTGGAGTGCAGTGGCGCCATCTTGGCTCACTGCAGTGCGCCTCTGCCCCCCGAGTTCAAGCGATTCTCCTGCCTCAGGCTCCTGAGTAGCTGGGACTACAGGTGCGTGCCACCATGCCCAGCTAATTTTTTGTATTTTTAGTAGAGATGGGGTTTCACCGTGTTAGCCAGAATGGTCTCCATCTCCTGACCTTGTGATCTGCCTGCCTCGGCCTCCCAGAGTGCTGGGATTACAGGCATGAGGCACCGTGCCCAGCGCAGAATAACTTTTCTGGTTAGCAGAATGGTAATTGTTTCTATGTGGCCTCTTTGCTGCCGTAGTGATTTGACATTATTTAATAGGAGATTAACATAGGGTATATGAACATGTCTGACTTATATATATTGTAAAACCCAAAGTCTCTCCCCTGATTGCTCCCTTTACCCACCCCAATCTGTGGAGTATCTGGTGACATTAAGAAAAAAAATTAAGAAAAAAAGAAATAGAGGTCAGGTCTTAACTATGTTGCCCAGGCTGGTCTTGAACTCCTCAGCTCTAGTGATCTTCCCACTTTGGCCTCCCAAAGTGCAAGGATTACAGGTGAGCCACTGTGCTCTTTAATACATGTGTTAAAGGGCAAAACTACAACAAATTTAAATCTCACTTGGCTTTATTGTGATTTTAGAGTTGGGCAGTGTGCTTCATTCCACAAAACAGAGTTGAGCAGAAGAGGTTGGCTTAATAGAAGAGCTGAGGAAAGGGGAAGCAAAGAACAAAGGGCCTATTAGTTGTTTCAGAGCTACCTTTCTTGTAAGGCAGGGACAGGGAGAAGACAGAACAATAGAAAAATAACTGATTAGTTAATATCAGGTTACTTCAGGCTGCTTTTTTTTGTGTAAGGGTTAAAGCAGAGGGAACTTCATTATCATTCCAATTGAAGATTGAAAGTGGCCTGTTTGGTAAACTGGCTGTCATCTCTCCTGTTTCTCAGAAGGTCAGATAACAACTAAATTTAAGTTTAGTGATGTGAAACTTTAGCATGAGTAACTCCGTTTTGATTTTTAGTCTGGTCACTTGGGGCCTAGTGCAGGAGATTAGTCCACAACGGTAGCCTCCTATAGTTTTTATTTAACACATGAAACAATTATTAATACATGCCAAATGCTTTGCAGAATAGTCTTAATTAGAACTTGACTCTGAAATGACCATCTTTGTAATGGTAACTCTACATTTGACTACATTTGTGCTGAGAACAATTAGTATAATCTTCCCTTGATATTGCAGGGGATTGATTCCAGAACTCTCCAAGGATACAACAATCCTGGAATGCTCAAGTTTCTTATATAAAATTACATAGTACAGTTATCCATCTGTATCTGTGGGTTCTGCCTCTGTGTACATGGAGGGCTGACTGTACTGTAATTATCTTGGAGATAAAAAGTGTTATGAGTTCCTTTCTAAGAAGTTTGGAATTGCTGTTTTAAAATTCCTTATATTGACTTTAAAGTTACCATTACTTGTTAAAGACTAATAATTAACATGTACTAAGCATGTACTGTATGCCAAGCACTGTTGCAAGTTCTTTACATGTATTATCTTAGTTTACCTTATGAGAAAGGTAGTACTGTTTTCATTTTTAGAGAAGGGGAAACCAAGCTACACAGAGGTTGAATAACACAGAGGTTGAATAGCTAGAGTGTGGTAGAGCCACTCTGACTCCAGAACCCAGGCTTAACAGGGGACTCACAACCAACCAGTTTGTAACAAATTGCAGAGCAGTCAGGTCGGGAAGTCTAAGAAGTGGAAGATTTGTGGGTAAATAGAAAGGGGAAGAACAAACTCTTATCTTACTCCCTTCTCCCAATAAAATTCAGTAGTTATATGCAGGGTGAAAAACAGGAAATAAGCTTAGCCCCTATTTTTTGCTTCCTCTTCTTTATATTTGCTTTCCTCTTTGCATTGCTGGTAACTCACGGATATATACTTGTCATTCCACTAGCACTGATTATATTTGTTTTTATTAATGTCACTTCTCAGACAGTATAGTGTAATGTAATGTTTATCAAGAGCAGGGACTTGAGGTTGGGCACGGTGGCTCACACCTGTAATCCTAGCACTTTGAGGGGCCCAGGCAGTTGGATTACTTGAGGTCAGGAGTTCAAGACCAGCCTGGCCAACATGGTGAAACCCTGTCTCTATTAAATACAAACATTATCCAGGCGTGGTGGCATGCACCTGTAATCCCAGTTGCTCTGGAGGCTGAGGCAGGATAATCGCTTGAACCCGGGAGGCAGAGGTTGCAGTGAGCAGAGATCACGCCACTGCACTGACACATACACACACACACACACACAACAAGCAGGGACTTGAGAGTCAGACTGCTTGGGTTTAAATTACAGTTCTCCCAGTTACTGGCTGAATAGCCTTGGCTTAGTTACTTGCTGAGCCTCACTCTTCTTATCTGTAAAATAGGGATAATACAGCACATACTTCATAGGCTTTTTGGGAGGATGAAATGTGTGAATATGTGTAATATGTTTTGAACAGTACATAGCACTTAGTAAATGCTGTATGAGTGTTTGCTGCTTACTATTATTATTTGAGTGCTTTTAGATTTAACCAGTAATTGATTGATCTTAGGGATCAGGGTTGTTAATCTTTAATGCTGTATTAGTTAGTATGGGTGCTTCTTAGTGCATAAAAGGGAAAGGAGAAGGAAAAAGGAGATATAAAAGGAAGTTGAATAAAGAAGGATAAATATGGCTGGCTGCGGTGGCTCATGCATGTAATCCCAGCACTCTGGGACTTTGGGAGGCCGAGGTGAGTGGATTGCTTGAGTCCAGGAATTCAAGACCAGCCTGGGTAACAGTGAGACCCGTCTCTTAAAAAAACAAAAACCAAACAAAAACCCAGCCGGGCATGGTGGCATGCGTCTGTGGTTCCAGCTACTTGGGAGGCCAAGGTGGGAGGATTGCTTGAGTCTGGGAGGTGGAGGTTGCAGTGAGCTGAGGTTGTGCCACTGCACTCCAGCCTGGGTGACGGGAGTAAAACCCTGTCTAAAAAAAAGAAAAATATACTGCAGATAATTTTGATGAGGAGCGGGAGAGTGTATATTTCATGTGAGTTACTCACACTAATGTAGTTTCATGTTCTTTTGTTTCGTGATTTTTGCATCCAATCAACAACTCACAGTGTGTCAGTCTAGAAGTGCTCAGTGCTAGAAGTATAGTGGTGCATGAGGTAGTATAGGTTCATTTACAGGGATGTTAATAGGCATTTATAAATTGTTATGATTAATTGTTGTGAATGGTGCTATAGGAGCATGGTGGCATCTGACCAAGAGTTAGGTGGTTCTGTATTTTTATGTTTAATTATAACCCCTTTAGGATTATAATTTAAATTAATTTAAATATAAATCTTAAAATTTAGGTACATATTGGGTGGTGTTTCTTTTTATTCTTTCAGAAAACTGTTAAAGTATTTCATTGAATCTAAGATTCCAATTTCATAGAAGTCAAAATGTGGGGGAAAAATGGCTGATAATGATTCTAAGAGACTCAAAGATACATTCTGACTTTAGAGATGTTAACATGAAAAAAAGCATCTCAAATTAATGACTCTTTGGTACTTGTAATTGATAGCTTCTTAAAATGGAGGAGGACTCTAGTAAGAGAAGCTATAGTATCTGTTTATAAGTCAGTATGCTTTAGAGCAATCTGACTTTTTCATTATAAAAATGTAGGTTTTGGACTAGGCATTCTGGTGCTAAAACAGCTGCTGAGGCCAGCGATCACCCTGTTCTTTGTTCAGTTCCTCACGTTACTCATATAATTACCGTGTGATCGTGTGGTGCTCTGCTGCTTGTTGGTCAGAGCCTGAGTAAGGCTGAATAAGGCTGGATCATGAACCATTCTTTAAAGCAGTGGCCTTTGTATTGCAGTCTAGTTGACATACATGCATACATACAGGTGTGTGTGCACGTGTAACTGAAGAACAGCTTTCACAAAATAATATTTAGCACACTGTGGAATTTTCTCTGATACAGCCTCTTCTCTTTCATGATAAAAATAAATTCGCTGATTATCACACCACTTTGGACCTTTTAAAAATAACACTTAAGAAGTTGGAATAGCCAGGGATCAGAAACTTAGAAATGGACCTTATTTGTTATTGTAACTTATAGCAAGTCATTGTGTCTCTTATTGGGTTCTTTTAGCCATAATAATTGTGCTAGTTCTTTTCTTGCTCTGAGTGCCTGAACCTGTTGCTAAGTGAGGAAGAAAAATCCATATGTAAGTATAAATAAACAAATGTCTTTAATCTTTTTGCAGGTCATCATCAGATTTGAAATATTTAAAGTGGATACAAAACTATTTCAGCAATGCAGACAATTAAGTGTGTTGTTGTGGGCGATGGTGCTGTTGGTAAAACATGTCTCCTGATATCCTACACAACAAACAAATTTCCATCGGAATATGTACCGACTGTAAGTATAAAGGCTTCCTTCTGTTAGTAAAATGTTGTAAAATTTGATATCCTTTTGAAAACGCTTTCTCTATGTGTACTGAATTTTTTTCTGTTGTCTGCCTTTGTTTCCTGTTTTTAAAGATCTTGACTTCTCATGGGTAAATTATATACACTTTAAACAGCTGAAAAATCAGTGGAAAGTCAGAAGGGGTGACACAGGGTTTGCAAGAAGTGCTGGGAGGCAAAACTCCAGTAGACAAGATTCTAACGAGTGGTGGTCTCAATTTGGTGAAGTATGCCCTACATCTTGGAATGAGGTGACTTTTTTTTTTTTTTTTTTGATATTTTGGCCAATTATTGATCAGTACTTGGAGGTCTCCTGGGATACCATTTGAGGTCCTGTAACTTGAGAGAAAGTAGTATGTGTCTCCACTTTTCTTGTGGAGCTGTTCGCTTAGCAGTAATGGAGCTCCAAACTGGTTCTTAGGGGCAGAGAAGAGAAGACCTGTTATGTTTCGAGAACACCAACAGAGTCCTTTGGGGGTCACTCCCACAACTGTTCTTTTCTTTTTTTCTTTTTTTTTTTTTTTTTGAGATGGAGTCTCTATCGTCCATTCTATCTGGAGTGCAGTAGCGCGATCTCGGCTTGCTGCACCCTCCGCCTCCCGGGTTCAAGCAGTTCTCCTGCCTCAGCCTCCTGAGTAGCTGGGATTACAGGCGCCCGCCACCACGCCTTTCTAATTTTTGTATTTTTAGTAGAAACGGGGTTTTACCATGTTGGCCAGGCTGGTCTTGAACTCCTGACCTCAAATGATCCACCTGCCTCAGCCTCCCAAAGTGCTGGGATTACAGGCGTGAGCCACCATGCCTGGCCCCATAACTGTTTTTTAAATCAACTCTTTGGAATGGTAGAAGGAAGATGGGAATAACAAAAATATTGAAGTGAGAGAGAGACAAGAGTTAGAGTAACACTCATTTGTGAAAGGTAGTGAGACCCTGTCTCAAAAATAAGGAAAGTTTTTTTTTTGAAGGGGGGAGAATTTGAAGGTATTATTAAACACTAAAATCATATTGATATTTTGAATTGGCTCATTTGGAGACAAGATAAATGGAAGACGTTTTGAGGTTCAGTGGACTTACAGGGGACATTTAGAGGTACATGAATCTTGTTTCAGAGTGAGGACAGCTATCAGAATTTTTCTGTTTCAGTCTCCATTGAAGTTATTTACTTGTAAACATAATTTCTGAGTCTTTTATGACTTTGATCTTCTGGTGTTATATTTTAAGTGGGCTTGTGGGTGTTTTATATGTATGTTTGTGTTGTACATCTCTGGAAAAGTGATAGAGTGGAAGGAAGAGTAGTAGTAGAATAAAATTTTAAATGAACCGATTTAGGTAAATGAATGGACCATGAGGCACAAGTAATGTTCTCATGGTACCTGTTGAAGTTAATATGGAAATGGATTTGGTGTAGAATGCATTTAAGTTCCCATCTATGAGTTGGGGCTTGCCATTTCTAGAGTAATAGAAATTCAGAGCTGGATGGGACAATATATATTGTCTTACCCATCTCTTAATGGATGAGGGTACTCAGGCCCAATTTAGGGATGAGACTTAGAAGTCTAAGTTTAATTACTTAGCGTAATTACACTAGCATAAGTAGACTTTGGAATGGAAGCCAGCTTTTCTGATTCTTAGTCTAGTTTTGGATATGAACAATCTAGTAAAGGAGGGTTGTTTTTGAGTCTCTTAAGTGTGATTTAAGAAAATAATCTGTTTGGTTTGAGAGCTTAACCACATTCATTCAATTTCTTTGTTCCTGTTTTTAAGAACCGACTTTCCTTTAACTGTCATCTCCCTCATGCCCTTGCTTCTCTTCTTTACATTTAAATAAGCTCTGGAACAATCTGTTAAAACATAAGTCAGAAAATCAGAGTAGGTACCTAAAAGTTAAGTAGGGCTGGTCTTAAAATGTGGCATTCTTCTCCTAGTTGGAAAGCTTTGCTTTTCTTTTTATAGATATCATTTAATTTTAAAATTTTTACTGTAAATTGACAGATTATAGTTGTATATGAAAGCATTGCTTTTCAATTGTAAATTAATTCTAAAGACTCCAGAATTTGTGTTGGGTCTTTTCCCATTTAGCATTGTTAAACCTCCCATTTTCACAAATAACTTCGTACAACCGATATTAGCATATGCTTTACTGAATTTGATAAGGGTTTTATGGTCTATTTACATATTAAGCATCTTGTTAAAGAAGATGTCTTAGATCATGCAGTTTGTGCCCAATAACATGAATTTTACTCATAAAATTCCCAGCTGGCTGGGTGCAGTGGCTCACACCTGTAATTCCAGGACTTTGGGAGGCCGAGGCAGGTGGATCATGAGGTCAGGAGTTTGAGACCAGCCTGGCCAACATAGTGAAACTCTGTCTCTACTAAAAATACAAAAATTAGCTGGGTGTGGTGGCATGCACCTGTAGTCCCAGCTACTCAGGAGGCTGAGGTGGGAGAATCGCTTGATCCCAGGAGGCAGAGGTTGCAGTGAGCCGAGACCATGCCATTGCACTCCAGCCTGGATGACGCAGTGAGACTCTGTCTCAAAAAAAAACTTCCCAGCAAATAATCTGCCAGCTTTTTCTTGGACACTTTGAGTACTTTGAGGGAACCGTTATTTCTCTCAAATGGGCTTGTTTATAACAAGGCTCATCTTTTCTAGGACTCTGAAAGGAAGAAAGGTCATGGATCTAGGATATTTTATTTCTAGATGAAAAGGAAATGGTCTATGAAGAAGTAGTTTCTTAGGAATCAGATTGAATGTTGAGGTAGACCACTGTCTGAAAAGTTTCAAACTTGAACAGGTTCATTTTGTGTAGCTAGAGGACTCTGCTCCTGTGACACCTCTAAACCTTCTCTGGCTCTTTATCCAGGCTGCTGGGGTAGAGCAGAAATCTCAGAACACATCCTTTGTCTTTTTCCAGGAATCATTTAGCTCATGCAAGGACTGGTTGGCAAGATTGGTTATATAAGGATGATGGATGGACTAGGGGACGATTAAGTCTTAGCAAGGAAACACTGCCTTAGCTTAAGAGTTGTCCTGTCCCATTTTAACTCTCTCCTTGCACACTAACAGTGTTGTATTTTTTTGTTTTTAGGTTTTTGACAACTATGCAGTCACAGTTATGATTGGTGGAGAACCATATACTCTTGGACTTTTTGATACTGCAGGTGAAAACTTAATGTCTTTTATACTGTTTTGATCTTTAACAGTTGCTAGTTGTCTGTCTCTTGTGGACATTTTGAGAAACTAGCACATGAGCAAAGTACTTGCCTTTTGTTATTAGTTAGCAGGATTGAATATAATGATTGTCGATGCTTGACCAAGGAGCAGTCCCAGACCTGGGTCGGCAAATAGGAGTTTGGAGTACCCTGGGTGAACAGTGTAGTAGATGAAGTAGAGTGAGACTAGAGTGCATCATACAAGCTCCAAATTGAACTAAAATCCTGATGCGTGCACCTTGCAGAGAACTGGGGACTGCATTAGTGGTTGGGGAGGGACTAAGGGAATGAATTCATAGGAATCATGCCCACTGATTCTCTCCCTTCACCCCTACCTGCTCCTTTTTAAAGCCTAGAGTTTCCTAAATATGCCTAAGGTTATAAGGTCATAAGCCATTTACAGTATTTATTATTATTACTCTCTTGATATTTGAAGGCATATTCAATTTATGTGTCTAATAACATGTTTAGTTTCTTACGATAGATAGCTTATTTTAAACTGTATCTGAAAATATTTTGAGAGTGAACTATTATCTGCTCACAGTATTGACATTTGTCAGCTATCCAAATTGTAAGAACAAATTACTTTCTTCCTTAAATGTACCTAATTCCTCAGTGCTATTTCTTGTTTTCAAGAGTGGCTGCACATCTTAATTTCTGACTTTTCTCTATGTGCCGTCTTATTATCAGCTCAGTTAGCCAGAGGAAAATCTCAGAAAGATATCCTTTAGAGTATCTTTAGAATGTAGGAATTCTAAACTTTGTGCTTTGAGTTACTGTTACTGTTTGCAAGTTAACATGTTGCTTCCATGGAATGTGGTGTTACACTGTGTACCACGAGGAACTATTTGGATTTAATTGAGAACGTGAAATGGAGAGACAGTAAAGATTAGAGAAATTTTTAATACATTAAAATCATAAAAGTAATGGTATATTAAATTTGGAATATAGAGAAAACAATGACCCATAATGTCATGATAAATGAGGGGTTTTCTTCTGTGTTCATTTGTGTCCAAAGGCACAGAGAAAATTTTTATTTTTTTTTTTTGTTGAGATGGAGTTTTGCTGTTGTTGCCCAGGCTGGAGTGCAATGGTGCAATCTCGGCTCACCGCAACCTCCGCCTCCCAGGTTCAAGCGATTCTTCTGCCTCAGCCTTCTGAGTAGCTGGGATTACAGGCATGCGCCACCATACCCGGCTAATTTTTTTGTATTTTAGTAGAGGTAGGGTTTCTCCATGTTGGTCAGGCTGGTCTCGAACTTCTGACCTCAGGTGATCCGCCCGCCTTGGCCTCCCAAAGTGCTGGGATTACAGGTGTGAACCACTGCGCCTGGCGAGAAAAGATAATTTATGGCTACTTGTGGTTGAAAATTAGTATTTTCAGATTTCAAAGTTTATTATTTATAAGCCTTTACATTTTCTGGCGAGTACTTTTGAAAGCTTTTTTGATGCGTAGTGCAATAAAAATCATTTTAAGGCCAGGCGCGGTGGCTCACGCCTGTAATTGCAGCACTTTGGGAGGCTGAGACAGGCAGTTCACCTGAGGTCAGGAGTTTGAGACCAGCCTGGCCAGTATGGTGAAACCCCATCTCTACTAAAAATACAAAAATTAGCCCAGTGTAGTGGTGTATGCCTGTTAAGTCCCAGCTACTTGGGAGGCTGAGACAGGAAAATTGCTTGAACCCAGGGGGCGGAGGTTGCAGTGAGCCGAGATTCTGCCACTGCCCTCCAGCCTGGCTGACAGAGTGAGACTCCGTCTTTAAAAAAAAAAAAATCGTTTTAAGTGTTCAGTGTGATGCATTTTGCTGACCCTCCACCATAATAAAATGTGTAACATTTTTATCACCCCTCAAATTTTCTGTGGTGAGTTCTTTTACCACTGAATGGTGTTGGCACCCTTATCAAAAATTATTTGACCATATATGTGAGTGTTTATTTCTGGGTTCCCTTTGCAGTCAGCCCTGTCCC
Source organism: Homo sapiens (assembly GCF_000001405.40). Taxonomy (NCBI): domain Eukaryota; kingdom Metazoa; phylum Chordata; class Mammalia; order Primates; family Hominidae; genus Homo; species Homo sapiens. The sequence goes on from NC_000001.11 coordinate 22,083,813, forward strand.
TTGACCTGGTTCCAGGCAACCACTGATCTGCTTTCTTTGTTTCTACTGTTTTGCTTTTCTAGGGTTTCATATAAATGGAACCATACAATATGTAGTCTTTTGTGTGACTATTTTTACATAGCATAATGTTTGTGAGAGTTGTCCATGTTGTGTGTATTGGTAGTTGTTTCTTTTGATTGCCGAGTGTTATTCTGTTCTATGAATATATCACAGTTTTGTTTATCCATTAACAAGTTGATGGATGTTTGGGTTCCAGTTTTAATACTGGTGCTATGAATTGCTTCCACGTTTTAGCTATTTTGAATAATGTTGCTATCAACATGGGTATACAGATACCTTGTTGACACCCTGCTTTCAGTTCTTTTGGGGTATATACCCAGAAGTGGAATTGTTGGATCATGTTTTTAATTTTTTTGAGGAACCTCCGTATTGTTTTCCACAGTGGCTGTCCCATTTTATATTCCTACCAACAGTACGTGGGGTTTGATATAGTCACATTCTTCTGTTCGACACTTATTTCCTGTTTTTTTTTTTTTTTTTTTTTTTTTAATTGTAGCCATCCTAATTAGTGTGAGGTGGTATCTAATTGTGGTTTTGATTTGTATTTCCTTAATGATTAGTGATGTTGAGCATCTTATGGCCATTTATATATCTTTGGAGAAAGGTCTGTTTAATCAAGTTCTTTGCCCATTTTTGAATTGGGATTTTTTTTTTGGGGTAAGTTTTAGGAGTTCTTTGTAGATTCCGGGTATTAATCTCTTATCACATACACGATTTGCATATATTTTTTCCTATTTTGTGGGTTGCGTTTTTATTCTGTTGATACTATTTTCTGATGTATAAAATTTTCACAGCTTCATGAAGTTTGTCTATTTTTTGGTGGTTTGGTGTGATATCCAAACAAATTATTGCCAAGTCCACCTGAATCTTTTGCCCTATGTTTTCTGGGAGTTTTAAAGTTTTAGGTCTAACATTTAGACCTTTTATCCATTTTGAGTTAATTTTAGTATATAGTATTAGGTAAGGTTTCATCTTTGTCTTTTGCTTGTGAATATGTCATTTTCTCAGCACCATTTATTGAAGAGTCCTTTTACCACTGAATGGTCTTGGCACCCTTATCAAAAATTATTTGAGCTAGGCTAGGCACGGTGGCTCACACCTGTAATCTTAGCACTTTGGGAGGCTGAGGTGGGCAGATCACCTGAGGTCAGAAGTTTAAGACCAGCCTGGCCAACATGGTGAAACCCTGTGTCTACTAAAAATACAAAAATTAGCCTGGTGCGGTGGTGTGTGCCTATAGTCCCAGCTACTCAGAAGGTGGAGGCAGGAGAGTCTCTTGAACTGGGGAGGTGGAGGTTGCAGTGAGCCGAGATTGTGCCACTGCACTCCAGCCTGGGTGATAGAGTGAGACTCTGTCTAAAAAAAAAAAAAAAAAAGAAAAATCATTTGCCCACATATGTAAGGGTTTATTTCTGGGTTCTCTAGTCTATTCCATTGTCTTATATATCTCCCTATGCCAATACCGCACTGTTTTGATTATTGTAGCCTTGTAGTAAGTTTTGAAATCAGGAAATGGGAGTGCTTCAGCTTTATTCTTTTTCAAGATTATTTTGTCTATTGTCCCTTGTTTCAAGATTACTATCCCTTGTTGGGATTTTGATAGGGATTGCATTGAGTCTGTAGGTTGCTTTGGATAATGTTGACATGTCAACAATATTAAGTCTTCCAGTTCATGAATGTGGGATGTGTTTCCATTTATTTATGTCTTCTTTAATTTCTTTCAGCAGTTTTGAATTTTTTTGTTATCCAAGTCTTTTGCCTCTGATTAAGTTAATTCTAAGTATTTTTATTATTTTGAGTATCGATTAATTCTTGCTAAATTTGTTTTCTAGGCTTTATCAGTTTCAGATACCGGTCTTATATACACGCATTAACTAAATATGTGAACCTCTGTTTGTAGTCATGATGGGCAGTGGATTTTGTCATCTGGGTTTCAGTGAGGTTTTTCTTTCCTTAGATGATTTCACTGTGATTGTTTCTTTACCATATCTGAGATGGAGTCTCACTCTGTCACCCAGACTGGAGTACAGTGATGCCATCTCGGCTCACTGCAACCTCCGCCTTCTGGGTTCACGTGATTCTTCTGCCTCAGCCTTCCAAGTAGCTGGGATTACAGATGTGCACCACCACACCCGGCTAATTTTTATATTTTTAGTAGAGATGAGGCTTCATCATGTTGGCCAGGCTGGTCTTGAACTCCTGACCTCAGGTGATCCGCCTGTCTCGGCCTCCCAAAGTGCTGGGATTACAAGGATTGATTTTTAACCATTTCTGTAGCAAGAGTTTATTATTACATTTATTATTGGGTTTCTAATGGACACAAAGATTGAACACCACAAACTGGTAATAAAAGCAAATAACATAATAGTAAATTCATTGCTGTTCTGAGTGCTTGAAGTTTGTAGAATTAGCTGATTGAGAATATTGCCCACATATTATATTACAAAGCCATACATTTTATTAGATAAGTAAGTTGCTTTTTGAGTAATGACCAGCATGCTTTTAACACTTTGAGGACACCAAGATTCAGTTGCTGAATTCTCTCCAATATTTTTCTTTTTTCTAGGGCAAGAGGATTATGACAGATTACGACCGCTGAGTTATCCACAAACAGATGTATTTCTAGTCTGTTTTTCAGTGGTCTCTCCATCTTCATTTGAAAACGTGAAAGAAAAGGTAAGCTGATCAGATACTCTTGCCCTAAGAAGATCATCTCAGAATTTCTACTGACCTGTTATAAATAGCATTAGAGGCTTGTTGATTAACAAAGGTGTATTTTAAAATACCTTTTTTTAGTGGGTGCCTGAGATAACTCACCACTGTCCAAAGACTCCTTTCTTGCTTGTTGGGACTCAAATTGATCTCAGAGATGACCCCTCTACTATTGAGAAACTTGCCAAGAACAAACAGAAGCCTATCACTCCAGAGACTGCTGAAAAGCTGGCCCGTGACCTGAAGGCTGTCAAGTATGTGGAGTGTTCTGCACTTACACAGGTAAGAATGGCATGAAACCCCATGTGTATTTATGGTCGAGTCATTTATTAGAGCATTAGGATACAGGAGTTATTTCTAACAGTGATCAGCAGTGCTCAAAGATGCCCAGCAAGAATATGAACAGCTTCATATTGTATGTTCTTTTGTTAGAGGCCTCTGTGTTTTTTGGAGAATATTATTAGTTCCTAAACCCCTTGTGTTGGTAAGCTCTCGTATTGTACTGAATGATTCGTAGTGGTCAGGGTTGTGTTAAAACAAAAACCTTACAGGAAAGGTTCAGATAAGCATAAACTTGCAAGAGACGATGTGAATGATTTTTTTTTTTTCTAAACACTTAAATTTTCATCTGAATATGTCTGATCTTTTCTTGCCAATTCTGACAATTGATACTATACTGTTTCTTGGGCAATTCAACCAGGATAGGGAATTAGTCATAATAATTGAGACTTTAATGTCAAAGAAGGCAGCCATGGCTATTTCTGCCACAGTTCTCAAGCGTGCTTTATATAGTGTCCCTATTCCTATATTTTTGGAAGTATTCCTTCCTCATGCATTCCGGCCGTTTTTGAGTGATTTAATTGGAACTCCTTTTGTAGTTTGATGGGAAACTCAGATTTTGAAGATAGGGAGCAATGTTAGGGTATTTGGAATGGGACTTGTAACTGATGTGTATGGTTTAAACTTTTTCACCTTCATGATATCGCTGATTCCGTCCTTTGAGTACTGTTCTGGGGGCAAAGGAAAAGGTTATGGAAATAATTAGCACAAAAGTTTTATGTTCTACTGGTACTGGTGCTTTGAAGTTTGAACACTGAGCAGACATGCCTAATAGGGCAAGATTGAAGGGTGGAGGTTTCTAATAATTATATTAAACTCATTATATTTATGCTTATGTTTTCAGGTAATTCATTCATTTTTATTGTGTTTCTAAAAAACACTATTGGATTCTTAACTACGTGTATACTAGGGTAAATGGCATATATGATTACTTATTACATATGCACTAGGTATTTAGTTTATAGGGCCTAGTGCATAATTTAATAGTAAGTTTAGTACTTGGTTGGATATTTACAGATAAAACTTTTATGCTTAACTGGGATATCCCTCAAAATAACTTCGAGGCCTAGTATCAGATGATTTAAACATAATCTTCTAATCCTCGTTTTTTTGGGCAGTTTAGTGCTATTATAGAAGCAGTTATTTAAAAGTTTAGAAGATTTTACACCTTCTCATGCATAGCAACTGTTTTGAGAGTTTTAAAAAATGCCTGGTGCTTCTCTGTGTGTTTTAGTAACATTCCCAGAAAAGTGTGCCTGTGTGTGTATATTGGGGGAGACAAGGGAAAGTCATGTGTGAAACACTCATGTCCATGTTAGACACTAATTCTGTGTGCTTCTGATGCATACCTCTGTTCTCTAGATATGGGTTGCTTTGAGGGAAGACACATAGGCCCTGTGGATTCACTTTTAGGTTACTAGTGATGCTTTAGATAATTGGATGCTTTTAATGTAAGATTTTTACAGTATCAACAGGTGTATATAGTAAATCCGTTTGTAGAGAGTATGAAGTTTAAAAGGTCTTAGCAGGTACATTTTTCTTACCAGAGTTTGAAGTATGGAGAAGTCAAAAGAGGGGAAGTTAGAAAATGGGGTCTGTGGTTGTGTTTGGGAGCTAGAACTTTGAGGCTTACAGATTCTGTTTGTTGATTCCTCTAAAACTAAAGTCTTAATATAAACAGATGGTGGTCAAGCAAAGATTAGTTTTGTTTCATAGAGCATTTGTTGATCTTCGTCCATGGTAAGCAAGAAAGGAATTCCTTCTTGTTAAGGGATACACTCCAGTTTCTAATAGTCCTCCTCCTCTTTTTTTCCTTATAAAGTATATTTCCCTTTCTGTACTCCTTCCTTCCTTTTATATTTTACTGCCAGAGTTGGTTCCTAGATGTGCAGAAAGAATTGCAGTGGAATTTTAACTTTTATGTGGCATTTCTACTTTGTAAATGATGTAGAAAGAGGAAGGCTTTTTAACTTTTGCTGCTTTTAAAGAATTTACTGCTGTTTCTGATTTATTTTGTGTCTAATGTGACATGTGGGTACCAGTCCTGTGGGATGTCATGGATGGGGGCAGGGTGGAGGTGGGAACACTTGGGGTGGTCTGGGGTTGGCACTTACAATTGGAGCTGTGTTCTGGGACTTTTAGGACATATTTACTTGGGATCAAACTGATCAAACTAAAGAACATGTGAAACAACCTTGGGTGGTAAACTTGTGGCTTCAGATTTAGGTGATTTTAGGTGAGTCTGTAGACCTGGGTCCTAAGTACCACCAATGCTGAGTCACACTGTCATGTTGGAGTTTCTGGCTGAGGTGTAAGTGTATTTCTGTATCTTAATCCCCGTAAGATCTGAGAATATTCTTCGTTTTCACTCCATGCTTTATGCTCTGATACCCATGCAGACATCTTAAAGCACTGGACTGCTTGCTAAAACTCATTCTAGGACCCCATTCTTTGTTTTCTTATGACTTGGGTGGTGGTTACTTGCTCTAATAACATTGCTGAATAACTGAAGTGTATGCTGTTTTTAGAGTCTGTTCTTTAAAGTCCTTCTAGTTGGTACTGTTGCACAATTAACACTTTTTAAATGTCTGAACCTTTCCGTTCTGGGAAACCAGTTTACTCTGAAATCTTGATTAATCACATTCAGATATGTCATTGAACCTAGAAACACATAGCATGCCTGTTAGTCTGCTATTTGTGTCCTTCAGTTATTCAGGGGCTGAATTCACATAAGCCTGAAATTGTAATAGATTTATTTCCAAAATGTGTTAGAAGTCAACATATTGCATTTTAATAAAAATTGCTTTCCTGCTCAGTTAACCTTGCTTGAGGTGAAGTTTTTGGTCAGTTATCTACTCTCCTGGTTATAATGGGCTTAAGATCTAGCATTCTAGCGTTTTTCTTAAGGCACATTGCTTCTGTGAATTCAGCTCATTTAATCCGGACTGCTGTTGTACCTGCTAGTCTTTCTAATCCTCTAACCTGGCTGCTATTCTCTCTCCTCCCCTCTGTCTTGTAGAGAGGTCTGAAGAATGTGTTTGATGAGGCTATCCTAGCTGCCCTCGAGCCTCCGGAAACTCAACCCAAAAGGAAGTGCTGTATATTCTAAACTGTTTTCTCCTTCCCTTCTTTGCTGCTGCTTCCTGTCCCACTACTGTAGAAAGATCGTTTAAAAACAAAGGAATAAAACCATCCTGTTTGAAAGCCTCTGCGTCTTTTTACTCACCACCTTAGAGCAACCTCTGTATTAGTTTTTGATCAAGAATGCAATATCATATAAATTTTTTGTGATCAGTAGTCAAGTTGGACTTGTTTTAACGTTCTGCTGCTTGAGTTGCCTGATGCTCAGAGCTTTTTGGTTTGGATTACTATTGCAAAAGGGAACTTGGTCTGGCTTTAAGAATGTCCTCTTGGAGAAAATAACAAGAGTTTTAACACTTCTAGATCTTAGTTCTAGATGGAGAAAGTAACACAAACATCATTTTACTCTTATGATCAATTGTTAATTGTAATTGCATGACAAACCTTATGGAAAAGGGGTGACCTAGTAGAGTGTAATGGGGAAGGGAGGATTCTTTTCTGGTTTTCCTTTGTGCGGTGAAACTTTGTGTTGCTGTTGCTTTGGCTGTCTGTGCTGTAGTGGAGTATTTGTCAGTCTGGGGTGGGGAAGATATTGATGTATCTGCTACTGCTTTATGAGTTCATTTGTTACATTATCTTTTAAGAATAACATCCATTTAAACAGTTGACTTACAGTTTGTTAATGCTGAGATGTAAAGCTGCCACCTTTATATTTTCCTGCTTCTGATTTTATTGTGAGGGAAATATACAATTGTGGTTACCTTCAAATTTTGAAATTAAAAATATACAACCGTTTGTATAAATGCCTGATGAAGCTTTATTCCTGTTGCACTGACTGGCTCTAATTTTACGTATGTATCAGGTACCCACATTTTTGCTCCCTTGAATCTCCTTGACTCTGTCTAACTGGTGGGATAAAGGGAGTTCAAAGTGACTATCTTTGCAGCTACCATAATCACCCTCTCTCTCTCTTTGCCTGTGCCTTCCATAGAATAAGGATGCCACTGACCCGTGCCCGTCCTCTCAGTCCTCTGTTTCATATCCAGCTGTTTCATTTGAATGCAGAGCTGCTTCCCTTGTTTTTATGTAAAATGTTTCAGCAGCACATTACAAAACTCATACTGAATGAGCAAATGACACATGTGCTTGTTTGCTTCTTGTGACATACATTGGTCTGCGCAAAGCTTTCTCAAAGGACCACTGTCTCACTCATGAATATCTGCTCCTCTGCTCCTGAATTGCTGAATCCTTCCAGTGCCCTGGACAAATCTTGGTGAAGTGAGATTATTGTGTTGAGATTCAGGGTTGTTTTTAATGTTTCTTTCTTTGCCAACTCTTGGGGGTTTGAATGTTTTAAATTTGAACTCCAACTTTATTATACTGAAAATCAGACCGCCCATTTTTTCTTTCTACCCCTTTTCAGAAAGGCCTAAAGAATGTATTTGACGAAGCAATATTGGCTGCCCTGGAGCCTCCAGAACCGAAGAAGAGCCGCAGGTGTGTGCTGCTATGAACATCTCTCCAGAGCCCTTTCTGCACAGCTGGTGTCGGCATCATACTAAAAGCAATGTTTAAATCAAACTAAAGATTAAAAATTAAAATTCGTTTTTGCAATAATGACAAATGCCCTGCACCTACCCACATGCACTCGTGTGAGACAAGGCCCATAGGTATGGCCCCCCCCTTCCCCCTCCCAGTACTAGTTAATTTTGAGTAATTGTATTGTCAGAAAAGTGATTAGTACTATTTTTTTTTGTTGTTTCAAAAAAAAAATTTTTGTGTGTGTGTGTTTTTTTTTTTTTTTTTTTTGTTGTTTAAAAGCAAGGCATGCTTGTGGATGACTCTGTAACAGACTAATTGGAATTGTTGAAGCTGCTCCCTGGTTCCACTCTGGAGAGTAATCTGGGACATCTTAGTGTTTTGTTTTGTTTTTTTCCCTCCTCTTTTTTTTGGGGGGGAGTGTGTGTGGGGTTTGTTTTTTAGTCTTGTTTTTTTAATTCATTAACCAGTGGTTAGCCCTTAAGGGGAGGAGGACGGATTGATTCCACATTCCACTTCCTAGATCTAGTTTAGAAAACATGTTCCCCATCTGGTGCTCTTAGGAAGGAGTATAGTAAATGCCTCATTTAATAACATACTCCTTTTTGAAAGTTGCCTTTTCTCTCCACCCTTGAGTAGATCCAGTATTTGATGAAACTCATGAAAGTGGGTGGAGCCCATCTTGCCCCTCCTCTTTTCTAGGACGCACTATATGTGACTGTGACTTTCAAGGACATTTGTTTGCCATTTGCTGATTTTTTTGGGAAGTTAATTTCTAACTTCTTTCACTGATAAATGAAGAAAAGTATTGCACCTTTGAAATGCACCAAATGAATTGAGTTTGTAATTAAAAAAATTTTTTTCCCTTTCAGTCATTGTCTTATATGCTTAGCATAGATTTGCAGCTCAGTAGTATATGGTGTTCCTAGAATGCAGCTGAAGACCTGTTATGTAGAGGAAATACGAGGGGTGGTGCTAGAAGACAGACATCTGTGGAATGATTCACATCCTCTCAAGTTAGGAGGATGGAGGCCTGCTTCATTAAGAAGCTGGGGGTAGGGTGGGGGTGGGGAGAACACTTAACAACATGGGGACCAGTCAGGGGAATCCCCTTATTTCTGTTTTGCATATGAGGAACCCTAGAGCAGCCAGGTGAGGCTCTCTAGTTTAATAAAAATCATGGAAAGACTCTTAATGCAGACTCTTCTTAAGTGTTAATAGGGATTTTTTCAGCTTATTTTGGTTGCAGTTTCCAATTTTTAAAAATGTTGAGGTAATCTTTCCCACCTTCCCAAACCTAATTCTTGTAGATGCATTAGTGTTGAACCAATGCTTTCTCATGTCTCAATTCTTTGTATATGCATTCTTTTCAGATGTATTAAACAAACAAAAACCCTTCACAAGCCAGCCTGAGGGTTGTTATTTTCCCTCCGTCTCTTACTTTTCAGATATTGAGGAGTGGGAATTTGACTCTTGATAACATCAATTTCTAACAAACTTTGGGATAAAATTTTAAAGCTTTATTATTTTTATTTTCTGGCATTTTAGTTTGAGATAATATTTAGCCCTCTATATGTTCAGGTTTGTGCTTTCTCCTCTAAGTTTGACCCTTCCCTTAAATACCAAGTAGGTCCATAATAATTCTTAGTGAAGCAGTGTTCAGGAAGCTCACTGCTCATGGTGGAAGGAAATGTCAGTGTACCTTTAATCCATAGATCATTGAAAAGCAGCTCATTTTCCCCCAAGTTTTCTGCATCAGTGGTTCTCCAACTGGAGTGCAGCTTGAACAATGTGATTTTTAAGTTTTCCAGGCATTTCTAAAATGTAGCCAAGTTTGGGAATCACCACACCTAGTTGGTTATCTCAAACTACTACTATCAGAATACAGGTTCTGTGCTGCGAATCTGAATATGGGATACATTTTCTTTAGGTAGCAAGAAAGGTTTATTTACCTTTAGGACATTATACTGATCTGCATGAGAATCTTAGAAACTAAGAACCCTTAAAATCAGTTAAGGTTGGTACACTGTGGCCTCATTTTGATAGTTCTCTGCATGGAGTCATGTTTGGCATGATTTGCATACTGTGCTAGAATTAAGCTGGGTTGGTTGAGAAGGGGTTAGGAAGAGGCAGATGTAAGCTTTAACAGTTCTAACCAAGAAATGCATCTTATTTATTCCTTGTTGACTATACTAGGGAGAGATACCTGGATCATGTGATACCCTGGAAAGCAGGGACATATGTATCCTTAGTGTAGTCAGGGGCGTATAGGTCCTTGACTATTGCTATATCTTTGTCCTAAAGCAATGCTTGACATGATATGGCTCTAGAAGTAGTCATTGGATGGGTATATTATTTTATAAATGAGTAAGTGAAATAAAGCAGGTCATACAGTTGTGTCAACGAATTATCCGTGTATCAGAAGAACAAGGATGATGGGGATTGATTGAAGCTAATGTTTTCTTAAATATTTTCAGATTGATTTCTGCATGTCAGAAGAACTTGGGTAGCAAGTGGATGCAGCTTAGGTTTTCCATTTAAATATTGTTTTCTATTTGACGTAACAAACTTGCTTATAGTCGTGGCTTAGAAGGTGAGTGATATTCTCCAGGGAGTATGATTTAGAGGCTGGAAAGGGTTATTGAAAATAGTCCTTACAGGCTTAGTTTGTGTCAGAATTTATAGTATTTAATACGATGTTAATATATTATTGCTATTTATAAGTGTTTTACTGAACATCCTAGAAATAGATTTTTTTTTTTTTTTTTTTTTGAGACGGAGTCTCGCTCTGTCGCCCAGGCTGGAGTGCAGTGGCGCGATCTCGGCTCACTGCAAGCTCCGCCTCCCGGGTTCACGCCATTCTCCTGCCTCAGCCTCCCGAGTAGCTGGGACTACCGGCGCCCGCTACCACGCCCGGCTAATTTTTTGTATTTTTAGTAGAGACGGGGTTTCACCGTGTTAGCCAGAATGGTCTCGATCTCCTGACCTCGTGATCCGCCCGCCTCGGCCTCCCAAAGTGCTGGGATTACAGGCGTGAGCCACCGCGCCCGGCCAGAAATAGATTTTATAGTTAAAGCGATGTTCTTCAAGCTGGACTTTATGCCACAAGGGGAGTGTATTCTAAAGGGGAAGAAAAGGATTGTGGTTTAAAAGAACAATTGTAATATTTCCTTCATTCTGAGGTGTATTTTTCTCACATTTTCATATTGTAATTAGGATACCTGTTAACATTGGTGTACATTTAATGTAGTAGTACTTTTTCTCCTTTTGCCCTGCAAGTTGTCACTAAATTTGTGCTATCATAATTGTTACCTTCATAGAATGCTTAAATAGTGGTACTTCTTTGACTTGTTAGGTTTGGACTATTTTCCTTTTCTTCTTCCATTTGTGAGGTAAATTAGTGGTTATTTTGGTGCTGGGTGCTAAGAAACTCGCAAAACAAGGGCCCTGCTCAAGAAGGATTGAAACTTAGTCCTTGCTGGGTACAAATTTAGAAATTTGTTATATAACTGTGGGGCAAGGGACAACATTTCACCAGGAAGTAGCAACTCCATCATCTTTCAGGAAGGGCTGATGGTTAGGGCATCTCTGAATGATTATTGGAGGGAAGTGGCTTTATGTCACACTTGTTTTCTGTAAGTCTTACTCTGTATCTACCCGACTTCAGATCATGGTGATTTAATTACATGGCCCAATCATGTTTTCTTTCCAGGGCTGCTTGAATGCTTGAATACTTTTTTTTTTGAGATGGAGTCTCGTTCTGTCGCCCAGGCTGGAGTGCAGTGGTGCAATCTCGGCTCATTGCAAGCTCCGCCTCCCGGGTTCACACCATTCTCCTGCCTCAGCCTCCCGAGTAGCCAGGACTACAGGCATGTGCCACCATGCCTGGCTAATGTTTTGTATTTTTAGTAGAGATAGGGTTTCACCATGTTAGCCAGGATGGTCTCGATCTCCTGACCTCGTGATCCGCCCGCCTTGGCCTCCCAAAGTGCTAGGATTACAGGCGTGAGCCACCGCGCCTGGCCAGAATGAATACTTTTAATTACTACTATGAGTCTTTTTTCAAAGTGCCTCCACCTTAAAAAAAATTCCTTATTTTATTCACTTGCCAGAATAATGTTGCATTTGAACCATGCCAACGGTAGCTTATTAAAACAGCATTTATTTTTCTCATTCATGGGTCAGCTGAACTTGTCTCTAGCCTTCAGATTGGGCTCAGGTGGGCTTTGTGTTTGTCATTCTGGAGCCTAGTTCCAGAGAGCAGTGGCTGCTTGAGTGTGGACTTGCTTATGGTGGGCCAAAGAGGGGCAAGGGAAAGCGCATTTACACTTTCTCGTATTCCATTGCCCAGAGATGGCATATAGCCGATCCCAAGTCAGTGCTATTCATTCATTTTTTTAAAAAAATTTATTTATTTATTTATTTATTTATTTTCAGACGGGGTCTTGCACTGTTGCCCGGGCTGGAGTGCAGTGGTGGCATCTCCGCTCACTGCAACCTCCACCTCCCAGGTTCACATGATTCTCCTGCCTCAGCCTCCTGAGTAGCTGGGATTACAGGTGTCTGCCACTGCGCCCGGCTAATTTTTTGTATTTTTAAGGGAGACTGGGTGTCACTATGTTGGCCAGACAGATCTCAAACTCCTGACCTCCTGATCCGCCCTCCTCAGCCTCCCAAAGTGCTGGGATTATAGGCATGAGTCACTGCGCCCGGCCTATTCATTCATTCTTACAGTGAATTAGTAAATTCAACAAATAGGTTTTTTTAAAGCAATTAAGGCACTGAGGATATACAGAGAGTAAAATAGATGTCTCCTGACTTCTACTTGGAATTTTCTTTCCCTTACAGTTTTGATAGCTGCTTTCTCTTGAATAACTATGTCATCTCTTTCCACTTTGCATTGCTCCCAAGAGAGTAATGTAAAAGTTTTATCTGTGCATGCATATTCATGACACATTCATTTGTCATTATTTATCAAAAACCTGTTCCCTTCCCTGGCACTGGAGACATTGGAGAATGACAGTCTCAAGCAGTGCAGAGATGTAAGCAGGCAGAGGTAAGGACTTTGGTCTCAATAGCCTACAGGGTGCTTCATCCACTCACTGTATTCTGTGTGCCTGTGCCGCGGTGCAGGTGGTCAGTTGGAACCCCTGATGGGTATCTGGGCCACTGCCCAGGCCACACAGAGCCTTTGTGCAAATTAGAAAAGGCCCTTCCAAAGATACTTTATGAACGACTTGTAATAATTTAGTGATTTTATTTTCCAAAGCAAGGCATTTGGTTGCTACCTGCTAGAACTGTTACAGTAAATACACAGATCTATTTTGTGAGCAAATAGTACTGCCTTGGATGTGGTACCCTTGTGCAGTGCACAACTTGGACAGTTCATACACAATGTTGTATTGAGATGATTGTTATTCTACATTGTATTTATTTAGATAGTGGGATTGAAAATAGGCTAAGATGGAGAACTGGGTGGGGAACAATTTGTAATCCTTTTTAGTTCATATGTCACAATCACAGAATTGAGACTAGCTAGTTTAAATCCCTGCATCTTGCACATGGTGAGGAAAGGTGAGGACATTTAGATGACCTTTGCCTGTCACCACACAGCTGTATGGTAGCAGAGCTGGGCGTGAAACCTGCATTCCTGGCCTCTCCTTTTGTGGTGCTTACAGTGCTGTGTTAGGTCCAGTTTTACCTCTTAAATCTGTATTATTACTTTTTTTTCGAGACCAGATCTTACTCTGTCGCCCAGGCTGGAGTGCAGTGGCGTGATCTCGGCTTGCTGCAATCTCTGCAATTCTCATGCCTCAGCCTCCCAAGTAGCTGGGACTACAGGCGTGAGCCACCGTGCCTGGCTAATTTTTGTATTTTTAGTAGAGATGGGGTTTCACCATGTTGGCCAGGCTGGTCTTGAACTCCTGACCTCAGGTGATCCGCCCGTTGCGGCCTCCCTAAGTGCTGGGATTATAGGCGTGAGCCACTGCGCCCGGCCTGAAATGTGTATTCTTAAGTCCGCCTTTCAAAGTTGAGTACTGCATTCTTGCGGCTCTACCTAAGTTTCTCCTAGAATCTCCCTGCACTTCTTGTTTTGCTGCCATCAGGTAATTTGTGCATTAGAACTAGCTTGGAACAGAATGGGTAAACTTCTGTGAAGTTAGACACTTGCCTCTTAGAGGCATATCCAGTGAGTCTTTAAAGCCCTACGTTATAGAAAAATGTGAAGTATGTCTAATAAAGGAGTACAGTGGAAGGTTTAAAAGCACATTGCTGATTAGTGGGGTCAGGATGGGAGGAGAGCCCTGATTTTAATGCAGTGTCATAGTCTCATAGGTGATTTCCCCAAAAGCAAATAAATGCTCGATGGATTTTGGGTCCACCATGCATCTCTGAAGTAGAAGTGACAGATTTTCAAGGCTAAGGTAAGTATAGCATTTTCTCAACCCTATTACAATAGAGCACAGGATCATAACTGTTCTGTTTGCTCTGATGCGTCCCGCAGAGCAGTGCTTTTTCTCGGTGTGAACTGTGGATCACTTGTCTCAGTCATCAGGATTCCTGGACCCTGTAGGATTTACTCTCAATCTTTAGGGGTAGAGACTAGGAGCCTACATTTTGAACAAGCATCTTTTTATTTTGATGAAGTTTGCATTATTACTCCTAACAACGTGCCCTTTGGCAGGTAGCTTCCACTTTTCTGGCCTCATTATCTGTAAAATTGCATACTTAGTTATCATTGAGGTCTCAAATGCAGTTCGGGTTCCTGGTTGGTGAACAATTAGATGGGAAGGCTGAAAAAAAAAATACTCCTGAGATTCTGAATCTGTAAGTATGCAATGGGACCTGAGAATCAATCTAATTTCTAAAAGATTCCCAGATAGAACTTTGTTGAGCTATGTTTAGGGACCAGTGCACACCTTGGTGATAGAACCTTTTTGAAACTTTGAAAAAGTTAAAAGGGTTCTGTGTAATGTTACCTAAGAAGCTTATTTTTAAAAAAGGAAAGCAGTGCTTAGGGCCATATTGTTTTGAAATAGGATCTGAGCACCATTTAAATTTTTATAAATTATTTTTTAGAGGCATCACTTCTTTAAAGCCCATCAGATTAATGTGCCATTGGTTTGAAAACCATGACATGAGATGATTTCTTAAGGTTTTATTTGTGTCAGACATGAATTTTAGAGTATTTCTGGGCTATAGGTCATTACAGCTTTACTTATTTATTTTTTGGAGACAGGGTCTCACTCTGTCACCCAGGCTGGAGTGCAGTGTCGTGGTCTTGGGTCACTGCATCCTTGACCTCCCCAGCTCAAGCGATCCTCCCGCCTCAGCCTCCCGAGTAGAAGGTACTACAGGTGTGTGACACCACGCCTGGCTCATTTTTGCATTTTGTGTAGAGAGGGGGTTTTGCCATTTTACCCAGGCTGGTCTCGAACTCCTGAGCTGATCCTCCCACCTCGGCCTCCCAACGTGCTGGGATTACAGGCATTAGCCACTGTGCCCAGCTGGGTATGGATTTCTGAGTGGAGGGAATGTGAACAAAGGAGGGCCCAGGCATGTTTGCAGAGTGGCTGGGGGCCCTGCTTCACCACGGCATAGGGACGGGTGCAGTAGGAAGAAAGGTAGCCTCAAGGCCCCCATAAATAAATTGGTGCATTAAGGAAGGAATATTAATCACATCCAGGAGGGCTCTGCCCTAACTGCTGAGAATCATAAAAGAAATGGGGACATATTCTGGCGAAATAACAGCTTTGTTAATTGAGCTCTTACTGTGTGCCTTTGCACTGTGTTAAGCACATGGTGTTATCACACTTGCTACTCACAACAGCTCTGAGGTTGATAGTACAGGTATCTTCTTTTTATGGAGCAGGACTCTGAGACATCATAATTGCTTGGTATATGCAGCCAGAGTTGGAAATCCTATCTGTCTGATTTTGGAAACTGTGTGCTTACCATTACATATCTTATGTGGAAATAAAATGTATATGATTAATTACAAAGCTGAAAATCGTAGTTGAAGCATCATATAGTGCACAGGGCAAGCAAAGCAGCATAAAAGGCTTCATCTGTAAGGGTAGGTTTGTTGGGTAGGAGCTTTTTGGGGGAGGTGACTTTAGGATCAGTTGTAGCATGAGAGAATATGACACCTTCTTCCTTTAGAGGATCTAAAGGTGTAGCTTTAGAGGATTGTAGGGTGCCTTTGCCCATTGTGTCATTTGGTCCTTCTTAAAATTTGAGTGTTTATTCTCTACATGGCACTCTTTTAAGCCTTTGTGTGAATTAACTCAGTCTTCTCAGCAATCCCCCATTTTTTCATATGTGGAAACTGAGGCATGTTATGATACAAAGCTTGTCCAAGAATTCAGAGCTAGCTTGTCCAAGAATTCAGAGCTAGTAAGTGAGGGAACTGGGATTTGAATTTAAGCAGTCTGTCTCTAGAGTCTGCTCAGCTGGCCTTTTTTTCTTTCTTCTTCTTCTTCTTCTTTTTTTTTTTTTTTGTATAATAGGCCTGTGAGTTGGGAAGAGCAGGGTTTGTTTGGTGAGAAAGTTGCACCTTAGTGAATACCCAAGGTCTGAGGGAGGCTTGGAGCCAGCTCTGCAACCTGGCTCCCTTCTTTCATTAGCTTGACCCAAGCACAGGGAGATGACTGGGGCTCTGCCTTCATCTTCTCTGCAAACGGTCAGGGATACTCATGCAGTTTTTGAGTTTAAGTAGTAAACTCCTAAACTTCAAGTCATGTTTGTATTAGTGATTTCACTTGACCTCAGTACAACTCTGTAAAAGAGGCAGGGATGGATGATGTCATTTGTCAAATGGTAAAACTGAGGCGAAACAACTTGGCATTGTTGGTGTTGTGCGAAGTACATGCATAGGCTTTGGATTTGAGTTTGGCTCTGCCACTAACTTGATCTATGTCTTCAGGCAAGTAACTTAAATGCTCTGAGTGTTGCATTCTCTGTGAAGTGGAAATAGCTGTACTTTGCCCAAGAGTTGTGAGAGTGACATGAATTGCTATATGTGAGGTTCTTAGCATAGTGCCTGGCAAGTAGAAGGTACTCATCTGTGAATGGGGTAGATAGCAGCTGTCTTCATCACTGTCATCATTGTTGGCTCACATCAAATCAGGACCAGAAAACCCTGTTGACTTCTGGGTCTTAAACTGCTGTATCAGTGAGGGGCTTCCTCCTCATACTCATTGCCAGGAGTAGAGTAAGGCTTTTAATTTCATCTCTAACCAACTCTGATAGGGCTGGAAATGTGTATGGAGTTCCAGACCCACCATGGGGCCCCAGTGCTAGCTTCTTAGCCCTCCTTTGTAAGGTTTGCACTAGTTTGATGGGAGAGGGATTTTTTTTGTCTTGATTCTGAAGCTCTTAAAGAAATGCTCCTTTTTCTCCATAACTTGAGGATTTCACAATTGTATTGGAATTATTGGTGTTAAGGAGTTAGGTCCATCTCTTGGCAGCTTGTGAAGGGTGGGCAGGCACCTGTGAATTCTTCACTGGCTTCTTGTAAGAATGACTTTACTGGAGGGTGCTGAGTTTGTGATTATCTCCTCTGCTGCTAGAAAACTCCGTGAACCCTGGTACATATAGCGTGATAAATCAAGTCCTGTTTTTGCTCCTAACTTGCATTATGGTGTTTGATACTATATCTTCATTTCTCCCATGGTAGTAATAACACTGTTGGAAAGAGCTCTCAGTTGGAAGTTGAAGATCCAGGTTCTAGTTGAGGCACCAGAGTTTCCTTGGGCAAGTTGCCATACCTTTTTGGGCCTTGGTTTCCTCATCTCAATAAAATGAGTTTCTGTTCCTTTTTGGTTTGTGTCTTTTTTTCAGTAGGCCTTCTTTTTCATAAACAAAAGCTTATATAGAGCCCCACTGTAGAAACAGAAAAGGTGTATGAAACAGAGTTGCTGTAGTTAATGCAGGCCCAGCAGCTTTACTCTTCCCACTGCCTCCTTGTTGCAAACAGAGATAAACTTTGTGCAGCCCTAGTAACCTCTAAGGTGTTGCCAAGGGATTTGAACACGACTGGTGCAGGTTCATTTCTGTAGCCTCTTAAGTTTCAGGATTTTTTGCTAGCTATTGACAGGTAGTTAACAAAAATCTATAAAACCTGTATACTAAATATACAAGTAGACTAGTGAGTCTTCAAGAATTTTGTGATTATTATCCCTATATGGAGAATCTTTTTAGATTTTTACTGATATAGTTGAGAGATTCTAAGTTTGGTTCAGTCTGTAGTTTTAAAAAAAATGTATAGCAGTAACCAGTAAAGACCGAGTTGGTTTTTGTTTATAGGATAAATACGGCTGCTTTTTTTTTTTGAGACGAAGTTCCGCTCTTGTTGCCCAGGCTGGAGTGCAATGGCGTGATCTTGGCTCACTGCAACTTCCACCTCGAAGGTTCAAGCAGTTCTCCTGCCTCAGCTTCCTGAGTAGCTGGGATTACAGGCATGTGCCACCACGCCCAGCTCATTTTTTGGTATTTTTAGTAGAGACGGGGTTTCTCCATGTTGGTCAGGCTGGTCTCGAACTCCCAACCTCAGGTGATCCTCCCGCCTCGACCTCTCAAAGTGCTGGGATTACAGGCGTGAGCCACTGGGCCTGGCCAAATACGGCTTCTTAACAGCGGCAGACAGGATATTTTCCTACCTTATGGATCACTTCCTTTTGGGAATACTAGTAGGATCCAAGCATAAATATAATTCAGTGGTGAAACTAGATCCCTTTACACAGACTTATCTGTTTCCCTTCTTGTAAGTATCCTGGCATTCTTCATTACAATTTATATAAAATAGCATATTTCCTGTTGTTCATGTTTCAGGAATCATTCTAGTGCCAGTTCTATGTAGAACTTTTTGATTTTAAAGAGAAAAACTGTATTAAATAGTAGGAAAAGCACATATATTTTGGAGTAGAAGGCCCTAACTTTGAATCTGGCTCTGTTAATGACTAGCTGTGTTTGGGCAAACTGCTTTAGTTTTTGAGTCTTGATTTACACATCTGTAAAATCGAGCCAATTCTGCAGAGTTGTCATTAGGATTTAGGGATAAGGTACTCTCCTCCAATAAGCACTCGGACAAGAGGATAGACAAAGCTTTGTCTGATAGGGAATTCTCATAGAAGAACAGCCAATTTTATAATGGTAGTGGGTACAAAATGGTAATTTGTCACTGTGATTTACTTTTGTTTAGGCATTTATTCATTTCAGGAATGCTTATCTATATCTTGTCTGTTTTGTAGGAGCCAGTATAGAGTAGTATTAAAAACATAGACTCTAGAGCCAGACTGCCTGGTTTTGAATCTTGGGTTCACTGTTTACTGGCTGTGTGATCTTGGGCAAGATATTTAACTTGGATGTTTTTCTTTTGAGGATAGTAACAATATCACCTCACGGGGTTTCATGAGGATTAGACAAGTTCATGTGCGTAAAGTGCTTACAACAGTGTTTGGTTATTATTGTTAGCTGTTGTATGATTATCTTGAGGGAAGCTTGCTGCTTAGAGATCTTGAGACTTACAGAGCTAGCCCGAATGGCAAATATGTTTGAATTAAGCATTTCCTGTAGACTGTGTTTAATAGTTCAGATGGGTAGGAATGCAGTTCAAAAAACCTGTCAAGCAATCCCAGTAGTATTTTCTGATGAACCCTCAAGTCCTTCTGGATAAGACCCCAGCTAGTGCTGAAATGTGGTGAGGCCTGTGTTTCCTCCCTGAAAATAATGACCAAGATTTTACATTTGCACAGTGTGTCACGTTCTTTCAGTTTATTCCCACAGTCTGTGAGGTGGATAGGCCAAGGGTGATAATTCATTACATTTTAAAATAAGGGTATGGTCTCTGGGAAGGAAAACAATTTGCTTAGAGTTGTACAGCTGTTTGGTGACTACACTTCAGGCCTCTGTTTTTAGGCCAGTGTTCTTTTATGCCAGCCTGGTCCTGCTCTCTTCTGATAGAGGTTCTAAGGAATTGTTACCTTGTAGTAACCAGTGATCTATGGATCATGACTGTGGGGTTGAGAGTCGTAACCAGTGCCTTTTTAGCTCATAGAACTCTTGGAGGAGCTAATGGTACTTCCCCGTGGGGCCAGTGGTGGGTCTGATGCACCTCTGGGAATAATAGTAATAATAAAAGGAAGAAACAAAGTGTGATTTGCCCGATTGAGGGTGACTAGGAGTGACTTTGGGAACACATCTAATTGTTTGTCAGTAGATTATTTTGCCACATTCAGTCACTGCCTACAGTGATTTACAGCCATTATTTCTTAACATGCTGCATTTTTCTTTGGTATGCCTTAGTGGTATACCTGGTATAGATCTGAAGGTACTGTATAGTTAGTTTGCCTACATAACACTAACAATGCAGTTCATTCCTTTGTTCATAAATTCATTTATTTAACAAACGTCTGCTTAGTACCTGTATTCGTCTGTTCTCAATGCTGCTGATAAAGACATACCCAAGACTGGGTAATTTATAAAGGAAAAGAGGTTTAATTGACTCACAGTTCAGCATGGCTGGGGAGGCCTCAGGAAACTTACAGTCATGGTGGAAGGGGAAGCAAACACGTCCTTCACATGGCGGCAGGAGAGAATTGCAGAGCAAAGTGGTGGGGGGTAGGGGGAAGCCCCTTATAAAACCATCAGATCTTGTGAGAACTCATTATCACGAGAACAGCATGGAGGTAACCGCCCTCATGATTCAGTTACTTCCCTCCAAGTCCCTCCCATGACATGTGGGGACATGGGGATTATGGGAACTATAATTCAAGATGAGATTTGGGTGGGGACACAGCCAAACCATATCAGTACCTCTCATGATGCAGTAGGATGACCAAGACAAAATTCTTAAACTGGCGGGACTTACATTCTAGTAGGGGGAGGCAGACATGATTAAAATGTGTATGTCAGAGATGGTGTTAAGTGCTGTAGAGAGAAAGTACGGGACTCCACAGTCCCATCAGGTCTGATTACTTACACTTCTCGGATTTAAAAAAGGAGATCCTTGAAAGTCTTAAAAGGCTATAAGGAAGAAAAACTGCTTCTCAAAATCTAGGTTTTGTATATATCGTAGAACTGTAAGTATTTTAAAGAGCTAGAAGATTCAGATTATGTTTATTTCCTCTCTGATTTTAATTGCTTTGAGGATATTATAGTCTTACTTGGTTCAAGTTAGTTGAACTTGGTTCAGGCCAAGTTATCAGTAATGGGAATGATAATGATAGGTGAGTCTCTCTTTAAAAAGACAATGGGAAGGACTTTTAGAGGTTATTTAGACTAGCCCTCTCAATTTTGGCGGGGTGGGGTGAGTGTAACAGCTTTATTGAGATATAATTCCTGTACCATACAATTCACTTAAAGTGTACAAGTCAGTGGTTTTTAGTTTATTCACAAAATTGTGCAACTATCACCTGATAAATTTTAGAACTTTCTCTTTCCTTCAAAAACTCTTTTCTTCAAAAACACCCTTTAGCTGTCATACCCTGAAACTTTCTGCCCCATCTGCCCAGCCCTAAACAACCGCTGAACCACTTCCTGTCACTGTAGATTTGCCCATTGTGAATACTTCGTATAATTATAATATGTAGTCTTTTTTAACCAACTTGTTTCACTTAACGTGTTTTCAAGGTTCATCCGTATGGTAGCATGTGTCATTACTTCATTCCTTTTTATGGCTAAATAGTATTCCATTGTATGGAGATACCACATTTTGCTTATTCATTCCATCAAATGATGGACACGTGAGTTATTTCTACCTTTTGGTTACAATGAACATTGTGTACACATTTTTACATGATCTCTCAGTTTTCAAATGAAGTAAATGTAGTGGGGTGATTTGCCCAGTTCCCAGTGTGGTTCCAATGCATTGTGGGGCTCCGGAGGAGGCAGTGGTGCCACCTGCTTGACCAAGATCGTAGCTAGCTGTGAGGAGCTTGGAGCATGTAGGCATTTCTGGAAGAATTGAAATTATGTTTAGTTTCAGGGCCTTCTGTTCCTTCAGGAGGAGTGATACAATGGCATGAGGATGGACTTTGGTATCACATTTTCTACTGAGCCTCTGTAACCCTGGACAGGTGACTTCTATAAGCCTTGGTTTTCTCATTTGAAAAATGGAATTAATAATGTACCTTGCAGTGTTGTGAAGACTAGCAATAACATAGGTAAAGCACCCACCAGATCTAGCTGTGTAAGTGGTATCATCATTTAGGAAGTTACTGGAAGGACCAAGGAAAATGACGATGAGGTGGGCCTGTAATGATCCAGAGCAGCCACTAGATGGCAGAGAAATAGCAAGAAAAGACTGGCTGGTTGTGCACCTGGAACTTAGTAAGGTTTGTTAAGCTTCTTTCTAATTGTCCTTAAGAGGAGAGTACAGGCTCCCACATTGCTGGGAAAAGAGCCCACCGCCCACAGAATGTCATCACCCCATACCTGCAGCCTGTGCAGATATAGAAACACTACTGTGCGCCAAATTCGATAATCTTGCTTCTCATTTCTTAAAATAATTGCTGCCAATTCCCTAGACCCCAGTCTGCTTGACTGTCATGAAATTGCCTTTCAGTTAACCTTCAGCCAAGTATCAGTCTTCGTTCTCCTTGTCTGTTTTATTTATTTTTATTTTTTACTTAAATTGGGTCATGAGTCAAGCCTTGTAGATTCTGTTGTTGGGGAACTTGCAGACCAAGACATCCTCTGTTTTAGACAGATATATTCCATCCCTACAAGCAGAATTAAAGTTAGACTGTCAGGGAATAGTGAAATGTCTGTGTGTGGGATGATGCTTGGAGAAAATTGGTCGATTTCAGGGCTGTTTAGGTTGTTTGAAATAGGTACAAGCAGAGAACTTTTGAGGGCAGCCATTGGGACTGTTATACCAGATGACCTCCCCCTTCTTCCAGAGTTCTGAGTCTAGGTGCCCAGAATGGGTAAGTCAGTGGAAGGTTCACCTTTTCCCTGGGCCATTTAGGAGGACTTCCGGCTCTTGGTTTCTCTCAGCCCCCTTTTGCTGCCAGGGAGGGCAGTTGTGTTTCTAATTGAGTTGAGGCTGCCTGGTTTGTAGAGGCCAGTGAATTGAGGATAAAAAAAGCAGATGAGTTAGGGGCAAATTGGTAGGATCTTGGGGCTGGAAGTAGCCTTGAAAAAGATCACTTGGTTCAGCAATGAATGTCTGACTTAGGAAGACACTAAACCTCTAGTCCTGAGACCCTGCAGCTAAACTGAGAGGGTCTTGGGCAGGCCTGAAACTTAGACAGAAATATATGGCTGAGGTCGGTTCCTGGGCCTCAGCAGGTCTGGTTCTTGTTCATTGGGAACCAAATGGCTCTGGTCTCACACTGCCTGATTTTCTTAATGTCTCTGCTGTCTTAACTTGTGTTTGAGCCTCTCCTATCTAGCATGGTGTTGAGCACATAGTTCAGTTCTATGAACAGAAGGAAGGGAGAAGAGGAGTCAGGAATGCAAAAGAAGGCAACAGGGAAAAAGCTTGCATGGGTCGTAATACATTGTATTTATAAAGCTGCTGAGAAAATGCTTTCATGTTCATCTTCATAAAAGCCTGTGAGGCAAATAGAACAGGTGTTTATTTTACAAATGAGAAAACTGGCTTAGAGTTGAGCTTCTACAAGATTTTACAGATTGAACTGGAGTCTTTTGGTTCTGAATCCAGTGTTCCCGCTACTCAAACACCTTACTTTTGTGGGTGGTGCCTCTTCTCCCTTTTCTGTGGTTAGGAAAGCTAGAACTGGCCTTCTACTCATTCATAAAGTGGGTAAGAGTCATCCTTGGAGTATGTAGGGATTTCATCCTTAGCACCTCTCAGGTCCCTGTTTTCCTTCCATGAAGCCACGTACCGTTGAGACAGGCTGTTGCTCAGATTGAGGTAGAAGTGATTTACGGAAACTGGCCTGGCAGTGGCTGCTTTGGGTTCCAGATTAAGGAATCTGGGTTTTGCCTCCATCATACGAATTTTTCCCTTCATGTGTTAAAGGGAGTCCTCCTACCCTTTTTGGGGTTGAGAAACTAGAAGTTAAGGAAGAAGGAACTTTCTTTTTCTTTTTTTTTTTTTTTTTTGAGACGGAGTCTTGCACTGTCGCCTGGGCTGGAGTGCAGTGGCACGATCTCAGCTCACTGCAGCCTCTGCCTCCCGGGTTCACGCGATTCTCCTGCCTCAGCCTCCTGAGTAGCTGGGATTACAGGTGCATACCACCACATCCGGGTGATTTTTGTATTTTTAGTAGAGACGGGGTTTGACTATGTTGGCCAGACTGGTCTCGAACTCCTGACCTTGTGATCCGCCCACGTTGGCCTCCCAAAGTGCTGGGATTACAGGCGTGAGCCACCATGCCTGGCCAAGAAGGAGCATTTTTTTCAAAAGCAGTTTTCAGGTTACCAGAGAAGTTACAGGTTTTGGGATAAAACAAACCTAGGTTTCAAACCCCTTCGTGCCATCTAATAGCTGTGGCTTTGGACAAATCCATTAACCTCTAAGCTTTAGTTTCATTATCCCTAAAATTAAATCATTGCTATGTTGTAGGGTTGGTGAGAATTAGAGATGTGTGCATGAGATCAGCATGTAGTGAGTGTCTTTACGTTCTAGCTTTTCATGTCTCTACTGTGTGCTTCCAAGTTACCTTCTGCTTTGGGGTGCTGAGAGCAGGAATCCCGGCCGAGGCCTGGTTTTTGGGAAGTTCACCCCAGGGGCTATAGAATCTGGTGCATTTGTATTTTCCCAGGAGAAGGGGGAGGATGTCTTTAAACTTTTTGCTGGCTGCTGGGCCCTGGGACAAAGGGGAGACAAGCCCCAGGGCTGAGACAATCATGTCTTTATTATCTCAGATGTCTCAGGCCTGTCCCCCGCCTGGAGATATATGGCTGGGAAGGCTAACTCCATGGCCTCGGCGCGATTCCAGGTCCTAGGAATGTCTGGCTGTTTTATAGCAAACAGAATCACGCACAACAGCCCAGCATCCAGGCATCTCCACCCCAGCAAGCTCATTCTCCCCGCCAGCTTGTAAAACAGTGGGACCTACAGCAGTGTGACACAGGCCCCATGGCTCTTGGGGTCTCAACACCTTGGCATAGGGCAGCAGTCATGGGCAATGTTGAACCCATCTAAGGCTTTGGGCACAGGGCCAGCAGTGCAGGCCTGGCTGTATCCAGGGACCACCTTTCAGACCAGGCCCTGCCTGGCTCAGTTCTCACTTGCAAGCCATGGGCTGCCCTAATTCTAGCCTGTTTCTCTTCCTTTTGACCCGTTTGGGGAGCAGCTGCAGGGAACCACTGAGAAGGCTTGTTTACAGATGCACTTGGCACAGGATGGGGAGACCAGCAGCGATGAGTCCTGAGTTCCAACTTCCAGCTGCTCCCAGGTGCTGAGAAGCCTTCTACTTTGGGCCCCAAAAAAACAAGTCCACACTGTTGTCTTTGGCCGGGGCTTCAGGAACTTGGAGATGAGGAGACTAGAAGACAGTGGGTGAGATAGCTGTCCAGGCCGTCATCTATAACAAAGCCGTGTGGGCTGGCCCTCCAGGGAGGCCTTGCACAGGGACCATGGGTTGTGGACCCAGGCTGAGGCTCTTCTCTGGGGCCCTGAAAGGGGCACTAAGGGGCCTTGAAGTCCAGGGATAGTAATGGGTAGAGATAGTTTAATTGTTCCCTTGACTTCTTTATTCTGGAGAAGGAAGAGTCCAGAGTAACAGTCATAGACCTGTAGCATTTTGGAAAAGGGCTGGAGCCCACTCTTGTGTGGCCGTTCATCAGTGAGTCGGTCTATCTTGCACCTCTCTGATGGTCAGTAGATGGTTATGTTTTCTCCCCTAACATGGATGTCTCAGTTCATTTGATCTTCAGTGCATCCTTCCCACCCTCGATATGAAATAGAAGTTCCAGATCCCACCCAGAGAGTGCTCACAGTTTAGTGGGGGGGTATGCATGTGTAAGCAGTAGTATGTATGACACCATGTGGCTTGTACCTTGGGAAGCACAGGTCTGTCAAAGGAGCATCAGTCCCTTTTTTCTTTAAAGTGTGTCCTCTGCCCAACTGAAGTCTTGGGGAGCCTACTCTTAAACATCTACTGGCTCAGCATTCTCAGGATTGGAAGTGGGGGCAGGAACATTCTCTGATGTTAAAAGCCGTAATAGCTAATGACTGAGCCCTGGCTGTGTGACCAGCCATGTGCTAAGGGTTTTACATGCTGTATCTTCATGATAGCTCTGTGAGACGGCTACTCTTTTCATTCCCAGTTTATAACTGAGGAAACAAGTTAATGACTTGCCCAAGGTTCACAGCCAGTCCATGGTAGAGCTGGGGTTATTTGACTCCACAACTTAAAAAAAAATTATTTTTGAGAATGTTCTGAGCTGTTTTTTCTTGTAACTGAGATCCAGCTGGTGCTATTGGTGGGCTGTTGTGGCTAACTGCCTTACAGAAAATGTAAAAATGTCTAGAATAGAGTTGACATTAAGTCCCTTACATGTCAATAACTAAATTATTAGTTTACTTAAGCTGAAATTAGTCAACTGGCAGTTAAAAGAAAAGTGGTGTTCAGTATTTATTTCTATAGAAAAGTGGTAAGGTGTGGCTGGGCATGATGGCTAACACCTGTTAGGCCATCCTGGCAACATGGTGAAACACTGTCTCTACAGTAAAATTAAAAAAAAAAAATTATAAAGACAGATTCTCACTCTGTCACCCAGGCTGAAGTGTAGTGGTGCAATCATAGCTCACTGTAGCCTTGAACTTTTTTTTTTTTTTTTTTTGAGACGGAGTCTCGCCCTGTTGCCTAGGCTGGAGTGCATTGTTGTGGTCTCAGCTCACTGCAACCTCTGTTTCTCCAGTTCAAGCGATTCTCCTGCCTCAGCCTCCTGAGTAGCTGGGATTATAGGCCTGTGCCACCATGCCTGGCTAATTTTTTTGTATTTTTAGTAGAGACGGGGTTTCACCATGTTGGCCAGGTTGGTCTCAAACTCCAGAGCTCGTGATCCTCCTGCCTCGGCCTCCCAAAGTGCTGGGACTACAGGCATGAGCCACCGTGCCTTGAACTTGAACAAGCCAGCCAGCCTTGAACTTTTGACTCCAGAACTTGTACTACCAGCTCCCCTTGGGGGCAGTAATAGAATAGCTGGTAGACAAATGATGTGTAGAATTTGAAATGCTTATTTTATCAGATGAGAATAATAGAAAAAAAACAACAAAAAGGAAATGCTTATTTTAAAATCACTATTGTGTTGATTTGTTTTTAGTCACAAGATTTATTTTGAAATGACAGATTAGGCCGGGCGTGGTGGCTCACGCCTGTAGTCCCAGCACTTTGGGAGGCCGAGGTGGGCGGATCACAAAGTCAGGAGATCAAGACCATCCTGGCTAGCATGGTGAAACCCTGTCTCTACTAAAAACACACAAAAAAATTAGCCGGGTGTGGTGGCAGGTGCCTGTAGTCCCAGCTACTCGGGAGGCTGAGGCAGGAGAATGGCGTGAACCTGGGAGGCGGAGCTTGCAGTGAGCCGAGATCGGGCCACTGCACTCCAGCCTGGGTAACAGAGTGAGACTCCGTCTCAAAAAAAAAAAACAAAAAGAAATGACAGATTTAACAAGGCAGGGGTTTGTCTCTCAAAGGCAGGGGACATAGGTTAAAGGTTGAGAATCTCTTGCTTGCCAGCAAGTGGCTGCTTCACTGGGTGAGCTGTACAGAGCTGTGACCCTTGAGGGCACAGTGGAGGGGAGTAACCTGCCTTTCCCCTTGCCATACTGGGGGTCCCCCTATTAAACCGAAGCCTGCTGTGGTTGGAAATGGGTACCTGAGCAGCTTGGGGAGCAGGAATCACACCCATATTGAGTGTATCCTAGATTCTGAGATGAGAGGGTCAGGATGTGTAAAGTAAGCATCTGGCTGTGCTTACTTGCCCAGGTGGGAAGGGTGAGTGTGTGTGTCCCAGGTCAGAAGTGAAGGGAATGGGGGAGCAACTATTCATTGGATGCCGACCTGCATTATGGTTCAGTTCTCACAGGAGTCCTTTGAGATGGGACAGATGGGGAAGCTGTGCAACTTCAGCTCTCAGGCTTTTCCCACCACACTATTGCCTGTTGTTTTGGAGAGCAAGTCTCAAGTCCCCTCTCCTCACACCCTTCTGATTTGAGGGATTGAGCCGCTCCTCTCAGCCTCCCTCTTTCCCAGTTGAAGCTGTCTGAATTCATAGCAGCAGCCCTGGATCCTCTTGGTCACTTCTCTGGATCCACTCCAGCTCTATGATGAATCAGAGGGGCAGCAGCTCGCCCTGTCCTGGCTGCGATAACCATCAGCCATTCTTGAAGCTTCCCAGGTGGCTCTAGCTGCTGTCCAAGAAGGGGATGGGGGAGGAGGCCCAGGTTGCAGGAGGTGCTGGAAGGAAGGAGGAGGAGAGATGGGAGAAGAGAGATCCAGCAAGCAAATTCTAGTGTCACCTAAACCTGATGAGACCAGGAGCTTGGAATGCCATTCTCCACATGCCCAGTATATACTTCCCTCACTCTTAAGGAAAGAGCCAGTGTTCTGGCCAGTGACTACCGTCAGCATCCCTGATAGCCCTTCCCAGTCCATATAGCACTTCTCCATACAGTGTTTCACTTGGGCCTCCAGCAACCGTAATGGTGGAAGTGTGAGGTCAGGAAGCCTGTGTAGAGTGGAGGCTTTAGAATTAGAACTGGGTCCAGTCCTGGCCCTGCGGTATCTTCATCTCTACTTTACAGATGAGGTTGAGAGGTTTATGAACTTGCTTCAGATTCCTCAGGCTGCCAGCAATGAGGAATGAGACCCCAGGTCTTCTGATGCCTAGAAAGAGGCTTCATGAGGAAAGAAGGGAGAAGCAAGCATCTATAGAGCTCTGGTTAGGTGCTGGTTAAAGTCCTGCTTAGGAATCTGCTTGTTTCTGTGTACTTACGATCTGTTTGTTTTCTTTCAATTTCCTAGTAAAAGATGTTTTTGAAAAATACCTCCCTGTTTGGCTGAACTGAAGGGAAAAGGACTCGTCAACTCATCTATACCTTGGTTCAGGCGAGATGCTCTAGAGCCAGGTGTGGGAGCAGCCCAAAAGGGGTTTGGACTGGATTGTCAGCCCCTTCCTGCTGCAGGCAGGCACCTGACAGCCAATCTGACAGGCCTGGAGCTGGGCCTGAAGTTCTTCTGCCACGCCAGCCAGGGAAAGGGGTGGGGGGAGGGCTGCTGTTTCCAGCTATGGCTTTGTCAGCTCTAGCAATGTGACTCCAGGCTTCCTCATCCCCTGCCTTAAAGAGAAAACTGTAGAGCGATGTGTAATTCTCCAGCAGAGTGACAGAGTTCAGCTTAGCCCAGCCAGAGACAGATTTCATGCTCCTGTATGGGGAGGAGGGGTAGGCTCAAGGCTCTGAAGCCCTCTGGCCAGGAAGCACCAAGGGTAGGTCTACGCCAGTAGTGGAGTGAGGGAAGTGGAGGGTCTGTGGGACTGAGGAGGGGCTCTGATAACATATTCCATCCTGACCAGCAGGCTGAAGCCTTAGGTTCCGGCCTTGGGCAAGTCTCTTCCCTTCTGTAGGTCTCAGTCTCACCCGTAAAATAGCGATGAAGCCTACACCTGCCTCTTGGTTGGTTTATCTGACAGGAAATGTTTGTGTTCACTTGCTTGCCTATGAACGTGACATGGGATAATGCTAGTAAATGGTGCTTTAGTGCAGGCCTGACCCACGGTCAGTGAGTTGCTCAGTAAATGGTGTGGTGTTGAGTATTGATAATTAGTAGTGTCCTGCATCACTCTCTCAGGGAGGCCATGTCTGTTGCTTTCTCAAGTAGAAGCTTCAAGGAGGCAACTGTTCCTGATGTCGCTACAAAGTCCATTGTTGACCCTTATATCTGGCAGGAGGCCTGTGAGGACTTAAGAAAAAAAGGGAGTCCTTGGGTAGGTGAGGAACCAAATTGAGGATGGAGGCTTTGGCTCAAAAGGGGGATCAGAGCTGATGAAGGTGGAGTTGGTCTGGAATCAAGAAGGGGGGCTAGGCTGGGTGCGGTGGCTCACGCCTGTAATCCCAGCACTTTGGAAGGCTGAGGCGGGTGGATTACTTGAGGTCAGGAGTTCGAGACCGGCCTGACCAACATGGTGAAACCCTGTCTCTACTAAAATACAAAAATTAGCTGGGTGTGGTGGCAGGCGCCGGGAATCCCAGCCGCTTGGGAGGCTGAGGCAGGAGAATTGCCTGAACCCACGAGGCAGAGATTGCGGTGAGCCATTATTGTGCCACTGTACTCTAGCCTGGGTGACAGAGGGAGACTTTGCCTCAAAAATTAAAAGAAGCGGGGCTACATGAGAAGCGCCATGCCTGGGGTCTGGGTTCTCCCAGTGGCTGCCGAATTGAGCTAATTAAGCCCAGAGGAGCCACTGCCTGGTCCAGGACCAGTCTGACAAAACCTGTCCTGGGTCCTTTCCACTGGCTTTTGCACCATCTTTCACAGTGATCAGTTTCTGGGCCTCAGTTCCTTCTCCTGGGTCCCCCTTTCCCTTCTTTGTTTTGAGGGTTCTACCTTAGCCTTCCCAAGTCTTGGGGTGCTGGTGGGGCTAGAGACTGGCACTGCTCCAAGGTCATACACACAATCTGTTCTCTGGCTTGACTGAGCTCCTTGAGGGCAGGGGCCAGGTCTGAGTTGCCTCTGGCCTTTCCCTGTCCAGCATTGAGCCTGTAATCCTTGGGCCCTGACCAGAGGGCCCAGCCCTTGCTGGTCTCAGTTGTTGGACTGGCCAAGGTGGCACAAGCTTGCATGGGGCCTTCTTCCTCACAGGTGGCACGAGGAGGTGGGGTGTGTGCTGAATTGGAATACATGGCTCCTTGTGTCCAACTTCCTCTTCCCGACTGGCCCAAGGCTTGGGAACAGTGGCTGCCTTTTTGGGGCAGCCAGGGCACCTGGCCAGAGTGTGCTCTGTCGGGCACTGTCAGCTCTTCAGCAGGCCCCGGTCCTCCTCTTAACCTAGAGAAGGCCCTGGGTTATTGGTGTTGTTCTTGGCGGACCACCGAGCCCCTCAGCAAACAGGGAGGTGAGTGTGCACCCGGTCTAGGCCTGTTTGTGTTGGCCTCGCCAGGCGGGGGATTAGCTCAGCTGGGCTGCTAATTGCCTCCGAAGTGCCGGCCGGGATGCTGACAAGGGCTGGGCCTCCAGTCCCCTCCTCCCGCAGCAGGCACTGTGCCAGGCTTGGGGGCCTGGCCCAGAAGGGCCCCTTCTCTCCCCTGTCAGCGCCTGCTTGGCCTAGACCCTTGAGATGTGGGCAGGGGGTCACCAGGACTGGCGGCTCAGGAAGGAATCGGGGGAGATGCTTATGAAGTCATCGACTGGGCCAGGCCAGGCTGTGTTCCACACACCCCTCCCCCACATGCCTTAAGACCGCCTCTCCAGCTCCCCTTCTGAATCAGACACTTTCTCCTGAAGCTCAGCACTTTTTTCCTCTTACTAGGAAGCTGCTGGGCTCCTTTGCCCAGACACCCTCACCTCAGTCGCTGCTCTGAGCTCCCACAGCATCTTCTCTCTTCTTGTCTCTTTCTCCCTGTCTTCCTCATGTCTGTCCTCCCTCTCTGCCTTTTCGTCACTCTGTGTCTAGCCTTTCTTAGTCTCCCGCAGTTGTCTAGTTCCTAGACTTCCCTTCTGTCCTGTTTTCCTGTGTTCTCTGGCCTTTGCTTGGCCTTTACTGCTCCCCAGACTTCCCATGGACTGGTTGTTCTCAGGAAGAGGCTGAGAAGGAGGTCTACTTTGTCACTGCATTTTCACGGCTCTCCTAGAGAACTTCAGGCCCAAGCTCTGAGGGCAGCTACGAGGATAGAGCCTGGACACAGGCTCTCTGCAAGCGGACCCAGCCTGGGAGCCTGAAAGTCTTACTTCCGTCCCCACAGGCAGAGCGCTTGGGGCCCACTACACCTTTTCCTGCAGCTCTGGCACTCCTGTCTGCACTTCCGACTTGGCCCTGCTCTCTGGCCTTGCCCTGCTTTTCCCAGACATTGGGATCTCAATCAGCCCCTCCAGCTGGTGCCCAGGGACAGCTTTGCTATAACCTTGTTGGCTGCTGCCTGGGTCTCCTGGCCTCTGGGATTCTCTGCTCTCCTATTGGGGTTTTCTACTTTGGGTAAAGATCTGCCTGCTTCTGAGCTCTGGGTAGGGTCAAAGTCTTGCAGCACCTGCCTCAGCCCTCAACTTGTTCCATGTGAATTAGAGGGATTGAGCCACTCCTCGTTTCATCCCCCCTCCTGCTCTCTTCAACTTACAATGACCTCAACTGCCATGACCTTAACTGCCTCCTAGGTTCCTGAAAAGGGAATAGTAATATTTCCAGTGAGAGTTGTCTGGGAGGGTAGACACAAGGAGAAGAGGGAGAATTAGAGAAGATGCTGAGGGAGCTCAGGGCAGCAACTGAGGTGAGGGCATTTGGGCAAAGGAGCCAGCAGTTTTCTAGAAGAGTTGTTGAACTTTACCAATGTTCTCTTATTTAACACCCCCAATAAATAGATTCTATTATTATCTAGCCCCATTGAAGTATGTGTTTAAGGGGGTGGGACAGGCCCATTTTACAGATGAAGAAATGAGTCTGGGAGAGGACAATGAATTGTCCAAGGTTTTATCTAGTGAAGAAGTGGCAGTGCTGGGATCCAAACCAGGTCTATCTGATTTCAAAGCCTGGGACCTTTGCATAGTGCTAGAAAATGGTTCAGCATGGTCACCTTGACTTCTTGGTTTGGTTTTGTTTTGAGACAGGGTCTTGCCCTGTTGCCTAGGCTGGAGTGCAGTGATGCAGTCTCAGTTCACTGCAACTTCTGTCCCCAAGGCTCAAGTGATCCCCACTCCTCACCCTCCTGAGTAGCTGAAACTACAGGTGTGTGCCACTGTGCTAGGTTAATTTTTGAATTTTTTGTAGAGGTGGAGTTTCACTATGTTGCTAACCTTGACTTATTTGCTGCTCTGGTACCCTCTATCCCCTCTCCCTGCCTTTCTGAGGATGAGGTGTCCTTTTTTGTCCACCCATACTCTATACCGTGTCCGGGACCTCCCTTTGTCTATTATGCCCCTGCCCCCGATTCTTCACAAATTCATAAGCACCCCTGCTGTCCTGAAAGCACTTTTCTTTAGCCCTTTACCCTGCTAAGCCTTTGGAAAGCTGAGCACAGAGCAGCCTACCCACTCCCCGGCTGCTGTGAGTTTGCTGCAGCGGGGGTGGGGGATAGGCCATGGCCTACCTTGGTAAGAATAAGGACTTCACTTAGTTAGAATGGAGGTTCCTGAGAAGCCACCCTGGATCTCCCATCAGCAACGAGTTCCCTTGGCTGTGGCTTTAGACTTGAGTTACTTGAAGTTTTCCACCCAGACTCCTTATTCTAATTGGATTCTAATCCTGGAGTTTACCTGTGAGCCATAGTCCTTGGATTCCCATGTCTCAGGACAGAAACTAAGTCCTTTTCCCTCATCCCCTACCTCCCATGTCAGTACCCAGTTTACCAGGCCCTCTACTCAACCAGGCCCTCATCAATACTCTTGAAAGATCTGACTAGGCCAAGGTTTAAGTAGCTGGTCATGACCCAGTGAAATGCACACGAAGAAGCCTTTGTGTGTTAACAGTGAAGTTTCAGAAAGCATGCAGGTGGGTCCTTGTGGCCCTCAAACCACCTATTAAGAAGGCAAAGGGGCCCCTATATATAGAATTTGCTACTATTTGTCTGCTATTCCCATGACCTTCTCCAAGTCTCTTCTCCCTATTCTATAAAAAAAGTCACTGTCACAATTGCAAGATAAAGAAATAATTGTTTTATCGTGCATCAGACTATGTCATGGGACGTCACAATGGCAAAGAGCCTAGTATAAAAATTGGAGGATGGGGTGGGGCAGCAGAGTGGGTTAGCAGCATCCAGAGCTGGGCTTTATCCAGCCCTAGGCCTCAGGGCATCACCTTTGCCTTGGGACGAGAGGAGAGTGGTTTGGGCAGGATGTGGACCCTCTGGCCAATTTCCAGGCCACGGTGAGGCCAAGAGGGGGTGGGCTATGTAAGGGCTGTGCCAGTTCCCCCTGGGACAGTTTGGAGCTGGGCATGTCCAAAGAAGCTCCTTTTCCTGTGGCTGTGGATTTCTTTGATCTCTGCAGCACTGGCGGTGGTTGGCCTGGGCAGTGGTTCCTAGAATTTGGTCTCATTAACCTAGGTCGCAACCTTCAGAACCCCAGGAAGATCAGCTTTAGGAACTCCCTGGCAGGTGAAAAGGGCAGTTCCCATCATACCAGCATCCAGCCTGGACCTACTGTTCCCTGGATGGGGAGAGTGGCTCAGCTCTTTCCTCTGGGAGGGGAGGGGTCCTCATTGTTCCCTCTTTCTGGGTCTAGCCTCTGCTAGTGAGGCATAGTATTTTTTTTGGGCTTAGTAGACAGCTGAACAGCCAGCCAGGGGAGCAGCGGACCCAGCTGGGCAGCTGTGGCGACAGTTGGATCAGCTTTCATCCACATCAGAGCTGGCCTGCCCCAAGATTATCAACCACATTTGAATGTGGCTCCAGCACCTCACTTGGTTTTGGCTTCCTCCTTGTATGGACATTGAGCAGAGATCTTGGCTGGGGGCCAAGGGTGTTGACCCTCTTTTCATGAGGGAGCCAACACTAGGAGGCACAAACCACAATGCCTGGAGAAGAGTTTCTGCAGGCTGGAGCCCATATTCCGAATCTCGGACGTTGAATTCAGCCACTGAACACAGGAGCCAGGAGCTTGGAGTCTGGGAACCCCAAGTGGGGGATCACAGAGCATAAAATCTCCGACCTGAAACTTAGAGCCCCAGTGTGGGGGCAGTCTGGAAAGTGGGCTTACAGCAACTTCCTCTGGTGATTGGGAGCCCATCTGAGAAGCAGATGGGTCAAGGGCAAGGTCTTGATCCATGCATGTCCTTCTCACAAGCCTGGGCGGGGCTCGTGATGGTTTGGCGGTTGTACAGGGTCAGGCCCAGGTTGCTGGTGCTGTCTCTTGGGAAATCTTGCAGTACCTATGGTACCTGGGACCCCAGGGACTCGGATGTGCTGGGGAGGGGTGCACCACACTGCTGAGACCTCACTGTCAGCCTTCCAGCTGTTCACATCTTTCCTCAGAGCCTGTTCTGCCCTTAGGAACCATGTGGGCTCCAGCTCAGCCTGTGGTCTCTGGCTCCTGCTGCTTCCCTGCCCCTTTTCGTCCAGCCAGAACCCCTGCCCCAGGCTCAGACCCAAGAAGACCTGCAGTTTCTCTACCTTTGGGTACAAGAACCAAGGAGGAGGCTTGGCTGGAGGACTCTTCTGGCCCTGCCTGTCCATCCAGCTTGCTGTGAGAGGTCTGGGGAGCACTGCCGTCTCTGATGTCAGATGGGCATTAGCATTCTTGGTTTGTCTGCTTCCCAGGACTGTTGTGGCCATCAAGTGAGATGGCCTGTACAGGGCCTAGAACACGTAGTATTTGCTCAATAAATTGTGTTGAGTAAGATAATGGGAGAGGACTTTATTGCACAGCCCTTTCCTCCCTCCCTCTCGCAGGTGTGTGTGTGTGTGTTTTCCTTTTTCAGTTTCATGGAGGAACAGTGCTGTGAAAGG
The DNA here is from genome assembly GCF_000001405.40 of Homo sapiens. Lineage (NCBI taxonomy): Eukaryota > Metazoa > Chordata > Mammalia > Primates > Hominidae > Homo > Homo sapiens. The sequence continues at coordinate 22,119,118 of NC_000001.11, forward strand.
TGACTCAGGGGCATGACTGCAAAGGCACAGCCCTTTCCTCCCTCTCTCTCGCAGGTGTGTGTGTGTGTCCGTGTGTGTGTGTGTGTGTGTGTGTGTGTGTGTGTGTGTGTGTTTCAGTTTCATGGAGGAACAGCGCTGTGAAAGGTGACTCGGGCATGACTGCAAAGGCACAGCCGGGATCCCTGGTCCAGGATGGCAGCCTATATGCCTGCCTAGGTGGGTCTGGGGAGTGGTTAAGTTTCCTCTTCCCAGGGGCAGGCTGGGGCAGGCTGGGTTCTAGGGTGGGACTTCAGTCGTCTCTTGCTCTCATCTCCCTCTTCTTGCCTGGAAGGACCCACAGATATCGAACCTCTAGCTGTCCATGTAAGGGCTGAAATGAACCTGGTGCCCTTGACCTGGTATCTGCTTGTTCCCTTTCTCAGGGCATTTGAGAGACATGGCTTCTAGGCTCAAGCTGCCAGGAGTCCATGTGTATGTGTGCTGGAGAGTTAAGAGTTCTTTTTTCCAGAGGGTGTGACTTCCATCAAGTCGGTACCTATTTTCCCTGCCATAAGGCCCCCTCTTCCCCGATGACACGGTCAGTAGCCATGTGGTGGTAATACTCCTTGTTACTCCACCTTAGGTCTGCAAGTAGAAAAACGGACACAGATAACAACTGAGTGGTCAGTGGCAGCCACATGCGGGCAGCCAGCGGCACGAGCAAGGTCCCTTTGGTCAGTGGCAGCCACAAAGGCCCAGGCTTTGGGGAGGCCCTGGTTGGTGCCCTTGGGGTTGCCTGCCTGGTTTCGGCAATAAATAACATGAGGACCCAAAAACCAAACCAGAACAAAAAATACAACCAGTATCTCTTGGGGTAGGTGGTGGGAGACTGTTTAAATTATCGGCCTTCCCTGGGCCACTAGGTGGTTGCCGGCGCAGGGCTAGGCAGGCGGTCATCGGCACGTGTGCAACTCCACGAGCCGCTGGCACTGCCGGCACTTGACGAAGCAGCACCAGTGGAATTTGCAGCTGCAGCGTTCAGCCAGCTCCACCTGCGCCGTGTGGAAGCCGCGGCCACAGCACAGCAGCTCACAGCCGTCGATGGCCTTGGACGTCTTGTTGCATGTGCGGCCCCTCGTGCCCAGCACGCCGCTGCGCATGTCCTGCTCACAGAAGTCGGGGCTAGGCTCCAAGTACACCAGGTCCTCATCTGTGTGCGGCTTGAACTGTGCGTTGCGTGGCACCAGTGCCCTGGAGGAGCCCACGCGGCGTGGCTCCACCTCAGTGGCACCATCAAACTTCTCCTTCAGTGCGTGACCCACCTGGCGGAAGGGCGGCACGGCTCGCCAGCACGTCTTTACCTCACAGGAGCCTGACACCCCGTGGCACTTGCATTCCACCCGCATGTGTGTCAGGATGGCCTGTGGGAGAGGGTGGGGGAGAGGGGCCATCAGGAGATGGCAAGGGAAGGCAGGGGAGGGCCGCGGAGGCTGACAGCCGAGCATCGGGGTCCCTGGGGCTGACGCTGCAGTCAGATTTGCCGTTGTGCCTCCTCTTAGGAATTACGCGGTACTGGGCTGCTAAGCAGTGTTGTGACAGGTGAACGAGGTACTGTCCCTGCACTTGGGGCACTGGGAGTTGAAGAAAGAGAAGCACTAAGGGTGGTGTCCTATCAACAGTGAGTGACAGGTGTGGGGTGGGGAGAACACTGCTGCATTTAACCTCCACGGGAACCTTGGGGAGTAGGCATCCAGAAGGCAGGTGGCATTACAGTTAGGCACATGATCTTCGTGGTGATGGAGAGAAAGGTTCACATCTAGCTCTGCTGCTCTTTTGGGGAATGAGTGTGTGTGAGAGACAGGGATGGACACATATATGTATGTGTGTGGGGGGGCCATATGTATGGAGGGGGCCACTTACCCCATTCTGTAACGCCTGCCTGCCTGTCTGTACCCCCCTCTGGCCTGTCCTGAACCCCACTGGCCTACAGAAGGTGCCAGGTGCTGGTGAGAGCCTGCACAAATGTTTTCTGAGTGGCCGTGTGGGTGGGAGAGTCTGGGGCCCTGCCCATGCTATCCCTACCCCGCTCTTGGTGGGGGGTAGTGCCACACTACCTTCCTGCCGGCCTCATTGTTGTGGAGGTTCATGAGGGCTCTGCTGGACGAGGCCCCCTTGCTTCTCTCCCGCACATCCACAAACGACTGTGAGAAGGCCACACCGTAGGCGATGTTGTCAGAGCATCCTGACCACTGGAAGCCTGGGGTGTGGTGGGCACAGAAAGGGCTGCGGTGAGTGAGGGCCAGGGCCAAGCCCCCTGCCCTCCCACTCTGACCACCTCCTGCACCTACCCTGTGGGCTGACCCCATGCACTGTCCTGTCACAGCCGCACTTCTCCAGCTCCCCACTGCTGCACGCCCGCGTCACTGCAAAGGCCACACCTGCCGAAGAGATGGCGTACACGAAGGCCGCCTCCCGAGTCCCTGTGGGAGGCAGAGGGAGGGCAGAGCTGGGTCCCAGGGCTCCTCCCTGCACCCTCCTTTGTAGAGGGGGAGGGGCATATGGAGCCTCCTGCTTGCTGGAGGCCAGGAGGGAGCAAGACAGGCAGAAATCATGTGCTAGGCACCCCACGGCGCTTGTTCTTATCACACCAATAGCTGAATCTGCTTCCTTTACCAGGCGTGGCTTAGGGCTTTTCAAACGTGCAGATGCTGTCATCCTCACAACCACCCCAGGAGGCAAGTACTGTTACCATCTCCATTTAAACAGAGGCTCGGGGGCTTTTCCGAGGTCACTGAGCCAGCAGACAGTCTGGCTTCAGAGCTTGTGTTCCCAGCTCCTGTGGGAAGCCGTTCTCACTACCCCCACCAGAAGGTTCGTGAAGGTTTATGGAAGACCAGACAGGCTGGGAGAGGTGAACTGGCTTGCCAAGGCTGCAGGTAGAAAGAAGGCCTGGACTATAAACTCAGGTCTGGCCTGTTCCCCAGCTGGCCCCACTGGGCTCTGAGGAGTTGCCCTTCCTTATGTATGATCTTGCCCCTTCCTCTGAGACTGGGCCTGTTTCTGAAAATGTCTTGCTTCCTTAGAGTAAACCGTAATAACAACAGCTTCTACGTAACCCCCAACCCCTACTGTGGCTAATTAGGAGATACCTATTATGCATAAGCCCTCCACCACTGGGGGCTTCATTGTCCCCCATTTTATAGACGGAGAAATGGAGGATCAGCCGGGGAAGGGATTTGGTCCCAGTCACCCAGCCAGAGAGCCATGGAACCAAGACTCAAGCACACGTCTGTCTGCCTCTGCCTCATGACTTCTCAGTGGTTCTATTTTGGTGCCCGCCCTCGTCCCTCGCCTGAATGGATGTTTTTATCCTCCTAAGAACTGTGCCTCGGGGGTGTAGCTGTTGTGGACTCTCTTTCTGGAGGTGGGGGGCAGTGTGTGAGCTGGAGTATGCATGGCCGGCTGGGTGTGTGACCAGACAGCAGACCATGCTCCCCTCCTGGGCCCTGTGAGGAGGGCCTCTGTACGCTGTGACTGTCCTTCTGTCTCTTGCCTGAGTGTCTGTGTCCGCAGGAGCGGAGGGGGCAGGCTTTGGCCCCATGGTTGGCAATTACCTCTGTGACATCCAGGCCTGTGCTCTCGGCTGCCCCAGGGAGCAGTCACCGTGGTCAGATGGAAACAATCACCTTCTCTGTGCCCCTGTCTGTGGACAGAGGCAGTAGAGGCTGAGCACTGGGGTGGGAGGCAGCTCAGTCCCCGACCACTCAGGACGCCCTGTTCTTGGTTCGGCCCTTGAGCTGGCGATAGTGCCCACCACCCACTCTCCACTGCCCACTCTCCACCCTGGCTTGGCCATTTTGGGTCAGCACTGGGGGGCTTGGCTGGAGCAATGGCGCCTCGACAGCCTGAGACAGAGTCTTCTCCGAGTTAATCGAGGTTAATAGCAGGATCATGTTGGTTGGTTTTATGCTGTGGCCGCCCAAAGAGAGACGACTTCAGTTTCTGGTATTTCTGGTATTTCCAGGCCTGAACCAGCACAAATCTTTGCCCCAAAGACCAAGGGGGAAGGGAAGTCAAAGCAGGAGACGGGGCTGGCTGATGAGACTGGCGGGTCGCCTCAGCCTGGCCTCGCGTGGTCCTTCCTCCTCTGCTGGTCTTGGCTCCCAGGCCACCCCGGCCCAACCCAAGCCCCAGGCTGATCTCCCCTGTGTACTGGTGGTCCCTGGGGTGCAGGGCCACCAGGGAGGTTGCTCAGAGAGACCTCTGCCTCATTCCCCAAACCAACATTCATCCACCGAGACTCCAGGTTCATTTTGCCCTGGCTTTGGGAACAAGAACACTGGAGTTTTCTCAGCTCGGGAGTGGTCCTGAAGGAAGAGATTCTGGAAGGAAGATAATAATAACGAGCTAAAGCTTACAGACAGCTTACCATGTGCTGGGCTCTGTCTAAGGACTTCACATGTGTTATATACTTGTCCCAACAACCCTATGAAGTAGATACTTTTCATCCTTCTTTGACAGATGAGGAAACTGAGGCACTGAGTGGTAAAGCAACTTGTCCAACAATACCCAGCCAGGAAGTGGTGGAGCTAGAATTTGAGCCCAGGCAGCCAGACTCCAGAGCTTTTAAACCTGACATTATTCTGCCTCCCAGAGGCTCTGAGCCCCTGGGAATACACATGCAGTTGATTCCACCTCCCACATATGGAGCCAAGAAGGGCTTCCTTAGGTCCACCCCAAACTTCACATGCTGTAGGACAAGCCCAATTCCCTCTGTGGGTTCTTTACTGGGGGATGGTGAACAGTTGGCCTCTGGGCTCAGCACAGGAGGCCCCAGAAAGCCTGGAAGATGTGGGCAAGCATCTGTGCCCCTAAAGCTGATGGCGGCTCCTCCAGCCTTCTCTACCTGGTTCTGGTGTCCAGCCCTTGGACTCCAGGGTGGTGGCCCTTCCCAGCTCCTCATCTCTGCCCAGGTTCCCAGGCTGGAGCCCTGCTCGCTCGAGGAGGACCTGGCAGAGCACTCTCCTCAGGGGCCACTCAGATATAGAGAAAGAACTGTAGTCCACCTGGGCAGGTAGCAGCGGGGGGGTTCCCCAGCAAGGTGGCAGATCCTGCTCCCTGGCCAGGGGCTTTCCAAGGGACGAAGGCAATCCTCGCCTTGTCCTTTCCTGGGCCAGGGGCCAGGGTAAGGCAGAACTCTACGGTGCCTTCTTCCGTTTTCACACAGCCATTTGCCCCTTCTCACACCCAGCTCCTTTCTTCCTGCTGTTTCTTCTTCCCAGAGCACCCCTGGCCTCTGACGTCACAGGCCTAAATACTGTGTGTCCTCTGGGTCCAGCCTCAATGCCACCTTTTCCAAGGTGCTAAGGCTGCCTGGGGCTGGGAATTCAGTTAACCCGTAAATCCACTAACAGCCACTCTTTCTGAGGGCTTGCTATGTGCTGTCTAAGGCTCATGACAGCCTTAGCAATGAGCTCTCTACAGCTCTGCTCTGTGGAAGAAAAGGTGAGGCTTGGTGGCTTGTCCTGGGTTCCTCAGGCAGTAAATGGCCAAGTGGGGATTAGAACCAAGGCTTGTCGGACTCCAGGCCTGTGCTTTTCAGAGCGTATCACTTGTGAAGTCTTTCCCAGATACAGGAGAAGGAAGGATATTCAAGCAGTTAGGAGTGTTTGGAGAACTGGCTAAGGCTGAGTTGGACTGGCAATGAAGCCATAGGCTTGCTGATCCCCTGGGTGCCAGGGCACGTATCTTGTCGGAGGTGAGGCCAGCTGGAGTCCTGGGGAGGTGGGGCAGGACAGGCACTGTCTCCCAGGATAACCTTATCCCCCATTCTCCAACCTCTATCCCTGCCCAGTCTGCCTTTCCAGATTCCTTTACTCTCTTGGATGTGCAGAAACCTACCTTTTCTTGAAACCACCTCCAGGAAGCCCCTTTGGATTTAAGAGACAATATAGGATCAGGGAAAGAGCAAAGGTTTCAGAGCCAAAGCTGTATTGGATTCTTACTAGCAGTGTGACCTTTCTTTCTGAGCCTTCCTGAGTTGAGTGTTCTCGACTCTAACATGGGGATAATAATGCCACCCCGGCAGGCCAGACCTCGCACCTCTCTGCCTCCCTGCCCCATGCGGTCAGAATCAGGATGTCCCCCAGTTTTATCTTCTAATTGTCTTGTGTGTGTCTGGCCACTGCAGCCTCAAGGCATTCCTAGTCTGGGAATGTCTCGGGGGTAACCCCTCCCCAGATCTTCTGTAACTTATAGCATCGAAAGGCTGGGTCACAGAGGTAACCCAGGAGAAAATAATGTTCTCCCCATCACTGGGTCCGGTGTGATGCCAATATTGAGGATAAAGGTGAGAGCACAGGTTCTAGTGAGGGACGCCCAAGACCACAGAGCATTTGCTTCTTAGGTCCAGGTGGTGCCACAGTCAGGAAGGTGTCCTAGATGGTTTAGACATGGGGAATGGACAGACAGGCCTGGGTTTGGACCCTCACTTTGCTATGGCCAGGGCACCACATGGCCTCCCAGTCACAGCAGTCAGACCCTGAAGGGGCCTCAGAATTCATCAAGTCCTTCATCTCAGGACAGGGACTTGCTCAAGGTCGCAGAACGAGACACGGTAGAGGCAGAGGAGGCCCGGTGCTGTCTACAAATGGAGGACAGCAGGAGAAGGGAAGTTTTTATTGCCTTTCCTGCCTCTCCCACCTGCCCAGGCACACCTTTGCCAGGCGCTATGGCCTCCCTCCCACCCTCACACCCTTTGGTTCATTCGATATTTGTTGGTTTATTTGATATTTATCAGTTCAGTATTTAACGATCCATTCAATATTTATCAGTTACCTATTATGTGCAGGTCCTGCTCATTTAATATTTTAATATTTGTTGATTACCTATTATGTGCAGGTCCTGTTCTAGGGCTTGGGATTAAGTAGTGACTAAAATACAGAGGCCATCCCTCATCTAGCCCTGAATACCTGCTCAGCCAAGAACCACCGATCCCCGCCCTCCCGGCTGTGCCAGATACCATCTTTACCAAATTTTTGGTAGATTTTCAGCCTAGAACACACAGTTTTGCCCCGAATTACACACCTGCCTCATCATTCATCATCATTTCACTGTCCATCTTGCCTCCAGGCCAGGAGCAGGGGAGGCTGTGAGACCTGGGGCAGTGCTGGCAGTGGGAGAGCCCCCCCAGCCCTGAGCCGTGTGGGGGTCAGTTAGCTCTTCCTAGGCATCATCTCTCTGATCCTCACGGGAATCCTAGGAGGCTGGTCCTGGAGTGGTCAAGGAGGACACTGGGACTTAGAGAGGGCACGGACCTTCCCCAGAATCTCCCAGCCAAGAGTTGGCAGGCCCAGGGCTGGGGATGTTACCACCCTCTGCTTGCCAAGTCTCCTTTCTCAGCTGTGATGTGGGAGAACAGCACTGTAAACTCAGTGTCACGAGGATGACCTGACGTGATAGCACACCACAGGCCCTCAGCAAATGGGGGCTCCTCTCCTCTCAGACCCCGGGGTGGGTCTGGTCTGGCCTGCTAGCTTTGTCTTCCATGTCTGACGCCACAACCCAGCCAGGCCGCTCATGTATGCAGGCTCCGGCCATGCCCCCAGTCCTGAGAGCATGTGAGTGAGGCCCGCTTACACAGGCTACTGCAGATGACAGCAGCTGGTGACGGGAGGCGTGTCTACACGAAGTGCTTCCCATGCATGAAATCACTGTATCTTCGTGACAGCCTCATGAGGTGGGCCTATGTGTGGCCTTGTTGCCAGGCAAGGACACAGATGCTCAGGGGAGTGCAGGCACTTGTCCCAGGTCATCCTCGGCCTCACCCTTCCTCCATCTGCCTCACCAGCCAATCCCTGCACCTTCTGAGAGCAGTGCTTCCCTCTCAGACCTCAGGAGGGACAATCCCCTTTTCCTCTTAGTCAGTGGAGACAAATTAAGAAGTTTCCAAGAGGAATTTTACTAGGGAAGAAAACCAAAAACGTAAAAGGGAGGAGTTTGATGAGTGGGCAGAGCTCAGCCTCCTTCTCCAGGTGTGACTGGCACCTGCCGAGTGTGACTGGCTTAGTCTCGGCACCTTGACATGTCCCTCTCCAAAGGGGATTGGACGTTCGACTCCACCAGTCAGACTTTAGTCCAGAGCAGGTACCACCCAGGCCTAGTAGGAATCTCAGTGTCCCTCAGATGCTGAGCCGGTGTGGGTGCCCCCTTGGTTCCTCCCCCAAAGGTAAGGAGGGCTTCTCATGGGGTCCTGAGTACCCACGATGGCTTCAGGCCAGCATTGCCCCAGGCTACCTCCTTCCTTGCGCCTTTGAGTCCTCTCCCCTGACCTGCTTTCTGTCAGTAGATGACATCCACTGTCTCCTCCATGCCAGGCTTTGCCACCTGCCAAGAAACAGGTCAATGAGCCATGAACCTTGCCTTCAAAGGGCCCGAGTCCTAGTGATGGGGGAGTGGAGTCGGGTGAGGAGATACGCATTTCAATCTAAAAGGTGTGCTAGAAGCAGTGTGAACACAAATGGCTTAGACAAAAATGTGTGTCTATATATAGAAATAGAGAATAACAAAGCAAATGGGTGAAAATGTAAGCTGTTGGTGAATCAAGTGAAAAGGATATAGGAATTACTTGTCCTACTTTTGCAACTCTTCTGTAAGTTTGAAATTATGATTTTAAAAAAATCCCACAGCAAGAACAAAGAGCTTTGGAGCCCAGAGGGAAGAGCTGAGAAGGTGTCGTGGAGGAGGGAACTGCTGAGCCCTCAAGAAGGGGGCTTGGGTGTTTGCGGTGGAGGACATTGCATATGCAAAGGGAGGAGTGAGAGAGGGTGACAGCCTGCCATATGAAACCCTGCCAATCTATCCACCAATCTGTCCAATACACACCTACTGTGTCCAAGGGCTTCCCAGGCTCATGGGCTGCTGTTTGAGGCTGTTTCTGGGGCTCCATCAACCAGGCAGCCCTGTTATCCTGGGAGATCCTCCACTGCCAGGCTGCTCACTGGGTCTCTGTTGCTTTTCCAGAGCAGCGATGTTCAGCAATGCCAAGCGAGATCATGCCTTTTTGGCCCCTGCCAGCTCTTAGGAGAATGACTTCCAAATTTCTATCACAGTTGGTTTCTAGCAACATCCAAATGGTTTGCTACAAGCCCAGCAGCCCCGGCCGTCCAGGACCACAGGTGTCAGGAGAAGGGTTGGCCCAGGCAACCCCTTCCTGCTGCCTGAACAAGTCAAAGGGCCTTGTCGATGGATAGTGGCTCGGAAGTGCCAGTTTCATGCTCAGGAAGTAGAAAAAGGGGCCCATGGTTTAGAGTACTTCCTTGAGGGCGGGAGCTTGGCCGGCGACCTCTGGAGGAGACTTCCAGTTCCATAGACCGTTCTCTATGCCCTGGTCCCCCTGTCTTTGGCTTAATGCCATCTCACATTTCTGGTCTCAGCTGAGGACCAATCTCCTCGGAAAAGCCTTCCCTGAGCATCCCAGCCCCAGCCAGGGGTGGTGTCCACCCTGTGCTTCCACAGGCTCCCCTGGCCCATTGATCACAGCGTCTCCTCATCGAGGATAAGACCACAGACCTGGGAGCGGGACGGCCTGGGGTTGAGTCCCGGCTCTACCACTTTCTACTTTTTTTTTCTTTTTTTTTTTTGAGACGGAGTCTAGCTCTGTCTCCCAGGCTGGAGTGCAGTGGCACGATCTCAGCTCACTGCAAGCTCCGCCTCCTGGGTTCACACCATTCTCCTGCCTCAGCCTCCCCAGCAGCTGGGACTACAGGCGCCCGCCACCACGCCCGGCTAATTTTTTTGTATTTTTAGTAGAGACGGGGTTTCACTGTGTTACCCAGGATGGTGTCGATCTCCTGACCTCATGATCCGCCCGCCTGGGCCTCCGAAAGTGCTGGGATTACAGGCATGAGCTGCCGCGCCCAGCTGGCTCTGCCACTTTCTAGTTCTGTGACCTTGGGCAAGTTACTTAACCTCCATGTGCCTGTTTCTGTGCATCCCTGTATCTCAGGGCTGGCTATGCTGGAGGTGCACAATAGGGTTGTTCAGGTGTACCAAGGAATGGGATGGGCCCAGATACTGGAGGCCAAGTGCTGGGGTGGGAAGAGCAGCGGGCCAGGGGTCCAGAGCCTCGGGTCTGAGCCCTGACTGCTTCTCTTCCTCTGAGGAACCTTGGGCAAGTCAGTGGTGTCCCCTGCCTGAGCCTCAGTTTCTTCCTTAATTACCTGCTTACGCTTCCAGGAGGCCAGCAGTGGAAACACGGTGCTCTTTTGAGTGCTGCCTCAACACAGAGCTGCCGCCTCTTCTGATGGCCCCCATCCCACACATACATCCCACCTGGATCATCCTCCTGTCCTGGGGCCCCCAACGCTCTGCATCCTTTATGCCCTCACTTGGGTCCTGTGCTGGTTTTGCTTCAGAAATGACCTGCAATAGTCCCGTTGCTCACGAGCGTCTCATTTCCTGCTGGGCCCATGCCCTGGCACCGCAGGCTCCCCTGCAGCCCCGCACGCCCTTCCCTCACCTTGCGTCACCACCTTGCCGAAGACGGGCAAGGAGTCGAGTGTGGAGCAGTTCCAGCGCCGGTTCCGGAACTGGTACTGGCACTCCTCAATGGCCAGCTGGGCACCGCGGCGCACCGAGTCCATGACTTCCAGGTTCCGCTTGCACATCTGCACCTGCCTCTGGATCAGGCCCTTGAGTTTCTCGCACGTCTCCTCCTCTGAGATGCTCCCCACCGACGACAGCTTGGCCAGGTACCTGGGGAGAGGGTGACACGTGATGCAGAGCCCACCTCCTCATCTTTCCTGGCCCCGGACCAGGCCTGAGCTCCAGCCCGGGTCTCTGGGAACTGACTCGTCCCAGTGACTGGGCCTGGCTGCCGACTTCTCTCTGGATCCAGTTACAGGCCCTCTTGCCCGGCTCTAGGGGCACCAAGGGAGTGGAAATGCTGTCTTCTGCAAAAAGCCTCTATCTCAAGTTCAGCAAAGCAGGTGGCAGCAGTGGGAGGGAAGCTCATCGAGCCCCTACGGGATCCCTCCCTGCCCTGGCAGCCCCCGTGCCACTGTCTGTGCCAGGACGTCACCCCAGACCTGGCTATGGGATCCCACTGTTCCCTGCCGAGATGCCTTCTAGCTAGGAGGCTGGAGCCGCTGTCTGCCCAGGGTCTCTCTTCCCTGTCCTAGGCAGGAACCCCAGTGATCCTTGGCTGATCTTCTGGCCACAAGACCAAGATCCTCACTGCCAGCCACATCCTAGGACCACCAGATGGAGACCAGTGTCATTGCTGCCACCCTTTGGAGGTGGGACAATGAGGGCAGTGATGGGCTAGAGGTCTAGGGATGGTCAGGTTATGGGTGGTGGTGGCGAGAGTGGGCTGTGTGGACGCTTCAAAAGCCAAGTGCAGCATGCTCTCCCTCCCCCAGGGGCTTGCCCAGCACACTGAGTCTCCCAAGGGTTGGGGATTTTCTAGGGGTTGGCTGTGAAGAAGCTGTTGCATCTTATAAAGGAAGCTGCACAAATTTCTTGTTGAAGAAGGATAAAGGGAAGGTAACTGCTCTTTGGGCCTCAGTTTCCTCATCTGTAGTAAGAGAAGGGAACACCGGTTCTGTCTGAGTGGAGGAACTGCTACCTGGAGCAAGAGGGATCTGTGTGAGAGATGGCCTGACACTGGCCCGAGGCAATGAGGCAGGAAGTCGCCATTTGTTTGCTGAATGAGGGAATGAATGAATGGTGACCAAATAGAAAAGCACACAGAAAGTCCTACTTATGGGAATTCTTTCTGATGATAAGAAGAAACTTATGGAAGTTCCATCAAACTTCTATGGAACTTGGGACTGGGCTAAGTACTTTACATTATTGCGTTTAATCCTCTCAGAAAGCCAACCAGCTGCCATTTAAAAGAGGAGGAAACTGAGGCACAGACATTTTAAGTAATTTACCTCATGTGCAGGGCTACACAGCCAGTGAGGTTGAGCAGGACTTGAACCTGGCATTTGCCTGGCTTCACAGCCTTGGGCAGAGACAGTATTCTCTGTGTGGCTCAAAGACTAGAATTGACACTGTGGCCAGAAGCTGCTGGGAGCTGGGTTTGTTCAACCCAAAGATGCTAGCCAGGGTGCAGCTGGGGAGCTGTCTCCCCATCCCTGGAGGTTTGCAGGCGGCAGCTAAATTTTATTTGTCAGGTATGTGGGTTGGACCAAGTGACGGTTCTTGAATCTGGCTGTGCATCGAAACGTGTGCAGGGTTTGTTGAAGGTGGAGGTGCCTGGGCCCCAGTCCCAGTGGGGGTTGGTGGGCCTCTGAGGTTAATTGAATGTGCCTTAGGTGCACCTGGGAGGCTAGGTGGGCACTGGCCTGGAGAACAGTCTGCATAAGTATGGGTAATGTTTCCTTCTCAGCCATAGGGAGCTCTGACTCAGGGATGCCACTGTCCTCCTCACTGTGGCATTGATCCCCAGGATGTTTCCTTTTCCCCGTGGCTGTGGAGCCTGAGCCTGGCTTTCCTTATCTGTAAATGGAGATAACGGTTCTCACCCAGAGGGCTGCCAAGAGGAATGCCCGTGATTTGCTGTGTGATGCACCTGGCTGTCAGCTGGGCACATTCTAGGTGCCAGGTAATTGTGGGGGCAAGTGTACAGCATGGGGCAAGTGCAAAGTAGGCGGTCTCAGGCCGAAGAAGGCCAACCTCCCCTCCCCACCCCCTGCATTCCTGGTCTCCCAGGGGCCTCCCCGCCCCTCCTTCCTATCTACCAGGTGGTTCCCAGGGGATGCACAGACTGGTGGTGTCCTGACAAGGCCCAGGCAGGAGCTCGGAGCCCCTTGGAGGGAAGACAAGGGCAGGAAGGGGGCTGAGAAGCAGCAGAGGCTGCATTTGGAAGGGGAGGGGCCCACCCGGCTTCTCAGCCCTGCCTGGGTGCTCTCCTGCCTGTGCCCAGCCAAGGGGTCGCCTGTGGAGCCAGTCCCACCTGTTGCTCTTGGCCTGCAGGGGGCGCCAAGAGCCCGGCTACTGGCTGTGGGCCAGGTCCACGTTCAGGCCACAGGTGTCCCTCGGTGGGGGGACAAGGAATTGAGCCTGACGTTGGATCCTTTCCTGCTCAGACCGAGGCTTGGCCTCTTGGAGAAGGGTGGGGGCCCTGTTTGCTCTATGATGTGGGGGCACAGAGCTGGCCCATCCCCAACTCAGTCTCTGCTCCCACAGCATGCAGCCAAGAAGGCTGCATCTGGCTGTGCTGGGCCCTGGGCTCTGGTCAAGGGAGGCACCCAAGGGCAGGGGTTCTCTGGGCAGGGGGGGCAGCCTCTGACCCACCATGACCTTGGGCAAGTCCCTGCCATACTTGGAGCCTGTCTCCTTATGGGTACAGTAAACCGGTGGGTCCATATGGCCTTTCCCACTGTCGGAGTTGGTGGGCCTCCTTCTACTGGCAGGGTGGGGAGTGGCCGGGCCTCAGGGGCCTGCTGGCCCCATGCCAGGCTGATAGATGTGTCTCTGCCATTGAATAAGTAGTAAGATGGACCAGGGGAGCCACCTGCATCCCCCCACCCAGGCTCAGAACTCAGCAAGGGGAGACTGGCTGAATGACAGTCGCAGGGGCTTAGGGTGAGCTGCTGGGCTGCCGTGGCCGTGAGTCACTGGGCCAGCTTCCAGGAAGGAGCTGAGCAACCTCTTCCGTTGGCACCAGTGCCCACCCCCAGCCCCTGCCTTCATCTGGCACAGCAGCTGTCCCCTTCCGTACACACGAGGCCCAGCCCCATCCCCACCCCTGTTCCCCCAGACCCCAGGGTCTCGCCCGGGCAGGGCTGGGTGCCAGGGCTGGAAATGGAACCGGGCACCGGCTCTAGAGAGTGAGAACCCCAGGCATTACAGGCCCTCATCCACAATGTTTCTGCTTGCCCGTTTCAGTATCCAACTAGCATTTGGCTCCATTTCACAGATGAACAAACTGAGGCTACGGAGATAAAGCAACTTGCTTAAAGTCCCACAGCTAGAGCGGCGAGCTGCAGTGCAAACCCAGCCCTAACTCTCAACTCTCTTTCCTCTGTACCTGGCTGTGGATATGCCCCATTTACCTGCTGAGGGGGGCTAACACTGCCCTTGGTGCCTCACACAGGGCACAGTGCATAGAAGGTGTTTAATAAATGCCTGCAGCAGGATGGAGGGCTCTGTCCTGACGGGGTTCCCTCTGCTTCCCTCCTGGCAGAGTGCTCAGGATGGGGAAGATAAGGATGAGGGAGGAATGTGGGGGCTGCTGTGGTCTTTTGATCTGCTGAGAGCCTGGAGACCCATCAGGGCGAGGCCTGATTAGTACTGGACACCTCAGGATTCCCAGTGCCCTAGGGTGGCTCAACCCCAGAGACACGTGTGCCATCCGCTGACCCTGGAGCTGGACCAGGCTCAAAAATGGAGTGCACCAGCCCTTTCTAGGGGTGACAGAGAGCCAGGGCGTGATGGGTGGGCCGGGCCAGGCTGTGCAGGGCCTTGGCCATCCCTGAGGCTTCTCCTGTCGTGGCTGCATTGCCCCAATTTAGGCTCCTTCCTGCCACCACGGAGTACAGGCTTAGCAATTTGCCACCTGCTGCCCTGGCCACCCAGGACTCTCGCCATGGCCATGCCGTTGATCAGGTTACCCCACCAGCCCAGACCGCCCCTGCTGCTGCTACCAGCCAGCTCATGCCCTGATCTTCTCCAACGGGGGCTGCAGGTCCTGCAGGCTCCTCCCAGGAGGCCCTCCCCGAGCCCGGCCCGTGCCTACAGCCTGCGAGGCTGGAGGGCCCTTGCCCTGCCAGGGAGATCAGATCCTCTCAGCCACCTGCTGTTTTCATTAGAAACTAAAATTAGCTGGGCTTGTCCCAAGCTTTTCCAGGTTTGCTTGCTTTTTAAAAAAAATATACAAATTCCTAGAGGAAAATCTGCACCTCTGCGACTCCTCCCAGCTCTTACGCTGTGAGTCAAGAGGAGAGGGGACGGGAAATAGCTGGAGCGTTTGGGAGGCCAAGCAGATCAGTGTCGTGGGTCCCGGCCCTGCGGGTGTCCAGGTGGGGGCTGGGACGCCAGCGCAGGCCTCTCTGCCCCCTCCCTTTGGCCTCCCTGCCTGCCTGGGCCACATTTAGAGCCTCCTCAGGAGCGGTCGTGCCTGCGATACCAGGGAGGAAGGAGGCCAAGTGGGTGGGAGGGGGAGCCGGAAGAAAACGGAGTGGCTGCTGAACAGAGCTGCCTTGGGGGATGCGGGCCAGTGGGGGCGAAAGTGACCACAGTCCCCATCTAGGACTGTGTTCTTAGGGGGATGGTACCTGGTTTCCCAAGATCCTAACCATACCCCCCACTCACTTTTACATCTTTGAATGTTTCTATAACCACAGTCTTGGTATCCTGCTGTGCTCCCCCTGATGGTGCCCTAGCCTTGGAGACCCTTGTCTTTTGGCATGGCAGGCAGTGCAGAAAGGACATGGACCAGGGACTCCTGGGTCCAAATGTCATCCTTGTGTTGCTTGAAGCAAGTTAGTGAACACCTCTGAGCCTCAGCGTGTTCATCTGTAAAGTGGGGAGACTGGAATTCCTGCACGCAGGAGGCCTAAATGAATGAAATCTGTGTGCAGGAGATGCTCGTCCCTGCTGCAGCATTGTCCTAGCAGCACCTTCAAGATGCTCACTGTCATCGGTGCCGTCACCACCCCTCCCACAGCCTCTCCCAGTTCCTCTGGCCACCCCTCTGCTGCACCCCAGACCAGACCCATGCTGACTTCTGCTCATTTGTGTGTGTGTTTTTTTGCTTGGGTCTCTTGGCCCTCTTAGTCCTGGGTTCCCAGTCTTTTTTTCAGCTGATCATGCCTGAGAGGTGGGACACGCTCCCCCGGGGTACAGTGGATGACCTCAGCAGCCATCCCAATGGCAGGCTTTTGACAGAGTCTCCAGATGAAGTCTGCAGAGTTTGAGGATGTGTTTCCTGGCGACTGTCAGTCAGACCCTCTGAGGCTGGGGAGTGTGAGAGATGGGTGGAGGGGATGGTGCTGCTAGGACATCAAGAGCTGGGACACTGGGGTGAGGGCAGGGACAGTGGTGTGCAGGACAAGCTCAGGAGTGTCAAGGGGACTTGGAAACCATTTGTGGGCATCACAGAGTGGATGCATGGGACCTTCACTTATACTCTGCAATCAATAGTCACGTGCTTCAGTATGTCCTTAGTGCAACAGCACAGGGCTGGCTAGGCAGGTGTCTTCCCCTCTGTTTCGCAGATGAGGAAACTGAAGCTCAGAGAAGCATGTGTTTGAGCCCATGCAGCCTGCAGTGGAAGGTCAGGATTTGAAAACGGGTCACTCTGGCTCCTAAGCCAAAGATGACCCAGGGTACTGAGGCATGAAGTTTGGCAGTCAACAGACAGTGACCTGAGGGAGGAGGCCTGATTCTTCCCTTGATGGGTCTTTCTAGAGCCCCATGTCTTTTCTGAACTACAGTGAGGTGTCTGGGCTGTGTTCAGGAGTAAGGGGTGCTGGGGACAGATGTCTGGGTGGTTACGGGACTGCCTGGACAGTATGGAAGCCTGTGGTCTCTGTAGCTGTTGGGGCCATGGAAGGGTTGCTGCCACTGGTCCAAAACCCCTGGAGGGGCAGGCTTTGGAGACACTCATGGTGGTTTGCAGGGCAGTGGGTGCTGCCTTCACCCCTCAGCCTTAGCATGGTCCTAGGTCTCTCAAGGCCCAGGCCAAGTCCTCTTGGCCTCAGGTGCATTTCCTCAGGCGGAGAGAGAGAACGGCCTCCCCTGGAACCCAGGCCTCCACCGCCAGTGCACACCACTCTGCACCTTTGGGCCCCTTTCCCTCTTTCCTGTCTCCTGGGACCCCTCGCTCCCATCTCCTATCCTTGGAAGCCTCAGTGCCCTCATTTTCTGACTCTTGGTTTCCCAATTCTCATTACTTCCAGTATCCTGGTACCCTAGCCCCCTACATTTCACTCCTGAGGGCTCTGTGTCCCCCACTTCCTGTTTGGGAGCCCCCAACCCCATTTCCCATCTCACTGTATGTATTCCCAGCGAGCTGGTGGCTGCCTCAGGGCCACAAAGTAGCCCCTTGGACCTGAGCCTGGATGGCCCCAGAGCTCTGCCAGGTGAGAACTTGCCTTCTCTCCCTGAGGCAGGTGTGTTGTTGGGGGGAGTGGGTATCAAATTTAAGGCTGGTCTGACCTCACCTTGTCCCCCAATTTGCCAGCAGAGAGCTCTTCCTTTGCTAGACCCATCCGACCTGTGTCCCCACAACCTTTCATGTCCTGTGGCCACTGACCCATTGAACTGTCCTCCCTGCTGGGCTGAGGGAACCTGGGGTTGGGGAAAGAGGAGGGACAGGTGAAACCCCAGCAGAACTGTCCAGAGCCAGTGCTGGCCTCCTGGAGTGAGGCTCCCGGTTTCTAGTGAGTTCATCGGCCTTGGGGGATACCTTCCAAAGGCCCAGTCCTAGGAGAGCCTGTGGCTGAACCCCTACTCCCACCCCCACCAGGGTGGGGCTCATCCCCCCAGCAGAGAATAACTGGCTGGGGGTACAGGGCTGCAGGGCTGCAGGGCTGCTGTCAGCGGCTGCGGGAACAGCTCTGGGAGACCTGGGATGGAGTCCTGGTTCTACCACCGCCATGCTGTATGGTCCTAAGTGCCCAGCACAGGGCCTGATGTGAGGAAGTGCTCGACATGTTTGCCTGGGGGCATCCCAGGCCCTCCCTGGCAGGAAGGTTCCCCAGGGGGTTGACTGAGAATCCCCAAGAACCCCCTCACACTCATGCCTCGAAGCTTGGGTTGCCGGAACAGCTGGGCACCCGACTCAGGAGGGGCTATTCTGCTGTCTCCAGCCCTTGGGGAAGGGTCTCTAGGGCCCAATCCTGGGATTTCAGGGCTTGTGTGTGAACAGATTGAGAAATAGGGTCTGAAGGGACCATTCACAGTCATCTCGGGGAAGGGCCCTGAGGCCCATCAGCATTCCTGCTGTTCTAATGGGCCTCTCCAAAGATACATGTGAGCTGTCCGAGGCTCCTCTCCCCTGGAGGACGCATCCCTTCCTCCTCCCACCTCCCTCCCGCTCTCTCCTCAGACCAGGTCCCCTCCTCTGCGGGGTCTGACTTGGCAGGGAACTTTCAGAACACAGTTTGGTTTCAGTTTGCCAGGACATGGGGGAGGGGGAGCTGGTGGGGTCAC
Organism: Homo sapiens; assembly: GCF_000001405.40. Taxonomy (NCBI): domain Eukaryota; kingdom Metazoa; phylum Chordata; class Mammalia; order Primates; family Hominidae; genus Homo; species Homo sapiens. Next base: position 22,137,262 of record NC_000001.11, read on the forward strand.
GGCAGGGAGCGAGCCGTCCCGAGTTTGGCTGAATCACAGAAGATGCAGTTCAGGACTCAGAGATAAAACCTGGCAACTCCTGTGGAAATCTGGAGAGCAACCCTGGGGTCGCAGCTCTGCCTGCAGCTGCGCCTGCTCCATGCAGTGAAGGGGTGACTGGAGGGCCCACGGCAGGCAGCTGTCACCCCACCCATGGCTCCCTGGCCAATCTGCGCCCCACTGGCTAAGCCCAAGCCCCTCTTCCCAGAGGCAGGAACAAGAGGAGGAGGCTTGGTGCAAATGCTCAGCTTTCCCAGTGTACCCACAGAGCCTGAGTTGGGCGAGTTTCAACAGGTTTGGGGAGCACTGTCTTGTCAGATGCTTGCTGTGTTGCTCAATTGCTAATCCAGGGCTGAGGGAAGAAAGTCAAACCATAGCAGACAGCTGGGTCGTGACTGCTGCCTGAGCAACCCCCTCGGGCAGAGCCTGGTCCTGGGGTGCTGCAGTGCTGGGGGAGAAACACTCAGCCTGGCTCTCAGGGTCTGTTCCGGCCCAGCAGTGAGGGGCAGAGCAGCAGATCGGGGGGGCAACAGACACACTTCCTGCCACCCACCTCTGTGCCTTTTAGTATCACCTGAGCCTCAGGGCAGTGGAGCAGAGCCTTCCTCCTACTGCAGGCCTTTGAAGATGGGCTACCATTGGACAACAGCTGAGAACCCTCTAAACAAGCCCACCTTTCATTCATCCATCAAAGATCGGCTGAGCACCTAGTACCTGACAGGCACGTGCCAGGCACTGTGAGATATTCAGAGGTGTTTATGCCACAGCCACGGCCTCCAGATGTTTATAACCTTGTAGAAGCAGTAAAGAAACCACATGATTAGACTAGAGTTATATATAATATGAAACGGTTCTATAGGCAGGGGATGAAAGCTGTAAAATCTGGACATGGGAGAGCAGTTCCAGTCCTGCTTCTGATTTGCAGGATGACCTTGGGGAAGTCATTGCACGTCTGGGCCTCTGAAGTGGGGCTGAAAGTAATCTACACTCCTGTCCTCTGAAAGTGGTTGTGGTGAGGCATGGAGGGGATGGTGTGTGGTTCAAATGGGTAATGGTTGTGAAAGATCTTTGCCAACCATTGATTCCTGGGGGAATGATTTTGCCCGCCCCCCAGGGGACATTTGGCAAAGTCTGCAGACATTTTGTCCTTTCGCTTGGGGGGATGTTACTGGCTATCTAGCCGGTAAAGGTCAGGTATGCTGCTAAGTATCCCGCAATGCACAGAAGAGACCCAGACAGAAGACTCATCCAGTCCCAAATACCAGTGATACGGAGGCTGAGAAATCCTGCTGTAAACTGTGAAGTACTGTGGGGGTGTTTGTGATTGTAATTCACTGCCCAGAGCCACGGAGGAGCTCTAAGGAGACGGATTTTTGACTATTTAGAGGGGAGAGAGGGATCTTTTAAAGCTGGGAATCAAGGGCACACTTCCTGGAGGAGGTGGGCCACATCTTTACCTGTGTGGTTGGCACTGCACATCTGGGCTGGCCGTGCCCCATCCCTGCCCCAGGGAGTTGTGCCCAGAGTGTTGGGCTTCACTCCACCCAAGGCCAAGGGAGATATAAACTGTCCCCCGGCCCCCGGGCAAGCAGGCTCAGGGGAGCTTGGCCGGAAGTCGCACACCAGTGGGGACTCAAAGCCAATGGAAAGCATGATGCGTCCTTCACTGCCCCCAGGGCACGGAAAGGTGCTCCCAGCAGCAACTCCTCTGCCTGGCAAGATTGGCTTGTGAGCCAGGCTAGGTCTTCCTGACTCTGGGAGGCTCCTGCGGGGGCCCTTGTTGAGCAAGGGGGTTGCAGCCTAGGATCCTACCTGTGTTAAATCAGTGGATCTGGGTGGGACAGCCTGGGATAAACAGGGCTTGGGAGCAGCAGCCTGAAGGCCCGTTTTCTCCACCACCCCTATCAATAGGGACGCAGCCCTGCAGCTCCCTGACAGCAGCCCTTGCTTCCGGCAGCTGCCAGGGCTGCCATTTCCATCAGCGTGCCTGGCCCAGTGCCAGCTTGCCACACGCATGGGCTCGCTCTTTCTTCCCAACCACCATTGTGCACCATTTGCATCAGTGGGCTCCATTTTACAGATGAGAAACCCGAGGCTCGGAGAGGTTAATAACCTGTCCAAGGTCACTCAGCTGGGCAGGGCAGAGCTCGGTTGGATCTCAAAGACCCACTTCTTGGCCATGCCGCCGGCCTGCCTCTGAGTGCAGCGTGGTCCCCCTCCCCTCACCCGTGGGATTCTGCTAGAACCCCGCTACCCCACTACTTTCCTCAGAAATCCACAGTCCTGAAACCTTAGCTTATTTATTCCCTAACCCTCCCCAGCACTTCCATTTGGGGTTCAGAACGATCTGCTGAGGACTGTGGCCCCAAGGGAGGAAGGGGACACCCAATATGTGGCCCAGAGCTGGGACTGGAACCCAGGTATCCTGACTCCCGGTACAGCCTCAGTGCAGGGAAGAGGGGACATTAGAAACATTTCTGAGCTCAGGTCCGTGGCAGGGCAGCCTCCTTAAGGGCAGAGTCCCAGCCTTCCCCCAGGGACTCTTCATCCATCGGGCCCTCCCTCAGTGGTGGGAGCCGTCACAAGCTGTCAGCGGGCTCCTCCGGGTGCCAGACGAGAGTCTAATCAACAGCTCCCAGCTTCTCTGGGCCTGCCCAGGCCTCAGGCTGCCCTCCCAGCTCCAGGCTCCATCCTGCCCAACAGCTGCACGCGGCGGGACACCTGGCCTCCCCACCAGGCCACCTGCCCTTCTGAGACAACAGATAGTCCTGGCTCTCGCCACTGGCCAGCAGACCCACCCTGGACTCCAGGGTATTGGGAGGCGAGCGGAACCTAGACCTTGCTCCTTGGCAGGTGCTGTCAGCTATCCTCTCGGGGCCAGGCCTCCTCATACCTCACACTTGAAAAGACACAGTGCCAGCCATCATGCCTGCATGGACACCTGCCTCCCCGAAGCTTTTCCTTCTAGAGGCAGCTTTTCAGTCGGACACCTCTGGCATTTACCAGCTGGGTGACTTGGGCAGTTACCTCTGCGATCCCCAATCTTCTCATCTGTAACGGGATTGAAACGTTGTTGGGATTTAGATCATGCTGTGGGAGTCATCATAATAATTATTATTGTCATGATCATACAGTCTTCAGACCAAGTCCCCCTCTGTGCCTGCTCGGGCTCACACTCAGCTCTTTCCTCTGACAGCCATAGAGCATGTGCCCTGTTCCACCCAGTCGTGGTTTTATCATGTCTTTCTACCTAGACTCCAGGCTTGTGGGAGGCCAGGCTGTGACATCCATTTCCCCCAGAGCTGCCATTCCTGGCCAGCTGATTGTTCGACAGAGGTTGATAAATATTGGACCAACCTTGGTATGTGCCCAGTGTCTTCTCCTTCATAGCCTCTCTGGTTTGGGAGGGTCCTGGGAAGCCTCTTGTTCCTCTTGCCTTGGGTGGAGCAGAGAGACCCTTGGCTTGAAGCCGGGGGTGGAGCAGGAGTGAGCTGGGTCATCCAGAGACCTGCTTCGTGGCAACCTGAACCATCACCGTTGCAGAGAACAGGTTTGCCAACCTCTCTTCTCCTAGGCTGCCCCTCCTCACCCCACCCCCAACAGCACAGGCAGGAGAACTGAGTTGTTGGAATTCCCCACAGTTTGCATGATCCAAAGCCGAGGCTGCCTTCCTGGCTGGGATTCTGGGGGTGGACATGGGTGAAGGTGAGTGGTGATGCCACCGGGCCATGCTGGCTCCACTTTGGGACAGCTTCAGGGAAGGGGGTATAGGGTCACTGCCTGGGAGTCAGAACACCTGGGTTCAGTTCTCAGCTCTGAGTTTGGGCAAGTAGCTTCCACTCCCTAGGCCTCAGTTTCCTCATCTGAGTCAAAGATGAGATGTTCCTGAAGGACTTTCCACTGCAGATGTCGCTGTCTTCCATGTAGGCCTGGGCCAGACGCTTGGACTGCCACTTTTTTTTCTTTGTTTTTTGTTTGTTTGTTTGTTTTTTGTGGCTTTGGCGGTGCTGGGCAGGTGAGACACAGTTCTTGCTCCTTCTGATGCTCAGATCTGTTTTGGAGGCCCCCGCTCTGAACCCATGCATTCAAGAACCAGCTCCAGGGACACCCAGGGTCCTCCAAGTCCAAATCAGCTCCCTCCCCAGCTCTGTGACCCAGGCTCCATTCAGGGGGTGGCCTGCAGGGGGGCAGTGGGAGAAGGTGGTGGTGCCTTGCTTTCTGTACACTCTGCCACTGCTCCTGAAGTGTTAATCAAATTAAGGCTCCAAGAAAAACAAAAGCTCCGCAGCCACTTCGGGCTGCCTTGGAGTCGTTTGCTCTCGGAACAGCTGGGAGAATTCCACATCACCTCCGTCCCCCAAGCCCTGGGTGGCTCTGACCCCAACGAACACACTCCTTCCAGCCTGGAGGGCTCTGGCTGGCCACAATGACCTCATAGCAACAGCCATTGGACACTCGGGGCAATTTCATGGGAGATATTTGTTCTTTGGTCTTGATGCAGAGAGAATTTTTTCCTCTCTCCCTGTCTCCATGGAAACCCCAGCTACACTGTTGGCGATCCCCCTTCCCACCCCATGCTTTTCAGATCAATATTGGAGCTTGGCTCCCCACTGGCTGCCCACAGCGGATGGTGGCAGAGCTCTGGGCAGGAGGAACTGGGGCCAGGGTTAAGCGCGGGGCATGGGGAACTGTCCCTGAGCGGGGATGAAAGGAGCGCGGGTCCGCTTGCTCCCTGTCCACCCACTCACTGGAGCTCATCCCTTTAGTCTCCCTCCCTGCAGCAAACCTTCCGCCCCTACCCAGGGAGCGCCCTGAGCGCAGATCCAGTCAAGGAGAAACAGACAGGTCACCAGCGGTTACCACCCCTTCCTCCTTAGGCTAGACACGGGGAGCTGGGGGGCCGTTGTCTTCTTTAAGGTCTGGACGGAGTTTCTTCCTGCCCCGGGGAAAAACCAAGGCCCGGCCAGCGCCAGCGCCAGCCCCGGGCCCTGGGAGACCAGGCGTCCTGGTCCCTTCCTTCTGTCTCCGGCTCCCGCCCCCCAAGCAGAAACAGGTCCCTGCACGCCTCCAGCCCAGCCCGCAGCGCGGCGCAGCTCGGCGCAGCTCGGCGCTGGGAGCTCGCTCCGGACTTCTCGGGATTAACCTGCTATTATGTCCCGGAGCCCTTCCCTGCAATGGGCTTCCTCAGCGACCTGTCAGCCCGGCTGGACTGCAACCCGCGTCCGGCGCCCCTCCCGGGCCACCGCCCCGCGCTCGCACCCCTGGCGCCCTCGAGAGCCCCGAGCCGCCTACCGGTGCGGACGCCGCCACAGCCACCCCTGACGCCTCTGGGCAGGGAGCCGGACCCGGGCAGGAGGGGACCCCGGGTGTGCAGAGGGACGTTCGGGCCGTGGCGGCGGCAGCGGAGCGAGCGAGCCTCCGGTCCCGCGGCCGAGACACCTGCCGGGCTGCCCCGCGCCCGCTGCCCCGCGCCGCCTGGCACCGGCCGCTGCCCCCGGGGCCTGCCCCGCCCCGCCCCGCCCCGCTCGGCCCCGGCCAGACTTACAGCCAGTTGCTCGCGGCGGCTGAGAAGACGGCGAAGACGAGGAGGCGCAGCGAACGCAGGCACGAGCGGGGACTCATGGTGCCGCCGCGGGCGCCCGGCCCGGGGCAGCGGCTGCGGCCGCGGGGGGCCTCCCGTCGGGGCTGCAGGTGGGCGCCCGCGGGCGGGCCGGGGCGCGCGCGGCGGGGCTCTGCCTCCGTGTGCCTGCCGGCAGCCTGCCCGCTGCTGCGCCCGCTGCCCGGCGCGGACCAGACTGTCAGCGCCGCCCCAGAGCCGGGATGCGGCGGCGGCGGCGGCGGCGGCGGCGGCGGAGGCGGGCGGGCGGGCGGGCGGCCGGGGGGGCGGGCCGGGGGCGGGCCGAGGATGGGGTTACCTGGGCGGGCCCAGCGGCCCGGGACACCCCCCCGGGGGCGGGCCGGAGCGGCGGCGGCTGCCGCCTTAGCCCGCGGGACTGGGCTGCTCCCGGGGCCTCCCCGGCTGGGCGCTCCGGAGGACTTGGGGCCCGAGCCCGCTCCAGGCACGCCTGGCTGCGCGCCGCCGAGCCCGGCCCGGCTAGAGGCGCGGCGACCCAGCTGCCCGGCCGCCGCCCGGGCCTAGGGGACAGGCGGGCACAGCTCCCCCAACCCGCCGCTGCGGGCACTGCAGCGCGGCCCTCGCTGTCCCCCTACCCCCCCCACCGCCCCCCGCCGGCGCCTGGAGCCCAGACCCCGGTCCGACCGCGGCGGACCCACCGGAGCGCGGCTACCACTCGCGCGCACCCAGGCGCTGGCGCTCCGGGTGCCTGGGGCTGCACATCGGGGCGCTGGATGTCTCCCGACCGCCCCCCGCCCGGCCCCTCCCTGCCTCCTGGCCCCCGCGTCCTGCGGCCCAGCCCCTCCCTGGCGCTCACCTCCCTACAGCCTTCCGGGAGCTGGACGGGGCCTCCCCAGCTTTGGGCAGCTTGGGACAGTGGCCCGAGACTGTGGGAATCCGAAACCTCGCTTCTGGCTAGCCACAAGGTCTGGGCGCGCCCCAGGCAGCAGGGTCTTGACTCTGAGCCTCCGTTTTCTCATCCGGGAAGTGGGCTTAAGACGCTGTGATTGGGAGGACAGGAGGAGTTTAGGGAAGCTCTCTTGGCTCACTCACCAAGTCTTACTTTGCATTTGGTTTTCTATGTGCTTGTTCGATTTATCCTCCCATACTAGGCAGATTCAGCCTCTTGTTTGTTTTGGGCACAGGGCGGTGCCTGCCATGTTTGTGGAAGGAATAAATGAATGGAATGGAATGGGCTGCAACAGCCTGTGCTTGGCTAGTCCAGAGAGCTCAATTCCACATCACTGTAACCCCTAAGAATTGTCTGCCCAAGTCCACGCCACACCCTCTCAGGTCACTGATCTGATTCTGTGTGCTACTCATCCTCCAGGCTGCATCCCCCAGCTGCTCACAGGTAGAGGGACCTCTTATCTAAACAGTAAAACTAAGGCCCGGAAAGGGAGGCACCTGTCCCACCTCCCTAGGGGTTGGGAACAGAGGCAAGGACCAGGTCTATGCCCTCACCCCCTGATCTTAGTTCTTCACTGATTTTGGAGTATGAAGTTTGCTCCCACAGAGGCCATCATGTTTGGGTGCTGGGATGGTGCCCTGGGGTCCCCTGGGCTCAGAACAGAGGAAGGGCTCAGTAAACATTTGGTATTGGGACTGGGTGGAACGTGGCAGGGATTTGTGGGGCTGGGCAAGAGTATAGATGGAGGTTCACATACCATATGTCCAAATATTTGCAGGCTATAAATCAAGCTAACAAAATGCAAAATAAATTATGTTCTATTCTTCTATCTTGACAAATACACTTTCCTAACAAGGCAGAAAGCTGGCTTTGAGTGTGGCATTCTCATACTCCTCAGACCTTGCCCTGGAGCTGGTGGCACAGGGAGAGGGGGCCCCTAGTGCCTGGCCTGGGCCCCTGCCCCCTACCTTTTCCTACCTCTGCCTCTGTCCTGTCCTTCGAGAGTCTTGTGCACATTCATGAACATCTCAGCCTGCACATGCAAGCTCAGCCCCTTGGTAGCCCCTCAGGCTTAGGGCTGGGCACGCCAGTGGTGTACTCTGTCCTCGGGCTGGATCTGCGGAAGAGACCCACGCAGGTCCTGGCAGTGGGCTAAGGGCCATCTCTGCAGGGAACCCCAGGGGCCTGGGCACCCAGAGTATGCTCTAGTGGAGGTGCCACAAGTTCCAGGTGGGCATGTCCCCTTGTCCCATGGTCTTCCCTCCTTGTGATGAGAGGTTAGCTGGAGGAGGGCCAGACTGGGGGGGTCCCCAGGGCAGGGGCCACTCTCACCTGTGTTTAAGGGTGGTACTGAAGTGCTGACCTATTTTGAACCAGCATATTCACTTCCTGGAGACTCAGTATGGTATGGTGGAAAATAATAATAACAACGATAATAATTTAGATGGCAACAGGTAATTATGTTAGGATGGCCATATAATTTTCTTCCAAACCAGGATGTTTTCAAGAGTGACGGGGGGCTCTAACTGGAAGATTTGCCAGGCTACCAGGCATAGACCAAGACTGTGCCAGGCCACCTAGGATGCACTGTGCCACTCAAATGTTGTGCCCTGGTATGTCAGGCACTGTTCTTAGTGCTTTACACGCTTTGACTCATTCAATCGTTGCAACAAATCTAGGAAGTACGTACTGTTATCACCCTCATTTTACAGATGAAGACACCAGGTTACTTGCTTAAGGAAAGTGGTGGACCTGGGACTCCAGAGCCACATCCCCGGCTCCCATACCATCCTGAGCCTGGGACTCAGGTGTTTGGGCTTAAGCCCCTGTCCCAAAGCACATGACACTTGACCTTTGGGAAGCTGCAGGACCTTCAGTTTCTGTATCCATCAGGTGGGAACAATGTTACCTGGCTTGCCTTCTCCTGGGGTGCTGGGAGATGCATATGAGTGGGTGTGTGTGAGCCCCACGAGCAGGATCAAGCTGAGCCCAGGAGGGAGAGAACTGGAGCCATCAGAAAGTGTCTCCCTGAGCTGTGCTGTGATAATGGAGAGGAGGAGCCCTTTGCTCTGAGTCAGTGGAAATTCTTTTTTTTTTTTTTTTTTTTTTTTTTGAGACGGAGTCTCCCTCTGTCGCCCAGGCTGGAGTGCAGTGGTGTGATCTCGGCTCACTGCAAGCTCCGCCTCCCGGGTTCAACTGATTCTCCTGCCTCAGCCTCCTGAGTAGCTGGGACTACAGGTGCGTGCCACCATGCCAAGCTAATTTTTGTATTTTTTTAGTAGAGACGGGGTTTCACCATGTTGGCCAGGATGGTCTCGATCTCTTGACCTCGTGATCCACCTGCCTCGGCCTCCCAAAGTGCTAGGATTACAGGCATGAGCCACCTTGCCTGGCCGGAAATTCTTAATGAGAAAGTCTCTTGGAGGAAATGCTCTTCTAACTTTCAAGAACAGCCCAACTGTGAAGATATCAATGCAAATTAACTAAAAAGTCAAATTGTCAATAGCTCTTTAATGTCAGTAGTAAGAGTGCATCTGGTACTTTCTATATATACCAGCCACTGTTCCAAGTGCTTTGCCTGTTCGCATTAACTCATGGAATCTTGGCCACGGCTCTAGGAAGTAGATACTGTTCTTAGTTCCATTTACAGGAGGGGAAGCCCATGTGTGGCTCTAAAACTGCTATAAGACATATTAACAACCCTATTACATAGGTTAAGATTATTGTTATTCCCATTTTACATATGGAGAAACTGAGGCACAGAGAGTTCAAGTGGATTGCCTAAAGTCACCCAGGTAGCAGCACAGCCAGGGTTTGGAAGCAGGTGGTCTGGGCACTGAGCGAGCACAAAGCTGTTCAATGGACAAAAGTCTTCCACATGTCAGAATTAATGTCTGTGTTCAGAAGGGGAAGCTCATGGGGTTTCTGTAGACTCTTCCTGGGGGTTACTTTAAACCCTCAAAATCCAAGGCAGAGCCCTCCACACCATATCCCTCTCTGTGCCCAGCACCATGAGTACCTCACACATAATAGAATGGGAACATATCTTTCTTGAAGGGACCAATTCCTTAACTTCCTGAGCGGCCCATTTTTGGAATTAGTTCTCCCTCCTTAATAACTATGAAAATTCACTGAGGAAGGGAAACCCAGTCAAGTTTTTAATCAGAAAGAATCACATTCAGTGTGTCTAAGTTATCACCAGCTCTTAGGGAGTGGGCCCAAAGCAACGTGGTTGGATGTTTCTCCAGCTCAGTCCTGGAAGCACCTGGTAACGGAGTGTCAGGTCAGCTGGTGACCAGGATTTCTAGTCCAATTTCCCAGATTTGTGAGGTGAAGAAACTGGGGGCACTAGGCTCAGGGTCTAGAAAATTCTTTTTTTTTTTTTTTGAGATGGAGTCTTGCTCTTGTCACTCAGGCTGGAGTGCAATGGCGCGATCTCAGCTCACTGCAACCTCTGCCTCCCAGGGCCCAAGCGATTCTCCTGCCTCAGCCTCCAGAGTAGCTGGGATTATAGGTGCCTGCCACTTCGCCCAGCTAATTAGGGTCTAGAAAAGTCTTAATGCCTATCCGTGCACTTTGCAAGGAAATAAAAGGTACTTTCTTCCCGTGCCACTCTGGTCTACATGTGTTGGGCTTTGGCTGGGCATATCTGCACAGGCGTCTCCTCCAAGGCTGTTCACCCTGACCAGGGAGGGAACGGGAAACCTGGTCAGTCCCAGCCAGCCATCCATGTATGTGCGGCCCTCGGCAAGTCCTTGCTCCTCTCTGGGACTGGCATTTGCTCCTTAAAGACTCTTGTGGGATCTAGAGAAGCAGTGAAGTGGACCAGCAAGTTCTGGGGAATACCTGCATTTGTTCCAGGCCCTGACAGATCTCTTTGCCTCTCTGAGCCTCAGTTTCCTCATCTGTTCAAGGGGATCATAGCGATGTCATGAGGAATCAGTAGATAAGGTGTGTAAAGGCTTCTGAGCACAGGGCCCAGCTTCAGTGAATGTTGAGTAAGGCTTCAGTGATTGTTAGCGCTTCATCTTGTTCTATGTTTGAAACCAGAAGTTGCGCACCTGTGGTCTGTGGAGGTGTTTTGCTTGGCCTGCCTAGTGTGTTTTCAAGTACATGAATTTACTGATACTATTTCAAGATTGGGAGATTTCACATGAGAAGCTAGATCTCCAGCTTCTCTTGAGAAATGGGAGATTTGGCAACATGGGACCCACATTCTCGGGTGAAGAGCGATCTTTGACTTTAGATGGGGATTGTACTTTTAACAGCTCACTCATGCCCCCGTAACCCCTGTCAGATCCCTATGGGAAGGAAGGAAGCCAGTATTTACTGAGCATCCTACTGTTTGTCACAGAACACCTCAAGAGCTGTGCCTACATATTGCATTTAATCTTTACCATAAGCTGTTAGTACCCTTATTTTGCCAGTGAGGAAATAGAGGCTCAGAGAGTCCAGTTAAGTTGTCTAAGATCATCACACTGTTGGTAGGTGGTACACCCAGGACTGCCAATCTGGACGTAGGTTTCTTTTTCTTTTTAGGGCTTTCTTTCCACCCATCACCTAGTGCCGGTTCTGTAGAGTAACCTTGGTTATGACCCATTGATGATCAGAAGATGGATGTAGGTGTGTGGTTCTCATTCTTTACCTTCAGACCGCTGGGAGGCTGCGGAGTTAGAGTAGAGGTCTAGAAATCAATGTGAACACCCAGAATTCTTGGACTAAAAGCCTTCCTTCTATATAGAAGATAATCACAGTTTTAAATGTTTTACTGTGAAAATGTTCAAATATATACAATAAAGAATAATAGCATTAATAAACACCCATATCTGAATTACCCAGATTCAACAATTATCAATATTTCACCCCATTTGCCTCATCTACATTTTTTTCTTTTTTTTGAGATGGAGTCTTGCTCTGTCGCCCAGGCTGGAGTGCAATAATATGATCTCAGCTCACTGCAAACTCCGCCTCCCAGGTTCAAGTGATTCTCCTGCCTCAGCCTTTTGAGTAGCTGGGATTACAGGCAAGTGCCACCACACCCGACTGATTTTTGTAATTTTAGTAGGACGGGATTTCACCATGTTGGCCAGGCTGGTCTCGAACTCCTGATCTCAGGTGATCCACCTGCCTCGGCCTCCCGAAGTTCTGGGATTACAGGCGTGAGCCACCGCGCCTGGTCTGTTTCATCTACTTTTTAAAATCTTTACTAAATTATTTCAAAACACATGCCAGATCCCTTTTCGTTTCACCCATACAAACTTCAATGTGCAGCTCTAAGACCAGGGGTGTGCCAGAGCTGCTGGTTTTAGTGGCTAAGACCTGACTGGTGCATCTCTCCCTAATTCTGTGTTCAGAAACATCATATTGGTAGCTTGAAATCGGCCATGGTGGGAATATTTACACCATGGGAATCGGCACACACCACAAACCAGGGCTCCCCTCCATCTCCCCACCCCAGAGAGCTGGTTGTTAAACATTTACCAGTACACCACTGTCTCGAACACAAGGACAGTTTCTTACATGACCACCATGCTATTATCTTACCTAATGAAATTAACACCAACATCAGAATCAAATGTCCCCAATAGTTTTAAAAAAGTCTGTTTACTGATGGCTTCTTCAATCAGGACTTAAACAAGGTTCACCCATGATATTTGATTGTTATGTCTCCTGATTGTTATTAATCTAGAGCCATGCCCCTTTATCTCCCAGTTGTGGCTTTTTAAAATGCCCTTGGCTGCCGGATGTGGTGGCTCACACCTGTAATCCCAGCACTTTGGGAGGGCAAGGTGGGAAGATCACCTGAGGTTGGGAGTTTGAGACCAGCCGGACAAACATGGAGAAACCCTGTCTCTACTAAAAATACAAAATTAGTTGGGCATGGTGGTGCATGTCTGTAATCCCAGCTACTTGGGAGGCTGAGGCAGGAGAATCGCTTGAACCCAGGAGGCGGAGGTTGTGGTGAGCTGAGATCGCGCCATTGCACTCCGGCCTGGGGAACAAGAGTGAAACTCCATCCCCAAAAATAAATAAAATAAAATAAATAAATAAATAAATAAATAAATAAATAAATAAATAAAAATAAAATGTCCTTGGCTGGTGCAGACATGAAGTTGATTTGTAAGAGGGTCCCCCACTCGACAGTGCCTGTTTGTGCTGTCAGGCTGTTCCTCTGTTCCTGGACTTCCTGTATGTGCTCTAAAGTCTGAATGGGTTATGTTGGCTTTTTGTTATTTTGCTATTAACACATACTAAAAGTGCCCTCATTATGGAATCTTTTGCCGTGAAGGAGGGGTCGTCAGACTCAGGAAAGCTGGCCCTTCTGGTCGGGCCTCACCAGTCAGGGCAGGTCCTTTTGCATTCGGTCCTGGGAATGCAGAATCTATAGCCGCCTTCGGGAGTTCATTCCACATGCTGACACTTGGATGATCAGTATTCCTACCTCATGTCTAACTGCAGTCTTTCCTGCTTTAGATGAAGCCCATTTTCTCCACCTGGAACCCTGAGATGTCTTTTTTCTTTTCTTTTCTTTTTTCTTTTTTTTTGAGACAGAATCTTGCTCTTTCGCCTGGGCTGGAGTGCAGTGGTACGATCTTGGCTCACTGCAACCTCCTCCCCTGGGTTCAAGTGATTCTCGTGCCTCAGCCTCCTGAGTAGCTGGGATTACAGGCACCTGCCACCATGCCTGGCTAATTTTTGTATTTTTAGTAGAGACAGGGTTTCACCCTGTTGGCCAGGCTGGTCTTGAACTCCTGACCTTAGGTGATCCACCTGCCTTGGCCTCCCAAAGTGCTGGGATTACAGGCGTGAGCCACCGTGCCCAGCCCTGGGATATTTTAACCTCCTCTCTCTCAAGCCTCTTGTAATGCTGAGAAGAAAAAGTCCCCAATGTCCTGTGATTCTGGGATTCCAAGGGCTGTACTTGCAGCAGTCATCATTTCACCCTGGAGTGGGTAAGACCTTGTTATGCCCCAGCCCCTCCCTGCCCAGCAGAAGGCAGGTATCCCTTTTCCACCCACCTGAAGGATGGGGCTCTCACTGATCAGGGTGGAGGGCATTCACCTTTACCTGCCGTCCTGGGATCCCCCTGCACAGCCTGGCCAGCAGGTCTGGGGTCTTGTCCACTGGCCCAGCCTCAGGTCGTGATTCTGATTCCCTCACAGGGCTCCTGTCCTCGCTTGGTCTTTCCAACTGGATTGAATCCTGGATGCTGACTCCTCTCTGTCTTTATCCTGTTGTCACCTCACCGAGTCAGCTGGGAGCTTGCTCTTTCCTTCTAGCAACAGAAGACTGTGGTGAAAACACTTGTTGCAGCTGAGCGTTCTGCTTGAATCTTTTTTTTTTTTTTGAGACAGGGTCTTGTTCCATCACCCAGGCTGGAGTGCACTGGCACAATCACAGCTCAAACTGCAATCTCGACCTCCTGGTCCAGAAAGATCCTCCCACCTCAGCCTCCTGAGTAGCTGGAATGTAGGCATGCACCACAATATCCGGCTAATTTTTGTGTTTTTTAGAGACAGGGTCTCACTGTATTGCCCAGGCTGGTCTCAAACTCCTGGGGTCTAGCAATCTGCCCACCTCAGCCTCTCAAAGTGTTGGGATTACAGGCGTGAGCCACTGCACCCGGCACCTGCTTGAATTTTGAAAATGGCTTGACCTGGAGGGGATGCCACTCCTCTGGGAAGCAGAGTGGCACATGGGGGTTGTGGAGGCTTTGCTAGTGCTGGACCTTCAACAGAAGGTTGAATCTGAGCATGTGTTGAAGCTGCTGTTAGGAGAACAGCTGCAGTTAACAAGACCCAACCTGGGAAACACACTATTCAGGAGTGGTAAGGCCCTGTTAGAACCATCCCTTCCACAATGGCAGACTTCTAATGCAGCCCATTGCCCTGGGGAAGCTTGGGGGTGGGCAGTGTGAACTTGACTTTTCTCAAAGGTAATGCACATCACCTTTAAGGGAAGAAATCAGAGGAACTTGGAGGAATGAAAAGCTAGTCTGGCAGTGACCATTAAGAGAGAGGCAGACAATCTGGACACCAGCAATTCTGAAGTCTCAGAAAAAGGTCTGACTGATAAAGAAAAATTCAAGGTGAATTAGAAGCGGTATTTGGTCAAGGTCAAGGTAACAGGGAATGTAACTGATAGCTAAGGATTATTGCACGAGGTGCTGAATTGCACTTGAATGTCTCCTTCCTTCCTTCCTCCCTCCCTCCCTCCTTTCTGCCTTCCTTCCTTCCTTTCTTCCTTCCTTCTTCCTCTTTTTTTTTTTTTTTTTTTTTTTAGAGACAGGGTCTTGCTGTCCAGTCACTGACTGGAGTGCAGTAATGCAATCATGGCTTGCTGTAGCCTTGAATTCCTGGGCTCAAGCAATCCTCAGCCTTCTGAGTACCTGGGACTACAGGCTTGCACCCCTGGGCGCGGTGGCGTGTGCCTGTAATCCCAGCACTTTGGGAGGTCAAGAGGTCTCTCCAGGCCTTTCCATGTGCTGTTTCTCCTGCTGGGAATGCCCCTCCACTGGCTTTTTTTTTTTTTTTTTCTTTTTGAGACAGAGTCTTGTTCTGTTGCCCAGGCTGGAGTACAGTGGCATCATCTTGGCTCACTGCAACCTCCGCCTTCTGGGTTCAAGCGATTCTCCTGCCTCAGCCTCCTGAGTAGCTTGGGACTATAGGGCCATGCCACCACGCCTGGCTAATTTTTGTATTTTTAGTAGAGTTGGAGTTTCACCATGTTGGCCAGGCTGGTCTCGAACGCCTGAGCTCAAGTGATCCCCCTGCCTCGGCCTCCCAAAGTGCGGGGATTATAGGTGTAAGCCACTGTGCCTGGTCTCAACTTGCTCTTTAGTGGACTAATTTGCTGCAGGTCTCAACTTCCATAACAGGTCTGAGAAGGCTTCTGTGGGCTTCTGATTACATATTCTGTCTTAGTCCTGAGCTTTGAAACACTGTCAACGTAATACAAATGGTTATTCAATAGTTATTGGCGCAATCATCTGTTGAATGCGTCTTTTCCCGCAGCTTGGGGCCTCCAGGAGGGCAGGGACTGTGGCTGTTTTGCCCACTGCTGTGCCCCTGGTGCTGTGATGTGCCTGGGATGTGGTGAGAGCTCAGTGCATGAGTGCTGAATGAATAATTGAAGCGGGATTCTCTAAGCTATAGTTTCTTTATCCAAAAATGGGCCTACGAGTATCTTTCTTTTAAATGGGAATAGACATAACATTCATTCCTTTCCTATCCTCAACCTTTGCAAAAAAACTTAGAAGAAATAAATGGGCTTGTGAATTAGTAGCCTGAAAAAGCTGCAACTCAAGGGATTGAACATGAAGTTGGAATGGTAATTCTGGAATGGTTGAGGCGTCCCTAGCTTCTGCAACTGGTGGTTGGGCTGAATGATCCTCTCTGGTCCTGGGGTGAAGGAGTCCTTTCTCCTGGGGATGAGAGAGCTGGTTTGCTTATGTGTGCAGGGCCAGGGCTGGGCTGAGAAATTCATGGAGAACTGGGGTGGGGGCTGCATTCCACCCTAGGTGTGACTTAGAACTCTCTCTTGGGCTGGTGGAAGGTAGGATGGCCCAGGACAGACCTGCTCCCCTACGCTGGACAGGGAATTTCCTGGAAGAGGTGACCTAGAGTTTAGGCCTGAGGGATTGGGAAGGTGAGCTTGGCAGGTGGTGAGGGGAAACTGTTCTAGTGTTCTAGGCTAAGGAAAGAGCATGTCCAAAGGCCTGGAGGTGAGATGGCAGGGTGGGACTGAGGAAGGAAAAGTTCAGAGTGGTGGCTGGGCAGGTGAGGAGAGGCTGGGCCACGTGCAAAGCTGGAAGAGGCCAGCTTGGGCCAGGGAACGAGGGAAGAGAAGCCTTGGAGGAGGCTGACGCTTGTGGGGCTCTGCGTATATGTGTGTGTGTGCATACATGTGTGTGTGAATGTGTGTTGGGGAGGTGGATGGGGCACAGGGGGCAGTATCTTCAGCCTCCTACCAGCAACTATGCACACAGAAGCCCAGCCGGTATCCCCACAGAGGCAGACGCCCCGGCACTGCCTTGTCGGAAACCCGCCGGGGCAGGAGCAGCTGCTTCTAAATCAAGGCCAAAGGCAGCCAAGGGGCCGGGTTGGGTTTGGTGGTTCTGCTGTATGGGCTGATGTGGGGGCAGGGGCTGAAGGGGGCTCTTGGGCAGGGATTCTGGGCCAGAATGAGCCTGGCTGGTTTGGGGAAGTTTATTTTGGAAGCTGGGATGATGCAAAATTAAGTGGGGAGGAAAAAATAGATGAGGCGACCGAGAGGGTCTGTCTGTGGCTGGCGGGGCTGTAAGTGGCCAGCGAGAAGTGCGTTGTTGGGTAAACAGATGGGGGTGGCAGCTTTCTGCACGCTCGCTATAAATATCCCGCAGTTTGCCGCCCCTGCTGGGGTTTCCTGGCACCGTGGGTGTGGAGATCAAGGTACAGACACAGGGCACTTCCGGAGTGGCAGAGGGTGGCCAGGGCCCTGCTCAGATCCCAGCCTCCTGGGGGTGGAGTGGGCACCGGGAACTGAGGCTGAGGCCCGAGTGGGGGCGGGAGATGCTTCTTTGCTATTAACTGGCTGTGGTTCTTGGGCAAGCCCTGTGACTTCCGTGGGCCTCAATTTCTTCACCTGTAAGATGGGCATGATAAAATGAGGCAGGGCATGTGTCGCTGCTGGCACAGGGACAGGCACCCTGGAGACACTCAGGAAATGATCAAGTGCTTAGGCGCTGTGTGACCTGGGCGAGTTCTCTCGTTGCCCTGAGTCTCAATTTCTTCATTTCTTCTTCCAAAATATGGGGAGAAGAACCACTGTCTGGAGGCTGAAATGGAACCATGGGTCTGGCACTGGACTTGCAATGTGTGTGGTATTTCAGGACAAAGTTGGGGCCCGGCTGGAGCCCTCCCCCAGCCCTCTGCAGCTGCTATGGGATTTGTCTCATCTCTGCAGTATGGTAGTGATGATAATGGTGATAATAGCAGCCAGGCCCACTGCGAGCCTTTTGGTGACCCAAGGGCTTTGTAAACTGTTATCTGAGTTCTTCGTTATCTCAGCTGATTTTCCCACCTCCTCACCTCTTACAGATAAAGAATCCGAGGCGCAGAGAGGTGGCACTGCTGGAAGGAACAGAGCCAGATCCACAAGATCCTTCATTCCGACAATAAATATTCACTGAAGATCTGCCACATGTCAGGCCCCAGCCCAGGTGCTGGGGATTTAGCAGAAAACCAGCCAGACCCATTTCCTGCATCCATGGAGTGCACAGGCTGGTGGGGGAGATGGGCTAGAAATCCATGAACCAAATTATACTGAGACGAGCGAGCACCGAGCGCCTAGCGTGGACTGCGACCGCTCGGGCTCCTGTATCTGTGACAGATGTGCTTGGGCTCCTCGTAGGACCGAGGGACTTTGTTATCCACACCACTGGCCTTGAAGTTGGCTGCTACCTGATGAGATGAATTAAGAACATACCAGCACTTTGGGAGGCTGAAGTGGGTGGATCACGAGGTCAGGAGATCAAGACCATCCTGGCCAACATGGTGAAACCCTGTCTCTACTAAAAATACAAAAATTAGCCGGGCGTGGTGGTAGGCACCTGTAATCCCAGCTACTCAGGAGGCTGAGGCAGGGGAATCGCTTGAACCCGGGAGGCGGAGGTTGTAGTGAGCCGAGATCACGCCACTGCACTCCAGCCTGGGCGACAGAGAGAGACTCTGTCTCAAAAAAAAAAAAAGAAAAAAAAAAAGAACATATATTAATATATTCAGTTCATCAAAACAGTCCCTGAATACACCTCTGTGCAGAACTTGTGCGAGCCTCTGGGGACCCAGGGCTGGTCAGGCTGGCTGGGCAGAAGGGGATGAAAACATTGCCTTATACACACTTGTAGAATATGTCGCAATGGGAGAAATCTTCCCATAGCTTCTCATGAGTCCAGTGAATTAGGCAGGGCAGGTATCATTGTCCCTATTTTACAGATCAGGAAATTGAGGTCCAGTGAGGTGTCTTGGCCAGGACACTCAGTCAGGACGTGACATGAACACAGGACTGTCTGACTTCAAATCCAGTGCTCCTTCCCCTGCAGGTGAGAAGGGGCCCCTGTAGCAGTGGGAGAGGGCCCAAGGCCCCAGCTGCCCCTGAGGACCCCTTCAAGCTCAGCAGTGAGACTTTGGCCAGGGGAAGGGCAGGCATTTTATCCCGTCTCTTGCATTCCGTTCAGAAGGTCCCTGTCTGCAGCTGGAGGGTGGAAGGGACTCTGGACAGGGTCACTAGAGACCCTGCTCTGCCCTTTACCAACAATGCTGTGGGAATCCGGCGCATGCTCTCTGAGCCTGCGTTCTTCTCTGTAAACGAAAGGGTTGGACTTGATGATCTCTAGAGAGCATTTTAGGCCCTGGGGGCAGAGCTGGGAGCAAGGATCCATCTGAGAGTGGTTCAGGACAAGACTCATGCTCCAGCCCCAGCTGGGAGACTTGGTCTCTGGCTGATGGTGAAGTCTCTACCCACAGCGAGCCGAGCCAGGGAGCTGGGGAGGGAGGATATCTTTGCAGGCCACTGGGATCTCTGCAATGAGGCCATGGGGCCAGGGTCTTTCTGCTGTCTCCCCTCCCTGCCCAGTCCCCACCCCACTGACTGGGGGACAGTGCTCCAGGCAGCTGGAATGGGACACGGTTTGTGTGGCAGCGAGATATCCAGGCTCTCCTCCTTCCAGATCTAAGGTAGGAATGCACTTCCCACCCCCTTGAAGTTAGAGGTGGCTGTGTGACTGGCTTCGGCCAGCAAAATGTGACAGCAAGCAACAACTAGCAGGATGGGGGTGACTTGGGACCTGGGTGGGGACAACACAGAGCAGATGGGGCTTTGGGGTCTCTCCCACTGCTCTCCCATCCATAGGCATGCGGTGTGAACAGGAGCAATCCCTTCACAGTGTGGAGCCACCGGCTTTGGAGTTGTTTGTGGCTGCAGTGTGTAACCCAGCATCTCCTGACTGATGTTATAGGTTCTGCCGGAGGGGCAAATGCGGGCAGCAAGGGCTTGCAGCCCTGGAATTAACAAATGAGTACTAATGAGCCCTCCCTTCCTCCCTCCCTCCCTTTCTCCTTTCCTTCCTTCTTTTCCAAAATATATTTATCCATCTATTTATTTGTCCATCCAAGGATTCAAACCCAGGTCTGCTTGACTAGGAAGGCCGGCCCTCTCCATGGTGCCAGGACAACTCTTTGGAGAAGATGCCCCTCTCTCTGCCTGCCTGAATCTTCTCCGTCCACAAAGGCCTGCTCCATCCTCCCTCCTCCAGGAAGCTTTCCCTGACTGTCCCCGGGCCCAGCCAGGGTGTCTGGGGGGCTGGAGAGACCCACAGAGCCCTGATCACCGTGGCTGGCCCGTAAGTGTGGCGACTGAGTCCCAGTCTGGAGGCACAGCTGGACTTTCCCAGAGAGAACTGAGGCATTGTGGGAATTTCCCAGCTGTGACCCCAGGACCCTGATTGCCCAGAATGGCTCCAAGTTCACATATCTAGGGACCGTCACCAAGACTCCTGTATCTATATTAAACTCGGTAAATGTGATGACCCTGGAAATGTGCCCTCAGCATCACAACCGCACTCTTGGCCCCTCCAGAATTCAGAGCCACTTTGGGAGTCCACCCTGAAGCCCAGTTCAGGCTTCCCCTTAATGTGGGGAAATTGGGTTTAAGTGAAATTGTCATCTGCTGGTTGGGGAGGAGGGACACTCAGGCCTCTGCTATTTCCTCTGGGCTCTCCCCAGCAGTCCTCACTAGGGTACCGAGAAACAGGGGCTTCGCTCATCCTCCAGAGGCAGGGTAGCCTAGTGGTAAATGCACGGGCTTTGCAGGCAGACAGTGAGACTGAGTCCCTTCCACCTCTGTGTGGTCCCTGAGGAGGAACTTCACATCCCTGAGCTGATCCTCAGTTTTCACATCTGTAAAATGGGGGGTTTCCTCAGGTTGGAGGCTTGAGGTGAGAATGTGATGAGACAGTGAAAGTGTGTGAAGCACCCGGCACATAGTAGGTGCGCACTCAGTTGCAGTTACTGTCAATGGTTGTAGCCCTGCACTGGCAGGACCTTACGCAGTGACATACAGAGATCTGGTGGCAGGAGTCTGGGTGGCGGTGGCAATTATATTTCTCAACTGTATAAATCCAGCTCCCCTTGTGGGAGGAGCTTAACCCCTGGGTTAAATGTTGGGACCAGGATCAACTGCACAGTTAAACGTACATTTCTTGGCCAGGCGTGATGGCTCATGCCTGTAATCCCAGCACTTTGGGAGGCTGAAGTGGGCGGATCACAAAGTCAGGAGTTCGAGACCAGCCTGGCCAATATGGTGAAACCCCATCTCTACTAAAAAATACAAAAATTAGCCGGGCATGGTGGCCTGTGCCTGTAGTCGCAGCTACTGGGGAGGCTGAGGCAGGAGAATCGCTTGAACCCAGGAGGCGGAGGCTGCAGTGAGGCGAGATTGTGCCTCTGCACTCCAGCCTGGGCGACAGAGCGAGACTCTGTCTCAAACAAAACAAAACAAAAAAACAGGCTGGGCGCGGTGCCTCACACCTGTAATCCCAGCACTTTGGAAGGCCGAGGCGGGCAGATCACGAGGTGAGGAGATCGAGCCCATCCTGGCTAACACAGTGAAACCCCGTCTCTACTAAAAAATACAAAAAAATTAGCCGGGCGTGGTGGCAGGCACCTGTAGTCCCAGCTACTTGGGAGGCTGAGGCAGGAGAATGGTGTGAACCCAGGAGGTGGATCTTGCAGTGAGCTGAGATCACACCACTGCACTCCAGCCTGGGCAACAGAGGAAGACTCCGTCTCAAACAAACAAACAAAACAATAAACAAACAAACAAACAAACAACAAAAAACCCATACATTTCTTAGAGGAAGGGAATTATTTTTCTGTAAAACTACTGTCTGCCAGGCATGGAGGTAGGCAGAGTCGGTGCATAATGTCCTGGGAGCCTCCATGGGTTCTAAGAGGGATCATTAACCCCATTCTACAGATGGTGCAACTGAGGCTCAGAGAAGCTGAGGGACTGACTGGTCGAGGTCACAGAGTGAATTAAGGATGAAGTGCAGATTCCGGCCTAGGTCCCTGCCTGCCCCAACTCCCATGCTCTTTCCTGCACGGACAGTGCTCAGGTCTCTGTGCTGGTCACTTCCCCAGCACCAGTGGAGGTCCAGTGAGACAGTCTGAGCAGCTTTGGCAAAGGCTCTCCTTGCTCCCATAGTAGGGGAGCCCTGGGGCGTGGCTTTGGCGGCTATGCTGGCCAGAGTGCAGGCTGAAATCTGCTCTGGGGTGACTTGGTTGAGCTCCCTGGGGGTCCAAGGGTCCAAGGAAGGGGGCAGGATTTGGCTAGTGGGCAACAGCTGGAGAGTTGGCAGCTTTCATCCCAGCATCTCCACCTTCCTCCCCAGGGCCCTTTTCTCCTCTTTCCTCTCCTCACCAGGGACACCGCCACCTTCATTCTGAAGCCCACATCCCTACTTCTTGTTAGGGAAGGGAATCAGCCTGAGGGTCCCTGGACTTGAATGAGGTCACAGTTCCCATTGTAGAGATCAGTGAATCAAGGCCCAGGGATAGGAAGGGAAACTTGGCCAAGTGGCAGAGCCAGAACCAAGAGCTCCGGACTCCCTGCCTGGGACTCCTTTCTAATTTTTTTTTCTTTTATTTATTTATTTATTTATTTTTTTTATTGATCATTCTTGGGTGTTTCTCGCAGAGGGGGATTTGGCAGGGTCATAGGACAATAGTGGAGGGAATGTCAGCAGATAAACAACTGGGACTCCTTTCTTTAGACAACTACGAGGATGGGCTTATGTCCCTAGGAGACACCAGTTGGTTCCCATGGAAAACGGGCACAGATGATCTGAAATCAGATCTGAAATCAGAAATGAAGGTGGTTTCGGGCTACACCATCAGCACAGTCACACCACCCAGAGCCCCTCTTCCTGCCCTCCCCGTGTTCGGGACGAAGTGTGTTCTTTCTTGCAGGAGTAAAGGGGCAGCAATGTTTAATCCAGCTCCTCAATTCTCATGGCGAAATTTCAGGCATGGTGGCACCTGGGCCGGGGAGAGGTTTTGGAGCTAGCGGATATTCCTGGCTTCTCCCTGGCCCCCCTCCACGGTGACCTTTGGGAAGCTGACCAGGGCCCTTGCGCCAGGGCGGCCATCCTCGGAAGACTGTTTCTGTGTCTTCCTGTTGCGGTTTTGACTCTGGAGAAATGTTCCAGCCTTGAACTCACAGAGGGCCGGCCCCATGTGAAGCTCGAAGTTTGTTCAGCCGTTTTGGGCTCTCGGTGGCCGGGAGCTCAGCCTTAAGCAAAGTCCAAACTGACCGCAGCTTTCCCGGGCAACTCTGGAGCGGACGGGCCTATTTATATGTGGTGGGTTTTATATCACCACTTCCCTCCACGCTCAGTTTGTGAAGGTTTTTCTCCAGGGGGAGGAGGCATGGCCTTCTTTCCACCATCACCCTCACTTTTCCTGGCCCCTCAGGCCTGAGGGTGCCCCAGCCGGACAAAGGGAGGCAGGGTCACGCAATGGTTAGGATGTGGCACAGAAAGACCTGGCTGTAAGTCCTTCAGGTCTTAGCTCCAACAGCACCTCCTCCACGAGGCCTTCCCTGCCCTTTTTATTGTCCTCACGGATCTTACCACTGTGGGAATGATCTCGTCATGCATTTATTTGCCTTACTGTCTGTCTCCCTGGCTAGGAGGCCAGCTCCGTGGGTGCGGGGGCCATGTCTGTGCACAGGTGTATCCTCAGTGCCCAGATCGGTGCCAGGCATACTATAGGTGCTCAATATAAGAATGCAGAACAAATGCAAAGACAGGGTGTGCTCCCTCCAGCAGGGGTTCTCCAACTTCAAGGTGCATGAGAATGTGGTAGCGCACTTGTTAACTGCATGCCGAGCATCTGGATCCCTGGGCTGGGGTGGGCAGGCATCTGCAACTGGGCAGGAAGCCATCTGCTGGAAGACACTGCCCCAGGGACCCTGGGACTCAGAGCCCAGAGCGTGGCAGGACTGGTGCTAAGCTGTGGGCACAGCTCCCTAAACTCTCTGTCTGGGGGGCTGGGAGGGACTTGAAGGGGCCTCAGCTGGGGGCATTGGAGGATTCGCTTCCACTCCCAGGGGAAGCCAGGCTCTCCCTCCACTGGCGTTTGTATCACGGATCTCACCTTCTTCAAGTTCTTTGTTTAATGCCTGTTCTTGCTGTTCGACTCTAAGTGCACAGGGACTCAGTCAGTGTCTAATTGCCCTAGATCAAGGCAAGCAGGGCCCAGGCTTTGACCCTGGATCTGGCTATGGTTACTTCTGGCCCACACCCCGTCCCACAGGGTAAGGGGCCAAGAGTAGGTGCCCACCCAGAGCCCAGACCACCCCGGCTTGTAGAGCACACTCTGGATGCTGGAATGGCCTGCTCCAAAGGCCTGAGCCTGCTCCGGGGCCTGTGTGGCTCCCTTCCTGTGACCCATTCTCCTGAGGGTGGACTCCACTATGCTGCTAGGCCTGGAGGTGGCCATGGAGCCTATGTTTGGGGGACATGGACAGAGCTTGGATGTGTGGGCTGCAGTGGCCACACACTGGGCCCAGTTGGGAAGAGAAAGAGGACAGAGTGTAGCTGGGGCCTTCCTGATACTCTTACTGGGGGTATGCAAAACTGAGTCTCATTTCCAGTTGTATCCCTAGTGCCTCACTTGGGGCCTCGTGCCTGGTGCCTGGCTCACCCGCTCCTGGGTTCTCCCCAGCCTTCTCTGCTTCAAGCCTGCACCCCCCTTAGAAAGCAAGCAAGAGAAGGGCTGGGAAGAATGCAAACGTGTTATTTCCTGGCTTGTGTCTTAGTCCATTTAAACTGCTCTAACAAAATAGCTGAGACTAGGTAATTTATAAAGAACAGAAATGTATTGCTCACAGTTCTGGAGGCTGGGAAGTCCACGATCATGGTGTTGACATCTGGCGAGGGCCTTCCTGCTGTGTCCTCATGTGGCAGAAGAGCGGTAGAGAGGGAACCCACACTCCTGCAAACTCTTTTATAACAGCATCACTCTATTCATGAGGGTGGAGCCCTCATGACCTAAACAGCTCCCAAAAGGCCCCGTCTTCCAGTGCTGTTGCATTGGGGATAAGTTTTCAACACATGAATTTTGGGAGGGGACGAAAACCTTCAATCCATACCCCTGTGCATGTTCCTCATTTACTGAGGGCCTGCTGCTGAATCCAGACCTTTCTTAAGTTTCCACGTTTAATCCTCATGGCATCCAGCGGTAGGTAGTGCGTTCTCTGCCCTGTGATGCTCAGAGGAGTCAGGTGACTCAGGCAAGGCCACACAGCCAGAAGAACCCCCTTGCTTTTTTGACTCCAAAGTCAGTGCTCACAGGTTGGGGGAACTCATTTCTTAGCAAAGATCATGTGGATGGGTGCACCTGCTGATGGGAGTGGTGAAGGGGTGATGCAAGAAGAGGGCATGGCTGTGCTGTGAAGCTTGTCCTGAAGAGGGCAAGGACAGGTCTCAGGTCAGATAGGACGAGAGCCACCAGGTGGTCAGCAGTGCTGAGGCACAACTTGGGAGCCCTTCAGGTCCCCATAAGCACCATCAGACCTCTCAGAGCCTCCCCAGATAAACACTAGTCAAGTTAAAAAATGGTCTGACTATGCCATGCAGTGTCAGTTTCAATACTCTGGCTCCCTTCCAACCAGGTGGCTGCCCCCAAACTCAGGACTCACCACTGGGTGGGGCAGAGATCACACAGCCCAGCAGCCCTGGGGAAAGGGGTGAGGCCTCAGTGTTCCCTCAGGAGAGGGCTGAGTCCCTCAGTGTCTTCTCAGGAAGGGGATGGAGCCCTCAGTGTCCCTCGGGAAGGGGATGAAGCTCTCAGTGTCCGCAGGAAGGGGATGGAGCCCTCAGTGTCTTCTCAGAAGGGGATGGAGCCCTCAGTATCCCTCGGGAAGGGGATGAAGTCCTCAGTGTCCCCTCGGGAATGGGATGAAGCCCTCAGTTTCCCCTCAGGAATGGGATGAAGCCCTCAGTGTCCCCTCAGGAAAGGAATGAAGCCCTCAGTGTCCCCTCAGAAAGTGGATGAAGCTCTCAGTGTCCCCTCAAGAAGAGGATGGAGCCCTCACTGTCCCCAGGTAGGGGATGAAGCCCTCAGTATCCCCTCAGGAACGGGATAAAGCCCTCAGCATCCCCTCAGGAAGGGGATGAAGCTCTCAGTGTCCCCAGGAAGGGGATGGAGCCCTCAGTGTCTTCTCAGGAAGGGGATGGAGCCCTCAGTGTCCCCTCAGGAAGGGGATGAAGCTCTCAGTATCCCCTCAGAACAAAGGTGAACCTCTGTGTCCCCTCAGGGAATGGTGGCCCTCCTGACAGCACCCTCGGTCAGTCAGTGTTGAGTCCCATGCCGGCACTGCGCTAGTTTCATTGTCAGAGCAGCCCCCGGGGTGGCTACAGCTGTCATCCTCACGCTGCCGCGTCACTGCGTCATGAGTAACGTCCAGTAACTGCGGTTCAGAGAGGTGGAGCCACTGCCTGAGGTCAGGAAGCTGCAGGTAGCAGGGGAGCGGGTTGGCCCAGGCCTCTCTGGCTGCCAAGGCAGGAGCGGTCCCCGTGTGCCACCTGGGTGTTGCTGGACCTTGGACAGTGTGGCCAGAGGATCCGGAAGGGGTGAGTTCTGCTCCTGGCTCCCCTTGCTCCCAGACTGACCAGAGGTGTGTGGCATCTGGGGCTGTGGGGAGCTGGGGTGGGCCAGGAGCAGTGGGGGCAGGGGCTGGGGAGGGGTGGGAAACCCAGCCTGGCAGTGCCAATCCTAGCAGGAAGCACCTTTGCTTGTTCAGTCAGCCTGTGGGCAGAGGGCAGCTGTGTGGGGTGGCCGCTGCCACCAGCCAGAGATGGTTTCTAAGGGCAGAGGGTAAACAGTCACCTTGGCTACTTGGGCGTGCCATGGGTGGTGGTAGGTCAGCTCTGGAATATTCCGGGAAGTGAAGGAAGGAAATGGGAGGCCTCGGGTTGTGAGAGCAAGGTGGAGGCCATGAGCGGGAGGGCCCAAGAGGGCGTCTTCTGTCCTAGAATGCTGGCTACACAGAAGCCAGGCCATGTGGGAGGGCTGGGATTGTCTCCTCCCCAGGGAGCAGGGTCCTGGCAACAGGACCCCAGGGAGGCTTCTGCTCTGGTTGAGCCCGCTGCTTCCCGTGTGATGGGAGAGAAAGACAGCGTCTGGTTTCTTATTAATCATGAGTCCTTTCTGATCCCATACCACGGGCTGTCTACTTTCCATTTCATTTATTCAGCCCACAAATAGTGATCAATCCAGGCTCTGAACTAGGCCTGGGGTACAGCAGTGAAGACAAACACAGGCTCTGTCTTCGAGGCACTTGCAGTCTGGAATTGCGAGGTGAAACCACCTTCAGCAAAGCAAAGCAAAACACAGTGCAGCGGGGAGAGGATCATGTAATTGGGAGACTTTCAGACGTGCTGGCTTCAGGGCAAAACAACATTTTTGGCCTTAGCTGCTCTCTCTGCCTCCTGCTTCTGCTTTCTCTGTCTGGGGCTTCATTCTCATCTGGGCATTCTCCATGGTGCAGGGAAGGTGGCTGCCCTCACCAGTCTCCCTGCAGCGCCTCTGCCCTCTATCAACGTCCGTACGTCCGGGCTTAATCCAGACCCACTTTTGACACCATTGGATGTGGGTGAAATCGTTATCCTGAGAAAGAGGCAAAAAGCAATGTGTCTATGAGTGGGAAGATGGACATTCAGGGACCAATTTAACCAATACTTAATGTAATTATCATTGTGACTGGTGCTACAAAGAAGTACGAGGTGAAATCAATAAATGTGGGTCAGGCTGGGCGTGGTGGCTCATGCCTGTAATCCTAGCACTTTGGAAGGCTGAGGTAGGCAGATCACTTGAGGTCAGGAGTTCAAAACCAGCCTGGCCAACATGGTGAAACTCCATCTCTACTAAAAATACAAAAAAAAAAAAAAAAAAAATTAGCCAGGCATGGTGGTGGGCTCCTGTAATCCCACCTACTCAGAAGGCTGATGCAGGAGAATCGCTTGAACTCGGGAGGCAGAGGTTGCAGTGAGCTGAGATTGCACCACTGCACTCCGGCCAGGGCTACCCAGTGAGACTCTGTCTCAAAAACAAAAACAAACAAAATACATAAAAAAAATAAATATGGGTCTGAGAAATCAAGAAAGGCTTCGTGGAGGAAGTGGCCTTTGAATGGAGATTTGAATCATAAGCAGTCTGTTTCACGCTGCTGATAAAGACATACCTGAGACCGGGTAATTTATAAAGAAAAAGAGGTTTAATGTATTCACAGTTCCACACGAGTGGAGGGTAGTGAGGCTGAGGAGGCCTCACAATCACGGTGGAAAGCAAAAGGCATGTCTTGGGTGGTGGCAGACAAGAGAGAGAGAGCCAAGCGAAAGGGGAAACCCCTTATAAAACCTTCAGATCTCATGAGACTTATTCACTACCACGAGAGCGGTATGGGGGAAACTGCCCCCATGATTCAATTGTCTCCCACCGGGTGCCTCCCACAACACATGGGAATTATGGGAGCTGCCATTCAAGATGAGATTTGGGTGGGGACACAGCCAAACCATATCAGTGAGTTAACTGGCCTAGGATGGGGAAGATTGTTTTAAGCAGAGGGAACAGAACTACCATGAAGTTGGGCACAAGTGAGGAACAACTAGGGTCAGACCATTTGGGCTTCTGTGGGGAGGTGACAGTAACAATTTTGGAGTTTCCTCGAGAGCAATAGGAAGCCACAGGAGAGTTTTAACTGGGGGTGGCGTCATGGAGTGTAAGTTCTGTGGAGATCTCCCTGGCTGTATTATGAAGAATGGATGGAGGGGATGAGCAGGTGCTGAGAGACCAGCTGGTTGGCCATGGTACTAGCCCAGGCAGGAGAGGGCAAGAAGGAGGGAAATGACACCAGAGACAGAAAGAGGTGGATGAATTTGAGATACATTTTGGAGGTAAAATTAATAGGACTTGGTGCTTGATTGGATGGGGGAAGGGGTAGGGAGAGAAAAACACTTAAAGGACAGCTTCTAGATTTCTGGCTTGCTCTGTAGGACCCCAGTCCTATGGAGTGGGGATTATTGCCCCGCATTTTTTTTTTTTTTTTGAGATGGAGTTTTGCTCTTGTCACCCAGGCTGGAGTGCACTGGCACAGTCTTGGCTCACTGCAACCTCCGCCTCCCTGGTTCAAGCAATTCTCCTGCCTCAGCCTTCCGAGTAGGTGGGATTACAGGTACCTGCCACCACACCCAGCTAATTTTTGTAGTTTTAGTAGAGACAGGGTTTCACCATGTTGGTCAGGCTGGTCTTGAACTCCTGACCTTAGGTGATCCACCTGCCTCAGCCTCCCAAAGTGTTGGAATTACAGGTGTGAGCCACCATGCCCGGCCTGTTGCCCCTCATTTAACAGCACTGGAAGCTGAGGCTCAGAGACAGGGGATGGCTTCCCAAGGTCACACAGCAGGTGAGTGGTTGAGTCTGTAACTCATGCATGTGAAATGCTTAATACAGTACAAACCCAGGCCTGTCTGTCTTTAAAACACACATTCTTCTTCTCCATGGTTCTCTTTCCCTGCCTTTATCTTCTCCATTAAGGCTCTAAGAAATGAGTGGCGGGTTTAGAGAGGCTTGGGGAACCCAGCTCCCTGCTGAGGATACTCCCAAGGCAAATGAGTTTTCCTGAGGGTTCTAGAAAGTCCACAGCCAGGAGCCCAGGTCAGAGGAAAGCCTAGGGGAGGATGACTCAGGAAGGACACCAGCCTCCTCTACCTCTGACAGCCAGGATATGCAAAGCTGGGTAAATCCCCAGTATATGCACCTGGGGAATTTTAGTGTCTCAGGACAAGCAGGGACTGTGGTCAGGCCTGGAGGTAGAATCCTAGGCAGGATCTTCACTATATTATTTGGGTCCTGAGCCCAGTGGTGCACCTTCTGTTTTTGTACCTCTGTGGCATCCTTGGTTCTTAAGCCTGGTGCTCTGAGCCTGGTGACTTCTGAGCTCTGGCTCCCTCCACCATTCAGTGTCCTTGCTTGTAAAGTGATGTTTGCAATTCCCACCTTGCAGGTTGATTGCAAGGCTGAGATGAAGCCTTGGTACTGAGTAGGGGCCTGCAAGCTTCAGTCCAGGATTAGAATTCTCTCATGCTGGCCTTGGGGTTTGAGCACGACCAAGACAGTCAAGCATGTTTCCCTGCCGGAGATTCTGGGATAGGAATTCTCAGAGGTGGGAATATTGCTAAGGCAGCTCCCCAGAGCACCTGCAGGAGGTGGTTGGCACCAGCGCCAGCCTGGGCACCTTCAATTTCTACTCTTGTTTTCCATGGCTCAGCAAAACTTGTTCTCCAGGAAGCCTTCCCTGCCCACCACTATCTACAGTGCCCCTCCCTTCCTCCAGGCCTTCAATCCCCAGTGGACCTGTACCTGCCATGGCTGTCTTCCCACTGATCCAGCCTTCCTGAATGACCCTTCGACTCCTGGAAAGTGAGACTGGGTTACCCGACCATCTGAATGACCTGGAGTCACTTAATCTTATTGTCTGTCTGTTAACTCAGGAATCAATTTCCCAGAGCTTGTTGTAAGGGTTCAGTGAGATAATGCTTGGGAAGTGCCCAAAGACATCAATGTACAACACAACAATAAATAGTACTTCCCGTGGGGTTGTCATTGTGGATTTGGGACTGTTTCCTTTCCAGATCAAGAACATCACAGAGGCTGGGCGTGGGGGCTCATGTCTATAACCCCAGCACTTTGGGAGGCCGAGGCAGGAGGATCACTTGAGGCCAGGAGTTCAAGACCACCCCAGGCAACATAGCAAGACTCCTTCTTTACAAAAAATTAGCCAGGCATGGTGGTGCGTGCCTGTTGTAGTCCCAGCTACTTGGAAGGCTGAGGCAGAAGGATCAGGAGGATCCCTTGAGCCCAGGAGTTGGGGGCTGCAGTGAGCCATGATTGTGCCGCTGCACTCTAGCCTGGGTGACAGAGCAAGACCCTGTCGCTAAAAAAAAGAACCTCACCAAAGGTAGGGATTATACCCCAATGAGTCTGGCAGGATGCCTGACACGTACATAGTAGGTGCTCAGTTAAGGCCTCTTGAGTAAATGTGCTCCTCTTCCTGGTGTCCCCAGCAGAGCCTTGCACATAATCGAGAGGCAAGGTGCAGGTAGAGGTAAGGAAATGGATTTTGGCGTCTGATAGTTCTGGCTTCAAGTCCTGCCTCTGACTCACCCCAGCTATGATGCTTCATGTCACTTCATTTAACCTGCTTCTTTATCTGCAAAATAGGATTAGCAGGCCACGTCCCAGGGTTCTGTGACAGTTCATTAAATCATATAACTCATGCATGTGAAATGCTTAATACAGTACATGAAGGCAGCTGCAATGATGATGGTTAATTCACCAATTCCCATGTCCCTTGCTGCCCAGGGCAGCGGACCTGTGTGGGCGGGTTGTTGCCCAGTATCTACCCCTTCCCAGATAACCTTGATCTTGGTTTGGAGATCCATGTAGTTCCAGGGACTGTCTCCACTTCTGATGCCAGGGAGGGGCAAAACTAAGTCATTAAGTGCATTTCAGTGATTGGTTTAAGGTTGGGCATATGACCCAGACCTGTCACATGTTTGTCTTGGGAACTTCTGGCAAGTGTCTTGTGCCTATAAAAGAAGCCAGTCTTAAAAATGGCAGACCAAGTGAGAGAAAAATAACTGGGCTCTTGCTGGCACTGGTTAGCTGCTGGATCAAGCCTTTCCTGAAGGACCTTTCAATAATGTGGGCCCATAAATCACCTTTATTGTTTAGGGCTGTTTGAATTGGGTTTTCTGTTCCTTGTAACCAAAATCACCCTTGTGGATACAGCCTATACGTCCCTCCACCTTGTGTGGCTGTCACTTCCTCTCTGTGGGTGGGGCGACATCGGCTCAGGCCACATTTCCTCCATGAGCACATGGACTCTGTGAGAACCAGCTGACTCTGCTGCCTGTAGGAAACCAGACCACCCAGGAGCCGAAAGATTATAGAAACATACAGAAAACCAGAGCAGGGAAAAATCCAAGTGAATGCTTCCAGAATAACCAAAAAGGGGGGGGAAAAGAAAAGGTGGTGGCAACTCTAATAGTGAAATAATTGACCGTCATACTCAAAGTGAGTAGTCTCCTGATTGAGGAGGGTGGATCCCAATCAGAGCCACCTGAAGGGTGTGTCACCACTGTAGGGAGTATTCCTTGCTCCTGGCTTCCACACCCACTCTCCCGCAGGCCACTATTCTGCTTTTCTTTGCTGGAATTATCTCAGGGGTCTCACTTTCCCTTAGCTAAAGGCAGGCTAAACAGAAGCTTCCTCACTGGCACTCTATCTTGAGCTGAAGGGACTGATCCGTCCCTTCCTAGGCAGGATCCTCACTATACTATTCAGGTCGCGAGCCCAATGCTGTGCCTTCTGTCCTTGCACCTCTGGAGCATCCTTGGTTCCCAAGGACCAAGGACCCACAGGACCCCTGTGGGTCCTGTGAACCCCCAGTAGCCTTCCAACATATTTCCTTTAGCTGAAGTCAGCAAAGGTCATTTCTGTTGTTGCAACCAAAAAGTCCTCAGTGATACACCTGCTGAGGGGCTGTGACGTGGTGGGAGAGGGGTCTGTTGTTCATTGAGAAGCCTTGTCAATTTCCCACGAGCTTTCTTGGGAAGGCCAAGAGGAGTGGAAACGGTCCTCCTGTTCATATTCATAGTGCTTCCGGCATTGTCTGCAGGCTGAATACATAACACACATGTAGGTATTGATGCTGAAGTGATGACTAAAATACCAATCAGTTCTGAAGAATTCCTGAATTCACATTAAAAAATTATCATTAGGTGATTTCTCATATAAGCAATACAAAATGTACAACCTGGGAAAATGTTCGCATGGAGAAGGCGTGCTTCTCTTGAAAATGTTAGAACCACAGCTGTGGGGGTGTGATGAGCAGAGGGCGTGTCTTTCAGGACCATAGTGACACTCCATCCTTCATGCCTGCCAAGACCCACTTTCCCTCCTTCCAAGACAACACTCAAAGAGAGTTCTGGGGGATTAGCTCCTTTCACTGACTCCAGAGGTGGCATTTGACTCAGATCTGGCCAATCTGAGCGCTGGATTTCCCTGGCCACAGTGATTGGCTCCGGGATGGGGGGAATGACACAATCAGAGCCAATGAGAAGCCATGGGAATGACTGGGTGGCCTGACCTTGACTTCACTTTGCAAAGCTTTAGGGGCTACCTTTTGTAGGGACTGGAGATTTGAATGAGAGGGAAGTTTCTTCTGTGGTTTCTTTTAGATTCTGCCTGAGAGGGCCCACGGAGGACTGGTGGCCATGTGGAAGTTGAACTGATGCTCACTGAACTCCTGATTATGTCTGGGTCCTAAACTAGGCCTTGGGCCTCCACAGGTGACTCCATTCTTGAAAAGCTCCCAATCTTGTGGGGAGCAGACCTCTAAGGAATGAATCCTGTGTCTCAGCGTGAAGCATCACGAGATGCACGAGATGCTCCTGGGACAAGGAGAAAGATTCCAACTCTGCCTGGCAGGTTGAGAAGGGCTTCCTGGAGGAGGTGGTCCTCAAGTGGAGCCATGACAGATGAATATGAGTTTGCTAGGGCCGGGCACGGTGGCTCACGCCGGTAATCCCAGCACTTTGGGAGGCCAAGGTGGGCCGATCACTTGAGGTCAGGCGTTCGAGACCAGCCTAGCCAACGTGATGAAACCCCATCTCTATTTTAAAAAATACAAAAATTAGTGGGGAGTGATGGCATGTGCCTGTAGTCCCAGCTACTCAGGAGGCTGAGGCAGGAGAATTGCTTGAACCTGGGAGATGGAGGTTGCAGTGAGCCAGGATTGAGCCACTGCACTCCAACCTGGGCGACAGAGCAAAACTCCGTCTCTTAAAAAAAAAAAATGAAGTTTGTTAGGGAAGAAGTCAGGAGAGGCATTGGAGGTGAAGGCACTGAGAAGCAAGAGTTTCTGATGTGTTCAGAAAGAGGAGGTTAGATTAGAGATGAGGACTTGGGGGTTCTCTGTCTTGAAGCAACATATGGATGGGGCTTGGCCAAAGAGGAGGCGGAGACCACGGTCACAGGCTGCTGCTTTTGGCGACCAGGCAGGCACTGGAATGAGCTGAGTCTTTCAAGTATAAGGAAGACCCCATGACCTTCTGGGTCTGGCTTCTATTTCCCATTTTTACAAGAGTAGGGATCCAATAAGTGCTAATTAAAAGAAGCCACAGTGTAATGATAAAGGGCAAATGTCACTGTGGGCAGCTGAAAAGTCTACCTAAAGCAGTGGCCCTAAACCCTGGCTACCCACCGGAATCATCAGGGATGCTTTGACAATGTAGTCTGCCTGGACCCCGTGCCCAGAGTTTCTGACTTCATAGGTCCAGAGTGGGGCTCAGCAAAATATTCTAATATCCGCTCAGGTGATTCTTTTTCTTTTCTTTCTTTTTTAGACAGATTCTTGCTCTGTTGCCCAGGCTGGAGCGCTGTGGTGTGATCAGAGCACACTGCAGCCTCAACTTCCTGGACTCAAACGATCCTCTTGCCTCAGCCTCCCAAAGTGCTGGGATTACGGGTGTGAGGCACTGTCCCCGGTTTGCCCAGTGATTCTAATTGGATTCTAAGATACAGCTGGGACTGAGAACGACTGATCCACAAGGAATGCCAGTCGGTGCCTTGCAGGAACTTGTCTTTCCAAAGTTTTTGATTTTTTTCAAGAAAAGCCAGAAACTGAGATTTCTCTGTGGAATCTTTATTTTTTTATTATTTTTATTTTTATTTTTTTGAGATGGAGTCTCGCTCTGTTGCCCAGGCTGGAGTGCAGTGGCGCGATCTCGGCTCACTGCAAGCTCCGCCTCCCAGGTTCACGCCATTCTCCTGCCTCAGCCTCCCGAGTAGCTGGGACTACAGGTGCCCGCCACCACGCCCACTTAATTTTTTTGTATTTTTTTTTTTTTAGTAGAGACGGGGTTTCACTGTGTTAGCCAGGATGGTCTCGATCCCCTGACCTCGTGATCCTCCCGCCTTGGCCTCCCAAAGTGGGAATCTTATTTTTAAACGTTGCCTCGACTTTTAAAAGAGGCAAAACTGGGGAGTGTTTATGATGAGCTGTTTCTCAGCTCCTTATCCACACCATGAATCTACAAGGTAGGTGACTATTCTCTCTACTCTGCAGGTGAGGAAACCGGGGCGTGGAGAGGCTGTGTTACTTGCTCAAGGTCACATTACTAGCAAGTTCCAGATCAAGATGCATCCCCAGGCAGTCTGGCTCCAGACTCCGTGCATTTACCTGCAGAACCCCTCTCCAGCCAGCATCTGACCTGTGGCCCAGGAGTGTGCACCCTCTGGCAGGTGAGGGCTTGGAGCAGAGACCTGGCCATTACAGGAAGCAGCCTGGAGCTATGGACAGAACGGAGAGAGTGGGGGCCAGCGGCGCTGCTGCCTTCAGACACCGGTTGATGAACCGTCCCATGTGGTCCTGCCCAGGGAGTGGAGCCCAGCGCACAAGGCCTGGCAGGTTCAGACTTGGGTTTTCACCAAATGCCCTACTGGCCCTGGGGCGCTGGCTTGGCCGATCAAGATATTGCAGATAAACAGGCCTCACCTGGTGGTGGGGCTGTTGCATGGGGAGGCGTCAGGCTTTGTCTGTTGCGGTGACTCAGGGCAGGTTATCACCCGGCGGCAGCCTTCACACCTCATGCCCGTGGGCTCCAGGATAGTCCCAGGAAGCATCTGCATCTGAGGTTGGCCCAGACCCACCCAGTGAGCCCGGCTTCTTGTAGATGCCTTATAAAGGAGTGCTATCTTCCTGCACGCTTTGGAGATAGGGCTGGGGGCACTTCGGAGACAGGGCTGGTTCAGAGATAGGGCTGGGATAGAGATGTGGGCAATGGGCAAGAGAAAGCGTTCAACCAGCCCAGTGGGGTAGACCAAGGAAAGTGGCCGTTTTCTGTGGGCTTACTATGTGGATCTCACTGGACTAAACACCTTTGCATCTGATTTCTTAATTTCACAGTTCTGAGGGGTCGTTGTTATTATCTCCATTTCACAGAAGAGGAAGTTGAGGCTCCGAGAGGTGAAGTGACTTGGCCAAGGTTTCATGGCTTTGAAATGCATCTGGGGTTTAAGTCCAGGTTGTTCCTTGGCCATTGACCGACTGACCTCTAGATATGTAAGGCTGCTCTCTCAATCCCCACTCAGATCCTACTGACTCCACAACCCAAGGCTTTACTGCCCTGCCCTCACGGGTCACGGCTGTGTATACCTTGGTGGCATAGGTCAGCAGGCACCTTGGACAGACCTGCCCAAGGGAGGATGATCTACAGGGACAGTGGCATTTGAGCAGCTCAGTTGTAGAGAGATCTGCAGCTGGCAATCGTCAACACGCTGATCCAATCATATAACGAATCTCTGGCCACCAGGCCAAGCATCATTTTAGTTGAGATAACTAAATAAGAACAAAATTGTATGTTTTTATCTAGCTTGGAAGTAGTGATTATTTTGTTTTCCAGCTCATTTTTAGCCTCATAAAAGTAGTTTAAAAATTACCATTGTTGTGCCAGGTGCAGTGGCTCATGCCTGTAATCCCAGCACTTTGGGAGGCTGAGGTGGGCGAATCACGAGGTCAGGAGATCGAGACCAGCCTGGCAGACATGGTGAAACCCCGTCTCAACTAAAAATACAAAAAAAAATTAGCCAGGTCTAGTGGTGCATGCCTGTAGTCCCAGCCACTTTGGAGGCTGAGGCAGGAGAATCGCTTGAACCTGGGAGGCAGAGGTTGCAGTGAGCGGAGATCGCGCCATTGCACTCCAGCCTGGGGGACAGAGCAAGACTCCATCTCAGAAAAAAATTACCATTGTTGTGTTTTTATTTCTGCTAAGAGCTCCCCTTCCTGCCCCTCTGCAGACAGGCTGGCCAGGTGGCCGCTGGGCCTGTGTCTTTTGTTGCTTGTCTGTTTGGCCCTGGTAGAGGGTGGCATAGGCTGGGCCCAGATGAAGGCCTTACCAAATGGAGGGTCTGAACTTGGATGCCGGGAAGTTTTCTGGAAGGGCTTCCTGGGCTCAGCCAGGCACATTTCCCAGGAGGGCCCCATTCTGTGGGGTGGGCTGGGTAGCTAGCAGGTGGCTAGATCCTGGGCTGCACTGGGGAGGCAGAGGCCAGGCCAAGCCTCAGTGGCTGCCCAGTCTTCAGTGAGAACCCAGCTTCTTAGCCTAGTGTTCCAGGCTCTTGTTTATCAGGTCCTTGCCCCTACCTCCAGTTTCCTCCCCTGCCCTGTCTTCCTTGCCCCCTCCAGCCCTGGACCACCCGGCGATCCCGCTGTCTCACACCTCCATGCCTTCTCACAGTTTGTTTGCTCTGCTAGGATTCCCTTTCCTTATTTGCAGGGATAACTTATGTGAAAGAGCTCAGCACTAAGTTAAACTCATCATTGGTGCTTTAAAAGCTCACCTTCCTCCTCCCTCCCTCTCCCTTCTTCCATCCCTCTCTCCTGCCTTCCTTCTGTGTGTGGAAACATCACCCTCCCTGGTCTAGGGGGAACTCTTAGTATGATGGAAGAAGCACAGAAGCAAGCCTGAGAAGCCTCAAGTCTAGACAGATGCCAGAAACGTCTGAGGCCCTCTGTTGAGGCAGTTGGTTGGGTTTGACCATGCAGGATCCAGGATCCAGGAACCCTGAGATCCTTCCCTGCCTACTCTTAGTCCACCTGTTATGGGCGAGGCTCCTCCCTCTTAGAGGTGGATCATGTGACCTGCCTAAGCCAACCTGCTCATTGTTTGGTTGCGTCAGAGCCCATGGGACATGATGAGATGCTACTGGGGCTGCTAGGACAGACCCAAGCGCTCCTTGTCCTGGACTTGAGTCTGAACATGGTTTTCCAGCCTCCTCTCCACACTGTGAGCTCTCCACTGCCTCCCAGTAAATGCCCCTTGAGCACCAGGAAGTCAAATCGATTCTGTTTGCAATCAAGCAGCTCTAAGGGAGACACCCCTCAAATCGCAAATGTCCACTCCCAACTCTTGAGACAGAGGCACCCATGTCTCTCCAGCTGTAGCCGCCCAGAACTGAGAGCCAGGGCACCAACAGGGAGGAAACAGATAAACAAAATGTGGTTTCCACATACAAAGAGATACTCTTCAGCCTTGAGAAGGAAGGAAATTCTGATACACGCTGCATCATGGATGAACCTAGAAGATAGTATGCTGGGTGAAATAAGCCAGATGCAAAAAGACAAATACTGTATGATTTCCTCTTACATGAGGTACCTAGAGTAGTCAAATTCATAGAGACGAGGCAGAATGGTATTACCAGGGTAGTGGTGATAGTGCCTGGAGGAAGGGTAGTGCCCTATTTTGGATCAGCTGATTCAGTCCCTGAGTGGCACTCATTGTCCAGCTCCAGGAGTTGCCTGGGCCTAGCAGCTGGGACTTTGCCCCGGGGGCTTCCTAGCTCCACATCTAATCCTTTCTGTTGAGACTTGGGAGCGGGGATGGAGGGACTACATCTGCTATGCTGGCACCATGAGCAGAACCACCTTCCAAACTGAAGGGTCCTCAGGTGCCCAGAAGTGAATTCGTAAGTGGGGAAAAAAGGAGGCCCCAAAGCTGGCAAGAGGCAGTTGGCAGGCATGGGGGCTGGCCTTTGTGGCCGCGCCTGGCCTTCCCAGCAGGAAGGGATGAGGGGGGTTCCTGGGGAGAGGAGTGGGGAGAGCGGCTTGGACTGGATGAATCTAGGCTTGAATATATCTTTGCCACTCATCACCTGTGAGAGCTTGGCAGGTCACCTTACTTCTCTGAGCCTTGGTTTCCTCATCTGTAAAATGGGAA
Organism: Homo sapiens; assembly: GCF_000001405.40. Taxonomy (NCBI): domain Eukaryota; kingdom Metazoa; phylum Chordata; class Mammalia; order Primates; family Hominidae; genus Homo; species Homo sapiens. The sequence goes on from NC_000001.11 coordinate 22,175,704, forward strand.
TAATCCTACATGCTTTCTGGAATGACTGTGAAGATTAAACACTATAAATCCTGTGAGATTTTGAGTCTGCTGCCTGTCAAAGAGTCCACAAATGTTTGCTTTTACTGTTATGAAGAATAAGAACCCTGCCTCGGACCAAACCGGGTTAATTCCTTAAAGAGTTGGCCTTGGTTGTAATTCCAACCAAGCTGAGGGACGCTGGACAACTGACTAGGGCTTCCTCTTTGGAGGTCAGTTTGCTCATTGTAAAAGGGGGATAACAGCAGTTCCTACATTAAGGGTCGATGTGAGGATTAAATGACATGATGCATAGAAAATGCTTAGCACTGTGCCCGGCACATAGTAGGTGCTCAGTAAATATCAGTTCCTCCTCACCACCTCCCCTCCTTGTTCTGGATGTGGAAGAGCAGGCATTGTGGGGAATACAGATGCCCCAGATCTGGAGTCAGAGAACTAGGTTCTGCCCCAGGCAGGGCACTAAATTGCTGAGCTTTCTTTGGGTGGGATCCTGACCCCTGGGTCTCAGTCAACCTCTGTTAAGTGATGACATTGGAATTGATGGTCCCACCTCTGTAACATTCCACATTGTAAGAAAAAAACACTTAAAAAAAACCCTAGTGTTACTTAAATAAAGGACTGAAGGCAGCTGCTCCCTGCTTGAGGTGGGGCTGGAACAGGAGGAGGCTGCACTTTTGCTTCGGGAAATCCCCTTCAGAGGCCCTTTTTGTTTCGTAGAGGGCAGGTGTCTCCCCCTGCACCTCCCGAGCAAAGTGAAGGACGTGGCCCTGTGAGGTGAGGAGCAGGTGCTGGCAGCTGGAGAGTGGGACTTTGGCAGGCCCTAGGGACATGGAGCAGAGTGGAGATGGGCCAGGGTTCCTCAGCAGAGGGGGTGCTCAGGGGCAAGGGGGCATAGAGCGGGCTGGCTGGGAGGGTCTAGGAATATTCAGTTTGGTATTGCTGCTGGTTAGGTCCTGAAGTCTCTCTCTTTCCCCAAACCTTCAGTAGAGTCTGTTGCACACCCAGCCTTGTGTGTGGGTGGGGTGGGGGGCTTGGGGAATGAAGCGTTAGGGAGCAGAGAGAGGCTGGGAGGCAGCAGGGTGCAGGGGGGATGTGCCTCAGGTCAACGGTAGAGCTAGCGGTGAAGGGACACAGAAGTCCTGCTTGGGAGACCTCAGCAGTGTTGAGAAGGGCATTGGAGACCCTGCAGTACAGAGTGTGGGGTTTTGGACTATTTTATTAATTATAATTATTGGTTGAAACTAAGAACAGGGTGAGCCCAGAGGACATGGGGACATTGGGGTTATGGTTTTACATTTGTGCAATTTGGATTGGCAGAGACAAAAGGCCATCCTCATTGGAAGGGGGTGGGTGGGGGAATGGCATGACCCAAGGCCTGGCACGAAGTTGGCATGGAGCACCACATGGTGTTGCTGAAGAGGGCCGTGGGGCTGCAGCATGAAGGGCCTGGCATGCTAGATGATGGACTTGACTTTCTATAGGTGATGGGGAGCCCTGGAAGACTTCAGAGCAGGGGAGGGACAAGGAGCAAGGTGGCCGTGGGAAGATGGCTCCAGCAGCATGCAGAAGATGGACAGGAGTGGATAGGGACAAAGGTGGAAAAGGAGAGAATAAGCATCTGCCATTTGTTCACTGCAGAGGGTTTGCTGTGATCAGATCAACCCAGGTGGGTGACCGAGGTGGGTGAGAGGCAGGCTCTTGGGAAAGAGGGCACGTAGGTACCCGTCCTGGAGGCAACCCAACCTCATGTGCATCAATCACCACCTGCCTCCCAGTCTCGACTTTCCCTGTGACTCAGCCCCCTGAGGACCCAACACAGGGTTGGGGGAATTTGGAAAGTCTACCTTTTTGGAGATGACTCAGTTAAAAGGGCAGGGCCAGGGAAGGGGATCTCTCACTCCAAAAACTTATGTCATCACCAAATCTTCATGGGTCACAGCTAAGGTCCAGCCACCACACCCACTGATCTCCTTTTACAGATGGGGAAACTGTGGCCTGGAGAGGGGAAGGCACCCGTGCAGGCTTGTGTGGCCAGAGCCTGGGGCCTGCTCAAGTTCCTCACTCCCCGTGTGACCCTGGGTGAATCTCTTCTCCTCTCTGGGCCTCCATTTTCTCATCTCTAAAATGGGATAACCAAGTCTGCCCTGAACATTCGATCTTCTCTCACCCTCTTACTTCTTTGCCTTCCTTTCCAGCACCGTCTGTCCTCGCCCAAGCCTTTGGTCCCAGGTACAGGTCTTGGATGTCCTCATAGCTCACAGGCCTCTCTGTGACCCCCTCAGCCTGCCCATGGCTCCCCCGCACCCCCTGCCTGCCCAGGACCCTGCTTTCCTTGGGGACACTCCTCTGTCCCTGTCACACTCTGCCAGGCTGGGGTCTTCTTCGTTGCCGTCCCCTGCTGACCTCCCCGACACCTTCTGCATTCCTTGAAGTCTTGGCTCATGCTCTTTCCTTCCACCCATCCCATCACCATCCTGGGTGATGTTAGTGACATCATGGATGACCTGTCTAGCCCCCTGGCTGCCACTTCCTGGACCTTCTTATCTCCAGGGACTCCCTCCTCCACAGGCCCACCACCTTGCCACCCTGGGCCTTATCATCCCTCAGGACCACCCTCCCCGAAACGCTAAATGCTGAGCCCCACTCTCTGATGGTGACCACTTCCCACCCCCCGGGCCCCGAGCACACTACACCTGCCCTGAGACCTCCTGTGCAGCCCCCTGAAAGGCCTGGCCGGTGGAGCACTCTCTTCTCTCCCCCAGGCCTCCCTGGCTCCAACTGTTTCCCGACACTCCTAGTCTTGACTGGCCCCACCTGCCCCTTCTCTGCTGCTGTCACCCCTATGTCATGCAGGTCCCCAGGCCCTTGGCGGGCACATCCTTGGCTTGCCTTCTCCACCCACCCACCCACCCAACAGTGGCCCCTCCACTCCCTCTTCGCCTGCTGTCCTCTGAAACCCCAGTTGAGGGCTCCTGCCTGGGGCCCGGCTGCCCCTGCCACTGTCTTCTGGATCCTGTTCCCCACCATCTCCTCTGGGGCCTCACACCTGCAGTCCTCCCCACCCTCCCCCATCCCTTCCTTCTCCTTCCTTCTCTGGCTCAGCCCTCTTAGCTTCTATCATGGCTAAATCCTCACATCTCAAGGTAAAGGACCCCAAACCACTCTTGATCCTGCATCTTCTCTCTGGGCACCAAGATCTTCCCTTGGCCTGGGATTTCCCAATCGTGGTCAGTGAACATGTCTTCATTTCTCCCCTGCATGCTTCAGGCCACTGCCAACTCCATCTCCCCTCCCCGATCAGCCAGCAGAGGGATGCTGCCCATGATCTCGTTGCCAAGTCCAATGGTTAACCCTTTATGCCTTAGCCAATGCGTCTACCATTTTTTCCTTCTGGAAACTTCTTCTCTCTCTGTGTTAGAGCCTCCCCTATGGCCATTCTCCTCTGCTTCTTTACTAACAGAGCCTAGATTTTATTCAGGAGTACAATGTGCTCTGCTAAAGGACCACATTTATCAACCTTCCTTGTAGCTGGGAGTGGCCAATGAGGTGGAAGTGAAAACCAGAGGGGGCGGGGTGGAAAAGGGCCTCCAGGAACACTCAGCTAGGAGGCAAGTCTTCTGCTCTGGCTTATTCCTCCTTTTTGCTGCTGGAACATGACTGTGATGGCTAGAGCTGCAGCAGCAATCTTGTGACCATGAGGTGACCTTGAAGATGGAAATCAGAGCTAAGAATAGCTGAGCAAGAGAGAAAGGGCCCCAGGCTCTGAAGACAGTGGGCTGCCTACCTCTGCATTTCTTTCCCAAAGGAGAGAACTGAACCTGTGTCTTGATCAAGCCACTGATTTGTGTTCTCTGCTGCTTGTAGCAGAATCCAATCCTAGATTATTACGCAATTTTGGAACTGTGTTTCCTGGTTTTCCTCTTACCTCTTGGGTTGACCTTCCCATTTCTGTTTGTGGGTACCTTCATTGTCCCTCTAATAAAACATGGGGACTCCCAGTTTTCTGTTCTGGGCCCCCCTTTTTTCCTGCATCTCCTATTTCCTAAGCAGTCTTGTTCTTGCTTGTGGCTTCTTCATATCAGATGCAGGTGACTTTGAATCTTCAGCACAGACTCTCCCAGGCCTCCAGACCAGAATATTCAGCCAGGATGTCCTATAGTATCCTCAAGCTCAATCGACCCCAAATTCTTCCTGGTGCCTGTTTCTCCTTCCAGAGACCCCAACTCAGCTGATGAATCTTCTACCACCCAGTTGGCCTGTTGCAAACCCAGGAGTCATTCCCTCCCTTTTCCTTACTCTTTTATCCCCTCAACTCCTCACATACAATCATTCATTAAGATCTAGCGATTGACCATGTCACACCCACTAGATTGGCTATTATAAAAAAAAAAAAAAAGAAAATAACAAGTGTTGGTGAGGATGTGGAGGAACTGGAATTTTGTGCATTGCTGGTGGGAATGTGAAGTGGTCAGCCACTGTGGGCTACAGTGTGGAGGTTCCTTAAAAAATCAAACGTAAAATTACCATATGATCCAGCAATTCCACTTCTGGGCATATACCCCCAAAAAAGTGAAATCAGGGCTCAGAAAGATATTTGTACAATCATGTTCACAGCAGCACACAATAGCCAAAAAGGAGAAGTAACCCAAGTGTCCATCAATGGCTGAACAGATAAACAAAATGTGGTATCCACATACAATGAGATACTCTTCGGCCTTAAGAAGGAAGGAAATTCTGCCTGTAATCCCAGCACTTTGGGAGGCCGAGGCGGGCGGATCACGAGGTCAGGAGATCGAGACCATCCTGGCTAACATGGTGAAACCCTGTCTCTACTAAAAATACAAAAAATTAGCCGGGCGTGGTGGCGGGCACCTGTAGTCCCAGCTACTTGGGAGGCTGAGGCAGGAGAATCGCTTGAACCTGGGAGGCGGAGGTTGCAGTAAGCCGAGATCACGCCACTGCAGTCTAGCCTGGGTGACAGAGCGAGACTCTGTTTCACACACACACACAGAAAAAAAAAAAAAGAAGAAGGAAGAAAATTCTGACACATGTCGCATGATGGATGAACCCTAAAGACACTGTCTGTGCTGGGTGAAATAAGCCAGACGCAAAAAGGCAAATACTGTATGATTCCACTTACACAAGGTACCTAGAGTAGTCAAATTCATAGAGATGAAGCGGAATGGTATTACCAGGGGTTGCGGAGTTCGCATTTAATTTGTACAGAGTTTCAGCTGTGAAAACGTTCTGGAGGTGGGTGCTGTGATGGTTGCACAATGGGAATGTACTTGCTGCTGCAGGAACTGTACACTTAAAAAGGTTAAAATGGTAAATTTTATTTTACAACAATTAAAACAAGATCTAGCAATTTTACTTTTTTTTTTTTTTCCTTGTGATGGAGTCTCACTCACTCTGTTGCCCGGGCTGGAGTGCAATGGCACGATCTCAGCTCACTACAACCTCCGCCTCCGGGGTTTGGGTGATTGTTAATGCCTCAGCTCCTGAGTAGCTGGGACTACAGGTGCCCGCCACCATGCCCAGCTAATTAGCTAATTTTTGTATTTTTAGTAGAGACGGGGTTTTTTCATGTTGGCCTGGCTGGTCTAGAACTCCTTTTTTTTTTTTTTTTTTTTTTTGAGAAGGATTCTCACTCTGTTGCCCAGGCTGGAGTGCAGTGGTGTGATCTCGACTCACTGCAACATCTGCCTCCTGGGTTCAAGCAATTCTTCTGCCTCAACCTCCCAAGTAGCTGGGATTACAGGTGCCCACCATCATGCCCAGCTAATTTTGTATTTTTTTTTTTTTTTTTTTTTTTTTAGTAGAGACAGGGTTTCATCATGTTGGCCAGGCTGGTCTCAACTCCTGACCTCAGGTGATCTGCCTGCCTTGGCCTCCCAAAATGCTGGGATTACGGTGATGAACAACCGTGCCTGGCTGCAATTTTACTTTCTAAATGATCTCAAATTCATTCCTTTTCTCTTTCATAGTAGTTGACTCTCAGTGGGACCAATGGAGAACCTTCTTTCTGGGTTTCCTGCCTCCAATTTCACTCTCACCATCCATAGCCTAACTCCCTCTTCATCAGAGTGCTTTTCTAAACCTCAAATCTGTTCGTGTCATTTCTTTCCATGGAACCCTCCATGGTTCCCCATGGCCTATGGCATTAATTCTAAGCCTCTTAGCCTGGCATTCAAGACCCTCCCTGATCTGCCCCCTGCCTGTCTTCCCAGCCACCTCCCTCTTTTTGGCTCAGTCATTCCTCCAGTGCTCTGGGCTGTTTCACACCCCTGTGCCTTTCTCTCCACCTACATGCTCATCTCTGCCTTCTCTCCTGACACCGCTACATGACATCTCTGCCTTCTCTCCTGTGTCCAGCCCATTCATCCTCTAAGTCTCTAGAAGTCCAAAGACTTCTCTGTGATGCTCTCACAAAGCTGTCTTTTCTCTCCTTACGCTGTTTCTTTCCAGCTGTATCTGTTACTGCACACATCTGGCTGTTCTGCAATGATTTGCTTGCATGGCTGTCTCTGGGAACTCCTTCAACTTCTCTCCTTTTCTTTCAGGAAGTCCTTCCTGCCTTCTTCCAGCCTACAATGACATCCGCCTCCTCTGAGCTCACAATCTCTTGCAACCCATCGGAAGCACCATGTTAGCACTTGATTGTTCCCCTGTCTTATCTTCAATTCTCTCATGAAGATTAGTCTTGGCTCTCGGACGAGCTCATAAAAAGCCTCCTTGGTTAGATTCACCTGAACTGGGGAGGCGGAGGTTGCAGTAAACTGAGATCATGCCATGGCACTCCAGCCTGGGTGACAAGATTGAAACTCCGTCTAAAAAAAAAAAAAGCTCCTTTGTTGTAAGGACTGTGGCCTCAGTTCTGTTCCCTGGAGGAAGGGCAGGAGCGGACACTCAGTGGGCAAATTTGTGCCAGGCACTCTCGAGCCTGCTGTGTCCTGTCGTTCATCTGACAACTCTGAAGTGAGCGTTGTCATTTCCATGTTACGTTTGAGGAAGCTGCAGCTAAGAGGGTTAAGGGACTGGGATCACAAAGCATCACAGTAGAAGAGTGAGGGCTCGAACCCAGGCCAGTCAGACTCCCAAACTTGTGCTCTGCTCCGGGCCAAAGCTGAGCCCCAGAAAGACGTGCTGGGTTGGACTGGGCTGAATGGCCCCCGCCCAGTGCATGTCTGTGCACATGTGGCAGTGTTTGATTTTTCCAGTAAACTCGAGCACATGCAAGTTGGAGGCGGCATCAAGGGAAAACAGCTCATGTTGGTCCTGGCTCCGGGTCTGGGGAAGCATCCAGGGTGGTGGGGGCGGGGCAGGGCGCTGGGCGGCAGCAGGGGCAGTGGGCAGGTCTCTGTGGTCATCCCAGGAAGCCCTCAGCTGTGACCTGTGACGGCTGCCCAGGGGTACGGCCCTCCTTATTGGGAGTAACTCCTCACATTTTCCGGGACGGTGTTTGAGGGTGTGCGTTTGGCAGAAAGGATTAGAGTTACCATTCACCAGTTGCTAAGATCGTGGGCAACTCCTGTACCCTCTCTGGTTCTCATTTTATTTTCGACATCTACAGAATGGGTATTTATTTATTTATTTATTTTGTGAAAAACAGAGACAGAGTCTTGCTCTGTCACCCAGGCTGAAGTGCAGTGGCACTACCATAGCTCACTGCAGCATTGACCTTTCTACCTGGGAGGCTACCTGGGAGGAGCCATGTGATCTCTTCAAGGATACTCCTCCCTGAGGCTCTGGGGGGCTCAAGCCATCCTCCTCCCATGTAACCTTCCATGTAGCTGGGATCTCAGGCACGTGCCATCCTGCTGGCTAATTTTTTGATTTTTTTTTTTTTTTTTTGTAGAGATGAGGGCTCACTTGGTTCCCCAGGCTGGTCTTGAACTCCTAGACTCAAGCAGTCCTCCTCCCTCTGCCTCCCAAAATGCTGGGATTACAGGCATGAGCCACCTGACCTGGCCCCAAATGGGCATTTAACTAGTTTCCCGTCTCTTGGATTTCTGTGGGCAGATCCTTTGCAAGGATAGCTGTGACAGGATAGCTGATGAAAAGTCCTGTGTCCTTTTGAGAGGCTTGGTCATCTACCCTGGGAGCTTCATAACATAGAGGTGGAGAAGAATGGCCAGTCCCAATTTACAGATAGACGGGACCCCTGACCATAAATGTATACAATCATGAGATGCCAATTAAAAATAGTATTAATTAAAAAGAATGCAAAGAAAAAGGAAAGTGGAGAGGTATAATAAGAAGGGACCTTCTGTGGCTGGGCACGGTGGCTCCTGTAATACCAACACTTTGGGAGGCCAAGGCTGGTGGATCACCTGAGGTCAGGAGTTCAAGACCAGCCTGGCCAACATAGTGAAACCTCATCTCTACTAAAAATACAAAAATTAGCTGGGTGTGGTGGCGTATACCTGTAATCCCAACTACTTAGGAGGCTGAGGCAGAATTGCTTGAACCTGGGAGGCACAGGTTGCAGTGAGCTGAGATTGTGTCACTGCATTCCAGCCTGGGCTACAGAGCGAGACTCCATCTCAAAAATAAAGGGACCTTCTGAGGTTGAACTGAAATCACAAATACCTCTCTGTATGAATCTGTGATTTATCTATATATATGTGTACATATAAACACACAGATGGACAGGTGTCAGAATAGATACAGAAGCATGTCTATGTATATGTCTCTTTAGCAGCTTGTAGAGAAGAAGCTGGGACTTAGTGACATTAGACTGAGGTTTCCAGACTAAGTCCAGAAGCCCTTCTGTTTGACATTACCCAATAGATGGAAGCCAGGATATAAGATGCTAAATAATTGTAATTTAGGGACAAGGGGTGGAGAGTTTAATGGTAGGGAAGTGAGAAGTGGAGAAAGATTATCACATTATTACTAGTTGAGAGGACCAGAGAGGGAAGGTCAGTGGCCCACAGTCACACAGTGCAGGCTGGTGGCAAAACAAAAGCCAGAACTCAGCTTAAAAAAAAAAAAAAAAGAAAGAAAGAAAGAAGAAAGAAAGAAAATAGAAGAAGCCCCAACTCTCACTATTGATTGTATCTACTTTGTGCTAGGTCGCTGTGTGCTAAGGTGACTCTTCCCAGCCACCTGAAGGGATAAGTACCTTCATCATCATTTTCAGATGTGGAAGCGGAAGCTCAGCGAGGTTCCAGGGTGCACGCTTGGTTAGTGTGAGGCCACCATTTGCACCTAAGTCTGACGCCAAAGCTGGTGTTCTCAGCCAACCAGCCCGCCCCCACACTGGCCCAGACACTTGTGAGTTTGTGGAAAGTCACATATGGACCAGGACAGCAGCTACTTTGAGGCCCCAGAGAGCCAGTCAGGGCAGATGGCCAGGCTGGTCGCTGGGTGCCAGTTGTCAGGCCCTCAGCCGTGTGCAGCCAGGTGTGCAAAGCCTCCATCAACAGGCGGTGCGTTGCCTGGGGAGCTGGCTCACCACCCAGACCTTGGTTTCCCCAAATGTAGACGTTGATTGATCCCAAGGTGCTTCCCAACCCCACATTCCTGGCCTCTCTCCCCGAGGGGGCTCAGGGTTGAGGTTTGGTTGGGGGAGAGGCCCGGGCCCCTCCCTTTCCCCCAAGGTGTGAGCTACCCAGGGAACATGGGGCCGGCTGTCATGGCAACCCTGTGTTGCGAAATGACGTAATCGGAGTTCCAAACGTGTGAAATCAAATACAACATCCGCAAACACAGCCTGGGGGTCGGCATGGCAACCGCAGGGCACCGGGACAGGCAGGCACTCTCCGCCCTGAGCAGCCAGCCTGGCTCAGCCACCTGGGTGGGCAATGAGGGCACACCGTCCCCTCTCCATGCAGGCCCCACCTCCTCCCTCCACTGGGGCCCTCTCCTTTTCTCTCCTCTCCTCCTTCTTCCTCTTCTCCTTGCTTCTCCGGGAAGCAGTGTGCCAGGTGGTTAAGGAAGTCAGCTCTAGCACCCCAGACAGACCAGGTTTCACATCCTGCCACCTACCAGTGGTGAGGTTTTTGGCAATCCGCTTTACCTCTTGAACACTATTCACCTCACCTGAAAAATGGACGTAATAATAAAACTCACCATATAGTTTTGAAGGGGGGCTGATGACGTGAACATAGGCACCTAGTACTGGTGTGTATTAGATGGGAGCCATTATCCTGCCTTTTCTCATCTTTCTTCCCTGCTGTGGTTCCTTTCCTTGCCTACCACTCCCAGGGCACCTGCAGGCACCAGAAGTGACAGTGGCTTGCAGCCTGGATCCCCAGGTGATCGGTCAGGCCCTGTAGGGCTTTGCCATGTGATCTCATAGGTGGTCCTCTTCTCTATAAAATAGGGGCATGACCCACAGGCCACTGGCATCAGCAACACCTGAGTGCCGGGTAGAAAGTGCAGATTCCTGGACTCCTGCCCCCTTATACTTGATTCAGTGGGTCTAGGGTGGGGCCCAGGACACAAGTTCTCCGGGTGAACCTAACCAGACACTCCAGTGTGAGAATCCCTGAACCAGGTGTTTCCTGTGGCTCATATGGCTGACTCTGATGGGCCTCCAAGACCCAAATTCCTGGCTCTGACTGATTACCTTCCAGGCTCTTTTTATTTTGCGACGCTGTGGCCACCAGGCCAGGGCAGGCTTTCCCTGGTTTCTATGTCTGTCCCATTCGTTCTTTTTTTTGGAGACAAGGTCTTGTTCTGTCACCCAGGCTTGGAGTGCAGTGGGGTAATCATGGCTCACTGCAGCTTCAACTTCCCCAGCTCAAGTGATTCTCCCGCCTCAGCCTTCTGAGTAGCTGGGACTACAGACACGCTCCACCACACTTGGCTAATTTTTTTCTCTTTTTGAGATGGAGTCTTGCTCTGTTGCCCAGGCTGGAGTGCAGGGGTGCATCTTGGCTCACTGCACCCTCCCCCTCCCGGGTTCAAGTGATTCTCCTGTCCCAGCCACCTGAGTAGCTGGGACTACAGGCATGTGCCACCACGCCCAGTTACATTTTTTTGTATTTTTAGTAGAGATGGAGTTTCACCATGTTGGCCAGGCTGGTCTCCAACTCTTGACCTCAAGTGATCAACCTGCCCTTGGCTTCCCAAAGTTCTGGGATTACAGGCGTGAACCACCATGCCTGGCCTCACCTGGCTAATTTTTATTTATTTATTTTTTTGTAGAGTCGGGGTTCTCGTTATGTTGCCCAGGCTAGTCTCAAACTCCTGGGCTCAGGTGATCTTCCCATCTTGGCCTCCCAAAGTGCTGGGATCACAGGTGTGAGCCACTGTGCCTGGCTGTCTCATTCATTCAATCAACAAATGTTTCTCATGCCAGGCCCTGGGCCACATTCACCTTTCCCACACCAGTGAGGAACAGATGCTGCCCTGTGTGTTTGGGGTGGGGGGTGGCGGGGCTGAGAAGGTAGAGACAAGTCTGTGACTCAGTTTTTCATGTGTAAAATGGGGATAATGCTTTGATAATGAGTGTCCTGCTACTCTTGAGGTGGCATAGGGCTCTGGCGAGAGGATGACAAGGACACATTCTCTGGGGACCTGTGGCCTGCCAGGCACTGTGCTAGATGCTTTGTATAGGTAACGCTGGATGCTCCCAGTAACTTTTCAGGTGGGGGCTATTTCCCTTCATTTTACGCTTGGGAAAATGAGGCTCAGCAGGTGACTTGACTCACCTGAGATCACTCACCACATACCCAGTTTAGGGTTTAAATCCTTCCCTGGCTCACATTGCCCTTCTAGCCACTGTTCTTCCTCTGCCTCTCCTTTCCCTCTCCCCTCCCCTTCCTCCAGCCCCTTCTCTTCCACTCCATTCTCCTTCCTCTTCCTTGTCTATTTTTCATCAAAAGGTCTAGAGTTTTCCGCACTCACTCTTTCCATGTCTGCACTTGCCAGTCGCCCCTTAGTCCTGAGGTCCGTCTCCCCATCCCGCATCCTTCCACGGTGACCAGGACCTCTGTGAGCAGAACCCAGTGGTTCTGACCTCTTAGTAGCCTTGATGCTGGGGGTTGCCCCTCCTCCTCACAGTCCGCTTTTCTCCTAGGCTTTACTTTCCTCCACCTCTCCTGGGTTTTCCTTCTTTTTTTTTTTTTTGAGACGGAGTCTTGCTCCATCACCCAGGCTGGAGTGCAGTGGTGCGATCTCGGCTCACTGCAACTTCCGCCTCCCAGGTTCCAGTGATTCTTCTGCCTCAGCCTCCTGAGTAGCTGGGACTACAGGCATGCGCCACCATGCCCGACTAATTTTTGTATTTTTAGTAGAGACGGGGTTTCGCCGTGTTGGCCAGGATAGTCTTGAACTCCTGACCTCAAGTGATCTCCCCACCTCAGCCTCCTAAAGTGCTGGGATTACAGGCATGAGCCACCATGCCCGGCCTCTCCTGGGTTTTCTTAATCTTTCCATTTAAAGGATTTTTAAAAACCCGAACATTTGTTGAGCACCTGCCTTGTGTCCAGGCTGTGCTAAGGGGGGATATGCGGTGGCCAGACCTTCTGGATCCTTGTCTTCCTGTGTGTGGCCTCAGGAGCTGTGCCTGCTCTGCGCCTCCACTCTCTGCTCTGGCGCTCACTCTCCTCCTTCCCTTCCCTGCTGCCTATGCCTCTCCCCACATGCTCTTTCTTGACAGTCTTGTCTACCATGGCCTCAGCTACCAGCTACCGCCTGAGGACTCCCCAGCCTTCAGTCCAGAACATTCTGGACAGAACATTATTCTGTAATGACCTTCAGAGTCTATCAGGATCCCTCTGCCTGCCCCTAACCCTGGACTCCAGGCACCCCCTCCAGTTCTTCCTTCACAAATTGCCACAGTGCTTTCTCTAAGTCACACTGGTCCACTGCGACTGCTCAGTGCTACGAGGTGGAATCCTCATTCTTTCACCCACTCGACTCCTATTCATCCTGTAAGACTCAGTCCAGGTATCACCTCCTCCAGCAGGTCCTCCAGGATTGACCCAGTGACTCTGCTCCATGTGTCCCCAGCACAGGAGCTCCCCTCCAGCATGGTGGGATAGAGCCCAGGGCCTGGCACAGAGTGAGAATGGCCCCAGTGAATGTGGACTGGAGACCCAGTGGCTGTAAGAGCTCACAAACAGTCTAAATCTCTTGTTTTACCCACAGGGACAGGAGGTCTAAGGTCTCAAATGGATTTACCAGCAAAGCCAAGACTCTAGCCCAAGTGCCTGGATCCCATTTCAGAGTCTGTCCCATCAGAGCACACAGCCAGGAAGGTGAGACAGCAGGTATCGTGGAGAGAGGCCACTGATTGGTCAGTGTCAGGCATGCTGAGTTATCTGTGGCCCTGTCCTATTCTGAGCATATTTTCCTCTGCACAGATAAAGTCAGATCTTTGCACTTGTCCAGTGAGGTGTTCCTCACGGTAAATGGATGACAATTGACAAAGTGCCTACTGTGCGCCCACCTTGGCCTGGGGCTTTCGTGGGTGTTATCTTGCTTCCATTGTCTTGGGGAAGGAGCCAGGAGGGATGTGGAGGACAGAGGACTTCCTTAAAGGTGGGATCATGGCACAGCACCTTGGCTTCTTCCTTGAGTGCTGGGCGCTCGGCAGGTGCTTGCCAAGGTGTGCGTTGCACAGAGGATTTGCTGGCTGGGTCCCATGAGCTTGCAGAGCTGAGCTTGGCTGGAGAGTAATTGGAATACCAAAAATGCTCGACCTCGGACTGCAGCTTCCGTATCACCAGGGCCAGCTGGGCTGTGGTCCCAGCTTCCAACTCAGAGACCTGGGTTCTTCCACTGAGTCCCAACTGGTTGAGCACTTCTGGGATGAGTTCTGGTGCAGCGTGGTGCTCCAGTATCCAGCATGGGCCCTGACACTCAGGAGGCCCTCGTATATGGCTATTGAGAGATTGAGCTACCTGTGCCATCTTGGAGGTGGCCATGTCCCTCAGGCCTCAGTCTCCTGGTAACAAAAAGGGATCCTTTCTCGTTCCAGAGGACAGGACTTAAAACCCTTAGGGGTGAGCGCTCCTTGAGCACTTACTGTATGCCATGCCCTGTTCTAACACTTCACATGTGCAAACTCGTTTAAGCCTCATGACTATTCTTGGTACTATTCAGGCCCCATTTCACAGATGAGGAAATCGAGACTCAGAGAGGTTAGGTAGCTCTCCAAGGTCCTGCAGCTGGTGAGTGGCAGAGTCAGGATTTGAACCCAGACCATCTGGCTGCATGGTTCATGCTCCTAACCACTACATCTATGGACTTTTTCATTGGCTGTCATCCTGGTCCAGAGCTGTTGCAATTTAAGAGGGAGCCACTGTTGTTCTTATTATTACTAAAGGACAAACCCACAGGCATGGCTGGAGACAGAACCTTGTTTCTGGGACTTAATTTGAGGAAGGGTGCAAAAAGGGGGTGTGGGGAATATCCCAGTTTGACCAAGGATTTGCAAAGGACAATCCACGTAAGGCATGAATCTAATCCTGTCTTGTCCTTGAATTGGCACTGGGCTCAACTCCTTTTCTTCATTCCTCTGTGGGAGTGGTGGGAGCCAACTCACCTTCCAGGGTCACAGAGACCTGACCTCCCAAGGAGGCTGGTCCCTGCTCAGACCAGGCAGCCTAGGAGCCCCTCAGCTGCCCCATCAGGACTCATCGCACCTTCTTCCCCAGCCTTGGCAGCTGGCCCTGGGACATGAAGGGGACAGGAGCACCAGAATGGGGAAGGGTCAAGGCTGAGCCTTGCTCCCGTCAGTCTCCAACCTGCTTGTTTGAGCAGGAGACTTGGGCATCTGGGCAGATGGAGGACGGGCCCGTTCTCATTCAGCAGAGTCTCCTGTAGGGCTCTCCTGGTGTTTAGTAGGTGCTGAGTCCTGGGCGATAGCAGAGTCTAGTGGGCCGGGGCACAGGTTGGGGATGGGGGATGGGATCAGGGAGGCAGGAGGAGGCTGGGATATGTGGCCAAAGCTATGGACTTAGGAGTCAGGTTTTTATCCTAACCCTCCCCTAACCCCCATTTCCTTGGGAAAGTTACTTCCTGCCCAGAACTCCCATTTCTTTTTCTTTAAGATGGAGATCATAATACTGTCCCTGTGAAAATGAAACAGAAGCACAGATGTAGGACCAAGTGTAAGGTCTGGGCCATACAAAGCATGGAATAAAGGTGGCTGCTGTTATTACAACTCATACCAGGGGCTCTTGCCAAGTGAGCTAACATGGCGGGTCTGTATGCCCGTAAGTAGGCACGTGACTAGGCCTGGTCAATCAGAGGATTCCACTGATTCTGGATAGACATGTGACTCAAGCTTGGCCAATGAATTCAAGCCCTGGGACTTTTGTTGGAACCATTGGGAAGAGAGGCCCTCTTTCTGCTGGGGTTGATGAGAGGATAGGAGACCAGCCTAGAGCTGCTGGTAGTTGTTATGCCTCCATGAGGGAAGAGACTCCCTCTGAGGATTAGGCTGGTCGAGAGGTGGAGAGAGAGAGATTAAGACCTGATGTCATGCCTTGATTCTCTGCAGCCAGCCTTGCCTGAAATCAAAGCAGATTCATGCATATGAGTCAAAAAACTTTTCTTTTTAGAGCTTGTTTCTGTTACTTGTAATTAAAATAGTCTTGAGTAATGAAGGTTAATTCAAGGCTATGAGAAGTCTGGTAAACTTTGTTCTGAAATGCTTGGTTTTGGGGGAGACAAGTAGTCACACTCAGTAGATCAGCCAAAAAATATCCTTCCTAGAATGTGGTTTGGAAAGGGAGAAGGCTTCATGAGAGTCACACGCCAGAGGAGACAGTAATAACTGTGGACATAGCCACGTAAGTCATTCATTCATTTGACCATTCAAAGGGACTTAGAGAGCACCTACTGTGTGCCAGACAGTGGGTACAACAATGCTGTCTCCATAGAGCTTAGTGGGAAGATATGCATCTATGAAATAATGACAAGTGCCCTGAGTGACACTGAGGGAGAAGCTCTGGGTGGGTATAATGGGGTTGGGAAAGCCTTTTCTGATGGAATGATGTTTAAACTGAGGTCTGAAGGAGGAGAAGAGTTGTCTGGAGAAGGAGTCTGGGGGAGAGGGGCCAGAGAGTGTGCCAACCAGATGTGCTGAAGTGTTTGAGGGACTGGATGAAAGGAAATGCCTCTCTGGATCTGCAGTGGGGAGAGGAGCGGGTGGGAGGGAGTCCAAGTGGGGCAGAGACCATTAGGAGGCTTTAAAGAGAGGATGCTGGCTGGGAAGGAGAGCAGCAGGGCCACTGGAGGCGGAGTAGCGGGTGAAGCAGGAAGGGGGATGAAGTGAGGGCACTGATGAGGGTCCCAGGAGTGCTTGGGGTGGCTTTCAGCTGGAGAAAGTTGTCTAAGAACCTTGACATGGTCTGGAGGCTGCTGTTGGAATCTTCCAGCTGCCTAGGGAGAGAGTTCTGGCTTGGGGGTGGTGCAGGAGCATGGGGAGGAAGACCAGGAGAGAGAGTGAGTGTTCTTTCACACGGCCCCCGAACACCCAGCACCCAGATCAAAGATGTCATCTGTACCCAAGGAGCCCCCCGCATGTCCCATTCCATTCTCTAGCCATCTCTTGAAGGAAATCACTATCCTGACTCCTGTCAGCATGGATTAATGTTACCTTTTTTTTTTTTTTTTTGAGGCAGAGTCTCACTCTGTCGCCCACGCTGGAGTGCAGTGGTGTGATCCCAGCTCACTGAAGCCTCTGCCACCCGGGTTGAAGTGATTCTTGTGCCTCAGCCTCCAGAGTAGCTGGGACTACAGGCACATGCCACCACTCCTGGCTAATTTTTGTATTTTTAGTAGAGACAGGATTTCCCCATGTTGGCCAGGCTGGTCTTGAACTTCTGACCTCAAGTGATCCTTTTGCCTCGGCCTCCCAAAGTGCTGGGATTACAGGCATGAGCCACCGCACCCAGCCAATATTGCCTATTTTTGTGATTTACATAAATGGAATCACATGGCATGTCCTCTTTTTGTGTGTGTGGCTTCTTTCTCTCAACCTCATGTCTGTGAGACTCATCCAGGCTGCGTGCACTGGTAGATTGCTCATTCTCATTGCCAAATAGAATTCATTATACGGCTATACCACAAATTAGTTATTCTACTGTTAATGGACATGTGAGTTGTTTCCAGTTTTTGGTTGGTACAAATAATGCCGCTAAGAACATTTTTGTGTTATACATACCTTCTGGGGCATATCACCACTCATTTCTATTGGGTTTAAACCTCCGTATGGGATTACTGGGCCATGGAGTATGTGTACGTTCACTTTTGTAAATTCTGCCAGTTTCACAAAGCAGTTGTACATCTTTACACTCCACCAGCAGTGAACGAGAGTTCCAGTTCACTTGCTCCACATCCTTGCCAACACTTTATTGTCAGTTTTTCTCATTTTGGTCATTCTTATGAGCTTGAACCAGTGTCCCATTATGGTTTTAATCTGGCCATTGGATAGTTTCTTTTTTTTTTTTTTTTCAGACAGGATCTCGCTCAGTCGCCCAGGCTGGAGTGCAGTGGCACGATCTCGGCTCACTGCAAGCTCCGCCTCCCTGGTTCACACCATTCTCCTGCCTCAGCCTCCTGAGTAGCTGGGACTACAGGCGCCCGCCACCACACCTGGCTAATTTTTTTTTGTATTTTTAGTGGAGACGGGGTTTCACCATGTTAGCTAGGATGGTCTCGATCTCCTGACCTCGTGATCCACCCACCTTGGCCTCCCAAAGTGCTGGGATTACAGGCGTGAGCCACCACGCCTGGCCTGGATAGCCACTTTGGTGAAGTGCTTTTTCATTTCTTCTGCCTATTTTTGTATTGGATTGTCTTCTTTTCTTAATTCATTTTTTTTTTTTTTTTTTTGAGATGGAATCTCCCTCTGTCACCCAGGCTGGAGTGCAGTGGTGCCATCTCGGCTCCCTGCAACTTCCGCCTCCCGGGTTCAAGGGATTCTCCTGCCTCAGCCTCCCAAGTAGCTGGGATTACAGGTGCCCACCACCACACCCGGCTAATTATCTGTATTTTTAGTAGAGACGGGGTTTCACCATGTTGGCTAGGTTGGTCTCGAGCTCCTGACCTCAGGTGATCCACTTGCCTCGGCCTCCCGAAGTGCTGGGATTATAGGCATGAGCCACGGCGCCCAGCTGGTTTGTAGAATTCTTTATATATTCTGGACATAGGTTCTTTGTCAGATGTATGGATTTCAAATATTTTTCTCCCACTCATTAGCTTGTCTTTCTACTCACTTAGGGGAGTCTTTCAGTGAACGGAAGTTCTAAACCTTAAGCTGCTAAATGTATCCATTATTTTCTTTTATGGTTGGTGCTTTCAGTTTTCTGTTTAAGAAACTTTTGCCAGCCCAGAGGTCATGAAGCTATTCTCTTATGCTTAGAAGCTTTTATTTATCTTTCACATTTAGACAGACAGTTTATCTGGAATAACTTTGTGCATGGTTTGTGAAGTAGAGGTCAAGGCTTTTTCCTTGTGGGGACACCTAGTTGATCCTTTACTGAAAAGATTTTGCTTCCCACACTGCAGTGCAGTATCACCTTTGTCATGCATCCGGTATCACAGGTGTGGGGTTGTTCCTGGACTCCCTAAGCTAATTGATGGGTCTGTCTATCCTTACACCAATATTACAATGCCTTTTTTTTTTGAGACAGGGTCTCACTCTGTCACCCAGGCTGGAGTGCAGTGGTGCGATCTCAGCTCACTGCAGCCTCGACTTCTCTGGGCTCAGGTGATCCTCCCATCTTACCCTCCCGAGTAGCTGGGACTACAGGAGTGTGCCACCATGCTCAGCTAATTTTTTTGTATTTTGTAGAGATGGGGTTTCACCACACTGCCTAGGCTAGTCTCCAGCTGCTGGACTCCAGCGATCTGCTCACCTCAGCCGCCCAAAGTGCTGGGATTCCAGGTGTGAGCCACTATGTTCAGCCTTTTTTTTTTTTTTTTTTTTTTTAAATATCAACTTTTATTTGGCATCTGGTGATATCTTGTTCAGAGAACAAGTCCTCTAGCTTGTTCTTCATTTTCAAGTTTGACTTGGATATTCTTGGTGTTTTGCATTTCCAAACAAATTTTAGAATCATCTTGACACCTTTCTGTCTCTCTCTCTGTCACACACACACACACACACACACACACACACACACACACACACACTTATGGGATTTTAAATCATAATTTCACTGAATTTCCACATCAATATGAGGAGAATTGACATCTTTATAATAGGGAATCTTCTGATCCAGCTTATAGTTTGTTTAAAAAATAAAGTTGACTTTATATTTTCCTTTGTAAAGTAATAAAGCAGAAGAATTGGAAATGTAAACATACAGAAAGAAGTGAGTTTTGGCCAGATGTGGTGGCTCACACCTGTCATCCCAGTTCGAGACCAGCCTGGCTGACATGGTAAAACTCCGTCCCTATTAGAAATACAAAAATTAGCCAGACATGGTGGTGCACACCTGTAATCCCAGCTGCTTGGGAGGCTGAGGCACGAGAATCACTTGAACCCGGCAGGGGGACGTTGCAGTGAGCCGAGACTGTGCCAGTGCACTCCCGCCTGGGTGACAGAGCGAGACTCTTTCTCAAAAAAAAAAAAAAAAAAAAAAAGTGGTTTTCTTTTGTGCTCATTTAATGCCCATACCCACCAGTGCTAAGATGATGGTGGGTCTTTTTTCTACACATTTTACTTTACATCACTGATGTCATAGTGGGCAACATTCTATTTTACACTTAACTTTATTTATTTATTTATTTATTTGAGATGGAGTCTCGCTCTATCACCCAGGCTGGAGTGCAGTGGCACAATCTCAGCTCACAACAACCTATGCCTCCCAGGTTCAAGTGATTTTCCTGCCTCGGCCTCCCAAGTAGTTGGGATTACAGGTGCTCGCCACCACGCCAGGCAATTTTTTTTGTATTTTTAGTAGAGATGGGGTTTCACCATGTTGGCCAGGGCTTGTCTCGAACTCCTAAGCTCAGGTGATTCGCCCACCTCAGCCTCCCAAAGTGTTGGGATTACAGGCGTGAACGACTGCGCCCCGCCACACTTAACTGTAGAATATGTTTTTTTCATGTTATTTCAAATTCTTTGTAAACATAACTTTCAATTACTAGAAAGCCATTTATAAGTTGATATTCCATAGTTCACCTAACTACTCCCCTATTATCATATGCTTAGGTTGTTTTCCAACATTTTCTACATGAATGACACAGTGGTGACATCTTTGCACAGGGGTCCTTATCTGGATCTGATTATGAGAGACTCCCAGAAATGAAATGATTGACTGAAAGGTATGAACATTTTAAGGCTCTTGATCCTTGGCATGGAGCCAGTCAGTGGTAGAGCCAGGACTATAAGCTGAGGCCCTGGCCCTGTCCAGTCCTCTTCCTCAAAGGCCAAGTCCCTTGGCCTTGGGGCTCCCAGGCAGTAGAGGAGACACAGCCTCTTTCCTTCAGACTCAGGGTCATTCTCGTTGGCCTCACCCCAGGATTTTCCTGCTGGATAACCATGGTGACCAGGGTAACCATGAGCCAGAGAGGTAGAGGAAGCCACTTGCCCTCACTGATCTGGGTCATGGTGAGAAAAGACAGCCCTTTGCTGGGCCCTGAGGGAGTGGAGCTGAAGGACAACATTCCTTTTGGCGAAGCTCTGCCAAGGTTTCCTGTACGCCTTCTAGGTGTTGGGCAGAGTGGGGATAGTGGAAGAGGTAGGGTATAGGTTCAGAAGGTGTGGGGAGGAGTTCTGGTCATTATTTCTTCTTTTCTTCCTTGTTATTCTTTCATTCATTTATATAATTTTATTTTATTTTTGAGACAGGGTCTTGCTTTGTCACCCAGGCTGGAGTGCAGTGGTGCAATCACAGCTCAATGGGGCCTTGAACTCTGGGGATCGAGCAATCCTCCTGCCTCAGCATCCTGAGTAGTGGGGACTGCATATGCATACCATCAGGCCTAGCTAATTAAATTTTTTTTTTTTTTTTTTTTTGTAGAGATGGGCTCTTGCTATACTGCTCAGGCTGGTCTCGAACTCTGGGCTCAAGCGATCCTCTTGCCTTGCCCTTCCAAAGTGCTGGGATTACAGGTGTGAGCCACTGTGCCCAGCCTTCTGGTCATTATTTCTTTTGTGATTATGGGCACAAGGTGATGTCAGTTCTGCGAGCCTCAGTTGCCCCATCTGTTAAAATGGGTACAATACACCCATCTTGCCGGGCTGTTGAGAGTTTAAACAAGATGAAGTGGAAGACAGGCCGTTGTAAATGGCTCAGGTCAGGAGCTCAAACATAGGCATTTAGGGGGAAAAACCCTTCTTATCCCTAAAGGACGATCTTAGATCTCACCATATCCTCACATTCTTTCCTGTTTCTTCCTCCCAGCCAAAAGATCCTCCCTGGGCTAGCCGAAGGGTCATTGGTCGTGGTTTCTTCTGCTTCCAGGACTCTTTGTGGTTCTCTGATGAGGCATCCCATGGACATGTGTCCTTCCTTCCTGATGGCTCTCAGGGTCTTGGCAAGAGTTTAGGGACCCTGGTCAGCATCTCAGAGGGGTGCCCCCGTTGTCCTGGGTGTTTGCTACTGTCTTGTCTGAGATGGGCATCATGGTTAGCACTCAGGACAACTACCCTTTGCTCCCCGACTGGCTCCCACTCAGAGGTGATCTTGGCAATTCCCATAGTAGATGTCACCTCTTCATGAGCTGAGGCCCCTCAGGCTTGATCATGATGGGAGGGGATGGTTGGACCTGATGCCATGAGAGGTCCCATTCATATGTGGCTTCCCATGCTGGAAGAAGTGGCGGCAGCACAAGCTTATGCTCACATCCCTTATTTCTGGTCTATTTGGTGCCGTGACAACTGGGGCAAAGGCCAAATCTCCTACCCTGAGCTACCTTTCTATTCTGCACATCAACTCATCTCTTGGGACAGAACTAGTTGGACAGGGCTAGACCTCTGCAGACATCTCCTGGGTTTCCTGTATGTAGAAGGTGAGGAGTGTTAGCAGAAAGAGCCCAGCGATGACCTCCTACAAGCAGGCTCAGTGTGTGGGGTGCAGATCTCTGCTCTGGTCCTTCATGATGCAGAGATGAGTTAGAGAAAGCTGGGTAGGACTCAGGTGTCTTTGTGTCTGTTCCAAGAACTAGTAGGTTCTGGGCATCCCGCCCAGAGGGTTTTCTGGCCACTTGTCCACTAATCAAAGCTTGACCCTGTCCCTTGGCAGCTGTGTGACCTTGAGCAGTGCAGGCAACTTCCTTAAGCTTTAATTTCCTCTTCTGTTAAAGAGGGTATATTAAATATCCCTCCTTCAAATGAGGGTGATAATCATCTCTATAAAATAGGAGTAATCATAATCTGTCCATATGGGGTTTTTTCTTTTAAATTAATAGACTTTGCTTTCTAGAAAGTTTTAGGTTTAGAGAAAAATTGAGCAATAGTTCAGAGAGTTCCCACACACTGCTCCCTCTCCCATACTCACAAACACAGTTTCCCCTCTTATTACCATCTTGCATAAATGTGATACATTTGTCATCATTGATGAATCAATATTAATAGTTATTATTAGGTAACACAGGTAGTTTACATTAAGTTTCACTCTTTAAGTGGTACAGTTCTATGGGTTTTGACAAATGCATGATGTCCTGTGGCCTCCAGTGTAGAATAATACAGAATACTTTCACTGCCTAAAAAATCCCCTGTGCCTCCTAGCCATCCCCCTTCCCCACCTACTTTCACTCCACCACACCCGTACCTCAGGAACCCCTGGAAACCACTGATCTTTTTCTTGTCTTCATAGTTATGCCTTTTCTAGAAGGTTTCCATATAATTGGAATCATGCAGTGTATAGCCTTTCTAGATTGGCTTCTTTCACTTAGTAATATGCACTTAAGGTTCCTTCATGTCTTTTCGTGGCTTGATGTTCATTTCTTTTCTTCTTCTTCTTTTTTTTTTTTTTTTGAGATGGAGTCTCCCCTTTCATCCAGGCTGGAGTGCAATGGCATGATCTCGGCTCACTGCAACCTCCGGCTCCCAGGTTCAAGTGATTCTCCTGCCTCAGCCTCCCGAGTAGCGGGGATTACAGGCATGCACCACCACGCCCGGCTAATTTTGGTATTTTTAGTAGAGGTGGGGTTTCACCATATTGGTCAGGCTGGTCTCAAACTCCTGACCTCGTGATCCGCCCACCTCAGCCTCCCAAAGTGCTGGGATTACAGGCACGAGCCACCGCACCCAGCCCATTTCTTTTCATTGCTGAGTAACATTCTGTTGTATGGATGTACCACTGTTTATTTATTCACCTTTTGAGGAACATCTTGGTTGATCCAGATTTTGGCAGTTAGGAATAATAAAGCTGCTATAAACATCTGCGTGGAGGTTTTTGTGTGAACCTAAGTGTCCAACTCATGTGTATGAATACTGAGGGGCATGATTGCTGGATTGTGTGGTAGATGATGTTTAGCGTTGTAGGAAATGGCTAGACTTTCTTCCTGTACCATTTTACATTGCCACCAGCAGTGAATGAGAATTCCCGTTGTTCTGTTTCCTTGCTAGCATTTGGTGTTGTCAAGTTTTTGGATTTTAGTTGTTCTAATAGGAGTGTAGTGGTATCTCATTGTTGTTTGAATTTGCCATTCCCTAACAACATACGATGTTGAACATCTTTTCATATGCTTATTTGCCATTTGTGTATCTTCTTTGGTAAGGTGTTCAGATCTTTTTCAATTTTTAAATGGGATTTTTTTCTTATAGAACTTCAGAGTTCTTTGTATATTTTGGATACAAATCCTTTATGAGATACATGTATTGCAAATATTTTCTTTCAGTCTGTGGCTTTTTATTCTCTTAATGATGTCTTTCACAGAACAGAAATTTTTAATTTTAATGAAGTCCAGCTTATCACATTTTTCATTCAGAGGTCATGCTTTTGGTGCTGTATCTAAAAACTCATTGCCAAACCCAAACTCACTTAGATTTTTCTCCTGTTTTATTTTCTAGGAGCTTTATAGTTTTCTATTTTACACTTAGGTCTATGATCCAGTTTGAGTTAGTTTTTGTGAAAGGTGTAAGGTCTGTGTCTAGATTTTTTAAAATTTTATTTTTGCATGTGGATGTCCAGTTGTCCCGGCACCGTTTGTTGAAAAGACTATCCTTTCTCCATTGAATTGCCTTTGCGCCTTTGTCAACTATAAGATAACTATATTTGAGTGGGTTAAATTTTGGGGCTGTCTCTTCTGGTCTATAGATTTATGTGTTTTCTCCTTGCCAGTGCCATGCTATCTTGACTACTGTAGCTTTCTAGTAAGTCTAAAGCCAGGTAGTGCCAGGCCTCTGACTTGGTTCTCATTCAGTATCGTATTGGCTATTCTGGATCTTTTGTCTTTCCATATATATTTTAGAATCAGTTTGTCAATATCCACAAGTAACTTGCTGGGATTTTCATTAACATTGCATTGCATGTATATATAGAGCAAATTGGGAAGAAGCTGACCTCTTAATCATATTGATTCTTCCAATTCATGAATATGGAATATCTTTTTAGATCTTTGATTTCTTTCATCAGGGTTTTGTAGTTTTCTTCACATAGATCTTATACATGTATTATTAGATTTATACCTAAGTACTCCAGTTATTTTATTTTTTGGTGCAAATGTAAATGGTATTGTGTTTCAAATTCTTCTTGTTCATTGGTGGTATATAAGAAAGCAATTGACTTTTGTATACTAACCTTATATTCTACAACCTTGCTATAACCCTTTGCTATAATTAGTTCCAGGAGGGTTGTTTTTATTTTTTTGTCCATTCTTTGGGATTTTCTACCTAGACAGTCATGTCATCTGTGAACAAAGATAGTTTTCCTTTCTTTTTTCCCAATGTACATACTTTTAATTTTATTTTCTTGTCTTATTAGATTAGCTAGGACTTCCAGTATAATGTTGAATAGGAGTTGTGAGAGAGGACATCCATGCCTTGTTCCCAATCTCAGGGGGAAAGTGTCTGGTTGCTTGTCATTAAGTATGATGTTGGCTGTAGTGTTTTTTGTAGTTTTTGAAAAAATCAAGTTGAGGAAGTTTACCCCTATTCCTAATTTGCTGAGAGGTGTTTTTTGTTTTTGGTGTGTGTGTGTGTGTGTGTGTGTGTGTGTGTGTGTGTGTGTGTGTATGTTCTATCATGAATGGATAATGGATGTTGAATTTTGTTTTTCTGTCCACATAGGGCTTTGAGAGGGTTAAATGAGTGGGTCTGGAGCACCCAGCACAGGGGCTGGCATGTAGGTTCAACATATGTTATAACTGAAGGGAAATATTTTGTGTTAAACACACAGACTCCAGAGCCAGACTGCCTGAGTTCAAATCCTAACTCTACCACTTATCAGCTGTGTGACCTTGAGTAAGTTACTTAACCTCTCTGCACCTCATTTTCCTCCTTTCCTATAAAAGGAGGATGATAATAGTATCTCTCTCATAGAGTTGCTTATGGATTAAATCAATGAATTATTTGTAAAAGCTTATAAAAGCACATAGTGTTATGTAAGTATCAAGTATTATTAGTACTATTACTATTATTATTAATTATGTTGTTATTATTAATGCTATTAACCACGTGGTTACCCTCCTTTTAATTTCAGCTGCATTTCTACACATTAGAGAAGCAATTGAGAATAGGTGGTCAGATGGTCTGGATTTGAGTCCCAGCTTTCTCATTTACTATCTGCATGACATTAGACAAGTGACATAAACTTGCACAGTACAGGTACCTACTTTGTGGAGTTAATATATGGATTTAGTGAGTTGCATATGTAAAGTACTTAGAAAAATGCTTGCCAAAGCCTGTTGGCTATTATTATTATTATTTTTATTTTTTGAGATGGAGTTTCATTCTTGTTGCCCAGGCTGGAGTGCAATGGGCAATGGCGTGATCTCGGCTCACTGTAACCTCTGCCTCCCGAGTTCAAGCGATTCTCCTGCCTCAGCCTCCCAAGTAGCTGGGATTACAGGCATACACCACCACGCCTGGCTGACATTATATTTTTAGTAGAGATGGGGTTTCTCCATGTTGGTCAGGCTGGTCTCGAACTCCCAACCTCAGGTGATCCACCCACCTCAGCCTCCCAAAGTGCTGGGATTACAGGTGTGAGCCACCGTGCCTAGCTGCTATTATTATTATTGTTATTATTATCATTATTTCTGGAGTCCAGCTTCTCAAGGCCCAGTCTCTAGCTGGGTCACTCAGAGACTGTTGGATGACACAGACCCGGGATGCACAGTCTAGGGAAGCAGCATGCAGCTGGTGGGTAATCTGACCATTAGGGCTGCCCTAGAGCCTGTCCAGGAGGTAGTGTGCCCTCTGTCACTGGAGGTGTTTAAGCAGAAGCTGCAGGTTTGGCTGGATGATCCAGAAGCTTCTCTGTAGGTGGAGACTCTGGGAAGTATTAGCGGGGGTCAGAGAGGATGGAGCTCAAGGTTCTGAGAAGGTGCTTTAGAAAAATGCTTGGGAGCTGGGCGTGGTGGTCCACGCCTGTAAACCCAGAACTTGGGGAGGCTGAGGTGGATGGATCACCTGAGGTCAGGAGTTCGAGACCAGCCTGGCCAACATGGTGAAACCCCATCTCTACTAAAAATACAAAAATTAGCTGGGTGTGGTGGTGTGCACCTGTAGTCCCAGCTACCCTACTCAGGAGGCTGAGGCAGGAGAATTGCTGAAACCCAGGAGGCGGAGGTTGCAGTGAGTCGAGATCGCACCACTGCACTCCAGCTTGGGCGATACAGTGAGACTCCTTCTCAAAAAACAAAACAAAACAAAAAAGGATAAAGAAAAATGCTTGGGACTGGCTCAGACTCCCTTTCCCAGCTTTAATTAGAGCCATTCCACTTGTATCTGTTTTATATTTTGAAAATCCAGAGAGAATTTTTTTTGGGGGGGGTAGTGGGGAAAGGGGTCCTGCCACTAGGAACTATTTGAAAGCCTCATAGTCCACTCTGCATCACTTTTTTTTTTAACAGAAGGGGAAAACTGAGGCTCAGAGAGAGAAAGTTATTTACTGAGGTCCTGCAGCAAGTCTGAGGGAAGAACTGTTCTGAATCTGGGACTCCTAATGCCTAGTCCAGTGCTGGCTTGATTCCAACCTCCAGGGTCTTCCTGTGGCTGCCACCCCCAGCCTAGGATGGGTACGCTGCCCTCAGCCCCCTCCTTGGTTGGTGACATTGGCCCTGGCATCACTTGAGCTCAGCCCCCTGGAGTGGAATCTGCACAGGCTGCTCTCCCTAGGCTGAAGTGTTAACTTCAGCCCCTCACCTTGGACTCAGCTTATCTGGGCTCTCAGGAGCTACAGTGTCCCCATGGTGACACGAGGAGCCTATGCCATCCACTGAGGTTATATTCAGTCATTTATTCATCCAATTAACAAGTATTTATTGAGCTTCTACTATATGCAGGATATAGTGCTAAGTTCTGGGAAGATGGTGTTGTGTGATTTAAATGAGTCCCTGCCCGCATGCATCTTAGTTACAGTCTAGTAGGGATGGTGGACAAATAAACAGTTGATTCCATTTGAAGATTGGTTTAGTCAGGGTAGGCCAAGTGTTGTAACAAACAATCCTAAAATTTCAGGAGCTCAATACAAAGTGGGATTTCTGGGCAGGTGGCTTTCTTCAGCTGCCCTCATCTAAGTGATTCAGGGATTTAGGCTCCTTCTGTTGGTGGCTCTGCCCTTCTGCAGATCCTCAGAATCCTCTCCATTCAGCTGGAAGATGGGGACAATGAGCAAGCATGCAGGATCTTGTGGGAAGTCAAGGCCAGGCCTGGAATGGTATCCATCACTTCTGACCTTCTTCCATTGGCCAGAATTCAACAACATGGCCCCACCAACTCCAAAGGAGGCTGGGAAATGTAGTCTAGCTGTGTGACTGGGAAGAGAGGGAGATGTGGTTTGTTGAGCACACTGTAGTCTGTGCCAAAAGTGTGATCACTTCTAAGTTAGAGATAAGCTAGAAGTATTGTGGGGGCACCTCAGAAAAGCTTTGTAGGGTAGGTGACATCCGACCTGAGACCTGGAGAATGAATAGGAGTTGGCCAGGGGAAGAGGAGGGAGAGAAGTGTTCTTGCATAGGAGAAGGCTGAGCGTGATGTGTTAGGAGAACTAGAAGAGATATTCAATCTTGCTAGAGCTGAGCCTGGTGGCTGGGGAGGGCAGTGAGCCATGAGGCTGGACCAACAGTGGGATCTAGGCTTGAATGATTGTGACAATCAGGACATGGGAGCCAGGAAAGGGGAATGACACAGTCAGATCAGCCACTGAGATAGATCTCTTTTGCTTCTGAGTAGAGGATGGACCAGAGGGTCAAGAGGTGGGAAGCTGCTGGAGTCTCCAGGTCGTGGGTGATGTGGCTAGACTGGGGAATGGTTGTGGTGTGGGAAGGAAACAATGCTATATAGAAGGAAGAAGAGAGAGGACCTGGTGATCCATCAGATGAAGGGGTGATGAGGAAGTCTCAAGGACACTGCTGAGCTTATGTAGTTACAACTTGGCTGGTTCCACCAGAGTGGTTGGCCACATCTGACCCACTAGCTGTTTTGTAAATAAAGTTTTACTGGAACACGGACATGGCCATTCATGTATGCATTGTCTACAGCTGGTTTTATGCTGCGGCAGCACTTGTTTGTTGTGACAGAGACTGTATGGTCCTCAAAGCCTAAAATATTTACCATCTTGCCCTTTACAGATCAGTTTGCTGACTCTTGAGCTGAACAGTTTTTTATTTCAGTAAATTTATTAGAATGAGTTAAAATAGTATTATGCTTAGGCTGTCATTGCTTCATTCATTCATCTTCTATTTCCTGGCCCTCTTTGATGGTGCTGGCCCTGCCTGCCTGAGTCCAAATAACTGTTCTGGTTGCTGCGGGCAGCAGTCTTAGAGGCAGATGCCTGCTTCTGCACCAGGGCGCATGCCTGTGGTGGGATCTGTAGCACACCTGGCTGATGCTGTTGCTGGCCGAGATGTGGGGCCAGCCTGAGCCAAGCTGGCTTCTGGGGCTGGGTTGTTCGGGTCTTCTGGGGTGATCGCGTTTCCACGAAGTGATTCTCAGACATGGTGTCGTTTACTCCTAATGACAGTCCCTGGGGGTCAACATTACCATGCCTCCATTGCGTGGATAGGAAACCAAGACTTGGAGAGATACTTGCTCAAGGCAAAAGGGCAGATGCAGACAGAGCTCTTCTGGGTCTGAGATGAAGATCCAGGAAAGGTGGTCTCAAGTCCTTCTCCCCCGAAGACCCAGGGCGCAGGACAAGAGTGTCCACTGCACCAGGACTCCTGGACCTCCCAGCCATCTGGCACCTCCTCTGTGTTGGTCCCAACCAGGGGTTACAGATGTGAGCTGGACAGTGTGGGAATGCAGCTTCGCAACAGTAATTAGTTTATTCCTGAGGTCAGCAGTCTAAATAGTAGAAAAATGTATTTCCTGTTCCAAGCCAAATAAGCAAGTGGCAGCCAGTTGGCCAGGTGCCACTGATGGGATTCCACCCGTGCATGTGCCTTGCCTTTGGCCACGAGTTTGGGCGGGAAAGCAGGAGAAAGATTGTCCCTTCACAGGTCCCGTCCTGCCCTTGACTGAGGACTTACTGGGAAGATTCCCACAGCTCAGGATCCTCCCAGGTAGTTCCAGGTTCCTGCTGTGACCGTGACCACTGAAGGGTGATGGATGTGCCAAGAAGGGCAGCGCCAAGGCAGGCTTTTCCCACTGGCACTCGCTCCATGTGCCTGGCACAGCTCCTGGCACGTGGGTGATGATCAAGAGATTCGTGAATGCACGAATGAATGGGATGGTGCCAGCTTTTCAAGTGGAAGGAACTGGATGTGTAGCAGAGGCCACATCAGTGGATGAGGGGGCAGAGCCGTTGTTTCGTTTTTGGGGTTTATTGAGGACATCAGAAACCACAGCCTTGGACCATTCCATTTGGTGCTGAAATAACCAGATGGCTGGATCCACCTTAGGCAAAGTGCTCCTGAATATATGGAGTTTTTTCAGGTATTCGGATGCTTCTTCTGTAATAGGTATGTCTGTAACCCTTCCACCTTTTGTTCATTCATTCGTTCATTTGTTCATTCATTCATTCATTTTTGCAGAGGTATTGCATGGTGGTTAGAAGTGAGGGAGGCAAGGAGGAAGATGCTTCATGCCTTTGCAAATGTCAGGCCCCCCATTGGGATCCCTTCTGATCACCCCCACATTGCTGGCTATCTATCCTCATCTTTTAAACGGTAGCTTAGAGGTTACTTCTATTAGAAGCTCCTGTTCCCACCCAGACTAGCCCCCAACCCCGACCTTTTCTGTGCTTTCCAGCCCCCTGTGTGGGTTCTGGCAGAGCCTCCATCACCCTGGTAGGTCCTTGTTTACTTGTCTGGATCCTTGAGGGCAGGGCCTGTCTGGTTCTTCACTGTGTCCCTGGGGTGGGGTCTGACCTAGTGTAGGAGCTCAATACATCACTGTTATATGAATAAATGAATGATAAATGAATGAATGACATATCTTTTTTTTTTTTTTTTTGAGACGGAGTCTCGCACTGTTGCCCAGGCTGGAGTGCAGTGGCTCCATCTTGGCTCACTGCAAGCTCCACCTCCCAGGTTCATGCCATTCTCCTGCCTCAGCCTCCTGAGTAGCTGGGACTACAGGTGCCCGCCACCACGCCTGGCTAATTTTTGTATTTTTAGTAGACATGGTGTTTCACTATGTTAGCCAGGATGGTCTCAATCTCCTGACCTCGTGATCCGCCCGCCTCGGCCTCCCAAAGTGCTGGGATTACAGGCGTGAGCCACCGCACCCGGCCATGAATGACGTATGTTACACTCCCGATCCATAACTTCCATCCCATTCTTAAAACCCTTTCTAATAAATAAATGCCATCATTTCTTCATTACAGGAATAGACTACCCTCTTCACCCTGAATATAGCTCACCAAGCTCTTTTATAAAGGGCCCTCACCCTCCATAGGGCAGGGGAACACTCTTGGTTCTCCTATTTCTTCACATCTTCTGCCCAGTGAACTGAAAGCACAGAGAGGGTGAGCAACTCACCTAGGCTCACACAGCCAGATCAGATTCTAGTTGGGAGCTCGGAGGATCCTGGGGATCATTCCTCATGTGGGAGCTGACAATTCAGGAATCCCCAGTAGAGCAGTGGGTGGGTAGTCTGAATGCTGCCTCAGGGGGCCCCTCCAGGGACTCTCCGATTTGGTGACATGGTCCTTTTCCTGCTTGAGCACGTACTGCCACTGACTCCTGGGGCCACTTTCTGCTTGTGAGCAGAGCTGGACACTTGCTGCATGAGTCAAAGATGTGACTCAGGCCCAAGCAAAGATGTTCTGAAAAGTTTAGGGGACCAGATGGGGCCCATGGATTAAGGGTCCTTCCTCGCCCCCTCATCTGCCGCTGGGCAGAACGTCACTGTCCCTCTATCAGGCAGGCTGCCCCTCTTTCTAGCCTCTTTGAGAATTCCACCTGAAACCCACAGAGACTTTCCACAGTCTACACTGTGGCACTCAGACAGCATTCTCTTCTAGAATCTTCTCCTTGGCCTCCACTTAGCCTTCTGTCCTGGGCCTGAGAACCCACAGATTTCCATTCCAGGATCCTAGGGCTCATCGACATTGGTTTGGTGAAAGCTCACCTACTGTTCCCACGTGTGGGAGCCTCATCACGCCTTCCCCTGTAACCATTAAAATGAGGTGAATGCCAATTTGCTTCTTCTATTTCTTTTATTAACAAGATATATGATTCTCTTTGCACCTGAATGGGTCTGTGGTAACTGAAATATAGAGTAACTGAAACCACCCTCAATTTTGTCTCCTTGCTGTCTCTCCTCCCTTCCCCTTTCCCATCTCTGTCTGGGTTGGGACCACGTGGTGCTGAGGAATTGAGATGTTGTAAATTACGGTCAGGGCTCCTGGGGGGCCTGGATCAGGCAGAAGCGAGCAGGGACCACAGGCGGTGCTGGCTGCCGTCTTCCCTCCCTCCACTCCTGTCCAGTCTAGTAATGAAGGCTTTGCAAAGGAAGCAGCTGCCCAGAGCCAGATTGGGGGTTGAGGGACAGACTCCTGAGTCCCCCTTTCCCACCTCTCTCTCCTGGGTGGTGTCAGCAGCAGCGAATCCAGGGTGCGTGGCTCTGAGCCAGGCATGGGGCCCGGCCAGGTGGCTTGTCCATTGGCTTTGGAAATCCTGGAGGCAGTCCTTGCACCCTGTGTGTCTCTGTCACTTGTCAACTGTAGCAATAGACACGTTCCCTCCAATCCCCCACCCTCAAACCCCTTCCCGTGCCAGGGTGTCCCTCACTTTCAGGCCATGGGGAAGCGCAGAGCAGGCAGAGCCCGTGGCCAGGGAGCAACACAGATTCGGTCCCCACTGTCTGGCATCTCCTGATCCGGGAGGAATTCGCCTGGAGAACAGAGCTTGGGCAGCTGGTGTGCTGTAACCGAGACGCAGCTGGTTGGCACGGGCTAGGGCCTTCTGATTGGGCCGCCGTGTTTGCAAGCTCCAAATCCTTGGCTCTCCTTGAACAACGAGGAATTCAGGATGCTGATCCCACCGAGGATGAAAAGGCCACGGGCTCCCAGACACCCCACCCTCTTACTCCCCAGGGGGTGTTTGGCTGAAGCCACAGAAGAATGGAGACACAGTGGCTGGGGCAGGGGCAGGGGCAGAGGTGGGGGATACGGCTCCAGCCCGTGCGGACACTGCTACCTGGCGGGGAGATCTTGGCAGGAGCAGGGAGAGAGGCTGACGCGGGAGGGGCAGTCATTGCAGAGCGCCCACTACCGGCCGGGCAGCACTTGCCAGAGGTTGCTCCCTCAGGATCATATTGAATCCATACAGCCTTCTTTTGAAGTAGGTTTTAGGAACTTTCTGTTGAGGAAACTGAGGCCAGAGGGCTGCAGCTTGCCTGAAGGCCCCAGAGAGGCAGGACCTGTCTGGCATCCAGGCCAGGCTCACTGCTAAGATCGCCTTTAACACAGTCATGACAGGAATCCTGTCCTTCTCCTCCCTGCCTCCCCGGGATCTCTAAGGATTGTGACAAATTGAAAATCCTATTAGTGTTCAATTAATGGGCTTTTCTTGTGGGGCAGCGGGCCGGAACGGCGGCCGAGGGCTGAGAGCATTCACCGGCAGAGGGTGTGGGCAGGGAGCGACGGTGGGCCTGTCTTTCCAGGGCCCCCCTCCTGCCTTTATTAACCAGCTCATCTCTCCAGCTGAGCGGCCTTTTATCTGGGAAGGGGCAAAGGCGCTTTGAACCTTGGAATTAAATTCTGCTGGGGCCTGGGACAAAGGATGGGGCCCTGAGTCGGCCGCCCCCTCCCTCATGGCCCCGACCTGGAAACATCTGAGGGCTTCGGGGCCGGGGGTGGTCGTCTCAGGTCTGTGACCCCAAGGGCAGGGGGCATGTGCCCAGCAGGGGTGGATGGGGCTTTGCGCTTTTCCAGGCTGTGAGAAGGCGCAGCAGGCTCGGAGCTGGCACGGAGGGGATTTTGGAGACTTCTGTCCACCCGCCGCATCCGTATGGCCTCTCCAGAGCTTTGGGCACATGCTAGTCCTCATTTGAGAATGGAGTGCCGCCTCTGGCCGGGCACTGTGTAGATTCTGGGGCTACAGCTGTGAACCAGACAGACTGCATTCCCGTCTCCTGGAGTTTGCATTCTAGTGAGTGGAGATAGAAGGCAACCCATCACATATCTGGTTCTGAAGAGTGCTGTGAAGGAAAATAAAGCAGACTGAGGAGACAGTGATGGAGGTGGTCAGGGAAGGCCCCCGGGAGGAGATGACATTTGTGTGAAGGCCTGAACGAAGTGTGAGGGAGTTGTGTGGATGTTGGAGGTGGCCAGGAGTAGGGACTGGGGCAGAGAGAACAGCAAATGTGGACACTTTGAGACCAGAGCGTGGCTGGGAGTTGGAGGAAGAGCAAGGAGGTCTGAGTGGTTGGAGTAAGGGAGCAGGGTAGGGGGAGGAGAGAGAGAGAGAAAGAAGAGGCAGGGAGGAGACTGAAGAGCATGGCGGGGGCTGCCTTCCCTTCAAATCTTAGGAGGTCGGGGTAGGAAGGAAGTTCCATATTCATCCCCCATTTCATAGTTCAGAAAACGGGGCGAGGTGAGGACGGGAATCATTCAGAGTTACATAGCGAGGTAGTGGCAAGAAGGGAACCAGATATGGGTCTCTTAACTTCCAGTCCGGTGCCTCCCAGACAGCAGTGGAATAAATGCAATACAAATTATAAGTATGATTTATTGAACGCTTATGTAATGGCAGGCTCTTTGCTAAGCCACACTTACATACATTGGGTCATATATTGTCTATTTACCTATATTAGCCTCTAGAGAACTATTGTGTACCCATGATACAGATGTGAAGCTGAGGCTTAGAGAAATCAAGATGACTGGAAAAGCTGGGATTGAGCCCAGCCTGCCCAATTTCAGAGCATCTCCTGTATCATTCCAGGCTCCAAGTTCCGTGGGGAGGGTTTAGCCCGGCCCTGCTGTGGGACAGGCCACATGATTTCCTATGGATGAGCTTATCTGTCCGTTTCCAACACCGGACCGCGGACTTCTGGAGGACAGGAAGGGGTTGCTCTCATCTCTGACCCCAGTGCCAGCCCTTTTGCTGGATCTTGAAATCAAGTGTGGGGTCTCCGATGTGATCACTGCCTCTCAGAGCCCAGTGTGTGCCGTTTCTGCCTGTTGCCGTTCCTGCAGCATCTCCCTTCTGTTGCTGCTTCTGACTGGTGCCGCCCCACCTTGGCTGCTAGGGTGGGAGCAGCCAGGGAAGGGTGAGAGGCCAGAGCCACAACGCCGTTTCCTCCTCTGTGACCCCAGCCCGGGCCCAGCTCAGACTCTGTGTCCAGTGTTAGTTTGAATGAAGGGACCGTGCATTGTATGCGTTCTGGGGAGGGGATTAGGTACAGAGTGAGCAAGGAGAGAAACAGGTGGAGGAGGCCAAAGAGGGAGCTCTGTCCCTGCCGAGGCTGAAGCTGTGATGCCAAGAAGGATGAATGCAGAGGACAACCCAGACACGGGTGGAGGCAGAAAGGGATGCACAGATACAGGGACCCCCAGAGAGGCAGGGAGACTGGGGGAGGCAGGTGCGAGGCCATTGCCGTGGGAGGATCGGCTTCCCAGAAGGAGGGACCTGTAAGCCAAGCTTTTCAGTAAGACCTAGGTGTGGGCAGGAAATGAGCAGGGATGGGCTGGTCAGGAAGCACTCGGAGGAGGCAGTGAGCAGGGCTTGTTTGTGGGGGGAAGAGGATGCCCCTGGGCAGAGGCTGAGGGGCATGTGTGAGGGGAGAGGGCGCTGCTGGTGGGTGGGCTGGGAAGGAGGGAGGCATCAAAGGCCAGGAAGCCAGGAGTTTGGATTTCAAAATTCCCAGTTCCCTACATCTCATCCCCCTGAGCTGTAAGTGCAGGAAGTGTGGCCCAAGGTCCTCTGGTCCCCGCAAAGATCGAATGTCAGGCTGAACATAGGTGCTGGTGATAGGAGTATGAAATCCTGGGGACCCTTGGACACCCTGATTCCTCATCTGACCACGTGCTCTGGTGGACAGTCTGGCCAGTAGGGTCAGGGGGATTGTGTCTTCATCACCGGATGCTCCTGCCTTTCCTCTCTATTCCTGCTACGGCTCAGGTTCCAAACTCCTGATTTCTCACCTGTCACAAGCATCCCTAACTACTCCCTGCATCCAGTAGCTTCCAGCCAATCCAGTCTCCAATCTGTAGCTGAAAGGGTTTTCCATTTTTTTTTTTTTTGACAGGGTCTCCCAGGCTGGAATGCAGTGATGTGATCCTAGCTCACTGCAGCCTCGAACTCCCGGGCTCAAGGAATCCTGCCTCAGCCTCCCAGGTAGCTAGAACTACAGGCATGTGTCACCATGCCCAGCTAAGCCTTTTATTTTTTTCTGAGAGATGGGGTCTTGCTATGTTGCCCAGGCTGGTTTTGAGCTCCTGGCCTCAAGCTATCCTCCCACCTTGGCCTCCAAAGTGTTGGGATTATAGGAATGAGCCAGCTCTCCTGATGCCAGAAGGGTTTTCTTTTCTTTCATTCTTTGTTTTGTTTTGTTTTGTTTTGAGACAGAGTCTTGCTCTGTTGCTCAGGCTCGAGTGCAATGGCACAATCTCGGCTCACTGCAACCTCTGTCTCCCGGGTTCAAGCGATTCTTCTCCCACAGCCTCCCGAGTAGCTGGGACTATAGGTACATGCCACCATGCCCGGCCAATTTTTGTATTTTTAGTAGAGACAGGGTTTCACCATATTGGCCAGGCTGGTCTCAAACTCCTGACCTCGTGATCCGCCCGCCTCAGCCTCCCAAAGTGCTGGGATTACAGGCGTGAACTACCGAGCCCGGCTGCCAGAAGGGTTTTCTAAAGCACAATCTGACCTAAAACCTTCTGTGATTCCCTAGAACCCACAGAATGGGTACTTGTGTGACATGGCCCTGTCTACCCCTCCAACCCCAGTATCACCCTTCCCCATCTCAAACCTTTGCTCTGGCCAGCAGGAATCACGGTTCAGCTTTGTTTTAGCATGCTGTTCCTTCTACAGAATGTCCTTTCCTTACCTTGTCCACTGGGGAACTTCTATACTTCAAAGCAGAATTCTGTCGTCCCTCATTCCAGGAAGGCTTCCCCACAACCCCCATGCTGTTCCTGGAGCCCCCCAGTCCTCCCTAGGATGGCGCACATGTAGCGCTTTGCCCTGTAGTGGTTGGGATACTCATCCCTTCCCTTTTAAATAGCGAGCCCCAAGCAGGCAGGGCCATGTGTGATTTACTTGTGTATCTGCAAAGCCTGGTAGCAGGCCTTGTGCAAACTCTTGCTCTTAGGAAATGGTTGAATGCATGAAGACTGGGGGCTGTGGGAGCCTGGCAGGGACCTCTGGGCCTAACCTGGGGGATGCGGGTCCTGGAGCTCCCAGGCTGGGCACCGGGATGGGGCAAGGCAGGAACTCAGCCTTTTCCTGGGGAGGTTATTTTGGTCATGGCAAATAAACCCCTTTGGAAAATGTGACCAGTTTCTGATCCCCGTGTCTTCACTCCTGACGCCCTCTTTTCAGCGTGTAACGAAGGCAGCAGCCTCTGTTAATAAAGAATAATTATGGGGCTGGATTAGAGAGATTATCGGGAACAGGTGGAGCCCCTTGCCCCACCCGTTCTGCCCGCTGTCGGCGGCAAAGATGAGCTCACAGTTTCCCTCTCTCCGGGGAGGATGTGCCGCTGGGGGCCTCCCAGCCACGCTAATCCTCTGGGGAGGGGAGAGAATCCTCCACCAGTCGCTTCCCACCGAGTTCCAGGTGGGATTCCAGGGGATCAGTGGAAAAGGGTATCCCCAGCACCCTGGGGTCCCCGCTGCTACCTTCCCACCCCTACTTAAGAAGGCAGGAAGACAGCAGATGAGAGGGGTTGGAGGGGAAAGCCCCCCCTCAAGGTGGCTGGTCCCAGCTCTGTCCCTGGCCCCAGCCTGGGCAACGTGGGCCACTGCTCCTGTCTCTGGGCTACAGCTTCCCTATGTATGATAAGCAGCTGGGCTACACCAGCCTTTCCCGAGCTGGGCTCTGAAGAAATCAGTTCTAGTTTTTTAATATCTAAGGACTCTGGGAATAAGTCCTGTGATCCCTTTTGGAAGATGAACTTGGAGAAACTATGGCAGAAGGACTGAGGACTGACCAGGGAATTAAACCCATTTGTCTCCAAGACTAAAACCTACCTGAGAGTCGTGATTATGGAACAGAATGAAACATGGAATAAATAAAACTATGTAGAAATGATGACTGACGTATAGTGGGAGGGAAAGGGGGAAATAAGATATGAAGTAATGGAAATACACAGATTTCCTTATCTTTTATAGCCGGGGCAAAAGATAGAGTTTAAATATGAAATTAATAGAGATATAATTACTTTTAATATTAAAGATATGAAGGTAAACATTAAAAATACAAAATAATAAGTTTGAGTCACAGATGGGAAGCGGATGGGAGAGGAAATAAAAAAGAATTCCACCAATCCTCCTAGGAATGGTTACATTCTCAATGCAATACAAGAAGAAATTAACAATGAAACATAACAAATTTTACCACTCTCTCTTGAATCAAGAAGGAAATCAAATCAAATTTCAGAAATGCAGACAATGGAGATAATAATAGCAATCCATATCAGGATGATGGAATACTACTAATGCAGAACTCAGAGAAAAATTCATAGCTTTAAGTGTTTTTATTAATAAAAATAAAGATCAAAAGTCCATACATTAATCCAAGAAGTTAGAAAATCATCAATAAAATAAACCTAAAGAAATCACAAGAAAGAAATCTATAAAGATAAAAGTGGATCTTTATGAGTTAGAAGTCATACAAATGCTAGAACTAACAAAGGTTGTTTGAAAAGGACAAATAACATAGGTAATCCAAATAACATAGATAATCTAATCCAGAAAAAAGTGCAAAAAGCACTATTTCCTAAAATAAAAAATGGTTATGGAGAAATAATGCCAGTTTCAGAGGAAATCAAAAGAATATGCAAATATATTTGAGAATTGGGATGAAATAGATGATTTTTAAAGAAAATGTTACTTATAAAAATATACCTAGAAGAGACAGAAAATCTAGACAGACCAATAACCATAGAAGAAATAGAGATAATTACTCCTAAAAAAATCACAGGGGAATTTAACTGAACATTTAGAGAACAATTTCAATGATTTAAATTATTATTTAAGTTGGCCCAGGGTTAATTTCCTTTATATATACAGAGCTCTTGTAAATCAAAAAGAAAGGGCTAATAACTTGATAGAAAAACTGATGGAGTATAAGAACAGATCATTCACAGAAACAGAAAACAATTCCTCTTAGAGAAGAACAGGAAAAGATGATCAATCTTACTCAAAACAAGAAAACTGCATTTATTTATTTATTTATTATTGTTTTTTGAGATAGAGTCTCCCTCTGTTGCCCATGCTGGAGTGCAGTGTTGCGATCTCAGCTCTCTGCAACCTCCACCTCCCAGGTTCAAATGATTCTCCTGCCTCAGCCTCCCAAGTAGTTGAGACTATAGGCACACACCACCACGCCTGGCTGATTTTTTTATATTTTTAGTAGAGACGGGCTTTCACCATGTTGTCCCGACAGTCTCAAACTCCTGACCTCAGGTGATCTGCCCGCTTTGGCCTCCCAAAGTGCTGGGAGTTTACAGGTGTGAGCCACCATGCCTGGCCTCGAAAACTGCATTTAAAATTACAATGTGATGCCATTTTTCACCTATCAGATAATAGTTATGAAACTGAATAAATCACCAGGTTAGTGAGTATATGGGGAAGTAGGAATGTTCATAAAATGCTAGTAGAAATGCAAATTTTACCACCTCCATGGAGGGCAACTGAGAATATCTTTGCCTTTGACATAGCCTTTGATCCAACAATCTGAGTTCCAGGAACTTTCTAGAAACAAACTTGAATGTGTGTGAAATGATATTCCAGTGACACATTGTTTGTAGTAGCAAGAGATGGAAAACAGCCTTATATCACCAAGAGGAAAAGTTAATATCTGCATAACCTTCCAGCAGTGGAACTTACGCAGTAATTAACAAAAAAAAAAAAAAAAAAAAAAAAAAAAGGGAGATAGCTCTTTATGTACCAAGATGGACAATTGCTAAGATATTTTGTTAGCTGGAAAAATGAAGTATAATACACTATTACTTGTATAAAAAAGAACACATATATGTATTTGCCAGTATCTGCCTGGAATAAATCTG
Organism: Homo sapiens; assembly: GCF_000001405.40. Classification (NCBI taxonomy): domain Eukaryota; kingdom Metazoa; phylum Chordata; class Mammalia; order Primates; family Hominidae; genus Homo; species Homo sapiens. Next base: position 22,215,434 of record NC_000001.11, read on the forward strand.
TGTGTGTCCAGAAAACTAGTTAAGAGGGCCTTTCTTTTGGGTGGTGCCTGGGTGGCTCCATACAGAGTGGCTGGTTGGGAACTGCCCTTCCACTGTCTTTTTTTTTTTTTTTTTTAAATACCTCTTGAATTTTGTGCCATGTGTATGTGGTACCTTTTAAAAACTGAAACAGCCTGGCCAACATGGTGAAACTCCGTCTCTACTAAAAATACAAAAAATTAGCCGGGCATGGTGGCGGATGCCTGTAATCCCAGCTATTCGGGAGGCTGAGGCAGAAGAATCGCTTGAACCAGGGAGGCGGAGGTTGCGGTGAGCCAAGAACGCACCACTGAACTCCAGCCTGGATGACAGAGTGAGACCCCGTTTCAAAAAACAAACAAACAAACAACAACAAAAAACCAACCCCCCCCCCCCAAAAAACTGGAATAATTAAAACAATTTAAAGATGAGTAGGAGTTGGGCGGGTAAAAAGATGCCAGGGTAATAAACAGATGCAAAGCTGTTCAAGCATACTCATAGCAAGGAAGCATGAACTCAAATATTTTGTTGTTGTTCTTGGCTCATTCATTTGGCAGAAGTGAAAATGACTTTTAATCTTCAGGGCAGAATTTAGACTTCATCCTGACAACAATAGGAGCCCTGGACTAGCTGTGAGCAGGTGAGTGAGTGGAGGTTGAATTAGGGGCTGAGGCTGGATACAGGAGGCCAGGAGGAGGTGGAGTGGTCATCTAGGCAACACTTAGGTGCTGGACTGTAGGCAAGGCAGTGGGAATGGGGAGGAGAGGGTGCTTGAAAAGCTTTTGGATGGTGGAATTGGCAGCCATGGAGCTGAGTAGACCAGGCGGGTGGAGGCGGGGAAGCTGGCCCTGGTGCGGGTTGAGGTCGGCCAGCCTCTTGAGGGACTCTAGACCCAGGCCTGAGACTGTTTACTCAGGGAGCCGGTCGCCGTCTCTGCTGCTGGACAGCTCTTCTGCCTCACCAGTGTTTGCCCTGTGTTCAGTCCACCTCTGCTCATGATGCAGACGGTGCTGAGTGAGTAAGTGACTTGCTAGAGTCCCCTCCGCAGAGCTCAGTCAGCCTCTCCCAGGGCACCTCTCTGCCTGCTCTAGGCCACATGTTTTGTTCCCTCTGTTCATGACAGCTTGGGACTGGAGGCTACAGCAGGTGTTGCCTAGAGCCCAGATCAGACACCTGTGTGTCACCATACGTTACGAGGGCGCTGGGAGTCTCCTGAAGCTGTCAAAATTCTACCAGTGGCCCCTTGACCTGGGCAGTCAGAGGTGGGGTGAGCTCCTCTGAGGTCTCTGCCCCAGTCTCTGAAGGCTGACATCAAGGTGTCTGCTGGGCTGGGCTTTGATCTGGAGGATCTGGAGAGAATCCACCTCCAAGCTTATTCAGGTCATTGCCAAATTCAGTGCCTTGCAACTGTAGGACTGAAGTCCTACCTTCTTGCTGGAGGTTGGCGGGGGTCCCTCTCAGCTCCTGGGGCCGCTTGTGTGGGCCCCCATCTCTGCAAGGGCAGGGGTGGCTCCCTGTGTCTGCCTCCATGGTGCTTCGTCTCTCCGGTTTCTGCCCAGCAACTGGAGAAAGCTCGGCTTTGAAAGGGCTCATGTAGTTAGACTTGGCCCACTTGGATCATCTCCCTCTTGCCATATGATGGAACAGGATCATGGGAGTTATATCTGATCATATTCCTGGGCTCCACCCACACTCAGAGGGGTGGAGGTGACATAAGGGTCATTTGGGATCATTCTTAGACCTCTGCCAACTACACATATGCACATGTATACACCCATGCATGTGTAATAAGAATAAGAATGTATGTTTATTAAATGTACTACATTCTAGATACTTCTATAGGAATAGTATCACTTGATCCCCTCAAGGGTATGTAGTTACTACCACTGTTACTATCTCTGGTTTGCAGATGAAGAAATAGGGGCTCAGAGAAGTTGAATAACTTGCCCAGGGTGACCTAGCTAATAGGGAGTGGGGCCTGAACTTGAACCCAGGTCTGTCTGATTCTGAAGCCTGCATTCTATTTATTTTTCTGAGAAGAATCTATCTTGCTCTTGTTACCCAAGCTGGAGTGCAGTGGCACGATCTCAGCTCACTGCAACTTCCACCTCCTGGGTTCAAGTGATTCTCCCACCTCAGCTTCCCGAGTAGCTGGGATTATAGGCACCTGCCACCACCCCTGGCTAATTTTTGTATTTTTAGTAGAGACAGGGTTTCATCATGTTGGCCAGGCTGGTCTCGAACTCCTGATCTCAGGTGATCCACCTGCCTTGGCCTCCCAAAGTGCTGGGATTACAGGTGTGAGCCACTGTGCCTGGCCAGAGGCCTGCATTCTTAACCAGGGTTCTGGTCTCACACATGAACACAGAGGACCATGTGCCTACACATGCGCGTTTATGCACACTCCTGAAGAATCCATGTACAGGTACACACGCACCCCCCATGCCTGGCTGGTCCCCTGGGGCCCAGAGTTAATGAAGATGCCCCAGGAGCCCACACAGTGCGGCCACGGGCAGAGATGAAAGGCGTGGTGTGCCTAACGGCCCTCTGGGGATCCGGTTACCCATGGCTGTGGCTTCTCAACCAGGTGATTAATTGCCCGGCACTGCCTTGCCCGGTCAGCTCCCAAGGCCTCCTGCCCTCTTATTAAAAACATCCCTTGATGTTATCCCGCTAGGGAGATCAATGGAGGCAGCCGAGGGGAGTTGGGCTGCTGGGGGACGGGGGTCTCCTTGGCCTCTCCCTGGTGCCCACCTCGCTTCCTTGGTGCTCAGCTTCCTGGGAGCCAGCTGGAGTTGAGCTTCCCAAAGAGGCTTCCTGAGGCTGGGTCCTGCCTGGCTGGGGTTCGCGTAGCATGGTCAGTGTGACCGGGCAGCTGGGCTGGTGGCCGAGGTCAGAGAGGGACAGAGGAGTTGAGCCTGTGCTTTGGGGCCTTGGGAAGCTGAAAAGGGTCTGGAGTTGTCCTTCTCACCCCAGCCCCTTCTAGGCGTCCTGACCTCAGATCATCTTGGGTTTGCTTCTGAACTTGTCTTTTGACTTGACCTCTAGCGTCTCTGGGTCCTCCTGTATAAAACAGGGAGAGAGGGGCCTCTCTTGCAGGTCCTGAAGGTCATTTGCCTTCTCAAAATTCCTTGTCTTTTGGCTTTGGTGACCCTGCACACACCCATTTCCCTCCTACTTCTCTGGCCACGCTGTCTTTACTCACTTCCAGCCAATATAGTTCCTGGGTTTGAGACCCAGCACCACCACTTCCTAGCCCAGTGACCCCGGCAAGTGGCTTAACCTTGCAAGTCCTTCACTTCCTCATCTCCAGAAGGAGGCCCATCCTGGTGCCTCCCTCAGAGAGTTGCTACGAGACTTCAATGAGTTGATCAAAGTAAAGTGCTTTGGTGTCCGGCAGGTGGAAGTGCTGGGCTGGCTGAGGTGCTCTCCTCGGCCGGGTTCTTGAATGCTGGTCCTCAGGGCTTTGTCACTCAGCTCTTCTCATTCTACCCACTCTGCTCGGGTAAGCTCATCCCTTTCTCCAGCTCCACTGGCTGATCCTCTGGCATCTCTGCTCCTGCTTCCTGAACCACAGCCCCATAGCCCCGACTGCAGCGCCCCAACCCGCCCAGATACTCATAGGCATCACTGACTGGGCAGATTCCAGTGAACTCAAGTTCTTGCCTGCTCCTCATCCTGAGTCCCCACCTCGGGGCCACTGCCATTTACCCAGTCTCCCTGGCTGCAAACAGTGGTCTCAACCTGGATTTCTCCCTCTGCCTCAAACGTGCCTTCTATCCATCACCAGATCCTGTGAGACGGATGGCTCCCAAGCTTCTCTTGAATCGTCCATCTCTCTCCATCTCCCTGGCCACTGTCTGGGCCCAAGTCATTGCCCTCTCTCACCTGGACAATGCAGCTGCTTCCCAGCAGATCTCTCTGCCTCCAGGTTTGTCTCCCCGCTAGGTTCTGGGCCCCATCCCCTCTCTAGCCAGGCTGCCTCTCACTCTCTGATCCAGGCAAGCAAGTGGCCTTTCCTCTTCTGCCTCTGGGCCTTTGCACATACTGTTCCAGCTGGGTGAAACACTTTTCCTCCAGGCTTGGTTTGTACCCAGACCGGCTGGTGGTCTAGAAGTTGTCCAAGGTCCTTCTGCCCTGGCCGTCTAGGACTCCCACAGGGTAGTGGCTGATCTTTCAGGTCTGGGTGTCACACGGACTTGGGTTCACTGCTTTTCAGTTGCGTGGTCTGGGCAAGTCTTTTGACCCTTCTGAGCTTCCGTTATGCCATCTGTAGCCTGAGGCTGGTAATAGCTATGCTTGTACAGAAAATCATGTGACTTAAAGCCATGACATGTTTAACACAGAGTGGCTTGTGCATGAATGTTCAGTAGTGGTGACAATGATGATGACTCTTTGGACCCCAACCCCTTTGGTGGAGGAGGGGAGCATCTCTCTCATCCTGGGCCCAGACGGTCTCTTCTTTGTTTCTCCCCAGAGCCACGGGAGGCAGGTAGCGTTCTCTGAAGGGTACAGAAGGGTAAACGGAGATTGCAGCAGGAGGAATTGTCTTAACATGACACAGCTGGAGGCCTGGTCACCTGCTACGTCCTCTCCTGCTCTCTCAGTCTGGGGCTCAGTGCTCCTGCTATAGAAGAGAGTCTTTTTTTTTTTTTTTTTTTTTTTTTTTAAAGAGACGGGTTTTTGTTTTGTTTTGTTTTTTGAGACAGAGTCTTGCTCTGTCCCCCAGGCTGGAATGCAGTGGTGCGATCTTGGCTCGATGCAACCTCTGCCTCCTGGGTTCAAGCAATTCTCCTGCCTCAGCCTCCCGAGTAGCCGGGATTACAGGTGTGCACCACCACGCCTGGCTAATTTTTGTATTTTTAGTAGAGACGGGATTTCACAATGTTGGCCAGGCTGGTCTCGAACTCCTGACCTCAGGTGATCCACCTGCCTCAGCCTCCCAAAGTGCTGGGATTATAGGTGTGAACCACTGCGCCCGGCCAAGAGACAGGTTCTTGCTCTATTGCCCAGGCTGGAGTGCAGTGGCGAAATCACAGTTCACTGCAATCTTGACCTCTTGGGCTCAAATGATCTTCCTGTCTCAGCCTCCTGAATAGTTGGGGCTACAGGTGTGGCTAATTTTTTAATTTTTTTGTAGAGACAGGGGTCTCACTATGTTGTCCAAGCTGGTCTCAAACTCCTGTGCTCAAGTGATTCTCCTGTCTCAGTCCCTGAGAGTCAGCCTTTTTAACAACATTGACAATTTAAAGTGCTTGCTTAGGCCATGTACTTTACATTAACAAGAGCTCTGCTAACCCTTAGTTTTTGTGTTCCATTTACATGCATTTAATCCACGCAGCAAAATCCTAGGAAGACAGTATTATAGACCCTATTTTGCAGTGAGTAGACTGAGACCTAGAGAGGCTGAGCCACTTGTTCAAGGGCATACAACTACCTGGTGGGGGAACAGGACTGGAAACCGCAGTTCTCTTCTCAAGATCCTGGCAGCCTTTCCCCCTCGGACAGTTGTCTCCATCCTCCCCGTCCTAGTCCGCCTGGCCCAGAGTGTCCCTGCCTCTCTGGAGCACTGAGTCTTACTTCAGTTTGGTTTGACAGTGCTCAGTGCTGAGAGAGGATCATGACAATTCTCACGTTCATATGAGTTTAAGTGTTTTTCTTTGGCAGTTGTTTTATTTTTTGGAGAATTTCACAAAAAGCCCTTGAGACAGAAAGGGATCCATTCTCTGGAGTGTTGCAAAACCGATGCTCTTCAAGCCACCTCCGTCTGCCTCTTCTGTCCCTTTTTTCTGAATCTGTGTTCTAATCTTATGTGCTACTCCCACACAATTTTGGAGCTACCTTGGGGTGCACACATGCACACACGTACTCACTTTAGTACAAGAAAAATCAGCACACATAGGGTTGGGCTGTGTCTTGCTCAGTGGTGTGCTGGCAAATATTTCACAAAAGGCCCTCTCGAGAAAGCAAGCCCTGATTTGGCATTTGCCAATTCCCGTGGTGTAAATACTCCCACTGTGGTCAATGTCGAGCCCGCAGCGTGAAGTTGCTGAATGCGGAATTGGGAAGAGATGTGCAGCCAGCTCCTTTGTGCAGGTTCAACTGGGTTCCAGCACCCTGCATGGGCTCCAGCACCTTGCACCTGTCCCAGCCCTGTCTCTCCACTGCAGTGGCCAGCCTGCAGCGCTCACCTATGTCTGTCAAAATGCATTGTGTGCACATGTGAGGGACACCACATCCCTGTCACTTACCCCAGACCTGATCACTGCCTTCCCCACATCTGTGCACACTCACAGGGTCAGGCATGCCCTCAATGGCTCCCAAGCACTGGTGTGCTGCAGCAAACACATTTGTGTACCATCTTGCTCACAGCAACATGTGTACACGAAATCACACATGCACCTAAGTGTGGCACACCCAGCTCTACCCATGGCCGTAGTCTCAGTTCCTCCTGCACACATATTCTCACACAGTTGTACACTTTCAATCATAAACACAGACACACCTGCCAGGGCACACCCATGGGCACGCATAGGTGTCTCACAGTCACTGGCATGTGTGTCCTAGCGCATGCGCCACACACACACACACACACACACACACACACACACACACACACACATCGATGCACATTCTTCAGGTAAGCAGATGCCTGGATATGAACAAGCAAGGGCTGAAACCCAGCCTTTCTCACCTTCATGCATGCCCCACGGCACACCTATGGCTCACTCACCACCCTGCCCACCCCCCTGTCCCCCCACATCCCCTGCAGGCATCTCCCCCACCCCGTCATAACCAGGGAAGCTGGCCGGGCTGGGTTGTGCGTGTGGTGTTTGGGAGTTAGAGAGGAATTCCAGGCGGGCCCCTTCTGCTCTCCTGGCCAACGTTAAGTGCCTTCAGACTGAAAAGAACCGTCCAGAGAGGCTTTTCCGGCTAGAGATTAATGTCACTGAAAAATGTGGGTCCCGAGCGATTAATGCGGCCTTCTTTGCCACACATTATGTGAGTGCACTAAAGCGAGAGGGGCTCATTTTTGGCGTGTTTTTAGCCTGTTTGGCACAGAGTGAAAGAAGAAAAGAAGAAGAGCCCAGGGCCCAGGAACCTGAGGGTGGGGATCTCATGGTCAGAAAGAGCCCCAGAAGCCAGGTAGCGTGAGGCTAGGGGGGTCCCTGCCAAGTCACCGCAAGACTTGGAGGGGAGGTCATGGTAGAACCCACCCACAGTCTCGGCGTTCCAGGTGTCCCAGCTTGGAGGCGTGCTAAGGCCTCTGTGTCGCATTGGCCAAGGGAACCAATCCCTCACAAGCAGTCTCCCAGTATAGTCAGAAGATCCTGGATTCAAAGCCCAGCTTAGCCAGTGACTCCACCTCTCGGGGCCTCATCTTCTCCATTTGCAAAATGGCAATGATGTAGGATCTATCTTAATGGCTTGTGGCGGGGATTGAATGAGATCGTCCAAAGGAGCCTCGTAGCACAGGGTCAGACGCAGAGTAAGCGGTCGATAGTATAGCAGCCAGCCAGAGTGATGGTGGCAGTGGTGTGTGTGGGTGCATGAATGAGCACACACGTGTGTGTGTGTGTGTGTGATAGATTGATGTTTCAAAGCAGGTGAACCTGGGCTTGAGCCTTCTTATGTGACCTTGAGCAAATATGGTATCTCTTCCTGAGCCTCAGTTTCTTCTCCTGGAAGATGGAGTTAAATCCCAGGTTATTGTGAGGATTAAAGGTGATCACACAGATCAAGAGCCTGGCACAGTGCCTGCCACTGACTGAGGCCCTAAAACATGACAGCAGTGGTGAGTGGGCCAGAATAATTCTATCTTCAGCGATGCCTTCCTTCCACAGCCTGGCAGATGTGCTTGGAGTCGAACTGGTTGAATTCACGTGATACCATCGCACAGTCAGTCCCTGGGAGTTGGGTGAAGAGGGTGGGTGACTCAGGAGGAACAAACAGGACAGGACGTGAAGCCATGCACAGAAGCCTCCTTGCCAAAGCACTGGCAGGGTGGGGGAAGAGGAATCCATTCTGGTGCCCCGGAAGCCTCTGAGGATGGGGCAGAGGAGACAAGCTGGGGTTGGGGGGCTGTGAGGCCTGTCATCTGTGACACAGTCCATATGCCAGGCACCCAGGCAGGGGCTCAGTATATTTTCCCCATTGGTTTCAGTTGGAAACCCTGGAGGGTCGATCTTATCCGCTGGGGAAATCAAGGCACGGAGTAGATAAGCGACCTGGCTTAGATTACACAGCCAGGAAAAGTCCAGGAACGGGTTCCCTTGTCGTGGATGTCTCCTTGGCCAGGCAGGAACGGCCAGCATTTCTAGGGGAACCAGGAACGTGCTGAAGAATGTGTTCCTTGCAAGTTTAAAAACACAAAACGAGTTACATTATTTCTTGGCTTAAAACGTGTCTGCAACCTCCCCTGCCCTCAGGCTAGAGCCCAAGCACCTGGCCTGTCAGCTGTGGGGTCTGGGCCCTGCCACCTTTCCAGCCTCGGGTGGCACTACAGTGACTCTTGCTGTCTCTTCTCTAATGCCAGGTTCCTGGTCCCCTTCCTGGGCTTCAGCCCTCAGAGACCAGCTCCAGGGATCCTCCCCTCCCCACCTCTCTACCTTGGCAAGACCAGGTGCCCAGGTCTCAGCTCTCAATGCACTGGTCCTCGGCCCTTGCAGCAATTCTCACCATATTTGCCTTCTCTGTTGATAGGTCGGCTCTGCAAGGTAGGAGGTGTGTTCTTGCCTTTGCTATGTGTTGGTGGCATCTACACAGTGCCTGGCAAAAAGCAGGTGCTTGAGAGGAAGGACCGAGTGGTGGACAGCCAGGCTGGCATCTGGGCACAAGCAGGGTCCACGGGGAGTTTGGGTCCCACGTGGTTGAGGTCTCAGCTCCACAGCAGGTGCATTGACTGGAAGCAGGATAGTGGGTGGGGCCATTAAGGGAGGCAGGAAAGACAGGGGAGTTTCTGCAAGAAGATTTGCCTGACTTATTTTGAATCTTCTAAAAGCCTTTGTCTTGAGTTCACACTAAAGATTATAAAATAAGTGCCGTCAGGGAATGGAATTCAGGGACAAATGACTTCTCTGGGGAATTCTAGCCCCCAAAGTGCCCTAAGTGGGCACTCTTGTTATCTCAATTTTTCAGAGGAGGAACTTGGGGCTCAGAGAGGGTCTTGGCCAAGCTGAGACCAGAACCTGAGCATGCCTTTCCCATGGAGCCATCGTCCCCTCAGGGTTGGTTGAACTGGAGGAGGAAATGTCAGCCTCACTCCCCAGGACCAGGGACCTTGAACTTGATGCAAAAAAGATTTGTTTGTTGTGATGGTTTTAAGATATGTTTATACATTCTTTAATAGTCTCTTCAGGAGGTGGTTTAATCCTCCTCCCCTTGAGTATGGGCCTAGTGACTCACTTCCAATGAATAGAATATGGCAGATGTGTGTGACTTCCAAGACTAGGTCACAGAAGGCATTGTGGCTTCCTCCTTCTTCTCTTTTGCTTCACTTACTCTGGGGGAAGCCAGCTGCCATGTCATGAGGATACTCAAGCAGTCCTATGGAGAGGCCCACCTGGCAAGGAACTGAGGCCTCCTGCCGATAGCCATGGCAGGGAGCTGTATTGGAAGCAGATCTCTCCCCTCTCCCCGGCCCCAGTCAAGCCTTCAGATGACTGCAGTCCTGCTTGACAGCTAGACTGCAATCTCAGGAGAGACCTGGGTCAAAACCACTCCGTAAGTTGCTTCTGAATTCCTGACCCTGGAAATGATGAAATAATAAACATTTCTTGTTGTTTGTGGGATAATTTGTTATGCGGCAGCAAATAATGAATGCATTCATTTTTGTGGAAATGGCTCAAATCCCATCAACAGTAGATTATGATATAGTCCCAGGATAGAATAGTATACAGCAATGAGAAGGAACAAACCATCACTACAGACAACAGTGTGGATGAAGCTCACAAACATCTTGACCAAAAGAAGCTGCACCAGACAACACATACTGTGTGACTCCGTTCATATAAAATACAAAGACTGGCCAAGCCAATCTATAATAATAGAAATCAGGATAGTGGTTTTCCTTGGGCAGGCCCGGATGGAGTGGCCAGGAGGGGCCGGAAGGGGGTTTCTGAGTGCTTCTTACATGAATGCATTCAGTTTGTGAGAACTCATTGAGTGTAGATTTATGACTTGAACACATGTTTGTATATTAGACCTTACAGAAAAATCTTCCAGTTTGGAATAGGGTGTATGCCGGGTGAAAACTGGGCTGCTCAGGAGTCACATCTGGCTGTAGGATGAACACTGCTTTCGAGGTTATAGGCCTGGAAACCTTTGAGGGAAAGACTAGCATTCAGGTCATGAGATAGAAAGAAAAAGGGTTGGGGTGGCCGTATTGGGACCTCCTAGTCCCCAGGGCCTTGGCTTGAAGTCTTACCTCCTTAGCTCTCTGAGCTGATGGACAGGAAGGGACAAAGGCTCAGCCCCCAACTGGGGTTGGGGTCAGCTGAGGGGGCTTTCCGGGGCAGCAGCGAGGGCAGGGGGAGCCCTGCCTGGCTTTGTGATTCAGGGATTTGCTGTAATCCCAGTCCTTCCCTGCAGCCTGTCTAATCCCCACCCGTGGGGCTGAGCCTTTTCAAGATCTGACTTTGGCCTGAAAGGCTCCCAGAGGGGCCCACATTCCTGCCCACGGCATCCCCGCTCCTAGGAGGAAACTCATCAGGGTCTCTCCCCACCCCGGCATGGGGCTTCTCATCCTTGGGAAAAAGAGACAGTGCTCATAAATCCAGGGAAAGTTAAGATGGCCGTGAGAGAATCTGGAGTGTTTGACCTGCTTCCTTGGAGGAGACGGTGGTCTTTGATGCCTGGGTCCTGGGCCTTGTGCCATCAAGGAAATGGGTGAAGGAGATGCTGGCAAGAATGAAGACCTGTTGGGGGCAGCGGTTAACCACCTCCAAGGCCTGATGTGAGCTTCCTCTTTAACCTCATTGTTCACTTGACAAGCTCCAGCCACCTGTCTTTCGGATCCTAAGGCTCCCCAAGCTGCTTCCTGCCTCAGGACCTTCGTACAGACTTCCCCTTGGCTTGGAGATTCTCTCCCCTGATCCTTGCATGCTGCTCTTGCTTGTAACTGAGATCTCTACTTTGGGAGGCCAAGGTGGGCGGATCGCCTGAGGTCAGGAGTTTGAGACGAGCCTGGCCAACGTCGTGAAACCCTGTCTTCACTAAACAACAACAACAACAACAACAAAAAACAAAAAAACCCAAAAACCAAAAAGAAAAAAACCAACAACAAAACCTAGCTGGGTGTGGTGGTGTGTGCCTGTAATCCCAGCTACTTGGGAGGCTGAGGCAGGAGAATTGCTTGAGCCCAGGAGGCAGAGGTTGCAGTGAGTTGAGATTGCGCCACTGCAGTCCAGCCTGGGTGACAGAGCAAGACTCCGTCTCAATAATAAAAAACAACAACAACAACAAAATAACTGAGATCTCAGCTGCAATGTTACTTCCCCCAAGGCCCCATGGTCCCACTCTGTCATGTCACCCCGTGTCTCAGTTTTATTTCTTGCCTTTCCTTGTCTCCTCCGACTGGAAAGTGAGACCTTGAAGAGCAGGGGCCCCGTCCGCTGGGCTCCTGGCCATAACCCCCTCTAAGAATAATACCCAGTGATTCATGGTTCTCAGTGCATGTGCAGAGTAAGTGAATGAATGAATGGGAAAGGACAGAGTTACTTGAAGAAGAAGGAGAAAAACTTGAAAAGGGATGATCCTGCTCAACTTGTGAATCACAGATATGCTTCCCCTTGACACCAAAAGCTGCCCTGTGAAACCTGTATTATTATCCCATTTTTACAGATGAAAAACTAAGGGGGAAAAGGTTCAATAACCCACCAAGCCCACACAGGCGGTAGACTTGCAGGAAAATAATATTAGGGGCCTTGATTTTCACTCTCATTCTTACACTGAAATTCCCAGCACCCGAAATTTTACTTTTAGATATGCATTCCTTTTGCTTGGACATTGCCCTCTCAAGAACTTTCTTTCTTTCTTTCTTTCTTTTTCTCTTTCTTTTCCTTCCTTTCTTCCTTTCTTTCTTTCTTTCTTTCTTTCTTTCTTTCTTTCTTTCTTTCTTTCTTTCTTTCTTTCTCTTTCTTTCTCTCTCTCTCTCTCTCTTTCTTTCTTTCTTTTTCTTTCTTTCTTTTTATACAGAGTCTCGCTCTGTCGCCCAGGCTGGAGTGCAGTGGCACAATATCCACTCACCGCAACCTCTGCCTCTGGGGTTCAAGCAATTCTGCCTCAGCCTCCCAAGTAGCTGGGATTACAGACACCCGCCACCACACTTGGCCAATGTTTGTATTTGTAGTAGAGGTGGGGTTTCACCATGTTGGCCAGGCTGGTCTTGAACTCCTGACCTCAGGTGATCTGCCCACCTCGGCCTCCCAAAGTGTTGGGATTACAGATGTGTGCCACCACGCCTGGCCAAGAACTTCTTTCTTTCTTCTTACCTTTCCTCTTAGTTAGTAGTGAGAGAATTTTACATGAATGATTATTGTAGATGCATAACATGGTAGTTACAGAAGGAGTGTTGGAGGCTGTGTTCTAACTTGTCCATTTTATAAGTGGAGATACTGAGGCCCAGAAAGCAGAAATAATGTCCTCAAAGTCACCACATAGTAGGTGCTCACTAAGTGCTTATTAATTGAATCAACATAAACACGCACATTACAGAGGAGGCACGACCTGTTTGGAAGTCTCAGTAGCACGGCTTTGACTCCCAGCGCATTCAGCACTTCAGTGTCCGAAAGCACATTCGTGTACGTGATTGCAGGTAAGCACTTTATGATTCCCATTTTACACATGGGGCAAGTGAAGCCCAGAGAGGTAAAGCATCTTGTCCAAGGTCACACAGCAAGTTAAGAGGTAGTGTTGGGATTTGAACTTAGCTCTTGCATAACCTCTGCGGCTTTTTCTGGAACTCTGGCAGAGAGTTCAGCCAGTTATCTCTTGCCCCTTTCCAGGGGTCCCTGGGCTGGTCCATGGGGACATGGACCCAGGGGCCAGGGCTGGCCCTGGGCTTGCTCAGCCAGGATGTGTGTGAGTGTGAGTGTGAGTGCGTGCACATGTGTGAAGTCAGTGGCCTCACCCCTGCTGTTCCTGAGCAAGTTTCTGGCAGCTGCAGCTTATGATTGGTGTGGGGCACAGGCTGCCCAGGAGTGGCTGGGATCCATGTCTGCCCTGCTGCTACCTGCCTCCCCTCCTGGTCGTGGGCAGGCAGGCGAATCTTGTGCTGGGACTTGCCGGAGCCTCCGCATCAGGCGAGGCTGCAGGTACATTCCTCCTCCCTGGAGTCCCGGTGCTGCAGCTGGGGGGCCAGGCACTGACTAATTCTATACAAATTGGCTGATATTCTGAAGAATGCCATTCTGTAAGAAAGCAAATATTTAAATACTCAAGGCTGGGTCCTCTCCACCCCCGCACCCAAGTCCTGTCACCTGCCAAACGCTGGCAGAGCCTCTTGGAGGCATTTTGGGGCTGCACACCTGGCGGCCCCATGGGAGCTTTGTGACCCCCCCCTAGACTGAGCAGGGGTGGCTGGCAGATGGGACACCTGAAGCGGGACCCAGAGGGGGCTGTGCTGAAGCCCACACCAGGCAGCTTTTATCCCAGAGGGGAAGGTGGGGGCTTGATGGGGAATTAGAAACTCTGGTCTGGGCACTTTCCTGTGTATGCTCTTTGGGCCTCAGTTTCTCCATATGTAATATGGCATGTATGAATGGCCAAATAAGTGGTTTTCTAATCTGGTTGGACCCCATCCCAGACAAAATCTGAGAAGGCAGGGCCCAGGACCCTGCATTTTTACCAAGCCCCACGGGGAGCATGATGCAGTTGGTCCAGCCCCCCTGCCTATTCATGCCACACTGGCCAGAGAGGATCGCTGTGAATGGGCTTCAGAAAGGCCTCCCACAGCTTTAGCTGGGGGGAGGGCACAGCCGCCTGTAGAAGGAACAGCATGGCAAGGCCAGGGAAACTGTGAGGCCCTCTGGGAAAGTGGTGGGAGCATAGGTTGTGGGGTGGGGACAAAGGTGGTGTAGCTCAAGGCCTGGGACAGCAATGGCTAAGCAAAAGGAATGCATGTCTAAGAGTAAAATTTCAGGTGCTGGGAATTTCCGTGCATGACTAAGAGTGAAATTCAAGGCCAGCAAGGATTCTTTTCCTGCATGAGGCTTTCCTTATCTCAGCTTCATTCTCAGGCCACCTAATGACTCTCTTCTTTGACCTCCCAGGGCACTGACTCTCTCCCTCTCTTTCTAACTGAACTGTCAGTTACACAAGCTCACATTTTGCATGACTTTATGCATTTCCTTCTTGACAATGATGACAATAGCACTGCCTTCCCTTTGTTACACACTGTGTGTCAGGCCGTGTACTGACCACTTCTCTTGCATTCTCTCTCCTTCTCTTCACAAGAGCCCCATGAAGTGGTTTCTGGTGCTCTCCCCACTTGACAGAAAAGTAAACTGAGGCATAGAGTGAAGTGTCGCTTGACCAGGGGCACCCAGCGAAGATATGAAGAGCTAGGATTTGGCTTTGGGTCTTCCAACCCAGTGGCCTGGACTCGCACCCACCCTCTCCACTGTCGTTGGTGAGTTCCTCCAGGGCAGGGACTGGGGCTGATCTTCTCTGTGCCCTCAGTGCCAGTGTGAGGCGGGGCACATGGTGGACCCTGCCTGGTGCCAACCACATGGATGTGCTGTGAACATTAAATAATTGTCCCCATTTTACAGGTGAGGAAACTGAGGCACAGGAAATGGAATGACTCGTCCAAGGTCCTAGAACAGGCAAAAGGCAGAGGTAGTTGTCTTAAGCTGGGTCCCCCAAAAGCCAACCCCAAGTCAAGGATTTGAGTGCAAACAGTTTACCTGGGAGCTGATTTCCTAATGTCCAGATTGATGAGTCAGGAAATGAGACAGGAAGGGAAAGAGGCCAACAAGAGGAGGGTGTGTCGGTCAGCAGGTGAGCACTCTGGCCAGCTGGGCACAGACCCCTGGGGAAGTCTGGGAGAAGGGACAGAACAAGCCTCAGCATTGCCCCTCCAAAGGGGAGGAAATTGGGTTATTTTTCCTCCACTCTCATCTGTGTTTGGCTGAAGGCTGTTTCAGGCACTTCTGGGCCAGTATGTTCTGCGGCTGTAGAGGCAGAGTCACTGTTTGTTATTTGCAGTGAGAAATGGGATAGTGGGTATAGATGGGCAGTGACAGCTGCTGCCACAGAAATGTTCAAAACGTGGATTTTCAGAACTAAAATCTGTCCATCTATCATTCACACATCCATCCATTCATCCATTCACCCATCCACCCACCTACCCATCCACCCACCCGTCTGTCCACCCACCCATCCATCTACCCATCCACCTACTCACCCCCCCACCCATCCATAGTTTACTTATCTATCCATCTGTGCATCCACCCATCATCCATCCACCCACTCATCTGCCCACCCATCTGTTCATCCGTCCATCCATCCATCCATCCATCCATCCATTCACCCATCCACCCACCTACCCATCCACCCACCTGTCTGTCCACCCACCCATCCATCTACCCATCCACCTACTCACCCACCCACCCATCCATAGTTTATCTATCCATCTGTCCATCCACCCATCATCCATCCACCCACTCATCTGCCCACCCATCTGTTCATCCATCCATCCATCCATCCATCCATCCATCCATCCATCCATTCACCCATCCACCCACCTACCCATCCACCAACCCGTCTGTCCACCCACCCATCCATCTACCCATCCACCCACTCACACACCCACCCATCCATCGTTCACTTATCTATCCATCTGTGCATCCACCCATCATCCACCCACTCATCTGCCCACCCATCTGTTCATCCATTCATCCACCCATCCACCCATCCATCCATCCATCCATTCATCCATCCATCATCCATTCATCCATCCATCTGCCCACTCATATATCCATCCACCCATTCATTCACCCACCCATCCATGTATCCATCCATCCAACCATTCATCCATCCATCTATCCATCCATCCATCATCCACCCATCATCTCCCAGATCCTGGGTCTCAGGCACAGTTCGAGGCCCTGGAGGTCCAGAGATGATTCCCCAGACTTAATTCCAGTCGCCCCCATTCCCTGAAGGGGCTGCATATCTCTGGCGGTTGCTGTGAGGTGACCAGACAACATGGGAATGGGTGGGCTGGCTCTTGTGGCTAGTAGCCCCTGATTCCCAACCCTGGGATGTCTGGGTTCATGGTCCCCCAGCTCCTCAGAGGCTTCCAGAGATAGCTGGTACTGCTGTCATTCCAGGAAGCCCCTCAGAGGAAACACAGTCCCCATTCATGGGCTGGCTGCTTGGAACCGCAGACCCTGTGCTGTCACAGGGATTCACGCAGGCTTTACCTGCCCTCCTGTCCCAGTGCCAGGGCCGGTCTGAGGACATCCAGTGAGTCTTTGCTGAGCAGCTTTGGAAGTTGGGGCAGTGCCATGGATGCTACCAGAACCAAGTTCCCTACTATTCTTCTTGGCACCCAGAAAGACCACCTGCTTGGACAAAGGTTGTCCTGGGCTCACATCCTGTGGAGGAAGGGGACACAGAAAGCCATTATTGAGCACCTAGTGGGTGCCACATACTCAGCATGATGGGTGTCCCTGGACCCTCATGTCAAGTCAACACTAGAGGGAGGCATTCTCACCTCCACTGTACACTCAAGAAAACTGAGGCTCAGAGAGGGAAAGTGCCTTGCTGGAGGCCACACAGCCTGTGAATATCAATGCGGGAATGGTCCCAGGTCCCCTTGACTTGAGTCTCAGCGTCTTTTTCTGACCATGCACCTGGAACCGCTGTTCTAGCCCTGGAGCACTTCCTTCCTCCTTCACCACCATCTTCATCATCACTCAGACTCAGAGAGACTAAATGGCTCTTTCCTTCCCCAGGGACCAGGTTCTAGAGCCCATGACACATGTACACATGGTGGAGGATGCAGGGGCCATGTGGTCACAAACTGTTCTCAGCCAAAGGTCACAAACAGTTCTCTAGTACTCGGAATACAGGTTTGGGGTAGGACAGACAGGTCAGATAGGAGTCACGGTCTTGGCTTTGTTCCTTCCTTACTATGTGACCCTGGGTGAGTTACATCACCTTTCTGGGCTGCTCGATTTTCTCATCAGTAGATGGGGAGAAATATACACCTGTCCTACAAGGAGGATGGAAGGGGGAAATGGGATAAAATGTGCAAAGTGCCTTGTGTTTGTGTCCTGCATTTGTGAGGTCCCCCAAGGCCCCAGGGGTGTGAGGACTCCTGGGGCTCCAGCCTTTGGAAGGGCATGCGGAGAGAAGAGATTGGCCTGGCAGGGCCTCCCCAGGCTGGGCTCAAGTGTGTGCATTTGAGCACGCAGGGCTGGGGCCTGATGACCAGGGGGCAGCCCTGTCACTCCCTGCCCATTCTCACTCCCTGCAGCCCTCTCCTCCCCCTCCATGGGCTGTCTTTACTCAGCCAGCTTCCCCCTGTCCCCCAAGGGCTGGGGGGACGGGTACTCTTGGGTCATCTCTGTATTTTGTAAGGATGATTTAGAAGCAGCCATTTGGTGGTAGGGAGTCCTCAGGCCTGAGTCCCACCAGGGAGGAAGCGCCTTCACCCACCTCTGGCTCCTGTTCCGAAGGCAGCCCCTCGAGCTCCCACCCCGTCTGAGTTCTTCCCATCACCCAGTAGCAAAGTGGGGAAACTGAGCTTGAGACGGGGTGCCTGAGCTCCATAGCCCCTCAGGGCCAAGGCTGGGTGTGGGGGCAAAACGGGCTGTGTCTGCATTGGCCAATGGAGGCCTGGATCCTGGGTGGAGGTGGGGGACCAAGCTGGTCTCAAATCTGGGGGATCACTGGGGTGGCGGCACATCTGGGAGGCATCTCTGTTCATTCAGCAGCCACTGAGCTCTGTGGTCTGCCGCTCCCTGTGCTCCTGGCTGAAGACTCAGAGACGGGGCACACCCTTGAGGAGCCTGCTGTCTTGAGGGGCCCGGAGCTCAGCTCAGGGCCAGGCTCCCAGCTACTCACTGCTGTACTGTGACCCTGGGAACACCCTGAACCTCTGTGCCTGGGTTTTCTTTCCTATCCAGGGCAGCTCTGGGCTAGCCCCTTCCTAGGGGCCTTGAGAAGCTGAAGGCTGGGACCATGGGAAGCGCACAGCACGGTGCTAGCCTAGGGAAGCTCCCGGTAGAGGCTGGCTGCTCTTATTATCATGATTCCAATTGTCACTTGCTATGGGCCAGACACCTTGGATACTGCCCGCGGGGTATGATACACCATGACTCTGAGAGGTGGAGTTACAGGAGGGGAAACTGAGGCTCAGGCTGGAGGTGCCATGCCAAGGGGTCACACATCCAGGAAATGATTGGGCAGGGTGTGAACCCAGTTCTGGCTGCCACACCCCAATGGCTTCCCTGTGCCAGCACCCTGCCTCAGCAGAGCCCTGGGAGGGCGGCTCTGCCCTCGCTGGGCAGCCGTGGCCCCAGTAGGTACCCCCTCCCTTTGGTTCCCAGCCCCCATGATGGATGAGTCTGGGGTTGCTTTCTTTGCGGGCAGCTGCCAAGGCCAAGGGCCCTACCAGGGTCTTCTCTGGCTTATGTCCCCCCTCCCCCACCAGTTTCCCCAGGGGGCCACGCTGCGACTGCCCGGGCCTGCCTGCCCCCTTCTCCCTCATAGCTTACATTCCTCCAGAAGCTTCTCCCCTAGGCGGGCAGGCGGTCAGCACCTCCCCATGCACAGCCCTCCCCGCCCGCTCTGCTCCCCAGCTCTTTGGCAGTGGGTCCCAGAACTTCCTGGCTTCTTCAGCCCCATCCAGCTTCTGCCCGGCTCTCCCGCTCCATCCCAGGGCCTCCCCCAGCTTCTTGTACCCAGACTACCCAGACAGGGCAATGCTTAACCCAGAGAAATGGAGCCCGATGCTTGAGTCAAGGGCATGAGAGGGAACATGCAAGCGATCAGTGAAATGTTCTTCCAAGTATGCCGGGAAGGCATCTGTGCACCTGGTCTCTGCAAAAGGCAATGCCTGACACAGTCTGGCCCCACCAGAAACCTCACCATTCAGCTGACAGACCTTGCCAAGCCTGCCTCCTCATCTGAAAAATGGGGCCCTCAAGATTTAGCTCATAGAGTCGTGAGGGCTCATTGAGATTCTAATCAACGGCATGCTGTCTTCACAGAGGAGGGATTTAAAAAATGATATTATCTAGATTATTGGGGAAACAGTGGGAGTTTGCCAAGAGAAAAGGCATGCAAAAAAGGGTATTCCAAGCAGAAGAAGTGGCTTATGTGAAAGCAAGGAGGTGTGATAGAATAGAAAGAGTAAAATCAGGGGTGAGCTGGAGCTGGCTTGCACCGGCTTGCAGGAGTTGGTTGGTGAATTCTCAGGAATTTGCAAAGCAGCTGTTAGGCACAGCTATCAGCAAAAGTTAAATTTTGTAAATTTGCAATTGAGCAAATCATGTTACAAAGGTAATAAACACTGGATTCACTACTTCTTAATAATTGTACCATTAACTATTCTCTCAATAGATAATAGTGATTTGTACTATTATCTATTCTCTTATAGATTGTACTTTTATCTATTCTCTATCTCTTATAGATTTGTACTATTATCTATTCTCTTATAGATTCTCTCTATAATTGTAATATTATCTATTCTCTTAATAGATAATAGTGATTCCTTTTCACTTCAAGGGTGTAAGAAACTTCTGCTAGCTGCTTCTAAATGTCTGTTTACAAACTCCTCTTAGTGCTAAATTCTTCCACTTTAATGTAGGGTAGAAACGCTACCTATGAAAGAGTGTGCTGTTTCTCAGTTCTCCCCAGCTTCGTGTTCTGGGATGTCATGTTGGTAGCTTCATATTGGTGACGGTGAGAGTATTTGTACCATGGAAACTGGGCAATGCTACAAAACCAGGACCCCTCATACCCCCAGAAGCCTATTATTAAGCATTTATTTCTATTTATTTATTTATTTATTTTTGAGATAGAATCTCACTCTGTCACCCAGGCTGGATTGCAGTGGCGTGATCTTGGCTCACTGCAGCCTCCGCCTCCTGGGTTCAAGTGATTCTCCTGCCTCAGCCTCCCGAGTAGCTGGGATTACAGGCGCCTGCCTCCACACCCAGCTAATTTTCGTAGTTTTAGTAGAGACGGGTTTCGCCGGGTTGGCTAGGCTGGTTTCGAACTCCTGACCTCAAGTGATCTGCCTACCTTGGTCTCCCAAAGTGTTGGGATTACAGGCATGAGCCACCACGCCCTACCCCGTGTGTAAGCATTTACCAGCGCACTGCTGGCTAACAGTTAGCAAGACCTCACTGCATGCCAGGCTATACCGTTGTCAGGCTATACGTGCATTATGTTGCCTCCTCACAGCAGCCCTGTGAGGGTGGCACTGTTATTGTCTCCATTTTACAGTTGTGAAAACTGAGGCACAAGGGAGATGAAGTCATTTGCTCAGAGTCATAATGAGGGGCAGACCTGGGAAGGCTTCCTGGAACGGTGGGTGTCTGGGTGAGAGGGTCGCCGAGACGTGTTCCAAGTCCTGACCTTTCCTTTGTCCTCTTCTTCTCCCCACAAGGAAGGCTGGACTTGACCTGTGATGAGATGGAGGCAGACGGAGCCTCAAAGGGTGGAAAGGGCTCCCTCAGATCCAGCTTTGCCTCCGGCCTCACAGCAGGAAGACCGGGGGCCAAGAACCAGCAGCAAGGGGCTGATTCTGATTCTGCCCGGCCCTCCCTAGGGGGCTGCCCCTGAGTGTCACCTGCCTGCCTGCAGTGGCCCTCCTCAGCCCCTGGTATCCATGGCTCAGATGGTGCCAGCCTGGGCTCCAGTACCAGCCTGGGAGCTACCTCCAGGGTCCACCTGCCAGGCCGAGTTTTGCAACCATCCTGGGCTGCAGCTCGGCAGGATGGCAGCTGGTTTGTACATACGCATGTTTTTGGCACCTTCTCCCATTAGGCTGTGTCATTACTTTGCATCACACATGGCCGACACAGCCCCGCTGGGACCCTGCTGGAGTGATGCCCAGCCCAGGAGCTCCCAGGGTGGGGTCCATGCCTCTTTGGGGCTAATACCCTCCTTCTTAGGTTCTGGGCCATGGGGACCCACAGGTCCCTGAGCCTTAGGTACCCGCTACTGTGTGCAGGAGACTGTCCTCTCCGAGAGGTGGTATGGGGTCGCGGTGAAGAACCTGGGCTGTTCACTCAGACCTGGGAGCTGTGTGGCCTGGGCTGCAGTATCTTCATCTGTAAAATGGGCACAGCACCAGCTCCTTCCATCGTTGCAGGGAGGATGGAATGAAGGTCCTCTGTGTGAAGTCCAGGAAGGACAGTGCGTGGGTGTAGTGAACCTGCTCCTCCCCGTTTTGCAGATGAGGTAACTGAGGCGCAGAAAGGAGAAGCTACTGTCCTGTGGCCCCATAGCCAGGGCTCTGTGGGCACCTTCCTCTCAGCCATGGGAGCCGAAAATTGTTTCCTTTCAAAGAACAAATAGAGCGAGGGGTTCTGCTTTGCTTAAAGTCAATCAGCATTGAACAAGCCTCTAAGCTCCTTAAGCAACTTCCGTGAGTGTGGAAGCCGGCTTAGAGCAAGGGCTCAGAGAGGTTTAGTGACACGTCCCCCGTCACACAGTGGTGAAGGGCTGCTCCTGTAGGTGAAGGGTAGCATGATCCTAAGCCAGGGCTCCAGAGACTCAGATTCTGGCCTTGTTGAGAGGTTTGGGGCAGGTGACATCTCCCTCTGGGCCTCAGTTTCCTTTGAAGCTGACAGTGTGCCAGGCAGAGTTTAGAAAGAGGGTCTGCTGGAAGGGATGATGGGAGAGAGCCTGGTGGGAGAACAAGGGAGTCGGGTGCCTGGGTGGGTCAGGGTGTGTGCACACAGCCTTCCCTGACCCCAGCAAAATATGCCATCAGTGGCAACTTCTTCTTTGCCCTCTTCTCTGCCCTCTTACTTCCCAAAAGACTGCCAGGGAGGCTGGGTGCAGTGGCTAAAGCTTGTAATCGCAGCACTTTGGGAGGCCAAGGCAGGCGGGTCACCTGAGGTCAGGAGTTGAAGACCAGCTTGTCCAACATGGTGAAACCCTGTCTCTATTAAAAATACAAAATTAGCCGGGCGTGGTGGCACATGCTTGTAGTCCCAGGCACTCGGAAGCCTGAGGCAGAAGAATCGCCTGAACCTAAGGCCAAGGTTGCGATTACCCAAGATTGCGCCATTGCACTCCAGCCTGGGTGACAAGAGGGAAACTCCATCTCAGAAAAAAAAAAAGACTGCCAGGAGAAAAATCAAAGTACAAGAGAGAAAAGCAGGTGTACAGGTGTAGAAAGAGAAGTGATGCCTGCGCTGTCTTTGTAATTGCCAGTAAGTGCTCAGTGGAGTCTTTGAGTTCCCTAGTGGCCAAAGTAAAAAGGGATGAGTGGGCCTTTTATCCCACTTCCATGGGAGGATTGCAACAAAGGCCAAGTAAGATCCTAGATATGAAAGTGCTCTGCAAATCACGAGACCCCTGTTGAGGTGGGGTGAGAGTAATGATTGTTAACAATATCTGATTTCACCACTGGGACTGAACCTTAGGCCTTAACCTTATCGTGTCTAACCTGCCGCTGGTGCTGACGGCGTTTCCAGCACTGTCTCCCTCATTTCTTACCTCAAGGTGGATGCTCAGGTGGCACCAGGCCTCTGCTCAAGATGTCCCCTCAGCCTGGAATGCCTGGCTCACTGCTCCTTAGGAGTCTCATCTCCATAGCCCCCTCCTCTGAGACCCTTCACTGGGCCAGGCTGGCTCTGGGGCCCTCATCTGCGCTTCTGCAATTCCATCCTGCACACACCACACTGGATGAAAACCTCCTCCTTTGCCAGATGCCTGGCAGACAGAGTTGGGGGCTCTGTAGATTCTGGCACGGGCCCTGGCACAGTTAGTGCCTAGAAGGGGTTTGCTGAATGAATACATGTTGGTACCGAGCCCACACCCTGTCCTCTGATCTCCACCTGTCCTCATCAAGGCAGAACACCTGGTGTTCTGGGCGTCACCTCCCCAGAAGCTGCCCCGGGCCTGCCTTTGCCCGCCCAGGAGGGTGCGTCCTGACCTCAGAAATCTCCTACCTCCCTGAGCTGCCTAGAGCCCGTAACTGTCAGGGGCCTTGGCGGGAGGGGAGTGGCCAGGGCAAAATCAGCGGATGGGTTGGGGAGCGTGGCTGCGTATGTTTCCACGCATTGGGCCACTGAATTCTTGCCTTTACTCTCTGCATTGGGCCGCTGCATTCTGTATTTACTCTAGTCCACGTCTCCCAGCAACCTCCTGTGGTAGGAGCTATTTTATCTCCATTGTACAGATGTGTAAACTGAGGCTCAGAGGCAAGCGCTCTCCCATGGCTTTGTAATTTGCAACAAGTGGCGGGTAGGCTTCGGGGGTGGTGTCCACCCTCCATATGCTCACAGCCTGAAGGGAGACAAGAAGGAGAGAAAAATAAATCAAGGAGGTGGCTGGGCAGGCCCTGGGGGGTGACAGCCATTTGAGGAGGAGGAGACACGAGCAAGTGTGCACGCCGCCACACGCCTGTGATGACAGACCCACTCGCATGCTCACTAGGCCCCAGCCCACTGTCACCCTCGCGTCTGCTCCCAGGCATCCCACATTTACACACTCATTGTCCCCAGGCTCATCCCTTGTACACCCACGATCCCCACTTCCAGCAGGACACACTGAGACACACTTGCACCCCTCGGCTGGCACATCCTCTTCACCCACACACGTGTGCTTGAACTTGGGCTCACACCCTGAGCAGCCCAGGGAGACTCTACGCTCATACACCATGCAAATGCTCATGGCCTGAGTCCCCTCTCGAGCCACACACCTGCCACCCCTCATGCCCGGCCACCAGCCCAGTCCCAGATGCCACCCCAGGGGTGCCAGGTGCCTCAGGCATCCAGGGTGATCCCCTTCAGGTGGGGCAGATGTTCTCAGCTGCTTGGGCTTGCCCTGAGGGTGGAGATGCGGCCCTGGCCAGGGGTGCAGGGCCAGGCAGCCGCTGGGGCAGAGCCAGGAGGCCCACACCTGTGTGGACGTGCCTGGGGCTGGTGCCAGCACAGTGGCCGCTCCCTCTACCCTCCAGCCTATCGGAGGGCAGCCTATGCCAGGCTGGGGATGCCAGCCTCACATTCTGGGAGTGTCAGAGAAGCCCGAGGAGGGGCACGGTGGGCAGGCCCGGGCCAGGCCCTTCTCTCTGATTTCGAATCTCAGCATCCCAGCTGCGTGACCTCAGGCGACATATTCCAAGCCTCAGCTTTCTGCTCTGCAAAATAGGAATGATGACAACCTTCCCTCGTGGTTGTTGGGAGAACAAGGAAGCTAGTGTGAAATCTAGGGCTTGACTTTCCTGCCGGGGGCTGTCACTCTGTCCCCCAGCTGAAGGCCTACTCCCTAGTCTGTCCCCACCTGTTCTTTTTTGTTTGTTTTGTTTTGTTTTTTTTGAGATGGAGTCTCACTCTGTTGCCCAGGCTGGAGTGCAATGGTGAGATCTCGGCTCACCGCAACCTCTGCCTCCCAGGTTCAAGTGATTGTCCTACCTCAGCCTCTTGAGTAGCTGGGATTACAGGCGCATGCCACCACACCTGGCTAATTTTTGTATTTTTAGGAGAGACAGGGTTTCACCATATTGGCCAGGATGGTCTCGAACTCCTGACCTCAGGTGATCCACCCACTTCGGCCTCCCAAAGTGTTGGGATTACAGGCGTGAGCTACTGTGCCCAGCCTTTAGTTTTTTTGATTTTTTTTTTGAGTCAGAGTCTCACTCTGTTGCTCAGGCTGGATTGCAGTGGCAAGATCTCAGCTCACTGTAACCTCTGCCTCCTGGGTTCAAGCGATTCTCAAGCTTCCGCCTCCTGAGTAGCTGGGATTACAGGTGTCTGCCACCATGCTCGGCTAATTTTTTTTATTTTTTTATTTTTTTATTTTTAGTAGCGACAGAGTTTCACTATGTTGGCCAGGTTGGTTTGGAACTCCTGACCTCAAGCGATCCACCTGCCTCGGTCTCCCAAAGTGCTGGGATTACAGGCATGAGCCATCGCACCCAGGTCACACCTGTTCTTTTTTAAAATAGCTTGATCAAGCTAGAAGTCACATACCCTACAATTCATCCATTTAAAGGGTACAGTTTAATGGCTTTTAGTATGTTTACAGGTAGTGTAACCATCACCGCTACCAATTTATTGCCACACTATCAATTTATTTATTTATTTATTTTAGAGACGGGGTCTGTCTCTGTTACCCAGGCTGGAGTGCAATGGTGTGATCACGGCTCACTACAGCCTTGACCATCTGGGCTCAAGCGATCCCCCTTCCTCAGCCTGCCAAGGAGCTGGAACTACAGGCACACTCCACCACACCTGCCTAATGTTAAAGTTTTTTTGTAGAGCTGGGGTCTCAATCTGCTGCCTAGGCTGGTCTTGAATGCCTGGCCTCAGGTAATCTTCCCACCATAGCCTTGCAAAGTGTTGGGATTACAGGTGTGAGCAACCATGCCCGGCCATCACTGTCAATTTTAGGGCGTTTTCATCACCACAAAGAGAAACTTTGTGCCCTTTAGTCATCACTCCGCTGTCCTTCCACCCCGCAGCCCTAAGCAACTGCTCGTTCACTTTCTGTCTCTATACATTTGCCTATTCTTGACATTTTGTGTAAGGGAAATGAGATGATATGTGGCTTCTTTCACTTAACCCAGTGTTTCCAAGTTTCATCCATGTTGTAGCATTGTGTCACTACCTCCTTTTTCATGGCTGGATAACACTCCGTTGCAGGGATGTTCCGTGTTTTGTTTATCTGTTCATCTGGTGATGGGCATATGGGTTGTTTCCATGTTTTGGCCTGTTTTGTTGGAGTATGCTGCTATGAACATCCATGCCTTACCTACCTTCTGCCTGATTTTGCCTAACTTGCTAAGTTTAGCCTCTTGGCTTTTAGCCAAGCTGGAGGCAGGCAGGCCAGTGTGGGAGGACAATTAGACAAGCTGGGCTCAGTATGTGAGGCGGGGATTCTGGAGGCTGGGGAGGAGATAGCTGGTCTTAGAGGGGTGGAGACCACCTCTTTCCCACCAGTTCCCATTGGGACACTTAAATCCTCCTCCCTCTTGTCCTCTCTCTTTTCACCTTAATAGTGACAGTCAGAGGCAACATTATGGCAAGGCCTTTTGAGCACAGAATGTCAATGGATCCTAAAACACACAAACACACACTACACACACGCACTTACACACACACGCACACACACAGCGAAGTGGATATTATTGGCATGCTCAGTTTATAGACAGGGGAATTTAAGCTTAGGAGTCGAAGTGAATTTGCCAAGCCCTGCAACTGTTGGGGCAGTATTTGAACCCAGACCTGTCCAGTTGTTGGAGAAACCTGATATGCCCCCTCCTTCCTGCCTGTTCCACCACCCTGGATCTCAGCTCGCCCCAGTGCCACCTTGCCGATTCAATCCAGTCCAGTCCAAACCTCATGCCTGAGTGTGTGTGGGCCAGGGCTGAGGAGGGTAAGGGGAGATGCTAGGGCAGGACCTTGCTGGATTTATGATGTGCCAACCCTGGCTTGGGCCCCGGAATCCAGATCTGAACTAGACACCATCCCTGGAGGCTGGAAATCAAGGTGGGGGAGGGGGTGCAGGCGGGGAGGCGTTGGCATGGAAGACCTGGCGACAGGGCGGGAGGTGCGGGGGGAACATGACCCAGTCTGGGTGGTGGAGTTCAAGGCAGGCTTCCTGGGATGGCAGTACTTGAGTAGGATCCGGGTGGCTCCTGAGGGAATGGCATGAGTAGAGGTGTGGAAGAGAGTAACAGGGAGAAAGGGTGCAGTGGTTTTGCCTAGAGTGGTTCTGTGGGTGGAGCCCAGAGTGTGAGGGATGAGATTTGAGAGATGGAGACAGGGTAGACCCTGAAGGGCCTAGAATGCCAGGCAAAGATGCTCAGACCTTCTGTGTGCGATAGGGAGACATGGAGGATTCTAGAAGGAGAGTAGCTTATGCATTTGGAAAGCTGCTCTGGAGTGGAGGTGGAGGTGGGAGTGGCTGAGGGAGGGGCTGGCAAGCAATTGTGGGGACCCCGAAGGGTTGGGGTAGAGGTCAGAGGTGGCAGTGACAGGAGGAGGGACTGACACAGAACTGGGGTGGGGACAGGAAGGGGGTGGAAGATTTGAAAAAATCCAGGAGGTGAATCCAAAGAATCAGATGCACAGGAGTCCTGAATCCTCAGGTCTGGGAAGATTCCAGGGTCTACACCCCGATTTTAGCCAGCGAGCCCTCAGCTGGGATGAAATCTTCCACAGAAACCCAACCACTCAAATGAACATGGGGCTGGAGCTACTGCAGAGCCAGGCAGCAGGATTCCATTTACGCAAGTTCTAGAAGACACAAAACTGATCTATGGTGACGGAAAGCAGATCGGTGGCTGCCTGGATTGGGGCACTCATATGAAGGGGTACAGGGGAAACTTCTAGGGTGACAAAATGTTCTAGAGCTTGATCATGATGGTTACCTGGGCGTAGATACTTGCCACACTCATCCAACTGTACATTTAAGACCTGTGCATTTTACTGTGTGTAAATTATATCTCATAAAGAGAAGGAGAAAAATCTAGTAGCTAAAAACTGGTAAAACAGAAATAGCTCTGGGGTGGCCGGGTGTAGTGGCTCATACATACCTGTAATCCCAGCACTTTGGGAGTCTGACTTGGGCAGATTGCTTGAGCCAGGAGTTTGAGACCAGCCTGGGCAACATGTTGAAATCCAGTCTCTACAAAAAATACAAACATTAGCTAGTGTTGTGACACATGCCTGTAGTCCCAGCTACTTGGGAGGTTGAGGTGGGATGGGAGGTTGAGGCTGCAGTGAACTGAGATCGTGCCACTGCACTCCAGCCTGGGCAACAGAGAGACCCTGTTTCAAAAAAAAAGAAGAAGAAGGAAGGAAGGAAGGAAGGAAGGAAGGAAAGGCAGGCAGGCAGGCAGGCAGGCAGGCAGGCCGGCAGGCAAAGAGCTCTGGGGTGAGGCAAAGTTGGGGGTGAATTCTGCTCCCCTCACCGCCAGAGCAGACCCTGAGCTGCCCCCAGGCTCCTGGGGCTCCCAGCCCAGCGTCCGTTCCCTGTGGCTCCCAGGGTGTCCCCGACCATCAGCACCCACCTGCCCTGCTCAGGTTGCTGCCTGCAGGGAGGGACGCTGGGCAGCCCCTCTTGCAAATCCTGAATTAATGAATCCCAGGAATCTGCTGCCTGTGAACAGCCTCTTCTTTGGGGTTTGGGTGAGAACCATAGGGATTAGGGCCTGGCAGGCAGGGCGCCTCCTCCCGGGGGCTCAGTTTTCACCCCAGGGGAAATCTGAACTGGCCCCCCGATCCCCCACTCTAGTTTCCCCTTTGCAACAATCCCTTGTTCTTACAAGAGGCATTATCTGCCTAATCCCTGCCCGCCCTCGCTGGCTCCTGGGGCACAGGAGTGCGTGGGGCCCACGCTGCCCCCCTCCTGGCTGCTCCCTGCCCTGGGTGCCCAGGGGCATCCCTGCCCCAGTCCTTTTGGCCAAGGTGGTTGGACCATGGGGAGAGAAAATGGCAGGCCATGGATGGGTCCTATGTCCCAGGCCTGTCTAGCATGACGCTGAACACAAACACGGGCACACACGTACACACACTCATGCCCACCCTCACATGCAGACACACTTTTGGGGAATTTCTGGGTTGGCTGATGTGAATAGAACGGGCGGGTGAGTGGTACCTTTGCACCCCCACTTAGTTCTGAAAGGGTCAGCTGTGCAAAGGGTGGGATTGATGTCACAGTGTCCGATGGGACGGGCTGGGTGTTAGACATTTTGTACATCCTCTTGCAGGGGGTGGGGGCCAGACAGACCTAACTTGGAATCCAAACTCCACCACTCCCTGGCCGCATGTACTTGAGCAGTTTCCTTATCTGTCAAATGGGAATCATGAGTATTTTCCCCGGAAGGAAGGGAGGCTTGAAGGAGGTAGCATGAGCAGGGCTCTGGGGGAGATGCTCCATGAATGGTGGCTTCTTGTTATGAACAAAACCATTTCCTGGTCATAGTCCTGCTTCTCTGCACACCCTGAGGTGCCTGTGTCTCAAATGAGTGCCTGTCTAGATGTGACCATCTGTGCATGTGGTGGGGTGCCGTGCCCCAGGTATTGCCATCACCGTACCTAACATTGCACTGTTGGGAAGGGGACCCAATCCTTGGTCACTTGAAGTCTTGTGGTGTTTCCCTGGCTGCCCTCTGAGCCTTTGCTGCTGTGATCGCCTCTGTATGGGTTACTGATAACCAGGGGAGAAGGTGGGTGGGGTGCTGGGGGGAGGCAGCCGGGGTCTGGAACAGGATCCCCAACACGGGAGGCAGGCAGGACCACGGATAACCTTAGCCAATGCCACGATTTAGCCATGGGCTGATCCCAGCTGAGGACCTGGGGATGATGGGGGAGAGGATCCCTGGGATAAGTTGAAACGGCCGGACGGCTCTGACCTCCATGTTTGAGGCTGTTCAGATGGCCAGGGTAGCTGGGGTTGGCAGGTTTGGGAGAAGATGCTGAGCAGAGGCCTTGAAGAGACTGCTTAGTTTCCGGAAGTTCAGAAGGGATGAAATGGGATTGGCTGTCGTCTTCTCTGAGAACTCATGGCCAACCTTCCACTCATTGGTGCAGGGAGGCCTGTCCTACACCTCTGGAGGCCTCCTGGAGTTCTAATATCCCCCGCAGGGGTCTTCATTCCAGTGCAGGAGGAAGGCAGGGGGCGCTCCTCCTCCCTCACCCACTCCTACGGCCTCCACAGAGACCTGATGCCGACGTTTGGAGGCTGAGTCCTTCAGGGCCCCTCCTGGGGTGACAGATTCTGAGCTCAGGAGAAGCTGGTGGCTCCATGCAGAGAGTTGTGCAGACTCGGAGCTTTGTCCTAGGTCTGCCTCTGCCCTGCTGTGTGGCCTCAGGACCATCAAACCTCTCTGGGCCTCAGCACCTGGTCTCTCAGAGGTCCCTGGAGCTCAGCTGTGTGAGAAGGGGCTCTTTATTGTCCGTCTGGGACCCCTGCTCTGGGGCATGGATCCCAGGAGAGAGGGCTCCCCCTGGGCAGATGCTGGGCTAAGGGAGCAGCCACCTGGAAGTCAGGAGGCCTAGGTCCAGGCTCTGCCTTTTCAGGCCTCAGTCTCCCCCCTGTGAAAAAAGGAGGCCAGGCTCTCTCAGAGGGGATACTGGGCCATCAGATTGCGAGGGAAGAGAGGGGAGGGTGGGCAGTGGCTGGGTGGGGCAGGGCAGGAGTGGCCCTCACCCAGGGCACACAAAGGGGCCATGTGTCCTCGGTGGGCAGTGAGGGGCGGGCCCGGGCGTCTGCTCTAGGGATGGGATTTGGCTTCAGAGAGGGGCTTTATTATGTTTCCTTTTTAATTACAATGGTCCTGGCTCCTACAACGGCAGCTTTTGTTGGGGCGGCTTAGGAGAGGGAGGGAGGCAGGGCTGGCCAGTCTGGGGCTGGAGGGGCTTGATGGGAGGGGGCCTTGCTCAGACCCTCCTGTCTGTACCCTGGGAAGGGAGGTGTGGGGGCATGAGGGAGGGGCCGGCTTTGGGGGTGGAGCAGCTGAGTTTGAGCCAAAGGGACACTTCTTCCTGCTGCATTTCTTTGCCACACTCCAAGTTCTGACATCCAACACCGCAGGGTGGCTGACCCCCGCCCTCCTCCCTCGGTGGCCCACAGGGATCTCAAGTTCAACATCAACTTCCCCCTAGACTGACTCCAGATTCTATATTGTTCATCTCAGCAAATTCATTCATTCATTCATTCAGCACACATTTATTGAGTAGCTACTCTGTGGCTGATCCCACTCTAGGGGCCAAGGGTGCATCCGTGAACAAGCACACCCGAATTCCCTGTTCTGTGGAGCTGGTAACCTAGCATTTACCTGTTTGTATGCTTTGTCCTCACAGTTTCTAGAAAGGCGGGATTGTGCCTTGAGCCTGCCCAGCTCGGCACTCATGACAAAGCCTGGCATATAGTAGGCTCTTTGGAAATGTTTCTGTGCCAAAGAAGGAAAGAACCATCCAGAAGGCAGGTAGACCCTGAGGGCCAGGAGGATGCTCGGACCTGGGGAAAGGCCTGGAAGGAGATGCTCGAGCCTGCCAACACTGGGAGGTGGGGATCAATGACCAGCTGACACAACGCTACGTCACTTGTTCCAATGTGCATTTGTTATTTTGTGTTTTGAAAAAGCGAGTAAGAAAATCTTGAAATGAAAAAGAGATTGAATAAACAAGTACTTTAATGACAACAAACCAAGTATAAGATTTGTAGTTTTCCCCTAAGAAATAAAACATGTGAATTTTGGACTCAGCCACATCTGCTGTTTCCCAGATGTGTGGCCTTGGGCAAGACTCAGCCTCCCTGAGTCTCAGTGCCCTCATCTGTACCCTCGCAGGGCTGCTGGGGGATGACATGGGCTCATGGCTGGGAAGGTCAGATGTATCACTACTGCTCTAGGCCCCTGGAGTATTGGGGGTGTGGCCCCTAAGATGAAGGAGCCCCTCACTGTGGGACCATCACAGCGCCCACCCACTGCAGACACCAGCACCCCTGAAGCTCCAGGGCCCCAACCGTGCCTTACAGGGGTGTCCCTAAAGCTGGGGACTTCACACCACAGCCTCCTGCTCACTCCCCAGGGCCCTACTGAGAAAGCCATAAGGGACACCAGCCTCTTCCTGTTGTCTTAGGGCTGGAGTCCAGGACTCCTGGGCTGTCCAGGCCCCTGCTAGCTGGGCTCCTCTGAACTGCAGGGGCCAGGCACTGCTGGGTGTTAGGGGAATGGGAGCTGTTGGGCAAAGTCCAGCTGGAGGCTTGCAACAGAAAACTCAGTTCCATCCCTAGAACCCTGGGATGGCAGAGGGGTATGCCTCCTGTGGCCCCACCCATAATCCCCATCCCTCTTAGCCAGGGTAGAGACCCCTGCTCAGATCCTTGATGAGGACTTCTTGGATCACTCTAAATAAAAGAGCGTAACCTCTTTTCTGGCTTCCCAGCACCCACTGGCATATGGCCCGCTGGCTGCTAACACGGGCTCTAGAGCCCCACTGCCTGAGCCCGAGTCTGCTGACCCATGGAAGGTGGACTCCTTGAGGATGGGGACTTTTATCTGTTCACAGCCTCTGCATGAGCTGGAGCACTCTCCCCATTTTACAGACAGGGAGACTGAGGTTCGGAAAGGACAAGCGGCTCTTCTAAGGCCAAACAGCACATCCACAACAGTACAAGAACCCTCAAATCACTCTCCTCTCTGGGACATCCCACCACCATTTCTTCTGGTTACTAATGTCCCCCTTCCCCAGCCCCAGACACTGCACCCGTTGCTCTTGTCCCCACAGCCTCCAGAAAAGGCTATGTCCTCCAGGGGAGGCTGTGATTTAAGGTTTGGTTTAAGTGCTGACATGTGAGTGGGGAGCAGGTGGGGGCAGCGTGGGTGGTGGGGGAAGCGCTTCCCGCCCTGCCAGGCGCCCCATCTGGACAGCGAGGCTGCAACCTGATCTTCGGGCTGAGAGCTGCTCTATTTCGGGGGTGGCACTGGAGGCCCAGGCACCCTGACTGGGGGAAGGGGTGCCTCCTGCCCCTGCTACAGGCTTGGAACATAGGCCCTCGCCCGTGGGCCGTTCCAGAGAGCAGGGGCGGGGCACCTCTTCCTGATCCCTGGTGGGCAGACTAGGAAGGCAGGGCCAGGGTCGCAGAGAAAGTCTCCCTTGCTTCAGGGGCTGAAGGCTCCAGACCCACAGGCAGGGACAGAGGAAATGCGTAGGGGTCCTTGTCACCGCTCTGCCAGCATCTCACTTTGTGACCTTGGGCAAGTCACTCTCCCTCTCTGGGCCTCAGTGTCCTCATTGGTGTCCTCACTACTTCAGGTCTTATCCAGCTCTGGGATTCCATCTTCTTGGCAAGAAAGAAAAAGATCCGCATGCTCAAAGATTCTAGGGACAGAGGGGCTGGTTCAGACATTTTAAGATGAAGGGAAGAATTCATGAGTAAAAAGAATGGTTCAAGCATTCTGAGTTAGTGATATTGGGGTTATTACATGATCACTAGGTGGTCCAGAAAGTATATTTGCCCCTAGAGCACAGCCCATGAGAGTGGAAGCCCTGGGGGGAGAGGGAGTATGGGAGGGCCAGCAGTGGCCATGACGGGTGCAGGTGGCCCCCCAGGGCTGACCCGATCTGATCCTGAGTTGAGGCCAGGAGAGCAGCTGATACTCTCTGATTGCCCTGGCCTTTCTGCCAGGACCCACCGGGCTGCTGCTGATGGCAATGTCTGCCAGAGTCGCAGAGCGAGAGTGTGAGCATGGACAGAGAGCCCCTGAGGACGCTGGGCTCCTGTCCTGCCTTGCAGCCTCCCAGGCGGGTGCTGGCTGCCTTCCTGGCACAGCCTGGACCCTGGGGAAAAGCTGCCTTGGGCATAAGCTCTTGTGGAGCCCTGTTGAGCCAGGGCTTCTGGGAAGCTGGTGAGACTGGACCTGGCCCTGGCAAGGTCTGGGTGTGGGGCAGGGGGGAGGAGCTCCTAGGCCATCCATCCAACCCACGCCCCATGCATGGCTTAACCTCTCGGAGCCTCCACTGCTCCATCTGTAAAATGAGGACACGGGTACTCCTAGATGAAATGATACAAGCAGAGGACGATGCCTTGCACACCCCACAGTCATGGAGATCTACAGGCTGGGGCCAGGGGCAGCTGGAAGGGAGAGGGACGCAGGCTCTGTGGGAGGAAGGGGGCACTTCTCAGGGGAGAGGCCTTGGACCTAAGACCCCAGCACCTCCTGCAGGCAGGGCCGGGCCCAAGGGCTCCTGCTTTGCAGCCCAGGACTTGGTCCAGAACCCCCACAGCTGCCTTTCTTTGCCCCCGAATTTTTAAATATGAAAAATCTCCATTTACCAGTTAATGAAAAGCTGGATCCAGGGCTGGCTGTAAGAAGGAGGCTGCAGATATAATTCTAGGTCCAGAGACCTGGGGAAGACCGAGTCAGGAGGGGAGCTTGTCTTTCCTCAAGTCACACTGAGACCCCGGGAAATAGGAGGGGACGCAGGGGACTGGCAAGTCCCCAAAATGTCCTGGGGCCACATGATTTCAGGGTTGTGTGTGTGTGTGTGTTTGTGTGTGCAGGAGCTATCTCCATATCAATATTAACTATCTCTGTATTGAGTTTATAATCTATCAATAAGTAGTTTCTTCATCCAAGTTATTTTGCTTCACAAAGGGTTTCATTAAGCAAGAAGAAATGTATAATCCAAAAGAATAATATAAAAAATAAAAAATCAGAAGTTTCTGCTGTACATGTGAATGACTGGCACAGTTTCTGAAAAGTTAATATAAACCTTTTGAAAAATCGGGATTGGGCCTCCTGGTACTGTGGAAAATGCAGGAGATGGAGCATGTCATTCGACCTCTCTGAGCCTCAGTTTCCACATCTGGAAGTTGGGGAGAGCAGTTTCTGTCTCATTGCTGTGATGTGGGGATTAAATGATCAAGTGTTTACAGAGCGCCTGGTCTCTGCTTGGTGCAGGGGCAGTCACGGGTCCATGGAGATGCTTCTTGAAGTTTTGCGCTTGATTTGTGTTGGAAATGTGTCATCCAGACAGGCTTCCTGGAGGAGGCGTGGCCTTCGAAGCTGTTCTGAGAGTCCAGGTGGGAGCCTGTGGAAACAGGACCAGGAGGAGGAGCCGGGGGCTGTGGGCACCTAGGGTGGGCTACGGGTAGCTCAGGAGGTTGCTGGTAGAGCCCTGAGGATGAGGGAGGGAAGTGATTTGGGGGACTGGGCTTGCTGGGCCTGTCCTAAAACGAGGAATGGGATGGAAGGGAAAGGAGAAGAGAGACCTATATTCTCTCAGCCCCCTCCCAGACACCCTGTGGGGAAGATGCATGGGTGAGCCCCACTATACAGATGTGAAAACTGAGGCCCATAGAGGGCTCTTGGGCAGCTATTCATGCTGGTGACTCAGATGGGGAGGGGGAAGACAGACATGAGCAGCTTTGCTTGAGCTTGTGATGTGTTGGGTTTCATTCCAAGCAAAAAAAATGTTAAAAACCCTCATCAAATAAAGAGTAAAAAACAATAATTTGAAAAAGAAGGAAAGGCAGGCCAGGGAGCCCAGGCAGCCAGGCTGGGGTGGCACAGTCGGGACGTAACACAGCTGGGTGGAAGCCCCTGGTGTCCACCAAAGCCTGTGCTCCTTCTTCTGGGCTGGACTGGGGCAGGGGCCTCCTTCTCAGGGACTCAGCAGGGGCTCAGCAGCCCCCTCCGTGGAGTTTATTGGGTCCTTAATGGGCTCTCAGAGACCTGGCACCTGCCGCCTTTTCTGTTCTAATAAAAGGCAGATGCCTTGGGGGTGGATGGGGGTAGTGTGTGGGGGGCTCTGGCTCGTGGCCACTCTGGGTGACACATTCCTGGGTCCTGACTCACAGGGAAACGTCTTCGTCTTCGTGACTCCTCAGCACTTTTGGGCCCTGCAGCTGTGGCCGCATTCCTCCTCGTCCTCCCCTCCCCTCCCGCCGGTCCCTCCAGCTGGAGCTGCTGCTAATGGCATTGACCCATCCTGGGCTGTGGAGACTGAGGCCGCTGGAGGATGGGTACTGGTTTCCATACTGTGCCACACAGAGTGAGGGAGGGAAGAGGACCTTCTCACCTGGGGGATGCCCTTGGCTTAGGGCAGTGAATCTCAATCAGGAGAGATTTTGCCCTTCGGGGGACTTTTGGGAATGTCTGGAGACATTTTTGGTTGTTGCAACTGGCGATGTTGGTGTGCCCTGCCATTCTGTTGGCATTGATAAGGGTAGAGGCAAGTGATGTTGCCAAACATTCTACAATGAACAGGACAGCCCTCATAACAGAGAACCATCGATTGTCCCAAAGCTGGGGCACCCTGGCCTGGAGTCCCCCGGGCCAAGGCCTGGAATAGGGATTCAGTGTCCCCATTGCACACACTCTCTGTAAGCCTCTCACTGTGGGAGACCCTGGAGCTGATACTGGAGACGCTGAGATGATCCAGTTTCAAATCCTGGTGGTCCAGAAACCTTCCAGTCTGGCATGCGAGACAGACAAGTGCCTGGCTTGTTCTCAGCCACCATAGCAAGGGAACTTCCAGAAGAGCAAGCAGGAGGTCACGAGTCTTGGGCTTGGAGGACAGACCCATGATGTCAGGGAAAGAGCACTAGACAAGGAGTCCGCAGTCCCAGCTCTGACCAGCTGAAGAAACACAGACAAGCCATCCATGTCCCCCTCTTTGGGCCTCAGTTTTGTCCTCTGGTCATTGCTGAGCTGAAATCTCTAACTCTAAGGGCCCGAGCTGTGCCAGTCTTGGATTCTAGACTCAATTCATTTGCAGTGTGGTGGAGGGGCTTGAGGTACAGCATAGAGGTGGGCAAGCCATGGCCGAATCCAGCTGGGCGCCTGCATTTGTGAAAAAAATAATGTCTCTGCACTGTCTATGGCTACATCAGCAAAGTGGAGTACTTGCAACAGAGACTGTCTGGCCCTCAAGTGCTAAAATATTTTCTCTCTGGCCCTTAGAGGAAAAGGTTGTTGGCTCCCCCACACTAATGGGCAGATTTCAGGTGTAAGTCACTGGCCAGTTGGGAATTAGAGGAGAGGTATTTGTTTGGCAGGGGGCGTGGGAAGGGCATATTTTGATGGAAGTTTTTTCTAGTGCACTGGTCAGGATCTCAAACTCAGATTCCTCTCTACGGCCTCAGTTTCCCTGTGTGTGAATGGAAATCGCTGTACCTGCCTGGCACAGTGGGTAAGGAGGGAAAGTCTCGTGCCTGGGCCAGGCTGGCGGAGCTGGGTTATTTATGGTTTCCGCCGGGAGGGGGGCTGCAGGCCGCGGGCCGTGTCTGACCTGAATTCTTACACTTACAGGAAATTAGAGCCCTTGGAAGCAGGTGCGCTGGGATCCTAACACTCGGGTGGCCGAGAGGGCGATGTGGCTGAGGCAACAGGGAAAGGGGGCTGGACTGGGCTGGGGGCTGGAGGAGGGGCCAGTCCCGAGGGGACGGGGCTCCAACCTCACCTTCCTGCTGTCGTGGAGAAGAAAAGTGGTAATGACCGCTACTGTGCACTGGGCTCTCGCTCTGTGCTTTGCTTGTGTTTGCTCAGTTAATCCTCCCAACATGCCTCTAAGGTAAGATGATTGCCCCTCATTTTACAGATGGGGAAACTGAGGCTCAGTGAGGTGTGCTCACTTGCCCATGAGCACAGAGCAGGCGTTAGAGTCAGGATTTGAACCCAGGAAAGGCTGTACAATTCCAATTCTTATATCCTCTTTTCCATACCAGCCACCTATGGGCAACAAGGTCTCCAAGGAAACTCCAGAACATTCTGTGGGTTTCAGTGGTTACCTGCTGAGGCGGCATTGGGCATGGAGCATCCGAGGGTCCAAGGTGAGAAAGAATCAGGGTGTGTGGCTTATGGTCCAGTTCCAGGGTTGGAGCGGGAGGGTGAGTGGTCGGCGTCTGTGGCAAGCAGCTGTGGGGCTTTTGGGAGCTGGCCGTAGGCAAGGGAGTGCCAAGTGTCTGCAGTCAGAGGCCAGGAGCCTGGGAGGCTGGAGAGATGGGGTCTGGTCTGCCCTGAGGTCGGGCCTGGCCGGGGGTGCCCTGGGTGGGCTGCCTGTCTGCAGCGGGCAGGTAGGTGAGCCTCGTGCACACTGGGTCATGTGTGACGAGTCTTTGATTTATAAGAATGTGTGGGAGTGTGAACTCATGTGCAACAGTGTGAGTGTGAGACAGGGTGGGTGTGATTGTTTGAATATTTGTATGTTTGCAGAGGCGGGTGAGGCTTGGTAAGGGCCAAGATGTCTTCAATTTGGGGACTTTCTTTATTAAAAGGAATGCAAAATGACAAATACTAAAGAGACTTTAAAACGAGAAAAGAAACCACAACGAATTACTCAATTTTTAAGCTGACAAATACCACAAACATTACCAAATCCAGAAAAAAATCATAATATTTTTATTAATTAACTCCCTGGCACATTCCTGTACTACTGATTTTTATTTCTCTTTTTGGCTTTGACCATCGTGTGAACACATTGCAAGGGCCCTCCCGGGGCTCTGGAAGGAGGCTGCAGCTCCAGCCTTGGGATGTGTGAGTTTGTGTGAGCGACTGAGGGCGTGGGTGTGTGTGCGGGTGTGACCAAATGTGGGGGCCTGTTTCACAAAAGAGAGATGGAGAGCAAGGCTGTCATGGCAAACTGGCTCAATGGGTATTTGTTGAATAAATAAAAAGGACGATCGCATATGTGAGAGACTGTGTGTGGAGGAGATGCATGTGTGTTTAAGCACGTGCACATGCGTGAATGCATGCATGTGCAGTAGTGGCCGTGGGAAAGAGTGTGTGTGAGTCTGTGTGATCCCTCGGTGTCTTTTCTTTGGCATTCTAGTTTTAGGGAGCCCCTCCCTGCCTGCACCTCCACCCCCACCCATACCCCGCCCAGAGGCAGATGGGCACAGACACGCTGTGGCATTTGGTCCAGGCCTTGCGGGGACAGGCTCAGTGCGCGGAATTCACAGCTCCTTCCCCTGCCCCACCTCCCCTCCTCCCACCGATGAAATGTTGGTAATTCAATCCACGGAGAAGCCCGATGTCCCGGGGAGAGGCTGGCATGGGCAGTGTGTGTGTGTGTGTGTGTGTGTGTGTGTGTGTGTGTGTGTGTGTGTGAGAGAGAGAGAGAGAGAGAGAGAGAGAGAAAGAGACAGAAAGAGAGAGACAGGCAAGCAGAGAGAGAGGAGACACTTGCATTTTTCCAAGCTGGTGGGCTCCCAGCTCATGCCCTTCCTTGTACAAATGGGGACCCCAAGCCTTAGGGGCAGGGAGGGGACATGTCTGAACAAATGAGTGGGAGCAGGTTGGGACCAGAATTCAGCTCTCCCAGGTCAGTGTTTCCGATACAAATAGCCCTTGAAGAGCACTTGCTATGGGCTAAGTAAGCATTGGGTCAGGCTGAGGGGTGGAGGGTGCTTGGACAGAAAGAATCCTGAGTTGCAGCCACTTTTAGAAAAGTAGGGGACTCTGCGAAAGGGAAAGGGGATATGTCTGTGTTTTGGGGGAGCAGCCATGGAGAAGCAGGCAGGGCTAGATTGTGGGGGTCCAGCCCACCAGCCTGGGGAGCCTGGTTTGCTCCTGAAGGGAATGGGAAGGGGTTAGAGGGTCAAGGGTAGTGGGTGGGACGGGCACAGATTTGGGTTTCAGAAGGAGAACTGGCTTCTGTGGGGAGGTGGAGGGGCTGCTGGGGCCCACTGTCACCAAACAGCCGAGTGCCCCATCTGGGCAAGAGGTAGTAGGTCTGATGGGGTAGGGGGCGGGATTGCTAGGCTGGAGACGACCCCAACTCTGGCCTTTTTCACCACTCGCCCCTCCTCCCCATCAGCTTTCCCCTGAGAGGCCTCACACTTGAACTTAGAGGAAGAGTGAGTGGCCCTGGAGCTGGGCCTTCCAGTAGGAGCAGGGTTTCTGCAGGGAAGCAGAGAGAGGAGCCCGGGAGAAGGCACACGGTGAGCAAAGGCAGGGAGGTGGCCCACTGTCCTACCCCCACAGTGGCCTGTGCTTTTTGTCCACTGCAAGGAAGAGCTTAGAACCCCTTTACCTAGTCCCTGCAGGCAACGGAGGCGCATGCTGCTAGGGGTCTTTGGGATGCCTGGAACTTTAGGTCAAGGCTAACGAAGAAAATGTGAGCCCACAGTAGGCCCTGCTCAAATTCCACCTGCAGAAGGATAATTCCTAGAGCCTGTGAGAGCTGCTGGCCCGTCCAGACTCACCCTGCCCCTCTCCCCAGACCTGCCCTGGGCTCTGGGACCTGACAACCCCAGATGGCATCATCTGGGCCCCTTGTTGTCTGGTTTCTGGTTGGCCTTGGCGAACTGGGGGGGTGAGAGCTGAAGTGGGTCATAGGAATTATTTCCCTGCTGAGTTGCCATGGACTGGCTTTGTCCCTCTCCTGCTCTGGACACAGATCCTCTCTGGGTTCTAGTAACTGTTCCTACCCCTCCCCCTTCAGGCTTGAGGGTGGTAGCAGCTTTCCACTCCTACTAGCCCCTGGGTGCAGCACAATTGCTGATGGGTTCCTCTTAACCCCACCCACACCACAGTGGCGGGGTTTTATTTATTTAAAAATGTATTAAATAGAGACAGGGTCTTACTATGTTGGCCAAACTGGTCTTGAACTCTTGGCCCCAAGTGATCCTGCCTCCTTGGCCTCCCAAATTGCTGGGATTATAGGCGTGAGCCACAGTGCCGGGACTGTAAATCCCTTTTCTGTGAGGCTATTTCCTGCTGGGACACTGACCGTGTCGCCCTGCCCTGTCTCCAGCTAGCTTTCCCTTCCCTCTCCTCTGGCTGGGCTCCCACCCTACCCTTAGCTGGGTTGAGGAATGTCACTTTCAAGTTCTCAGTG
Organism: Homo sapiens; assembly: GCF_000001405.40. Taxonomy (NCBI): domain Eukaryota; kingdom Metazoa; phylum Chordata; class Mammalia; order Primates; family Hominidae; genus Homo; species Homo sapiens. The sequence continues at coordinate 22,255,942 of NC_000001.11, forward strand.
GGTCCAGAGCTCTGTGGGAGGAGAGCCCCAGAATCATTTCCACAAACATCAAACTCAACAACCACAATGTTAGATAAATAAGGTCTGGCAGGCAGGGTGGCTGCTCAGCCCCGGAGCTCTGGGGAAGGCCTTTGCTCCTGTCTGACCCGTCTGGTCTGCTCACACCCTGAGCTTGCTGGTGTTCTGGTGTGTGCAACCCTCTGGGGTCTTCCGGGCCCACGCTGTGCCTCAGGCCCACAGAGATGCTAAACGGCCCCTCATAGAAGCCCTGACGCTGGGCCCCTTGCAGCTTCTCCCAGGGTGTACCAATGATGCTTCTCCCATGCAGTGAATTCTTCCCACATCTGATCACCCCGTTTTCTGTCCATTTCATAGGGTTCTTCTCAGCCACCGTCAACAACCCCAGCTGCTACCAAGGTGCAAGAACACACAGGCTGCTGTGAAAGGACTGTAGGGGGCAAGGGCAGAGGAAGGGGCCAGCCAGGAGGCTTCCAAAATAATCCAGGCAGGAGAGGATGGTGGCCTGGACAAGGGTGGCAGGTGGAGGAAACTGGCTGGATTCCAGAAATTCTCCCATTTCGGCACCCAGACTCCATGCAGAGTAGAAATGGATGCTCTTGGCTGGGTGCGGGGGCTTGTGCCTGTCATCCCAGCACTTTGGGAGGCTGAGGCAGGTGAATCATGAAGTCAGGAGATCGAGACCATCCTGGCTAATACAGTGAAACCCTGTCTCTACTAAAAATACAAAAAATTAGCCGGGTGTGGTGGCACGCGCCTGTAGTCCCAGCTACTCAAGAGGCTGAGGCAGGAGAATCGCTTGAACCAGGGAGGCGGAGGTTGCAGTGAGCTGAGATCAGGCCACTGCACTCCAGCCTGGGTGACAGAGAGAGACTCTGTCTCAAAAAAAAAAAAAAAAAGATGCTCTTGAATTTGAGTTCTGAAATTTTGCATCCTGTTCCCCATGTGGCGGCCCAGCCATTTTTCCCTTAGGGTGAGTGGGCCTGTGAAACCAGGAGAGCGCTGCTGTGCGTCTAGTCGTCGGGGGCATATTGATCGATTTATTTGACCCTCTGCAGGAGGTGTGCTGAATGTCCCATTCCCCGGTGCTGCCAGCTCCTCAGAGCTCTGTAGGTTACCCCGTGAGACCTTCTCCCTGCACGCCTTTTTTTCTCTAATAGAAATACCTGCTACCTGTTGCCTTCTTCCCTGCAGGATCACAAGCGCTTGCCCAGTGCCTGGCATAGAGGCGGCCATAGCTGGACTCCTACCCTGTTCCAGGCACTGAACCTTCATTTGCCCTGAGACGTCAGGGTGGTCTTAGGACCATGTTTCCAGGGAGGACACAGAGGCACAGGGGCATGAGGACCCTGCCCTGGGTGGTGGCAGAGCTGGGATTTGAACCCGGGTTTGCATGACTCCCAGCCCTGTTCCTGTCCTCTCAGGGGCTGCACCCTCCCCCTGCCCCTTCCTCCTCCCCCTCCTACCAGGCAGGGCTGAGCCAGACTGGGGTTCCAAAGCCCTTCCTCCTTCTCGATCCAGAGATAAATATTTGTTTCTCCAGTGTAAATAGCCCTTCGTGTTTAATGAGGCAATCCTAGGGCCATTTCCTGGCACGGCTCAGGGCCTGGAGGTCTTTCTCGCTCTGGGAGGAACAGTCCTAGGAGGAGAGCCGCTGAGGAGGGGCTCAGGGCCTCTGAGAAAATCCTTCCATTTACAGATGAGGAAACTGCCGCTCAGAGACGGCAGCCGACCCAGCCAAGGCCGCACAGCCAGGATTCAAAGCCATACCGCTCAGCTCCTGCCTCCAGGCTCTGCCTTTGCATGTGGCTTCTCCTGGCTCCTGGACCCTTCCCCGGCCCTCCCAGCTGGCTGTGCTGTGACAGTGGGCGGGGGAGTGCCAAGGCTCTGCCCTGCCCCCCGCCCTTGGCATCTCCGGTCAATATGGCACTCACAGCTCCCTGGGCATGGACCCCCTCCTGCCATCCCCACTTAAAGTGATACTTTAATAAATTATGCTTTTATGTTATTACACGTGGAGCTATAAAAGCAGAGAGTGTGCGGCCGGGCTGAGGTAAGGCGCCCGCGACTTTCCAATTTCCTGGTCTGGCCTGGCTCTGCTCCGCACCGTGAATTTTTCATTAATGTGCACAGGTGACGCCACGGGGCAGCCGCAGGCCAGGTAGGCTCCCACGGCGGCAAGGCCTGGGCTGGACCTTGCTGGGCTGGGCTGGGCTGGGGATGGCACAGCGGGTTTTGTACCAACAAGGATTAGAAATAGCATCACGCTGCGGCTCAAGATCATGCCCTGGATTTAAATAGCCAGGGCGGCCAGGCACAGTGGCTCACGCCTGTAATCCCAGCACTTTGGGAGTCCAAGGCAGAAGGATCTCTCCAGCCCAAGAGTTCAAGGGCAGCCTGGTTAACATAGCGAGACCCTGTCACTACAAAAAATTTTTAAAAATTAGCTGGGCATGGTGGCATGTGCCTGCAGTCCCAGCTACTCGGGAGGCTGAGGTGGAGGGATGGCTTGAGCCTGGGAGTTGAGGTTGCAGTGAGCTAGGATCACACCACTGCACTCCAGCCTGGGCGACACAGCAAGACCCTGTCTCAAATAAACAAACAAATAAGCACACACAAGAACTAGAAACCCCCTGTGTCTAGAGGAAGGAAGGGGCGTCCACTGGCCTGTGCCAGACTCTGGGCCGGCGTTTGTTGCACATGACCTCATTTCACCCTCAGAAGGCCATGAGATAGCCTTATGCACCCCACTTGATGGATGAGGAAAGTGGGGCTCTGTTGGTGAGTGAGTGGCGGTGTCAGCTCTGAACCCAGCCAGTCTGATTCTAGAACCTGAGTTCCTAACTGCTAGGCTGTTCTCATTCATTCCTTTCTCCCTCCTCTTCTCCCCCACGTCTGTGGGTCCTTTCCATGTAGTCATAGTTACAGAGGCAATGGACACATTGAAGAGAGGAAAGAAAACAAACACGACCTAGAATCTACGGGGAAGGAAGCCTTCTAGACTCCAGACCTTCCGTGTCCAGAAGTGTCAGTCTTCACATCTGTGAGGTGGGGCCAAGGAGTCCTGCCCTGCCATGCTGGGTGTTGACTTCGGGGAAGGGGCCTTGGGATGTCTATGAGGATGCAGCTGCTGCCTTCTGTCTTGGCAGAGACCATGGCCACCCCAGGACACCGTGTTTGGTCCCCGCTGTGCTAAGTCTCCTCCAGGCACCAGCCAGGCATCAGTGGAGCACAGCGGAAATGGGTCCAAAGCCACCCACAGAGGCTCTGTGTGGTTCTTGGATAATTCTGGAAGGCTCTAGAGAAGGCAACAAGAAGGCAGGAACCCAGGGCCAGAAACTGGACAACTTGTGTGTGTTTGTCTGTAAAGTGGGGCTAGGAATCCGCGTGGGGGTCAAATGAGAACAGCTCTGCCTCCCAGCGCACAGTCCCGCGTCGAGGTCAGAGAGCCTCTTAGGCCCTGGCTCTTTTGGGAAATCATCCCAGGGGCTAAAGACAAAACTGAAGTTGAAATAAACATGGGGGTCCAAACACTCCAGAATTCTGAGTGAGGGAATCTCCTCCCAGGCTTCCACGCCAGGCCCGAATGCAAACAAGAGGCAGCAGGGGTGGCTTGGGCCCCTCACACAGAATTAGTGAGATTAGCTGAGAACCAGAGCCCAGCAGATGTCCCCTCTCTGGACTCGGTGACTCACTTGCCTCCCTGGTTGAGAATCGTATCCGGCTGGGCCTGAGCTGTCCTGGCTGGCGGGGAGCTGGACGCAGGGCAGAGGTCGGGGTAAACACCCGTGCTCCAGGCGGGAGGTCGGGATGGGGGTGGTGACAAGGAGGACAACATTTCCACTCAGCAGAAAGAAGAGCCTGAGCTGCCCTAGAGCCGGAGGCGCTGCCTGGAGAGGTCGTGAGGACCCGGTCCCAGAGGTGTGCAAGCTGGGTACCCTTTGAAGACTATAGGAGGATTCCAGTTGGCGCTGGGAGTACTCCAGGCAGGATGCCAGTTCAGGTCCTTCGTGCATGAGACTCTCCCAGAGAGGCAGGCAAACATTTTCTGGGAAGGGCCAGATAGTAAATATTTCAGGTTTTGCGGGTCATCCTGCTATCTCTGTTGCAACTGCTCAACTCTGCCACTGTAGCTTGGAAGCAGCTACAGACAATACATAAATGAATGGATGTGGGTGTGGTTTTGTAAATAAAACTTTATTTACAAAAACAGGCAGTGGGCCAGGGGTGGACCCTGAGCCACCGCTTGCCAACTGTATAGAGCCTCCTGGAAGCTTGTGGATTGCAGGGCAATGACGTGACTCTTCTGCATTTGACCTTGCAGGTGGTGCCGCTCCACCTGGATGGGTTTATTCTTCCGTTTTCTCTTCCCTCGATGGGTTTATTCTTCCGCTTTCCCTTCCCTCCCTCCCTCCCTCCCTCCCTTCCTCCCTCCCTTCCTTCCTCCTTTCCTTCCTTTCCACCCATTCACTCATTTATCTCTCTATTCAGCCATATACTTCATTGTTTCAACAAATCTCTGCTTCTTGTTCTAGCTCTCTAACTCACTCACTCACTTATGAATTCATCCAGTCATTTATTCACTCACTTATTCATTTACTCTACTGGAAGCTCAGGGTTCTATTGTGGAAAATGTGGAAACGCTAAAGGAATTGGAATTCTTTTATCTGGGGAGACTCTGGAAAGTGCAGGGATTAATGATTGTCTCTTAGGCTCTGTTACATTTATAGGAAGAAGATTCTGGGCAGTTCTTGATTCACTCATGAGTCCTGCATTGTTTGCATACCCAAATCCTCCTCTAGTTGAGGCTCTGCACTAGGAATACAGCAGCAAAGATTCTGTCCTTGCCTTCCTGGAGCCTGTGTTCCAGTCTAGACTCAGGTTGTAAATAGATGGGATGTTCCAGGCAGGGAGAAGAGCACAAAGACCAAGAGGTGAGACAGAGGGAAGTATGTTCCAGAAACAGAAGTTGGGTCTGATTGGAGCACAGTGTGTGCGCATTTGTGTGTACGTGTACGTGCAGGTGTGCGGCAAGTGTGCATGTAGGTGTGCAGCAGGTGTGTGTGCAGATGTGCGGCGGGTGTGCGTGCAGGTGTGCGGCGGGTGTGCGTGCAGGTGTGCGTGCAGGTGTGTGGCAGGTGTGCGTGCAGGTGTGTGGCAGGTGTGCGTGCAGGTGTGCGTGCAGGTGTGTGGCAGGTGTGCAGCAAGTGGTGAGAAGTGGGGCTGGAACCCGAAGAGCCTTGAATGCTGGGCCGAGGAACTTCACTCTTCATACTGGTAACAATGGGGGGCTGTAAGACAGAGCTGTAAGCAGGGGAGGGCATGGTAGGCTTGGAATTTAGAAGCAACCTCTTGACCATCTGCAGAGAATGGGTTATTTAGATGTGGGCCTCGGCGAGGGCTTCCCCGGGGAAGGGGCCTTTCCGCTGGGCCAGAAGGGGGGCATTTCCAGCGTGGACTTCCTGCAACCATTGCCCCCCACACCTGTGGCTGCCCTTTCCTCCCACTTGGGCCTTCCCTACAAGGCAGGGGGTGGTAGAGACAGAAGCAGTGCTTTCTGGGAGTTTAGGTTGCCTAGGCAGGGGTGGGGCTGAGGGACAGGAGGTGGTGGGTGAGGGTGGGGAGATGCCTCTCTCCTTTCCTCTCCCTCATGAATAGACTCACGCTTGGCCTCCCGATCTCACCATTTCCACCTTTTCCTGCCTCCTTGGACTCCCACCCCGAGCTAAGGCTGGGGTCCACAATGTTGGGCCTTATGAGGCCACTCCCAGGATTCCCACCCTGCCCCTAGTGCTTATGGAGAGGCAGCCAGAGTTGGCAGCCTCCGCTGTGACACCAGCTTGCTGTGTGGCCCTGGGGGAGCCTCTGCCCCTCTCTGAGCTTCAATTTCCCCACTCATAGCGCAGTTCCAATCTCATGGGACTATCACAAAGATTCCAGGGCACTTGGCTCAGTACCTGGGCTCAGCACCTGCTAGTTATTATCAAGGCTAAGACGCACGAGTCACTGATAATTGTTACTCAGGATAACTATTGTTAGGTGAATGAAAGAAATGAGCTGCCAGGTAAAGATCATGCTACTGGCCTGGCAGGATGGGCTGTGGTGGGAGGATGGAGGTTTGGGGCCTGTTGTGAGTTCAGCGAAAATATAATAGGAGGAAAATAGCAACATTTACTAGCCACCTGTGCAATTTGGGGCAATTTCCTCACCTCTTTGAAAATCAGTGTTTTGTAGAGGGTGGATGATGGTAAGGCCCTCTCAGGGGACTGTGCGCACTGAAAGAGATAATGCACTTGAAGGGCCTGTGCTCAATAAATGGTAACTAACATCTTTTTTATTAGGACCAAGCACCCACCAGTGTCCTATGGGTCTTGAACCTTCGGATCTTCCCACCTGTCAGTGTGGTTCCCACTTGGCGGGAGAGGAGACCAAGGCTCAGAGAAGTGAAGTGCTGTGCCCCAGGTCACACAGCAGGCTGAGGCCAGGGCAAGATGAGGGGGATGTGGGGTAGCAAACCCTAAAAACGAGCTACTGACCACTTCTGCCTGTCTCCACTCTCAGGCTTGACTTTTACATTCTCCATGCCACTCACAGGGACCCTTAGTCTGTTCCCACGCCCTGTGGACTGCCCTCCTGCCCCACTGGGCTGCTGATGCCCTGAGTCTGGAAAGTTCCCCAGCCTAGGAGAGATAAGGGCTGCCTTGCCCAGGTTCCTGGGTAGCGCCTGCCTGCGGCCCCTTTGATCTCAGACCAGATGGTCCTACCAGCCCAGCTGCTGGAGGAGCCAGGCCTCAGTGATAGGGGCCGGCCCTGGGTGGGGCCGGGCCTGGTATCAGCCACCTGGAGGGAGCACCTCCTGCAGTCACCATGGCAACGGGCGCCCATGCCTGCAAACAGGAAGCTGCTCCTGGGCTGGTGGTGGGATCGGCAGGCGTGGTAGAGACCCAGACTCTTTAATCTTCTAGAGGAAGAGGTCCAGGGGGCAGGGCCTGGTGTGGGCCACCAATCTCCTGTCTCCCTGGAGAGTGTAGGGGTGAGGCAGAGCAGGGATGACCCCCGAACTACACAGTTGCCCAGGTCCTGACTGAGGTTAGACTGTGGGAAGAACTTCCCCAGGCAGCTCGGGCTCCGCAGCCTAAGGGGCTGGGCAGACTCCTTTCCTAGGATGCATCCAAGTGGGACATCCAAGCCAGGCTGTGGTCCCCTGCTGTCCCAAGAGGGTGGCAGCGCCAGGTCAAGGCAGCTGGTGACTCAGTGACCAGGGCTTCACAGCACTCCAAAGAGCCTCCTGACATGCCGAGGGGCCGTGGGAGCCTTGTTCATGGCTGGGTAGCCTTAAGCGAATCACTGTTTTCTCATGTGCCCAGTGGGAATGCAGACTGTTCTTCGTAGGGCTGGAGAGGAGCTCATGGGAGCATCTGGGTGATGCTCAGGACTCAGGCAGCTTCACATTTGGTGTCCCTCTGCAGCCCTGACCCTAGAGTGCAGCAACACCCCTACCCCAGCAGCCGTGCAGTCCAGGGGACGAGGGGCTGCCAGGTCGAGGGAAAGCCCCCGCTAGATGCCAGGCCCTGGAGCCGGCCACCTGCCCTGCTGCCTCTCGTGGCATCCTTCCAGCAGCCCTGAAAGGCGGGGCCCATGCTCCTCATTTTACAAACCAGGAAACGGAGGCTGGTGGGCTTCAGGAGCTCTCACTGTGTCTTGGACTTTCTGATATAACTCTGTGGGTCCTGGGATTTCAGGCGGAAGCTCAGCCCGGTTTGTGTAGAAGAACTTGGGGACTTAGAGAGAAAATCATTCCCTTGGTGGCCCTGTTGGTCTTGGGCAGCCAGAACAGGGGCAGGGACACGGGGGACATTGGGGTCCCCTTAGACCTCGGACCTGTCCTGCTCCATCCTTCTCTGTTGGCTGGGCGAGCTGGAGCAAGTGGGGCCAAATCATGGGAGCCATCCTCCTCCACCGAGTCCTTCCTTCAGTCCTCGACATGGAGCTTCTAGAATGTGCCAGGCTCTTCACTGGGTGGTGGTGGTGGGGTGGGGGTGTCCAGAGACAAAAATGATACAGTTGTGCTTTGGAGAACAGTGTGTGTGTGCATGTGTGTGTGTACACACGCGCTTGTGCAGATAGAGGGATGTAAGAGTGGTGTGGGCAGTGTGCCGATGATCACAGTGGTGCTGGCACCATACAGGAGGATGGTGCTGCGGGGGAGGGTGGTGGTCTTGAAGTTAGTGGCGGTGGTCTTAGGGATGGTGCTGGTGACAGTGGTGCTGGTGACAGTAAAGACGTGTGAGACAGCAGCAGCCCTCCCTCTCTCGACCCTGAGGGCCACAACCAGCCCCCACCTGGCCATGGCAGCTCCTTCTAGGCCCCACCTCTTCCTTCTGGGGTCAGCCCTTCTGAGGCCTCAGTGAGCCCAGGCTCCTAGGAACAGCAGGCCAGAGAGGGTACATGTCTGGCTCAAGGCAGAAGCAAGGGAGAGACGGATCCAGGTGCCTCGTCCAGACCTCTGCATTACCCTCCCCCAACCCCTTTTTCACATTCTATAAGCATTTCCTGGGCCTGTGCTCGGGGTCAGGCCCTGCACTGGCATCTGCACTAGGTATTGGCGGCATCACTGTGCCTCCTGCTCTCAGAGACCTCCATCTAGACAGGAGGGAGACACTCAGCCAGGCCAGGATAACACAGAGACCAGGACGGGCAGAGGGCGGTGGCAGCCCCAGCCTAGAAGTGGCAAGGACATCGGACTGAGGCTTTGAAGGATGTGGAGGAGTTTACTCACTGGGGAAGTAAGCGCAGACGGCCCTGCAAGTGGAAAGGCCTGGAGGTTTGAAAGGTGGCATGTTTTCGGGAAACAGAGGCTGGAGTCGGGCTGGAAGAGGCTGAAAAAGAGAGTGGGGTGGGGCCAGGTCGCTGTTGCAGCACAGGCAACTTAGAGGCTGTCCCACCCTGACGGGCATCCCCTCTGCTCCCTAGCCCCCACCCCCATACCAAACCCCTCCTGGGGATCACAGTACCACCCCTCCCCCCAAATAACTGGAATTGTTTGAAAATACCCAGCAAGAATTCAGCTCAGCAGGTTATACTGGTCAGGGGAAGCAGCTGATTGGGGGTCTGGGGGTGGGGGAGGACTCAGTGGGACTTCCTGGGAGAAGGTGAGAGGTCCTGACCTTAGGCCAGGGCCAGCGCCCCTGTGAGCACTGATCCAGGAGCAGATTACAAGGGAGACTGGAGCCAAATCCGCTTTGAAAAAGAGCTGGTGGAGTTTAACTCCCGCTCAGTGAGGTCACCTGGAAAAGCTCCTTCCCTGCCTGGGAGCCGGGTGTAGAGTTGGGGTGAGGGGGATGTGGGGCCAGAGCAGAGTTCTGGTAAGGAGCTCTGTGTGTGTGTGTGTGTGTGTGTGTGTGTGTGTGTGTGTGTGTGCGCGCCAGGGTGTATGTGCATGTATGTGTATATTTGGGGATGCATGTATGAGGACGTATGTGTATATCTGGGGATGTGCATGTGTGTGTGTATTTGTGTGTGAGCGTATCTGTGTGGTGTGCGTCTGTGTTTGTTAGTAGATAGTGCATTTGTGTCTCTGCCTGTTGGCCTCGCGATTCATCCATGGTTACCGTACTGACACCTGTGTGTGTGTGCGTGTGTGTGTCGTGTCCACCCCTGCACACACATGCACACTTCTGCGCAGCTTTTTCATGTCTGCTTCCATACATTTCCCTTTCCTGCTTCTCTCCACCCTTCCTTCCCAATCCTCAGCCCCACCACTATGCCAACATTCCTTCATTCATTCCTTCAAAAAATGTTTCTCGAGGGTCTGCTTTGTGCCAGGCACTGTTCTAGGCTCCAAGCATGAACGGGAGATAAGAAGGCGGGAGAGGCTTCTACTTTCATAGAAGCGTGTGTCCTCTGTGATGAGGTAGACATTAAACAGACAAGCCATTAGTAATATGGCACATAGTGACGCATGCTAGGGAACGAAATTCAGCAGCGTGAGGGGAAAAGGAGGGCTGTGTTACATGGCCTCTCAGGGAGGGCCACTGAGAAGATACCTGAGCAGAGACCTGAAGGATGAGAGGCTGGAGATGTCATTCTCTGGAGGCAGGGTGCCCAGGCTGAGGACGCAGCTAGTCAAAGGTCCCTAGGTGGGAGCATGCTTGGGGGGTTCTAGGGACGGCAAAGGGGCCAGTGTGGCTGGAGTGGACAGGTGAGGGGGAGGGTGGGAGGAGAGGAGTCAGCAGAGCCTCTGTGTCACCCAGGGGCCTGGGGGGCCTCCTGGGGGCTTTGGTTTTTGCTCTGAGTGACCGTGGTGGTTGTGGGAGTCACTGCAGGACTCAGCAGGAATTCTGGATAGTAAGTGGGAGGTGGGGGACCAGTGAGGAGGCTGTCGCCAGAACCCACTGAGACGTGGTGGTGGCTTGGGAACAGAGGGCAGAGCAGGGGAGGCGGGGGAGGCCCCATCTCAGATAAGTTGAGTGGGACGTCAGGGATTTGATGACCCAAGCCTGGAGTGGAAGATGTAAACCTGGGGGCCATTAGCAGTCCAGGGGCATGAGCCCAGTTCCCCTGGGAGCCACATCGCTCATTTGCTTGGCTGTGTGGCTTCTTGTGTGTGCAAAGCTTCAACGCCCCTCCCCTCTAGAGCCTTAGGAGAGGCCCCAGGGGTCAGCTGAGGTGGGGCCGAGCCGAACTAAGGGGCAGTGCCAGCAGTTGATTCAGGGCACCTGGGTGTTGGCATCAGACAGACCTTGGCTTGCATCTTCCTGTGACCTTGGACAAGTTCTTAACCACCCTGAGCCCCATCGTCTCATCTGTAAAGTGGAGATAATAGGAGTATCTCCCAGGCGGGCTGCTTGTGAGGGTTGAATGAGATGGTGCCTGTGTGGGACTGAGATGACACACAGCCCCCTTATTATTCATATTGACCATGAGCTATGGTGGCCCCTGGCAGGGCTTAGGAGAGGGGTATTTACTATGTGCCTGGTCCCTCTACGGTTGATAAACTTGATAAACGGGGAACCTGGAGCTCATCAAAGAGGCCAAGTGACTTGCCCAAGGCCACAAGGAAAGGGTGAAGCTGTCATTGGAACTGACTTCTAACCATGCTCCCCACAGCTTCAAGCTGCCGCTGCACAGGAAGCTCCAGGTAGGCGGAAGGAGTTGGGGTCTGAAGACTGACTCACCTGTCCAGGAACCTCTGCCCAGGGGTGTAAGGACTGCCGTGGTGCAGCCTCATGGCATCCCCCATTCCCCCTGCAACAGGGCCCTGGGTGTTCATTTCAATCCGATTTTTCTTTTCTTTTTTTTTTTTTTTTTGAGATGGAGTCTTGCTCTGTCACCCAGGCTGGAGTGCAGTGGCGCCATCTTGGCTCATGGCAAGCTCCGCCTCCCGGTTCAAGCATCAGTCCAATTTTTCTAAAGCAAATGTTGGCTTCTGGGGAGAAGGTGTGGCCGGACAATTTCCAGGAGCACATGGCCCTAGGCATACTGACCCTTTGAGATGGCCTTAGTTTGGGCAGGGATGCTGCAGGTGGTCAAAGCTGGACCTCCCGCCCAATGGAAGGTGTTGGGTGGCTGGCCCCCAGCTGTGTGGCGTGTGCATCGCTGGGCCTGAGTGTGTGCGTGTGTGTGTGCATGTGTGTGTGTGCATGCGTGTGTGTGCATGCGTGTGTGTGTGTGTGCGTTGTTGGGGTGGGAGTGGGAAGTCAGACCTGTGTGGCAAAAACCTGAGTCTAGTGGAAGGCCTCCCCTGCCCCTACCCACCCTCCTCCCTGGCCGAGGGGGCTGAACCGTGGCTGGAGGGAGCCACGTCAGGCTGGGATCTCCGAGGGGTCCTTGAACCACATCTGAGCTCTGGGAAGGCTCCCCGGTGCATGGAAAGCAGAGAGGGAGGCTCCGTGGTGATTTACAGGCACCTCCTTTTGATCGTCTCGCTCCCTTGGAGAGATCCCTCCTCCGCACCTGGGGGCTGCAGGGGAGGGGGGGCGCAGGGGGTTCTCAGCTGGCCCAGGGCAGCAGGGTCTGGTGTCCCTGGGATACAGGAAGCTTCCTTCTCTCTGGCATGGCCTTGCTGGTACCTGGCTGCTTGTGCATATCACTGAGCAACCCAGCTCCTGTCCAGCGGGGCGGGGTCCAGAGCACACCCCTGGCGCTCGGGGCTGGGCCTGCCTCCCCACACCTGGCTCTGCTTCCATTCTTCCAGGGACAATGCGACTGTTTCACTGGCCTTGTCTTCTGCCTAGACCCACGGGGTTTATTCTTCCTGCCTCCCTGCCTGACATTCCTGGACTCCACTCCAGGCGTTTGAAAGCCCTGGATGTCCCAACAATTTCAATTTTTTTCCCTGGTCCTAAGGGGCCAAGAAGCCCAGCTTTCAGGCAGGGTCTAGGCATGGCCTATGGGGTGGTCAGCAGTGGGCAGGTGCAGATGCAAAGGAGGGCAGAGGTTGCTGAGGCTGTGGATGGCCTTGTGACAGGTCCCGAAAGGGCACCTGAGCTAGGACGCCCAGGCGGGACTGCGAGGGAGGTGGCCACTCTGGGGCAGGGTGGGGACAGCCCTCAGGACTCCTCGGGCCTGAACGTCTTTGGGAGGAACTCTAGCATGTCCAGGGCAGGGCGGGGGTGCCTGGGAAAGCGGAGTGAGGGAGCCCCCGGCAGGCTTGTGTCAAGGCAGGGACAGGTGCCTTCCTCAGGGCCCAAGTGACTGGTTTTACCTCCTCTCTCACCGTCAAGTCCATGGGTGGGAGTGGAGGCGGAGGAAGTAGGGGATGAGCAGGGGAGTTGCCAGACCAGAGACAGCTTGAACCCAGAGTCCACTGACGGGTTGTGGGGCTGAGAAAGGAGAGACGGGGATAGGAACAGCACGGAGTGCCAGCAGGAGGCCAGAGTGGCAGGGACAGGAGTGGAGTGACCTTGGGGGTGATGGGGTGGAGCTGTGTGCTGGGCGCCCTGTCTATCCACCCCACCATCTGGGGCCTCAGGGGCCCGGGGCCACCATCTGATTGTGGTCATTGTGGTCCTGGTCATTGCTTTCACCCCTCCTTGCCCCTCTCTCATCTCCTGCCCAAAGCCTTCTTCCTCCACAGAGCTTAAGGTTTACTTATTGAAATTAGCCCGTCTTTTTCTTCATGGCTTCTGGGTTTTGTAACACGCTGAGGAAGGGCTTCCCTACCCAAGATTCTGAAAATGTTTCCTTTTAGCGCTCACCGTTCTCTTCTCTTCTTTCTGTCCTCTGCCTGTTCCTGCCCCACTTCCCATGATTATCATGCTTTTGTTTGTTTGTTTTTTGAAGGAGTCTCCCACTGTTGCCCGGGCTGGAGTATAGTGGCGCAATCACAATCTCGCAATCTCGGCTCACTGCAACCTCCACCTCCTGGGTTCAAATGATTCTCCTGCCTCAGCCTCCCGAGTAGCTGGGATTACAGGTGCCCGCCACCAGGCCGGGTTAAGTTTTTGTATTTTTAGTAGAGACCGGGTTTCACTATGTTGGCCAGGCTGGTCTTGAACTCCTGACCTTGTGATCAACCGCCTCAGCCTCCCAAAGTGCTGGGATTACAGGTATGAGCCACCGCGTCTGGCCTGTTTGTGGGATTACAGGCATGAGCCATCTGTTTGTTGTTTCTCATCTCCCACTGGCAGAGAGGTTCCTTGAATATGCCCAGCACTTAGATAGTGCGTGGTGTATGGGAGGTGAGCAATACATCATATTGCATGTGGGACCAGGATGTGTGCCCAGGTCCCAGACCCAAGACGGAGAAGGTGTTTAGCAGAGAAATTGTTCTGTGGCTGTGCAAATTGAGGCTGATAGCAGCAATCCCAGAACGCATCTGTTGAGTACTTACCTGTACATTCAGGTAAATCACCTGCCCCAGCCCAGTCTCCTGCTCCCTCCCCGAACATTCTCCCCTTACCTGTCCAGGGGCCTCTGCTCCAAGTGGGCGGGCCTCCTCTAGCCTGGAGTCCCTTCTGTCACCTCTCCTCACAGCCCACACACTCCCCCATAGCTCCCCACTAATCTCTCTCCTCCCTAACTAGGGGTGGATGCAGGAACGTTGGCATCCATTCAGCAAAGGCCTGTTGGGTTCTAGTGGTGCTCAGAGCTGGGGTGCAGTGATGGGGGAGCCATGTTCCCTCCAGAGCTTCACAGAAGGCAGGCGACATACTCCACTCTTCCCACCATAACTACCATCCAGCCCACTGAAGACCACCATGAGGGTAAGGGTCCTCTATCCGGGATGCTGGCTGGACATCCTCTCTGGAAAGATGCAGTTTTATTTCTCACAACTCACATGTCATTGGTCCCAAAATTATTGCTTATGAATTCACTTGTATAGAAGTAGCCATTAATTTTCATTATAATTGGTGGAGAGAAGCGGCAGGGTTTCTATGAAGGGATAAGAAAGTTCAGCCTTGACCGGGCGTGGTGGCTCATGCCTGTAATCCCAACACTTTGGGAGGCCGAGGTGTGTGGATCACCTGAGGTCAGGAGTTCAAGATCAACCTGGCCAACATGGCAAAACCCCGTCTCTACTAAAAATACAAAAATTAGCTGGGGATGGTGGTGAGTGCCTATAATCCCAACTACTGAGGAGGCTGAGGCAGGAGAATTGCTTGAACCTGGGAGGCAGAGGTTGTAGTGAGCCGAGATTGTGCCACTGCACTCCAGCCTGGGCGACAGAGTGAGACTCCATCTCAAAAAAAAAAAAAAAAAAAGTAAGTTCAGCCTCAAGCTACTAATCTGTAAAATGAGAGCATAATTATATATCACAGAGCTCCATAAACGCTTTCATCACGCTAATAAAATGAAACGTTCCTGAAGTAACATCAGGGCTCATGGTTTCACCAGTTGTTCCGTGGCCGTGCAAATTGAGGCTGATAACTGTGAACCCAGAACACATTTGTCCAGCAATTACTGGTGCTTACAGGGGTGCAGAGGCAGACCCCACGGCACTGGGACCCTTCGGATGTGGGCTGAGGAGAAGGCATCAAAGAAGGCATCAAAGACTCCCAGATGTCTGGCCTGCACACTGGGGGATGGGGGGCAGTGGTGGTGACAAATCAAAGCCGGAGAAAAGGCCCAGTGACAGTGCAGAGAGACAAAGATGAGAGCTGCTGCGTGGCTTTGCCCAATTCACAGCCTCTCTCCGAGCCTCAGTGTTTTCATCCGTCAAATGGGATTCAGAATCTCTACCTCAAAGCACCTCTGAGAGTGAGAGCATGCATTGAAAAGTTCATAGTGACATCTGCTTAAGACACACGATTTGAGTACGTTCTGCCTGACTTAAATGGAATGAGTGTGGGACCCACCCTTAGACACCAGGCACAGAAGTGGTCACTAATTCAGGTGGCTGGGTGATTTTGCTTTTATAAGAAGCAGCCTTGAAATGTTCTTGGTGATACAGTCAGGTCCCCAGAGGGCCTAGACCCTCCCTGCTGGGGACAAAGACCCCCACTGGACTGGTGGACACCCAAAGCCCTTTAGGCCAGCACCACAGTGGTCCCTGCTAAGCGGCCCAGTGGGGAGTGCCTCTCACAAAGGGCAGCCATGCACGGCAAGGGTTAATGTCAGTGTTAGGAAATGGAAAATTGGCCCAGGCTTCAGGGGGAGTGAGAGGCTCAGAGACGTGGGGTCTTCACTTACACTGAAACCAAATGCAGCCTTGTCAGTGGCAGTTGGGGATAAAAACGAAGCTGCTTGTGGCCTGGGGTTGGCCAGGGGAACAAATGGTTCCAGGCTCCTCGTCCTCAAGTGGAAACAAAAGGAATCAACTTTTAATGATTTCCGCAGTGGTGGCAGGATTTTCCTCCCAGAGGAGAGTTTGAAGGTGTCCCCAGTCCCTCCAGTAGAGCTGTAACATCCTCTCAGGCCGGATGCCTTACTCGTTCATTCACTCACTTCTTTACTCATTTGTTCACTCAGGTTCATTCACTCACTTATTCACTAATTTATTCACCATCATTCATTCATTCACTCATTCATTCACGCATTCATTTGTTCATTTATTCACTAATTTACTCATTCATTCATCCATTCACTCATTCATTCATTTATTCACTCACCACTCCTTCATTCGCTCATTTACTCACTCGTTCACTAATTTCTTCATTCACTACCATTCATTCATTCACTCATTCATTCATGCATTCACTTGTTCATTTATTCACTAATTCACACATTCATTCATCCATCCATTCACTTACTCATTTGTTCACTCATTCACTTTTTTTATTTACTCACCACTCATTCATTCACTCATTCACTTCATTTGTTTACTTATTTATTCACTCACCACTCCTTCACTCACTCACTCACTTATTCATTCATTTATTTACTTGTCATTTATTCACTTTAGTTAGAAAGAATCAGCAAAAAAAAAAAAACAAAACAAAAACAAAAACCAAAAAGAACATAGACAAATAAAGCTAGAATAAATTGCCTAAGTGTTATGAGGAAACCAACCAGGGGCTGAGGTGGCAAAGAGCAAGGACTCTGCTTTGGAGGAGGCAGTCAGGAAAGTGTTTGTGGGGTGACAGCCACACTGAGCCCTCCATGAGAAGAGGGGAGGGGTGGGGATTCCAGGCAGAGGAGGAGCACGGGCCCATCCCTATGTCTGAGAGATGCCCTGGCTGGAGTGAAGCCACGGAGGACGGGGTGGTGGGAGTGAGGCTGGGGAGTGGAGCTTGGGCTGGGCCTGCAGGAGGGGAGGAGGCTGGAGGATGGATAGGGCAGGGTCAGGGTGAACGAAACAACTCACTCCTTTCCTCCCACCTGGGGAGGCCCCAGAGCCAGCCCTTTCCTTGGGTCCTGCGTAGGGCAGGGCAGGTCCACCTGGAACTTCTGTCTCAACCCCCAGACACACCAAACAGGACCCTCCAGCCTGCCCAGGTGCAAGACCCTGCTGGGCCTGGGTGAGGTGAGATGCACCAGTGCCAGCTCCAATCTGCCCTTGCCAAATGCTCTTCCAAATTGGCTCCGTGAAACCAGAACCGTGAAATCCCGTCAGGATAGCTGGAGGTAAGCACAGCGGTGGAAGGATTTAGACCACGTCGAAACGGCTCATGGACAAGAGGGTGAGAACCCGTGGACTCCTGGGCAAAGGCACCATCGGGAACATTAAGAAAGCAATCCCACCTCAAACCCACAACCAAAATATTTTATAAGAACCCTCCCTTCCCCCCCCACTCTCTTTTTGTCAAGTAAAGGATACACACGGCCTTTCTACTTGTAACCTGGCCAAGAATAATTTGTGGCAGGAAAGTTTGAGCATTTGTCAAAATAAAATAAAAATGTAAAAAAAAAAATTGCGAGCACTTGAGTGTACATTTGTGTGAAACTAAACAGAGGGAAAGTTATTTAGGTGGTAAAATGTCTCTGCGTTTCCCTCCTGCCCCCTGTCCCCTGACACACGGCCCCCCTCCCCAAGTGTTGAAAATGTGATTGTTCGGGTATTTGTTTTGTTAATCTCCCACCAGGGCTGAGGGGCTGCAGGCTGGGTTTCTTCTTGTTCACGCAGGGCCCTGGCTGCCAAACAAGTTTCCCCCCACCTAGCCCAGGGCCAGGGACTGGTGCACCTGTTCCCTGCCCGTCTAGGGAAACGGTGGGGTTGGGGGAGTAAGTTTTTGTCCTTTCAGCAAAGGTAGCTTTGCCCCACCTGAGACCCCAGCTCCTTGAGGATACTTAATATGAGAACTCACCTCCCTATCACCCCCTGAAGCCATGGGTTCTGGCCTACACCCCTGGGTGGTGCTGAGGCCTGAGGGGAGTGCCAGGCTCCAGGTGAGGTCTGGCATAGTGGTTAAGAGAACCAGGCAGAGGAATCATCCAGACCTGGGTTTGAAGCTGATGCAGCCATTTGCTGATTGGATGAGTGACTTCACTTCTCTATGACCCAGTTTCTCATCTGTAAATGGAGTCAAAGATAGTAGCTACTTTGCAGCATAGTTGGAAGGGTTGAAGTGACTCACATGGGGGAAGGGATTAAGACACTCCTGGGCACATAGTGGCTATTTAATAAACTTGAGTGCCTACTATTGATGGGCTTTAAGCAGCATTGGAGGCTTCAAGAGGATGGTATTTTGCTTCTCTGTGACTCAATTTCCCCCTCTGTAAAATGGGGATAATGGCTTGGCCCCCTTCATAGTGTTGTTTAGGAAGATTGAGTGAAATGAGCAAAATCCTCAGGCAAGCGAGAGGCACATGGTATGTGCTTATTAAGCATTAGCTGTAGTATTGTCACGTCTTTGCTCTATCCTGTCATACAATTTCCTTTTGAGTCAACAAAGAAGGAAGGAAACAAGTGTTCATGGGCAGCTGCCATTGGCCAGGCCTGGCACGAGATGCTTTTCCATGAGTGACCTTGCCGTCTGTCCCTAGTGCGTTCCCACACAGACCTTGGTCTCCTTTTGCAGGTGAAGAAACTGAGGTTTGGGCAACTCAGCAGGTTAATGGCAGAGCTAGGAGGAGAGCCCAGGCTTTTCTGATTTGGATTCAGGAGATTCCTTTTAGGGCTGAGTCCTGCATGGGCCGGACCAGACCAGAAGGAGGGGGTAGATGGCGGTGCTGATAATGATGATGATGGTGATGATGATGGGTGCTGGGCGGGTGCTATGTGAAGTTTGTTACATATGTGATCACACTGGGCTCTCCCTACAATCTTATGAGGTAGATTAATCATCTCCATTAGACAGATAAGGAAACTGAGGTTCAGGAAGACCCTGAGCATTTGCCTTGACTGCTCTGTGCTACCAGCAAGGAACCCAGGGCTTGGCACCTAGCACATCATTGATGCTTAATACCCAGCTGTTCCTATTTCCTTTATCTTGCCCTCACCCTTTTCCCTAGAGGGGTCGGACCATGAGAGCTAAAAGGCCCAAGCCAAAGCCCAACTCACTCATTTAACAGATAGGGAAATTGAGTCCAAGGTCAGGGGAGGATCTTGACTAAATCAGGCAGAGAAAGCCAGGCCTGATGGTCAGTGGAGGCCCAGATAATTGTCTGGGGGCTGCAGGAGGGGAGGAAGGGATGGAGGAGATGTAGGTGGCCAGGGGGAGGGCCTGGCTGCTGCTTTAGAAGAGAGGGTAGGCGAGAGCAGGTCTGGGAGGAGGAAGAGCCCTCGGGCACTCCCCACTCACACTATATAGCTTGACTGCTCCCCCTACCCAAAACACAGCCTTCCTTGCCTCTTTCCCTCCCATCATGCCTCTCCTTGCCCCCTCCTAGCCCTCCCTTTGGTGAGACTCCAGCCTAGGAGCTGGGACCTGGTCCCAAGACTCTAGAAACTTGAGTAAGCCCCTTCCTCCCTGGGGAACCCATAAAACGAGGGACAGTGGCATGTACCTCCCCTGCAGGTGACAGGACAAATGAGGTAATGCAGGTGAAAGGCTGGAAACTAGACAGAAATGGGAGTTGTTGTTATTTTTATTATTACTACATCAGATAACTGGTTGGACTGCATTTTTCTCTGGTTGCCCCCGGGGCCCTGTAGAAACAGCTTCAAATTGTGCTGAAAATTGCTGAGGACACAAATCGGGAAATCTGGGCTCTACCCTCACTCCCTCCTGACTCATGGGGCACTTTGGACAAGATCTGGTTCCTGTCCCTCTCTTGGTCCCTGTCTCCCATCTGGATGGTGCAGGTGGACGACATGTTCTGTCTCTGTCCCTGGAACTTTGTAGGTGGCAGCTCTTGGCCTTGTTTGGGTTTGAGGAGGCGCCACTGGGACCAAGGGAGTGGGGAGACCAGGCAAGGATGGGTCCATGGCAGCCCCCTGGGTGCCTGAACCAGACGCTTACTGGGTCTGACCATGGACGTGAGTGAGTCCTCCCCACGCCTCTTGCTGTCCGCTCCCTGAAACATCTTGGGAAAGGAGAGTTGGCCCATCCTGAGACCTCATTCTGGTGGCAAGCTTCAGCCAGGGAGGCACCCCAGTTGGCAGGGACAAAGGCTGAGCTTGCCCCGGGGCTGCCAGGGAGAGGAAGCTGGGGAAGGAGAGAAGTGCCTTTCAGGGCATCGAATTCAGGAGCAGAAGGTGGACGTCTGCAGGGACTGGACTGGGGAGACGAGTGTGCACATCGCCACCTAGGCCCCAAGGAAGGCAGTGCAGCCCCCACCGGGCTCCAGGACCATCTCTTGGGTTCTTCCTACCCACAGGCACGCGCTGTGTGCCCTGCTGGCACTGGGACCTGGGCAATCCCAGTGTGACCCACCACCCTGGCCTTTCAGGCATCCACAGCACAGAACGTGGCTGACCTTGGGGTGACACTGCTTTGGTTACCTGTCCCTGCTTTCTGACTTACCAGCTGACGGTGTGACCTTGAGCAAGAGACAGCCTCTCTGAGCCCATTTTCTGTCTGCAAAAAGGAGGACTATTTGCTCCCTTGCAGAGTTGCTAAGAGCCTGAGGAAGGATATTGCCTGTGATGTACCTAGTACGGAGCCTGGGGCATGGTGAGTTTTCAGTGGCCAGTCATTCCCTGTCTCCCTCCTCTACAAATGAAGTCCTAGGATGCTAGGAGAGCACTGGAAAAGAAGCAGTGCTGCTTGGAGGCATCAGGAGGCTTCACAGAGAAGAGAGGACATTATAGTAGGGTTTTGAGGGATGTACAGGAGTTTCCTTGATATACCAGGGCTCTGTGCAAGCAGGAACCATAAATGTCATGGTTTCTCAAGTGCCTAGTATGTAACAGAAGCTCAATAAATATTTGCTGTTTGAGTGGTTGGCATTCCAAGTAGCAGGACTGTGTAGGAGAGGCATAGAGGTATGCACGATCTGGTCTCAACAGTGGATGAGAAATTTAATTCCTCTTCTGGGACCCCACGGTGCTTTGCCACTTTGTCTATGGAAGGCCGTTGTATACGTGGGTTCATGTGTCACGTCTCCTGGAGGACTGTGGACACCCCAAGAGTGGTCTGTCTGCTCACTCACCTTCACCTAACTCTCTAGGGTTCAGCCATGGATCCATGCTCAGGGAGGTGGATCCATGTTCAAATGAAGAATTGAAGCATGCTCCTGCGGATGACTGGCTAAGCCTTGTTTGGGGTGAGGGTGTGTGTGTGTGTGTGTGTGTGTGTGTGTGTGTGTGTGTGTGTGTTGTAGGGGCTGCCTCCCATGATCCTTCCCCCTCTTCCCAGGTAGTCAAGGGTAAAAAGGGTAAGGTCCAAACCCTTGACCCAGCCTTCCTGGGTCTTCCTGATTGATCTCTGTCCATTGCTCCAGCCTGGTAATTTTGTGCCCTACGAGAACAGTAAGCAAAGCAGAGGCCGGTGGGGGAGGCTGGGGCAAAGGGGTGCTGGTTTAGGTGGGGTGGTTAGCGCAGGGGCCTCCCTGAGAAGGTGACACTACAGCAGAGTGTTTCTCCTTCACCAGCTTCCCCTTCAGGCCCTGGGAGCAAAGCCTGTCCCACTTTCCTGGCTGGGCTGGGCACCCTCTGGTGCTCCATGGCCTTTGTGTGCACCTTCTTCCTGGCTCCAGGCTGCCAGGCCCAGCTGCTTCTGAACCATGTGATCCAGGCAATTCTATATGCCTTTCTTTGCCTCAGTTTCCTCATCTGTTAAATGGGGATAGAAATCACACCTGCTTCCAGGGTGGCTGTGGGCATTGCATCTGTTGTCAATTGCAGAAGGCTCAGGATGGCATCTTTACATCATAAACGCTCCAAAAATGGGGTCGTATTAGTTATTATTGCACTTATCCTGTTTTTCTAGATGCACTGGCCATTGAGTCTTTCCTGATCCTCTGGAAATGAACATGGGAGGAGCTTCCTGGGAAAGCATGGGCAAGACGGGAGAGGAGGATGGTGCTTAGCAGGCCTCTCAGCTGCTGGACACAAACAGCAGCGGATGGTCCCGAGTCCTGCACATGCACGATCATCTCAAATCATTCTTCACCACGCCCCTGGGAAGGCGGCCTCACCCTGCACACAAGGAAACCCCTGAATCAGGAACGGGTGACTTGGCTCTGACTTGCAAGGGGCCGAACTGGGATTTGAACCCGGGTCAGCCTGATTCTAGGCAAAACTGCCTCCCTGGAGAAGTACCTTCCAGCCCATGTCAGGTTAACACTGACCGAGAGCTTTGTGGATCAAGGGGGCCAAAGTTAGTTTCTCCAAATGGACTGGAATTGGAGCAGATCTGGGAGGGGGGATATTTACGGGTTCCCGTGGCCATTTTCGGGAGAAGGCAGACACAGTGATCGTAGAGTTCATTCGACTGGACTCGCTCAGGATGGAGAGATAAAAGAGAGAGAGGAAGGAGCAAGAGAAAGAGGATGGATGGAGGGTCATTCCACGGGGAGGGCCACTCTGCCCACTAGCTGCTGATCAGCTTTGTGTGCAGTTGGTGCCCATGAACCTCTGCAGGTGGCAGGCAGCCTCAGTTCCACATGCCCCTCTCACTCTCACTGCCCTGTAAAGATACTGATTTTCATTCTGCCCAGTGCAGAAACCCTCCAGGTGTGAGACGTAGAGGAAAGAGCACCAGGCCGGGGTCACAAAAACCAGGTACTGGCCCTGTCTTAGACCTTGAGTGAACTTGGGGAAGTCCCTTCTCTTTTCTGGGCCTTGTGATCCCCCTCTGTAAAATGGAGTAACGGCAAGAATGGGTGATGTCCCTTTCAGCTCTAACATTGAATTTGACTGATCATTCATTCAGTCAACAAACATGTATTGAGCACCTGTTATGTGCCAGGCTCTGCTCCAGGTGTTCGGGTTATCAATGAGCCAATGAGAGGGAGACAGACAAATTCTACTCTCAAGGAGCTTGTACTCTTGATGGAGAGATAGTGAATACACTAACAGTAAATAAGGTAATTCCATTTTTATTTTTATTACTTTTATTTTTCTTTCTTTCCTTTTTTTTTTTTTTTTTGAGACAGAGTCTCGCTCTGTCACCCAGGCTGGAGGGCAGTGGTGTGATCACAGCTCTCTGCAGCCTCGACTTTCCAGCCTCAGGTGATCCTCCCACCTCAGCCTCTCAAGTATGTAGGACTACAGGTGCATTCCACCATGCCTGGCTAATTTTTTTGTACAGATGGGGTCTCCTTCTGTTGCCCAGGCTGGTCTTAAACTCCTAGGCTCCAGGAATCTGCCTGCCTCAGCCTCCCAAAGTACTGGGATTACAGGTGTGAGCCACCACACCAGCCTATTTTTATTTTTTTCTAAAAGGTCACCTTGGTTTCAGAAAATAATTTCAGATATCAAGAAGGAACAATAAAACACTGCCATGTGAGAGAGAGAAAGATGCTTTAGATGGGGTGATCAGAGAAGGGCTCCCTGATGAGGTGCTGTTTGAGCTGAGACCTGAAGGATGAGCTCCATCTTGTGAGGATCTAGAAAGCTCCATCGTGTGAGGATCTAGAAGAGCAGGCAAGGCTGAGGGAATGGCAAGTGCAAAGGCCCTGAGGTGGGACTGAGGTGGGAGTGACCAAGGGATGGAAAGAAGTCCAGCGTGGCTGGGGTGGTGAACAAGGGGAGAGTTGTATGAGGTGAGAAAGGGGAGGTGGGCAGGGTGGATGGCTCTCAGTCAGGGAGGCACCACCCTCCCCAGTGAATATTTTCTAGTTGTCACAGGGACTGGGGGACAAACTACTGGCATTTGGTGCTGGGAGGGATGACAAATGTTCTGCAATACCCAGAAGTCCCACACAATACTGTAATTTCCCCCATTAAGAAACATCGGGGCCAGGCGCAGTGGCTCATATCTGTAATCCCAGCACTTTGGGAGGCCGAGATGGGCAGATTGTTTGAGCCCCAGAGTTCGTGACCATCCTGGACAACATGGCAAGGCCCTATCTCTATTTTTAAAAATGCAAAAATTAGCTAGGTGTGAAGGCGTGTGCCTGTAGTCCCAGCTACTCGGGAGGCTGAGGTGAGAGGATCACCTGAGCCTGGGGGGTGGAGGCTGCAGTGAGTCAAGATTGCATCATTGCACTCTAGCCTGAGTGAGTGACAGAGTGTAACCCTGTCTCAAAAAAAAAAAAAAAAAGAAAGAAAGAAAGAAAGGAAGAAGGGAAGAAAGAAAAAAAAGAAAGAAAGAAAGGAAGAAGGGAAGAAAGAAAAAAAAGCAAGAAAGAAACATCGGATCCCATTTCATACCATTAAGATGGCTACTATCAAAAAAACAGAAAATAGCTAGTGTTGGCAGGGATGTGGAGAAACTGGAAGCTTTGTGGACATTCCATTTGTGCTGGGAATGTGAAATGGTGCAACCACTGTAGAATACAGTATGGTGGTTCCTCAAAAAAATCAAACAGAATTACCATATGATGCAGCAATTTCACTTCTAGGTGTGTACCCCAAAGAAATGAAAACAGGTTTTTTGTTTGTTTGTTTGTTTTGAGATGGAGTCTCGCTCTGTCACCCAGGCTGGAGTGCAGTGGTGTGATCTCGGTTCATGGCAACTTGTGCCTCCTGGGTTCAAGCAGTTCTCCTACCTCAGCCTTCTGAGTAGCTGGGATTATAGCTGGCTGCCACCACGCCTGGCTAATTTTTTTTTTTTTTTTAAGAGACGAGGTTTCACCATGTTGGCCAGGCTTGTCTTGAACTCCTGACCTCAAGAGATCTGCCCGCTTCAGCCTCCCAAAGTGTTGGGACTACAGGTGTGAGCCGCTGTGCCCAGCTGAAAACAGGGTCTTGAAGAGATAGTTGCACACCTATGTTCATAGCAGCACTATTCACAATAGCCAAAAGGTGAAGGCACCCCAGGCGTCCACTGATGGATGAATGGATATGCACAATGTGGTATCTCCGTACAGTGGAATATTATTCAGCCCTGAAGAAGAAGAAAATTCTAACACATGCTGCAACATGGATGAACTTTGGGGACATTATATCCAGTGAAATAAGCCAGGCACAAAATGACAAATATGGTATGATTCCAGTTATATGAGGCACTTAAGGGAGTCAGATTCATAGAGGCAGAAAGTAGGATGGTGGCTGCCAGGAGCTGGGGAGGAGAGGAAACTGGGAGTTATTGTTTAACGACAGAGATGAGTATGGGAAGATGAAAAAGTTCTGGAGGTGGAAGCACAACCATGTGAATGTGCTTCACACTAGTAAACTGTGCACTTAAAGATGGTTAAGATGGTAAATTTTAAGTTACATATATTTTACTACAATTTGAAAAGAAACATTGGGCCTGATGCGGTGGCTCACACCTGTAATCTCAGCACTTTAGGAGGCCGAGGCAGGTGGATCACTTGAGGTCAGGAGTTTGAGACCAGCCTGGCCAACATGGGGAAACCTCGTCTCTACTAAAAATATTAAAAAATTAACTGGGGGTGGTGGTAGGCGCCTGTACTCCCAGCTACTTGGGAGGCTGAGGCAGGAGAATCACTAGAACCAGGGAGGCGGAGGTTGCAGTGAGCTGTGATTTCACAACTGTACTCCAGCCTGGGCAACAAAGCGAGACTCCATCTCAAAAAAAAAAAAAAAAAGAAAAGAAAAGAAAAAAGAAACATTTGATCATCTTTTCTCCTTGGCTGAGTGTGGATATTTTTCTATTTTTCTAAGAGTAATGGGATACCATTAGACGGGTGATGGCCCTAAATATCTGGGCTGTTGTGTTTTGTTGCTGGGCTGTTGTGTTTTGTCTACCATATGAAGAAAGGGTGCCAGGGTAGTGGACGCAGACAGGCCAGTGAGGAGACTGAGAAGTTGGCTGGGAGAGAGGGTGGCTTGGACTAGGGCAGTAGCGGCAGATGTGGTGAGAGGTGGGTGGATTCTGGAGGGACTGTGGAGGAGCATCACAGGACCGGTGGCGGATTGAATGGGAAGGCAAGAGGAAGTGTCACTGGTGGGGAGCCTTGGGGAAGGCTCCCTCCATATGTGACTTCAGAGCTCACATTACATGCTCAGCACATGCTGGAGAGATGACAAAGGGGCTGCGCTCCTGTCTGGTGGGAATTTAGGGAAGTCTGACCACACCATCTCCAGGCTGGGCGAAGCCACTGAAGGCTTGAAAGGATTTTGAGACTTCCTCATGCCATCCTCCATCCTCCTGCCTCCAGACCAGACAGACTCATCCTCTCCCCAAACCCCAGCTCCAAGGGACAGCACACTGGAGGATTCAGAACCTGCGCCCACCCCCACCCCCCATATCCATGCAGGGGGTCACTATGAAGTGCCCTGTGACAGAGGCTTTCTAATTTCCCAAGACATGGTCATAGCCGCGGGCCATGTGATGGTCTTAGCATGCCTGAGGGGTTGGCCAGGAAGGTTTCCCCTCCATCACACAGCTGAGGACATAGACTCTCAGAGTAACATGTGCCTCATCCATGAAGATGTGTGTAGCTCCCCAGATGGCACATCCATCCTCGGCTTTCCAGATGACAGGAGGAGTTGAAGCAGGGAGTTAAGGGGAAGTGCCTGGCCGAGGGAAGCCAGGCTGGGGAACATGGGTATGAGGCTGGGTTGTCACTGTGAAGTATGGGGCGGGGGCCTGGCAGCCTTGAAGAGCCAAGAGGGCATTTCCCTCTTTTTCTCCAAGCACAAAGCAAGGGTTTCTGAGCTCCGCAGCTGCAGTCTCCTCCCAGGGCGGGCTCAGTGACCACTCCAGAGCGGCCCTGGACGTTGCTGCCCTCTGACAACCTGGAAGCCATCAGTTCTCTCTCCTGCAAACTGCAGAACTTGGGCAATTTGGGCAGGTCAGGCTGCAATTTTCTCTGCAGGGCTGCAGGATTGGTGCACACATGAGTTTGGAGCATGCAGATGCGGACATCAGAGGTGTTCCTACATCTTTGAATCTCATCTCGGCCTTTTTTGGCTAAGTCCAGGAATGTGTCTGGCTTCAGACCATTGGCGTCACAGCTGCAAACTAGAGACTTCCAGAGCTGGGAGTAACCGAGAGCTCCTCTCATCCATCCTTTTGCCTTCAGGGGCACTTCCGCCCTCCCCCGAAGACCATCCCAGCCAAAGGGAATGTTATCTTTTCCCCAAAGAGCTCCTTTCCTCTCCCTCGGGCCTTCATTCCTGTGGGGAGCAACTTCCAGCCAAAGACCTCTTCCCACGGATTGTAGCCAACTTTAATCCTGCCTGCCCAGCCCATGCTCCTGCTTCTGATGGCAGCACCCTTAGAGAGGCCCCCTCCCCACTCTCAAGTTGTGAGTTGGGTGGGGTTTACCTTGAGTGCACCTGTGGCCCAAGCCTGGCCAATGAGAGCACCACATTCCTCTCGTCTTGTCTCAGGGTTTGTTTGGGGGTGAGTAAGTGATCAAATCAAGGCAAATCAGATTAAGTTCTGGGATTTCGCTGCAACAACGGAGAAGGAGGTGTCCTTTCAGTTGGGTTTGCTGTTAGGATGGAAGCCTAAAGTTGCCATCATTTGGAGAAAGCCTACCTGAGAGTGGATCCAACACAGAGGAAAACAGGTTGGAGGCCTGGAGAGAGACAGCTCCTGACAACTGCAGTTGAGTACTTGGATCCAGCCATGCCTGAAGCTAAAAACCATGGACATTTTAGATATGTGAACTGATAAACTCCCCTTCCTGCCAGTTTCAGTGAGGTTTCAGTCATTTGCAGCAAAGGTGCTCCAACCCCACCCTAGGTCCTTCCTTCTGCCCCACAGCCTTTGTCCTTTGGCTCTGCCCACAGTGGGGCTGGAGAGTCTCTGGCCATGCCCTTAGCAGGAGATTCCTTCATCTCCTTGAGTCTGCTGGTCAATTGCTGCTCAACATCTGTGTCTCCACTTGGACTCACCCTGCTCCTCTCACTGTTTTCTCTTTGGTTTACTGTTATTCAGAATCCTTCCCATTGCAGCTGAGAGAAGCCACATCACATCATCTTGAGCAAAAAAGGGGACTTGCTGGCCTGGGGAATTGCCCTGAGGAGTAGGGCTAGGGGGCTGGAATCACAGCTCAGGGCCAACAGGATTATCTCTGTCTGTCATTCACCCTTGCTGTCTCTGCTTCCCTGTGGGGCTGGCCTCATTCTCTCCCTTCTGTGAGGTGGAGAACTTGGCTACCATCAGCCCAGCTTGGGAACCCCAGTCTAAAACCAGAGAGCTGTTTTCTTCTAAGATCCATATGTCAGTTCCAAGGAAGAACTGACTGACCTTGTTTGGGCCATGTGCCTGCGGGGCAATCACTGCAGCCAAGGAAGTGGGGGACAATCATTGACCAAGTCTGGGTCATGTGGATGAGGCATTGGGGTTCAGTAATTGACAGACTTATGTAAGGAAGGAAGAACAGTTTCCCACAGGGGACCAGGTGGCTGATAGTAAATTAAGGTTGGGGTAAGAGGGATGCTGGGCAGAAAAGAGCAAGAGATATCCACCCCAGATACCACTATCATCACAACCATCATCTCCATCTGCCAGCATCTCCTGAATCCCTACTATGGGCCTGGCTCTGGGAGGAATCCATCCATCCAACCATCCATCCATCCATCCATCCATCCAGCCAGCCAGCCAGCCATCCACCCACTCACCCATCTATCCATCCATCCATCCATATATCTATCCATCCATCCATCCATCCATCCATCCATCCATCCACCCACCCATCTATCCATCCATCCATTCATCCATGCATGCATGCATGCATCCATCCATCCATCCATCCATCCAGCACTGATTCTGCACCAGGCCCATCTATCCATCCATCCATCCATCCATTCATCCATCCATCCATCTAGCACTGACTCTGCACCAGACCCCGAGCTAGAAACACAATAGTGAGTCTCATCTCACTCAGAGATAGGGACTTCAGCCCTAGTTCAGCCTAGAGGGGAAGAACATTTAAGAAGCCATTATATTCCCCTGGGGTAAGAGCACTTTTAGGGAAGTATAATGGACTCAGAGCAGGGCCAGCTAATGTAGTTTTGGCAGAGTGGTCTGGAAGGGTTTCCAGGAGGAGGTGACAGTTAAGCAGAGACCTAAAGGAAGAGCAGGAGGTAACCAAGTGAAGAATAAAAAGAGTCTCCAGGAGAGGTGACACTGGGAGGGCAGGAGTTTCTGCCCCTGTGGCGTTGACAGTGATGTGGGAAGACAGGACTCCTCCCTTCCCTCACTCAGCAGTGCTAACAGGGCCCAGGATGGCCTCACCCTGGGCTGGGCCTGGGATCTGGAAGTGAGATCGCCTGGGCCCCTTCCCCCAGGAGCTCCTGATTCACTAGGGGAGGCAGGTGTGTGGTGTAAGAAGAGCACCGCATGGAGGAGGCGGTCTGGAGGAGAGCAGGGGTGCGGTGGGTGCTCCAGGGAGGAGGCTAAGTCTGCACTCAGCCTTGACAAGAGGCACTCACTGGGAAAAATGAAGCCACAGGTTCCGGATCGTCAGGGCTGGTGCCTCGCATCCTCCATCCTCATAACTCCCAGTGTGTGGGTGTCCTGAACTGTGTCCTCCTGACCACCCCTCACTCCTGGAGAAGCCTCCACACCAGCCCTCCTTGGTCAGGGTCAGCCTGTCCTCTCTCCTTGTGCTCCCGCGGAGGTGTAGGAAGATGTCCGTTCCGGATGCTGATGAAGAGGAAGGTAGGTACTTGGGCAGGGAAGGTAGAATATGGAGGTTTGGTGAGGATCTGAGGTCAGGAGATGGGATTCAGGGCCTCCTTCAGCTACAGACTCACGGTGTGACCTTGGGCAAGTCCCCGCCCTCTCCGGGCCTTGGTTGATCCCTCGGTTTGGATGGGAGAGTTCACAGGCCTTGTTCCGGCGCCATTTCTGTGCATTTGGAGGTGGGGCTGCACTGGGGCTCCTGGCTCCTGGCCGCGCCGCCTTGCAGCCTACAGGTCCTGAGTCATCTTCCAGGCAGCGGGTGACCTCTCCATACCCCTGTCTCCCCGCAGCCCCGTGACCCTGGGCGGCGCGCAGGGCCAGGCCGTCCCAGGCGGGCTGCACAGTGGAAATCACAATATTGACCCAGCGCGCAGGAAGTGGGGAGGACAGGCCGCCGGGGTTCCCGGCCCGGGGGGAGACAGCTCGCTGAGTGATGAGCTCGGAGCCAAGCTCTCCCTCCCTCCTGGGTCACCGCACCGCTGCCCGCCGCCAGGGCTGTTCCTCTTGGCTCCAGGGCCCCCCTCCCTGGACCTCCCTCCTACACATTCCCCCGGCCCAGGCCCCAGAGGGGAGCTGCTGGTGAGCTCCAGGCCTCAGGGCCTCTCGGGCCCTGCCTCCCTCTAGCCCAAGTCCCGGTTCCCTTGTGCTTCCAGCATCTGAGGGGCCAAAACTGGAACTGCACCCTCACAGGCCACTGACCTTTGGAATAGTCCTGCCTCCCATTTAACAGATGGGGGAACTGAGGCTTAGAAAGGTACTCAGCCAGTTGTATCAGAGCCAGGATCCACACTCAGATCTGTCCAACTCCTGGCCAGTGCTCTGTCTACGCCGTGAGTGAGTTATCGTCGGTCGTGATAATAGTGTGAGTAATAAACTGCTCAGTTAGTGAAGTTTTTGGTCTCACGCAGCCCTCTTGCCTGCCCTAGGAGCGGTTCTGACTTTACAGACGAGGAAGCTAAGGCTTAGAGGTGGTGAGATAACTTTCCCAAGGACACAGCCCGGGAGCAGCAGGGCTGGGATTTGAACTGTGGTCCGCCTGATCTGTCTGTTCTGCCAAGCTGTGGGGCAGGAGGGGCCTGTCCTTGAAGGTCTACTCAAATGCCACCTCCCCTGGGGGGCCCCAGGACCACCTGTAGATTGTGCTCCCCCAGAGGGGTTCCTTGGGGACAATGTAGCCCACAGCCTTGCTCTCCAGTGAGGGGGCCCTCAGTTGGTGTTGCCTGGGGGTCTGGCCGTGGGGTTTGGAGGCTGGTGGGTCAACCCTGCTGGTGGGTTGAGCTGGACCAGGAAGTGCTGCTCAGGGGTGAGCACCCTCCAGGGGGCGTGGTGAAGTAGAGGGGAAATACTCCTGGGCTTGGAGCTGGGGACCTGGAGCCCCTCCCTAACCTCCCAGGGTCTTGGTTTCCTCATTCATAGAAAAGGGCTTGGGGTCCATTTGAAGGCCTACTCCCCAATACCAGAGACTTAGTAGAGCTTTGGGCTTCTATTTCTTCCAGCTCCCTTCCCACAAGCTGGGTGTCATGGGGGAAAGGGTTTACAGAGCTCTCACTGGGCTCTGATTAAGTTTTCTACCCAGGGTTTTCACTATAAGGAGTCACCAATGAAAATCTGCCAATGTGCTTCTTCTAGGGCTGCTGTTGAGGGTGTTTTCTGATTCATCACATGACCCCATTATGAGGAACCCCAGGAAAAATTCGCCGAGAATTCAGTGTAGGCAATTTGCATGAAGTCTGAGAAATTGGTATAATTTTATATTTTGGACACTGATTGTGTCTGTGTGTGTGCATGCTTGCCTGAGTGTTTACATCTTTGTTTTGCCCATGATGAAGCTCAAGGCTAAAACTATGACACATGACAGTGTGGGACTTCCTGATCCAGGTCACCTCCCCTTCCCCTTGCCACAGGCCCCAGAATATAA
This sequence comes from Homo sapiens, assembly GCF_000001405.40. Lineage (NCBI taxonomy): Eukaryota > Metazoa > Chordata > Mammalia > Primates > Hominidae > Homo > Homo sapiens. Next base: position 22,287,355 of record NC_000001.11, read on the forward strand.
TTTTCATTTATTGACCTACTGTGCAGCATGAAGATACAGCCCTTTACCGATTTCCTCATTTCCTTTGTGCCAGGGTGAAAACTGACTTTCAGAACGTGAACAAGGTGCATGATGGATTTATCCATTAGTGATGTCTGCCATGGGCACACGAAGGGAAGTACTGGTGCATATGCCTCATTTTTGCCTTCCCTCATTCAATCAATGTATAATATTGTATCTAATCATATTTTCTATTTAACCATATATAATTTCATAAGCTGCCTTTAAACCTTTGTGGAACAAGACTTTGTATAAATAATGGTAATTCATTGCAAATAACCATTAGGTTCTTTAACATAGGTTATATTACTATGTCCTTACCATCTCTCTGCAGGAGAAAATGGGTGGGTCATATGGCACCTTTGTGCATATTCGAAAACTATGCCCCTCTGGGCAATAATGGCTTAGTGAGCAGAGCACAGGGTAGATTTTAGCCCCATTCACTTCATCACCCAGGTGTATTTGTTCAGTGCATGACCTTAACAACCACACACAGCAACCCTATTCAGTGTCTTGCCAAATCCCATGGTTATATCCTTCACTCCAAATCCAGTTCTCATTTTATTATATGCAGCACACAGACCATATTCTGGGTCTTGGACATCTATTCAGGCTCCAGGATGGTTGGCATTTGGTCTCAGGCTAAGTGAGGCAGTGGAAGGAAGAACAGCGTAAACAACTTAGCTTGCGTTTGTGCCACAAACAGGCAACATTCCTGCTGGTGCCTGTCCCTGCCTGCCAGATTCCAGTGAGGATCCTGGGCTATGAATAGTCCCAGTGATGCCCTCTCAGAGGACCCACTGGACTTCCCGCAGGCCCGGTCCTTGGCCTCCACCCCACACTGGCCACTGGGAAATCAGGGACAAGACCTCTTCCCTGGCACCTTCATCCTGCATGTTTCTTCCCGCTTGCTTTCCGCCCGGGATTACCGCCGGGGCTGGGCTTCTGCACGTGGCTGTTGCTTGGGCCCCCACGTGGGCTGCTTGAAAAACATCTCTCTGAAAGCAGAGAAAGTGTGAGCCGTCAAGAAGGAGCGTGTGGAAGGAGAGAGGTCCTCGGAGGAGGGGAAATTTACAGCATTCATTTGGCCCATTCTAAGGACACCGTGAGGCCTGCATGAAATGCCTTCCGGAGGTGAGCACCGGTATTTTACTGCCTAAAATCCAATGTCAGTGCTTCCATGCCCTTGGAGATTACCTCCCCCACCCCCTCCTGTGACAGATAAGGAAACTGAGGCCCATGATGGAAAGTGACTTGCCTAAGCCTGTACAGCTGAGTGAAAAATCCCAGGCACTGATAGGGGAGGCCCTGAGTGCAAGCTAAGTTCTCTGGACCTGATATGTGCATGATGTCAGGGCTGGAGACACAGGTGGATGCCCCGTTTGGTTCCCTGAACTGTCAGCCTACTATGTGCTTTAGCATAGATTATATTACTGTGTTCTCACCGTATCTCTGTAGGAGAAAATGAGTGGGTCATTATAGAGACAGAAACTCAGGTTCAGAGTCGGGACCACTGCAGGCCCTTAGGGCACCTTTGTATATATTAGAAAAATATGCCCCTCTGGGCAATCATGGCTTGGTGAGCAGAGCACAGAAGGCCAGAGAGTCTGACTCACTTGCCAAAGGTCACACTGCACCACAGCAGAGGAGAAAGCCATGTGATCATGGTCAGGAAGACCCTGTTCAGAGGCCAACAGTCTGGGTTCTGTGAATACCACCCACTGGCTCTGTGACCTTAGCCAAGTGACTTTGTCTCTCTGAGCCTCAATTTCCTCACTGATAAAATAGGAGTAGTAACTGTAAGGCTGTTATGAAGACTTGGTAAGACAATACAGGGAAGCGCTCAGCACAGTCTTGGGATAGCCTCATGCCAATGAATAGTCGTGCCAATGTCAGTGTGATTATCACTACCAACAGAAGTAGGCGGTTATAGCAGACATTTCTTGGATTGGTTGCCAGAGTCCAACTTCTGGATTCCTTGGGGCAAATGGCCATGCCTTCTGTGTGCCATCTCGGTGGGGATGGTGGTGGTAGGGGTAGTTCTAGGTGCTCCTCTCCCTCTGTGAGAATAGAGGGAGCCACAGCCCCCCTCCGTCACCCCCATCCAGCGCACACTCCCACTTGACCAGCTGCCTGTGCTCTGCTAAGTCTTTGAATCTTGAGCGTTGATCCAAGGTCAAAAGGAACAACGGCTGGGGATTTGTTGTTGTTGTTATGGTGGTTGTAGCAATGTCTTAATCAGCCTTTTCCTGTCATCAGATGCCCGTGGATTTATTCATTCAGCAGCTATCCCCGGAGCTCCACTTGGAGCCAGGCACCAGGCAGGGGGCTCAGGTCCCGGAAGTGCCCACAACAGGCAGCTCCCTGCTCCCCTCATTCCAGTCCTTCCAGAGCCTCCCTGAGACCTGCCTCTCCTGAGCTTACTCCTCCAGCCTCCTGTTGGTTCAGAGAGCCCCTGTGCTCCTTCTAGTACATTCCCCTCTGCTTATGTCAGCCAGGGCTGACTTGGCTGCTGACGATGAGGGAGGCCTGGCTAATTCCAGGCCATGGTGGGCTTGAACCTTACGCTTCTCTGTCTCCCATGCCTGGGCTCTTCCTGCCATCATCCTCCCTCCTGGTACCCACAGTCATCTCTATGCCTGAGCCCTGTAGACCTCAAGGCTGACCTTGGTGGGACCAACCAAGTCACAGGATTTGTCTGAGAAGAACCGGGGTATGAAGAGTTTTGTGGGTTTGAGATGCCATAAAACTGTCCAACAACAATGACTTCCAAACTACCTCCCTCTGAGCTGTGGTGTCTGCAGAGATCCCTCATGGGCTGTCAGGATTTGAGAGTGCGTTGGGGCAGTTGAGTACAAGGGCTCACTCCCTTCCCTACCCCCACACCTATTTTAACCAGAGTGGCTTTACCTAGCACAGTATTCAAGAGGCATGCCCTCTGGGACCACGCTGCCTGGGTTTGGATCCCATCTCCACCACGCATGAGCTATATGACCTTGGATAAGTCACTTATCACTCTGTACCTCAGTTTCCTCATCGGTAACACGAGAATGGAGAGACCTCAGAATGGTGCAGTGACGATTCTAGGAACGTATGCTACCTAAGGCTTCAAAAGTGCTGGCCTGTGATGAGTCTTCAACACACGAGAACTACTGTTACTCTTGCTTTTCCTAGTGGGTTTCAGCGGAATATTCCATAAGAAAAAAGAAGGGTCTTTTTTGTTGTTTAAGAAATGTCTGGGAATCTGCCCCCCGGTGCCCTCTTGGGCATGACCCCCTAGACCCACCTGGCGCTGGTGTCTTCCTCCAGCACAACGCTCCTCTGTGGGATAATTCCCAGCTCGAAAAAGCCACTCGACATTTCTGTGAGAAGTCACTCCTTGCTGATGTTCTCACTCCAGGCCATTTCAGGGCGTCTGGCCTTGTGGCCAACGTGGAGAAGCAGGTGGCAGCTGCCCCAGCTCTGGTGCTGAGCTCCCTGGGCAGCGAGATTCTGTTCTGCCCTGCAAGATGGACCTTTTACACAGGCATTTGGGCAACTGAGGGCTTTGTTGGGCCCAGCTTCTCAACACATCAAAAAAGTTTTCTGGCTGATGTCGCTGGTGTGGGGTGGGAGTAGAGACCTCCCCTCCCCTCCCCTCCCCTCCCCATCCCCCGACTCCCCTCACCTCTCTTCTGTCCCTGCCGCTCCTGCGTTTGTTGTTTGTTACCATTTGCATGGCTTCCTTTATTTAAACACATAAACAATGAAACTTAAAGAGCACCGATTCTGGAGTCAGACACAAATGGTTCCTGTCCTGGCTTTGCCATTTATTGGCTGTGTGTCTTAGAACAAGGTGCTCGACCTCTCTGTTCCTGTCTCTCCATCTGGGAAATAAGGATGGTGAGAAACTGAAACAGCAGGGAGGACTGAGTGAGCTCATGCATGTGAAGCACTGAGTGAGTGCTCAGGAAATGTAAGCTTCTGTTTTTTTTTTAAATTATTTAATTTTTATATAGAGACGGGATCTCACTATGTTGCCCAGGCTGATCTTGAACTCCTGAGCTCAAACGATCCTTCCACCTCAGCATCCTGAAGTGCTGGATTACAGGCACAAGCCACTGCTCCCAGCCAAATGTGAGCTTCTGTGAGGCCTGGGTTTAATGTGGTACAGGAAGGGGAAGCAACTCCATAGGAGGGAGCCAGGGAAGGCTTCTCAGAGGAGATGATGTTTGGACTGAGTCTTGATGGATGTATAGGAGAGTGTCAGGAGAAGGGCAGCTCAGGCAGAGTAAGCCCAGAGGCCTGGAATTGTCTGGTGTCTTGGGAACAGCATATCATTCCAGAGGCCTGAAAGGTGGGATGGGACTTTTAGGGGAAGCAGTTGGAGGCAAGGCCTGAGAGGTGAGCAGGGCCACATCATGTGGGGCCTTTGGGCCAAGTTAAATGTATCCTGAGGGCAGTAGGGAGCCATGGAAGGGTTTGAGAAGGGGAGTGACCTGGTCTGCTTTAAGTTCTAGAAAGACAACTCAGCAGTGGCATGGAGAATGGGCTGGAAAGGGGGACTCTGCAGCCCCTTGCAGTCACGGTGGTGAGGCTCAGAAGGAGACAGGATGTCAGCAAAGCTCTTTGACCTGGGCCTGGCAGTCATCACTCTGGTCCCATCTGGTCAGGGTGGCTGAGCTGACCTCCACCCCACGGCCCGAGGCCGCTGCTCTGAAGGCCCGCCGAGCTGGCTGGAGAAGAGGCCGAATGCAGCCTGCAACGGGGAAGTAGAAATATTTGCTCAGCTGCAAGGACAAGCTCGAGTCTCTCCTTCCACATGAAGGGGAAAGACGCTGGCCAGGCTGGGGTCTGTCCACGGTTCTCCCGCGGCTCCCAGAGCTCGCCCCCGCCCCTCCATTTCTGCCTTTGAGCCATCCAGCAAAAGTGTCCCTGCTCTTCCCTGCAACAACCACTCAGAGCTCTGAAGTCAGCGAACATGACCTTTCTCCTTTTCTTCTCCAATTGAACACACCCAGCTCTTTCATCTTTCCCTCATGTGACAGGGACTGACCTTTATTTTTATTTTTAGAGAAATGTCCAGATTCAGCAGCCATTGATTCAAATCTTTTTTTTTCAACTAGCTGACACAGACAAGGCACCATAAGCATTTAGAGCCAGGACTTTGATGTGAGGCAGCCTGGGCTTGAATCCCAGCCTGAGCTCTGCCACCACTCTGCTGTGTGACCTTGGACAAGTCGCTTAATCTTTCTGAGCCTCACTGGGCCTTTTCTCTAAGGAGGTATTTGTAACCCCTTTCTCAAAGAGTTGTTGAAGGAGCCAATGAACAAGTATTTACAAAGTGCTTAGGACAGTGTCTGGCATGTAGTAGGTGCTCAGTAAGTAGTAGCTACTATTGTCTATGTCCCTGGACACCTCAGCCCCTCTTCAGCTTCCTTTAATTCATGGTACTAGGCAGCTGTGCATTCACCAACTGCCAGGCCTTGATTCAACACTTCTGGGCTCAGAAGACTCTAAGATGGTCCCTCCCCAGGGGACAGGCATGGTGGCTCATGCCTGTAATCCCAGCACTTTGGGAGGCTGAGGTGGGAAGAGCACCTGAGCCTGGACAACAGAGTTCAGGAGTTCAAGGCCAGCCTGGGCAACAGAGCAAGACCCTGTCTCTACAACAATTTTAAAAATTAGCTGGGTGTGGTCATGCATGTGCCTGTAGTCCTAGCTACTCAGGAGGCTGAGGTGGGAGGATTGCTTGAGCCCAGGAGGTTGAGGCTGCAGTAAGCTGAGATCACACCATGGCACTCAAGCCTGGGCAACAGACCCTGTCTCAAAAAATGCAAAAACAAGAACAAAAAATTAAAAAAAAGATGATCCCCAGTGATTTTTACCTATTTTTATTTTAACTTTCATCTCCTGCTATTATGCCTTGTGTCATCCCCTCCCCTTGAATTGGGGAGGACCTGTGACTTGTTTCTAACCAGCAGAGGTGACAGGATGTCACTTCTGGGATGACGTTTGGTGAGATTGTATCTTCCTTCTTGCTGGTAGCCTCTCTCCCTGGCTGGCTTGCTGCAGCCAGCTGCTATGCTGTAAGCAGCCCCATGGAGAGGCCCGTTTGGCAAGGAGCTGAGGGTGGTCTACAGCCAATACTAGCAAGACAACCTACAAGGAACTGAATGCTGCTGTGATACTATGAATATTAAAAATATATATTTATTCTTCATCTCTGATTCCTGGCTCAGAGCTTCTGAAATGCTTGTAATTTCCTGCACGATGGGATGATAGGAGCATCTGTTGTTATAATATTTAGTCTTAGTCCCTGGTTCCTGGCGTAAGAGCTTTTAAGACCCTTGGAATCTCTGGAGTGATGAATATCTTTTGTATGCTGATGAGATGACTGGTGGTTGGGGGTCCCTAGATAGCTTCAGGACTGGGGCTGGTTGCCAGAAAGACTGAGGCAAGATGAGAAGGTTGGAACTTTCAGCCCTATCCCCCAGAGCTCTGGGGAAGAAAGAAGGGCTGGAGATTGAGTTTATCACCAATGGCCAATGATTTGATCAATCATGCCTACATAATGGAACCTCCATAAAATCCCTAAACAACAGGTTTGGCGATCTGGGTTGGTGAACACATTGAGGTGCTGCCAGGATGGTACATTGAGAGGGCATGGAGGCTCTGCACCCTCCCACAACACACCCTGCCCTATGCAACTCTTCCATTTGGCTGTCCTTGAGTTGTATTTTTTTTATAATAAACCAGTAGTAGTAAGTAAAGTGCTTCCTGAGTGCTGTGAGTCTTTCTAGCAAATTATAGAGAGGTGGTCATGGGAACTCCTGATTTATAGCTTGTTGGTCAGAAGTACAGGAGGCCCAGAACTTGCAATTGGTGCCTGGGTGGGAGCGGTCTTGCCAGACTGAGCCCTTAACCTGTGGGGACAGATGCTAACTCCCAGTAGTTAGTGTCAGACTTGAATGGAATCATTGGACACCTAGTTGATATCTGGAGAGTTGGAGAACTGGTTATTGTGGTATGGAAAAAACCCCGACACATTTGGTGTGAGAGGTGTTGCACTGTAAAATAGTTCAGCCCTGCCAACAACCACATGAGCTTGGAAGTGGATTCTTCCCCATTTGGTCCTTCAGATGAGACCCTGACCTTGGCTGACATCTCAATTGCAGCTTTGCACAGGACTCAGGTAAGCTATGCCCAGACTCCAGACCCACAGAAACTGTGAGATAATAAATGTGTTTAATTAAATTAAATTAATTAATTAATTAATTTTTATTTTTTTGAGACAGAGTTTCACTTTGTTGCCCAGGCTGGAGTGCAGTGGCACAATCTCGGCTCACTGCAACCTCCGCCTTTTGGGTTCAAGCGATTCTCATCCCTCAGCCTCCTGAGAAGCTGGGATTCCCGGTGCGTAACACTGCGCCTGGTTAATTTTTTGTATTTTAGTAGAGATGGGGTTTCATCATGTTGGCCAGGCTGGTCTCGAACTCCTGACTTCAAGTGATCTGCCCACCTTGGCCTCCCAAAATGCTGGGATTACAAGTGTGAGTCACCATGCCTGGCCATAAACGTGTTTTAAAAGCACTAAATTGGCTGGGCATGGTGGCTCCCACCTATAATCCCAGCACTTTGGGAGGCCAAGGCAGGCAGATCAGTGAAGGTCAAGAGGTCAAGACCATCCTGGCCAACATGGTAAAACCCCATCTCTACTAAAAATATAAAAATTAGCCACATATGGTGGTGCACACCTGTAATCCCAACTACATGGGAGGCTGAGGCATAAGAATTGCTTAAACCCGGGAGGTTGCAGTGAGCTAAGATTGTGCCACTGCACTACAGCCTGGACCACAAAGCAAGACTGTCTCAAAAACAAACAAACAAACCAAATAGAGCACTAAGTTAATGGTAATATTGTTATTCAGCAACAGAGAACTCATACATTTGAGAGTGCATTAGAGCAAAACCACAGTGGGCTGGCAGAGCTATAAACTCCTCACACCAGCCAATGTGGCATCATGGGGATACTGTTAGTGAAGTGGTTTTACTAAACAACAACAGCAGCTTACGATTATTGAATGCTTGCCACGGTCCTTGCTCTATGCCAAGCCCTTTACATGTTTTATTTCATTTAGTCTTTGACATAACCCTATGAACAACAACTATTACCCCACTTGTCACTTGGGAGGGCAAAGGGTTTTGATTTTGAGATGACCTCCTCATCAGCAAGGGACTTGGCCAACTCCCCTTTGACCTGTCTAAAGACAAACACATTTCATCACTGCAAATGCTAGCTTTTTTTGTTTAATAAACATTTTATCCTGAAAAACATTTAGAGTTACAGAAAAGTTGTAAAGATAGTACAGAGAGTTCTTGTATACCTTTCACTCCATTCCTCTTAATGTGAGCATCTTGCTTTACCATGGAACATTTCTCAAAACTAAGACATCATCGTCGGTACATTACTCTTAACTAAACTATAGATTATTCAGGTTTCACCCGTTTTTCGATGAATGCCCTTTTGCCATTCCAGGATTCAATTCAGGATCCCACGTTGCATTTAGCAAGCATGGATTTTTTCTTCCCCAGACCCAAGCCAGTCTGGTCTCACACGACGAGTGCGTGGCCCTCTGTTGCCATGTGTTGACCCTAATCCTTGCAAAAGAACAACTCTGGCATCACCGAATTAAGGGCATGTTTGCTTTTTTCCTGAGCAAGGAAAGAATGTCCCACATTGGCTAAGAATGCCTTGGTCTGAACCATTTGGGAGGTTGACTGACGTCAACCCTCCAATAATTTTGCTCTGGTACCCACATTTTTGAAATTTCTGAAACAGAGGGAGGAGATGCCAGGTCATCACTCAACACACACTGTCTCACAGTTCCGGAGGCTGGAAGTCCAAGGTCAAGGTGTCAGCATGGTCGGTTCCTTCTGAGGACTGTGAGGGAGAATCTTCCAGACTCTCTCCTAGAGAGAGAAGGAGGGTCCCCTGGAGGTCATCTAGCTCCTCTCATCCCTTCTTCCCACCAAACATTGACTGAGTATCTCAGCATCTCCGTTGTCAGTTATAGGACTCCCCTAGTCAAAAAAGACAAAAGGCACCCAAGCTGATCTAGAGGAAAAATAAAGGGAGACCTTTTAGGGGACTCAGTTCACATCAAAGTCCAAGTGAGGGAGAACTTTCCAGGCTCTGATGGTTTCCTGGCAATGTTTGGCATTTCCTGGATTGTAGAAGCACCACCCCCATCTCTGTCTTTATTTTCACATGGCATTCTCCACATGTGCATGTCTCTGTGCCCAAAATCTCCCCGATTTATAAGGACACCAGTCACATTGGATTAGCCACCCTATTCCAGGATGACCTCATCTTAACTAAGTACATCTGCAACAACCTTATTCCTAGATTAGGAAATTCTGAGGTGCTGAGGGTTAAGACTTCAACATATGAATTTGGGTGTGGTGGGGAAACACAACGGAACACATGATACTATCTGTGGTTTCTCCCTGTGGCTTGGGCTTCCCACAGCAGGTGGCTGGGCCCCTAGAGGGAGCACCCCAGGGCGGGTGTCCCGAGAAGGACAGTTGGGGCTGCAAGGCTTCTGACCTCCCCTCCGAAATCACACAGCATCATTTCTGCTGTGTTCTGTTGGTTAAAAGTGAGTCACGGAGCCTGTGCAGGTCCAGGGGAGGGGCCCCACAAGGGTGTGAATTCTGGGAGGTGTGCTGGGAGCTGGCTTTGGAACCAGTTACCCCAGGTTCACGGCAGGCTAACATCCCGAATCCCAGATTAAAGCATGTTCTGTTCCCTGAGTTTTGTCCCTCTGGTTAGCTCCCAGGGGTAGTTGCTCAATAAACTGTTGTGGCCTGGAATTTTATCGTGAAGGGATCTGTTCCATCAGCAGGAAAGTGCCAGGCCCCACTGCTTCTCCAGTGTGCTCCCTGCCTCTTTTCCTTGGGAACCCAAGGCTGGCAGGGGCCAAGTCCTAGGACCGGAAGGACCCGAAGCTGGAACACAATGGGCTGCTTTTTCCTGCCCACACACCTGGGCCTGGCACTCAGGGGGAAAATTGCCCCAGGCAGGCGGTCTTGCCAGACTTAGAAAGAAGGAGACCGAACTTGAAATGTTTTCTAAATCCTCCAAATGGAGCTTCTGCAGCACCGGCACCAGCTTCCCCCATCCCCACCCCGGGAGAGAGGAAAAGCAGGGAGAGGAAGAGAAGGAGTAGGTTTCCAGTCTGTTTATATTTCAGGCTATTTTGAAACCCCCTGAAGGCACTCACACACAGGGGCACATTTAAATGCACCAGGAAGTGCTCCCGGAATGGAAACTGGAGTCGGCGGAACTCTGGGGCACTGCACTGCCTGCTCTGTTCTGCTGTCCTTCAAACAACCAACAATTCAGCCCCTTCAATGCCCAACTCAAAGCCTCTCTCACCGGAAGGGCTTCTGGAGGTCATCTAGCTCCTCCCATACCCCCTTCTCACCAAACATTTACTGAGCTTCTCAGCATCTTCATTGTCAGTTACAGGACTCTTTGGTCCACAAGGAATAGAGGAAAGGCACCCAAGTTGATCTAGATGAAAACTAAAGGGGGATTTTTTAAGGGGCTTAATTTACATCAAAATCCAAGGAGAGTTTGGCTTCAGGTATGGTTGAATCCAGCTGTTCCAACCATATCATCAAAGATGGGTCTCTGAACATCCCTCAGCTCTGCTCCCTCCATGGTAGCCTCATTCTCAGTATTATAAGGAGGCAAGGTGCCTGCCAGCAGCCCCAGACCCTTATCAAGTCCCTCAGAAGACCTTGGGATGTGAGTTCCCATTGGCCAGGATTAGTCACATGCACTGCTATCCTTACCAGCTGGGAGTGGAGTCAACTCCACCCGAAGCTCAGAGGTCCCTCTCCCACCCAACCCTTATACCCAGACACCAGGCAGCAAGAAAACATGGTACCCATGCTCTCTGCTTATACCCCTCTAGTGATGGAGGACTCTTCAGCCTAGGGGCATCCCTGTCCTCTGATAATTTTATTCAGATTTCTATAATATTTCTTACCATACTTCAGTGCAATTTATTTGTTTGCCTATACCCCTTATTGTACTCCTTGGTTTCTGTGTCTTCAGCACAAGGCCCCCACAGAACAGGTGCTCAACAGACGTTTATCAAATGAAGGATTAATATCTTCCATTACTAAGCACATATGCTGTGCCAGGTGTTTGATGCATATTATCTCATTTGATCCTCGTGACCACTCTCTTAGCTAAAGAGCATCGTCCTGTTTTTATATGTGAAGAAACAGGTTCAGACAGGTTAAGAAGTCACCTTACCAAGGTCATCCAAGAAGAAGGCAGTGGAGCCAGGATTTAAGCCCAGATATTTTTGACTTTAACTTGATATGGAGGTGGGAGAAGCTGGGAAAGAAGGGAAGAGGACAGGAAAGAAGAAGAAGAGCCGAGAGGGTAGTGGAGGAAAAGAGAGGACAGAGGAAGAGGAATGGGAGGAAGCTTTGAATGTTAAAATTTCTTCCTCTGATGGCTATTATTATTATTTTTTTAAAGACACCGTCTTGTTATATTTCCCAGGTTGGATTAGAACTCTTGCTCAAACTCCTGAAGTTTGAGTGGTCCTTCTGCCTTCTGCCACAGCTACTGAGCTGGGAACACAGGTGCACACCACTGCGCCCAGCTGGATGGTTGTTCTTTCTTTCTTTATTTTTTTTTGAGATGGAGTCTTACTCTGTTCACCCAGACTGGAGTGCACTGGCCCGATCTCGGCTCTCTGCAACCTCCACCTCCTGGGTTCAAGTGATTCTCCTGCCTCAGCCAAACCAGTAGCTGGGATTACAGGTACATGTCACCACACCCGGCTAATTTTTTTTTTTTTTTTTAAGTAGAGATGTAGTTTTACCATGTTGGCCAGGCTGGTCTCAAACTCCTGGCCTCAGGTAATCCACTCGCCTTGGCCTCCCAAAGTGCTGGGATTATAAGTGTGAGTCACTGCGCTCGGCCTGGATGGTTATTCTTAATTTGCTTTTTGGTCACTGACTCCTTAAAGAATCTGATCCAAGTTAGCACATTTTGGTGTGGCAATGCACCAAAGTACCGCATGCATGAGACTATTAAATTGAAGTAAATGTCATCCATATACTGACATAGCACATTAAGAGTATTAAGTTCAGTAAATGAAGAAAAAAGATGATATAATTTTATTTGGGGTACAGTTTGAAAATAATTTCAGCTTGGGAATTTCGTGGTGGGGTAAACTGCTTATCTTTTCAGTACTGTTTTTGTTTAAAAGCCTCAAATCATTTTGTGCAACACTTGCAGAGAATTAAAAAAAAAAAAGACTCAAATCTCTGGGTCACCAGAGTCCCTCATTTTAATAAATGATTTTCTGTTATGCTTGATAATGGCATTAATAGAATAAGAAGGGAGAAATAGAAGACCAAAACTGGTGACCAAGGATTACACCTGGCTGGTCTACAGTGTCCCCAGTTCATGTCATTATCATTGGATTTGCTTTTTAAATTCAGAATAGGTGTTGGGTTGGAGGGTGGGCTCTTTGTCTTCATTGCTGTGATGTTTGGAAAATAAAACAACTGTGGAAAATAGGATGGAGGCCAACAACCTCCTAGTACCAAAACCTGGCAGAGATACAACAGGAAAAGAAAACTTCAGGCCAATATCTGTGATGAACATCAGTGCAAAAATCCTCACCAAAATACTGGCAAACTGAATCCCACAGCACATCAAAAAGCTCATCAACCACGATCAAGTAGGTTTTATCCCTGGGATGCAAGGTTGGTTCAACATATGCCAATCAATAAATGTGATTCCTTACATAAACAGAGCTAAAGACAAAACCACATGATAATCTCAGTAGATGCAGAAAAGGCTTTTGATCAAATTCAACATCCATTCATGTTAAAAACTCTCAATAAACTAAGTATTAAAGAAACATACCTCAAAATAATAAGAGCCATATATGATAATTCCACAGCCAACATCATAATGAATGGGCAAAAGCTGGAAGCATTTCCCTTGAAAACTGGCACAGAACAAAGATGCCCTCTCTCACCACTCCTATTCAACATGGTATTGGAAGTCCTGGCCAGGGCAATCAGGCAAGAGAAAGAAAGGGCATCAACACCACTGAAAGAAATAGATAGGAAGAGAGAAAGTCAAACTATCCTTGTTTGCAGATGACATGATCCTATAGCTTGGAAAATCCCACAGTCTCAGTCCAAAAGCTTCTTAAGGTGATAAACAATTTCAGGAAAGCATCAGGATACAAAATCAATGTGCAAAAATCACTAGCATTCCTATACAGCAACAACAGTCAAGCAGAGAGCCAAATCAGGAATGCAATCCCATTCACAATTGCCACACACACACACAAAATAATAAAATACCTAGGAATACAGCTAACTAGGGAGGTGAAAGATCTCAACAAGGAGAACTACAAAACTCTGTTCAAAGAAATCAGAGATGACACAAACAAATGCAAAAACATTCCATGCTTATGAATAGAGAGAATCAATACAGTAAAAATGACCTGCCTAAAGCAATTTATAGATTCAATGCTATTCCTATTAAACTACCATTGAGACTCTTCACAGAACTAGAAAAATCTACTTTAAAATTCATATGGAACCAAAAAAGAATCTGAATAGCCAAGACAATCCTAAGCAAAAAGAACAAAGCTGGAGGCATCATGCTACTCTGCTTCAAACTATACTACAGGGCTACAGTAACCAAAACAGCGTGGCACTGGTACAAAAACAGACCCATAGACCAAAGGAACAGAACAGAGATCCCAGAAATAGGACCACACACCTACAACTATCTGATCTTTGACAAAACTGACAAAAACAAGCAATGGGAAAAAGACTCCATATTCAATAAATGGTGCTGGGATAACTGGCTAGCCATATGCAAAAGATTAAAACTGGACCCCTTTTTTAACACAATATACAAAAATTAACTCAAGATGGATTAAAGACTTAAATGTAAAACCCAAAACTATAAAAACCCTGGAAGACAACCTAAGCAATACCATTTAGGACATAGGCACAGGCAAAGATTTCATGACAAAGATGACAAAAGCAATTGCAACAAAAGCAAATATTGACAAATGGGATCTAATTAAACTAAAGAATTCTGCACAGCAGAAGAAACTATTAACAGAGTAAACAGACAACCCATAGAATGGGAGAAAATTTTTGCAAACTATGCATCTGACAAAGGTCTAATATTCAGCATCTATAAGGAACTTGAAAAAATTTACAAGAAAAAACAAACAACCCCATTAGAAAGTAGGCAAAGGACATGAACAGACCCTTTCAAAAGAAGCCATACATGTGGCTGACAATTATATGAAAAAAAGCTCAACACCACTGATATTAGAGAAATGTGCATCAAAACCACAGTGTGATACCATCTCAGACGAGTCAGGATGGCTATTATTAAAAAGTCAAAAAAATAACAGATGCTGGCAAGGTTGTGGAGAAAAAGGAACACTTATGCACTGCTGGTGGGAGTGTAAATTAGTTCAACCATTGTGGAAGACAGTGTGGCAATTCCTCAAAGAACTAAAGACAAAAATACCATTTAACTCAGCAATCCCATTACCAGTTATATGCCCAAAGGAATATAAACTCTTCTATTATAAGGACACATACACCTGTATGTTCATTGCAGGACTATTCATGATAGCAAAGACATGGAATCAACCTGAATGCCCATCAATAATAGACTGGATAAAGAAAATGTGGTACATATACACCACAGAATACCATGCAGCCATAAAAAGGAGCTAGATCATGTCCTTTGTAGGGACATGGATGGAGCTGTAGGCCATTATCCTTAGCAAACTAACATGGGAACAAAAAACCAAATACTGCATCTTCTAACTTATAAGTGGGAGCTAAATAATGAGAACACATGGACACAAAGAGAGGAACAGCAGACACTGGGGCCTATTGGAGGGTGGATGGTGGGAGGAGGGAGAGGATCAGGAAAAGTAACTAATGGGTACTAGGCTTAATACCTGGGTGATTACATAATGTATAAACTCCCGTGACACGAGTTTACCTATGTAACAAACCTGCACGTGTACCTCTGAACTTAAAATAAAAGGTTTTTTTTCTCTTTTTAAAAAAAAGAAAATAGGAGGCTCCAGATGACAAGTGAATATGCAGGGGTCTTTCTGTGCATAGTTTCAGGGCTTTTGAAGATTCCCTAAGTCCCATAAGCATATGTGCATGTGAAAAAATTGCCCAAGATAAGAAGAACCACCCCAGAGCACAAGAGGGAACCGTACTCGACACTCACACAGAACACTCACACAGAACTCAACAGAGCCTATTCTCACCTGTCAGTTGAAAAACCTCATAACTCATGGGGCACTGGGGAGAGTACTCAAAAGAGTCTTGCTTCAACAGTGGGAATAATTATCCCTTTACAAAATGCAGCTCTCGTCACTCCTAACAAATCTAAGAAGCAAGACTTGAAATGACGGAACTGTTTTCCAGCAATTTAATTGTGTCCCAGAACAAAGATCAAACATTTTAATAAAAATACAAAAATAGGCAGCACCCAATAAAGTCAAATTCACAATGTCTGGCATTTGATAAAAAATTACCAAGCATTTAAAGAAGCAGGAAAATGCAACCCCAAAATGAGGAGAAAAGTCAATCAAAACCAACCGAGAACTGACACTGAGGTTCGAATTAGCAGACAAAAAACATTCAAAAAGTTATTATAACTGTATTCTATTTGTTAAAGAAAAATGAGAGGAAAGATTGAACAGGTTAAGTGGAATCAGAGAAGATATCAAAAAGACCCAAATAAAAAATCTATTAAAATGTCAACATCTGAGATGAACAATAAACTGGGTGGGAATAATAGCTGACTAGATATTGTAGGAGAAAGGACCAGTGGACTTGAAGATATATCAATAAAAATTATCCAAAATGAACCACAGAAAGCCAGGTGAGGTGGCTCATGGCTGTAATCCCAGCACTTGGGAGGCCAAGGTGGGTGGATCACTTGAGGCCAGGAGTTCAAGACTAGTCTGGCCAACATGGTGAAACCCTGTCTCTACTAAAAATACAAAAATTTGCTAGGCATGGTGGTGCATGCCTGTGGTCCCAGCTACTTGGGAGGCTGAGGCATGAGAATCGCTTGAACCCAGGAGGCAGAGGTTTCAGTGAACCAAGATCATGCCACTGCACTCTGGCCTAGGTGACAGAGCGAGACCCTGTCTCAAACAAAACAAAACAAACAAACAAAAACCAAAATGAGCCACAGAGAAAAAAGATATTCAATTAAAAAAATGAACAAAGCATCATTGATCTGTGGGACAAGTTCAAGCAGCCTAATACGTAGGTAAATGGAGTTTCCAAAGGAGAGGAGAGAAAGGGGGTAAGGGAAAGCAAAAAATCATTGGAAAGAAAAATACTCAAACAAAAAAATGACTGTATTTTTAAAAATTTGAGCCAAGACTTTCACTGAACTCCAAGCACAGAAGCATGAGGAAAGCTACACCAAGTTACACCATAATCAGATTGCTCAAAACCAATGGGAAAGAGAAAATCTTAAAAAGAGCCAGAGGAAAAAAAGACACAGTGTATGAAGGAACAAAGTAAAGATGACAGCAGATTTCCAATGGAAAACAATGCAAGTGAGAAGACAGTGGAGCAACATCTTTAAAGTATTAGAAAAATAAAAAACTATTGATCTAGAATTCTATACCCAGAAAAAATATCTTTTAAAAGAGAAGGTAAAATAAACACTTTTTCAAGGCCAGGTGCAGTGGCTCTTGCCTATAATCCCAGCATTTTGGGAGGCTGAGGATTGTGGATTGCCTAAATCCAGGAGTTCAAGACCAGCCTGGGCAACACAGTGAAACCCTGTCTCTATAAAAAAATTAGCCAGGCACAGTGGCTTGCCCCTGTGGTCCCAGCTACCCAGGAGGCTGAGATGGGAGGATTGCTTGAGCCTGGGAGGTTGAGGCTGCAGTGAGCCATGATTGTACCACTGCACTCCAGCCTGGGCAACAGAGTAAGACCACGTCTCAAAATATATATATTATAAAGACTTTTTCAGACATACAAAAGCCAAAATAATTCACTATCAGCAGACTCACACAGTAAGAAGTGTTCAAGAAAGTTCTTTAGGCAGAAGAAAAAATGGTATCGTGTGGGATATGAAATTACACAGAAGAATGAAGAGCACCTGACATGATCACTCTAAAGATTAAAAATGCAAACTTTTTTCTTATTATTTAAATCTCTTTAAAAGATAATTGACTACTTACGCCTGTTAGAATGGCTGTTAACCAAAAAGTTGAAAGAGAACAATTGTTGGTGAGGATGTAGAGAAAATGGAATCTTGTACATGATTGGTAGGTATGTAAACTAGTATAGCCATTATGGAAAACAATATAGAGATTCTTCAAAAAACTAAAAATAAAGCTACCATATGATCCAGCAATTCCACTTCTGAGAACATAGCCAAAAGAATTGAAATCATTGAAGAGACATCTCCATTCCCTGTTCATTGCAGCGTTATTCACAATTCATTATTGCAGATGAGATACGGAATAAATCCAAGTGTCCATCAGTGAATGAATGATAAAGAAAACGTGGTATATAAACACAATGGAATACTATTCAGCCTTTAAAAATAGGAAAATCCTGTCATTTGCAACAACATGGAGGAAACTGGGAGGCCTTCTGCTAAGTGAAATAAGCCAGGTACAGAAAGACAAATACTGCATGATATCACTTATATGTGGAATCTAAAATAACTGAACTCATAGAATCAGAGAGTTCAATGGTGGTTACCAAAGGCTGGGGTGGGAGGGCAGGAAATGGGGAAATATTGGTCAAAATGTACAAAGTTTCCATTAGACTAGAGGAATAAGTTTTGGAGAACTGTTATACAGCATGGACTATAGCTAATAATCCTGCATTATATATTTGAAAATTGCCAAGAGAATAGATTGTAAATGACCTCATCACAAAAATAAGTATGTGAGGCAATGAATATATTAGCTTGAATTAATCATTTCACTATATATATACACACACATATATTTAAAAAATCATATTGTACCCTATAAACATATACAATTATTGTTTGTTAATTTTTTAAAAAATCTAAGAGATATCGGACTAAACAAAATCAATAACAAGGTAATGAGGAATTTATAGTATACATAGAGGTAAAATGTATGAAAATAGCACAAATGCTGAGAGAGGAGAAATGAAAGAATACTATTTTTTTTTTTTTTTTTTGAGACAGAGTCTTGCTCTGTCGCCCAGGAGTGCAGTGGCGCGACCTTGGCTCACTGCAAGCTCCGCCTCCCGGGTTCACGCCATTCTCCTGCCTCAGCCTCCCTAGTAGCTGGGACTGGAGGCGCCCACCACCACGCCCGGCTAATTTTTTTGTATTTTTAGTAGAGACGGGGTTTCACCGTGTTAGCCAGGATGGTCTTGATCTCCTGGCCTCGTGATCCACCCACCTTGGCCTCCCAAAGTGCTGGGATTACAGGCGTGAGCCACCGCACCCAGCCTGAAAGAATACCATTTTAGGGTTCTTATACTATTTGTGAAATGGTATAATATTCCTTGAAGGTAGAATGATAAGTTAAATATGCATGCTATAGACCTTAAAGCAGGGACCAAGATAGCAAAACAAACAGTTGTAGCTAACAAGCAAATAAAGAAGAGAAAATGAAATTAATTAATCCAAAAAGAGGGGGAAAATAGAGGAGAAAGGGAACAAAGAACGAATGGGACAATTAGAAAACAAATACTGAGATACTAGATTTGAACCTAACTATATCAATAATAGCATTAAATATAAATGATCTGAACATCTCCATTGAAAGATAGAGATGTTAGGTTGGATGAAACAGTAAGACCCAACTATATGCTGCCTATAAGAAACTGACTTTAAATATGGGGACACAAATAGGTTAAAAGTAAAATTATAGAAAAATATATATCATGTTAATACTAATAAAAAGAAAGCTGCAATGGCTATATTAATGCCATACAAAGTATATTTCAAAGCAAATAATTTGACAATGGATAAATAAAGTCATTTCATAATAATAAAGAAGTCAATTCAACAAAAGGACATAACAATTCTAAGTATATATGCACCTTATAAAGAGGTTAAAGTAGAAGAAACAGAAACTGATAGAATTCCAAGGAGAAACAGACAAATCCACAGTTATAATCAGAGATTTCTATACTCCTCTTTCAAGAATTGATAGGACTAGTGGAAAAAAATCAGTGAGCATACAGAAAGTCTGAACAGAATTATCAACCAACTTGATCTAATTGATATTCATAGAACACACCACTCAAAACAGCAAAATACATATTCTTTTCAAGTATACATGAAATGGTTGCAAGATAGACTATAGTCTCAATATAGTCTCAATAAATTTAAAATGATTCAAGTCATACAAAGAATGTTCACTGACCATGATGGAATTAAATTGGAAATCAATAAGAGAAAGATCTCCAGAAAAATCACCCAAACACTTGGAAATGTAATAACACACTTCTAAATAACTCAAGGATCAAGGAAGAAATTAAAAGGGAAATTAGAAAATATTTTAATGGAATGAAATTAAACACACAACATATCAAAATTTGTGGCATGCTGATAGAGCAGTTCTTAGGTGGAAATTTGCAGCACTAATATGTTATTAGAAAAGGAAAAAAGTTCCCAAATCCTGGACCTCAGCTTCCACCTAAAGAAACTAGAGAAACGGGAGCAGAATAAAACCAAAGGAAGCAGAAGAAAGGAAATAATAAAACTCAGAGAGGAAATAAATGAAATAGAAAGCAGAAAAACCTGAGAAAAATCAGTAAACCCAAAAGCTGGTTATTGAGAAGATCAATAAAATTGATAAGCGTCTAGTCACACTAGTCAAAAAAGAGGGAAGATACAAATTACAATACCAAGAATGAGAGGTGGCATTACTACAAATTCTATGGATACTAAAGAGACAATAAAGGAAAAATATGAATAACTTTGGGCTAATAATTCCATGAGTTAAAAAAATAGACAAATTCCTTGAAAGATGTTAGCTACCAATGGTCACTCAAAAAGAAATAAATAAGAAATAGATGTAAATCCATATCTATTAAAGAAATTGAATTATACCTAGAAAACTTCTCTCAAAGGAAACCTCAGGCTTCACTGGTGAATTCTACCAAATATTTAAGAAAGAATAATATCGATTCTGCACAATCTTTTCCAGAAAACTGAAGAGGAGGGAATACTCCCCTACTCATACTATGAAGCCAGCGTCACCCGTATACCTAAATCAGAAAATTACAAGAAAGAACACTACAACTAATACCCCTCATAAACATAGATGTAAAAATTCATAACAAAATTTTATCAAATTGGATCCAATAACATATCAAAAGGATGATACATCATAACCAGGTAGGATTTATTCCAGGAATGCAAATTTGGCTTAACATTGAAAATTAATCAATGTAATTCACTCTGTTAACAAACTAGGATCAGGAATAAGACAAGGATGTCTGCTCTCACCACTTCTATTCAACACTGTACTGGAAGTCCTCACGAGAGCAATGAGGGAAAAATAAATAAATAAATAAATAAATGGCATTCCGATTAGAATGAAAGAAGTAAATCTGTTGCAGATGACATAATCTTGTGCGTAGAAAAACTAATTTGCACTGTAATTTATTACTGAGTTTAGCAAGATTGCAGGATACAAGATTAACATTCAAAATTCAATTCTATTTCTGTGTATTATCAATGAACAATACAGAAACTGAAAATTTTAAAAACAACATTCACATCAGCATCAAAAGACATGAAAACACTGAAACACAGTGCAAACGCTGAAAAATGATGTGCAAAACGTGCACACTGAAAATTATGAAACATTGCCGAAGTGCAAGAAAACCTAAATGAATGGAGAGGTATACTATGTTCATGAGTTAGAAGACTCAACATTGTTAAGATGTCAGCTCTCCCCAGATTAACCCATAGAGTCAATGTAATCCAATCAAAATCCCAGTCTTTTGTGTAAGACTGATAAGCTGATTCTAAGAGTTGCATGAAATGCAAAGGACCTAGAATAGTCAAAGCAACCCTGAAAAACCGTGAAGTGGGAGGACTTAACACTCCCTGATATCAAGACTTAGCATAAAGCTACAGTAACCAACACTGTGTGGCATGGGCTTAATGATAGACACATAGATCAATGGAATACAAAAGGAAATCCAGAAATAGATACACATGTGTATGGACAACTGATGTTTGACAAAGATGCAAATGCAATTCAGTGGAGAAAGAACAGTTTTTTTATGGAATGGTGCTGAAACAATTGAATATCTACTTGCAAAAACAAAGAAAGAAAGACCTATCTATACTTTATACTATATTTTAAAAATGAGCTCAAAATGGATCATAGATCTAAATGTAAAATCTAAATCTATGAAATTCCTAGAAGAAAACGTTGGAGAAAATCCTTATGACCTTGGGTTAGGCAAATATTTCTTAGCTGCAACACCGAAAGCATGGCTCATAAAAGAGGTGGATAAATTGGACTTTATTAAAAATTAAAAAAACCCACTTGTACTATTCAAAAGACAATGTTAAGAGAATGAAAATACAAGCCACATAATAGGAGGAAATTTTTTCAAATCCTGTATCTGATAAAGGACTTATATCCAAAATACGTAAGGAACTCTCAAAAACTCAAATAAGAGAGCGCCCAACTTATTTTTTTAAATGGGCGAGATTTGAAGTCATTTCACCAAATCACATATTCGGATGGTAAATAATCATGTGAAAAGATGTTTGATAGAAAACATGTCGGGGTTGGCTGGGGGAAGTGAGAGCATCAGGAAGAATAGCTAATGGATGCTAAACTTAACACCCAGGTGATGGGTTGATCTATGCAGCAAACCACCATGGCACATGTTTACCTATGTAACAAACCTGCACATCCTGCACATGTAGCCCAGAACTTAAAATAAAAGTTGAAGGGGAAAAAAAAAAAGAAAACATGTCAGTCTTGGCAACAATAGTGAGACCTCTTCTCTACAAAAAATAAAACAATTAGCTGGCTGTGGTGGCATACACCAGTAGTCCCAGCTACTTGGGAGGCTGAGAGAGGAGGATTGCTTGAGCCTAGGAGGTCCAAGCTGCAGTAAGCCATGATGGCACCGCTGCACTCCCACCTGGGTGACAGAGTGAGACCCTGTCTCACACACACAAAAAAGTAAAACATGTCACTAGAAAAATGCAAATTAAAGCACAAGGAGATACCTATCATTACACATCTATTAGAATGGCTGGTATTTGAAAGACTGATCATAGCAGGTGTTGGTGCTGAGTGTGGGGAATGACTGGGTCTCTTATGTGCTGCTGGTGGGCATGGAAGCTGGTACAAACATTTTGGAAAAGAGTTTGGCAATTTCTAACAAAGTTAAACATACACGTACCACATAACCCATGAGGAAAAAAAAGCATGTGTCCCATCTATTCATACAAAGACTTGTACACAAATATTCATAGCAGACTTATTTGTAATAGCCCCAAACTGGAATCAACCAAATGTCCTTCAGCTGGTGATTGATGAACAAATTATGGTATATTCATGCAATGGAGCAATAAGAAGGAACACGCTCTAACATATGAGACTGCGTAGATACATAGCAATATAATTAGGCAGAGTGAAAAAACCATCAGTAAATACTGTATGGTTGCTTTTATATGAAATTCTAGAAAATGCAAACTAATCTTTAGTAACAGAAAGCAGACCAGTGGTTGCCTGGAGAAGAGGGTGGGTTGGAGGAAGGAAAAATTACAAAGAGTCTCTTTTGCTTGTAGTGTTGGTTTCACAGGTGCATCCACGTGTCAAAATGCATCTAACTGTACAAGCTTACTGTAGCTCAGTAGAGCTGTTTTAATTTTTATCTTAAAAAAAAATTTCTTTTTTTGAGATGGAATTTCACTCTGTCGCCCAGGCTGGAGTGCAATAGTGTGATCTCTGCTCACTGCAACCTCCGCCTCCTGGGTTCAAATGATTCTCCCGCCCTCAGCCTCCCTAGTAGCTGGGATTACAAGCACTCACCACCACGCCCAGCTAATTTTTGTGTTTTCAGTGGAGACAGGGTTTCACCATGTTGGCCGGGCTGGTCTCAAACTCCTGACCTCACGTGACCTGCCTGCCTTGGCCTTCCAAAGTGCTGGGATTACAGGTGTGAGCCACTGCACCCAGCCTTTTTAAAAATGTTTTTGTAGAGACAGGGTCGCTGTTGCTCAGGCTGGTCTCAAACTCCTCGCCTCAAGTGATCCTCCCTCCTTGGCCTCCCAAAGTTCTGGGACTACAGGCATAAGCCGCCACACCCGGCCAAAGCTGTTTGTAAAAGCCACGTACACTTATTGGTTACTTGCTATTCACAAACTATTACTTATTATTAATAAAAACCTTTTTTGGAACCACAGACATACATTCATTTGTTCACTCAAAAGCATTTTTTGAGCACCTACTGTGTGTCAGCTACTGTAATAAGGTCTGAGAATACTTCAATCAACAAAATACACATGATATTTTTGACCTCTTAGAATTCACATTCTTGGGAGGGAAAAGTGGAGAGTGGGGAGATAAATGCTAGTAAATAAATATCTGGCCAGGCGCAGTGGCTCACGCCTGTAATCCCAGCACTTTGGAAGGGCGAGGTGGGTGGATCACTTGAGGTCAGGAGTTGAAGATCAGCCTGGTCAACCTGGTGAAACCCAATCTCTACTAAAAATACAAAAATTAGCTGGGTATGGTGGTGCACACCTGTAATCCCAGCTACTTGGGAGGCGGAGACAGGAGAATCGCTGGAACCAGGGAGGCAGAGGTTGCAGTGAGCTGAGATCGCGCCACTGCACTCCAGCCTGGGCAAAAGAGCGAGATTCCATCTCAAATGATAATAATAATAATAATAATAATAATAATAATAATAATAATAATAAATAAATATCTCATATATTAGACAATGATAGGTACTCTAATGGGAAAGAAAAAGCAGGGTTAGGGGATGGGGTGTGGGGTGGGGTGGAGCTGTCATTTTAAGCAGAGTGTCAAGGAAGGCCTGAATGATAACGTGACATTTGAGCATCAACGTAAAGAAGCTGAAGAAGCCAGGTGTGGTGGTATTTTGGAGAAGAGACTTCTTGACAGAAGGAAGGACACGTGCAAAGGTCCTGAGGTGCGAGTGTGCTTGGAGAACCTAGAAATAGCAAGAAGCCCAGTGTGGTCGGAGCAGAGTGAGGGAGGGGGTGAGTAGTAGAAGATGAGTTCAGGGCTGGGGCAGGTCAAGTTCAACCATTGGAAGGATTTGGTCTTTTACAAATGTTCAATGGACCATGCTCCTAGAAAGAGGGACCATAAGTCAGTTAGCATTTTCCGTGGATCTACCATGTGCCTTTTGCCTCAGAAGTCAGAAAGTCCAGGAGCCTGCTTTATCCTACTCCCCCAGTGGGCTAATACCTGAATGGCCCCCAGCACCATGCCTGGCACACAATTGGCATTACGAAATGTCACTTGTGATTATCAGGTTGTGGGAGGAGATTGAGACAGGCTTTTCAGAAAGAAGCATATGAGCTAGGCTTGGAAGGGTTATTAGTATATTCTAGAACCTTTATAGTTGAAAACTGTGATATCTAGAGGAAGCCAGAGGGAACAGTAGGCTGTGAGTTCGCTGAGAGCATGGTCTCTGTGTCTCTTGTTAGCCTCCATCTGCAGGGCCTGACACAACATCTATATGTTTGTTGAATGAATACATGACAGAAGGAAGGAACAAATGAATAAATGTGTCTGGGGCAGAGCCAGACGCAGACCTTCCTTTTCTTTTTTCTTTTTTTTTTGAGACAAAGTCTTGCTTCATCACCCAGGCTGGAGTGCAGTGGTGTGATCTTGGCTCACCCCAACCTCCGCCTCCCGGGTTCAAGGCTCACTGCAATCTCCGCCTCCCGGGTTCAAGCGATTCTCATGCCTCAGCCTCCCAAGTAGCTGGGATTACAGGCATGTGCCACCATGCCCAGCTAATTTTTGTATTTTTATTAGAGACGGGGTTTCACCATGTTGGCCCGGCTGGTCTCGAACTCCTGACCTTGAGTGATTCACCTGCCTCAGCCTCCCAAAGTGCTGGGATTACAGGCGTGAGCCACGGCGCCCGGCCAGACCTTCCTTTTCTATCCAGGAGCTGCCTGGATCCCTGCAAGACTTCAGCTCCTAGAATCAGAGAAACCAGGTTCCAAATCCCAGCCCCACCCTTTTCCTGTGAGACTGTGGGGAGGTTACTTGACTGCTTGAAATCTCAGTGTTGTCCTCAGCAAAATGGGGACAATAATAACATCTACTTCACAAGGTGATCATGAAGATAAACTATGACAGTCTGGAGTGCCCTACGTGGTGCTGGACACATAGCAAGTACCCAACGGGTATTAAACCCGGCTTTTATTGGGTAGTGCCTGGTAGCAGGCACTGTGCTAGGGGCTTTTCATGGATTAAATCTAAATTTAAGAGTTACAACAGCCTTTTGAAGTAGGTACCATTATTATCAACCCGTCTAACAAATGAGAACCCAGAAGCTCAGAGGGGTTCACAGAGTTGCCTGAAGCCACACAGCTCAGAAGCGTGGAAGCTGGGATTTGAACCAGAGTCTGTGCTTGTCGCCGCTGTTCTGTTCTGTTAGGTCTCTCTAACTCTATCTCTTTCTCTCCCAGACTAGGGGTTGGGGCTTTGTTCATGAGGCAGCAGAGAGCTGTGCACAGCTCTTGAGGAGGAAATTGGGGAGCCAACCCTTTCCACCCCTCTTCTGTGGAAGGCTGGAGTCCCATATGGAAACTGAAGAGGTGAGGGGTGTTTTGTGTACGAGAACTCACCCATGACCCTCCCTCCTCCACACCCTCTCAGCTGAGCTTGCTGTGCCCTTGTGGGAACTGGGGGGAACATGCCCCCCACAGCCACGCTATCCCTGTGCTGGGCAAGAGTAGCTGGGTGTGCTTTTTGAGTTGCTAGGTGGCCGGCCCGTTGGGTTCATTGGCCTGCTCTCCTAGAGGGACTCTTGCTGGCTGTGACCTGCCTGGGCAGGGAGAAGACCAAAGAGGTGCCTCAGGCTGGTCATCTGGGCGGGGTGTACGGAGGCCGTAATTGCTGGGCACCAAAGTCCAGGCTGGGCCCTTCTATGAAGACATTTATAGCCAGCCGGCCTGGGGGACCATTCAAGTGGTTTTCTCTCTTTTGTGTCCCTTTAATAAACGAGAAGAAGAGACATCAAATTAAAGCTGATTCTGGACAAACTTGGCTTTGCTGAGAGGCTCTGGGGAGGTCAGGGGAAGGTTATTCTGCTTGCTGACCCTGAGGCCTGGGTGTTTTACCACATGCTTTGAAAATGTAGACTCGGACGTCAGGGCCAGTTGGGCCTTTGAAGTCACCCAAGCCAACTCTCAGCCCTGTGCAGGGATCCCCTGAGCAGTCTCTGGTTGCAGCCTTCCAGGGATGGGGAACTCACTACTACCTTTCTTTTCTTTCTTTTTTTCTTTCTTTCTTTCTTTTTTTTTTTTTTTGAGACAGAGTCTCACTTTGTTGCCCAGGCTGGAGTGCAGTGGTGCCATCTCGGCTCACTGCAACCTCCACCTCCCGGGTTCAAGCAATTTTCTTGCCTCAGCCTCCCAGGAGCTAGGACTACAGGTGCCTGCCACCACGTCTGGCTAATTTTTGTATTTTTAGTAGAGATGGGGTTTCACCATATTGGCCAGGCTGGTCTCGAACTCCTGGCCTCAGGTGATCCACCCACCTCAGGCTCCCAAAGTGCTGGGATTACGAGCCACCGTGCCCGGCTGGGGAACTCACTACCTTTCAGAGCAATCATGCCATTAATAGGCAGCTCTCCATAGTCTCTCTGCTTAGGGGGCTTTGGAAACAGGTGGATTGAGGTAAAATCCCAGCTCGGATACCCTGAGCAATGGCTGTCATCTCTGTGAATTTCAGCTTCCTCCTCTGCCAGGAATCATTCATTCCTGCATTCATGTATTCCGCAGATATTTTGTCTTTGGCTGGGCCTCCCCGGAAGCAGACTGGAGACAAGGATTGAAGTGAAGTAGTTTGGAAGGGAAGCTCAGGAAGGACCTTGGGGAAGAGGAGATTGAGACAGGGAAGGTATTGTGAATCGAATCGTGTGTCCCCCACAAAAAGAGTCCTAACTTCTGACACCTGGGAATGTGACCCTGTACTTGGAAATAGGGTCTTGCAGATGCGATCAAGTTGAGGTCAGTCATATTGGGTTAGCATAGGAATGGGGTCATGCCGGTGTGATCAAGTTGAGGTCGGTCATATTGGGTTAGTGTAGGCCCTGATCCAGTGACCGGTGTCCTTATTGAATGAAGGGAACTGGGGCTCATTGCCACACAGAGAGGGTAGGGGGACACGTGAAGGCATAGAGACACACATGGGGGACGCCATGTGACGATGGAGGGAGACGGCATGACGCTGACACGAGCCAAGGAGCACCCAGGATTGCCAGCAAACACCAGACGTTGAGAGGCACGGAACAGATTCTCCCTCTGAGTCCCCAAGAAGGAACCAATGCTGCCAACATCTTGATTTCAGACTTCTACCCTCCTCAGCTATGAGAGAGTCCATTTCTGTTGCTTTAAGCCACCTCGTTGGTGGAAGTTTGCTACGGCAGCCCTAGGACACTAGAAGAAAAGGGGAGAGAGTCAACATAGGGCAGTGTGCATGTACAACAGGTTCCAATGTGGGAAACTGAGGCCCAGTCCCTTGGGGGTGCTCGGGGAGACGGGGGAACGTGCCTCGGAGTTACCCCATCTTAGGGGAAGGAGCTGGGATCTTTTTCACCAGCTTCCATCTGTCCCTGCCCGAAGGGTGCTCCTGGGGAACACCCACCCCTGACACTTATGGTCTGACCAATGTGTGGACAGGGCAGGCTCAGGCTGCCAAAAAGTCCCTAGGTGAGAATTGCAGGTGCTGCCAGTTGGGAGTGTTGGGAGTCAGGGTGCGCAGGAAGGGGAGGCTGCGGGGGTGTGGGTGGACCAGCAACAGTGTCCGTCAGGTCTTTACTGAGGGCCTACTGTGTGGCGCAGGCGCCATTGTAAACACATGGAGTGCAGCTCCACAACTGACACTCAGAGAGGGAGGCAGATGGTGACGAGCAAGCCCCGAGGCAGCGGATAATGCCCAACAGAGCAGGCAGTGAACACACAGCGGTAGGTGGTTGGCCAAGGTCCCTGGGGGACACGTGGATGGCGTTCATTCTGCCCGGATGGTCAGAACAGGCTTCTCTGAGGAAGTAGCCTCTGGGACTGAGACCTGCATGTTGAGAAAATAAAAAATTCAGACATCTGGTGAAACAGCGTTCCAGGCCAGGGAACAGCCAGTGCGGAGGCCCTGAGGGCATGGAGGGCCATGGTGAAGATGAAATGAGCAAGAGGACCCGGCGTCGGCCTGCTGCGGAGGAGGCTGGCAGAACTGGCTTCACTCCCCCCATGTCAGGCTTCTGACGCTGGTGCTGCTCTCCAGCCACCCAGAGCAGTCACTCCACTTCCTGGTCTGAGGGAAGCCCTGCGAGGCCCTGGGCACAGGAGTCAGAGGGGGAAGGACTTGGACTCCCCCGTCCCCGCCCCTCACAAGCCTTTGACCTTGGACGAGGCGTTAGCGCTGAACCTCACTTTCTCACTCTGTAAGATGGCCGTCATAACTGCATGCACTTCTTCAGACTGGTGTGACGCTTAAAGACTGCCTTTTCCCCAGGGGTCCCTAAAGGGAGTGGGGGTCCCTAAATGGAGGTGCAAGTCCCTCTGTGCTTGGATTTCCACTGTTCACTCCTGCAGGATGCTGGACAGTGGTCAACAAATGCTTTCTGGGGTGAAGGAGAGTCATTGGTGTCCAATTAATTGGAATAACACTAATACATCTTTATACATCTTTAATTCACCAGTTTATAAAACACAAACTGGGAATGAACAAGACCCCTGGAGAGAAAAAATGAATGAGAAGGTGGGGGCTGGGCTGTCTCCCACCCCCCGCCACCACCAGCCTTCTGTATGCATTTACCCTTTAGGTCCTCACAGCAGGAATGGGGCTGGGGTTGGATTGTTTTTAATTTCAATTTTTTGGTTACAAAATTAGTACATGCTTATTGGTTTAAAATTTTTCAGGCTGGGAGCTGCGGCTCACGCCTGTAATCCCAGCACTTTGGGAGGCTGAGGCGGGCTGATCATGAGGTCAGGAGATCGAGACAGCCTGGCCAAGATGGTGAAACCCTGTCTCTACTAAAGATACAAAAATTAGCCAGGTGTGGTGGTGTGTGCCTGTAATCCCAGCTACTCGGGAGGCTGAGGCAGAAGAATTGCTTGAACTCGGGAGGCAGAGGTTGCGTGAGCCAAGATGCCGAGATCACGCCACTGCACACCAGCCTGAATGACGGAGCAAGACTCCGTCTCAAAAAAAAAAAAAAAAAAAATTCAAAGAGTGTATAGAGTAGGAAATGAAAATCATCCACCTCTCCCTCTCCATGACCCTTCTACCACCTGTTTGGGGCATTTCCTTCCAAGCTTTTGCATGCATAGCGAACATATAAATAAAGGGGTTTGCTTTTGTTTTTGTTTTTAACAAACATGGGAACAGATTTGCCCTTTTAACTTAATATACCCTGGATGTCTTCCCTTATCAATGATCACAAGGTAGATATGATGGCCTCATGTTATTGACTAAAATGGCTGGGAGAGGTCAAGGCTTTTGCTCAAGATCACACACAGGTGAGTGGCAGAGCTGGGCCTGGGATCCGGGTCTGTCTGAATCTGGAGCAGCAGGCCTCTGTGCTGTGCGGAAACACAGTCATCAGCCGTTCTTAGCATCTCGGCACCTCCTGGTAAGAGGAACTTGTTTCTGGAGGTAGACAGCTGAGAGAGGCAGGAGATAGGGCAGAAACAGTGATTGTGGGGCTGGGAACATTGTTCCAGGACTAGGGGCCCAGCCAGGGAAGGCACAGCCCCCTGCAGGTCTGGGCGGGTAATGCAAAGGGGCCAGGAGGAAGGGGGCTGGGTGCTGGGACCTCTTAAGTGGCCCCTGTTGTCTCTGCCAGGCTCCCACCAGGCATACTCACCTTCTTTTTTTGAGACAGGGTCTCATCTGTCACCCAGGCTGGAGTGCAGTGGTGCAATCATAGCTCACTGCAGCCTTGAACTCCTGGGCTCAAACGATCCTCTGGCCTCGGCCTCCCAAAGTACTGAGGTAGACTGCAGGTGTGAGCCACCATCCTTGGACACTCACCTTCTTGATGCTATCTTTGCCCCTTGTCTATCTGAGCCAGCCTGAAGCTCTGAGCCCCCTCCAGTGGGCCTGGCTGGCCTGCAGCCTCTCTCCCATCCTGTCCATGGCTCAGCCGCTATGTGGGCAAAGTAGTCAGCGTTGCCTGCTTCCCACCCCGTATAGGCTCAGAGGCATTAGTCTGGCCTCTCTCTAAGGGATGCCGGGATTCCCTGGAGCACCCGGCAGGTGGTCATTCAACTTTTGTTTGGATGACTTCAGAGATGGGTAGCTCATTACCTTCCAAGGAAGCTGGTTCCATCTTGAATGACTACAATGGGTGGTGGGGAACAAGCTTGGGCCCTGAGGCAGAGCCAGGTGTGTGGGGAGACTGGAGGAGCTGATTGATGCATATAAGTCTGCTCCAGTTGTGTGTGAGAGGAGGGAGTCGGTGAGCCTCAGTTTCCCCCTCTGGCTTCCTTTGGATCAGTGTTGACCTAACTGCAGGTCACAAACTATGAATGAGTCATGACATTAATTTAGTGAGTTGTGACCAGCATTTTTAAAAAGGAATAGAACAGAATAAGATAGAAAATATCAGCATGCATTTCAAGAATTTAGAGGTATCTCTTTCTTGAGACTTTTGCTGTTGGCGTGGGGGCCGCATGCTGGTACAGTGGGCACAGAGGTGTCTTATGGGATGGGTGGGGGCAGGGGCCTCCAGCAGCTCTGAGGGTGGCCTGGAGGGGCCTCTTCCTGCCCACCCTGCACACGCATCCGAGTCCAAGCAGGGGCCCCAGGGGCGGTGGGAACAGGGAGACCCTCTCAGCTCTCCCCTGTGCATCTCGTGGGCTTGGAGTAGTCCCATAAATCGTCTGCCCGGAGTCAGGGGCATAGAACTCCCTGATTTATGCCCCGCCAGGTCCGCCCCCTCTGCCTCCCTCTCGGGCTTTGTGGGGCCAAGGCCTGGCAGGCTGCTGGCTCCAGACGGCCCCTGCGGTTGCCGTGGCGACAGGTTCAGGCTGGGCCATTATCCCGGCTCCCTCACCGCTTCCCGCCCTCAGGCAACCCTCCCTCCCTCGCTCGCATCAGGGCTGGCATTTGAACAGCACCGCGGGCTTCTTCTCCATAAGCCTGGCCCCTCCTGCAGGATGCCCCCCAAGTCCAGTGGGACCCATGCATCCCTGTCACAGTGAAGTGCAGACTTGGAACTCACTAAGGCAAGGAAGGGGTGCTGAGCAAGTGCCTGGCCAGCATGCGGATCCCGCTTCTCCACTTCAAGGCTGGCCGTCGCAGTACCAGCCTCATGGGCTCACTGTAAAGAACTCGTGAGGGTCTACAGGGAAAGGGCTGGTCCCTGAGACCCCTGCAAGTCTCCATTGCCTCATCTGTAAAGTGAGTGTAATGACATTCACATTCATTGCTCTCTCCCAGGACCTGCAGCAGTGTCGGGCACACGGTAGGTGCTCAATGGATGTGAGTGGATAAATGAATCCCATAGATCATTGTAAAAGTTCTTAAATGAGAACATAAGCATGGCGAGTTGAAGGTGGCCATCAGTGCTTTGACAAGCTTCTTACTGAGATGGGGGGATTCACTTCCCGTGCCCCTGGGATCTGGACCCACGTTATGTTCGTCTGTAGCCAACAGAATGCAGCAGGAGTGACGCTGCTGCCCTCCAAGGCCAGGGCAGAAGGACCTTGCTGCTTCTGTGTTAGTCTCTAGGAGACGCCAGCCACCATGTAAGAAACGGATAAACCCTCACACCTGTAATCCCAGCACTTTGGGGGCTGAGGCGGGCGGATCACCTGAGGTCGGGAGTTTGAAACCAGCCTGACCAACATGGAGAAACCCCATCTCTACTAAAAATGCAAAATTAGCTAGGCATGGTGGTGCACACCTGTAATCCCAGCTACTCGGGAGGCTGAGGCACTTGAGCCTGGGAGGCAGAGGTTGCGGTGAGCCAAGATCATGCCATTGCACTCCAGCCTGGGCAACAAGAGTGAAACTCTGTCTCAAAAAAAAAAGAAAAAACAAAAGAAACTGATGACCCTGGGAACTCCATGCTGGCGAGGCCACGTGGAGGCCCTGACCTGCAGGAAGAGAGAGAGGGAGGTACCCAGCCAGGCCCCAGCTCTTCCAGGCATTTGGAATCATCCCAGCTGAGGCAGAGATGAGTAGTCTCCACTGAGCCCTGTCCAAATTACCGATGCATGAACACAAAAGTATAACTTATTGTTCTAATCAACTTTGGATTGATTTGTTCTGCAGCATGGATTTGCTAGAACAGAATTAAAACCCTGAGCTCCATGCCTAGCACACAATAAGTGCTCAGTGAAGTAGTAGTGGGTAATAGTAATAGTAGTAGTTGTTGTTGCTGATGCTGCTGGGAAGCAAAATAGCCTAATAATTCAGAATCGAGGCTCTGGAGTCAGGATGCTTGGGTCTGAATCCCAGTCGCTAATTCTGCAATCCTGGACAAGTTACTTTCCCTCTGTAGGCCTCAATTTCTTCATCTGTGTAAAAGTAGTAACGGGATGCGGATGTGGCAGCTCATGCCTGTAATCTCAGCACTTTGGGA
This sequence comes from Homo sapiens, assembly GCF_000001405.40. NCBI lineage: Eukaryota > Metazoa > Chordata > Mammalia > Primates > Hominidae > Homo > Homo sapiens. The sequence continues at coordinate 22,320,295 of NC_000001.11, forward strand.
GCTGAAGTGGGTGGATCCTCTGAGTTCAGGAGTTTGGGACCAGCCTGGACAAGAAACAGAGACCCCCTCTCCACAAAAAACTAAAGAGTTACCCAGCTGTGATGGTGCATGCCTGCAGTTTCAGCTCCTCGGGAGGATCACTTGAGCCTGGGAGGATGAGGCTGCAGTGAGCCATGATCATGCCACTGCACTCCAGCCTGAGTGACAGAGCAAGACCCTGTCTCCAAAGAAAAAAAGAAAAGAAAAAAGTAATGATAGTTGACTACATTGTAGGGTTATTGAGAAGATCACATGAGACCATGCTATACACCCTGTTGACACAAAGCCCGTGCTGGCACATGACAGCCACCACCCTCAGCATGGGCATCATCCTCATTATCTTCAATTAGATGTTGAAAGTGCGTGCTCTCATTTTATAAGACCCTGAAGGAGTCAGAGTTGGGAGGAACAAAGCGATTGTTTGCAACCCTCCATCACCAGATGGGATTGGGTTGCTGGTGGAGGCTTTGAATTATGCTATTTTTATCTTTATAAAGAGCTCCGGGTGGCCCATTTGAAAGGCAAATAAATAATAATGATGACAATGGGGAATGAGGGAGAGGAGGGGGAGAAGAATTTGCCTGGAGGAGCTCACCTACATCACTGCCTCTAGAACAGCCTAAGGGACTGATTGATTCCTCACTGACTGCTAAATTCTGCAAGCTCTTGGGGCTGCAGGGTAGAGAAGCTTCTCAGTTTCTTCGGGTTTGTCCATCCTGCCTGTTGGACACTGTCAGGATCTTCCAGATCAGCCAGCCCATCCTCTCATTGTACATATAAGGACCAAAGAGGGACGGTGACTTGCCCAAGGTCACACAGTAGGTCAAGATCAGAGCTGGGACCAGAATCAGAGCCCCTGCCTCCCTCCCCGGTTGGATCTTTCATGCTGCTTCTGGCCTCAGAAGCAACACAGTTTGGCAGGGGCTTTGCTTACAAAGCTTTCAGGAACGGGCTTTGCCCTCTCCCTCTTGCCTACCACGGACTTTCTTGCATTAAAAATTCTCATTGTGGGAGTCTCCGCTATTACTCACTTCTTTCAAAATGGAATGCTAGCAGCTGACAAGGGGCCCGCTCATCTCCAGCACCGGCTAGATCAGGACAAGGGTGGTTTTCCCATCCCCCTTTCACAAAAGGGGAAACAGAGGCCTTCAACACACAAACGAGCCTGTGTTTGCTCATCTCAAAAGGTCTCCGTGGCCTCTCCTTACAAAACAACGAGCAGACTCCCATCTACCTGGTACACTCGGGAGGACTCTAAGACTGCTGTAAGCTCCCCTGCTCAGCCACTGTCTCCCCAAGCCACCTCGCCATGCCCAAGAATCCCCCTTTGGAGTTTCCTGCTTTTGAGTGAGAATGGCATTAATGGAAACCTCCGGGTCGCCATGCTGTTGCGCTGACAGTAAAGGGGTAGTGTGGAAAAAACACAGAAGTTGACGTCATTTAATCTTGCCTTGCCACTCGTTACCCGTCTGACCTTGAGCCCGTCATTTTACCTCTCTGAACCTTAGTTTCTTCGTCTATAAAATGGGGCTCATAATTGGGTCTATGCTACCCCACGAGGGTAAAAGGTGGCACTCTAGTTGTCCATTGCTACATAATAAACCACTCTGCAACTGAATGGCTTCAAAACAACAATCCTTTGTTTTGCTCATGAATTTGCAATTTGGGCAGGGCTGGGCAGAGCCAGCTGATCTCGCTCCCCTCCCCATAGTGTAGGTGGCGGCAGCTGGGGGTGGCTGACAGGGCCTGGGGGTTCCCCTCTGCAGTGGTGACTGGCTTGACTGCTTTCTCCCCACCTGGTTCTCTCCACGGGGCGGCTTGGGCTTCCTTATACCATGGCTGCTGGGTTTCAGAAGTGAGCATCCCAGGAGAAGGGAAAGTAGCTTTGGGCCTGGAAAGCATTACAGCAAACACTTCCATTGAAATCTGTCAGTCAAGCCCAGATTCAGAGAGAAGGGACATAAGAAATAGCATTTATAATTGCAACAAAATACAGCCGTGCCTCGTGTAATGATGGGGATACGTTCTAAGAAATGCATATCCCCAGGCAATTTTGTCATTGTGCAAACACCATAGAGTGCATTTACACAAACCTAGATGGTACACCATACCACACTCCTGGTCTCTATGGCTTAGCCTAGTGCTCCCAGGCTACAAACCTTTATTGCATGTTATTGTATAGAATACTGTAGGCAATTGTAACACAATGGCAAGTATTTGTGTATCTAAATATGGAAAAGGTCATGAGTTGCATTGCTAGGGCGTCACTAGGTGATAGGAATTTTTTAGCACCATTATAATCTTTTTTTGTTATTTAGTTTTAATTTCATAACCATAAACTTAACTCTGCAATCCAGCTAAGTATAGAAGGGAAGAAGGAAAACATGGAACTCAAAGGGAACTGAGCCAGAGCACAAAGATTCTAGAATATGGAGAGCAAAAGGGGTGGTGGGGTGCTCTCCTGAGCTACAGAAGGAATGGTCTGGTGTTTAAGATAAAACACAAGTCAAATTTGTTGGAGTTGTCCACAGTCAGCAATGGTGATCTTCTTGCTGGTCTTGCCATTCCTGAACCCAAAGGGCTCCATGGCCTCCACAACATTCATGCCTTCTTTCATATTGCCAAAGACCACGTGCTGGCCATCCAAACTCTCAGTCTTCGCAATGGAGATGAAAAACCAGGAACAATTTGTGTTGGGTCCAGCATTTGCCGTGGACAAGATGCCAGGACCTGTATGTTTTAGGATGAAGTTCTCATCATCAAATTTCTCCTGGTGGACGGACTTGCCACCAGTGCCATTATGGTGCGTGAAGTCACCACCCCGACACATAAACCCTGGAATAATTCTGTGAAAGCAGGAACCCTTATAACCAAATCCTTTCTCTCCAGTGCTCATAGCACGAAAGTTTTCTGCTGTCTTTGGAAACTTGTCTGCAGACAGCTTGAAGGAGACGTGGCCCAAGGACTCACCATCAATGAACACAGTGGGGTTGACCATGGCTGATAGTACGGGGCTCCCGGCGGTGGCAGTGTCTGCAAAGCGAATGCACCATTATCATCTTATGGGACCATGGTCATATATGCGGTGCAGTGTTGACCAAAACGTCATTATGTAACGTGTGACTATGATTATCTACGTAATTATTTACTGATGTCTGCTTTCCCCAACCGTTTAGATTGTCTTGTTCATTGCTGTATCCCCAGAGCCTAGAACAGTGCCTAGAAAGCAGAAGACCTTCAATAAACATGATTCAATATATAGCTGGATGAATGAACGGAGACCTCTCCCCTGAAATGACAACCCTGGGTCCCTGTAGCTCAGGTTAGGGTGGGGGCAGGGAGGTTATGAAAGGCGCGCCGGCTCCAGCAGCTGAGGCCTGGTTTTGGACCCCAACTCTGGCCCCAGGGTGCTGGGTGACCTTGGGTAAGTCACAGACTTCTCTGTGGGTGTCAGCAAAAGCTAATAAAACCAGACCCCGCTTTTCAACTTGTGTCATCCAAAACTCTGAGTATGACTTGCTTTAATTAAGATAAGAGCACAGTGAAATGTTTGGACTTGCTGTTCATTCTTTGATGTTCAGCCTTTTGCATTGTTGTTTTGATGTCCGGGGTCTTGGAGAACTGGATTTCAGTTCTTGGCTCTGGCTGGCGGGCTGCTGGCCTTCTGCTGTTTGCCTTGTTAAAAGCACTTATGATCTAATAAAGTGAGATTGATGTGGCCTCCCCGGGGATGAAACACTTTCCATTCCCCATACTCACTGTGCTTCCCAGTTGCACTCAAGTTTGCCATGTATTATGTAGCAATTGAGAACTAGGCCCTGGGCTGAGTTTCATTTCATCCTATGAGGTGGGTACTGTTACTGTCCCCATTCTACACATGTGGAAACTGAGGCACTTAGAGGCTACGGGACTTTTCTGAGGTCATGGTAAGTAATTGGGTAAGTAAAGGTATCAGGATCCGGGTCCGGAGAGCTGCATGGTCTCTTGTGGGTTGCTGGTGGCCCTGGCTTGGATGGGAAGCCCACAGGGTACTTGGGTGGGAGCTCGCAGGATAAGAAGCAAGTGAATCTCCATATCTTTTTTTTTTTTTTCTTTGAGACCGAGTCTTGCTCTGTTACCCAGGCTGGAGTGCAGTGACACGATCTTGGCTCACTGCAACCTCCGCCTCCCGGGTTCATGCCATTCTCCTGCTTCAGCCTCCTGAGTAGCTGCGACTACAGGTGCCCACCACCACACCCAGCTAATTTTTTGTATTTTTAGTAGAGATGGGGTCTTGCCATGTTGGCCAGGCTGGTCTTGAACTCCTGACCTCAAATGATCCACTTGCCTCAGCCTCCCAAAGTGCTGGGATTATAAGTGTGAGCCACCGCACCCAGCTGAACCTCTGTCTCTGAGTTTGTTCAGTGACAAAGTCAGGCCTTGGAGAAAGATAACAGGCCTATGAGGTGTTGTCTCTATGAATCCCCATTTTACAGCAGGGAAAACTGAGGCTCAGAGAGGTTGCCCAAAGGGGATTAGAAAGAATAATGGCCTGGAAGAGGAAAGTGCCTGGTTCACTGTCCGGGGTTAAGTCAGGTCAGAATGTCACGGTTGTACCAGTCTTGTGTGCGAGATGTTGACTGAACTGACTTTGGCATCTTACTGCCCAAGAATAGCGGGGATGGGAAGTGACTGGGCCTCCCTGGGGGCAGCCCATTCTGTGTAGAATGGTCCTCAGGAAGATGAAATCATGTAGGAAAACACCCCACATCCGTGGTTCCCACAGTCACTGATGGGGGTAGAATGGGGGGCTGCAAAGGAAGCTGGTACTCTTTACTGGTGCTCAGCTGAAGCTGTGGGTGCCCCCAGGAGCCCAAATAGCCCAGCAACGTCCTCTGCTGTTAGTCTGTTGCAACATTAGAAATTCCACCATGAACAGCTTCTAGAGAAAGCACAACCTTGTTGAGAAGAAAGGAAAGTCACACGTGAGGTCACTTGCACAGTAGCCTAGGAGATTCAGTTTCCTTATCTCAAAAATGGAACCAACACCAACCCCCTCAGGTTGTGAAAACTCCCAACACAGTTCCAGGGGGCAAAGGAGGTGTGTTCTTCCTGAGTGGAGGGGCCCCCCAGCAGACCTGGAGCTTCTGGCCCTGCTGCTGAATGCAGGAGGATGGCAACTCACTGGAATTCTGCTGTGCCCAGGCCTCACCAGCCTGTAGGTACCCAGGTCACACTTATGTTAATATCCAGATGAAGAAGTTTCTTAGACCTCATCCCCTCCAAACACCCCTCCCCAGCCCCAGCCAGAAGGCCAGTTACTCCCGGCGCCTCCCCAAGTGGTGTCCAAACCCCAGCCGGGAGTTTTCTCCACTTCTTGGTGAGATGCCTGGTGACTGCATTGGCCACAGGCGCGCCTGCAAAAACGCTGCACCAGGTGTGGCCACCCTCCACCCTGGTCACCCTGAGCTTCCAGGTGCCACGTTTGTCATGGCCATGGAGGTGCCATGTTTGCCACATCACCATGGAGGTGGTCAAGCAGTGGGCTTAGGCCAACTCCAGTTTGCAAACTGTCACCTGGGCCCTAAGGCAGCCCTTCCAGGGCCCTGGGTCTTGCATGGTCTCCATGACAATGACTTGGGCCGCATCTTTCCCTGTCCTTTTCTCAACAAGACTCAAAACCAAGGTGGAGGACATACCTTTTCCCCCTTTTCCCCCTGTCACGCTCATCTCCCTCATTCTTGACCTCAAGTGCCCAGCTCCTCCCTCCCTCTGTGAATCTTCACCAGAGAGGACCCAGCAGGGCCACCATCAGCCAGACTCTGAATCCCAGCATGGGTTCAACTGGCCCAGCCTGCTACAGAGAGAAAGGGAGTCCCACCGCAGCCCCTCCAGCTGGAGTGTGGGGCATGAGCCACAGCAGACTCAGGCCCTCCATGCTGGCTGGGCAAGCCCCTTCCCTGTCTGGGCCTCTACTTTCACATCTGTGGCTAGACACTTCCCAAGGCCCCCTCCAGCTCAGACATTCTGAGGCCTGATGTCTTCTCTCCACCTAAGGCAGCCAGCAGTGACCAGTCCCTCTTTCCCCTCCAGGCCACACTGGAGCAGCCCAGCCCCTTATCACACGCAGCCGTCTTCGTTGTTTGCATGGTGCTCATTTCCCCTGGCTAAGAAAACATGCTCGCAAAATCAGATTTCCCTGGAAAGCCGGCAGGTTAAAAGGAAAGGAAACGTTGAATTCTGTGGAGTGGGGATCTGAAGGCAGGGACTGACCTCTGGGACTGCCCTCACACTTCTGGGTCCCCTTGATTAGAGGAAGCAGGGCCTGATCCCAAATTCCTGCCCCTAAGTAGTCCCCTCTGCCTCCCTCGGGTCTATTCCAGCACCCACAGGCAGCTGAGGCCTGGGGAGGCTTCGAGCCTTCTCAGGGTCACACAGAGTGTTATTATTTGTTATCATCCAGAACTTTCTGTGGCTCCCCACTGCTGGCAGGGCAAACCCACATGCATCCTGGTGTTCAAGGTACTCTCCCTTTTCCCTTATGTGGCCCTTTGGCTCTAGACATCCTAACTCCTCACCAGCCCAAACAGCCTTGTCTTTGCCACGAGTGCCTCTCCCCCAACCCACTTCTGTCTGTTCAGCTCTCTCTTACTCTTCAAGACCCCACTCAGACCCTGCCTCCTCCAGGAAGCCTTCTGTGACTAGCCCTGCCCACATGATCCTCTCTGAGGGGTTCTGGCCACACCGGGAGGAGCCTGGTCGCTTCTCATCTGTACCCAACCTCTCCCTGGGGACAAACCCTCTTTGGGCCCAGCTGTCTTCTTGTTCAGGGCCTGGTTCCCACTTCCTGGAGCTGGCTTGGCCGGCTCAGGGCCGCCATGGGCCACCGAGGAGAGAACCAAAGGATTTCCTTGGGACTAAATGATACCAAGAGTGGCAGAAGGCTGCTTAAGGGCCCCACCTTGGGTCCTTTCTTAAAAGTGACTTTTCCTGATCTTAACGTGGATAAAGCATGAGTGTGGTCACAGAACAGCTCTACAGCTGTTGGCAAGATGAGATAGGCCTACCTGAGCTCCCACGGAGAGCTGTCCATGATGAACATGTAATCTACAGAATGAAATGTACGTGTGGTGCCATTCGTTTTTAATTAAACAAACAAAGCAAAACGCCTATAATGGCTCATGTGCGCCCAGCACTGGTCTGAGCACTTTGCGTGCATGGACTCACTCGATCCTCCTAATGACCCTGTGCGGCAGGTACCCTAATGACCCCATTTTACAGATGAGCAGACTGAGGTTCAGGGGAGGGATTCAAGCCCTGGCCACAGGCAGGCTCCAGCACCTGTGCTCTCAACCTCTCCCCTGTGCTGCCTGCTGCATTCTCAGTGCTAATCTGTGCTTCCAAACAATACATAACCAAAGGGAGAGAGAAGCCGGGAGGAAGGTGCCACTGGGCCTTGCATGGAGCCAGGTTTGGAGAGAGAAAAATAGGGAGACTTTCACTTCCTCTTCTTGCATTCTGTATTGATTGGTTATCACAAATAATATAATCTATTTGAAAAATAGAAAAAGCAGCACATGCTCATTGTAGAAAACTCAAGAGAGATGAGAAAGGCTTCAGAAACTAGAGTCAGCCTGGGTTCTGGGAGCTGGCAGGGAAGCATACTCAAGGCCAGAGGATTCTAGAAGGATCACCATGAAAATGGGTGAGTAACCAGGCTTATTGTAGGTCTAGTGGCGTCAGGAGCAAGAGCTGACTGCACCTTGGTGTAGAAGGCGCTTTATAACCCATTAGTGCTATTTCACCATGGAAAACGGCAGCCTTGTTTGGTAGTAAGCTGCCCATCTGTGGAGGCATAGGAGGAGATATCAGATGCAGGATTAATGCTGAACTGTTTGCTCTATGTTTCATGTGAGTTAGTCTGTTTCCCAGTCCTCCACCTTTAACTCAGGCTGGACAGAAATGGGATGTACTTACAAGGATGAAGCCCCATGCCTAACTGGTTAAAAAAATAACAAATGATTTAAAAACAGGATTCAGAGGCTTGCACAGATACAGCAGCTCCAAGAGCCCCTCAACATAGGTGGCTTCATGTGATTTTAGAACCTCCCAACATCACTGGCAGAAACATTTTGCAGAGAAGAAAGACGAAAAGCTCAGGGAGGTTTCGACTTGCCCAAGGTCACCCAACTGGCCCAGAGTTCCTGGCTCTGCTCAGTCAGGTGGCCATCCCACATCGGGGCATTTCTCACAGTGATTGTTCATTTCCTTCCAGGGCCCAGCATCCAGTAGGTGCTCAGGTCCTTCATGGGACGGCGTCAGAGACCCTGGTTCTGTTCTGGCTCTGGCCGAATGTGCTGAGCGAGTCCCCCACCCGTCTTGTGCTGGGTTTGATATTTCTGGGCTCCCTTCCAGGTCTCATCTGTCTGCCACCCACCCCTGTTCCTTAGTTTTCTTAGCTTGTCCCCTGACATCAGACCCCAAGGAGTCCTCAGATGGACGGGGGAAGGGGGAGGGCCCGTGGGGCGTCAGGCGCCCTGATGCTTGGACCTTTCTTTCATTCCATGCAGATTTATAGGCGTGTGTTCCTGAGCTCTCATTCACTGTCCACAGCCCAACACATGGCCTAAAAACAACAGATACGATGAAAGAGATCTTGCCTGCAGATGAAAGCAAGAGGGAAACCGGCCTCCCCCAGCCCTGGCCTGGCCCTGGGCCCACTGCACATTGTGGTCAAGGCAAAGTCAGGGCTGGGACGTCTGGAGAAGGCCAGAAGGCTCCTGCCCACCCATGGGCCTGGGGCTTCCAGGGGCCCTGGTGCAAAGCCTCGGATGAAGTACTGGGGGAGGCAAAAGGAAATGGAGGCCCTGTTTCTGGGGGCAATCGGCTGGCATGCCAGGAAGGGGGCCTTGGCAGAGCCTAGAGTCAGACAGGGTGATGACAAATGACCCCGGGGCCCCTCCAGCACCGCCCCTGGGGACTCTGCCTTGCCCACTCTACTCCAGCCACTCAGGCTTCCTTCTGTTCCTTGAAACTCAGCAAGCTCATCTCCCTCCACCCCAGGGCCTCTGCACACAGTGCCCACACCGCCGGAATGCTCTCCTCCGCACCCTCCCGAGACCTCCTCGGCCTTCAGGTTTCAGATTGAATGATGCCTCCTCCAAGAGCCTCCGACTGGTGACCCAATCCATTCTCCAATCCAGCCCTCTGTTTTCTTAATGTACTTGGCACACTTTATAATCATTTGTTGTAGTGATTATAGGTGATTTAATAAATTAACATTTTCATATCAATTAGATTGTTGATAAATTATAATTATTATCATTTATAGATTATTGAATGATTTAATGATTATCTGAAGGCCCCATGAGGATGTGTTCCTTGTGCCCTCTGGGTAAATGGGGCCAGCTCTGCCACCAACTCACTGCTCTGGGCCCAGGTATCAGGTCTTCTGACGATAACAGCAAATGATGTTTAGCTTTTCCTAGGAGCAAAGCATTTTCCACATGACTTTATTTAATCCTCACAGCCACCCAATAAGGCAAGGCAAGGGTTATTTCCATTTTGCAGACGAGGAGACTGAGGGTGAGTGTATCTCAGCTGCAGCCCGGACACAGTCTGCTTGTCCACCATGCCTACCCAACTGCCTGAGTCCCCAGGAGCCTTGCTCACCTTTGGGACTCTCCCATATGTCACATGTGAGTGCTACGGGGGAGGACATAGAACTGGTCATCAGGCAGTGACCCTTAAGGGTGAATTCATCTGTTCACTCCCTGAGCAGATTTCCTTCCAGGTGGAGAAGAGAGGGATTCATCCCAGAGGGAAGAAAGCCAGAGCTCCCCACAGGGTGAGCCACTGTGGGGACCTGGGATGCCACCAGGGGAGACGCATTGGGAGGGAGGGGGCTTTCTCTGCACAGCCGCCACCCACAGACCCCTCTGGCCCTCTCTTGGTCTGTAGAGCGACATCAGTGTTCCCAGGGGGAGGGACCTGGACCCTCTCCTGTGTTGCAGGCGGAAGGTGGGTGGGTGGATGGTGAACTGTAAACGCTGGTCTGTGAGGCGGCCACATGGCACCAGGAGCAGGGTCTTTCGTAGCCTCTGTGCCCCTTGCTCTAGGTCATTCTCCTTCGAAGGATGCCTTCTGAAGAAGCAATCAGGGACAAGGAAGGCGACTTCTGACAGGCAGTGCCCCCAGACTAACCACCCCAAACCCTGTGCCAGCCCCTTCCTGTGCTCAGGAGGCCAGAAATGAGTGTTTATAACCAGCTGTTGGAGTCTGGGGGGGCTGGGATGGAAAGGGAAGAAACAGCTGCGCAGCTTTTGTGCCCTTAAAAAGACAAATCACAAACCGATGCCTCAGGACTCCCACTGTCTACACAGCTGATGGTCAGGGCTTCATACGTGGGCAAAAGTCACGGCATGAGTCTTCATTTGCTCACATGAATGAAGAGAAGAGAGAAGGTTTTAAAATGTCTGTTGGGGGATATTTATGCTATTCTTTAAACTTTTGTATATGCTGAGCTTTTCTATAATAAAAAGTAAAAAAGAAAAATAGGAATGAGGGAGGGAAAGAGGGATGGAAGGAAGGAAGGAGAAAGGGAAAGAAGGAAGAGAGAAAGGAGGGAGGGAGAAAGGAAGGAAGGAGTGAGGAGGGAGGGAGGGAGAGAGGGAGGGAGGGAAGAAAAGAAGGATTCCATATATGATTCCATTTTTTGAGTAAATGAGTCGTGTGTGTATTTGTATGCATGAAGAAAGTCTGGGAGCATATGTACAAAAATATTTACAACTGCTATCTCTAGTAGGGTTATGGGTGATTTTTATTTTCTTCTTTGTACTTTTAATTTTTCTAATTGGGAAGAAATAACACAACTATTAAGAAAAAGAAAGGGGCCTGGGCGCAGTGGCTCACCCCTATAATCCCAGCACTTTGGGAGGCCAAGACAGGCATATTGCTTGAGTCAAGGAGTTCGAGACCAGTGTGGGCAGCATGGCGAAACCCCATCTCTACAAAAAATACAAAGTTAGCCGGGCATGGTGGCTCATGCCTGTAATCCCAGCTACTTGGGAGGCTGAGGTGGGAGGACCACTTGAACCCGGGAGGCAGATGTTGCAGTGAGCCGAGATCATGCCACTGCACTCCAGCCTGGGTATTAGTGGAAGTCTGTCTCAAAAAAAAAAAAAGAAAAGAAAAGAAAGGAATGTCTTGTGTTCTAGACTCTCCTCCATCCACTCAGCATCTCTCTGACTCTGCTTCAGTGACCTCATCACAATGAGCCTCATCTCTCTCCCCAGCAAAATGGGGGCATCACTAATGGGGATGCAGTGAGGACAGAAAGGGGCGGTACTGAGGGTACACCTGGTAGGAGCCCAACACCTGTGTGCTGCCCCCCACACACACTCAGGCACCCACACGAGTGAGAGCCCGCACACACCACAGACCCCGGAAGGACAGCAAGACTTCCTGGCCCCACACATGTGCCCTGGTTCACCCTCGTGCCCGTATGCACAAACACACACGCACGGTGCACTCATGAGTACACGCTGTAACCTGCGTGGGGTGGCTCTGTCAGCCGACCGGGTGGGTGAGAGGAGAAAGCCCCATCCCTTTTCAAGATAAACACAGGAAGTGAGGATCCCACAGTGTCAGGACAAGGTTGGGAGTCATCCATAAACTCCAGGCAGGGGTGGGGGATGGAGAGGGGCCCAGAGAGGGGAGGTGGGGTGTGGGAGTCTGGGCAGGGCCTGAGTTTGACATCTGTTGTCTTGGGTTCAGATGTGAAAAGTTGAAATGGTGACTAAGCTTGGGGGCTATCTTAGCTCTGTCTGTCTGTCTGCCTGTCTGTCTGGGACAATACTTCCCACCCTCACCCACCCCTCTCTCCCCAGTCCTGGGCTTAGTGAGCCAGGTGTTCAGGTCAATCGGAGGCCCAAGGGCCCCCAGCCAGGCCCCCACACTTAGGGAAGCCAGAACCTGTGCTCAGCAAATGCTTGCAAAGGCCATGAGTAGATGGAAAGAAACAGTCATCACGGATTCCAGGATGCTCCCGAATCCAGCACATGCTTGAGTGCGTCCCGGCCCAGCTCAGATCTCTGAGAGATTATCCTGGGGGTAGCTGCCAGGGACTGGCGCCCCAGCCTTCTCCTCCCAAGTCTCTGCTCCTACTTTCCTCAAAGCCTACTGAGTCCCAGGGGAAAGTAGCAACGGGGCCTCTGCCAGGCCAAGGCGGGTGGGAGGGCACAGGGCTGACCACTCAGGGCCTCTGGAGAATGTTGTTGGATGAATGAGCACTTGCTGTGTGCCAGGTACCTTACATCAGCCTTAAATACTTTTCTGGAACAAATCTAGGGTTGGGGGAGAGAAGGATGTTTTCTACCTCACCCCCTAGCCACGCAACTGCCCTCACTTTGCGATGAGGTTACTAGCTGGATCCAAGTCGCACAGTTATAGGTGGTGGCTCCCACCTGCAAGGGCAGAGGGACAGATGGAAACCTTTCTTGAAGCATTCTGTTATGAAACTCCCCACTCATTCCCCTGAGCAAGTGGGGTTGAGTATAGAGTTTCCCTTTCGAACACAATTGCCTGCCCATCTTTTGCTATCAGAAGCCTCCAACCCCACAGCTAGAGCCCCTGGACAGTCCGAGAGCCTGGGCACACCCCACCTCTGCCTGTTGGCCACTTGGGCAAGTTGCCCACATTCTTCACCCTCTCCCTGCACCGGTGCTTCAGGCGTACCTGGATTTCTTTGGCTTCTCATAACCTCACCTGTGCACCTCCCAACCATTATTTCATTTGCTTCTCCCAGCAAACCAGGAGATAGAAAGATTATGTCCATTTTGTCAATGAGGAGACTGAGGCCTGGAAAGGTCATACAGACAATTAGAAGCAGAGCCCAACCCACACCCAGGCAGATTCCAAACCCAACCCTCTTCTCCTAGTCCCAGCTCCTGCCTCTGCCACGGCTGCTGAGTCATTGGTGGTGGCAGCAAGGCTACTGCAGAGACCTCAGGGTCTGGGCTTCCTGTGGCTTCTGCCTTCCTTGTCACCTCCACCTTGCTACCAGCTTGGCCTCAGGCCCCAGACCCAGACTTCAAGCCCCATAAGGCCCAGCACTGCCTAGTCCTTGCCCGGGTACTCAAACAGCTCTCTCTCCCTTTGCTTTTTACTCAACACTTTCAGTCATGTGGTTCCTCTTTCAAATCCTCAAACTCTCTGTTTTTACCTACCCCAGGGATCTTACTGTTACTTCTATTTTTCTCTTTTAAAAAATGTATTCACTGGATGGATGTATGGGTGGGTGGATGAGTGATTGGATGGATGGATGAATGGATAGATGGATGGATGGGTGATTGAGTGGATGGATGGATGGATGATTGGATAGGTGATTGACTGGATGGGTGATTGAGTGGACGGATGGATGGATGGATGGATGGGTGATGGAGTGGACAGATGGGTAAATGGATAAAAATGAGTGATTGAGTGGATGGATGGTTGGATGGGTGGATGGATGGATGGATGGATGGATGGGTGACGGAGTGGACAGATGGGTAAATGGATAAAAATGAGTGATTGAGTGGATGGATGGATGGATGGGTGGATGGATGGATGGATGGATTGTTGAGTGGATGGATAGACTGGAGGGATGAAAGGGTGGTGGGTGAACAAACTTGACTGGATGAATGGATGGATGGATGGGTGGGTGGTTGAGTGGATGGTTAGACTAGAGGGATGACAGGGTGGTGGGTGAACAAATTTGACTGGATGGATGGATGGATGGGTGGATGGATGGATGGATGGATGGATGGAGGAATGAGATGGAAGGATGCTGCTACCGTTCTGCTCAGATTTTGGTCTTCTCTCTCCCCACCTAAGTGCCTTGTACCTACAGTTTTCACCCCCAACTCTAATTTGCCCGGTCCTGCAAAGTTTGAGGGAACAACTGGGAGACCACAGTAACCCTTCTCTTTGGTCCCCAGTTTCAATTCTCCTTGGGGTGTCCTGACAGCTCCTTTCAGGTCCCCAAATCAGCCTCTGGGAGGAAGGAGGCAGCCTTTGTCCTCAGTACAAATGCTTGAATATTTGAGCCTTTTGCCTGTTACAGTGACTCCCACTTTGGGGGTGGTTTTACATCTCTTTAATTGTCTTGAAACTAAAAACAAAACTGAAAATTTCCCTCAAATAATAATGCACTTTAAGGTTAATTAACTAAAATTACTTTTGGTGACTTGATCTTAAACTCTAAAAAACTAGAAAGATTGTTCTTTCTAGAAGTGTTCCAAAGTAAATTAATAAATTTTAAAGGGACACCCATCTCCTACCAAAACACCATGTAGTTAAGAGATCATTATTTAATCGCCCCCAAATCAAGCATGAATATCTATAAGCTGAGGAGCTAAACAACAAAGAAAAAGTGGAGCAAACAAAATCAGATACTCGGTGGGTGCAAAAACACTGAAGGGGGGCGTCAAAAGGTGAACAGGTCATTGGGTTAACAGAGTTTTAGGGAATGTAGCAGACACCCCATTTTTCTCTCCCAGATCCCTTATCCCAACTCAGAGAGACTAGAGCAGGAATCTTCACACCTGAGTTCTTGTCCAGGGGCAGCCTGTGAGCCCTGTGCTCACCTGGTCACAAGAGGCAATCACTAACACTCAGGAAGTACCTGCCTTCTTTGCCCTGGGCCAAGCCCCTCACACGAGGGCCTCACTTCATCCGGACCTCAGTATTGTGATCTCCATCTGCCAGGTGCAAAGCTGAGGCTCAAAACAGGAAGTGGCAGATCTAGGATCAAAGTTCACCTTAAAGAATATCTACCTCATATTCCCATGAATTAGGTAAAGCAACCAAAGTTTAGAGCAGACCAGACCACACAGCCAGCGAGGGCAGACTGGACTTCAGTTGTACAAACAGTAGTGCAAGTGTCGAGTGAATGAGACAGACAGTGGATGCCAGAGCCATCACATGGGAGATCAGTTTCTGCGGGGGTGTGAAGTGGTGGTGAATAGAAGGAGAGATAAACAGCACTGGTCAGGGAGGACTTCCTGGAGGAAGGGGGCATTGACCAACACAGAACATCTGGCAGGACCAGTATCCTCCTGAATTTCCATGGAGGTGGAGGAAAGGAGAACCCTTCTTTTCTCTCCTCCTGGGCTCTCTCGTGCAGTTGGAGTCAACAGAGTAGCCACTGGCCCCCCAACTTTGAGTAAAACCCCATCCCCCAGCAGGGCAAGAGGGGCAGAAGCAGCCAGCAGCCTCCCATCAAGCCTTGACAGGAGTTGTCACCAGTGCAGAGCCAGCGGAGTGTGGTGGGGCCCTGTCTGGCCCCAGCCCCACTGTTTACCTGTCTGGGTTGTTGCTGGAACCATTCATCTCAGTGAAGGATGACATGGCCTCCCTCCTCCCTCCTCCTGCTCAGCTCCTCCACTGGGCATCCACTTCTGCAGATCTCCAGAATGCTCCAAGCCTCCTAGATGCACCCCCTGCATGCCTGCTCCTTCCTGGCCAGCCTTGCCCCAGGTGTGCTCTTCCTCCCATTCTCACCCATGTGCTGAATAAGCAGAGTGCCACTGGCCACATCAAGAGCTACCTGTGTGGCTGCGGCCCTGCTGGGTGCCAGGCTCTGTGATAAGGAAACACCTGATGGCCATCACTTCTTGATCCCTCATCTACATGGTGGCTATGAAGGAAGAGAAAAACAGGTGATCACATTTCTGTGTGATCAGTGAGGTGGGAGAGTCCATATTAGTTATAGTGATCAGACCACGGAGATTGGAGCTGCTAATTCTGCCAAAGGAAGTGGACAGGGATGGGAAAGTGGAGATGGATGGGTGGATGAGTGGTTGAGTGGATGGATGGATTTGTTCACCCACCACCCTTTCATCCCTCCAGGCTATCCATCCACTCAACCACCCATCCATCCTTCCATCCATCCACTCAATCACTCATTTATCCATTTACCCATCTGCGCATTCAATCTCCATCCATTCATCCATCCATCCATCCACTCAATCACTCATCCACTCAATCACCCATCCATTCATCCACCCATCCACTCAGTCACCTATCCATTCATCCATCCATCTACTCAATCACCCATCCATTCAATCAGCTATCCATTCATCCATCCATCCACTCAATCACCCATCCATTCAATCAGCTATTCATTCATCCATCCATCCACTCAATCACCTATCCAGTCAATCACCTATCCATTCATCCATCCATCCATCCATCCATCCATCCATCCATCCATCCATCCACTCAATCACTCATCCACTCATTCACCTATCCATCCATCCACCCATCCATCCACTCAATCACCCGTCCAGTCAATCACCTATCCATTCATCCATCCATCCACTCAATCACCCATCCATCCATCCATCCATCCATCCATCCATCCATCCATCCATCCACTCAATCACTCATCCACTCAATCACCCATCCATTCATCCACCCATCCACTCAATCACCCATCCACTCAATCACCTATCTATTCATCCATCCATCTACTCAATCACCCATCTATTCAATCACCTATCCATTCATCCATCCATCCACTCAATCACTCATCCACTCATTCACCTATCCATCCATCCATCCATCCATCCATCCATCCATCCATCCACCCATCCATCCACTCAATCACCCATCCAATCAATCACCTATCCATTCATCCATCCATCCACTCAATCACCCATCCACTCAATCACCTATCCATTCATCCCTCCATCCACTCAATCACCCATTCAGTCAATCACCTATCCATTCATCCATCCATCCACTCAATCACCCATCCAGTCAATCACCTATCCATTCATCCATCCATCCACTCAATCACCCATCCATCCATCCATCCATCCATCCATCCATCCACTCAATCACTCATCCACTCAATCACCTATCCATTCACCCGTTCATCCATCCATCCACTCAATCACCCATCCAATCAATCACCTATCCATTATGCATCCATCCACTCAATCACTCCTCCACTCAATCACCTATCCATTCATCCATCCATCCACTCAATCACCTATCCATTCATCCCTCCATCCACTCAATCACCCATCCAGTCAATCACCTATCCATTCATCCATCCATCCACTCAATCACCCATCCATCCATCCATCCATCCATCCATCCATCCATCCATCCATCCACTCAATCACTCATTCACTCATTCACCTATCCATCCGTCCATCTCTATGGGAAAGCCATAGAGAGGGGACCATCAAGGATGTCCTTGAAGGAGGGGAGGGTGTTTTCAGGTAGACCAAGGATAAAGCATTCCAGGCAGATGCAGGGTACCATGAGCACATGCACCTGGATACTCCACACATAACCAGCAGTCAGGAGTGACCAGGTGTCTGTGTGTGGAAAGGGGCTGGCAACTTCCACAGGGCTTTTTGAGCACCCTCCTTCTGGAAAGCCCCCTGGTCACTGGTCCTCAACCCCTTCCAGGTTCCTGTAGCATTTGCAGATCGTACTTATAAGACCCTTAAAAGAACAAAACTCACCTTCTGTTGTAACTCTCCCAGCCCATGTTTCCACTATCTGAGGATCACAGACCCCTTGAAGGCAAGAGTTGTGTCTTATATTTCCTGACATTTGTTATCCTCAACCCCTGGCCCTGTGTTTAGTACAATTGTGAAAGCATACTTGATGTTCAAAAAAGATTCATTAAAGTGGCCGGGCAGGGTGGCTCATGCCCATCCTCCTAGTGCTTTGGGAAGCCCAGGAGGAGGATCACTTGAGGCCAGGAGTTTGAGATCAGCCTGGACAGTGTAGTGAGACCTCATCTCTACCCAAAGAAAAAAAATTAGCTGGGTGGTGATGTGCACCTATAGTCCCAGCTACCCTGGAGGTTGAGGTGGGAGGATCACTTGAGCCCAAGAGTTTGAGGTGAGCCCAAGAGTTCGAGGCCACAGTGAGCTGAGATCATGCCACTACACTCCAGTCTGGGTGATGTCATCTCTATTTAAAAACACAAAAATTAATTAATGGAAGCCTTGGTGAATGGATGGGTCGCTGACATCTCTGCAGGTGTGTGTGTGATAAGACCACGCATGGTGAATTCTCAGGACATAGCAGGTGTTCAGGAGATGATGGTTCAGGCCACTATCCTCCTCGCTCATGTGACTCTCAGGAGCCAGGGTGCCTCAGAGCTCACAGGGGACAGAGCTGAATGGGGGGACACTTCGCCTTCCACTTTCTCATCTGTGATGTGGGCAAATAGGAGGTTTCTTCCAGCTAGGACGGCGTTTGGGTCCCGAGCCCTCTGTCTCTCATGCTGCTGCCTAAACTCAGGACACCCGCGGTACGGTGGTTATGCACATGGGTTCTTGGGACTGGCACGCCTGGGTCTGGAACTCAGCTCCCTCCTGTACCCACCATGAATGCTTGGAATGGTCCCTGCCCCTCACTGAGCTTCAGGGTCCCCATCTCTAATCAAAGACTCTGGAGGCCCTTCCCTGGTGAGTTTTCATGGAATGAATGAGATGCAGTGTGCATAGGGGTCCACAGTACTCTCAGTAAATGTTACTGTCATAACCATATTTTAACATCCTAAGAATACCCCCTCCTCCAGGAAGCCTCCTCTGACTGAGCCTAACAGAGGTAAGAATTTCCCCCTTTTTGCTTCTGCTCAGCAGCTCCCAGCTCATATTCTGTAAGCTCTCAGTTTAGGATAGAACAGCAAAGCTGCTCTGGCCCTAGTTCTGGCCCCAACTCCAGTACCAGCTCTGGCCCCAACCCTGGAGTCCAGAGAAGTCTCGTTTGGGCAGTTTAAGTCAGAGGGTCATTTCTGGGCCTGGGCTCCAGGTTCCATTCAAATGGGGGATCCCAGAGGGTGCGGACCATGTCCTGTAAATTCACCCCAGCGGCTCCAGGAAGGCTCCTTGGGGTGTGAGACATGCTGGTGGCCAGCTACCCCCCAGCTGGAGTCCTCACGCTGAAGGCGAGACAGCCTCAGCGGCGGTGGCACTGGCTGTGCCTGACACCCTCACCCGGGACATCAGGCTGCCCTGCCCAGTCACCCACAGGGCTGAGGCCTCACCACATTTGCTGCAATACCCGCTGCCCTTGGGCTCACGGCCATCCTATCTGCGGCAGCCTCTGTGTGAACTCTGCCCCGTGACCCCAGCTGGAATGGAGGATGCCTTCTCCAGCAGCCTCCCATCGGTAGCCAGCAGCAGGGCAGGGCGGGGGCGGGAGCCACGGGACACTGGGGGCTGGGCCAGGCTGCACTGGGAAAAGGGGCGCTTTAGTCCTCAGAAGACCCTGATGGAGACTGCCTTCCCCATGGCCTCTTTGCTCAAAGGTCTGGTCAGAACCCCTGTGAGCATGGAGTCAGGGGATCCCCAGAAAGCAGCGCTGGAGGAGGGGGCCTGCTCACCCTGGGGGAATGGGACCTTCACAATTTAGGTAGGAAAAGAGAAGTGGCTCGGCAGAGAGCCTGCTCCCCACACCCGCTCACCCTGGCCACAGATGTCCTCCCCAGCCCCCTACATCACACCTTGTTGATTTGTCTTCTCCTTAGCCCTTCCCACAACCTGAAACCCCCCACCACACTGTGAGCACCACAGTGTGAGAACAGACATTGTCTGGTTTGTCACATGTCCCCAGTGTCTGGAACAAAGCCTGGCACACGGTGAATGCTCAATAAATACTCATTAGATTAATGACCATACTCATTTAATCCTTACACCCACCCTTCGCTGTAGGCAACATCAGTTCTATTTTGCAGATGGGGAGACTGAGGCTCCAAGAAAAGAGGGGAATTGGCTACTCTGCAAACCCGGTAACCAGCAAAACCTAAATCAAACCCAGGCCTCTCACCTCTTGACCACAAGCCGGCGTGTGATGACACCAACTGGTTGGGTTCAGCATAAAGAAAGAAACAGAGGAACACACTGGCCTGCTGGCTTCTGCTCCCCTCAGGCTGCTTCCCCAGGCAGGTTGTGCAGGCTTTTGTTGGGGTAGGGGGTGGATTTTATTCCCTGAGTTAAGTAACCTGTGATCAACCCCTTGTGTTAACAGCTATCATGTGTAGCCTCAGCCTCCTGCCTTGCCCCTGAGAGGATCTGTGTTAAATTGACACCAGCGATGAACAGTGTGGCTGAGAGGCAGGGATGGGCAAGGAGGGGCAGGAAGCAGGGGCTGGTCTGTGGCCTGTGGACGTGGATAGAGGCTCTGGCCTGGAATTGACTGGATGCATGTTATGTGTACCAAGCGCTGTTCCCAGCACTTCTCATGCATCATCCCAGTTCATCCTCACGACCATCCTTGAAGATCCTCAGCATCATTCTCCCCAGTGTCTGGATGAGGCAGCTGAGCCCAGGAGAGGTTGAGCTACTTGCCCAAAGTCACACAGCTGGAAAGTCAAGAAGCCAGCACTTGGGACCCAGGCGCTGTGGCTCCAGAGCCCACCCATGGCTCTCCCATGTCTGGGGGAGGAACACAGCTTCAGAGCTGGATTCCAACCTGAGTTGCATTGTGTACAAGCTGCCTGAGCCAGCTGCTTAATCTCTCTGAGCCTCGGTTTCCTCAGCTGTGCAATGTGGACACAATACCCACTTTGCAGGGTCCCAATGAGGCAAGGGGTAGAAAGGGCATGGACTGTGCCTGGCACATGGAAGGGGTATGACAAATGGGGGTGGCACTTGTGGTTCATGTCCCATGGCCCGTGAGTGTGCCATGACTGATGTTTCCACTCTAGTTTCATTTTCTAGAAATGCAGGGTCAGTTACAAGTCAGTGAAATCAGCCTCAGCCCAGTCTCAGTCCTTTCTCTGTATCCTGATGGTGCCTGAAATTCTGCCACTGGGGCAGCATTCCCTGAATTGAAAGCTGTGTTCCCGGGTGAAATGCAACTTCCCACGGGTGTTATTATGGCTGGGGAAGGAAGTGATGCTGCACATGATGGCTGTTTTTGTTTTTGTTTTTTGAGGCGGAGTTTCACTCATTACCTAGGCTGGAGTGCAATGGTGTGATCTCGGCTCACTGCCCCCTTCCCGGGTTCTAGTGATTCTCCTGCCTCAGTCTCCCGAGTATCTGGGATTTCAGGCACACACCACCATGCCAGGCTAATGTTTTGTATTTTTAGTAGAGACGAGGTTTCACCATGTTGTCCAGGCTGGTCTTGAACTCC
The DNA here is from genome assembly GCF_000001405.40 of Homo sapiens. Lineage (NCBI taxonomy): Eukaryota > Metazoa > Chordata > Mammalia > Primates > Hominidae > Homo > Homo sapiens. The sequence goes on from NC_000001.11 coordinate 22,341,463, forward strand.
TGACCTCAGGTGATCCACCCTCCTTGGCCTCTCAAAGTGCTGGGGTTACAGGTGTGAGCCACCCCACCCACCCAGCTGTTCGTAGTCATTTTCACCTCCATGTGAATGGAGATTCCAGAATTGCATGCCTTGGTGAAGTGGTCCCCAGAAAACAGGCAGAAAGGGGGTGACTTTGCCAACCTCACAGTTTTCTGCCTGTCCAATGGCAGCCTTGGGTCATAGCCCACGCCCTTGGATACCTTCTTTCGCAGGCCAGGTTTAGAATCCCGAGCACTTCCCTTTCCACCCAAGATGGTGATCTGAATATGACTCTTAGTTCATATTGATAATAACACTTTACTTTGTGTGGCACTCTTTTCTCTTGTTTCTCCAGTGTGAGCATTACACCCCATTTCACAGATGAGGAAACTGAGGCCCGGCGGGAAGTGGCTGGCAGTACCAAAGCCTGGGCTCAGAGCCAGCTCCGGGGCTTTCTCTGGGGCTTGGGCCTGATGGGCCTCCCCCGGGACCACCACTGTCCCCCTGCCCACACTCTTTCCCAACAGAGAGGCCCAGCCCCTGGGCCAGGCTGGGAATGATCTAGGGGGAGGCCCACCCGCCCTGTGTCAAGGCCGTGTGTAAGTGTTTTATTGTTTGCCCGCAGAGGTGTGAATGAAGTAATGGGCCTTCTCCAGCACTCCATCCGTCTCAGGCTGACAGCCGCGCTCCGAGCCCAGGCTGCTCTGTGTAAACGCTGTCACCCTGCCATCCCCGAGCAGGCAGCTTCCTCCGGGAAACTGTAATCAGGGCCTCCCGCACCCGCAGCTGGCCCTGTCCGCAGCTCATAAATCACGCTGCCTTCCCGGAAAGCAGAGGGAGAGACAGACAGGGTGACGGGAGACAGACGAGGCCGGGCGAGGAAGAGACGATGGGGAGGCCGGTGGGGAGAGAGGGAGGCAGTGAAGGCAGGCTGAGCAGGCAGGCAAGCAGGGCGGAGGAACGAGCAGAGATGAGCAGGGAGCAAGGCTGAAGGAGGAGAGGAAAGGAGAGAGAGTGAGAGACACAGAGGCAGAGGGAGAAAAGAGGCAGGAAACAGAGGTACGAGAGAGAGAGAGTCCCACAGAGGGGACACAGAGATAAGGAGACAGAGAAAGGGAGACAGACTCAGAGACAAAGAGAAAAGCAGAAACAGAGACCAGAAGAAAGGTAAGAAGCCAGCAGGGGAAACGCGGAGTGACAGAAACGAAGTGGAGCCAGAGGGAGTGGACAGAGAGAGGGACACACACCTGACAGGTGGCCTCGGCTGGGGACGAGGGACAGGGGTCCAGCCCATCATTTAGAGGAGGGGACCAGGAGGCAGCAGCCTTGCTTCAGCTGACAGGTCCTACAGCTCCCCCTGGCCTGGGCCCCTCCTGGTGCTCAGACCCCCCTCCCTCCACACCTGACCCAGCCAGAGTTTGCAGCCAGCCAGTGGGAGGGCTGCATGGGTGGGAGAGAGGAGGAGGGAGAAGGGGGGAACCTCCTGGACTCCCACTCCAGGGGTCCCCACCCCAGTCCCACTTTCACCCTAGGAGGTCACAGTGAACCTTTGAGGGAAGACAAGTCACTTAGCCAGCAGCCCTCGGGACACCTGGGCCTTGCAGGCACCCGCATGCTCCACACACTCTCACGTCCCCCGGTGTCCACACACACTCAGGCCGCAGGCACATGGGTGAGTGGCCGTGCACACCTGTTGGGAGATTCCCACAGGGTGGACAGGGAGACGATGGGGCTCAAAGCCCTGCTGGCCAGGTGGCCACAGCCCTGGCTGCCACGGGAAAGGCCTTCCAGAACTGGGAGAGAATGTTTCAGGCAGCATTCAGCCTAGCAAGGGATTATTTTCCCAGTTTAAGTCATGAAAGTTGATTTAAAAAAAAATCTCTCTGCCACCAAGCCCTATTATAGGCTGTCAGGATCTAGTGGGAAACAAAATCAAATTTCTGTCTCCTCGACTCCACATCTAGTCAGAGAGACAGACAATCAGCTTACAGAGCAAGCAGCCAGCGCATCACAGAATGAGCGCTGCGGAAGCCCGAACTGTGGGGAAAGAATCAGGGTTTGACTCCGTTATGAAAGGTGGTCAGCAAAGCCCTCACTGGGAGGGGGACCTCTGAGCAGAAACTCGAGGAAAGTGAGGGGGCGGGGGAACAGCATGTGCAAAGGCCCCGAGGCAGGAATGTCCTTGGCACATCTGTGGCTGCAGCAGAGTGGGCAAGGGGAAGTGGGTTAGGGGGTAAGGTCAGGTCCCAGGGGACCTTGATGGCCATTGTAAGGACTTTGACTCTCCATGTGAATGCCAGGGGAAGTCACTAGGGGTGAAGATGACTTGAGCTGACGCATCTGCAAGGGGGCCTCTGGCTGCTGTTTTGAGAACAGACTAAAGCAGGTGGGGGTGGGGAGAGGGCAGAGCAGAGAGCCCCGGGAGGAGGTGATGGGCGACCGAGGCGGAGGTGAGGGAACTCATTCAGGCGAGAGGCGACGGCGCCTGGATGGGGCGGCTGCAGTGGAGCAGGGAGATGTGGTCAGATTTTGGATGTGTTAGATTTGCTGATCGACTGGATGTGTGAGAAATAGAGGTCAAAGATGAATTCAAGGTTTCTGGCCAGAGCGACTGGAAAGAGAGAGTCGCCGTTGACTGTCATGGGAAAGATGGTGAGGATTTGAGGGCTGGGTTTGGATGGGTTCAGTGCAAAAAGCCTCTTGTGCCTCTAAGCGGAGACGATGAGTAGGCAGCAGAGGCTGCTCCCGGGTGATCCAGGGGCTGCGGACTTGGACTTGGAAGCAGCCAGGCTGCAGTTGGTATACAAAGTCACGGAGCTGGATAAGGTTAGCTGGCGATCGAGTGCAGATCGTCCAAAGACTGGGGCTCTATGCCTCATGCGGAGGCTGGAGAGAGAAAGCAAATGCAGGAAGATGAAACAGGAGACTCAGTGAGATACAAGGAGAGCCAAGAGACAGCAGCATCTCAAAGCCAAGTCGAGGAAGTGTTTTAAGGAGTTGATCAGCAATCCTGCTGAGAAGCCAAGAAAGTGGAGCCCTGAGGATGGGCCGTTGGATTTAGCAGCATGGAGGCCACTGGAGACCTGGACAGGAGCAGTTTTGGGGGACATATCGACAGTGAAAACATGACTGGAGTGTGGGCTTGCAGAAGACTGAGAGAAGAGGAACCGGAGACAATGAGTTCAGACAGTTCTTTGGGGGAAGTTTTGATAAATAAGAAGCAAAAAGAAGTGGGAGGGGTGTGGAATCAAGACAAGGTTTAAAAAAAATAACCTTTTTACTTTGGAATAATTTTAGATTTCTAGAAAAATTGCAAAGATACTACAGAGAGTTCCCACATACCCTTCACGCCGCTTTCCCAAATGCTAACATCTTCCTTAACCACAGCTATGTGCATCAGTTGGCGTATCAGTTCCGTCCGTCCCTGGTGCATCAGCTCCATCCACCCCTGGTGCATTAGCTCCATCCACCCCTGGTGCATCAGCTCCATCCACCCCAGGAGCATCAGCGTCGTCCACCCCAGGTGCATCAGCTCCATCCACCCCCTGGGGCATCAGCTCCATCAACACCTGGTGCATCAGCGCCATCCACCACTGGTGCATCAGCTATGTCCACCCCTGCTGAATCAGCTCCATCCAACGCTGGTGCATCAGCTCTGTCTACCCCTGGTGCATCAGCTCTGTCTACCCCTGGTGCACCAGCTCCATCCACCCCTGGAGCATCAGCTCCATCCACTGCTGGTGCATCAGCTCCATCCACCCCTGGTACATCAGCTCTGTCCAACGCTGGTGCATCAGCTCCATCCACCCCCGGTACACCAGCTCCATCCAACACTGGTGCATCAGCTCCGTCCACCCCTGGTGCACAAGCTCCGTCCACCCCTGGTGCATCAGCTCCATCCGCCCCTAGTGCGTCTCCTCTGTCCACCCCTGGTGCACCAGCTCCATCCACCCCTGGTGCATCCGTTCCGTCCACCCCTGGTACACCAGCTCCATCCAGCTTCGCTGCATCGCTATGGGCCTTGAAATGTGCCAGGTGAGTGTGGTGGAGCATAGTCTAGCTGGGAACAAAGAAGTAGAAAAGGCAAGTCAGAGGCATAGAGCCAGGAGGGGTCAAGCAGGGGACCTGGGACAGGACTTGGCCTCACTATGTCCTAGTGAGTGGGGATTGGTGGTTAACTCTAGCCCTCTGCCTGCTCCCCACTTTCTTTGTTTGTGCCTATAATTCACTTTATGTATAAGGTGAGCTTTGCTCTTTTCAACCGACCATACTAATGTCTCCAAAATGAATGGATGAATGAATCCCATTCTTCTGTAAGACCCAAAGCCAACATCTTGATGCTTGGTTGCAGAGATCAACATTGGCACCCAAATCAAGACTTTACACACACACACGTACCCACACATGCAATCACACACACACACACACACACACAATCACACACGGGCACCTTGCAAATTGCTCTCCCCACCCCTCTTCTGGAAACTACAATTTTACCCTCATACAAGTCCGCAGTCCCTTATCTAAAACCCTTGGGGTCAGATACATTTCAGACTTCAGAATGTGTCTGATTTTAGAAGGGGAATTTGGTGCATATACCATAGATTTCATAATAACCTCTGTAGGGCCTGAGCAGCACTCAGTAAGCAAACGTGACTATTTCTGCAGTGAAATGTGTGAATATTCACAGTAAGTGGGGGAAAATAAAGGCCATAAATAGCCTCATGACATTTCAAGTTGTGTTTTACCAGACTTATGAGTTAATAGAAAACACGGCCTTTGGAGCTTCTTGGATTTCAGGATCGCAGGTGAGTGCCTCTCACGAGTCCCTCAGCCAGGTGGGCTGCTCAGCCCTGATGTACACCAACCCACATATTTGTTCACTTGTAATAAATGTCAAGAGCCATATTCTTGCCATGGGAGCAGAAGGGACGGGGCTGTGTGTGTGCGTGCGTGTGCGTGTGCGTGTGCATGCGCACCTACATACACGTCCACATACCAGGAACATTCTTGCCTCTTTCAGTCCTTGAATTTTTCTCTTTCAAGGCTGGAGGGAGCCTCAAAAGCATCTCTTGAATCTTCTCAACAACACCCTCATCGAGTGGCTACCCAGCTTCTGCTGCTGCAGCTGCCCTGAACTCCATCCTTCTCCATGACCCCTCCTCCTTCCTGTCTCCTCCCTAAGCATCTCTTTCCTATCTCTTCTAGACCTTCACCACCTTTGTCTTCTTCCTCTTCTTCCTCCCCCTCCTCTCCCTCCCTTCCTCTCCTCCTCCTCTTTTGTCCCAGGAAACAAGGCTAGAAAATCAAGCAGCCCCAGAGGTCATATTCATCAGCAAAATTCTCCCAGTGGGACCTGGTAGCACATTGAAAACTTGGGCCACTTCGGCTTCTGCAAGAGGCAGCCAAGCCCCAGCTTTTGTGCAGCCAAACTTCTGGCCAGTGAGTTTACTTAAGAGGAGGGTTCTGGATCACTCGAGCCTGGGAATGTCAAATCTACAGTAAGCCATGATCATACCAGTGCACTCCAGCCTGGGAAACAGAGCAAGACCTTATCTTAAAAAAAAAAAGAAAAAAGAAGAAGAAGAAGAAGAAAGAAGGAGAAGGAGAAGAAGAAGAGGCCGGGAGCGGTGGCTCACGCCTGTAATCCCAGCACTTTGGGAAGCTGAGGCGGGTGGATCATGAGGTCAAGAGATCGAGACCGTCCTGGCTAATACAGTGAAACCCCGTCTCTATTAAAAATACAAAAAAAAAAAAATTAGCCGGGTGTGGTGGTGGGCACCTGTGGTCTCAGTTACTCGGGAGGCTGAGACAGGAGAATGGCATGAACCCAGAGGAGGAGGTTGCAGTGAGCCAAGATTGCGCCACTGCACTCCAGCCTGGGCAACAGAGCGAGACTCCATTTCAAAAAAAAAAAAAAAGAAGAAGAAGAGTTCCCTGCCGCCTACTCCCTTCCGCCTTCAGAAAGGACTAACCTGATTGGGCCTGTAGATACTCAGACAGACGCTCCCTGGCCTTAGAGTCTCTTCTTTCGTTTTTATTATTTTAAAATGAGAAATATTTAAAGTTTTACATTTTTTTTTACCAAGTAGTTCAAAAAAAGATGAATTATTTTTAAAGCTTCTTATTTTGAGATCATTCGAACCTACAGAAGAGTTGCAAGAGAATAGTACAAAGAATTCCTGGGTATCTTTTGTCCATATTCAGCATTTCGGACATTTTGCTGTATTTGCTTTCTCATTCTATGTATATATATTCCCTTTTTCTGAACCATTTGAAAGTAGGCCGTGTGATGCTACTGTTTGCCTTCCTACTTAAGTGAGTATTTTCTAAGAATGAAGATCTTCTCTTATATAATCTAGAATATATAATTTCACAATCCAGGATATTTAATATCGATACAGTGTTTCTATCTAATTCACAGTTCTCCTCCCTGATTTAAACGTCCCTTTCTTCACATTTTCTTGAATGATCATCTATGTTTGGGGGAAATCCATGGTGCTGAGTCCAGCCATGGTGCCCCTGGGTTAGTGTGGATTTTAGACACAAACAATTCCAGGGGCCCTCAAACTAGGTACCACAGAACCCTAGAGGTTCCATGGAGGGAGGGGAGGCAGCACTTTGGAGTGGAATTTGTTTGAAGAAAAAAATTCGACTTTAAAGAAAAAAAGATGGATAGCCACAGAGAGGCCAGTCTGTTCATTTTGTATTTGAGAGTGGAGGTTTAGGGAGGTTAAGCAACCTACCCTATGCCTCACTGAGCAGTAGCGGTGAGTCGAGCAGGGATCTAAAACCAAGGCATTTATTCATTTAACCGACATTTCTCGAACACAGCGGGAAGAGGGAAATGGGCTGCATCCTGGAATCTCAGAGAAGACAGACGACCAGCCCACCCTCCTGAAGCCGCCTGATGCGGCCAGGAGGAGGCTGTTGTGGTCCCCTTTGTGGCTCTGCTGAGGTGGGCCATGAGCTTACCAGGAACTTTGGAGAAGGGAAGTAGCCTGTGAATCAGCAGCGGCTTTTCCAAGAACAATAGTGTTCTCCTAACAAACATTCGTTCCATCAGCAAACTTTGGAACATTCAACAAACATTGGTCCGTTCAACAAATATTTGTTCTCTCACCAGTGTTGACTCAGCTCCTCTCCTGTGCACAGGGACTGCAGACGTGGTGTTAGGGACAGAGTCCCAGGTGGCATAAAGTCGGGTTGGTCCTTGGCAAAAGACTCAGGGTGGCAGAATGCTTTCAATACCTCCCTCCTTTCCTCTGTCACCCCAAACCACAGCAAAAGAGACAGGATGACCCCAGCCCTTTGCTCCCAAGGGACTGACTCCCAAACTCCTCCTTTATCAACAAAACCGTTCCCGTTATCAAGCAGACCCTCCCGTCCCAGATTCTGCTTTCCAGAGAGCAATTCAGCAAGAGTTAGTAGAAACTGGCCAGCCACAGTGGTTCATGCCTATAATCCCACACTTTGGGAGGCCGAGGTGGGATGGATCACTTGAGGTCAGGAGTCTGAGACCAGCCTGGCCAACATAGTGAAATCCCGCCTCTACTAAAAATACAAAAATTATCCAGGTGTGGTGGGGCGCCCCTGTAATCCCAGATACTCAGGAGGCTGAGGCATGAGAATCGCTTGAACCTGGGAGGCGGAGGTTGCAGTGAGCCGAGATCACACTACTGCACTCCAGCCTGGGCGACAGAGTGAGACTCTGTCTCAAAAAAAAAAAAAAAAAAGGAATTAGTAGAAATCTCTCAAATGTGTACAACCTTTGAGGTAGCCATTCTACTTCTAGGAATTTAATCAAAGGAAAACCTCAGTGCAGGGATGCACTGACATTTCACATGCTGCTTCCCATCGTTGTGAAAGGACGCCTCGCATTCTGGGTATAGATGAGCCATGCCCTTCACCCTAAGTGGCAGTCCTAATGCTCCTTGCTGGGTCCTGGATTTCAACCCTGTGTCTCACATGTACATGCAAACGTGTGTGCAGACAGATGTGTGCACAGTGTGTTTCCTGAGGCTGGGCATGCTGCCAGCTGATGCCAAAATAGGGGTGGGGACAGTAATCTCTAATCCAGAGACGAGAATGATCTTTGATATGAGAGCTGGTTCTTAAAGCTGCTTCTCTTGTTCCAGGCAAATAGACTAATTGGGATTGCCTCCCCGTCATTTTCCCACCCTACTCCAAACACGCACTCACACACCCAAGAGACACACATGCGAATATACAGATTCTTAACAGCTAGGCATGGCTTCTTTTTGCTGGGAGAAAAACAGAGACAAAAGGATTAAAAACATACATGTGGTGACCTCGAGTGTGTCTGCACAATCTCCACCGGGAGTGCTCCAGCAGGCGCACCCACGTGCACGTGCACACACACACACACACAAACACACACACGGCATGCTCCCAAGGACACAGCATCTGTGTGTGCTTTGGGGGGTACACACATGTGCCCACACATCTGGGCAGCGTGGTCCTGTGAAAAGAGACAGGTCCGTGTCCAGTTTGCTGCTTATTAATTTTGTGAATTTAAGCAAGTGTGGCCTCTGGAAGCCGTTGTTTCTTCCTCTGGGCAGTGGGAGGGCAGGTGTGGACGTGCTTTATGCATTGTAAACTGCCATCTACATTAGGGAGCCCACCGTTGTTAGATATGCACGGGCTCATATTTATAAAAACCATAGGAAGCAGTGTTGGTAGACTCTCCCTCTCCCCGCCTCTGCCTTCCGCACTGGGATGCTGTTCTCATGGCCTCCCTTCTGCTCTGCTCGGCTCACTGCTGTCATCTCCGCCTGCATCACGTTAATTACAAATCTTGGCGCTTTCAGATCTAGCTCGGGAAAGGATCTCAGAAGTTACCCAGTCAGAGAGGCATGCGCTGTTTCTGTCCCAGAGAGGTATAACCCAGGTCTCAGCAGAACCTGGCATACACTCTGGATGTGGCTTCAGCCCTCTCAGGGAGGGCACCACTCCTGGATGACTGAGCCAGGGCGCGAGCCCCAGGGAAAGGGGGATCAACAGACCCAGGAACTCGCACTAGCTCACCCCAGCAAGGGGAGGGGCTGGCCCAGGGGCCCTGCTGGCAGAGCCGGCCAGGCTGGGATTTATGGGCCCCTTTTGGACACGTTAAAGATCACATTAAGTGCAATAAATGTAGATCACGCTCCTAAATAAGCTGAGATTTATCCCCGGATCCTCTCCGCAGGGGCCAGCTCCATAAATCCTGCGCGACCCTGTCCCCTGGCCAAGGGATGGGGGAGGGGAGGCCAGAGTGGGGAGGGGCGAGGTGTAGCAGGGCAGTTCCAGGTACAGAAGGATGGAGCTGAGCAGGGGCTGCAACAGGGGCCAAGAAAGGGGGCAACAGTGGGCCCAGGCGGCCTGCCCCTGACCTCCCGCTCACTTGCCCAAGCTCCTTACCCCAGCCCTCTCCTAGCCCCGCCCCCCTCGCATCCTTCCCCTCCTTCCTGCCCCCTCCCCCGCCCCCACCCCGCCCCCACCCTCTCTCCTGGCCCCTGCCTGCCTATAATCTCGTTCTTGACATTAAAACAATATAATGACTCCACTGCTGGAAAAGACAAGCATCTGTAGCTTCTAAATGGGCAGCTCAGCCACAGCTGAAATTGCCTTTGTCTGTGGGATGCGAGGGCCCTCTGCGAAGAAAAATGTATTGTAGGAAAATGCAAATTTACAGGCCAATAAATTAGGGGGTGATTAGTCACGTTGCAATCCTTCTTCAAAGGATTCTTTAAAAGCTAAACTCGTTCATTTAGGTGTCTGTTTATAGCTCAGTAACTTCCAGACAGAGAGGCTGGGAGGCCCCACGGGACACAGCCAGGGAAACTGGGAAGATGCAGAGAAAAAGGGAGAAGTCTTCCGCGCTTAACCAGCTTGCGGCTAAAACATCCCAAAAGGGTCCTCCCATCACCTGGCTCGTGTCGATTCAAAACGGGTTCGTCCAGCATCTACTACAGGCCACGTGCTGCCTCCAACACGGGGGAAGCGGCCAGACAGGAACCCCGGGCTCTCATGGCGTTTACAGGGTGTTGGGGGGCCGGGAGGTGGGGAACAGGGAGAGTCACATTCATTCGATTCTCACTGGCTCCAGGTTGACAGGATGTGATTTACAGGCGGCTGTCTCTGAACACACTCATGGCCAAATGTCAGGGACGGTCCATATGCACGACGGCGGAAGGAGGGGTGAATAATCAAAGATGGGATTTGAAAAAGGGCAAAACAAGCATAAATGCCATGGCTTCTCCAGCTTTTCCCAAAGGACAAACACAAAGTTCGGCCTTCACTGAATCAGTGTCCTGGAGTCCCCTGTTCTGTGTCCTGGATGAAATCCCGTAGCCACTCAGCACTTAACGCCATTTACTGCAGGCAGACAGGGAGAGACCAGCTTGCGCCCCGGCCACTGGGATCGTGAAGGAATCTCTTCTGAGGGTGAAGTAAGCTCGGCTGGGTCGGCACTACTCGCCCTCCTTGAAGCCACCTGGACCTGACGCTCTTGCCCAGACTCTTCCTGCCTCCTGTCTCTGTTCTTCCCCCTTCTCTGCCTCGCAAACTCCTCTTCATCCTGCAGGACACAACTTCTGTCAAGGAGTTATTGCATTATATTATCATTTATCCATTAATGCCGACTGCCCCTGGGATTATATGCACCTTGAGGTTAGACTTAAGATGTGTTGGCACAATTATTAGAGTCAATCGCAGTGCCTGGCACATTAGGTGCTGCTCCAGATTTGTTTGCAGAATGAATGGCTTGAAGTAACTGGACGTATAAATGATCACAGCATCACCGTCATCAGTCACTGTGCACCAAGCACCTCACCTCCATCATCTCATGTAATCTTTACACCAACCCTGCAAGGGAGGGTTTTAAAATCACTGTCTTACAAGAGGAAAAACTGAGCCTGGAAAGGTTGAAGGCTTGCTCAAGGCGGAAGAGCTGGTGAATGATAGGACCAGGTCCAAAAGATGTTTTCTTTCACTGGCATCGGTTCTGCCTCCCAGGGCAGACTGTGTGGCACTCATCTATGTACACCCCTCCTCCCAGGACCCAGCATAATATGTGCACAAAATCAAATGACTGAATGAGCGAATGAATAAATGAATATGTAACCACTGTCATTTTCACATCAACCACGACTGAGCTAAATTCCAGGGCCACCGTGCCAAGCCATATTGGAACCCAAGCAAAAGGAAAAATGTGCGCCTGTGTATATGTATTTTAGGTGGTTTTTCAATAATTTTTTTCTAGAACATTAAGGAAAGGAATATTGAAGAATAAAAAGCAAGACTACTAAAAATCACAACATTATTTTTTAAGTTTCGATATTTTATTTATAGCAAAATCACAATGTATTATAATTTTGCCTGCCTGTCTTTGCTGAAAATAAACTCATCAATAACAATCAAAATGTAAAGTCAGTCTACTTATTTGTACTTATTTGCTTCTCTTTTTTTTTCTTTTCTCTTTCTTTCTTTTTTCTTTTTTTTTTCTGTCACCCAGGCTGGAGTACAGTGGTGTGATCTTGGCTCACTGCAGCTGCGACCTCCCAGGCTCAAGCGATCCTCCTGACTCGGCCTCCCTAGTAGCCGGGACTATAGGCAGGTGCCACCACACTTGGCTAAATTTTTTTTGGATATTTTGTAGAGACAGGGTTTCACCATGTTGCCCAGGCTGGTCTCGAACTCCTGGGCTGAAGCGATCCTCCTGTCATGGCCTCCCAAAGTGCTGGGATTGCAGGCGTGAGCCACCACACTTGGCCATGCTTATTTTTCTTTCTCAATTGAGAGTTGTAAGTTACAACAAATGAGAGAAAACTTTGAAAGTATGTTTGATGAATGTAAAACTTTAGAAAAAGATATGAATATACTCTCTAGATACTTAAGCTTAAAATACTATTGTGAGTTTTAATAACCCACTTTTTAATGTTTTAATAACTTTTCAGCTTCTTTAACATTCTGGGAAGCATATTTTTGAAAAATGCGTAAAATCATGTGTATAGGGGCACGCGGTTTTCCTCAGGCTTCGACATAGCCGTGTGGTGGACACTGTCAAATCTTATTTTTATTTAAAATTTTGATATTTGATTCATCATGGATTTTCTTTTGGCGTTAACTTTGATTTTTAAATAAAGTATTGCATTGAAATAGTATTTATCTTAATTACTGAGCTTTTTGGCACCCTCTCAAATTTTGTGCCCCAGGCAAGTGTCTCATGGGTCTCACCCAATCTCAGCCCAAGTAAATTCTAAAAGAGGAAGGTATTGTGAATGGAACTGCTCCTGTCCTACTGGCTGGGATCCAGACTGATACAGCTTCTCTGCAGGGCAGACTGGTGATATCCATCCAAAAACATTAAAATATTCATTTCCTATGGCCTACCACAATGCCACCTCCGGAGATTTATCTAAAGAAGTCTTTTGATACGGGCGAAGTTTGTTTTTTGTACAAAGATGTTCATTTCAGTGTTATTTATCACGGCATGATGTTGGAAATAACCTGGCTGCCCCAAAACAGAGGATTCATTTTTTAAAACGCTGTTGATCAATGTGCTTAAAAAAAAGTACAGCTGTTTTGAATCATGGTTTTTCAGAATAAAACTTTTGAAGAATATTTAATGACATGGGAAAATATTCATGATGCCTTTTATGGAAATGCAAGATAAAAGCTATAAATTTCACATTCTTTCGTTTTAAAATGCATATTTGTTTTGAAAAAACTAAATACATAAAAATGTTAATAGTAATTGTCCCAGGGTGATGGGATGATGAGTCAATTTTTAAATCTTTCTTCTACTTTTTTTGTATATGTCTTCTTTCTACTGTTTTTTATATTCCAAGGAGTTTATGGTTTTTTTTCTTATTTTTTTCTTTTTCTGTGTTTTTTTTTGTTTTGCTATTTTTTTTATTATTTATTTTTTTATTTGAGTCACAGTCTCGCTCTGTCACCCAGACTGGAGTGCAGTGGCACAATCTTGGCTCACTGTAACCTCCACTTCCCGAGTTCAAGCGATTCTTGAACCTCAGCCTCCCCAGTAGCTGGGATTACAGGTGTGCGCCACCACACCCAGCTAATTTTTGTATTTTTTGTAAAGATGGGGGTTCACCATGTTGGCCAGGCTGATCTTGAACTCCTGACCTCAAGTGATCCTCCCACCTTGGCCTCCCAAAGTGCTGGAATTACAAGCGTGAGCCCCCACCCCCTGCCTATTTTTTTGTTGTTGTTGTTTCAGAGACAGGGTCTTGCTATGTTGCCCAGGCTGGTCTCAAATTCCTCCCCTCAAGCAATCTTCTTGCTTCAGCCTCCTAAAGGCTGCAGGATTACAGGTGTGAGCCACTGCACCTGGCTTGTATTCATTTTATAACTGGGAATTAAAGGTGAATTTTTTTTTTTTTTTTGAGAGATGGAGTCTCGCTCTCTTGCCCGGCTGGAGTAGAGTGGTACAATCTTGCCTCACTGCAACCTCTGCCTCCCGGGTTCAAGTGATTCTCCTGCCTCAGTTTCCCAAGTAGCTGGGACTACAGGTGTGCACCACCATGCCCAGCTAATTTTTGTATTTTTTTTTAGTAGAGAGAGGGTTTCACTATATGTTGGCCAGGATGGTCTCGAACTCCTGACCTCAAGTGATCCGCCTGCCTTGGCCTCCCAAAGTGCTGGGATTCCAGGTGTGAGCCACCGTGCCTGGCCTAAAGGTGATATTTTTAAGTTAGTTCACCCTTTGAGTCTATACTTCAGACAGGCCTAGGAAGACTGGAAACATGTCTGCTTTGTCCCCTATTGCATTTCCAGAACTCATACTAGGACCTGGCAGATAGTAGGTGCTCAATAAACATTTGTTTAATAACTGCTTTTTTTTTTTTTTAAATAGGATTTCACTCTGTTGCCCAGACTGGAGTGCAATGATGTAATCATAACTCGCTGCTATGCCTTGAACTCCTATGCTCAAGAAATTCTCCCACCTCAGCCTCCCAAGTATAATAGCTGGGACTACAAGTGCACACCACTGTGCCCAGCTAACTTTTAAATTTTATGTAGAGCTGGGGTCTCACTTTACTGTCCAGGCTGGTCTTGAACACCTGGCTTCAAGTGATCCTCCTACCTTGGCCTCCCAAAATGCTGGGATCACAGGCATGAGCCACCGCACCTGGCTGAATAACTGCTTATTAATAAATGGCTCAAACACTCCTCAGATTAATCAGTACTCTTTTGGCTGCAAGAGACAGAAACATAACTTGGTTTATAAGAGAAAGGGAAAGTGTTGCCTTGCTGGTGAAGCTCACAGCTTTAAAAGGCTGGCTTTGGGGATCAGGGCCATCTGCATCTTAATCTCTTACTCCTGCTTGGTTCCCCAGTTTCAGCAGGGAAGATGGGCCGGATAGCTCCTGAGCCGCCTCCTCCCACCTCCTCTACAAAGTCATGGAATCAGGGGAGATGAATCCCAAAGGGATAGATTCTGGGTACAGGCCCCTCCAGTCTCACTTACCCTCTAGTCAGCTCTGTATCCATGACTAATGGAATGCAAAACTTAAGTGTAGTCAAATACAGCATCCTTAACAGAAATTTTTTTTTGGCTGGGCGCAGTGGCTCTTGCCTGTAATCCCATCACTTTGGGAGGCCAAGGCAGGCGGATCACTTGAGGGCAGGAGTTCAAGATCAGCCTGGCCAACAGGGTGAAACCTCGTCTCTACTAAAAATACAAAAATTAGCCGGGCATGGTGGCAGGCGCCTGTAATCCCAGCTACTCGGGAGGCTGAGACATGAGAATCACTTGAGATTGTGCCACTCCACTCCAGCCTGGGTGACAAAGGGAGATTCTGTCTCAAAAAAAAAAAAAAAATTTTTTTTGCATGCCTTATACCCATAGGGTAGAACTTATAAAACTTGTAACATTTAAAGTTTCAGTAATGTAAACATAAGGGGTTCAGAAGTTAAGAGTCAGACAGTTCCCAGGATAATTAGATAGCAATGGTCACTGGACAAAGAGGTTCCCGAAGGTTTCTGCTTCGGGTGAACTGACATCTCCCCTCCTTCAATGCATGCACCTCAACCTATTGGTCAGAGCCATTAGACATTGACATTTCCCATTCCTAAAGCTCCCTGTGACGTAGGCCAGAGGCACCTGCTTGCTGGAGGGCAGTTTCAGGATGTCAGGCGCAAGCAAGCTATTGAGTTCCCAAGGTTACCAGACTTCTGTACCTGGGGGATTCAGTGTGTGGGTGACACTCTTAGGCTATCACCACCAAGGACACTGTTCATATCCTTTGACGGTTCTGCTGCAAGAGCAGAATTTAGTTCAGAGAAGGATAACTCATTGTGCCAGGCTCTCAGTGGATGACTTCATATATATAACCCTCAAAACAAGGCAAAAATAAAACAGGTAAGGCAATAATGATAATGATCCCATGTTACAAGTGAGCAAATGGAGGCTCAAAATATAAAGGTCACACAGCTACCAAACGGCAGAGCTGGGCTCCAAACCTGGCTGTGCTGTCTCCAAGTCCCGTCATCTTTCCACTCCCCAAGTGCGTCCCATGGGTCATGAGAGCCACCAGGTAATATGCCAAAAAAGAACTTCTTGGGTGAATTGTTTTGGGAAATGCTGCAAACTATTTCTCCCTCTTGGAAAGTCACAATATTCATTAGCACCTAAAGGCTCTGAAAAATCCTCCATGAAAGAAGCTGGATTGATATTGTTTAATGTAGCGTATCAGTCTGTTCTCACACTGCCATAAAGATACTACCTGAGACTGGGTAATTTATAAAGGAAAGAAGTTTAATTGACTCATAGCTCTGCATGGCTGGGGAGACTTCAGGCAACTTACAATCATGGTGGAAGGCAAAGGAGAAGCAAGTACCTTCTTCACAAGGTGGCAGGAGAGAGAGAGCATGTAGGGGAAACTGCCGCTTTTAAACCATCAGATCTCATGAGAACTCCCTCACTATCAGGAGAACAGCATGGGGGAAACCACCCCCCTTATCCAATCACCTCTCACCTCCCACCAGATCCCTCCCTCGACATGTGGTGATTACAATTCGAGATGAGATTTGGGTGGGGACACAGAGTCAAACCATATCATCCATTTTGCCTGAACGTATTTGACCACGTAATTCTTTTTCCTTCCCATGACAACTATATCTTATAGGATATACTGTGGGAATCACTGTGTTCATTCATTAGAACAACAGCTTTCAAGTGTTTGCCTAGCAAGTGAAAATCTGTGGGAGGTGTATCCCAGCTAATTCTACAGAAAGTCACTGAGACTCAGAAGGAATTGAGTTATCATGATTCTCACCCACATACTTTTGGACAGCTTTTTGGGTGCAGGAGAAAGCTGTGGAATTACAGCTTTAGCCCTGGGCTTTGCTCAGGACTCACAGCCTATCTGTGCCTTGTCATGGAAACAGTACTGGCATCATGACCTGCGTGGACACAACTATAATGCTTATGGGTTTTGATGGGTTTATAGGCATTACTGTTTTGTTTTCCATTTGAATCAAGGATAACCTTTGTAGCACAGGTGCAAGGGACATCGCTTGCTATGTCTTCCCCGGGTTCCCATCCCGCATGGTTCCAGTGGATCAATCAATGGCAGGGCTCCCTGCTATGTCTGTTGTTTTGCCATGGGTCTCACCCTCATAGTTCTTGGCCCAAGGACTGGGCAGCTGATCCAAACACAGCCAATTGGATTCCTTCCACGAGGTCAGATGTATGGACTGTGGGAGAAAACAACTTACTGGATCATAAGCAATGTAGAGTTTGGCAGAGACTTGGCATAGTTTCTTTCTCACCTTGTGAGGTAAAGGTTGTCTGAGATTTAAGCTAACATACAGAAGGAAGCAGAGCTGAAAACTACAGAGAGAGGACTGAAGAAAGATGGCCAGAGTCTTGGAAACATCACTTGAGTCCCTGGATCCAGCCATGCCTGAAACTGTCGTACCGTCAGTATTCTACTTATATGAACCAATGCCTTCCCCTTTTTGCTTAAGCTCATTACAGTCATGTTTCTAGTCATTAGCAACTAAAACAGTAATGATGTATTTAGAAATTGGTACCCCAAAATGATATATTATAGATGACAACCTAAAATGTGGAATGAGCTGAGTTGAGGGGAGATGCAGGCCTGGGAGGGTTCCCCAGTCCTTGCTGGGGAATTGAAAATTCTTGTTAGGTAATAGGAGGCACTTGGCTAAACTATACTAGTTGTATACTGAGACTCTGATTTTGTGCCTCAAGGGCTAAAGCCTTAGGGAATTTGGTAGAAAAACGTAAGGATGTTGGACTGTGTTGGCTCCTTTTTGTAGCCCTCAATAAGATTCTTCAAGAGAAAGAGAAAAGTTTCAGGTCCAGCCAGCCCATGTGAAAGCAGAGGAGGTTGTTGACGCCGTTTCTGCTGTGATGGCCCTGGTGGGGCAGGCTTAGTATGTAGTCCTCCTGAGCCCAGAGGGAAGAGTCGATGTCACAGATGCTCAGGGGGCCAGGGTTCTTCCTGGGAGTTGGGAGAGGCAGACCCCCCAGAACACAGTCCAGATAGAGGGCAGCATTGTCACGGTCCTCTGTCCAAAACCAGGAGAGGAAAGCAGTTAAAATAGGGGACATGGTTTGGATGCTGGTCTTCTCCAAATCTCAGATTGAAAGGCAATCCCCAGTGTTGGAGGTGGGGCCTGGGGGAGGTGACTGGATCATGGGGGTGGATCCCTCATGAATGGCTTAGCGCCATCCCCTTGGTGATGAGTGAATTCTTGCGCAGTGAGTTCACGGGAGATCTCATTGTTTAAAAAGAGCATGGTACCTCCCCTCACTCTTGCTCCATCTCTTGTCATGTAATACACTGATTCCCCCTTTTACCTTCCACCATGATTGGAAGCTCCCTGAGGCCTCATCAGAAACCAAGGAGATGCTGGTACCATGCTTCCTGGACAGTCTGCAGAGCCAATTCAACCTCTTTTCTTTATAAATTACCCAGTCTCAGGTATTCCTGTATAGCAACACAATGACGGACTAATACAGATAGAGACTAGGGGAGAAGGGTCATTCAGTTACTCATTCGACAAATCTTTATTGTAAGTCCGTATGTGCCAGGCACTGTCCTAGACAGTGAGTATGCAATGTCCTAGGCAGGGAGACAGGCAAGCGTCCTGCACTCAGAGTGCTGAGTCTGTAGCTGGGACACAGGAAGTAAGCAGGTGGAAAAAATCAACAGAATACTTGCCAACAGTGCAAAGTGCTACAAAGAAATTCAGCTGGCTGATATGACAAAGAGGGACTTGGAGGACTTGTGAACTAAGATTCTCCAAGATGAGAAAGAACCAGTCCAGTCTGGGGGCAAAGCATCCAAATTAAACAGTAAAGGCAAGGGACCTGAGGGTAGAACCAGCTGGGTGAATTTAAAGAACAATAAAAAGGGGTCAATGTAAAGGAGTCAGGAGTTAGCAAGTGAGGAAGAGAATGATGAGAAATTCAGTACAAGAGGTAAAGAAAGCACAGATCACTCTGAACCTTCTAGACAACGGTCAGGTTTGGGTGTTATTCCAAGTACAACGAATAGCTCCAGAAGGATTTCAGAGGGATGGTGACCTAATGTGAGTTATGTTTTTAAAAGATTGGGCTGGGCACGGTGGCTCACTGCTGTAATCCCAGCCCTTTGGGAGGCCAAGGGGGGGCGGATCACCTGAGGTCAGGAGTTTAAAACCGGCCTGGCCAACATGGCGAAAACCTGTCTCTACTAAAAATACAAAAATTAGCCAGGCGTGGTGGCGGGTGCCTGTAATCCCAGCTACTCAGAAGGCTGAGGCACAAGAACCACTTGAGCTCGGGAGGCAGAGGTTGCAGTGAGCCGAGCTCAAGCCACTGCACTCCAGCCTGGGCAACAGAGCAAGACTCTGTCTTGAAAGAAAAGAAAGAGAGAGAGAGGAGAGAGAGAGAAAGAGAGAGAGAGGAAGGAAGGAAGGAAGGAAGGAGAAAGAAAGGAAGGAAGGAAGGAATGAAGGAAGGAAGGAAGGAAGGAAAGAAGGAAGGAAGGAATGAAGGAAGGAAGGAAGGAAAGAAGGAAGGAAGGAAGGAAGGAAGGAAGGAAGGAAGATTGGATTGGTGGTTGGTTGTAGAATGGCTGGTGGAGGCCAAAGTGAAACCAGGAGATGGGCTGGGCAGAGGGTGTGGGGTTGGTGCAGGCAACAGGCAGTGGTGGCAGGGACTAAGATGAAGAAGTGTGCGTGGTGACAACTTGTCATAATGGAATGCCCCACGAAGGCAGAGCTGACAGTGTTTCCAATGGGTAGGATGTGGGATGTGACGAGCGGGGAATGAGAGATGACTCATGTGGTGGATGGTATTGGGGTCCCCGCAGATCTCTTTTGCTGCTGGGCACCCCGCCACCTGGGTGGATGGTGATGTCATTTGAGAGGGGGAAGATTTTGGGAGGAAAGTTTTAGCTAGAAAATAAAGAGTTTGCTTTTGGATGTGTTAAGGTTGAGATGCTTGCTAAAAGGTGTCAAGAAGCTATTTGGAATGGAAAAGTGAGCAGGCTGTATTTAGCATCCGTCCTGACCCTGTGATATCACTAGAGGGATGGTTGAAGGCAAGGAGCCGCTGAGAGCAGGTGGGGAGCTTGGAAGGAGCAGGAGCTTAGGTAGACAACGGACCAAAGAATGTGATTGGCCTTCGGGGGAGGAAGTTCTGCCCTTGGCACAAACCAATTGCAGTGAGGACTAAGAATGATTCCTGCCCTCTTCTGCGAGGCTGTTTCTCCATCTCCTTCTCTGTTTTAACAAAAATCAGGAGGCTGGAGAAGCTGACTCCCACCTGCTGAGCTAGTGGAGAGACGGTCAGGACAGCTCAGATGGACTCTTCCTCCCAGCACATCACCAGCAGGGAGAAGAGAAACTGAGTTGTTCTCCAAGGACCCAGACACCTCTGCCAGATATTCATCCCTGAATGAATGAGTTCTGAGAAGGGCAGCCATCACCCTCTCCACCATTTGGGATGACGAAGGGGCTGTACGGAGGTCAGGCGGCAGCCTAGGGGTTGGGACACTTGATTCTAGTCCCTCCATCTTGCTGTGTAACCTCAGACAATTCATTTTCTGCCTTTAGGCAGAAAATGCTTGATTTTCTTAATTTCTTAAAATTCTTACAGTTTCTCTACCTGTGAGAACTGGAGGGACTCTTCTAGGTCTGATGTCTCCCCCAGACCCGTCTTTTCCTTCAGAACCTCTTTCCCCCAATCCTGACTTGATTCCCATGCAGTTTGGCTTGGTTTTTCTCCTGGCTGCCCGAGTTAGTATTTCTATATGCCAATTCACACTAAAGTGTTAACGACTAACAAAAGATGGGTTTATATTTAAATATATACCTGGAACTTGTTCAGTAACTGTATATTGAGCACCATTCAATGGTTTAAGACTTATGCCAGGTGCTATTTATAAAAGGTTCCAAGAGAAGGAAAGTAAAGCCTTAGCCTCCTATCCTGGAACTCTGGCAAGAGAGATCTCGTTAGGTCCCCAATGTGATCTGGGCTTCCCAGCTATTCTCTCTAGACCTTCCTATTACAATGCAGATACCTTTTCTCTGTATTTGCAGAGAAGGAAGTAGGGGGAGTGAGATTAAAATCCAGGATTCCAGCTTGGGTAACATGGTGAAACCCCATCTCTACAAAAAAAAAAAAAAAAAAATTAGCTGGGCGTGGTGGCTCACGCCTGTAGTCTCAGCTACTTGGGAGGCTGAAGCATGGGAATCCCTTGAGCCCAGGAGGTGGAGGTTGCAGTGAGCTGAGATTGCGCCACTGCACTCCAGCCTGGGCAACAGAGTGAGGCTTTGTTTCAAAAAACAAAAACAAACAAACAAACAAACAAAAACAGGATTGGCCAGGTCCAAAGCCTAAGTGCTTTCCTCTGTGCCAATGACCATCCATTCAGTCTTTGCTTGTTCCCCCCACATCCCTTGGAGGAAACATGGCCTGCTTCTGGTCATGCCATCTGTGATGAGGCGCTCACTTCCAATGTGGTCTTGTTTGTGGTTCAAGGAATCTCACAGCTCAAAGGGATCCAAATGTTTTTCCTGTCCAAAGGTTTCTACCCTGACTCTGTTCAGGTGAAAAATACCAGGGCCCCGCCTTCATCCTGGAATAAGCTGATTCAGTAGTTCTGGAGTAGGCCTGGGAATCTGTATTTTAAGGATGACTCTTCAGGCAGGCAGATTTGGAAATCACTGGAAATGTGCACCTTTTCCTGGATCCTGAACCAATCCTGCAATGAGACCTTGGCTTGGGGTTGAGTAGACCTGAATCTGACTCTGCCACATACGAGCTGTGTGGCCTTGGGCAAATCACTTCATTTCTCTGAGCCTGTTTTCTCGTCTGAACAACGCAGATAAGAACACCTGCCCATAGGAAAGAGGGGAAAACTGAATGAGAACTATGTACAGTGCATGTCCTAAGCAGGCACTCAGCAAGTTGTCACTGTCACCAATGCTATTGTTGCTGCAGACATGTGGCCATCTGTCCGAAGAACACAAGCCCCTCCTGCCTCCCACATCTAGGCCAGTCTCTCCCTAGTGCTCAGGACATTTATACTGTCAATCCTGGCACAGGCCTCCTCCCAGCTTCCAGCATCAGCAGTGAACCCCCTACCCTCTTGCCAATGCCTCTAGAATACTCACTTCTTCCACGGGGCCTCCCAGGACTGACCTCACCCCAGGGCCTATCAGCTGAGCCCTCAAAGCATTTCTCCCACTATCTCAGCTCCCCACACCCAGTGGTGCCTGGGTGGGGCTGGACAGGGGGTCAGGCCCTTGTGTCTGCAGCCCAGGCAGCCCAGGGAATGGTCGCTAACTCAGGGACAGGGTCAGGAGCACATGGAGTTGGCCATCTGTGTTGTTCTCTTCTGTGAATGGTGACTGGCTGTTAAGAGGCATCAGTGAAGTCATGGGCAGAAAGCACTCGGTCAGCGGGAAGCATTGCCTTCGAGGTTGCTTTCCTTGTCAGTTCCTTCCAGGAGCCTGGTGTCTCCTGAGGCTAAGGCAACAGAAAGGGCCTTTTCAACATCATTTGAAGTGAGGAAGAACAGACACTCTTTCAGCATGGTACAGTAGAAGAGGCTACTTCTCCCAGGGCAAAAGATGCTATCTGCACCTGGCTGGCTGCTGTGAATACTCCAGCCAAATCCCAGACCACCATGAAGGCCTCCCCAGCCACACTCCAGGCCCCATCGTCTGAGGATCAGAATCCACAGGAAAGAGCGGACAGGGTAGATAAAGAAGAGCTGAAAGGGCAGGGCTGGGGGAGATGTCAGGAAGCGAAGGAGTTCAGACAACCAAGAGGAGAAGTCAGGAGGCAGAGAGCCCAGCCGGGCTGTCCTCCAGGACCTGGAGCTGCTGCTGTGCCATCGCTGTGGACCTGTGGACAAGGAGCCAACTGGGGAAGCAGCACTGAAACTACCACACCTGGGCGACTTGGGCCACCTGCTCCTATGTGTGCTCAACCTGGTGACTGCAAGGCCGTTGCGAAGCAGCCCCTCTCCCCCTGTCTTCTACAATAATGGAATCATCATAATAATTGCTAACACACAGGGCACTTGCTGTTTGTCGGGCATGGTCCAGGGATCATCCACATTAACTCATTTACCCCTCACCACAATCCCAAGAGGTAGAGGTAGTTCATGTCTAGATGAGGAAACTAAGGCACAGAGAGGTTAAGTAGCTTGCCCACAGTCACACAGCTACTAAGTAGCAGAACTGAGATAGTCTCAGAGCAGTGCCAGGCTCGCATCCTCTCCCTGCCTCCACCTCTCTTCTCTTTATCACCCCAATGTTTCCACATGTCCCTCCCCATTTCTTCATTCCTTGGCCTGCCCTCTGGCCTGCAAAGAGCGGCAATTTCACTCTACTTAATCCCCGGCCAGGCTTGTCACCCAGAGGCCAGTGTTTAAGCTCTGACGCAGCCCACATCCTCACTGCCAGACCTGACTCCTGTCTGTCTCTCCAGCTCAGCCTTGCCTCACCCCCTACCCTGAGCGCCTGGCTGCTTCTTGCTGCCCCCTTAGCCTGGAATGTCCCTGCCGCACCTACTTGGAGGGCACTTGATCTTCTTTCAATGATTGAAGCAAGCAGTTGTGTTTTCAGAGAAGCAAAAAGCTGGGAACTTCTTAAATGTCCAGCAATAGAGATTTATTGAGCAAATGAGGGAAATTCATCATACATTGGAATAGGGAAATTCATCATACATTCAGCAGCCATCAACAAAGATACTGTAGAAAAGTAAGCTCCTGAGATGTGCCGGTCATTGCGCTAGGTACCCTGTCTATATACATCACCTTGCTTCATTTAATCCTCAAGGTTGCTCTGATTATTCAAAGAAGAGTAAGTGTCGTCCAAGCAAGTGGGGCAGGGGCATTCCAGGCTAAGGGAGAAGCTGCCAGGTACTTAGGAAAATGGCCGCTGGTTGGAGTGGGGTGAGGCAAGGCTGAGCTGGAGAGCTGGTCCTGCAGGGGGCTCTGGCCTGCCCTTTGATAGAGGCCTCACTTTTCTCTCCTCATACAGATACAGGAAGTGAGGCTCAGAGAAGATGGTAACTACCTGATCCAAGTGGTTGGACCGATTTTGACCCAGGACTTCACTGTTCATGCTTGGAGCCGCCAAGCTATGCTTACAACATGGAAAAATGTTCATGGCACATTGTATTGCATGAACATCAAAGCAAGTTGCCAAATAATATAGCTGCGTGATCCCAATTTGATTCGCAAAAATGCACGCCCCCCCACACACAGAAAAAAATATCACCATCTCAACTCTATTTCTGAATGGTGGTGGGATTGGAGTTCAGTTTTACTCTACTCCTTCTGTTCATCTGCTTTTCTTCATTTTGCACAGTGAGTAGGCATCACTAATAGGAGACAGTCCTTACCACCCACCACTACCTGCTCTAAACAGACTCCAGGCCCAAGTTCATGCAACTTTTCCGCCCTCAGGAACTTTTCTGCCTGCCCAGGTAGCCCTGTCCCATGTGCCCCACCCACCTGTGCCTCCGCAGACCTGGGTTCTCCCGTCCATCAGAGCCCTGTGATGTTTCAGGACACTCACTGCTGGTGGCCTCTTTCCGTGGCATTGGACTATGGCTTCTCCCAAAGACGCCCCTTCCCCCATGCCTGCCTTTCCTGTCTGACATGGTTTGGCTGTGTTCCCAACCAAATCTCATCTTGAACTGTAGTTTGCATCATCCCCACATGTCATGGGAGGGACCCCCTGGGAGGTAATTGAATCATGGGGGCGGTTACCTCCATGCTGTTCTCGTGGTAGTGAGCGAGTTCTCACGAGATTTGATGGCTTTATAAGGGGCTTTCGCCGGCTTCGCTCTGCACATCTCCTTGCTGCCACCAAGTGAAGGAAGTGTTTGCTTCCCTTTCCGCCATGATTGTAAGTTTCCTGAGGCCTCCCCAGCCCTGCGGAACTGTGATTCAATTAAACCTCTTTCCTTTATAAATTACCCAGTCTCAGATATATCCTTATAGCATAAGAACAGACTAATACACCCGTCTCAGTCTCTCCAGAGCCCCAGCATGAAGGGTGGTCTGTGGTAGGCACCCCATGTGTGTTTTTGAAGTGACTCACGGAGTGATTGCCTGGCTAAAGGAAGAGAGAGCGGGTGGTTCTAAGGCCAGCTCCAAGCAGGAGTCCTGGTTCGTTCATTGCTGAGGGTTGTCCAAGCAGCATTCCCAGAGCAGGAGACGCCTTGTCCACATGAAAATGTCTGATTTGGCTGCCACTGGAGGATGACCTGATACCCCATGTGTTCAAAGGAAGCATTTACTGGAACCCCAAGCAGCCAGGAGGCTCCCCATGCAGAGGGGAAAACCAAGCCCAGAGCTTGCCTTGGAGTCAACATCTCACCCTGCACAAGACTTTCACAAATGCACATGTACACAGAGATGTGTACACATCCTCACCAACAGAGGCACACACACAGCATGGGCATAAACACAGTGATGTGCAGACACACAAATATACGCATAAAGGCCATGTACACACTCAGGCAGGTACATACTGGCATGTGTACACAATAGACAGGTGTGCACATTTTCTGCGTGCACACATAAATGTGTACACGCAGAAAATGTGTATGCACAGACATACAAACACATACATGTGCACAAAGACATATATGTGTGCAGAAAACTGTGTGTAGGCAGATACGTGAGCACTCACGGAAATGGCACCCATAGACAGGTGTACACAGACGGACATGTGACTACACATGCACAAACACATCCCTCCAGAGAGATGTGTGCACACTCCCGTCGTCATCCATGTTGCAGAAAGGGAGCTGCAAGGCCTGGGAAACCAGACAGCTGGGCTCTGACCCCGATGCTGCTGCTCATTTGCAGCATGACCTTAAGCAAGATACTTTCCAGGATGCGTCTCGAGTTCCCAAATGTTTAAATATAGTCATTTCCAATTAACTGAGTAAACACCTGAAAATCAAGGGGCTGGATGAACCTTCACATTTTAGATCAGGAAGGTTCCTCCGTGGTCTTATTCAAACCCCACTCTCTTTTTTTTTTGGAGATGGAGTCTCGCTCTTGTCACCCTGGCTGGAGTGCAGTGGCACTATCCCGGCTCAGCTGCCAAAAGTGCTGGGATTACAGGCGTGAGCCACTGCACCCAGCCCAAACCCCTCATTTTGAAAAGTAGGAAACAGGTGAAGTGACTTTTACAAGGTCCCTCAGAGAGTCCATGGCAGATTAGAATTAGAATTCGGGTCTCCTGCCCTGGGCAGGACTTGATCTCATTCTCTCCACCGTTTAGGGAGTGATCGAATGTTACTCATGCTGAGGTTCTTTACGCCTATTAATACCACAACTCCCCTTAATGAATTCAATACTGTAGACAAAATATCCACATTCTGCTGGGGTTGTGGAGAAAAGGACCTCAGGAGAGTTGCTTGAACCAAACACAGCTGGGATTGTAGTTCTAACTCCAAATGCCAGGCTGCTGTGCCCACTGAAGTGGGCAGAGTTGAGAGGTTTGGGTCAACCAAATCTGAATGCAAAGCTGCCCTCCTAACCTATCCTGGCAATAGGCATCAAGTGCTTAGTATTTTGCACACTCTTTGACAAAACAATTCCTCTCTAAGGAATTTTTTGGGAAATAACTGAGGATGTGAGAAAAGATTTATCTACAAGAATGTTCATCCCAGTGTCATTGACAACAGCTAAAATATAGATCCAATTTAAATATCCCAAACTGGGGACAAATCCATCTATTGGAGATAAATGATCCCCACACTCAGAATATCATGGAATTTTTTACAATTATTTCCCCCCAAAGAATACTTAATTGCATGCAGAAATGGCTATGGCATCTTATTAAGTGAAAAGAACCTGTTATGAAGCACTTCTAGAAGAGGCACTCTAGTATGGAGATGAGAGGCA
Organism: Homo sapiens; assembly: GCF_000001405.40. Taxonomy (NCBI): domain Eukaryota; kingdom Metazoa; phylum Chordata; class Mammalia; order Primates; family Hominidae; genus Homo; species Homo sapiens. Next base: position 22,367,910 of record NC_000001.11, read on the forward strand.
TTAGAATTAAATGGAACTGGAGTGAAAAAATTTATCAGCATTCTAGCTGATTATTTTTGGATGGGGGTGGGTTCGGAAATCATTTTTAGTCTCTTCTGTTGATCTACTATTCTTCAATTTGTACAGTGTGCATACATTATTTATTTAAGACAATGCTCACGTGAGTACCTCTCTGCATGCTTTAAAAGTTATTCCTCTTTGCAGCTTTTCCTGCCTTCTCTGCCCAGCCAAGTAACTGTGCCCACCTGCCCCCTGCCACCTGTGGGACTTCTACCACTTAGCAGCTGTTTGACCCCAGGCAAGCTCTTAACCACTTTGAGCCATGGTTTCCCCATCTAGAAAAGACACATGATCATAGTACATACATAATAAAGCTATCGGAAGGATTAAAGGATATTATGCATTTAATTTGCTTAGTGCAGAGCCCAGCATATTGTTAAGAGCTGTAATGCATTGTTACATATATATGTAATATGCATACACACACATATGTAAACTGATAGGAGATACACAAAGTATTAGAAGTGCATCTCTAGAAGTTTTTGTTTTCTTATTTGTTTGGAAATCAGGGGAGACAAAAGTTATTTAGAAAGGAAGCTACTGACCTCCAATACCGCTGTGTGGGATACAGCAGGATGCTGGCAGCCCAGGAGCTGGTCCTCATGTGCCTCGTCCAGGGCTCCTTCCTCTGGGCCATGTGTGGGAGGGTGGATGCTGAGGGAGTTGGCATCCAAGGATGCTCACTGTGGATCATCAGAAGAGCCCAGAGGTTGGCCGGGTACGGTGGCTCACACCTGTAATCCCAGCACTTTGGGAGGCTGAGGTGGGTGGATCTTTTTAGGTCAGGAGTTCGAGGCCAGCCTGGCCAATATGGTGAAACCCCATCTCTACTAAAAATACAAAAAAAAAAAAATAGCTGGGCATGGTGGCACATGCCTCCAATCCCAGCTACTGGGGAGGCTGAGGCAGGAGAATCACTTGAACCCAGGAGACGGAGGTTGCAGTGAACTGAGATCGCACCACTACACTCCAGCCTGGGCAACAGAGTGAGACTCCATCTCAGACAAACAAACAAACAAACACACAAACAAAAAACAACAACAAAAAAGAAGAGCCCAGAGGTCGGAGGATTGCATGAAGCCAGGAGTTTGAGACCAGCCTGTGCAACATACAAGACCTCATCTCTAAAAGAAAAAGAAAAGGAGCCCAGAATGGTAAGTGTAGAAGCAGTGAATGCATGAATGAACACACAAATGAACAGATGAATGAATGAATCTGACTGACTGCAGGAAGAATAGGAGGGAGAAAGTGAGTCAGGAGTGACTGCTCCATTTTATAGGAGACTGAGGCTCTGAGTGGTGAAGTAACTTGCCTGAGGTCACTCAGCAGCCACTGCCTGAATCAGGATTTGAACCAAGCCCTGTTGATTCCAAAGGGTATCCTCTTGACACCATTTCTCTTTAAATAGTGAGGTCTTTGCAGGTAAAGGGAAAGCACAAAGCCTCCCAGGTTGGTCCAGCTTGGTCCTCGGGAATTCAAAGGTCTAATGAATGAGACCATCCTTGACTTCCGGAGTCCTTCGGCCCCCGGGACTGTTGGCTTGATTGCAGATAAAAAAGACACGGAAACTTCTTCTGTCCCAGTGTGACCTGGTTCCCTGTTGTCCTTCTAGTGCAGCAAAGCCAAGTTCTCACAGACCCTGTGGCTCCCAACCGCTTCCAATGGATTCATTGTCTGCCTTGTTTTGTTTGTCCCAAGTTCAGGCCACCCTGTTTTTGCCTGGTGAGTGGCCTCTTTCAAAGGTGAGCTGGCCTTTCTCTGCCTTTGACAATTGGTCCATTCAAAGGCGGCATGCATCTCCACAAGCAGGCCAATGTTGTCACACAGGCAGATCTCCAACACAGCCACCAAGCGGGTGTGCAGGTAGGTGTCCATGTGCCTCAATGCCTAGTTGTGCACTCCATGCAGGAGGCAGGGCAGGGGTGAGAAGGGAGAGCCCGAGAGCACAGGAGAGTGTAGAACACGCCTGGGGACAGTCAGGTTAATGGCAGCTCTACCAAGAAGTGCTCTGCCATCCAGTAAGTGCGAGGAATGATCAAAGCTCTTTTTCTTAAAATGTACAGTATATATGTGAGCATGATGAAGGCTCTGAGAAGTTTTGCTGTAAGAAAAATTGGGGGACTTTTGAGAATTTCCATTTCCTTCCTTCCTCCCTCCCTTCCTTCCTCTCTCCTTCCCTTCCTTCTTCCCTCCCTCCCTCCCTCCCTCCCTTCCTTCCTTCCTTCCTTCCTTCTTTCCTTCCTTCCCCTCTCCCTTCTTTCCTCAACAAATGCTCCATGAGTTCCTGATATCCACCAGGAGCTGTCCCAGGTGTTAGGGATGTAGCCATGAACAAAGTAAGCCACGGCTTCCTGTCCCCATGGGGCTGACATTCCAGTGGGAAGAGACAGACAATAAACATAGTAAGTAAAGCATGCAGGGGTGTCTGATCTTTTGGCTTTCCTGGGCCACATTGGAAGGAGAAGAATTGTCTTGGGTCACACATAAAATACACTAGTGATAGCTGATGAGCTTTAAAAAATTGCAAAAAAAAAAAATCAACGTTTTAAGAAAGTTTATGCATTTGTGTTGGGCTGCATTCAAAGCTGTCCTGGGCTGCATGAGGCCCATGTGCTGTGACTTGGACAAGCTTGGCATAGAGTATGTCAGATGAGGGCAGTGCTGCGGAGGAGAATGAAGCAGGTGAGGAGGATAGAGGACGCTAGAGCGGGGGGGTGCTTTGCAGTTGTATGGAGGTGACAGCGTCCTAATTGAGAAGATGATGTTGATCCAAGACCTACAGGAGGCTGGGAAGCCCAGTCTGCAGACACCCACTTGGGAGAAGAGCATTCCAGGCAGAGGGGACTGCAAGTGCAAAGGCCCTGAGGTCCGAGCATGCCTGATGGGATTTAGGAGCAGCAGGGAAGCCAGCATGGCCACCAAACCCATTTCCCTCCCATAGGACAGGTTTTAAGCATCTGGGACTCTTTAGTCAAAAAGACCTGGGTTTATCCCAGCTTTACCTCTTCTCCTTGCCTATGCAAGTTGAGGCAAGTGATGACACCTCTCAGAGCCTGTTTCCTTCTCTGTAAAACAGGGATAACAACATGCACCCACTTCACAGAGGCCTGGTGAGGTGCAAATGAAGTAATGCGCGCTGTGCCTCCACTCTGCCTGGCCCATGTAAGCTCCAGAAATCGCAGTTCCGGTTGTCATTATCAATATTATTACAAGCTGGGCATGGTGGCTCATGCCTGTAATCCCAGCACTTTGGGAGGCCAAAGCAGGAGAATCACTTGAACCCAGGAGTTCAAGACCAGCCTGGGCAACATAGCAGGATCCTATCCCTACAACAAATAAAGAAATTGGCCGGGTGTGGTGGTGTTCAAGTGTAGTCCTAGGTACTCAGGAGGCTGAGGCAGGAGGATTGTTTGAGCCCAGGAGTTTGAGGCTGCAGTGAGCTATGATCTTGCCACTGCACTCTAGCCTGGGTGACACAAAAAGACCCTGTCTCAAAAAAACACAAAACACAAAAAATGGAAAACAAAAACAAAGAAAATAGAATCTAGGCCAGCTGCAGTGAATCATGCCTATAATACCAGCACTCTGGGAGGCTAAGGTGGGAGGATCGCTTGAGCCCAGGAGCTCAAGGCTGCACTAAGCTATGATTGCGCCACTGCACTCCAGCCTGCGTGATGGAGCGAGACTTTGTCTCTGAAAAAGACAAAAATGATTACAGCTGTGTGAGGTTGTGTCAGCCCCAGCGGACCCACTGCCTTCCCAGGAGACCCTAGACTGAAAACATGCTGGCCATGGCAGCACCCTCTGCTGAATCCCCCAGCCCTGAGGCAGCAAAGAACAGAGGGAGGTTCTGAAATGGGCAGGGCCCCAGAGGGAGGGGTACTCCTCATGGTGAACCTGCTGTCAGCTCTCCTCACAGCAAATAACCCCTTGATGACAAGGAGAAATAGATTAGAGAGAATCACAGGAGAAATTTGAGATGCAAGGCCAAACCAAAAAGCCCACCAAGGTCAAAACTAAATGAAATGTGAACTTGCAGAGCGTCTTCTGAAATCCTGCTGGGCTTCCCGGCCCCTGCTCCGGGCACTGAGGGTAGGCCTTCTAAGACAGCAGGGCCACTAGGAGTTTAAGTATTCTTTCTCACAGCTCCTCCCCAACATGCCCAAATTCCTCATTCCCCTGCCAGCTAATTTTCACTGAGGCTCAGGAACGGCCTCCTTACTGCTGAGATTTTAAGATGGTTTACTTAACAAGTATTTATGAGTGCCAACTATGCACAGACACTGTTCTAGGCATTAGGTTACAAGATACATGATCTCTCTTCTCCTGTGGAGCTTTCAGACCAGGAGTTCTCAAAGTGCGGTCCCTGGACCGGCAGCATCAGCATCACCTGGGATTCGGTAGAAAAGCAAATTCTTGGTCCCACCCCGGACCCACTGAATCAGAAACTCTGGGGTGGAGCCCAGCAGTGTGGGCTTTAACAAGTCTTCCAGGTGATCCTGATGCATGCTAAACTATGAGAACCAGGCCGAACATGGCAGCTCTTGCCTGTAAGCCCAGCACTTTGGGAGGTCAAGGTGAGTGGATCACTTGAGACCAGGAGTTCGAGACCAGCCTGGCCAACATGACGAAACCCCTGTCTCTACTAAAAATACAAAAATGATGGCACGGTGGCTCATGCCTGTAATCCCAGCACTTTGGGAGGCTGAGACAGGTGGATCTCATGAGGTCAGGCGTTTGAGACCAGCCTGGCCAACATGGTGAAACCCCATCTCTACTAAAAATACAAAAATTAGCCAGGTATGATGGTGTGCACCTCTAATTTAATCAGCTAGTTGGGAAGCAGAGGCACAAGAACTGCTCAGGAATTTGAGGCTGTAGTGAGCTGTGATTACACCACTGTGCTACAGCTTGGATATGACCCTGTTGAATAAAGAAAGCAAGAGAAAGGAATGGAATGGAGTGGAATGGAGTGGAGTGGAGTGGAGTGGAATGGAATGGAATGGAATGGAAAAAGGGAGGGAGGGAAAGAAAGAAACTAGGATGGAGAAGTGAATAAAATGTCTGGGAGGATAATGCAGTAACTGGTCTCCAAAGATGGACTATCCTTCCCAATGTCCACACCTAGTGTAGTCCTCTCCCCTTGAATCTGGATTGGCTTGTGACCTCTTTTTGACCAACAGAATGCTGTAGAGGTGATGCTATGTAAAACCTGAGGCTAGGTCAGAAAATGCCTTACAGCTTTCACCTGAATCTCTTAGAATATTCACTCTTGGGATGCCCTGTCTTAGAACCCAACTGCCATGCTGTGAGAAGCCCATACCACATGGGCAGGGCACAGGCAGGCACTCTGACAACTTCAGCTCAGTTCCCAGCCTTCTGCCAGCATCAATCACTGGTCATGTGAATGTGCCATCTTGGATATTCCAGCCCAGTTGAGCTCCCCACAGATGACTGCAGCCCCCAGAGGGTGCCATGTGGAACAGAAGAGCCACCAGCTGAGCCCTGTCAATTGCAGACTCACAAGAGATCATACAACTATTATTGTTTTAACCCACTCAGTTTTGGGAGGATAACACAGGATGAAGCAATAGAGAGGTGAGGCAGATAGGATTCTGACACTTGTGGGTTCCACCTTGAGGAAATCCCATGCATGGAAATTCAAACATACCTGGGCATTGTGTGAGCAAAGCTAGGGGTGAAGGGAGCAGCAGGAAATGCAGGTGGGAGATCGGATACTTGGGATCTGGTCCTGTTTCTTCCACCAAGTTGCTGTGTGGCCTACAGCCTAAACCTTTCAGAACATCCTCTTGACACTGAGGGGCTTGGGTCCCATTGTCTCAGCACTGGCCCAGCTCTGACATCCTTAGCCAGCTAGATTCTTTACTAATCGTCAATCAACTGGCAGATTCCTGCCTCCAAGCATTTGCTCATGCTCAGCCACCTTCCTGGGGGGTCCCTAGGCATCCTCCCTGCTGGTGCCAGTCAACTGCCAACTTCCCAGTACTATTTCCAGAGCATGGGCTTTCTGGATCCAGACCATTTGGGTTAAAATTCCAGCTCTATCAACTCCTATGTATGACGTTGATGAGGCTCTTAACCTCTGTGCCTTAGTTTTCCTTAGTAAAATAATAGTACCTCTCTCATGGGGGTAGTTGGGCAGACTTAATGTGATAATTCATGTAAAGCATTTAGCTCTGGACCTTACCCAAGTCAGCTACTGCCATGATTTCCTACTCATTGCCTGTCTCACACATTTGTGCTCCACTGAGCATGTTTCATTTGAGTCTTGTCTCTTACCCATACATATCATCTCTCTCCTGACAAGCTGCAGGCTTCTGGATGGCCTGACACAGGCTGAAACTCAGACCACAAGACTGAACACCAAGCAGGAGAGCAGACCCTGCAGGGGGAACCAGGTGTCTGCAGTCCTTTTACTAGCAGTGGGGTCTGGGCACCATCCTGGGCTCTTCTGAGCTTCTGCTTCCTTATCTATAAAATGGAGGGGACTGCCCCCACCCTGCCCCCTCCTGGGGTTGAGATGAAAACTAACTGAGATCCTGGGCACGGAAGTGCTGTGTGAACTGCCCCATGCTGGACACACGCAAGCGGCCCAGTGGCCCAGGGTCAGGACCACAGCCCCAGAAGGCAAAAGATCTGGTTCTTGCTCCGGCCGTGGGCACCTTGCGTCCCCTCTCTGGGCCTCAGTATCCCCAATGGTAAAGCAAGGTAAGGTCACTAAACCTGCAGACATGTTAGTTTAGCCTACATAGTGTCCTTCTGTAATTCAAATTTGTTTTTATTTATTTATTTTTATTTATTTATTTATTTAGACAAGTTCTTGCTCTGTTGCCCAGGCTGCAGAGCAGTGGCAAAAACATGGCTCTTTGCAGCCTCAACCTCCTGTGCTCAAGCAATCCTCTCACCTCAGCCACTGAAGTAGCTGGGACTACAGGTGCCGGCCACCACGCCCAGCTAGTTTTTGTACTTTTTGTAGAGATGAGGTCTCACCATGTTGCCTAAGATGGTCTCAAATTCCTGGGCTCCAGTGATCCTCCCACCTTGGCCTCCCAAAGTGCTGGGATTATAGGTGTTAGCCACCATGCCTAGCCCAAATCTGTTTCTATTTTTTATTTTTTTATTTTTTGAGATGGAGTTTTCACTCTTGTCACCCAGGCTGGAGTGCAATGGCGTGCATGATCTTGGCTCACTGCAACCTCCACCTCTGGGTTCAAGCGATTCTCCTGCCTCAGCCTCCCGAGCAGCTGGGATTACAAGCATGTGCCACCACATCTGGCTAATTTCTGTATTTTTAGTAGAGATGGGGTTTCACCACGCTGGCCAGGGTTATCTCGAACTCCTGACCTCAGGTGATCTTCCTGCCTCGGCCTCCCGAAGTGTTGGGATTACAGGCATGAGCCACCGTGCCTGGCCCCCAAATCTGATTTTCAAGACTGGAGGCGTTCACCTGAGATTTCTAGGTTCTCTTGGAAAAATCAGGAGATGTGGCAGCCCAAGTCCCACGGCTCCACATGGCAGATGCTGAGTCGTGGCCGTCCCCTTTAGAGAGGGGACTGTGCTCTCCCATTCCCAGCGATACTCCATTCATACCAGCCTTCATGCCCCTCCTGCTGTACTCATGAATGTCGCCTGCCTGGCCCTGATGGCCATGAGTTTGAAAACCCCAAGCAAACTGGCCTCTGGGGTTGCTTGTTGCACTAACAACCTAAGAATCTCTGCCCGCAATGATTATGACAGTCATGATTCCTGGTATCCGACTTAGCCCAGTAGAGTTCTGGGAACACAGTGGATGCTCGGCAAACATTTGGTTCCCACCCCTCCCCAGCTGCCTAGTGACCTCGGTTACCCTACAACCAGGAAGCTTGAGATGAGCCCTGGAGGGTGTGCCCTGCCAAAGCCCTGCTCCCTGCAGGCCTGTCCCCATGCAGCCTGCCCCCACACAAGTCGCATCCGTGGGGCTGGTGCAATGGAAATCAGGACCTTGTTCGGTCGGGGTGAGTCTCAGGAAATCTCCAGCACTGTGGAAGTTTCTTTCTGACCACTTGCAAATTGGCAACCCTGCCCTCTCCCTGCTCTCTTACTCCAAACAGAACCAAACTTCACTTGTGGGCAGGAATCTGCCTTCATCAGAGCAGAGATGGACAGTGTGGACTCTAGCATTGCATAGAACCAGGATTGAAGCCGAGCTCCGTCACTTGGCAGCTGTGACTGCAGCTGAAAGTCCTTCACTTCTCTGACTCACAGATTCCTCGAGTGTAAAATGGGAATAACTCTCCCACCCTGCCCACTTCAGGCCACTGGCAAGATTAAGGGGGACCTGTCTGTGGAGCATTTAGCCAGGCACTCAGTGAATGCCCTGGAAGCGGTAGCTGTCGGTATCATTGTCCCAGCCACAGAGGGACATCATGGCTCGGCATTTCCAAACCAGAAGAGGCCATTTCCCCTAACTCTGTCATGAAACCAAGAGGAAATCACAGAGATAGGGTGGATGTGCCTGGAGTCAAATTGGAACTGGGTGGGAGGAGCCCAGGACAACACAAACCTCTGACTCTTGTGTCGAAGGCACCCCTAAATTTTGCCAGCATTTAGGAGCAAATGAAAGGGTAATGAAAGAGTTTTATCTTCTTAGTGCTAGCACGCTGATGTGGTCTGAATGTTTCTCGCCTCCAAATCTGATATTGAAATTCGATTCTCAGTGTTGGAGGTGGGGCCTAGTGGAAGGTGATTGGATCATGGGGGCGGATCCCTCATGACTGGTTTAGTGCCATCCACTTGGTGACAAGTGAGTTCTCGGTCTGAGTTCACAAGAGATCTGGTTGTTTGAAAGTGCAGCATCTGCCCCGTCACTCTGTTGCTCATGCTCCAGCTATGGGATACACCTGCTCGGCCTTCACCTTCTGCCATGATTGGAAGCTTCCTGAGGCCCTCACCAAAGGCAGGTGCTGGCACCATGCTTCCTGTACAGCCTGCAGTACCATGAGCCAATTAAACCTCTTTTCTTTATAAATCACCCAGTCTCGGGTATTGAATAGCAATGCAAGAACGGCCTAATACACACACCAAGTTTCCTTGGGGAACTAACCCTCCTCCATGCTCAGTATGTGTGATTCACTGGGGTTGACACCATCACCCCAGAACCAGGCCTGCCAGTCAGATCCCTGATTCCTCTAACCACAGTGATTGGCTCACAGATGAGCATGTGACTCAGGCTAGGCCAATATGAGGCCTCTGGAATTTTTGCTGGAGCTCCTGGGAAAGAGGCCTCTTCCTTGAGCAGAGGTGGCTAAGCTGATAGGACATAGGCCTGCAGCTGCTGGTGGGCAACTTTACAAGCAAAGGAAAACACAAAAAACCTGCCTACGAGTGAAGCCAACACAGAAGAAAGCAGAGCCAAAGGCTGTAGGGAGAGTTTCTTGACAATAACATCTGAGCGCCTAGATCCAGCCCTGACTGAAGCTGTCCTCTCCTTTGGACATGTCAGATAAAAGTATTAATAAATTTCTTTTTCCGCTTGAATCAATTTGAGTTGTGTTTCTGCCACTTATAATAAAAGAATCCTGATGAATACAGTCCAGAAATACAGACTGCTGCAAACAGACTGGGTGATTAAACAAATGAATTAATAAGTGAATAAGTACATGAGTTAATAAAGGAGAAAGAAAACAGCGAGTGAGTGAATGACTGATTCAGGGAGTGAGTGAGTGAAATATGTATGCTAGGAAACAAGCCACTCTTGTCCTCTAGGCCTCAGGTACCAAAGCCTTCTGTTCCAGAAAGGCCTCCTCTATGGCTCCAGGTTTCAGGAGGTCCCTGAGTAGCCTGTGGTATTTTGTTAGGGAGGATTTGGCAGTGTGTCTCAGAGGGCATCCAAATATCTTGGGCAAGTCACTTAACCATTGGAGAGCCTAAGCTTCCTCGTCTATGAAATGGGGATAAGAAGTCTTCTCTTCCAGGGCTATCATGATGGTTAAATGAAGTAATGCACATAAAGCACTTAGCACAGGGCTTGTGCTTGAAAGCCATTTCACAAGCAATAGCACGATTATCGTTCCTGTTATTAGGCTTTCAGGCCCAGCTCATTTCTGCCCCCTCCAGGGAGTTTCCCTTGACCATCTGCACCCCTATCAGCTGCCTTCTTTTGTAGCAGAATTGACCCGTTTGCCAAGCACTTGGACACTGTCTCCTCCAGGAGTCTTGCTCAAACTTTGGGACATCGGAAACCCCAAGGGGAATGTGTTACAAATGCAGACTCCTAGACCCACCTCCTGAGGACCCTTGCCAGAGGCCTGCTGTGGGGCCCAGGAACCTGCATTTTCACCAACTCCCACACCCTGAGATGATTCTGAAGCAAGACCGTACCTGGAGAACACTCATATGTGCATCATCGCATTTTATAGATGGGGAAACTGAGGTTCAGAGGAGAACACAGATTGGCCCAAAGTCACATAGTGATTCACTGGCAGAGTTGGGCTTGCACAAGAATTTGTGCCTTGTGGACCTGGGCTGGTTCCGCCCTGCTGTGGAGGGGCTCCCTCTCTTCAGACTGAAGCTTTCCTACAGCCCCTCAGCATGCCTTTCACCACTGGGTGCTCCAATTCTGGCCTGCCTCTTGCTTCCAGAACATATGTCCACCAGGGCCCTGAACCTAGTTGGTGCTCAACAAATATCTTCCAGATGATGGGCATGACTCAGGCAGGGCCAACATATTTAGCAGATTTTTTGACAGACAGGTTGGGAATGGCATGAATGACCTGGCCATGGGAGTGATGGAATCTCCAAAATGGCACTAGGAAAAAACCGTCATGCCTTGATGGGTCCCAAAATGTATATAGTTTTTCTTGGTTTTTCTTTTCTCTTGACAGAGATGCTGAATAAACCTGCTAGAATGTAAACTCCAGCAAACGGGAGTTGCCTGGACTTTACCCTCCCCCTGCCTGGCATGCTGTAGGTGCTCAATAAGTGTTGCTGAGAGGAAGGATATGAGCTGTGGACTCTGCTTCCCACTCTAAGTAGTTTGTTCTCACTGTAGATGGTCTGATGGTAACAAAAGTGTTATGTCCCCTGGAGGTGTCCCTGCTCCCCTCCCACAACCCCTCCCAACCCCTCCAGCTGTGGAGAAGGCGGAGATGGAGAATCACGAGTTGGTCCCAGTTCCCATTCTTGGGCCATCTTCTGCAGCTCCGTGTATCTATGGGATGGAGTGTGGGTGGGAAGAAGGCTGATGCTGAAATCGCCACTGCACCGCCAGGCCTGCCATCCCCTCTGGCTGCCCGGCCTTCCTCCATTAGCACTTTGGCGCTGCAGCCCTTGGCTGAGCCCAGACTGGATTTGATTGATTCTTTATGGGCTGCAGATTCGATACCCATGCAGAGCACATGTGGAGGATAAGCCAGGGAGGAGGCGGGGGAGAGAGTTGAGGCCAGGGAGAACCTGGGGGGTCAGACCCTAACCTTTGCAAGACATGGGGCTTCCCCAGGCCTGGCCCAGACCAGGACGCCCCTTCCTGCTGCACCCTCATGCCAATGACTCTGGTTTCTAGAATTGCCCTGAAGTTCATTTCCCAGCAATGTCTGATCAAATAGGGATGTCCAAGGGCAGGCTCTTCAGATGGGACAAGCCCGGGCTAAACGTCCTCCCCAAAAAATGCAATGTGAGCATTGTTCATCTGTTATTGATTGGGAGACTGTGAGCTTTGCTTCCAAAATCTCCAATAAAACTGGCTTGGAAGAGAATTTCCTGAATCCCTGGGTAAGTGGATAAAGATGTTCCAGGAGTCTGGGGTGGTGCCGGTGGGGAAGCTCACACACCATGCACAGTTGGTTTTTCCCTTTGTTACTTAATGAAGAACAGAAAACAATCAGCCTCATCTCTCTGCATCCAGAGTCGGCTCCCTTCTTCCTTTGAGTTAATTTCCGGTTGGAGGCTGGTGCCTGCTTAGCCGGAGGGCCCCCGGGAATCTGCTCCTCTTCTCTTTTGGGTTGGGGGCTGGAGGCGGCTCATTCTTCTGGGCATCCCGTGGTAGGGGTCTTGCACCTGCGTGTGGCATTAGGCGGGTAGGGGGTTTTGAGGGAGCACAATAGAGCATTTGGGAGCTGGCTCAGTTGCTGGAGCAGCCTAGGTTACAGAGAGATGCAGCCAGCTCTGAGGTCCTGTCTCAGCCGTGACCAGCCTTGTGACCTTGGGCAAGGGACTTCAATTTCTGGGCCTCAGTTTCTTCATCTGTGAAATGGGCATCATTTCAACCCCTGCTTCAAAGGGTTATGATAAGGACTCGAGGAGGCTATGGATGTAAGGCACTTGTGTGGTGCTGGTGCAGAGCAAGCACTCAATACATGTGGGTTGTTAGTCCTATTCGCTCCTGACATCAGCAGCTGGGACTCCGCTGACTTCATGGTGAGCCCCAGAGACAAGAGAGATGGGATCACCCTTTCCTTGGACTGTTCCTCCCCTTCCTCCACCCCCACCACAGCCCCCTGGGTCACGGCCGGAAGGATGAGGACAGGCTATCTGAGTCAGAGTGTGTGTCATCTGGGAGTGGGGGGTGGGGTGCCCCTCCATGGGAGAAGAGCCTGAGGCAGGCCAGGAGCTAGAGACCTCAGCCCAAGCCAGGGTGTGGCTGGAGAGGTCAACTTTTGGCCTCATGACTCCACTGTGTGGAGAAAAGAGGCTTGGGCAGCCTCCCGCCTCCAACATCACTGATCTGGGCTTCCTTAGCCCTCACAGCAGGTGAGGAAGGTGCCCCCTACAGGTGGTCTCTTCCCCTGAGCACCTCTGGGGCTTCGAACTCTGAATGCCTCATCCCCCAGGTGAGGAGGTTGATTTTTGCCTTGTGAATCTCAAAGGGTTGTTAGACAGCTCCAATCATGGCAGGGCTCAGAGAACTGGACTGAGATCTGAGCCACCTGGACAAGTCTCAGCCTATCCCAGAAATGCGTACACACTGAACAGGTCCAAATCAACATGGCGAAGCCTCAGAGGACTGGATGGGAGTCCAACCACCACCCAAATAAGTCTGAATCTAGTAGGTTGTTTGGCTGCTCTAGGAAAAAGCTCAATGTTCTCTAGGAGATAATAATGATCCCCCTCTACACAACATAACAGTCATGACAGCTGGGTGCAGTGGCTCATGCCTATGAGCCCAGCAGTTTGGGAGGCCGAGGGGGGAGAATTGCTTGAGGCCAGGAGTTCGAGACCAGCCTGGGCAACATGGTGAGATCCTGTCTGAAAATTAAAAAAAGAAAAAACAAACAAGAAAAGTCACAATATCCAAGGAACAATTCAAAATTATTCAAGACACAAAGAGCCAGCTGGGTGCGGTGGCTCACCCCTGTAATCCCAGCACTTTGGGAGGCCAAGGTGGGTGGATCACCTGAGGTCAGGAGTTCGAGACCAGCCTGGCCAACATGGTGAAACCCCATCTCTACTAAAAATACAAAAATTAGCTGGGCATGGTGGTGGGCACCTGTAATCCCAGCTACTCAGGAGGCTGAGGCAGGAGAATCTTTTGAGCCCTGGAGGCAGAGGTTGCAGTGAGCCGAAATCGCACCATTGCACTCCAGCCTGGGCGACAAGGGCAAGACACCATCTTAAAAAAAAAAAAAAAAAAAGACGCAAAGAACCATGAAAATATGAAGGCCTCCATCTGATAAAAGTTATCTATGAAAAATCTAGAACTAAGAGCATACTTAATGGTGATAGATTGAAGGCTTTCCCCTAGGAGCTGTATCCTGCACTAAACATAAAATGAACTCAAATGGATCATATACCTATCTATAAAACATAAAAATATAAAAGTTCTAGAAGAAAGTATAGGAGGAAATCTTTGCGATCTTCGGTTAGGCAAAACTTTCTTGGATTCAGCACCAAAAGCCTTATCCATAAAAGAAAAAAAATGGTTACAATGGACTTTGTCAAAATTAAGAACTTTTGCCCTTTGAAAGACTCTGTTAAGAAAATGAAAAGATAAGCCACAGTCCGAGGGAAACTACTTGCAAATCACATAACTGTTAAGAGATGTGTATCTGGGATATATAAAGAACTCTCAAAAATAAGAAAATAAATAACCCAACAAAAAATGGGCAAAAGATTTGAACAGATGTTTCCCCAGAGAAAATATCTGGATGGCAAGTAAGCATGTGAAAAATGCTCAAAATAATCATTAGAGAATAATTACAGTCATGTATCACTTAATTAGGATATGTTCTGAGAAATATGTCATTAGGTAATTTTGTCGTTGTTTGAATATCATAGTGTTCTTACACAAACCTAGATGGTAGATGCTTCCACACACCTAGGCTATGTGGCAGAGTCTATTTTTCCTAGGCTACAAACCTGTACAGCATGTTTCTGTACTGAATACTGTAGGCAACTGTAACTCAGTGGTTAAGTATTTGTATATCTAGCCATTGAAAGGTGCAGGATTATAATATATATGGTACGAAAAAATACGGTATTATAATCGTATGAGACCGCTCTTGCATATGTGGTTCATTGTTTAACAAAAATGTCATTATGCAACACATGACTGAAACTGCAATGAGATACCATTCACACCTATTACACACCTGTTAAAATGGCTACAATTTAAAAGACCAGCCAAACCAAATATTGCTGAAATGGAACACTCACACTGCTGGTGCGAATGTAAAATGGTGTAACCACTTTGGAAAATATTAGTAGTTTGTTTCTCAACTAGTTAAACATATACCTACCATGTGACCCAACTATTTCATTCCTAGGTACTTACCCTAAAGAAAAGGAAATATGTGTGTTCACACAAACTCAAATGCAAATGTTCATAGCAACTTCATTCGTAATAGCAAAAAACTAGGAACAACCCAATGTTCATCAATGGATGAATGAATTGTTAATAACAAATTGTAGTATATCCATACAAGGGACTACGATTCAGCAGTTAAAAGGAATAAACTATTGATACCCTCGGCATCATAGATAAATCTTGAAATAATTTTGTTGAGTGAAAGAACCCAGACAAAAATACATGCTCTGCGACTGTAGTTATATAGGATTCCTGTATCGTGACAGAATGCAGATCCGTGGACTTGAGAGTGATGGAATTATTTGTTATCCCAATTATAGTGATGGCCCCATGATTGGGATACACAGGTCAAAACGGATCAAACTGGACACTTTAAATATGTGCAGATTGTTGGTCTTCGTATATACCTCAATAAAGTTTGAGCGAAAAGGGATAGCGTCCTTCCCATACTGATATTAAATGTCCATTCATACATCACCCTAAGCCATCCCCTGCATTTCCAAACATTCGAAGCATTTCCTTAAGTGCTGTAATGTGTCCAGCCTTCCTGCAGCCTGGTGAGCTAGAGGAGGCAGACATAAAGTGGTAACCATAATGCTGCTATGAACTTGATTTGACTATTCGAGAAGCAAAGCCCAAGAGTTACGGGAGTACTGGGAAAGAGTAATTCTGTCCTAGCCCAGATTCCTTCTCTAAAACCAAGCCTGAGACAGAGGGCTCTTGCGCTATTACTTGAAGGGGAGGAGCTGTAGAAGGTTGTGTGATCAAGCCAGCTACAGACGAGAGTCATGGTGGCCAGATCTGTGAACTGTGCCCTGGGATGCTGTATACACTGTGTCTTGGGATGTACGTCCCTTGGGGGTGAGTGGTGGAGCGAAAGGAGACCATCTATGCCCTGGCTCCCATCTCTCATTGGCCAGAGGTTTGCACACAGAGCGACGGCTCTCCTACACTTCTAGGCTGTGCACACCTGGGCGTGGGCCACACAGGCGTCCCGAGGCACAGTTAAGGGAAGTGCCAGGGTGGGCAGGAAGCTGCGCCTGTGAAAAGCCTGTCGGGCCCAAGAAAAGCTGGAACAGGACACTGCCTTAGGACTGAGGGCAAGGAGGACAAGAGGATCTGACGCGGTGAGTAAGAGGCATCTGATAAAGACTCCGGCAGGGGTTGCTGGGAAAGCACTAGAAGGAACAGAGATGCTGCATCCAGGCACTGAGGAATGAGTAGGATTCCACAAGTACGAGAGTGTGTGTGGCAGGGAGCGGAGGTGGCAGTCTCAGCTGAGGGAACAGCAAGGACAAAGATTCTGAGGCAAAATCACGGCGTATCTGTTGAATTGCCCTGTGTCCCTCTGTCTTCTGTTACCATTTCTAGTGAGCTTCCGTGATTGGCTTCTGCGATTGGCTCAGGAGCTGCCACATGACCCACGCTGGGCCAATCAGAGCCAGCGAGCATCATCCCGGGACTTTGCAGGAACAACCTGGCTCTTTCCATGAGGATTGCTAAAGGGGTAGGAGAGGAGCCTGGAGCCGTTGGGGGCATCATTGTCACACCGAGGAGAGGATGCCTGAGAATGACTCTGGCACCGAAAAGAAGAGCTGAGAGATGAAACAAGTTGTTGACGTCATTTGAGTGCCTGGATCCAAGCATACTCCTGATTCGGATCCGTCTTTTGATTTTTCAGCTTACTCAAGCCAATGAATCCCATTTTCTATTTTAGGGAGTTTGAATTGGGCTCCTGCCACTTGTGACCAAAAGTGACCAAAAGGTCCTAAGTATCCTCAGGACCTCGTAAGCGTCTGATGCAAAGTAAGTTTTAGGGACTGGCATTCCTTGGAACACCTAGAACGTCCTTTCTTCTTTGGACACTGGCTCCCTGGGGGAGCCCTTCCATTCTCGTGGCACATGCGATGTTGGTCAGCATGTGCACTTTGAGACCAAACACCTGGGTTCAAATTCAAGCTAAGCCAATTACTAGATGTGCAACCAGAGGAAAATTCCGTACTCTCCATGCCTTAGTTTCTCCATCTGTAAAATGAGATTCATACTACTACTTACTTCATAGGGTTACTGGGGCCTTTTAGTGAGTTAATATATGTGAAATGCTTACACTGGAGTTCAACACATAATTAGCACTCAGTAGAGTCAAGCTGATATTAGCAGTGTACTGGTGACTTCTGAATCTAGATCTCGAATTCATACTGGCTGCTGAGGTCCAGGCCAATGGACAACTCTGTTGAATGGGCCCAAGACTGGGCTTAGCCTCTACCCTACCTCCCACAACTCATGCCCCATTGGCATCTGATTCCAAAGCTCGGTTACTCATGCCAGAAAACTGAAGCTTTTCCTGGAATACTGCCCCCCTCCCACCCCCATATCTAGGCATCGGCAAGTCCTGTTGATTCCACCTCCTCAATATCGTCTGGAGATTCTTGCTATTCAAAGTGTGGCCTGTGGACCAGTAGCGTCGACATCAGACTCTCGGCCTCACCCGGGACCTAAGGACTGAAATCTGTATTTTCACAACATCCTCAGATGGTTTGTATGAACATTAAACCCCTTCTGATTTTCTCAACCTTGGCCGCACATTGACATCACCAGGGGTGGGGAGGGGCAGATCTTTTAAAATGCTGATGCCCGGGTCCCACCTCCATAGACTCTGACTGCATCAGTGGAAGGTGTCAAATACAATAGTCCTCTGGCCTCCAGGGTAACCCCTGCCATTCCATCCCTGACGCTTCAGCCAAGGTGGCCTTCTACAGCAGGAAAGAATTGTGCCCACTCCAACAGAGAGGTACCACACAGGTACAGAAACAAAAGTCATTTTCTCTTACTGACCCCAACTTCCTCATAAGGCTCCTCATGCTGCTGACAGCAGGTAAAACAAACAAAGAAACTGATTTTACCAATTAAAAAGGCCCCAGTGACCCTATGCAGTAAGTAGTAGTATGAGTCCCATTTTACAGATGGGGAAACTGAGGCACGGAGAGAGTAAGGAATTTTCCTCTGGTTGCGCATTTAGTGATTGGCTTAGCTTGAATTTGAACCCAGGCGTTTGTTCTCAAAGCGCATGTGCCATGAGAATTGGTACCTTGGTCTTTCAAGGCCAAGGTGATGCTGTCCTGCAAGGGTTCTCCTCCTACCCACACCAGAGCTTTCCTTCCTGATCTAGGCTGTGCATTCGGGGGCACATGCATATCCTCACGGTGGCGGGGGAATGACTGCTTGCCCATCTGTGTCCTCTGCCCCCCCTCTACTCCAGGGCCTCAGGTGTACTGAGTCACTTATCTCTGAGCTTTGGCCTCTCTGGTCGCTGAATCTGCTGGTGCAGTCTTGGTTCCTCCTGGCCTGCAGATGTGTGCCCACACCCCTGCTGCTGATGATGGGCCCTGCCATCGCCTCCCTGTGGCCTCCTTGCCCTCATCCTCTGGGCTCCTCTGAAGCTCCTCACTGCTCCCCATGCCATTGAGAGGCACAGGAAGACTTACGGACCTTGTGAATGTCACTCATAGGCCTCTGGGAACCAGCAGGGCTCTCTCGGGTCTGCTGCTCTAGACACCTCCCTTGGTGTTTACGTGAGCCAAGAAGGCTGGCAGGGGATGGCATGGGCCGGATGCTCTCAAATTCTCCCTTCACTTCCCCAAAGTGCCCGTGAGAGTTTCTGTCTCCTCTCCTCCCCAACAGACCCAGCCGAGCTTCAGCACTGGGCTGGGGCCTGTTCCACCTCCTGCTCCTTCCATTCTCCCTGGAAGGACATCTAGGTTCCATTTTCTCTAGGTGGGGAGCTTCTCTTGCATCCTGTGAAGGTTCCCTCTCCCTAAGGCTCACAGTAAAGCTCTCTGGTCCAAGCTGGTCAGGCCCAGCCTGTGAATTCAGAAGAAGCTTTGGATATTTAAAAAAAACTTTTTCTCTCTTCACAAGGCTGACTTCTGAGACCCTTTTCTCACTGCAAACCTAAGAAAGCCAGCCGGGCCTCTTTGTTCTAATGAATACCTGCTCTCTGCATCCCCAGGCAATAAGCCTCCTGGACTTTTCTTGGAGGTGGAAAGGCTGCAAGACAATATGCTTTAGGGTAGGAGGAGGGGAGGATTCAAAGCAGCCTCCTCACAACCTGAATGGCCATCAACTGGTGAAAGATACAACCATATAATGGATTATTACTCAGCACTGAAAAAGGTACCAGCTGTGATACACACACAGAGGAATCTCAGAAGCACTGTAATAAGTGGAAGAAACTCGTCACAGAAGGCAACACACTGCGTGAGTCAATTTATAGGAAAGTTGAGACAAGGCAAGTGTGCAGATTTTAGAACAGATCCGTGGTTGCCTGGGACTGGGTGGGGTGGAGGGGAGGGACTGATTGCAAAAGGGCATGAGAGAACTTTGGGGAGTAATGGAAATGTTTATATCTTGATGATGGTAGTAATTATACGATTATATACCCTTGCCCAAAATGATTGAATTGTACATTTAAAATTGGTGAATTTTATTATGTAAAGTAGACCTCAGTGTAGCTGATTTTAAAAAAAGTAAAAATCACCAGTTACATATTTTAAGACATCAATCTCATTTCATATTGAAAACTGACATCCCAATATCTGATTCTCCATTTCAAACCTCTCACTATCCTCAGTATCACGTCTAAAAATCTGCCCTGCTCTCTCCCTTCCTTCACCCTTCTAGCTCATATCTCTTCTTGGAAACTCAGCTCAAACCTCACATTCTAACACGGGCCATTCCTGAACCCCAGGACTAGGTTAGATCTCCATGTTCTGTGATCACACGACAAGCCTCCACCTCCTTTGTATCTTGTGACCATTTATTTGTTGACTTTCCATTTTCTCCCCCACACTGTAAGCTTGGTGTGCGGAGATCCCAGTGCAGTGCCTAACACACTCAATGAGTGTTTGCTGAGGGACTATTGTAGGCTCTCAGTGAATGTTTGTTGAATGAATAAATGAAAGATCTGTAAGTAGTTAGGTGGAGCTGGGGTGTTATTTGCATGGAAGGGAAGGTACTGAACAAAAATTAGACCAAGATCTAGGGAAAAGCCATGTGAACAAGGCTGAACTCTGAAGGGCAGAGGGAACTTAGAAAAGAGAAAGGACAATGAAAAGATGTTCTGAGCTGTAGGACCAGCCTAAACAGAGGCTTGGAGGTGACACATAACAGCGAGCTCAGGAAGGTCAAGAAAAGAATGGCTGCTCTAAACCACACTCCAACATCATTAATAAGTATTTACCAAGTGCTAATCACATGCCCAGAACCGTGGGGGAAGTTATAAGAAGTATGAGCTGTTCCCAGTTCCCTCCTCCCCATGTCTCACCACCCTGCGCATTAGTCTCTGCCTCGTAAAGATCGATTCTGTATTGACAGTTTCTGTCTACACCCAAACAGCCAGAAAAAAAGCCTGTTGCAGAAACTTGACAGCAACTAGATTTATGACTGCATCTCCTAGAACCCAGCCCAAATGCACCAGCCCTGCTGCGGCATCCAGCACTCTGAGGCACACAGAGGGCAGTGTTAGTCCAGTAAACCAACATTTACTGATGTCTACACTGTGCCAGCCTCTGAGGATACGGAGAGTAGTAAAACACCATCCCTGCCATGTGTAAGCCCTTAGACCAGCCAACAAGCATTACCGAATACCTTCCATGTGTATTCAATCATGACTGTTGAGTTTTGGTTATTTAACAAACACGTACGTCGTGCTTTCTGTGTGCCAGGAAATGTTCTAAGTACTTTACAAAGATAAACGCAGAGAATCCTCATAACAACCATTATTATTCCCATTTTACCAGCGTGGAGACTGAGGCAGAGAAAAGTACAGAAATTTGCCTAAGGTCTCCTGGCTGGTAAGTGACAAAGCCGGAAACCAAACCCAGGAAGTCGGCTGCAGAGTTTGTGCTCACATCCCCGCTACTGTAGTGCCTTATTTTTGTGGATCTAGAGCTTCATTCATTCAACAAATATTTAGTGAGCTCCCACTGTGTGCTAGGCGTCTGCAAGATGCTATGTATGCAGAGAGTAGCGCATTCCGATTACATGTGGGGAAGCTCTGCTATGCGCCTCGAGGGCAGAACCACGTCTGGCAGATTTCAACACCAGACATAGGGCTGCAACACAGAGTTGGGGCCTGATCATGTTTGTTGAGTGACTGAAAGTGTCTGGCATTGGAAAGAGTGCTGAGCTTGGAGCCTGAGAACTTGGATCCCTCTTTCGGGAAAGGAACGTGTTTTGACGTGCTCATCCATACTCAGGTATGTTATACATCCCAAGGGGCTTATATTTAAAGAGTGGAACTGAGATAAGGCCATAATATCCTCCAAAAGAATGAAGTATTAATAGTGGAATTTCAGGCATCCACAAAGGAGATAATTTGGTGGGTGGGTGGCCCCCAATCACGCCCTGTCATTGATTGCCTCCTCTAAGGGCCAGGGAATGCAACAAGCATCGTCCGCCTAGGAGGTGCCAAGCGTTCTGCGTGGGGCTGTGAGTCACTGGCTGGTCCAATTGAGATCTGGCGGGGAGGTGGAGAAGTGTGTCCACCCTGCAGGCAGACAAGTCCCTGGGGACAAAGCAGTGTCTGTGGGAGCAGAGGGAGGGCCTGGCCATCCGTGTCATGGAAGGAGGAGGCTGTCAGCAGCCCCGTTTTTGTGCCTGGGTTGGGGCTGGAGCCGCTTCTCTGGGCTGGCAGGAGCCTGAGAAGGAGCTGGCAGAGAAGTCCTGAGGGCCCCAGACTGGGCTGCTCTGAATGAATCCAGCTCCCTGCCATTGACCTGGGGTGCACCAGGCTTACCAGTTGCCCCCTCTCATAGCCAGAGATGCATCGGCACCAGGGTCTACCTCATAAAAGGGCAGAGGCAGCTACGCTGGCACAGACACCACCTGGCACAGAGTTTCTCAGGAGACAGCTGAAACCTCAGGGACATATGTTAATAATGCAGACTCCTGGGTCTGTCCCAAACCAAAGGGAGCCCTGGGGAGACTGGAGCTGGGATCTGCATTGCTAATAACTTCTCCAGAAGAGTCTTTTTTTTTTTTTTTTGAGACGGAGTCTTGCTCAGTCACCCAGGCTGGAGTGCAGTGGAGCGTTCTTGGCTCACTGCAAGCTCCGCCTCCCGGGTTCACGCCGTTCTCCTGCCTCAGCCTCCCGAGTAGCTGGGACTACAGGCACCCGCCACCACACCCAGCTAATTTTTTTTTTTTATTTTTAGTAGAGACGGGGTTTCACCATGTCAGCCAGGATGGTCTCAATTTCCTGACCTCGTGATCCACCCACCTCAGCCTCCCAAAGTGCTGGGATTACAGGCGTGAGCCACCGCGCCAGGCCCAGAAGAGTCTTATGTGCTGCCTAAGCCACTCGCAAAGTCCACTTTCATATCTTTGTCCCTAGGACCCAGGCACAGTGGAAGCTGGCAGAGGTGAGACCTCCCCACATTCACTTGGCTCAGCCCAGAGGTGGGGCAGAGGCTGCAGGTCTCCTCTGCTGGATGGGCCTCCTGTCCTAACGAGCCATCCACCTGTGCCCAGGTACACCAGACACATGGCCCAGCCTCTTACATAATCCTAGCCCCTGCTCTGTGAGGCGGAACTGTTACTTTCCCCCTCTTTCTGATGAGGAAACAAGGCCCAGAGAAGTGAAGTCAGCAGCCCAGGATAGGTCAGCAGGAGCCGGGGCCAGGCTGCAAAACTGCTTCTTCTGAATCTGTAGCCTAAGCACAGAACCACAGTGCCCAGCTACCACCTGCAGGGGGTGGAGTCCTGCCTCCACCTTCCGGCCACCCATCCTTTGCCCTGGGTCTGGACCCTGGCATTGGTGGTGGCCATCGGCGCCGACCCATGGCTTGTCATTGTATCCAACACTGAAAACCTACTACCAGCCCTGCTTGGATCAGAGCCTTTAAGTGTAGCCCTTAACAGAAGTCAGTTAATCCCCCTTCCTGCCCCAACACACACACACGTGCATACACACAGGGTTGGCTCTGCCCTCCCTAGGGGTCTCTCCAGCCTCCACCTCCCTCCCCTAACCCCATCCATGCTCTCCGGAAGTTCCCAGCAATCCAGTTGGGACACAGTGAAATAAGCCCCAACCTCTCCGAGGTAGAAAAGGTGGTGCTTGGGCATGAAAATCCCCCTTAGCAGTTATAGAATTTAAAGCTAAGCATCGCCTTTCTTGAAATAGCAAGCATGTAGCTTTTCCCCGTGCATCTGGTGATGGTGTCAGAAACATTAGGGACAGCTTCTATTTGGCCACAGTCGAGCCAACCCTAGACAGTGGTGACCAGGGAGGCCCTGAGAGGCCATTGCAGCCAACGCCTTCATTAACAGATGTTGAGGCTAATGTCCAGTGATGGTCAGGGATTTACCCCAAGTCATATGATGGCATCTAGCTAGGGTTGGAAGCCCACTCCCTCTAGTCCCAGTCCAGCACTCCAGAAGCAGCAAACAGTCTTTGGGACCTCCAGCACAGAGCCCCCTTCCTCAGAACTGCTCCCCCTGCCCAGTGGACAGCTCCAGATGCTGCTCTTCCTGTCCTATCTGTGGCTGTTCACGTTCATGGCTGCTGCCCCCACACCACTCTCTTGCCAGCCCTGTAACCAAACTAAACATTTCTCCATACTTCATTTCATCACCAAATAATAAAAGCAGGCTTATTCCCCCACAATGGAAGTGTTAATTTATTCTCTATCTTGCAGGCCAGCTCAGCCAACATGACCAGGCCAAGCTGAACATGGGAGGCCAGGTGGGCAGCAGCTTTCCAGAGAGCCCAGGGACCAAGGTGTCTTAGCTCTCGGCAGGAGTGCTGGTCTCCATCTCAGCCAACAGCGCAGGAGAGAAGCAGCTCAAACTCCTTCCCTGGTTGGACCAGGGCCAGTAGGCCCTTGTCCTGACAGTCCTCTGGCTGGAAGGCATAGCTTCTCCACGAGGCTGGGATGGGAGGCCCGTCCCAAAGCACCAAATAAAGAGTAATAATAAGCTCACGGTCGGGGGAAAAACCTCTCTAGCAGCCTGGCGCTGCTGGCTGAGCTGCTTCCAGCCCTAGTGGCCCAGATCCCAGGGCTGGCGCTCACCTAATGAGCTGGGCATTGCAAAGCTGGGCTCCCCCACCACCTGTGTTGAGATGAATCATCCATTGCGGGTATCTCCATCTTCTGCATCTCTCCTCACACCCACATTGACCCCAGAATCTGGATTGTCATTACCTGTGGCCTTCTACACCAGTGAGGAGCAGGATAACACACTGGTTAAGAGCTAGACTTGGGGCCGGGCGCGGTGGCTCACGCTTGTAACCCAGCACTTTGGGAGGCCGAGGCGGGCGGATCACGAGGTCAGGAGATCAAGACCACGGTGAAACCCCATCTCTACTAAAAATACAAAAAATTAGCCGGGCGTGGTGGCGGGCACCTGTAGTCCCAGCTACTCGGGAGGCTGAGGCAGGGGAATCACTTGAACCTGGGAGGCGCAGGTTGCAGTGAGCCGAGATCGTGCCGCTGCACTCCGCCTGGGCCATAGAGCGAGACTCTGTCGCAAAAAAAAAGGAGCTAGACTTGGAGTCGGCTCCATCCTTTCCTGGCTGTGTGACCTGGGGCAAGTTACTTAACCTCTCTAAGCCTCTCTTTCCTCGGTCAGTAAGATGGGGTAAGAATCATGCCTTCCTCTTTCAAAGAGTGGCTGTAAAGATGAATGAGCTAATAATTTAAAATGCTTAACCCAATGCTGGGCACAGAGTCCAGACAAACAGTGGTGATTAACAACCAATAATACTTGTAGCAGGTGCGTAAGAAAAGTTGTGGAGAGGTGAGTACGGTGGCTCAGCCTGTCTGTAATCCCAGCAACTCTGGAGGCTTAGGTGGGAGGATCACTTGAACCCAGGAGTTGCAGGCTACAGTGATCGTTCCTCTGCACTCCAGCCTGGGCACAGGGCAAGACTCTAACTTTTTTTTTTTTGAGATGGAATCTCGCTCTGTCACTTAGGCTGGAGTGCAGTGGCCAGATCTCGGCTCACTGCAACCTCCGCCTCTTGGGTTCAAGCGATTCTTCTGCCTCAGCCTCCAGAGTAGCTGGGATTATAGGCACCCGCCACCATGCCTGGCTAATTTTTTTTTTTTTTGTATTTTTAGTAGAGACAGGGTTTCACCATGTTGGCCAGGCTGGTCTCGAACTCCTGACCTCGTGATCCGCCCGCCTCAGCCTCCCAAAGTGGAGACTCTGACTTAAAAAAAAAATCGTGGAATGTGGAAGAAGGAGCAATGCCCAGGGCCCAGAGAAGCCAGGCAGGCATCCTTAGAGGCTGTGGGGACAGTCAAACAGGGGCCTGGGCCTGCACAGAGCTGTGGGATGTTCTGGGCGTGCAATGAACCCAAGGCAAGGAGGCAAGAGCTGGAGGGACAAGGGCTCTGCAGCCAGGAGCAAGCTGACGGCTGGGAGCCAGGAAGGTGGGTTGAGCATCAGACTGAGGACCAGGCAAACAGGGTGGGGGTCAGGAGTCCAGCAGGCCAAGGACACAGAACTCAGCAGAATGATGGATTCTAATCCCCGAGTGGGGGCGCTTGCCTTCCATTCTGTTTTAGTGCTTCCTTCTCCAGGAGGGGGTAGGCTAAGGACGTGGATAATTGCAGTGGTCACTGGGGTTACTTCCCCTTCCCCACTACAACGGTCCAGTCCCAGGAAGTGGGACTGATCCCACTCCTATCTCCAGGATAACCAATCAGGGTAATCGGGATTCCCCTACCATCCACAGCAATTGTCCATCAGAGATGGTCTTCTCAGAGCATAGCTCAGAATACCTGTTTCATGGGTATGGGAAGAGTGGTTTCTTTCTCCCAAAAGGGGAAAAAGGAATTGTATCACCCTGGTTTCTGCTGGCAGCATTCCTGTGATTATCAAATAAGCCATTTTAAGGAGTAAGCATGGAAGGCAGAGCATAGAGAAACAGAGAAACAAAGGTCAAGTCCTGATAAAACTATGCCTAAAGCCCACACAGAGTACCTTCAGTCCTTTACTACACAAGGCAATAAATCTCAGAGCTATTAATAGTTTGAGTTGGTGCAGCAGGCGGAATAATGCCACCCCCAAAGATGTCCGTGCACTATCTCTAGAAACTGTGGATACAGGCCAGGCATGGTGGCTCACGTTGGGATTACCCCAACGCTTTGGGAGGCCGAGGTAGGTGAATCACCTGAGGTCAGGAGTTCGAGACCAGCCTGACCAATATAGTGAAATCTCATCTCTACTAAAATTACAAAATTAGCCAGGCATGGTGGCGCATGCCTGTAATCCCGGCTACTTGGGAGGCTGAGGCAGGAGAATCACTTGAACCTGGAAGACAGAGGTTGCGGTGAGCCGAGATCACACCATTGCATTCCAGCCTGGGCAACAAGAGTGAAACCCCATAAAAGAAAAGGAAGGAAGGGAGGGAGGGAGGGAGAAAGAGAGTGAGAAAGAGAACAAGAAAGGGGAAGGAAGGAAGGGAGGAAAGAAAGAAAAAGAAAGAAAGAAAGAAAGAAAGAAAGAAAGAAAGAAAGAAAGAAAGAAAGAGAAAGAAAGAAAGAAAAAGGGAGGAAGGGAAGGGAGAGAAAGGAAGGGAAGGGAGGGGAGGGGAGGGAAGGGGAAGGGAGGAGCAGAACTGTGAATACATGCATTTACATGGCAATAGGGACTTTTCAGATGTGATTAAGGACCTTGATATGGGTAGAGTACCCTGGATTATCCAGATGGACCCAATCTAATCATATGAGTTCTTATAATTGGAGAGCCATTTCAAGGAGTGGTCAAAGGGAGATGGGACTAAGGAAGGCCAGTCAGAGAGATGCAGTAGCGCTGGCTTTGTTGACAGAAGATGGGGACCGTGAGCCAAGGCCTTCTAGGATCTGGGAAGGACAAATAAACGAATTCTCTCACAGAGCCTCCAGAAAGGGATGCAGCCTGCTGATGCCTTGTTTTAGCCCAGTGAGATCCACATGAAGCTTCTAACCTACAGGATTGTAAGATACATTTATGCTACTTTAAGCCGCTAGGTTTGTGGTAATCTACTACAACAGCAATTGAAAACTAAAACAGTTAGGTTTTCAGTTACTTGTAACCAAAAGCATCCTGTTTACATCATAACTCCACTTATTAACATAGCTAACAGTCTTTTTCAAATGTATTATTATTATTATTTTGGAGACAAGGTCTTGCTCTATTGCCCAGGCTGGAGTACAGCTGAAGTGTGATCATAGCTCACTGCAGCCTCAAACTTCAGGGCTCAGGCAATCCTCCTGCCTCAGCCTCCTGAGTAGCTGGGATTGCAGGCACAAACCACCATACTTGGCTGTAGCTAACAGTTATTAAGCAGGTCTTCTCTTTCAGTATGTTGCTAAATGCATTATGCATTCTATCTAATTTAATCACCACAATAATTCTATATTGTTGAAACTATTAGTCCCATTCTAAATATAAGAAAAACTGAGTCTCAGAGAGGTGAAATCACATAACTAGTGAGTGAGGAGCCTGGATTTGAATTGAAGTTTGCTTGACCCCAAAGCCTGTCCACTTTTCTCTACATCCTGCCGCTAGCTCTCAGTTCACCCCTCTGTGGTGAAGGCTGGCTCTTCTGTATCCCAGGAAAGGAAAGTGGTTCTAGCTGCCCAAAGGACAGTAGAGAAATGCCAGTGTTTCCAAATCTGCATGTCAATGCTCACCTTAACTTTGAGGCTTGCCCTCACCCACACGCTCCTCTTCTCTACTCCACCGACAGTGCTGTCATTTAAAAATCACCTTCCTTATAGAAGAAATGTCATTATGTTCACAAAATCTAAAACACCCAAAGAGAAGATAAAGAATTCCACCCTTTCAGATATGTGACCTACATCAGTGTTTCTTAAACTTTTGTCTGTGTGGGGTGTGTGCGGGGGGTGTGTGTATGTGTATGTGTGTTTTATTAGAGACAGAGTCTAGCTCTGTCACTGGGGCTGAAGTGCAGTGGCATGATCATAGCTCACAGCAGCCTCAAACTCCTGGCCTCAAGTGATCCTCCCTCCTCAGCCTCCCAAAGTGTTGGGATTACAGGCGTGAGCCATCGTGCCCGGCCATTTCTTACACTTTAATAAGCACACGAATCACCTGGCAGGCCTGAGCATCTAACCAGTTCCCAGCTGATGCTAATGCTGTGTTTTCTCCATCCACACTTTGAGTAGGGAGAGTCTACACAACAGCAAATCAATGAGCATCTGGAAATTTGGAAGTTGCCAGGGGTTGGCTGGCTGTCATGGGGCTCCATTGCTTGTGGGTGTGCCACGGAAACATAAATCCCAGAAGAGAACTCTCATATCTCCGAAAGCTCCCATTTAATTCTCAATTGTTGGTCATTCTCCACCCCTCTTTCTGTCACCCTTCCCCCACATGCAATGCATCAGCAAACCCATCAGCTCCATCTTCAAAATATATCTGAAATCTGACCACATCTCGCCCTTCTGCACCACACTCCTTATGATGAAGTCCAAGCCACCATCACCTCTCATCTGCAAGATTACAACTGCCCCTTCCTGGGCTCCCCACTTGCATCCTCGCCTCGCTACAGTTCATCTTCCATACAGCAGCCAGAGGGATTTTTAAAAAGGAACATGAGATCTCTTTCTTACCTTGCTCAAATACGCCAGGAGAGCAAAACTTCAAGTCCTCACCGAGGCCTACGAGGCCCTATGGGATCTGGTTGTTCTGTCACTCTAACCTTACGTCCTACAACTTTCCCCTTTGCTCCTTTCACACCAACTGCACTGGCCCCCTTGCTGCTCCCCATACATGCCCAGCACATTTTTGCCTCAGGGCCTTTGCACTTGTTATACTCTCAGAGAGCCCCAGGGTTCACTCACTTTCTGAGCTCTGATCACTTTAAAATATGGCCTCTCAGAGAACCCATCTCTGACTATCCTGTCCAAAATTGTACTCCCTGCCCTGCCACTCTGTCCCCTGTCCTTGATGTTTTTTTCAAGCACTAATTACTTCCTGACATTGTGTTTTACATAATTTGGTTATGTGACCCTGCTCCCCGTAGAAAGTAGGCTGTCCGTGGACAGAGACTCTCTCTGTCTCGTTTCATCTCTGTGTCTATAGAGCATAGAACAGTGCCTGGCACATAGCAGGGGTTCAGTAAATATTTGCTGAATGAATGAATATTGTTTTGCATAGGATGTATTTGTACACACACCAGGGCTTTTCACCTAGATGATGTTCTTATTGAGGGAAAGCATTGTAAACCCCTAAAGCACTTCCCAAGGAGGCATCCAAATTGTCTTGAACAATTGCAGTTTTCTTGGTATAAACTGGAAATTGAATGTCCACAGCAAGTACACAGCATCCTTGCTTCCATTCTTCTCTTCTGCTCACATGACACACATTATTTATAGATCATGGTAAACAAGTTTTCCCCCAGTGAGGGTTTGAAATCTTGGACAGGTGAGGTGCTGGTGGGGCAGCCCTCATCACAGAAAGCACCCTGGCCATGGAGGTCTGGATATTTTCCCTTGACATGACTTGCAGCTGGAAAAGACCACAAATGTGACAGAGGACAGAATGCCCAGAGGGCTGGGACTAAGCAGCTGAAATTGACAAAAACGAAGTCCAAGCAAGGTCAATGTTGTCCTTCGTTCAACCTCCTGAAAAAACCAAGCATCACCATTTGCCCTGTGGAGATAATATAAAGTGTGGTAGAGATGCATGTCTCAAGCTCTTTTTCACAATCTTCTTTGTATTGGTGAAAACTGGAAACAGGAAGGTGTTGGAGCCAAATCTCATAGGTCTTCATGATGAACTACTAAAGGCAGATTCTCAACCTTGGCACTATCCACATTTAGGGCCAGTAATTTGTTGTTTTGGGGGCTGTTTTGTGTATCATAGGACGTTTAGTAGCCAGTAGCGATGCCCCTCACCCCACCCGTTGTAACAACCAAACATGTCTCCAGCCATTGCCAACTGTCCCCTGGGGGGCCGAATCGCCTCTGGCTGAGAACCATGACTGTTACTTCAAGAAGAATAATGCTTCTTAATACCATGGGAAATGCTTATGCTGTTAGGCTGAGTTAAGGAAAAAGGTGCAAAATGTGTTTTCAACTATATTCATATGAATATAAACAGTGACATAGAAGAAATTTAGGAAGAAATATGCCAAGACGTTAACAGTGATCTCTGGGTGGTGGAATGATGAAAGATTTTGCCTTACTTCTTTATTTTTGCTTTTATACGTTCCTTCATTTGTTCAACAAATATTTATTGAGCACCTACTACATGTCAGGTGTTGTTTTAGGACCTAGGGAGAAGCTGTGTAAGATAGACATTCCTGTGGCTGTGTACAAGACAGACATACCCATGAGGGGACAGGCATTATATAGGACTCTGCCCTCACAGAATTGATGATGTTCTATGGAAGGATACACATGAACCCCATAGCCTGTAAAGAACAATACTCTGGGGCTGGGCGCGGTGGCTCACACCTGTAATAGCACCTCGGGAGGCCGAGGCAGGTTGATCACTTGAGCCCAGGAGTTCAAGACCAGCCTGGGCAACATGGCAAAACCCTGTCTCTACTAAAAATATAAAAATTAGCCAGATGTGATAGTGCATGCCTGTAGTCCCAGCTACTGAGAAGGCTGAGGTGGGAGGATCACTTGAGCCCGGGAGATCGAGGCTGTAGTGAGCTGTGATCGCACCTCTGCACTCCAGCCTGGGTGACAGAGTGAGACCCTGTCTGGAAGGAAAAAACCAAACCAAACCAAACACAATACTCTGAGCACCTGATGAGAGCTACAAGGGCCGTAAAACAAGGGAAGGAGAGAGAACCAAGCCCAGCACTTAGTCCCTAGTCAATGAATATTTCTTGAATGAATGAACCCTTAGAGCATTTTAAGTAGAGGAGATGAATGATCTGATTTCCATTCAAAAATAATTATCAAAAAATGTTTTTTCAAAAAACGGTAATACATGTTTGTTATAAAAAAATCAAACAGCATATGGGGGAATATGAAAATCATGCGTTATGCAGCCCATAGAGAACAGCCACTGCAGACACTCTGGTGAACTTCTTTGCAAGCCTGCCTCTCACTCGCTCTCTTGCAATTCCTGCCTGTCCCCATCTCTCTTTATAAATATATAAAAGCATTTTACGCAAGTGGATTCAAGCCATTCATGCTGTTGTGTAACCTGCTTTTTTCCTGCCCTTTGTAATTTTATGCTCATTGTAAACTTTCCACAGTGGGCATGTATAACTTTTATAATCCGGAACATTAAAAAAAAAAAGCAAAAGACCACAAAAAATAAAGTAAAAACCCGCAAATACAGGATGAGGGTTCCCTGGCTGAGCAGTAAGGCTGTGAAGAAAGGCTTTGGGGTTTAGCTGACCACAAATTCAGCATGAGTTGACGGCATGCTGTGGTTTCTAATTTCAATCCAGTTCATGTTATCGGACAATTCCCCAGCTCCCAGTATGGGAAAAGTAAAGGCAATATAAGGAAGCTTCTCTGGGCTCAGCTTGAGACAACTCACTGTTTGCTCAATTCCCTGCCTTACAGCTTTTGAAACACCTACTACGTGTAAAATCAGGATGATAAGAACAGCTAATGTTTCAGGAGCACTTACTCTGTGCCAGGCAATGTTCTACGAGCTTTACATACGTTAACTTGTTTAATCCTCCCAACAACCCTGTGACATGGATACCATTATTCTTCTCATTTTACAGATGAAGAAACTGAAACCCAGAGAGGTTAAGTCACTTGCCTAAGGTCACACAGCTTACTAAAGCACCATGAGAAATACCAAGAAGAGCAAGCTATGGGTCTACCCTCAAGGAACTGACCGTCAAAAGGACACATGTAAGAGCCTCACGTTAATTCATTCAACAAACATTTCGCTCTGCAGGGCTCCCATAAATACACTCTCTCAACCCAGCCTCAGTGGATGTTCATTTATGTAGTCACCCAACACAGTTTTATTATGCACCAACTATATGCCAGGCACGGTGCTAGGCACTGGGGAAACGGTGGTGAACAAGACAAGTCCCCACAGCTCAGCTTATAATCAGGTGGGAGACAGAAGAATTAGTGAAGCCAATAAGCACGTGATCTAATTATTTGCACGTGAAGCCAATAAGCACTAATCTAATAGTGAAGCAAATAAGCACGTGATCTAATGTGGATGTCAGTCCTGTGAAGACAAATACAGCAGGCAAGGGCTGGAACTGACCCATGTGGAGGTCCAAGTAGGAGACCCAACGTAGGTCATTTAGAGAAGGCCATTGAGGAGGCCTTTCAGCTTTGGGCCAAGGAAGATAAGGAAGCGAATATGTCTTGATTGCGGTGAGATAGAACCATAGAAAATGCAGGTGGAGGGGCAGGTTGGAGTCAGTCACACACAGAAGGGTTTGCTGCCAGGCAAGACTCTATTGCGTGTATGCTGGGGAGAATTTGAGAGTGTTAAGCAGGAGAGCAACAAGATCTGATGTCCACTTTTGAAAGATCACTGGAACAGAGGGCAGCAGGTAAGGGGGAAGCAAGGAGACAGTATAAGGCCAGTTTCATAGCAGGGGCACAAGCTGATAGGACAAGATTAGGGTGGCAAGAGGGTGCCCAGGGAGTCAGGATTCATGATTAAATGAGCACTGACCAGACTTGTGGGTGGATTGGATGCAGGATGTGAGGGAAAGAGAGGAGGTAAGACAACTTCAGGGACTTGGACCGGAGCAACCTGGATGCCATGTACCAAGAAGCAGAAGACCAAAAGCAAAGCAGTTTTCAAGAATCCACCTGGTGTGAGATGCAGTGGGCCTTCTCCAAGCCAGGGGCTGGAGGCACCAGTCTGGAGCTTAAGGGAAAGGTCTAGCCTGTAGATAGACATATAGGAGATGTCAGTATCTGGAGGGACCTTATCTACAACCTCAGCCTGAATGAGCCCACCCAGGGAGCAGGTGTAGACAGGGCCCCGGGGATGAGTGTAGACAGAGCCCAGGGAGTGGATGTAGACAGAGACCCAGAGAGAGTGTAGACAAGGCCCCAGGGATGAGTGTAGACAGAGACCCAGGAGTGGGTGTAGACAGCCCTGGGAGTGGGTGTAGACAGCCCTGGGGTACTCCACCACTTATCCGTTTGGAAGAGGAGACAGATTCCAGAAAGGAGCCTGAGAAGCAGTGGCCAGGGGAGAAGGAAGAAACCGAGAGTGTTGTCCTGGAAGCCAAGTGCTTAAGGCAGCGGGGAGAAATCAGCTCTGTCGAAAGCTGCTGATAGGGTGAGGAAGATGAGGCCTGGGGATCACCCACTTTG
This sequence comes from Homo sapiens, assembly GCF_000001405.40. Lineage (NCBI taxonomy): Eukaryota > Metazoa > Chordata > Mammalia > Primates > Hominidae > Homo > Homo sapiens. The sequence goes on from NC_000001.11 coordinate 22,401,057, forward strand.
GCAGCAAGAGGCCACTGCACAGGAGGCATCCCCGAGGCCTGGAGTTTCCAGCTCTCAGCTCCATCCAGACACACCAGCAGCCCACAGACCTCTCCTCTGCTCATGTGGGCCCCAGGAAACGTTAGCCGGCATCCTGGCACAACCCTCCCCAGGCCGCACTGGGCAAAGATGGTCTCGCCTTGGTCGAGCTGACACGGGCACGCTGCAGCTTCCCAGAGGCCCTGCAATGTCTCCACTCTCCATGCCCATGATGCCCTGATGCCTGCGGTGGCTGCACTGAATGGAAGTAATAACGCCCTCCTTTAGAGATCCCCGCGAGTGCTAAGGAACTCGAGAGGAAGCCTCTTATCAACTGAGCACACTGAGTGATGTAAGTTAATGACCATCATCTGAAATGAACTCCTCCTGCCCACTGCCTTCCCACTCCTCCGAGCCCCCACCCACCGGCCCCTCTCGGCTACCCCTGCCCCGCCTAACTTGTCCCATCTCTTATTTTCCAGGGTCTCTTCCGGCTTGTCATTACAGTTCCTCCCGGTCTGCTTAGCCTTCTTTCCTCTGGTCTTACCATGCTGTCTCCCACCCTTTGTGGAGGAGAATGCAGGGAAAGAATAACAGAAATTATAGTGAGAGATGGTGATGATGATGATGATGATGGTGATGGTGATGAAGAGTGTGAATACCCCTTACTGAGCATTTCTGCAGGCTGACCTAGTTCAACTTCTCATCTATTCTTGCCTGCATCCTCGGAGGTAGATGTTCAAAGTGGTAGTGGCTGCCCCTGACATCATCAGAATAATAATCATGCCCACTATTTATTAAGCATTTACTGTGTGCCCAGTTTGGGATAAGTACCTGCTGCTCACTCTCTCCTTTCAGCCTAACATAAATGGTAGAGAACAAAATATTCTTTTTTTTTTTTTGAGACAGGGTCTCCTTCTGTTGCCCAGGCTGGAGTGCAGTGGCACGATCATGGCTCACTGTAGCCTTGACCTCCCGGGTTCAGGTGATCCTCCTGCTTCAGCCCCTCAAGTATCTGGGACTATGGTGTGCGCCACCACGCCTGGATAATTTTTGTAGAGGCGGGGCTTCTCATGTTGCCCAGGCTGGTCTTGAACTCCTGGGTTCAAGCAATCCACCTGCCTCGGCCTCCCAAAGTGTTGCAATTACAGGTGTGAGCCACTGTGCCCAGCCAAATATTCTTATTACATCCATTCCATTTTGCAGGTGAGAAAAGGTTGAGTTGCTAAGTAAAAGAATAAATGGTGTTCAATTTATTGAGTTCAAAACTGGGGTGGGGGATACAGAGGTAGAGAGACTCCAGAAATGCCCTGACTATTGTGCCACCTTGAGTGCCCAGAGAAGTGCAGGTGGCAGTGGTTGTGAATGTGTGTATTGGCTGGGGCAGGGAAACAGACAGCCCCATTCCCCTGCAAGCCCTGCCCCTGGAGAGGGATCAGTGGGTCCACAGCTTGTGGCACTTGGTGTGTGTGCTGCCAGGACAGTGGTGAGTGGGGCGAGCATGTGGGGTGCTGGTGACTGTGAGTATGTCCCAGCAGGACTCGTGGCAGCCTTTACATTTTTGTGGCATGAGATGGAAATTGGAAATAATAAAGAAAGGAGGTGGGGGAGAGACAGAAATAAGAAAGAAAGAAAAAGCAAGGAAATCATAAAATGTTACCATCCTGCAGGCGCCAGCCTGGGCGATGAAACCACTAATGAGCCTGAGGTTCTGCAGAGCCCAGCATCTAATTCAAACCAGGCAGATGACAGCCGCGCGGTGCCCCTGCACAAGTGTTAGCATGCACCTTCGAGGCCATGGCACGGGGAGGGAGTCCCAGAGCCCCGAGAAGTGGAACTCAGCTGCCATCTGCCCAGCCCCAGCAGCCCAGCCCCAGCACCCTGGCTTGGGAGCGGTCCTGCTGCCTCGGGCCCAGAGCACTGCAGAAGGCCAGTTTGCCCATGCCTCCAACACATCCACATTTCAATCAGGACCACATCTGCAGTGTTTCGTGGTTGGGGGTGTAGCCCTTGCTAAGCTTTTAGAGGGATTTTCCCCATATTTTGCCCACTTTTTTTTTAAAGACAGATTGTCCCTCTGTCATCCAGGCTGCAGTGCTGTGGCATGATCACAGCTCACTGCAGCCTCAAACTCCTGGGCTCAAACGATCCTCTTGCCTCAGCTTCAAGAGTAGCTGGGACCACAAGCATGCACTATCAATCACACCCAGCTAATTAAAAACAAATTTTTTTTTTTTTTTTTTAGAGATGGGTCTCACTATGTTGTCCAGGCTGGTCTTGAACCTCTGAACTCCAGAGATCCTCCATTTCAGCCTCCCAAAGTGCTGGGATTACAGGTATGAGCCACCGTGCCTGGCTTTTTGCCCAGCTTTGAGCATTTTGAGGATTTTTTATTCTAGCTCATTTTTTCTAAAAGCACTTGTTCATTTGAATAATCAACTATAATCATATTTTGATCACTATACCATGAGTTCACTCCTTTCCACAAAGTCTGACTTCCCCTTAGAAGGAGGACAGCGTAGGAATGCTGGAGTGAGGTGATTTGGGTTTGAATCTCAGCTTCACCAGTACTAGCTGTGTGGTCTTGGGCAAATAATTAAGTTCTGTGTGCCTCAGTTTCCTGTCTTTAAATGGAGTTAATGATAGTTTCTACCTCCTAAGGTGTTGTCAGAATCAAATGAGATGATATCCAACAAATACTTGGCACTGGGCAAGCACCCAGTGAATTTAGCAGTTTTGTCTACTTTGAAGCATTTTATGTATTTGTTTACACAAGTGCTCACTGAGCATTTCCTGGAGTTAGGAGCTGCACTGGGAACCAGGGAGACAATGTTGAAAGCGACAAACAGGTCCTTGCCTTCCTGGTGCTCCCGGTCCAGTGGGGAAGGCAGCCCAGCAAAGCGGTGATTATGACACAGTGTATTGAGGGTGGGAGAGAAAGGTTGACGTGAGAGTATAACAAGGGTACCCAGTCCAGTCATAATCGATCAGAGAAGGTTTTCCGGAAGGTGACATCCCAGTTAGGCTTGAAGAACAAGTAGGTGTTAGTCACTAGGACTGGGTATCCCAAGTAGAGGGAGCAGCCTTTGCAAAGGCTCAGAGGCATAAAACACCAGGAAGCTCCTGGAGAAACGCAAACAGTGCTGGAAAGCTGAGGGTGAAGGGGATGGAGGGAGGCAGGGGCTAGGTCATGAGGAGCCTCCTATGCCTTAAATGCTAGGCTAAGGAGCCTGGGTGCTAGACTAAGGTTGGGTTGACCCTTTTTTTGAGCTTCTACTTCCTCATTCATAAAAGTGGGATATCTTGCAGAACTGTTCGGATGAAATGAAATGATGCCAGTACTATGCTTGGGACAGGTTGTGCTCCATAGCAAAACCCCACACATGCTAGCTATGATATTATTCTTCTGATCTAGCAGAATTATTATGAGACTAAATGAGAGCACATGGGCAAAGTTCTCAGCACGAAATTATAGAGCATGGTTGTTAAGGATTTGTATTCTGGAGCCAGACTGCTTGGGTTCATATCCTGGATCCACCACCCAATAGTGGGCAAGTTCCCTCGCCTGTCTGAGCCTCAGTTTCCTGGTCTATAAAATGGGGACATGAACCCTGTATGTTGTGAGGATGAAGAATGCATGTAAAGAGCCCAACAGTTCCTGGCAGATGATAAGCACTCATTCAATAAAACTGCTGGCAACTGCTAGAGCTTACTCAACCCAACCAGCGTCGATGCAACTTCCATCTTCACATCCCATTTTTAAATTGTTATAATTGACAACTGAAAATGGTATCGATATCTTGTGCACAGTGTGATGTTTTGATGCGTGTATACATTGTGGGATGATTAAATCACGCAAATTAGCATATTGAGCACTTCACACACTTAGCTTTTTTTTGTGATGAGAACATTTAAAATATACTCACTTAGCAATTTTCAAGTGTGTAATACCGTATTATTAACTATAGTCACCATGCTGTACGGTAGCTCTCCAGAACGTATTCCTCCATTTAACTGAAACTTTTTACCCTTTGATCAACATCTCCCCAATCCCCAACCCCTGGTAACCACCATTCCACTCTCTGCTTCTATGAGTTCTACTTTTTTAGATTCTGTATGTAAGGAGATCATACAATATTCATCTTTCTATGCCTGGCATATTTCACTTAGCAAAATGTCCTCTGGGTTCATCCATGTTGCCACAAATGACGTTATTCTGTTCTTTTTTAAAGCCTGGATAGGATTCCATTGTGTGTATTTAGCACATGTTCTTAATCCATTCATCTGTTTTTTTGTTTTGTTTTGTTTTGTTTTGTTTTGTTTTGTTTTTGTTTTTGTTTTTTTGAGAAGGATCTCACTGTGTCACGCGATTTCGGCTCACTGCAACCTCCGCCTCCCGGGTTCAAGCCATTCTCCTGCCTCAGTTTCCCAAGTAGCTGGGACTACAGGCGCCCACCACCACGCCCGGCTAATTTTTGTATTTTTAGTACAGATGGGGTTTCACCATATTGACCAGGCTGGTCTTGAACTGCTGACCTCAAATGATCTGCCCACCTCAGCGCCCCCAAAATGCTGAAATTACAGGCATGAGCCACCACACCCAGCCCCATTCATCTGCTGATAACACTTAGCATTCTGTATCTTAGCTATTGTGAATACTGTTGCACTTAAGATGGGGGTGCGGATATCTCTCCGGCATACTGATTTCATTTGATTTCCTTTGGATATATACTGATTTCCTTTGGATATATACCCAGAAGTGGAATTGCTGGATCATATGGTAGGTCTATTTTTAATTTTTGGACGAACCTCCATACTGTCTCCCGTAATGGCTGTACTGATTTACATCCCCATCAGCAGTGTATAAGGGTTCCTTTTTCTCCACATCCTGGCCAATATTTGTTATCTTTTGTCCGCATTCAATTTCATCTCAATTATACACAATCCTATTTGAATGAGTAATTTATCAGTTGTCACATGTTTGTTTGTTTTCAAGATGGTGGAATAAATACAATTCAAGTTAAACTGCTTTTAAAAATTGGGTGAGAATCACACAGCCTTAAAGTTATTGCAGAGTTAGTAGGTAAACAGAGAACTCTGTTAAATGCTGTGTCCTTGGCATTCAACGTAAATGGACGGTGTTATTAGCAGGGAGCACCTGTCCTACACCGTACATTTAACGCAGGGCTTTCGTATCCACCACACTTGGAGGTGGGGGCAGCACACCCACTTTGCAGTAAGAAGATGGAGACTCTCTGGCCAGGTGCAGTGGCTCATGCCTGTAATCCCAGCACTTTGGGAGGCCGAGGTGGGTGGATCCGAGGTCAGGAGTTCGAGACCAGCCTGGCCAACATGGTGAAACCCCGTCTCTACTAAAAAATTTATAAAAATTAGTTGGGCGTGGTGGCAGGCACCTGTAATCCCAGCTACTTGGGAAGCTGAGGCAGGAGAATCACTTGAACCTGGGAGGCAGAGGTTGCAGTGAGCGGAAATCAAGCCATTGCACTCAGGCCTGGGTGACAAGAGCAAAATTCCGTCTCAAAAAAAAAAAAAAAAAAAAGAGAAGAAGATGGAGATTCTCCTTAAGGCGCAATCAAATGGCAGCCAGCACTCAACCCCAAAGCCTATCCCCTGAGCAGACTGTGTTCCCTCATTGGGCCATGTTTCTGAGCCGAGTGCCAAAGCCTTGGGTAGGAGTTGGCAGGGTCTTATCCTCCCTTACCAGCCTCCCCCACCCCATGGATCTTCTCTTCATTAGGAAGTTCCTGGGCTTGGAAGAGCAACCGCCTCTCCTCCACATCCTCCACAGAGCTGCCCTTGTGGGGGTGGATTGGGTATTGATTCTCATTGTGTTTTTGCAGTGATTGCAGATGTTGGAGTGGGTGGGAAACATCACCTACTCCCCAGCTTCAGAAACCCCTGTGCGTCACCAGATCAACCAAAAACATTCCTCCCAGGCTTTGGGGTGGATGCCACAGTCCGCCATGTCATGAAGGGAGCAAAGAAAAGCCCTAGACTCGGAATCAGCTCCTTGCCTGCTCGAGAGGTCACTGCCCCACTTTGAGAGCATTTTTCCCATCCAGGAAATGGGGACATGCCTGTCTCACAGGAAAGCTGGGAGAATTCGATGAGATTATGTGTCTTATTATAAACCTCAAGGAATAATGCGTTGAAAGTCACCGAGCTGACGCTAGAGTGATGCTTAACATAACTTCGTGGGGATGAAATCACAAGAATTTCTTCAGCACCGAAAGCAACATTCCTCACATTTCCTAAACTGCCATGTATCTGATGCCCCATTTCCACAGCATTCTTTTGGTTGCAAATGATAGACGCAGAGAATTGAAAGAAAGACAGACAGAGACAGACACAGAGAAAAGAAAAAATGCTGCAGATAAAATGACCAGGTTGGGGGAGGAAGATGAGGGAACAGAGAATGGCCAACAGAAAATCAGAGGCATTGAAAAAAATAATGCATAAAAGAGCTAAAGATCCCAGGAGAGAAAAGGAGGAGTGGGAGAGACAAGAGGGGCTGAGGGTGAAGGAGAAGAGGCAGAAAACTTAGAAAGCCAGGGATGGAGGTGGGAGGGTTGCCAGCAGCAGAGGGGCAGGGGTCAGAAGCTGACCAGGACACGGCCCAGGCACTTAAGCTAAGGCCTAGACAATGTGGCTCTGAGACGTCATCCTCAGTGACGGGGGAAGAGTCAGAGAGGAGAGTGGCCATGGCACCTGGGCTGCATGACCCCTTGGGCCATATGGCTCTGGGTTGGGGTTGAGGAGAGAGCTTGTGCTTTCTAGCCCCTACCCCTGATCCAGAGAAGAGAGAAGACCATCTGTTCCATTTGTGATGCCAGCACCTCCTCTTTACCACCAAGGTCCAGGACAGAAAACCCAGCATCTGTTTAGCAGTCAGATATTGACCTTTGTCCACAGGTCAGTGATTTCTAGAAGGTCACAAGCAGGTGGAACCTCAAAGTCCAGTTGGTCCAACCCTCCCTCTCTCACTGTCCATTATGAAGATGAAGGTTCAAGGCTCAGAGGGAGGGAGACTACCTGAGTTACCAAGTGAGATCGTGGCTGTCTAGAGCACAGCCCAAGCCTCCTGCCACCGGAGGAGAGGGCTGAGAATAGAGGGGGTGGAGGGTGAGGGGAGGTCTCAGACCTGGGAGGCTGGGAGAGGGGCAGGGCTCTCCTCTCTGTACAAGGCAATGTTCATCTTCACAGATGCATCCTCGGTACTTAGAAGAAGCCTGGCATGCATGGGGTCGTTAGCAAATATTTGCTGAATTAGCCAAAGGAGGTTTTCCAGACTGAGCACAGGAAAGCCATCTGGTGACCCCTCTGCCCCTACCAGAGCATGTCACTGGCTGCCCTTGGGGCTCCGGGGAAAGCTCAGGCTGAGGTTACAGCATAGCTGGGAGCAGGATTCAGGGCCTGGGTTAGGTTTGAGTTTTAGGACTGGGCTGTAGCTGCAGTGGGTTTGAGGTTAGGCCTGGGGTTGGCAGAGGTTGAGTTTAGCTTGGGATAGAGCTGATGTCTGGTTTGGACTGTGGATGGGGCTGGCGCAGCTGTGGGATGGTGTTTAGAGCTGGGGCTGGTGCCCAGGTCCAGCTGGGATGAGGGCTAAAAGGAGGGTTTGAGGTGGGTGCTGATGTGTATCCAGCCTGGCTTGAAGCTGGTTTGGGAATGGCCCTGGGATTTGCTCTAGGGTTGGTTTGGAGGCTGTTGGAGGAATCGGGGCTGGGGTTCCATTCCTTCCATTCCCCCGGCCCCATGCCCTTCTGGACAGAAATCCTCCCCCAAGCTTGCCCACTGGGTCCTTCTCAGAGTCTTGACAGTGGCTCACAGGAGGGCAAGAAAAATGACATCCTCTGACCTGGTGCTGCAGCCTGAGACACACAGACTTGGTGGTTCTCAAGGGGTACCAGGCTGGCCCCCAGCCCCAGCTGGGATGGGGCATCTTTACAGCTCTGGCAGACTCATGAAAAGTAATGGGGCCTTGCCATTTACTGCCTTTTCACAAAGAAAATATATCAAGTGAGACATATTTTTCTTAGAGGCAACATAAATATTTATCAGTGTTGTGGCTTCCTGGGCCCCTGATTTATAGAGGACCTGGGCTATGGGGCAGGATTCCTCCCAGTGGCTGCTGAATCCCTGAGCCCAAGTGTTAACGGGTAGAGTCAGGTTTCTACCCCTCAGGACTTGGCAGGAGGTGCTGATGGAGCCAAAAGCAGAGATGGGAACTTCTACCAACTGGGAAGAAGGGAGACCCACCATCAGGTCTTGGTTCCTACCTCTGTATAAAAGTATGGGGATTTGGAGCCAGATGAACCTCAGTTTTAATCTCAGCTCTGGTACCTATAAATCAGTTACATCGTCTCCTTGAGCCTCATTTTCCACACCTCTAAAAGTGGGACAATTCTTCCCTAATAGAGCTGTTGAGAGGATTTGTCCGGCTCAAGGTCTGGCTTATAGGAAACACACAGGAAAGGTTTGCTGGCTCTTGTTTCTCAGTAGAGGTTGAGAGATCAGTCTCTGGAAGTCAGACAGACCTGGGTTTACATCTTGGCTTTGTCACTCGTAATCTGGGGGGCCCTGAGCAAGTCACTTCACCTTTCTGAGCCTCAATTTCCTCATCTGTAAAATGGGCCAAGTAAGAGTATCTCCTATCTCATAGGGATGCATTGGTCAGAGTGAATGGTTGCAAGCAACAGAAACTGACTGTCTCTGACAAGTGCAAAAGGGAATTTAATGAAAGGATATCAGGAGCTCACAGAACCTATAAGAAACTGGAAGACCAGGCCTAGAAAGTAGATAGAATGCAAGGAGTGATGGAAGAATAGGCCAAAGAATGATTCATCAATCAAGGCAGCAGACTCTAGAGCAAGCGGGAGCAGCCCAGGGTGCAGGCTGCCACAGCCACAGTGATGGCCAGGACTGCAGAGGCCCCTGAGCCTCTGCATCACTAGCTCAATGTTCAAGGCCCAATTGATGTTCTATGCTTATCTCCTGCCCATTTCTTTGGTCTCCAGGGTTGGGGTACCATGACCTCCCACCAGTCTATGTTCACTAAGGATGCCCCAGGAAAGACCAGGGTGCTCATGCAGTAGGGGTTTGGCACTCTCAACAAGGTCCATGACAGAGGTCTTTGAAAATGAAATAAGACCACACTCACTGATGCCCCTGTGCCTGGCACTGAGCGTCACTCCTCAAATGGCAGCCATTAGCTGTTGTGACAGCCTCCTCCAGTGTGAGCTGTGCCTGCAGTGGCCCCTGGACTAAAGGTGGCAGATATGGACAGAGCTGGAGATTGGCTCAGGAAGTGCCATCTGCTCATCAGGCAGCCTGACATGAGGGAAAGAGCACTGGACCAAGAGTCTGGCCCTGCTTCTTGTCCCATCTCTGCCACTAATTAGCAATGCCAGCCTGACAGCCCCTCCCTCCCCTCCGAGATTCCAGTTTCTCCACTGGGAAACAGCATCAGTGCTACCTTCCCTGACTCTGTCACCAGAAGGCTGGGAGGTGCATATTTAATAACACATAGGCCAGGTGTAATGGCCCACAACTATAATCCCAGCACTTTGGGAGGCCGAGGCAGGAGGATCACTTGAGCCAGGAGTTTGAGACCAGCCTGGGCAACATGGTGAAGCCTCAACTTCAAAAAATACAGAAAACTAGCTGGGTGCGGTGGTGTAGGCCTGTAGTCCCAGCTACTCAGGAGGCTGAGGCAGGAGGGTCACCTGAGCATAGGAGGTTGAGGCTGCAATGAGCCACGATTGCACCACAGCACTCTAGCCTTGGTGACAGAGTGATACCCTATCTCAAATAATAATAATAATAACAACACATGGAAATATTATTTTTTCAATTTTTAATGTTTTTAATAACTTTAAAATCTTTCCAAAATAATTTATATTCCATACAGTTCACCCTTTTAAAGTATACAATCCAGTGATTTCTATTCGCAACGTTGTGCAACCATCACTACTAATTCCAGAACATTTCATCATCTCCAAAAGAATCCTGTATCCTTTAGCAATCATCCCTCATTCTTTCCTCCCCTCAGCCCCCGGCCGCCACTAATCTCCTTTCTGTCTCTATGGATTTGCCTGTTTTGACAAATGGAATCATGCAATGCGTGGTCTTTTGTGTCTGGTTTTTTTCACTTAGCATAGTGTTTGCAAGGTTCGGCCATGGTGAGGCACGTGTCAGTGCCTCATTACTTTTCACAGCTGTATACTATTTTGTTGCATGGATATGCCACAGTTTGTTTACCCATTCATGTAGGATTCTTTTTAGTTGACACAGGGCCAGGGCCGGGGCTTCAGGTGTTCTCACGGAGGGAGAGGCTAGAGCAGAACCAAGAGGAAGGGCTTCATCTAAACAGGGGAGGTGTGTGCAGCCTGAACGGATCTGTCTCCGGCTCCGCTTACTCTCAAAGTGCCTGAAGGCATTTCAGAGAGTTCCTGGATTCTGAGAATCGGAAATTATTGCTACCTAGACTCTGAGCTTTCCATCACCTCTGCCTCAAACTCAAGCTGACTATGGGCATAGGGCCTTCTTGGAGGTTGGAGTCAGTGGACAGAGTTGAGCCAGGCACATAGAAGTGATTAATAAATACGTGGATGGATAAATGGATGGATTGAATAGATGGATGATTGCATGGAGGGATGCAAGGGTTCATGTGGAAAAATGGATGGATGGATGGATGGATGGATGGATGGATGGATGGATGAATGGATGGATAGATGGATGAATGGATGGATGGGTGGATGAATGGATGGATGGGTGGCTGAATGGATGGATGGGTGGATGAATGGATGGATGGGTGGCTGAATGGGTGGGTGGGTGGATGGATGGACAGAATGGATAGATGGAAGACTGGATGAATAAATTGGCACACAGAGCTGGCAATATATTCTTGCCAAGGCCCACTTTGTTTGTTTGTTCTGAGACAGTGTCTTGCTCTGTCACCTAGGCTGGAGTGCAGTGGTGCAAACACGGCTCACTGCAGCCTCTGCGTCCTGGGTTCAAGCAAGCCTCCTGCCTCAGCCTACCATGTAGCTGAGACCACAGACATTCACCACCATGCCTGGCTAATTTTTTTGTTTGTTTGTTTGTTTGTAGAGATAGGGTCTCACCATGTTGACCAGGCTGGACTCAAACTCCTGGACTCAAGTGATCCTCCCACCTCAGCCTGCCAAAGAGCTGGGATTACAGGCATTAGCCATCGCACCTGGCCTGCCAAGGCCCACTTTATGCATGGGAGAAAGATAAATTTTTTACCTAGAGGGAAATCCTAGCACAAGGCATCCTTGAGTCAAAAGACCTATCATTTAAGTACTAACTCTTAAACAGGCGTAGGAAGGATCACATCTTAAATCTTTAGAGTTTCAAATCAAATGATCTAGCTGTGTTTAGCACACTGAAGGTGCTTACGACATAGTTGGAAGTGAATGGATGAATAAATGAATGCCTTGAACAAATGAACAAACCTACTTCCCACCCAATTTGTGAATTAGGAAAGCGACATCCATTTTAGAAATGAGGAGAGTGACACCTAAAGTCACCCGGCAGATCAGGGTCAGGCTGTGGTACGGAATCCAGGCCAACTGGAAGTCCAGCATTCTTTTCCCCATACCAGGCAGTTTCCCGGTTCCTGATCTCAGCAGGGACATGTCATGTAAACCAGACGAGTCATTTCCAGGCCTTGTGTTTTGTATTCTCCTACCTAGGACAAGAAGGTCACTGAAGTGACCACATGTCTATTTGATGTTTGTTTGAGACTGGGGTGTGTGTGTGTGTGTGTGTGTGTGTGTGTGTGTGTGTGTCTTTGAATGAGAGAGAAAAAGAGAGAAAAAAAGAGACAGAGAGAGAGAGAATGCATACATTCTCACGAATGGAAAGGCAAATACATCTTGTCAGCAGCTTCCACCTTCCCGTGGTGCAGCTGTAACATGTCAGGTGTATTGGGGCACCCGAGATAAGCTGGTTTTGACATGCTGCAGATGCCTTCCTACCTCCCAGGGAGGCTGTGACCACCCCATGTGACAGAGACAATGACATTCAACATCTGGGTAGCAGCTTATGTGAGGTCATGACTCAGTGCCCAGCACATGGCAAGTACCCAGTGAGTGGTGGCTGCTTTCATTACTTAATAGCAATCTCCCTGGCCCAGACCTTCTTACCAGGCTCATACTTTCCAGCACACTGAACTGGGATCAGGAGGTCTAATTCTACTCCCAGCTCTGACATCCACTTTCTGTGGGACCCTGGATGTCTAACCTCCCCGGGCCTCCATCTCCTCATCTGTAGAACGGAGAAAATCATACCCTCCTCACAGGGCTGCTGGGAAGACAACCAGAGAGACAGGCTATGGGGGCACTTTGCATGCTATAGACAAGGGGCAGCAAACTACCAGGGACAAATCCAGCATGCCACTTTGTAAATAAAGTTTTGTTGGAATGCATCCACCCTCATCCACATACGTATTGTCTGTGGCTGCTTTCACACAACGGTAACAGAGCCAAATAGTTGCAACAGAGACTAAAGGTCTGCAGAGTCTAAAATATTTAGTATCTAGCCCTTTAAGGAAAAATTTAGCTGCTCCTGCTATTGAGCGATTATTCCCAGGTGTTAGCAGCCTTCCTCCTTCCTCTTCCCTGGGAGATGCTCACTCTCAGGCCCTCCCCAAAGGCTGGTGCAAGGCCTGGGTATCTCCTCTTTGACAAGGTTTCCTGGTGACTCTGATGAAGAAAGGCCCTTGGTCCAGACTGCAAAACACACCAGGGTAGTGGACTCAGACAGACTTGAGATCAAATCCCCGTTCTATCACTTCCCACCTGTGTGACTGCAGACAAGTTGCTTAACCTCTCTGAGCCTCAATGTACTTATCTACAAAATGTGGACAACAATGCCTATCCCTTAGAGCTCCTGGGAAGATTAAATGAGACAATGTCTATAAAGGGCTCAGTCAGGCCTGACACAGGATGGGTGCCTGGTAATTGACAGGTTTTTCTTCCTGCATCCCTAAACTAATTTAGTCCCTGGGTATGCTGCATCTTCTCAGTTCTCCCAGAACCCTCCTAGCTTCTCCCTTTCTGCCCCACTGTGGCCTCTTAGGGGGACTCTGCCCCCCATCTTTGTTGAAGGTCCTTCTTCCCCAGCAGGGAGAGGTACATTTGCTGAGAGGCAGCGCTGGGGAGCTGGTCTGATAGAGCCTGGAGTCCTCGGCCCATTTCTGACACTGAAACACCAGCTCCGTGTTTACACAAGGACTCTCATAATATTTGCTTTCTGTGGCCATTATTTGTCCAGGGGCTGACGTCAGATGAAGACAAGCAACTCCCCACTAGCGCTTTCAAAGCACAAGGTCAGCACCTCCCTGTCCCCGCTCCACTGTCCCATCCCCTGGCTCCTTGTCTCAGTTTTCTAAACTAACCACACTCCAGGCTTTGGGTGACTTAGCAAATGTGTTGGCGTGGGACCAGCAGAAAGGCAGATTCTGGTCCCAGCCTGTCGCTAACTAGCTGGGCGACCTTGGGAGGGTCTGGGTCCTCTCCCTGGGCCTCAGTTGCCTCCTCTGTGCCCTGGGAGGGTCGCTTCCAGCGCCACAATTCCATGACTGTGGAACTTCAAGAACCCCCCAGGCTGGGAGATTCCAGCACCCACTGTCACTCTCCTTCCCCACCCCTCCACCCTTCTCAAGCTGCCTAAGAGTGGGAGGAAAGTGAACAGAAATTGTGAAAACAAAGCCACACTTCGACTTAACTACAACCCTGCCGACAGCACAATCTTTCATCAAGATAGAAAATAAGAAGTGAAAAAAGCTACAAGGCTTCAACTGGGCATTTTAACATGGAGGTATGTCCTCCAGCACAGCAAATACCCTGCACCCTGACCAGGGTGGGGAGCCTGTGAATGGACATAAGTCCAGCCTCTTCCACCCATCTGCCACTCATATGAGAAGGTTGCCGGGTGCCGTGGCTCATGCCTGTAATCCTAGCAATTTAGGAGGCCAAGGCGGCCAGATCGCCTGAGAGAGGTCAGGAGTTCGAGACCAGCCTGGCCAACATGGTGAAACGCCATCTCTACTAAAAACACAAAAATTAGCCAGGTGTGGTGGTGTGCGCCTGTAGTCCCAGCTACTGGGAAGGCTGAGGCAGGAGAATCACTTGAACCTAGGAGGCAGAGGTTGCAGTGAGCCGAGATTGCACCACTGCACTCCAGCCTGGGCAACAGAGTGAGACTCCATCTCAAAAAAAAAAAAAAAAAAAAAAGAGGTAAAGAGGTCAAGCTGCAGGTAAAGCCACCTATGTCACAGGGCCAGCTCTGCTTCCCAGGGAGGGGGAAGAATCATGCGTATAAGTCCAAGGGGAGAAAAAAAAATGGCAAAACCAATCCAGGGAGTTACTGACCCCACTGAAATGTGGATCCATACCAAAGACATACGGGTCCACACCTCCAAAGGACTAAATAAAGGACACTCAGCTGAAACCTCAGCCCGAGGGACTTTAGTAGGTCACATCAAACCCTTTCCTGACTTGGCATGGGCCAGTGCGGGACAGTCCAGTAGTTTAAGCAAGTCTATGGAGCCAAACAGACCTGGGTCTGAATTCCGGTAAGGCCACCCAGTGGCTGGGTGACCCAGGGGGAGCTATGGCGCCTCTCTGAGCCTGGGTTTTCCCAGCTATGAAATGGAGATGATAATAATTCATACCTCTTGGGGCTGTTGTGAGAACGTAAGGAACAGTTCAGTGCCTATGCCAGTTTGAAGGTCATACGGGGCCCTAGCCAAATGATCTTCTCCTTGGGTTACTGGATGATTCTTCAAGGGTGATAACCATCAAGACCTACTCTGGCGGATCAGGCACGGTGGCTCATGCCTGTAATCCCAGCACTTTGGGAAGCAGAGGCGGGCAGATCATCTGGGGTCAGGAGTTTGAGACCAGCCTGGTCAACATGGTGAAACCCTCTCTCTACTAACAATATAAAAATTAGCCAGGTGAGATGGCTCATGCCTGTAATTCCAGCACTTTTTGAGGCCTAGGCAGGTGGATCATTTGAGTTTAGGAGTTTGAGACCAGCCTGGCCAACATGGTGAAACCCCATCTCTACTAAAAATACAAAAATTAGCTGGGTGTGGTGGTGTGCACCTGTAATCCCAGCTACTCGGCAAGGCTGAGGCAGGAGAATTCCTTGAACCCAGGAGGCAGAGGTTGCAGTGAGCTAAGATTGCACCATTGCACACTCCAGCCTGGGCAACAGAGCAAGACTCCATCAAAAAATAAATAAATAAATAAAACCCACTCTGGCATGGAGAACATCTGAGTTCTTTGAAGCACTCACATGTACATTCTCATTTGTAGCACTTCTCACAACAGTGCCATAAGGTGGGTCACTCTCCACAGTCTGCAGATACAAAAACTGAGGATCGAACAGACAAAGCCATTTGTCCAGAGCTCACCACAAGCCCTCGCCCTGAAGCCCAGGACTTTGACTCCTAGTCATTGCTCTGGCACCTCCTTCCACAGGCTCAGATCCTACTGACCCCATGTGGCCTCGGTGGGTCCAGCTGTGTCCAGAGGCCTCCCAGACACTGGCTCCAGGCCTCTCAATTTCTCTCCAGCCTCAAAAGGAGGTTCAGACAGCGGAGGTGAGCTCAGCCAGAAGTGTGAGGAGACAGCGCCCTCCAGTGGCCTCTGCGCAGCAGCGAGGGAAGCCGAAGGAGGGGGTGGGGCACTTCGATGTCACAAGGGCTGCAGCCCCGAGGAGAGGGACAGAGATCAGGGGCACATTCGACTCCTGTCCTCACCGGTCCAGCCCCTTGACACCTCCAATACTCCTTCTGTCCCAGGACTCTTAGAATCACACCATTCCAATCTGGAAAGAAACTGAAACGCCACCTAAATGAATATTCTCTTTGCACAAAGATGATTGAATCCAGGGTGGAGACAGATCATCCAAGGTCATGTGAGGAGTCAGGGTGGAATGGATTCAGAGCTCAGGTCCCCTACCTGCCCCTTCAGCCCCAGCAGGAAGTTCATGGAGGTTGGATTCACCAGCCCTGCACCTCCCCGCTCCCCATTTTTCTCCTCTGCCTTCAGGGCTGCCAGGCACACCAGGTAGAGTGGGAGGGGCTGAGGCAGAAGAATGATGGTGATGGGCTCTCCAACTCTTGATGGCTGTGTGACCTGGTGCAGGTTACTTAACCTCTCTGTGCCCCAGTTTCCCCCTCTGTGAAATGAAATTGAATCCTCAATGCCATAGGATTACTGTAAGGACTAAATAATGCATAAAGTAAAAAAGGCCTGGTAGGTGGTAAGCAGCCCCCAAACATGGCAGCCCCTGCTTCTGCTTTTATTACTATTCGTTTGGTGCCTCTAATCCATTGGTTCACTTCTGAGGGGCCACAAGCTCTCCCACGCACCTTTCTCTCCTCCCCTTCTCTCACGTCATTTCTTCTCACCAAACCCCAAAGCGACAAATTAATCCCCAGTACCTGTATCTCTTGTCTGTCACATTCGAGGCTCTGCAAGACGGTGTGGCCTGGCCAGGGACTGGGGAGTCGGTGCCACGCACACAGCCCCTCTGTGGGTCAGCCTGCCACTCTGGCCCAGGGTAAGCTTAGCTAAGGCTGAGTCTCAGAGAAGGGCTGAAACCCCAAAGGGTTTTTCTGGTGCCAAGAGCAGACCGGGTTGAAGGGCGCGGTCAGTACCTTCCTGGGATGATTCTAAGCGCCCAGCTCTAACAGCTGAACATCACCAGGCTCGAGTTTCAGGATGGGAACCTTGAAAAGCCCTCTGTGATTTTCCTTTTCACATCAGGCTTGGGGCCAGGCAGACATGGGTTCAAATCCTTGCTCTGCCACTCATGAGTTATGTGATCTTGGGAAGAGACTGAATGTCTCCGGACCTCAGTTTCCTCATCTGTAAAGTGGGAGTGGTTATAGGAGTGTACGGAACTGTTGGGTTTGGATTAAGGTGTCCAGCCCACTGCCTGGAATGCAGCACTTTGACTTGCTTATTGAACATCAAAATTAATTTACCGCCTTTTTCCCTCAAATCCTGTTCTTCCTCTGGAATTCCCTGTCCTGGTAGGGGTCTGTAATACTTATATCTAGGATGTCTATAATACTTACACATCCAAGGAGGGGTGGCCCATGTTCTCACACTTTCTATCAACTCCGTCATAGCTGTCTTGCACAGAGGTGAATCCATCACAGCTGCCTTGCATGGCCATTCCTCTCCACCCACTTTGGCCATGGCTCTCCATCCAGGACAAGGTTATGGCAAATCCTTCATCACTGGTTTCCTCCTTCCAGCCTCCTTACTCCTGCTGGGGTGGTTACATCAGCCCCTCTCCATGTCTCACTCTGAAACACATGTTCAGAGCACAAAGTCCAAACTGCTCAACCGAGCCAGGACGCCGAGGTCCCTCATGATCTGGGCCCCTCACTCCCACCTCCCCAGCATCATCTACTCCCACCCTGCCTCCCACACAAAACAACTCTCCCTCCCCAAACTCTCAGTGTTCCCTGAGGATGAGGCTCCCTGCTGCTCTGTGCCTCTAAGCCTCTGCCCCCTGCCCCCTGCCCCAACCACCCAGAACGCCCTCTCTGACAACCTCCTCTGCAAGCCCTCTGCAACTGCTCCCACCTGCCCAATTCTTCCCACGTGGAGCCAAGCACTCTCTCCTTCAGGCCCCACCGGCCTCTCTCAGACCCCCATGACGGCCCTTCCCACCTGTATGCGGCAGGTTTACCTGACTAGGCAATCCAGGAGGGAGGCGAGAGCACTGAATGAGAGCAATGCCTCTGGGGTCCTGTCTCCTGGGATTTACTGAGAGGACGTGTGGAGTCCTAGCACCATGTCTGCTGCATATAGATGCTCAGCAAATGAAAGTGATTCTTTTTATGGCTATCTCCCCATGAGGCTGCAAATTCCTAGAGCAAGACTCATGTCTTAATTATCTTTGCATCCCCAGCAACTAGCCCTGTGATCTGGCCCACAGTAGAAGTTTAACAGATGTTTTCACATGGATGAATGGATGGATGGATACATGGATGTATGGATGGATAAATAGATGGATGGTGTGGCTGAAAGAGGAGGAAGAAATACATAAGAGCTGCCATTTAGCTGGTAACTAGGCAGTGACAGAAACGTGCATAGCACTTTACAAAGCAATGTCAGCCAAACCCAACCACGGAGATTGATTCTATTTTTATCCCTGTTTCATGGTGGGGAGGAACTGGCTCAGAGAGGTGAAGACACCTGCCAGAGTTCCATAGTGATGACATTGGTGACAGCCGATATTCAAAGTCACTTCTGCCTGGTTACAAACCCCATGCAATTTCCATTTCTCCACGCTGCTTCCTAAAAGGAAGCAGTTGGAATAGCAGCCGCATCTGAAGGAAATATGAACTAGAATTTATGTCGAGATTGCTAAAGTTCCAGCCTGGCCAACACAATGAAACGCTTTCTCTACTAAAAATACAAAAATTAGCTGGGAGTGATGGTGCTGCCTGTAATCTCAGGTACTCAGGAGGCTGAGGCAGGAAAATCACTTGAACCAGGGAAGCAGAGGTTGCAGTGAGCTGAGATCTTGCCATTGCACTCCAGCCTGAGGGACAGAGCGAGACCCTGTCTAAAAAAAAAAAGAAAAGAAAAGAAAAAGAAAAAGAAAAAGATTTCTAAAGTTACCAGGTGCTTCACACTTATTTTATTTAATCCCACGAGAAGGGAGGCTGCTATCTACCATCCCCATAAAGAGATGAGGAAACTGAGGCCCAGGGAGTTTGGGGAAGGGCAGGCAGATCCAGAGCCCTTTACTGCTGCCTGAGCCATTCTGGTTTCCAGATGCTGGAAGTATCTACAGCACAGAAGTGCTGGCCTGGAAGGAGGGTTCTGGGTCTAAAAGTTAAAGGCAAACAGTGGAGGGAGGAAGGTATTGGCGTCTCTGGGTCATTGGTCAGAGCTGGGGTCTTAGGTGCCCAGGAAGTATCACTGTTATAACTGTTATGAATGATAAACTGCATTATTAGAGATGCTATGTAACCATATACTATAACATTACTTACGTTGTTAGGGAACTATAGGGTGTCCAGAGCACTTTTGTATGTACCACCAATTTTTCCCCACAATTCCTTCAAGATGTGCAAGCCGGGGACTATCACAATCTTACAAAGCAAATGGCTGCAGAGGAGTCACATGGATTCCCCCAAGGGCATATAGTTAGCAAATAGTTTCCCTAGTCTCAACACAAACGTTTCCGATTCCTGGTTCGGTGCTGTTACTCACACACCTGCAGCCTCTCTGAGCCCCTGGTGTGTTACGGGTGCTGTTTAGTAAGCCGATACGAGCACTGATAGAGAGCGAGAGAAAAACACAGATGGGTCGGAAAAGGAAAGCTGAACAATGGCTGGGAAATGGGGAAGGAAGCTCTGGGGGGTCCAGTAAAGGGACCGGCAGTCCAGGCTTCTCTGGGCCCCTCCTCACGTCCCAGCCTTTGCTGGAGCCACATATACAGCTGGCAACCCTGATGCTGGCACGAGATGGCGCCCTTGGATGGGGAACAGACTGGAGTCAGCCTGGACAGACTGGTGATTGGCTGTGAGCACTGCTGACTGGGCTGTCTGCAGTTTCTACACTGCCCCTGGACAGTGGGCACATCGGCTTGTGCTTCAGAAAGGCCCTTTCAAGACTCCTTTACTGAAATCCTAGGCCTGTCCACTCAAACGCACAGTCACAGGGTGAATCAGGGGTGTTCACAGTTATCCCCAGCCAGGTGAGTCCAAACAGGTGGATACAGAATTTTTTTTTTCTTTTTTTTTTTGAGACGGCGTCTCGCTCTGTCGCCAGGCTGGAGTGCAGTGGTGCGATCTCAGCACATTGCAGCCTCCACCTCCCAGGTTCAGGTGCCTGCCTCAGCCTCCCAAGTAGCTGGGACTCCAAGCGCGCGCCACCATGTCCAGCTAATTTTTGTATTTTTAGATACAGAGTTTCACCATGTTGGCCAGGATGGTCTCGATCTCGTGACCTTGTGATCCACCCACCTCGGCCTTCCAAAGTGCTGGGATTACAGGCATGAGCCACCACGCCCAGCTGTGAATGCAGATTTTACCCAGAGTCCAGGCCTCCCAACTGAGTCCCACGAAATCAAACTGTTGGGTTTCAACAGAGATCTTTCTAAAGTGTATTGATCCCTTCCAATGGGACAGGCATCATACTAAGTGCTTCCTCTGCATGTAAGGCTGTCAGGTAAAATACAGGATGCCCAGTTACATTGGAACTACAGATCAACACGGAATAATTTACTAGCATGAGTATGTCTCAAATATTGCATAGGACATACTTATGCTAAAAAGTTATTCCTTGATCTGGAATTCAAGGTTAACTGAGCACCCTGTATTTCTATTTGCTAAATCTGGCAACTCTATCTGTATTATTTCATCTTCGCAGCCATAGAGGGAGAAGATCCCATCTCCACTTTACGGGCATTGTAGCTGAAGCTCCAAGAGATAAAGGAATTGGTCTGTGTTTTACATGCGGGTGAGTGGTGGGGCTGCGATGCCAATCCAGGCCTGCCCAGTTCCCAAGTCTGCACCCTCACTGATTTCCTCTCTAACCAACACAAGGGGCAGAGGAAAAAAAATGCTGAATGCCTCTGGCCTTTCAGGGAGATGGTCAGCTAAAAATGGGCTCTGAGGGCATCAGATGTAAATATCTTCAATGTGAGAATAATAAAGGTTCTGTTGTAAAACAGGAATGAGTCTTATACATCATCCAACCAAGAGACTTTGGGGTTAACAGGTGGGCTCTGAAAACAGATCGTTGAGTAAAAGCCCCAACTCCATCCATTACTAGCTGTGTGACCTTGGGCAAGTTAATCAACCTTTCTGTGCCTCAGTTTCCCCATTAAGAAGTTGGGGATAATAACAATACCCGTGTCATAAAGTTGTTGTAAGCATTAAATGAAGTATACATGTAAAATATTTAGAACGGTGCCTGGCACTTGTAAGCACCCCAAATTATGTATTCTAGCTCATGTCTGTAGACCAACTGCTTCGCTCCATGAAGGAGAACACTGAAGCCCAGAAGCCTCGCTCAGGACCACACAGCAATCGGGTGGCTGAGCAGAGTCTCAATGCCAGGTCTCCAGGCTGATGTCTGTGATGCTGTCTTAAAAGAACAAGAGAGAGAAATCGGCATCAGATGGCAGCAGGCGCCCGGTTCCTGGTGTTCCTATCCTGATTTGTCTCACGCCTTTCAGTACAAAGGAATCCTACCACTTCTAAGGTCATTAGCAGAATTTAAATCCTCCAGTTCTTTTGCACCAGTACAATGTACATTTATTTCACTCCCTCCACAAACCATTATGGGGGCTAGCCACATGCCAAGCACTGTGTTAGGCACACAGGATATAAAGAACCTTGGCACATGGCCCCTGTCTCCGCCCTGTTGAGAGAGGGAGAAAAGCAAGTAGATGCCAAAAGATAGGCTGGGCATGGTGGCTCACACCTGTAATCCCAGCACTTTGGGAGGCCCAGGTGGGAGAATCACTTGAGGTCAGGAGTTCGAGACCAGCCTGGCCAACATGATAAAACCCCATCTCGACTAAAAATACACACAAAAAGATTAGCTGGGAGTGATGGCACATGCCTGTAATCCCAGCTACTTGGGATGCTGAGGCTGGAGAATCGCTTGAACTTGGGAGGTGGAGGTTGCAGTGAACCGAGATTGCACCACTGCACCCCAGCCTAGGTGACAGAGTGAGACTCCCATCTAAAAAAAAAAAAAAAAAAAAAAAAATGGCTGGGCATGGTGACGCATACCTGTAATCCCAGCACTTTGGGAGACAGAGGCGGGTGGATCACTTGAGGTCAGGAATTCAAAACCAGCCTGACCAACGTGGTGAAACTCCATCTCTACTAAAAATACAAAAAAAAAAAAAAAAATTAGCGGAGCGTAGTGGTGCATGCCTGTAATCCCAGCTACTCAGGAAGCTGAGACAGGAGAATTGCTTGGAGACAGGAGAATTGCTTGATCCCAGGAGGCGGAGGTTGCAGTGAGCCAAGATCGCACCATTGCACTCCAGCCTGAGCAACAAGAGTGAAACTCCATCTCAAAAAAGTAAAAAAAGATACCAAAAGATAGCATGCTTTGCACCAGGAGTAGGGAGCACAAGGCCTGTGGGAGCCAGAAGACGGACAGCTGGCGGAAGCGGGAATGATGGAGAGGCACTGCTAGGGGAAGTGATCTCATGGATCTGAGCCCATCAGGACAAAGAGGGTTGGCCAGGGAAAGAAGGGGCAGGAAAGGCCTTCCACGCTGAAGGAACAGCATGTGCTGAAGCCTAGAGGCCAGACAAGAAAGGACAGAGCATCCTCTGCTGGGCCCACCACAAGGAGACCAGGGTTCTATCCTAGTGAACCAAATGCTCCCCAAGATGCCCTTGACCTGTGTAGGGGAGCAAGCCCCCTCCAGTGTGATGGCTGCCGCCATGGTTAAGAAGCAGTTGAGGAAAGAAGCTCTTTTGTCATAAAGAAACCACTGCTCACCAAAACTGCCAAGCAGGACCCAAATCAATGGCACATAAAGAAAGATTCTGTCTTAGAGACTGGCTTGGGTTTGGGCTCTATGCTGTTGTGGATATGAATTCACCCACCATTGGAGAACCGAACCTGGAATGGAACTTGGAAGCATCACATTGCACTCTGAAAGTCACCCGAATAAAAGCTGGTGTGCTGGCTGAAGGTAGATCTTTGGCAAATCTCCACCTGTTTCATCTTGGTATGCTTGATGCAGAAGAATTCTAATTGCTATCAGGCCAGAGAGGCAGGCAGTTGTGCTCTTTGAAATCTGTGGGGCTATGGCTCCTGGGTTGGAGAGTTTTCTCCAAACAGCTGTGTGCTTGCTTGGATTTTCTTCTGAAGGTTATTACCACCAAGGTCACTGGTGGTAGTGCATCTCTGGGAGGCCAGGGGTATCTGCTGGTTATTGGATGATATTTCTTCCAGGGTCCTAAAGGAGCCTCAATTGTGCAAATGCCAGGAAGTCCGAAATGCCTGCATTGCTGAAACCATTGATATCATCTATGCCCAGCAGCCCCTCCCACCCCTGCCACAGCAGGTGCTCCCCACTTCTTCAATGGGGAGCCATTTCCCCCATGCTTTGCTTCCTAGGAAAAGATGGAAGTGAATTTAAAGGGGGCATGGGCCCTTAGTCCAGGTCTTCTGGAGTCACCAGGTATATTAGTCTGTTCTCATGCTGCCAATAAAGACATACCCGAGACTGGGTAATTTATAAAGGAAAGAGATTTAATGCACTCACAGTTCCACATGGCTGGGGAGGCCTCACAATCATGGAGGAAGGCAAAGGAGAAGCCAAGTCACACCTTACATGGCAGCAGGCAAGAGTGCACGTGCAGGGGAACTGCCCTTTATAAAACCATCAGATCTCATGAGACTTATTCACCATCACAAGAACAGTATGGGGGAAACCACCCCGTGATTCAATTATCTCCACCTTGACCCACGCTTGACACGAGGGGATTATCACAATTCAGAGTGAGATTTGGGTGGGGACACAGAACCAAACCATATCACCAGGTAGTCCCAACATCATTCTCATGGGCTTCAGGTTTCATCTCTGGCTACAAGCAGGTCACAGTCACAAGCTGTCAATGGGACCCCAAGTGCCCAGTTGTCCAAGTCAAAACTATGGAGACCATCTTGGACTCCTGCCCTGCTCCCGGTCACCAAGTCCTGGAGCTATTACCCTCCCAAGCCTCTCTCAGCCACTTACTGACCATGAGTAAGTTTCTTAACCTCTGCAACCTTCCATTTCCTTGTCTCTAAAATGATGCAAAAAATACTAAAGTGTCTCCAAAGTCCTTTCTCACGAAGGAATAGTTCTGACTATGTCATGGAAAAGGTGACAATATATAAACATGTTTGGTATCACACACAAATATGTTTTAAATCCCTCATGGGCCAGGCATGGTGGCTCATGCCTGTAATCCCAGCACTTTGGGAGGCCAAGGTGGGTGGATCACCTGAGATCAGGAGTTTGAAACCAGCCTGGCCAACCTTGTGAAACACTGTCTCTACTAAAAATACAAAAATTAGCTAGGCATGGCAGCGGGCGCCTGTAATCCTGGCTACTTGGGAGGCTGAAGCATGAGAATCACTTGAACCTGGGAGGTGGAGGTTGCAGTGAGCCGACATTGCACCACTACACACCACCTTGGGCAATGGAGTGAGACTCTGTCTCAAAAAAAAAAAAAAAAAAAAAAAAAGCCCTCATCACTGTGTGCGCCTGCATTTCTTCTGGATGAAAGCCTTGAGTGAGAAAATGGTCACTAAACAAATCTGCGAAGTTGAAGGCAAAGGTGGGTTTGGGGTGCAGAGCATCAAATGCGCCTGGGGAGCAGGTGGAGTGGGGTGAAGGATCTTTGCAGGGGGCCTGCACCTGTTCACATGGCAGTGCCCTATATTCCTCTCTAGAAGCCTCTATCCAGTTTAGACAAGTCACGGGCTGAATTCTAAGAGATAATCCTGTTGTTTTATTTATTGCCAATAAACTGTATGCTTATAGGAAAGCATTTTGAGACACTCTAATAGCAACTTTATAGAATTGCTGTGAGGTTTGAAAAAGATAATGAATGGAATGAGATTGCCTCTATGCTTGCTTGGCACAGAGAAAACTTATTAATAAGTATGTGCTGATTTTAGAAAAGTGAGATCACTGTCGTTGTTGACAGCAAAAACTAAAATTATGAAGCACGGCTTGTCTCATTTGTCCCAGAATCCCCCAGCACCTAGTACAATGTTGGCACATACCAGAAACTCAATAAATATTAGATGACTAAATATATAGACAGGGTGGGAAATTAACAGTGAAAGGGGGAAATGTCTATTGGGTTAATTATTAGAATGATGCTAACCTAAATAGGTGTATAATGAAGAGGTTTTCACAAAACTCTTCAAACAATGCATGATTTATTCTGTCAATAGATATTTAGTGGGCTGGATGCAGTGGCTCATGCCTGTAATCCCAGCAGTTTGGGAGGCCAAGGCAGGAGGATCATCTGAGGTCAGGAGTTCCGGACCAGCCTGGCCAATATGGTGAAACCCCGTCTCTACTAAAAATACAAAAATTAGCCAGGCGTGGTGGTACCTGCCTGTAATCCCAGCTACTTGGGAGGCTGAGGCAGAAGAATCACCTGACCTCGGGAGGCAGAGGTTGCAGTGAGTAGAGATTGCGCCACTTCACTCCAGTCTGGGCAACAGAGCAAGACTTTGTCTCAAAAAAAAAAAAAAAAAAAAAAAAGATATTTATGGAGCACTTTCTCTGTTCCAGGCACTGTTCCTGGCATGGGGATAGAACGGTGAACAAAGTAGACAAGGTCTGGTCTCATGCAGCTCACACAGCAGTGTAGGGAGACAGATAATAAACGAATAAACATATAATATCATATAAGAAGTTCCATGAAGAAAGATAAAGCAAGGAAAAGTGGCAAAGGAGGCATGGATATGCTATTATAAATAGTGAAGAACCTCTTTAAAAAATGACATTTGAGCGGAGACATGAAGGAAGCCATGTGGATATCTGAGGGAAGAGATTTCCACACTTGGAAACAGTTGAAAAGAGAACCAATGCATTTCATCCCGTACAAGGCCTCATTTTCAATCGACTGAAACAAAATACTCTTTGTAGCACAGCACCTGAAAGTTGAACAGAAATATACTCAACATGAAAGGCAAGCCTTTAGTTAATCTGTTTTCGTTGTTATTAAAATCTTAAGTACCTCCTTTATCACAGATGGCTCAAAACCTGCAGGGAAGGAGATGCTTTAGAAACATAATTCCAAATAAAAAAAAAACAACAACCACCACCACCCAGTGATGATAATGGCCTCACAAGAAATAACTTGAAATTGTATGTGCGATGCTTGATGAGATTAAGCCATTGGAGGCAAATGATGGAAGCCCCAAAGAGGAAAATATTCTTATAAGTCATTACACAAATCCCGTGCTGTAGCACGTCAGACTCAGGGATACTCAGTTTGGGGAGTAGTCATTCACTCACTCATGAAATATTATCAAGCGCCCAATTATTTGTAAAGCTGGGTGCTTTGTGACTTGAATGAGATGAATTCAATCTGAGGTGAATTAAACTCAGATCTACCCTTAAGGAGCTTCAGTCTGGCCACAGGTTTATTACTTATTTTATTTTATTTTATTTCATTTCATTTTTTGAGATGGAGTCTCGCTCTGTCACTCAAGCTGGAGTGCAGTGGCGCAATCTCGGCTCACTGCAACCTCTGCCTCCCAGGGTTCAAGCGATTCTTCTGCCTCAGCCTCCCGAGTAGCTAGGACTACAGGCGTGCGCCACCACGCCCAGCTAATTTCTGTATTTTTAGTAGAGACGGGGTTTCACCATACTGGCCAGGCGGCTCTCGAACTCCTGACCTCGTGATCACCCAGCCTCGGCCTCCCAAAGTGCTGGGATTACAGGTGTGAGCCACTGTGCCTGGCCTACTTTATTTTTTAATTTAGTTTTTTTCTTTTTATCTTCTATATCCAGTCTCATTCTCCTTGCCCCATAGACACTGTCCCAAGGTTCTCTGTCCATTTTATTTACATTTATAACTGTATTTGCATTTTAAATGCATACATGTGCATTTATATAAACAACATATGACATATGTGTGTATGTTTAATGTATATAGTGATACATGGCTAATAGCTCATTCTGCTTCTTTGACATCTATTGGTCTTGATTAATATAGATTTAGTACTTTTTTACTGTTGTATTATATTCCATCATTTATACATATTATATTTAATAATTATTTATTGAAGAACATCTAAGTTACTTCCAATTTTGTTGTTATAAACCATGCTGCAGTAAACATCTCTGAATATATCTCTTTGTATACTTAAGCAAGAATTTCTCTGGGGTTTATACACAGGACAGGATTTACATTATAAAGTGATATGCACTTTGTCCATATCACTAAATATCTCCAAATTGCTCTCCAAAGTGGCTGCAACAATTTTCACTCCCAAGGAGGGAGGGAGGGTCACAAAGGTTGAAAAACGACCTGTTGGATACTATGTGAACAATCTGGATAATGGGTTCACCAGAAGCCCAAACCACAGCATTACCCAATATAAGCATATAGCAAACCTGCACAGGTACCCACTGAATCTATAGTTTTTAAAAAGTGGGAAAAAAATTTTTTGCTCACCCCCGCAGTGCATAAGGGTTGCATTTTCCCCACATCCCTGGCTGTTTGATATTATCCTATATTTTATCATTGGATGTAAACTAGTAGCCATTTCTCACTTTATTTTGCATTTCTTTGATTATTAATAAGATGAAACATCTCTTTTTCTGTTTATTAGCCATTCTGGTCTCCTCGTCTATGAGTTGCTTGCTCATATCCTTTCCATGTTTTTACATAGTGTTATCTCCCTACTTTTTTTGTTGTTTCTGATTTTGCTGTTCATTTCAGATATTAATGCCAGTCATGTATATTGAAAATATATTCTCTCAGTCGAATTGGCATGAACTCCGTCTATGGTATTTCTTTGTTGTATAGCTACTAGCCAGTTCCAACAACTGCCCTCCCTTTACTTCCTAGTTAAAACAAATACAAACTCTGATTTGTAACTGGATCCAAGGCTTCCGGGTATAAAGACTACATTTCCCAGCATACCTTGCAGGTGTTGCCATGTGACTGAGTTCTGGCCAATAGGATATAAGAGAAAATATGTGGGAAATTTGTCGGCAATATTCTTGAAAAGAAAGAGTTCCTTTCTTTCTTCTTTCCAGTTACCTCCTTCTTGCCGGTTGGAATATTGGATTGAAAGGTCAGAGCCATGTGCTGAGGTTGGGGAAACATCCCGGATGCCAGCCCCGGACTGCTAGTAAGTCTAAATCTAACTGATACAAGCAAAAGTCTTTCATTTTGAAGTAGTCAAATCCAGATATTTTCTTCTTTAAGAAATTCTTGGGCCGGGCGCGGTGGCTCATGCCTGTAATCCCAGCACTTTGGGGGGCCGAGGCTGGCGGATCACAAGGTCGGGAGATTGAGGTCATCCTGGCTAACACGGTGAAACCCCGTCTCCACTAAAAATACAAAAAATTAGCCGGGCGTGGTGGCGGGCGCCTGTAGTCCCAGCTACTCGGGAGGCTGAGGCAGGAGAATGGCTGAACCCGGAAGGCGGAGCTTGCAGTGAGCCGACATAGCGCCGTTGCACTCCAGCCTGGGCGATAGAGCAAGACTCCGCCTCAAAAAAAAAAAGAAAGAAATTCTTACTGATCGCAAAGTCACAAAGGCATTTGCCTACATTTTTTTTTTCTAATAGTTTTATAACTTTGCTTTTTCACATTAGGTCCTTAATCCAGCTGGAAGTATGTTGACTTTCTTCCTCACCTTACCATCCAATTCTCCCATCAGCATTATTAAGTAATTCATTTTTCTTCCCTGAACTGTGATGCCACTATTATATACCGGGTTCCCAGTACCACATTAAACAGTAGTGGTATTGGAAAGTATACTGGGCTGGTTTCCATATTCATGGGAAATCTACATTTTTTTTCCATTAAGTGTGATGTCTGCTGGCCAGACGCGATGGCTCATGCCTGTAATCCCAGCACTTTGGGAGGCCGAGGCGGGTGGATCACCTAAGGTTGGGAGTTCGAGACCAGTCTGACCAACATGGTGAAGCCCCATCCCTACTAAAAATACAAAAAAATTAGCTGGGCATGGTGGCGCACACCTGTAATTCCAGCTACCCGGGAGGCTGAGGCAGGAGAATCGCTTGAACCCCGGGAGGCGGAGGGTTGCGGTGAGCTGAGATTGCGCCATTGCACTCCAGCCTGGGCAACAAGAGTGAAACTCCGTCTCAAAAAAATAAAAAAAGTATGATGTCTGCTGTAAGTTTTTGATAAAGTTCTTTTATCTAAGTATCTTTTATTTAAGAAGCTACTATAATCACTAATAAGTGTTTTCTTGTATCTATTAAAACATTGTAATTTCTTCTTTAATCTGAAATACCTCAATAGATTTATCTGACTCTAAATCATCTGTACATTCCTAAAATAAATGCTACTTTGGTTTTTTGAGTTGGGAATTTTGCATCTGTAGTTATAAGTAAAACTGGCCTATAATAATCTTGTCTCATACTGTCCTTATCTGGTTATAATATCAACATTTAGGCCAGGTGCAGTCGCTCACACCTGTAATACCAGCACTTTGGGAGGCTGAGAGGGCAGATCACTTGAGTTCAGGAGTTGGAGACCAGCCTAGGTAACATAGCAAGACCCTGTCTTTACAA
This sequence comes from Homo sapiens, assembly GCF_000001405.40. NCBI lineage: Eukaryota > Metazoa > Chordata > Mammalia > Primates > Hominidae > Homo > Homo sapiens. Next base: position 22,430,428 of record NC_000001.11, read on the forward strand.
CAAATTTTTAAAAATTAGCTGGCTGTGGTGGCACACACCTGTAGTTTCAGCTACACTAGAGGCTGAGGTGGGAGGATTGCTTGAGCCTGGGAGGCCAAGGCTGCAGCAATCACGGCTCACTGCAGCCTCAACCTCCCTGGCTTAGTCGATCCTCCCACTTTGGCCTCCCATGTGGCTGGAACTACAGGTGCATGCCACCACACCCGACTAATTTTTTTTTTTTTTGTAGAGATAGGGTCTCACTATGTTGCCGAGGCTGGTCTTGAACTCTTAGGCTGAAGCAATTCTCCCATCCCAGCCTCCGTGGTTGGCTTACCTGGGCTGTGAGGAACCATGCCCAGCCAGTTTTTCTTTTTATATATTGTCCTTACCCCATGGGTTAATTAGAGATATAGTTTTTAGTTTTCAGACATATGAGCTTTTTTGTTATTAGTTCCCACTTCTACTGCATTTGATTTAGATAACTAGCCAATATGTTGCCAATTCTTAGTAATTTATTAATTCTTTTGTAGCTTAGCACATAATTCATTTCTACATGTTATATATGATTTTGAGAATAATTTGTATTCTGGGTTTGTGGATGAAGTTATATATATATTCACTTAAGCTCATTAATTGTTCAAATGTTCTGTATCCTTGCTTTTGTTCTCTCTTCTTTATCAGTTTCTGAGAGGGTTATGTTTATATCTCCAACTGCCATTGTAAATTCACCTGCTTTGCCTTGTAAAGACAGTAAAGTCTTTCAGTAGATTGTAAAGTCTATCAGCAGATTAGTGTATGTATTTCTAATTTATTAGGAGCATTTATATATAGTATGCATATACAATATTGTATATATTGAATATATACAATATTGTATATATTGAATATATTGAATATACAGTATATATTTATATTGTATATATATATTATATAGTGTATATACATATATATTTTGTGTGTGTGTGTGTGTGTGTGTATATATATATATATATATATATATGTATATATAGTAATTGTTATACGTCCTCAGTGTAAAGATCTTTTACTGGCCGGGTGCAGTGGCCCACGCCTGTAATCCCAGCACTTTGGGAGACCAAGGGGGGTGGGTCACCTAAGGTCAGGAGTTCGAAACCAGCCTCACCAATATGGTGAAACCCCTCTACTAAAAATACAAAAACTAGCTGGGCATGGTGGCAGGCACCTGCAATCCCAGCTACTCGGGAGGCTGAGGCAGGAGAATCTCTTGAACCCTGGAGACAGAGGTTGCAGTGAGCTGAGATTGTGCCACTACACTCCAGCCTGGGCGACAAGAGTGAAATGCCATCTCAAAAAAAAAAAATTTTTGCTGATAAATGTGGCCCTTTTTCTTTGTATGGATGCTTTGCTGTCTTAGGTTTTTTAAAATTTGTATTTGATGGTATTTTTTTATCTTCTTGTTTTTAATTTTTGGGTAAGTAATATGTTTACATTATTCAAACTCAAAATAATATGAAATGGTATACAATGAAAAGTTTTGCTCCCGCCTGGTTTCCATTTGCCCTGTGCCAGTTTTCAATTTCTTACTTTTCAGCTAAAAAAAAAAATATATTGAAACAACAGACATTTATTCTTGCATAGTTCTGGAGTAAATTCACTCTTCTTTATGCTGCTTTGTGACTCTGGGGGTAGACTCTGAACATTACTCCCATTTTGCAGATGGCAAAATGCTAGACTTTATGTGGAGGGTACTGAGGGAAACTGAAAGAGGAAGGGCTTCTCTTCCTGGTTCTGGGTGCTTTTCTTCTGGCTTGTATAATGCAGCTACCAATGGATGGCTTCTCTGCAAAAGGTGTATAGGAAATATAGTGATAGATACACTCCAGCATCCTGTGGGCTATAGCCACACACTCCCCAATGAGGTCTGCATCTCAACCTTGGGGTGGGTTGGGGAAAGGACTCTCCTAACCTTGTCCCTTCCTTGGGTACACTCAGCCTTAGAGGCAGCAGCTACTCCCAACATCTGCTCCGTCTGTATTCTTTGGAGCTGCTCTATCTAATGTGGCGACCACTTGCCAAATGTGTCACTTCTATTTAAATACAAGTTAACATGAAGTAAAATTAAAAATTCAGTTTCTTAGTTGCACTAGCTACATTTCAAGTGTTTCATAGCCATACAGGTACATTGGATAGTAAAGTTATAGAACATATCCTTCATTGCAGAAAGTCCTGTTGGAAAGTGTTGCTTTCGAGGTCTCTATTCAGATTCCCTGTTCAGATTTCCATGGTTTTTGTCTCCTGACTGATACATACTCCATTTTTCTTATATATTGTTCCAATGTTTTTAAACAAATACAAATGTATATTCTTATATCTGCCGCCCATCACCACCATTAGCACACAAATAGCAACTGTAATGTAAGTGCAGCAGTTTGACAAATTACTTCCAGTAGGACAAATCCAGAGCCAATTCTGGTCACATTCATTTGTTGAATGTATCGTCTAAGTGCTTTCATGCTACAATGGAAAAGCAAGTCACGTAGTTGCAACAGAGATTATATAGCAGACAAATTTGAAAATATGTACTATGTAGCCCTTTACAGAAAAGGTTTGTTGATCCCTGTTCTATATCTTTGTAAAGTTAACCATGCAGTCAGCCTTCTGTATCCTTGGGTTCCACATCTATGGATTCAACCAACACCAGATCGAAAATGTTTGGGGAAAAAATACAAAAGAACAACACAATCATAGAAAATAAGACAGCTAGGCCGGGTGTGGTGGCTCACACCTGTAATCCCAGCACTTTGGGAAGCCGAGGCAGGTGGATCACGAGGTCAGGAGATCGAGACCATTCTGGCTAACACAGTGAAACCCCGTCTCTACTAAAAATACAAAAAATTAGCTAGGTGTGGTGGCGGGCGCCTGTAGTCCCAGCTACTCGGGAGGCTGAGGCAGGAGAATGGCGTGAACCCAGGAGGCAGAGCTTGCAGTGAGCCAATATCGCACCACTGCACTCCAGCCTGGGCGACAGAGCAAGACGCCCTCTCAAAAAAAAAAAAAAAAAAAAAAAAAGACAGCTAAAAATATGGTACAACAACCATTTACCTAGCATTTACATTTTATTAAGTAGTATAATCTAGAGATGACTTAAAGTATACAGGAGGATGTGTGTAGGTTATATGCAAATATTAAGCCATTATAGATATCAGGGACTTGAGCATCCATGGATTTTGATATACGGGGGTGGAGGGTTAGTTCTAGGACTACCCCTGTAGTCCTAGAACTAACCCTCCACCGATATGGACTGATTTTATGTATTGAAGTTATTTCCCTATAAAGATGCTTAGAGCTTCTTCACTTCTTTAAAACTACATAATACAGCCTGGGTGACAGAGTGAGACTCTGTCTCAAAAATTAATTCATTAATTATTTAATTAAACTGCATAATATGCCATTATATGGATGTATCACAATGTATTTAAGCTAGTTTTTTTTTTGTTTGTTTGAATTTTACTTTTCTCCTATTTCAGGAATCCTTTCAGTGAATAACTTTGTATATACATTCTTTAGTACACATGCAGGTATGTATAAAATCCCAGAAGTGCAATTATTGGGTCACTGGGAAAATGCATTTTAAAATGTTGGTATTATTAATCTGCATAGGGATCGTAGAGTGGAGTTCCATTTCAACCAGCAATGGATGGGAATGCCCGTTTACCATCACATTGTCAGACTTCCAGAATTTTTCCTAATGAGTAGGTGAAGAAAAGATATTTCAGGGTAGTTTTCATTTGCATAATAATACTATGAATTAATCGAGCATCTTTTTGAGTATTTATAAGTCATTTTCGTGCCTTTCATATGTATTAACTGCTTCTTTGTGTCTCTGCTCATTTTTCTAAGATTTTGAAGATTTTTGGTCTTGTTCTTGTGAATTTCTAGAAGCTCTTCATATATTAGGAAAATGAATCCTTTGTCTGTAATATGAGTTTCAAATGTATTTTCCCAGGTTGTTATTTGCGTTTAGACTTTATTTATGGATTTTATAAAATGTGATTGAATTTATCAATCTTTTCTTTTATGGTTTTGGGAATTTGACTCAATTAGGTCTTTGCCACCTCAGGGTTATAAAGAAATTGCCCATTTTTTCCTGGTACTTTAATGTCTACAATTTTTTAGCTTTAAGTCTTTGATCTTTTTATGGTTTATCCTAGCATAAGATGTGAGGTATAGATAAAACTTCTTTTTCAAATTATTACCCAGTTATCCCCAACTTTTAATTATAAAGTTTATCTTTACTTCACATCTTTAGCATAAACTAAATTTCTGTATGTATCTTGGTGTATTTCTGGACTTTCTTTTTGTTCTATTGGTTTGTCTGTTGATGTGCTAATTATTCACTATTTTAACTGTTGAAGCTTTAAAATATAGTTTAATATCTGGCAGGGCTGGCTCTCCACATTCTTTGTTGCTTGTTTTTCCATTTGAACTTGATAGTCAGCTTCTCCAGTTTCAGAAAAAAACGTGTTGGTATGTTTGCTGGGAGTTAACATTTTTACGTTGTTTACCTTTCTTGGTCAAGAAATGGTATGTGTTTCCGTTTGCTCGAGTTTTTCGTTTTATCCTTCATTAATTTTTTTTTTTTTTTTAGACAGCATCTCACTCTGTACAGTGGTGTGATCTCGGCTCACTGCAACCTCTACCTCCCAGGCTCAACTGATCCTCCCACTTTGGCCTCCTGAATAGCTGGGACTACAGGCACCCACCACCATGCCCAGCTAATTTTTGTATTTTTTATAGAGATTGGGTCTCACTATGTTGCCCAGGCTGGTTTTGAACTCCTGAGCTCAAGTGATCCTCCTGCCTTGGCCTCCCAAAGTGCTGGGATTACAGGCATGCGCCATTGTGCCCAGCTTATCCTTCACTAATATTTTGAAGCATATACATTGGTATTTTATCTTGCCTTGCTATTGTAAATGCAGTCTTTTATTCCATTTTTCTCTTCTAACTGGTTTCTGTATATTTGTTTAATATTCCATCTCCACCTTATCTTAGCACATTTTACTTCTTTTTCCTTCCCCCACATCTCTCTCTCTCTCTCTCTTAATATATTTGATTCTTTAGGGCTTTCTAGTTATATAATCCTGTTATCTCTCATTTTTCTTGGATTGTACAGAATAATACCTTCAATTTAATGTTAAAGAACAGTGGTGAGAGTGGGCATCCATGTATTGCTCCTAATTTTAGGAGAAATGCACCAGGGTTTCCCAATGAAGCAGATATACTGTGACAATAATTTTCTTCCTAAAAGAAAAAAAGTGATAAATTAGATTTCATCACAGTTAAAAACTTCTGCTTTTGAATGATACCTTATGAAGATGAAAATATTCATAATACAGACTGAAATATTCATAATACATACATATGACAAAGGACTTGAATCCAAAATATATTTTGGATATCACCTGAGGTCAGGAGTTAGAGACCACCCTGGCCAACATAGTGAAACCCCATCTTTACTAAAAAAAAAAAAAATACAAAATTAGCCGGGCATGGTGGTGGGTGCCTGTAATCCCAGCTACTTGGGAGGCTGAGGCAGGAGAATCATAACTGACAACACCAACTGTTGATGAGGATGTAGAGTAACTAGAACTCTTGCATATTGATGATGGAAGTATAAATGATACAACCACTTTGGAAAACTGTTTGGTAATTTCTTATAAAGGTGCATAAACACCTCTGCCTCCCAGGTTCATATGACCTAGTCTTCACATTCCTAAGTGTTTAAACAAGAGAAATGAAAACATATGTTCACACAAAGACTTGCACATAAATAAATACTCATGCCGGACGCGGTGGCTCATGCCTGTAATCCCAGCACTTTGGGAGGGCGAGGCAGGTGGATCACGAGGTCAGGAGGTCGAGACCATCCTGGCTAACATGGTGAAACCCTGTCTCTACTAAAAATACAAAAAAATTAGCCGGGTGTGGTGGCACATGCCTGTAATCCCAGCTACTCAGGAGGCTGAGGCAGGAGAATCGCTTGAACCCGGGAGGCGGAGGTTGCGGTGAGCCGAGATGGTGCCATTGCACTCCAGCATGGGCAACAAGAGTGAAACTCCATCTCAAAAAAATAAAAAATAAAAAAATAAAAATAAATACTCATAAACTTTATTCATAATACCTGAAGCTGGAAACACACAAATTCATACATTCACACAGGTGAATGAATACACAAATTGTGGTATATCCATATCAGTGGGCCCAGTAATTAAAAGAAACAAAACTGATAAATGTAACAATATGAATACACCTCAACTACGTTATGCTGAGTGAGAGAAGCCAGGCACAAAACACTACATATTATATAATTTCGCTGATATGAAATTCTAGGATATGTTAGAATTCCATATATATTACATATATAATATGTAGTGTTGTATAACATGTAACATGTTAACATATTCTAAAATTTCATATCTAGAAATTCTGAATATGAAATTCTAGCAAGTCATCTATAGGGACAGAAAACAAATCAGTGGTTGTTGGGAGATGAGGATTGGAGAGATGGGAAGATGGGCAAGTCTAGAGGGGGAGGGAGAGTGTTGAACTGGGAAAGAGTACAAGGGAACTTTTGCACGTGATGAAAATGTTCTAGGATGTCTAGTTTCCAAGCTGGCATGTAAGAAACTTGGAAGTTGCCACTCCATCCTAACAATAAGTAAAAGCCAAACAAACTAAACATCAACAACCCTTAGATTTGTAGAGAAGTGACGTCATAGGGCAAATTACTGCCCCAGAATTGGAGAAACAGACAGGTGGATACAGAAATCATAATTTACCAGAGCATAATAAACCTCCATGGAAACTAGTGCTGGGTAAGGAAACCTGAATTGTGATTGATGAATTGCTAGAGGCTCATTGTGGACAAGTTTGAGACATAAAAACTCCAGGGAACCCAGTCATGTTGGAGGAGTGCACATACTTTTTTTTTTCGATTTTTTTATTGTGGCAAAATAATACCATAAAACTTATCATCTTTTTTTTTTTTTTGAGATGGAGTCTCACTCTGTTGCCCAGGCTGGAGTGCAGTGGCACAATCTCAGCTCACTGCAACCTCTGCCTCCCAGGTTCCAGCAATTCTCCAGTCTCAGCCTCCCAAGTAGCTGAACTACAGGCACGCACCACTACACCCGGCTAATTTTTGTATTTTTAGTAGAAACGGGGTTTTACCCGATTTGTCAGGCTGGTCTCGAACTCCTGACCTCAGGTGATTTGCCCCTCTCAGCCTCCCAAAGCGCTGGGATTACAGGCGTGAGCCACTGTTCCTGGCCAAAATTTACCATCTTAACTACTTTTAAGTGTACAGTTAGTGTTACGAAATACAATCATAATGTTGTGCAACCATCACCACCATCCATCTCCATAACTCTTTTCGTCTTGTGAAACCAAAACTCTGGTCGGGTGTGGTGGCTCACGCCTGTAATCCAGCACTTTGGGAAGCCGAGGCAGGCTGATCACCTGGTCTCAAGGTCGGGAGTTCGAGACCAGCCTGACAAACATGGAGAAACCCTGTCTCTACTAAAAATACAAAATTAGTCGGGTGTGGTGGTACATGCCGGTAATCCCAGCTACTTGGGAGACTGAGGCAGGAGAATCGCTTGAACCCAGGAGGCGGAGGTTGCAGTGAGCCGAGATCGCACCACTGTACTCCAGCCTGGGCAACAAGAGTGAAACTCCATCTCGAAAAAAACAAAACCCAAAAAACTCTATACCCATTAAACAATAACTCCCCATGTCCCTCTCCCTCCAGCCACTGGTAACCACCATTCCACCTTCTGTCTCTGTAAGTTTGACTATTCTAGGTATTTTATATTAGTAGGATCATATTTGTTTCTTTGTGATTGGCTTATTTCACTTAACATAATGTCTTCAAGTTTCATCCCCATTGTAGCATATTGCAGAATTTATTTCCTTTTTAATATTGAATACAGTCCATTGTGTCTATATATGACATTTTGCTATCTATTCATCAGTCAATGGACACTTAGAGTTGCTTTGATGCTTTATGTATTGTGAATAATGCTGTTATGAACATGGGTGTACAAATATCTCTTTGAGACCCTGCTTTCAATTTTGGAGTATACACCCAGAAGTGGAATTGCTGGATCATATGGTAATCCTATTTTTAACTTTTTGAGGACCCACCATCCTGTTTTCCACAGCAAGTGTACTGTTTTACACTACCAACAGTGCACAAGGATTCCCGTTTTTCCACAACCTTGCCAACACTTACTAGTTTCTGGTTTTTTGTTTTATAGCAGCTGTCCTAATGAGTGTTGACACGGTATCTCATTGAAGTTTTGATTTGCATTTTCCTAATGATTATTAATGTTGAGCATCTTTTCATGTGCTTATTGGCCATTTGTGTATCTTCTTTAGAGAAATATTCTTTTGCCCATTTTTTATTTCATTTTATTTATTTATTTATTTATTTTTTGAGACAGAGTCTTGCTCTGTTGCCCAAGCTGGAGTGCAGTGGCATGATCTCGGCTCACTGCAACCTCCGCCTCCCAGGTTCAAGTGCTTCTTCTGCCTCAGCCTCCCGATTAGCTGGGACCACAGGTGCCCACCACCACGTCCAGCTAATTTTTGTATTTTTAGTAGAGACAGGGTTTCACCATATTGGCCAGGCTGGTCTCGAACTCCTGACCTTGTTATCCACCCGCCTTGGCCCCCCAAAGTGTTGGGATTACAGGCGTGAGCCACCATGCCTGGCCTGCGTCTTTTGCCTATTTTTAAATTGGGACTTATTTTTGTTGTTGAGTTTTAAGAGTTCTCTGTATGTTACAGATATTAAGCCTTTATCTGATATATGATTTATAAATGTTTTCTTTCATTCCATGGGTTTCCCTATTACTATGTTTATTTTTTTCATGCACAAAATTTTTAATATTTTGTGAAGTCCAATTTGTCCATTTTTTCTTTTATTGTCTGTGCCTTTGCCATCATATTCAAGAAACCATTACCAAATCAATGTTGCAAAGCTTTTGCTTCATGTTTTCTTCTAAGAGTTTTATAGTTTAGGTCTTACATTTATGTGTTCAATTCATTTTGAATTAATTTTTGTATACGGTGTTAAATAAGGGTCCAACTTTATTCTTTCATATGTAGTTTTCCCAGCACCATTTGCTGAAAAGAAACTATTCTTTCCTCATTGAATGGCCTTGGTGTCTTTGTCAAAAATTATTTGACCATATATGGGGAACATTTATTTCTAAGCTCTTTATTCTACTCCATTAGTGTTTGTGTCTTTCTTTATGCCAGTACCACACTGTTTTGATTACTGTAGCTCTGTAGTAAGTTTTGAAATGAGGAAGCATGAGTCCTCCAGCATTGTTCTTTTTTAAGATTGTTTTGGCTATTTGGAGACCATTAATATTCCATATAAATGTTAGAATGTGTTCTTTTTCTATTCTTGCAAAAAATGTCATTGGTGTTTTGTATTGAATCCATAGATAGCTTTTGGTAATATTAACATCTTAGCAATACTAAGCCTTCCAATCCATTAACATGGGACGTGTTTCCATTTATTTATGTCTTCTTTAATTTCTTTCAGTAATGTTTTATAGTATCCATTGTAAAGTCTTTCACCTCCTTGGTTAATTCCAAATTATTTTATTCTCTTTGACACTATTGTAAATGGAACTGTTTTTGTAATTTCCTTTTCAGATGTTCATTGTTAATATATAGAAATACAACTGATTTTTGTGTGTTGACTTTGTATCCTGCCACTTTGTTAAATTCATTTATTAGCTCTAACAGGTTTTTTTGGTGGAATCTTTACGGTTTTCTATATGTAAGATTATATCATCTGCAAATAGAGGTAATTTTACTTCTTCCTTTCCAATTTGAATGCCTTTTATTTTTTTCTTCTTGCCTAATTGCTCTGACTAAAACTTCTAATACTAAGCTGGATGAGGTGGCATGCCTGTAGTCCCAGCTATGTGGGAGGCTGAGGCAAGTGAATTGCTTGAGCCCAGAAGTTTGAGTCCAGCCTGGGAAAAATAGCAAGAGCCCGGTCTCCAAAACACAAACAAAACAAGTAAAACTTCTAATACTATTTTGAACAAAAGTGGTAAAAGTGGAGATCCTTGTCTTGTTCCTGATCCTAAGGAAGAGCTTTCAGTCTTTCACCACTGAGTATGAGGTTTGCTGTGCATTTTTTATATATGGCTTTTATTGTGTTGAGGTAGTTCCTTTCATTCCTAGCTTGTTGAGTGTTTTTTTTTTAATCATGAAAGGGTGTTATGTTTTGTCAAATGCTTTTTTAGATGATCAACTGAGATAATCATGTGGTTTTCTTTCCTTCATTCTGTTAATGTGGTATATTACATTGAGCTTTGTATGTTGAACCATCCTTGCATTCCAGGAGTAAATCTCACTTGGTCATTGTGTATAATCCTTTTACTATGCTGCTGAATTTGGTTTGCTAGTATTTTGAGAAATATTTTTATATTAATGTTCATAATGGATATTAGTCTATAGTTTTCTTTTTCTTGTAGTGCCCTTGTCTGGCTTTGGTATCAGGGTAATGCTGGCTTCATAGAATGAGTTGGGAAGTGTTTCCTCCTCCTCAATTTTTTGGAAAATTCTGAAAATAATTGGTATTAGTTGTTCTTTTCATGTTTGGTAAATTCACCTGTAAAGCCATTTGGTCCAGGGCTTTTCTTTGTCAGGATATTTTTGATTACTGATTCAATCGCCTTACTGATTATAGGTGTGTTCAGATTTTCTATTTCTTTGTGATTTCATCTTGGTAGGTTTTGTGTTTCTGGGAATTTATACATTTCATCTAGGTTATCCAATTTGTTGGTATACAATTGTTTGTAGTACTCTCTTATACTCCATTTTATTTCTCTAGAATTAGTAGTAATGTCCTTGAGTCTCCTCTTTTATTCTTAGTCTGTCTAGCTAAAGATTTGTCAATTTTGTTCTTTTCAAAGAACCAAGTTTCAGTTTATTTTTTCCTATTGTTTTTCTGTTCTCTCTTGTTTCTCTCTGCTTCAGTCTTTATTATTTGCTTTCTTTTTTTTTTTTTTTTTTTTTTGAGACAGAGTCTCATTCTGTCACCCAGGTTGGAGTGCAGTGCAGTGGCATGATCTCAGCTCACTGCAACCTCCACCTCCTGTGTTCAAGTGATTCTCCTACCTCAGCCTCCCAAGTAGCTGAGATTACAGGCCTAAACCACTGCACCCGGCTAATTTTTGTATTTTTGGTAGAGACAGGGTTTCACCATGTTGGCCAGGCTGGTCTCAAACTCCTGACCTCAGATGATCTGCCCACCTCACCCTCCCAAAATGCTGGCATTACAGACATGAGCCACTGTGCCTGGCCATTATTATTTGCTTTCTTTGCTAGCTTTGAGTTTAGTTTGTTCTTCTTTTTCTAGTTCCTAAAGTTGTGAAGGTAAGTTGTTGATTTTAGATCTTTCTTGTTTTTTAATGTAAGCATTTATACACATAAATTTACCTCTTAACAACTGCTTTTTCTACATTACACAAGTTTGGGTATATTGTGTTTTCATTTTCATTCTTCTCTAAGTATTTTTTAATTTCTCTTCTAATGTTTTCTTTGATTCATTGGTTGTTTAAGAATGCGTTGTTTAATCTCCACAAATTTGTGCATTTTCCACTTTTACTTCTATTAGTGACTTCTAACTTCATTCCATTATGGTAGGAGAAGATACTTTATATGATCTTTATCTTTTTAAGTCTATTGAGACTTACTTTTTGGCCTAACATATAATCTATCCTGGAAAATGTCTCATGTGCACATGAGAAGAATGTGTGTGCAGTGGTGTGTAGACTGTTCTGTATATTTCTGTTAGATCTGTAAGGTTAGCCGAGAGAAAGGACAAGAGAGAGAGAGACCCAAGGTCAGGCAAGAAAGTTTATTAACCTGCTGGGCTGCTCTGCCACAGTCAGAGGAGGCAGCCCTGAGCTTACAAAATGATGGGTTTATATGGGGGAGAGAGACCCTGGGGTTGTTTGTCGCCACAGTCAGAGGAGGCAGCCCTGAGCTTACAAAATGATGGGTTTATATGGGGGAGAGAGACCCTGGGGTTGTTTGTCGGTTAACTTTACCACATATCATCTTGAGAACTGCTTACAATATAGGAATTTATAAGAGGGTGTAACTTAGGTTTATCCATGTTTCTTGTGACCTCCCCCATGCCACCCGGAGGGCTGTAAGCAAGTCTGGTGACCTTGCTGTAGCACCTAGATAAAGGTCCAGGAATGCAGCTGCAGAGTATTCAGGGTAAGGGTCAGCTGCATTGGGTGGAGGTGGGGAGTCCTGGGGCAGCTTGTCCCTAACAAGATCTAGTTGGTTTATTGTGTTCTTATCTCCTATATGGTTGTTCTATCCATTGTTGAGAGTGGGGTAGCAAAGTCTCCAACTGTATTGAAGAACTATATCATTCTCCCTTCAATTCCGTCCATTTTTGCTTTACATATTTTGATGGTGTGTAAGTGGGTGCATAAATATTTATAATTACTACATCTTCCAGTTGTATTTAATCTGAAGGCTCCCACACTTTTGTGAGTTTTACCTCCTGGAGCTCTGGCCAGGTTCTCAGAGTGAATATCTGAGAAAAATCTCCTGATGCTTCCAACAGGGGAAGAAGAAAAAATAATCATTTCAAAATACTCCAGAACGTTACGTTCTCTCTCGAACAAAGTCTCAACGAAAATTATTTAAACAGAATCTAACCTGCTGGGGTTTTTTGATTAAAAAAGCCAAATACTATAAAATATATAAAGAGGTTTTTCTGAGCCAAATATGAGTGACCATGGCCCGGGGTAGTCTCAAAAGGTCCTCAGAACATGTGCCCAAGGTGATCAGATTACAGTTTGGTTTATTCATTTTAGGGAGACAGAAGCCACAGGCAAAGACATAAATCAATATATGTAAGATATACATTATTTCAGCCCAGAAAGGCAGAACATCTCAAAGCAGGGGCAAGGGCCTTACAGGTGATAGGTGGATTCAAAGAGTTTCTGGTTAGCAATTGGTTGAAAGAGTTAAGCTTTATCTAAAGAGTTGAAGTCAGCAGAAAGAAATGCTTGAGTTAAGATAAGAGTAGTTGTTCTTGTTATGCACATGAACCCCCTAAGTAGCAGGCTTCAGAGAGAATAGATGGTAAATGTCTCTTTTCGGATCTTAAAAGGTGTCAGACTCTTACTTAAATCTCTCCTGGATCCGGAAAAGACCTAGAAAGGGAAGGAGATTCTCTATAGAATGCAAATTTCCCCCGCAAGAGACGGCTTTGCAAGGCCATTTCAAAATATGTCAAAGAAATATATTTTGGGGTAAAATACTTTGATTTCCTTCAGGGCCTGCTATCTGTCAGGTGATGTCAGGTTGGAATTTGGTATCTTATTGCTACAGTCTGTTTTGTCAGTCTTATGATCTCTATTTTAATGTTAATGCTGATCAGTAGTGTATAAACTCCAAAGGTAGGGTGTATAACTAGGCATGTCCAACCTCCCTTCCCATCATGGCTTGAACTAGTTTTTCAGGTTTCTTTGGGATTCCCTTGGTGAAGAATGGGGGTCCCTTTGTTCCAGTAGGTAGTCAGACATAAGCGGGGCAGGAGAGGGACTCCTCCGCCAGGAATGTTAGGTGACCATCAGGTAATGGTCAGGTGGTTGTTACACTGTCTCTCTAAAATAACAATTGGTCGCTGGGTGCGGTGGCTCATGCCTGTAATCCCAGCACTTTGGGAGGCCACGGCAAGTGGATCACTTGAGGTCAGGAGTTCGAGACCAGCCTGGCAAACATGCGAAAACTCATCTCTACTAAAAATATATATATATAAAAATTAGCTGGGCGTGGTGGTGGGCACCTGTAGTCCTAGCTACTTGGGAGGCTGAGTCAGGAGAATCACTTGATCCCAGGAGTCAGAGGTTGCAGTGAACTGAGATCATGCCACTCCAGCCTGGGCGACAGAGAGAGACTCCGTCTCAAAATAAAATAAAATAATAATTGGTCAGTGTTACCAAGGAAAGGCAGTCTCCCAATAGATAGAAAAAGCCTGAAACTGGTGATCAGCAGCTTCCCAATAAGATCTCAGGAGTTGGGCGAGTGGGTTCAAGCATGTGCACTAAGAGGCAAAATGGTGGAGTTTAACTGGTGTTAATAGATGACCTTCTAGGAACACTTGACTGGTAAGGGAAGAATGCCTCAAGTGAGCATGCGTACGACTTCAGTAAACTCACTGTGCATGCTCCCCTCCCAAGTGCTGGCAGGCCACTGCTCATGCAGACAGCCCACCCCAATGGAAGAATGAAAGGAGAAGAAACACAACTCCCCAGGAGCATGCTGGTCTATAAAATCCCAAGTCAAAGGTCAAACCACGTATTTGAATCTCTCAAGTCACCCGCTTGGTCCTCTTCCAAGTATACTTTACTTCCTTTCCTTCCTGCTCTAAAACTTTTTAGTAAACTTCCACTCCAGCTCTAAAACTTGCCTTGGTCTCTCACTCTGCCTTATGCCCTTTGGTCAAATTCTTTCTTCTGAGGAGGCAAGAACTGAGGTTGCTGCAGACCCATACAGATTCACAGCTGCTAACATACTTTGGTGCCATGTGATTTAGGTACGTTCCTTAGTGCTAACATACTTTGGTGCTGTGTGACTTGAATACATTTCCTATGGCTAAAATACTTGCCCAACATTCCTGGTTGGGGAGATCATCTCCTGCCCTGCTCATGTCTGACAAACTACCTACTGTAACACGTTCAGCCAATTTTGGGGGGTTAGAATTTTATTTTTGATTTACAGGTTTTACCAAAGACTAGACTATCTGGGAACAGGGACAAACCCAACTCTAACCCCTTCTGGCTTTCCATGTGGAAGAGGGGAAATATCCAATTCCAGCCCACTGAGGCCATCCTGCCCCATCTAAATCAGGGGAAAAACTGAGAAGCACTTGTAAAGTTCACAGTCCAGGTGCAGAGGCTCACCAAAAGGCTGAGCCCTAATCAGGACTGGAGAACACTTCCCATATCCTCCCACCTTACCACCACATCACTAAAGGCCTATTTACAGATCTTATTTACCCAGTACATTATGTTTGGCTGTCAAGAAAAAAATACAAGGCATACCAAAAGGCAATAAACAAAAAACCGGCCAGGCACGATGGTTCATGCCTGTAATCCCAGCACTTTGAGAGGCCAAGGTGGGCGGATCATGAGGTCAGGAGTTCAAGACCAGCCTGGCCAACATGGTGAAACCCCATCTCTACTAAAAATACAAAATTAGCTGGGCATGGTGGTGCACACCTGTAGTCTCAGCTACTTGGGAGGCTGAGGCAGCAGAATTGCTCGAACCTGGGAGGTGGAGGTTGCAGTGAGCTGAGATCACACCACTGCACTCCAGCCTGGGCAATAGCGCAAGACTCCGTCTCAAAAAAAAAAAAAAAACAAAAAACTGAAACAACTACAACACAACAAC
This sequence comes from Homo sapiens, assembly GCF_000001405.40. Taxonomy (NCBI): domain Eukaryota; kingdom Metazoa; phylum Chordata; class Mammalia; order Primates; family Hominidae; genus Homo; species Homo sapiens. The sequence goes on from NC_000001.11 coordinate 22,445,902, forward strand.
ATATGATTTAAAGAGACAAAGCAAGCATCAGAACCAGCCCCACTGGGTAGGGATGTTGGAATTATCAGACCAGGGATTTTAAGCAACTGTGAATTAACATGCTAAGAACTCTAATAGATAAAGGAGACAGCGTGCAAGAACAGATGAACAATGTAAATAAAGAGATGGAAATTCTAAGAAAGAACCAACAAGAAATGCTAGAGATAAAAACACTGTGACAGAAATGGAGAATGCCTTTGATACGCTTATTATAATGCACTGAACATGGCTGAGGAAAGAATCTCTGAGCTTAAGGATATGTCAGTAGAAGCCTCCAAAACTGAAAAAAAAAAAAATGAGAAAAAAAGACAGAAAAACAAAACAGAATGTCCTAGAACTGTGAGACAACTGCAAAAGGTGCAACATATGTAATGGGAATGTCAGAAGAAGAAAGAAAGAGAATACATATTTGAAACAAGAATAACGGATAATTTCCCAAATTAATGTCAGACATCGAACCACAGATCACAGAAGCTCAGAGAATACCAAGTATGATAAATGCAAAAGAACAAAAACTCTACCTAACCATATCATTTTCAAAGTTTAGAAAAACCAAAGATGAAGAAATCTTGTAAGAAGCCACAGAAAAATAAAACCTTACCTACAGAGGAGCAAAGACAAGAATTACATCTAACTTCTCCATGAAAGTTCTCCAGAAACCTTGCAAGCAGAAGAAAATGAAGAGAAACATTGAAAGTGTTGAGGGAAAACTCCACCGAACTAGAATTCTGTACGCTGTGGAATTAAACTTCAAAAGTAAAAGAAAAATAAAGACTTTCTCAGACGAACAAAAATTGAGGGAATTTGTTGCCAGGAGACCTAACTTGCAAGAAAGGTGAAAAGAAGTTCTTTAGAGAGGAGGAAAATTATATAGGTTAGAGGCTGGTCGCGGTGGCTCACGCCTGTAACCCCAGTACGTTGGGAGGCTGAGGCAAGCAGACCCCTTGAGTTCAGGAGTTTGAGACCAGCCTGGGCAACATGGCAAAATCCCATCTCTACAAAAAATACAAAAATTAGCTGGGTATGGTGGCATGCACCTGTAGTCCCAGCTACTCAGGGAGATGAGGCAGCAGGATGACTTGTGCCCAGGAGGTCGAGGCTGCAGTGAGCCATGATAGTGTCACTGCACTCCAGTCTGGGCGACAGAGCAAGACCTTATCTCAAAAAAAAAAAAAAAAGTTCTAAATCTTGATATGGTTGGTAATGGTTACACAGGTGCATATATTTGCCAAAATTCCATTTTTAATGAGTACATTTTTATATGTAAATTATACCTTGGTAAAGTTGATTCTAAAGGAAATGAAAGATCATGCTGGCTTGCTGTCTGCAGAACATTGTAAAGGATATGAAAAGTGGTTGCAGGGGGAGGGTAGTAGAGTAGTTAAGAGGTAAAGGTGATTTGGACTTTGGCTGTGGACCTGGACAGAGTGTATCAGAGGTGAAATCAAGACTTGGTGAGTGGTTGACGGTTAGAGAGAGAGATGTCTGTGACAATTCCCAGGTGTCTGACCTGAGCAAGTGGGCAGAGAATGGCAGGTGGGCTATCATCTTGGAGCTAGAAACCCTGAGGGGAGAAACAGGCTTGGCTGGGAAATCATCACTCCAGTTTTGGATCAGGTAAATATGACGGGCCTGTGAGCCATCTCAGTGGAAACTATTCCATCCTTCTAAATGTGAGTGCCTTTTGCCTTAGGGGCAACCAAGGCGAGGGATTCATAGGGTCAGGCCCGCAGAAGTGCTACTGTTGTCTGGGCAGCCCTGCTGGAGCAAGGCAGTCTCCCTCCTCCTCGGCATTTGTCATCTGGGATGGATAAGCAGGCAGGCAGTTGACCCTTCTGAGTCATTTGGCAAATTCCAACAGCAGCCTCATCTGAGACTGTCTGGTATCCACTGGGCAAGAGCTGAAGACTGAGCTTCATTTGGACTGGAAAAAAGGTAGTGAAATTCTAACACTTAGAAAGCCAGGAAAGTGAATGCCAAGGCCCAGACACCTACTCGAACAAATAAAAAGCATATGTCGAGCCTCCAGCAAACTTCACTTCCACAAATAACACCACTGCCTTGGGGAACAGCAGAGACATTTGACCGGACAGCAGCTGTGCAGAGGGTGCTATTTAAAGACTCAGCTTTTGCAGCCCAAGGACTCTGGGCATAGAATTTGATTGGAATGTGGAGAGAAGACAGCAAAACTGAGGAAAGAACCAGCTTTGGGGAAAAACATCACCAGGTGGTTGGCTGTTGATGTGAACCCTGAATATGTCAAATGAGTTCATTTTAATAAAATTATGTCAATCGATCTATCTCTCTTGGAATAAATTAAATGTGTTAATTCATGGAAAGTGCTTAAAACAATGTCCAGCACATAGTGCTTATTGCATGGAAGCTGTCATTATTATCATTATTATCTCCCCATCAACCCATGTAAATATGCCCAGAGTTGGGAGAAATTCTCATCTATAATGATACGTTGCTGCTAAGTGCTAGGATTTACAGCGATTCTGTTTTACTCTTTCTTTTGTGTTTTTCTGTAATCCTTGAATTCTTTATAATAAACACATTTATTTTGTAAAACCCAAAAGTTATTACTACAGGTTGAAAAAAAGTGCAGACTGCAGTCAGACCTCCTAGGTTTAAACCCTAACTCTACTATTTAGTAGCTGTGTTTTTTGAGCAAATTATTTACGCCCTCTAAGTCTGTTTCCTCCTGTATAAAATGGGGGTAAAAATGTTACCTACTTCATTAGGTGGTTACAAGAATTAAATGAGATAATTTAATTAAAGGGCTTGGCATGGTACCTGGAAGAAAGAGTGAGATAAATGATTGCTATTATTAGCAGGAGAAGTCGTGGTGGTTGTGTTATTTCTTTTTTTCTTTTTAAATTTTTTTTTTTTGAGACAGTCTTGCCCCGTCATCCAGACTGCAGTGCAGTGGCGTGATTTCGGCTCACTGCAACCTCTGCCTCCCAGGTTCAAGCAATTCTCTTGCCTCAGCCTCCTGAGTAGCTGGGATTACAAGCCAGCACCACCATGCCCAACTAATTTTTTTTGTATTTTTAGTAGAGATGGGGTTTCACCATGTTGGCCAGGCTGGTCTTGAACTCCTGACCTCATGATCCGCCTGCCTCGGCCTCCCAAAGTGCTGGGATTACAGGTGTGAGCCACCGCAGCCGGCCGGTTGTTATTTCTTACTACGGCCAGGAACATGTTTTGTTGACCTCAGTGTTCTTGGCATATAGTAGTCACTCTGGAAACAGCTGGCAGTTTAGCAGAGGCACCTCGGGCATCTTACACTGGGTGGTGGCATGGGAACACTCTTTTCTAAAGTAGAAAAAAAGTTGAAAAGTTCTCAACCCTCCCCCTCAAAGTCAAGGTTTGGGTCCTTCTGGTGATCGGGAAGCACAGGTTATTTCTCCGCAGCTGTCGAAGCTCTGTGGGGAGATGAGGCCCTTACAAGGTCTAGAAGGTCTAGCCATTGTCTTCTTATTCTTCCATATCATGACCAGCCAGAAGCCAGAGCCATTGCTCTCCATGACAGTATGTCGTTGTTCATGAACTGTAGGCAAGTCAGCCCCATGAGAACTTCTGTTAATGCAAAACCTTAAGTAAATGGTGATGGGGAAACTGCAGCCACTGATCCACTGACTGTGGATACATGTGTGGGGTGTGTTGGGAGATGTCTAAAACAATCCCCCCAGGGAAAGATTCCTTTCCATATTTCCTAAATATTTTATAATAAGCATGTATTCATTTAAAAAAAGTTATAGAAAGCCTCTTCTTTGTCACTGCTGTCCCAATAACTGAGTACACTTGGTGGCCACTTTTCTTTTGCTCTCTTCGTTTAGTCCCTATAGGATTTGAAGTCTTGTTAAGTGGAACAGGAGGGACAGATGGTGCCTGAAAACTTATTCCTATTGAGACTCCTGAGCTTCAAGCCATCTGCATTCACATACAGCACATTGGCAATGATACTGTTTTTTAAAATCCATTAATTCGATAAATATTTCTCTTTTTTTTTTTTTTGAGACGGAGTCTCGCTCTCGTTGCCCAGGCTGGAGTGCAGTGGCGTGATCTCAGCTCACTCCAACCTCCGCCTCCCAGGTTCAAGCGATTCTCCTGCCTCAGCATCCTGAGTAACTGGGATTACAGGCACCTGCCACCATGCCCAGGTAATTTTTCTATTTTTAGTAGAGACGGGGGTTTCACCATGTTGGCCAGGCTGGTCTCGAACTCCTGACCTCAGGTGATCCGCCTGCCTCGGCCTCCCAAAATGCTCCCAAAATGCCCAGTGGCTCACACCTGTAATCCCATTAACTCGATAAATATTTCTAGAGCACCTACTATGTGCCAAGCACCCTTCTAGGTGTTTGTTTGCTAAATCTAGCAACCCTATGTTCCCACTAAAAGAGAATGTGAGGCTGGTGGAAATGAGGGCTTAGGAGACACAACAGCTGTAGGCGTGGTTCCAGTTACTACAAAAGTGACTAAATAACAGCTACAGTAAATCCGACCCTGAATGTAACGGTGACATGAGTATAATAGTGAAAGTGACTAACTGGGCACAAGGGTATGAGGACAACAGTGTACCCTGAAGGGGCCTGTTAAATACTGGCTTGACTGTGTGGCAGCAAAAGTGGCTGCATGACAATGACAGTGAAAACAACAGAAAGGGCAACAGCTGGGCAAACAAAGTGCTATTTTGAACAGAACCGTTTGAAGTTTATGGTCAATGACGGTAGCTGCATGTCAGACAGTGACAGTAAATATGATCGACCGGGAGACAGCAACAATGCAAGTGACAGTTCTGCCCAGTAGATTGAATTTGTGATGTAAAACGGTGATGGGGTGAGTCAGTCAGCCAGAGACAGCTCTCAGAACGACTGAATATTGACATTGCAGATGGAAAAGGTATAACCACAGAGGAAGCTGGACATTGCACTAAGATGGCTGGATTTGGGCACGTAACTGTCAGGGACAGAAAAAGTGGCTGCATGTCAGTGACAGGGTGACTGTGTTCAGTGGGCCAGCGCGGAGGTGACTCAGTTTGTTACTGCTGGATCTGATTTAAATGTTTGTGTAAGGAAGGGTGGCAAGGGGACGCTTCAACAGGGAACGCATAGTGTGTGAGAAGGAAAATGAGCAAAAGAAAAGCTAGGACTAAATCCCAAAGCCCCTAAATCCCAAAATTGGGAGGTGCGAGAGGCAGGATCAGGATGCCTCCAGGATGCCTTCAGCCCACTGCGCCCCACCAGCGCCAAGCCTGTCCCACAAAGAGTGCGGGCTGGGGACGCGGCTCAGGTCGCCTCTCCGCCTCGCACGTGAATGTGTTGTTTTGGAAAAACGAAGCCTTTTGTGTTCACTTCCTTGCCCTCCTTTGAAACAAAATCCTAATCCTAGAGCTGCCGGAGCGAGACTGCGGAGCTCCATTAGAACTTTCCTTAGGGCCGGGCATGGTGGGAGGCCGAGGCAGGTGGATCATCTGGGCTCAGGAGTTCGGGACCAGCCTGGCCAACATGGTGACATCCTGTCTCTACTAAAAATAGAAGAGAAAAAAAAAATTAGCAGGGCGTGGTGGCGCGCGCCTGTAATCCCAGCTACTCGGGAGGCTGAGGCAGGAGAATCGCTTGAACCTGGAAGGCGGAGGCTGCAGTGGGGCGAGATCGCGCCGCTACACTCCAGCCTGGGAAACAAGAGCGAATCTCCCATCTCAAAAAAAAAAAAAAGAAAAAAACTTTACTTAGGAAGTGTGGGGAGGGAAGGAGGGAGTGGCCAAGGTCAGAGGTCAGAGAAGAGCCTAGCAACCAGCCGGCCCCCGCCGTCCTAGCATAGGTGGAGAGCGAGCGCGTGACGCAGGCCCCGCCCCCAGCACGTGACCGCGGCGCGTGGGGCAGGTCGGGCCGCCCCCTCCCCTCTGATACCCATTGCGCGCCGGCCTCAAGATGGCCGCCTTCTGGCGTCTCCGGCGCTGTTGAATGGCGAAAGCTTTATTGTTCCCTTCGGGCAGGAGTGTTCGTGTCCTCTATGGCGCTGTCAATAAAGAACGGCAGTTTGAATCGGTGCTGAACAGGTAACCATAGAAACGGGGCTGGGACTCCGCGTGGAGACCCTTCCTGCAGCGGGGGCCCGGGTGCGCCCTAAATGAGGGGTGTATACAGACCCTTCCGCGTGGCGAACTCCGCGGGACTCGGCCGAATCACGGCCGCCTCACCTACACCCCGGACGTGCCCCCTCCAGGGGCGGTCCGCACCCCTGGCGCCGGCTCTGCTGTAGACTGCGGAGGGGAGAGACCGCGGGGACCCACTCAGGGCGCCAGGCCCGACCTGACACCGCCTGGGGCTCGCTGTCGCCCCGCACCTCCCTCTCGGCCCGTCCGGAGGCCTCTTGTCGCTGTCTCACTCCCCCTCCCTTCAGGTCCCTTCGCCGGGCGTCAGCGGACTATGGCCTTGGGCCTAATCCATGCCCCCCTTCTCTCTTCCCCTCTCGGTCTTTGTTTACAGTTGCAAATGGTTAGGGGGAAGAATATTTCATGTAATTTGCGAAAGTTCTATGAAATCAAGTCCATAAATGAAGTTTTATTGGAACACGGCCCTGTTCATTGTTGATGTATTGTCTATGGCTGCTTTCCTGCCAAGAGGGCAGAGCTGAGTAGTTGCGCAGCCGTTGCTTGGCTTTGATCGGCTGGCTCACAAAGCCAGAAATATTTCTGTCTGGTCCCTTACAGCAAAAGTTTACTGACCCCTGCCCTAAACACAAGGAGATTGGATCAGTGTTGTCATTCAGCTATTCCTCTCGTCGGTTCTTCTGGAGTGGGAAAAGAGTTAAAACTGCGCGATGCACCGAGAGCACTTTAGTTGACAGAACACTCTGGCTTCCCTTCTGGTCTTACTGACTATTCAGAGTTTCTCCTGCTTTGAATAGCGTTGGTACCATGCAGCCAGTGCTGCAATGAACCAGGTGCTTTATTTATATTCATACAAGTGTTGTTCTACTTTATGACGACGCTTTATAAGTAAGTATGGTATTTCCATTTTACAAACGAGGAAGAAATTTGTTCTGAGTGGTTAATATATGTATAGGTGTACTAGGTTATAGGGCTGCCAAATTGAGCCTGTCCCTGGGAGCCCCCTGCCTGATGGCACCGGTCAAACTGCTTTGGATTTTATTCTTTCAAGTCTTTTCTACCTGGAATTGTTTGTTCTTCCCTGGAATTGTACCCAGATCTTTGTATGGTTAATGGAGATTTAATTACAATCTCAGTGAAATTTTTTTCTACTTAGCTAAATCATCAAACTTCTGCCCCTCCTTTCTAATATAAACACTTTTCTTCTATGTCAGTAGTCCCCAAACTTAGCTATTCATTAGTGGTTTAACAAATGGTTTCAGAACACCCCATGCATGTACGCATGCATTCATTAATCATTTAGTGTTTGTTGAGCACTTACTGTGTACCAGAGACGTTTCAAATTCCTGGAAATACAGTGGTGAACAAGACAAATATGATTTCTGCCCTTCCATGGAATTTAAATTCTATGTGGGGCTTGGACAAGTGGTATACAGGTAGACAAAGATAATTTCAAATACAGCTGTAATAGCATCATCATAATAAAATTATTAGTTGCTATTTACTGAGTGATTATTTTGTGCCAGGTACTGTGCTAAGTGCTTTATTTATATGGACTATCACTTAATCCTCACACCAATACTATGACATAAGTAGTATTAATATTACCATTTTACGCATAGAGGAAACAAACTCACGTCGGAGAGATGTTCGAGGTTACATAGCTAAGGCATTCAGCTGAGAGCTGAAGCTAATCTGATCACACTGAACACCCTGTATTGTTCCATCTGTTTATTGTCTTTCCTACTAGCTTAGGAGGTCCTTAAGGGCAGGGACCACACCTTACTGTTGTTATCCTCAGCTGCTAGCCAGTACCCACAACCTGGTGTTTGCAGGTAAATACCAAGTAAACAAATCTAGGTCATTCATTGAACAAATTTTTATTTTATTTTATTTTATTTATTTTTTTGAGACAGAGTCTCGCTGTGTTGCCCAGGCTGGAGTGCAGTGGCACAATCTCGGCTCACTGCAACCTCCGCCTCCCGGGTTCAAGTGATTCTTCTGCCTCAACCTCCTGAATGGCTGGGACTACAGGCATGTGCCACGACACCCGGCTAATTTTTTGTGTGTTTTTAGTAGAGACAGAGTTTCACCATGTTGTTCAGGCTGGTCTTGAAGTCTTGACCTCAAGTGATCTGCCCGCCTCAGCCTCCCAAAGTGCTGGGATTATAGGCGTGAGCCATCGCGCCCGGCCTCGAACAAATATTTTAGTGTCTCCATGTACCAAGCACCACTGTCTAGGTCCTGTGATTACCAGGGTGAGCAAGATGGACCTGGGGCTCTGTTCTGGAAGCTAAAGCCTAGTGTCAAGACAGTAAAGAAATAACAAAGTTATTCCAAATTGTGGCAACTGCTCTAAAGGAAATAAAACAGCACGGAGAGAGACACTAACCTGGGAGACTCACTTTTTATCTGGGTGGTCAGGGAAAACCTCTCTTAAGAAAGGCAGTTTAAGCTGAAACTTGTTGAGTGACAAGGAACCAGTCTAGCAAGAAGGGGAAAGGGAGAGACGAAGCTGGGAGGAAGAACTTTTCAGCAGGTTCAGAGACTAAGGTGGGTAACAACGTGAGATGTTGGAGAACTCAAAGGGAGTCACTGTGCTGTGGTTCACTCCTGTGCTCAGTCCCTGGCCGTGAACCCAGCTACTACTGAGAGAACTGCACGCCCAAGGGCAAGTTACAGATTAGTTATCTGACCTGGAAAATGTGGATAATGGTGCCTCCTCAAAGGGTTGTGCAGATTAAATAAGAGAAACTGTATTCATAGCTATGGTATTTTCTTTTTGTTGTTGTTACACATATTGCTGAATAACCAAATTTAGCTCCAAATGGAAACTTTATAAAGTGCTAACTAATAACAAAAATCCAGAAATACATTACAGACAAAATTAAGAATGGGGGAATCCAATTAAAAATAGAAGCCCTCTACTTTCTATCTCCAGAAAGAGGGGAGCAGATCTTGTTTTTTCTTAGTGTTTCTGCTTGGAGAGGAACTTTTCCAAATGGCATCTAATTTTTTTAAAGCCAAATTGTACAGCTGTCTATGCAGAACACTTTTCAGCATTTTAGTGTTTTAAGTTGGAAACTACTTATGTTCCTCCATCAAAGGTGTATGTATTCTCTTAAGGCATTCTAAACAAATGTTAGACTTTTAGTTGGTGGCGATTTAAAAATTTGTTTGTGCATGATTTCAAGTTTCCTCCAAAAGTTTTCAAAATAATGTCACATACTCTAAAACAGTATTGAATGCTTTGAGGCAAATGGCAGGCTTTTTGACTAAGTAAAAATAGGATAATGTTCGGGTTCATAAATGTAAGAAATTAGAAGCAATAATAAATCAAGGGAACTATGTAAGAAGAACAGCATGGCAGGTTTCGCTTTAAACTCTCCCTAGTAACCATATTGCACATGTCATCAGAAGACACATTCTAACCCTGCAAACGGAGCAAAGAACTGGACAGAGAGTGTCATTTAATGCAATGTTAAACAACAAGCCCTGAATTAAATTGCTATTTTAGGTTTGGGTGGGACCTTTGCATCTAAAGTATTGCAGTTTTACTCTGTGATTTGGGTCTGTTGGGTTCCAGTAAAGAGCAGGTGCTAACACTAGCTTTGAAGGATAGTATGAAACTGCAAGAAGAGCCAGGGCATACCAGTTTGTTTTTCAGTCTATTTTATTTCAGTTCAAAGCATCATTGCAGACAGGCAGCCCCGGAAAACGAGCCACACTTTGGCAACACTCACCTGCTTTTGGAGATTGAGGAAGACTGAGTATAACCCAAGTGTGGCTTGTTTTCTTGGACTATCTGTCTGCAATGATGCTTTGAACTGAAATAAAATAGATTGAAAAACAAATTAGTATGCCCTGTTGCCTCGTACTGAGTATTTACATTACCCTTCTCGAGTACTGCCTGAACCAGCACCCTGAGGGAAGGCAGTGACCCCTCAGCCTCTTTCAACTCTTCAGCAGAGTGAGCTCTTTGATTTTCACAAGGAAATTGAATTGGGATATATGGTTTTCTGGATCTCCAATAGTCTGCCTTCCAAAGCCATCATCTGGATAATGTGGAGAAAGCAAGCTACTAACCACATAGAGGAAAGAATTAAATATTAAGGGCATTTAAATTGAGAGATGAGATTGTCACTTTCTGTAAGTCTAGCAGAGAGTGCAGTATTTCATTTGCAGGGAGCATGCAGTTTTGAGACTCTGGCAGCCCTCGAGAGAGAAGGATAAGGAAAGAAAGCCAGCTTTCCTTACATTTCCCTAATGTTGTTATTTAACTCCAAATCCTCAAAATTATGATGCCACGTATTTCATTTCCTTACATAAATGTATTATGCTGATCCATGTAAGTCAGAGATTGTTAATCTCAGGGTAAATGGTTGAATTTCAAGAGACCCATGAATCCTTTGAAGTTGCCTGCAAATTTGTGTGAATGTCATTTTTTCTGGGGAGAGAGCCAGTTACTTTAATCTGATCTCAGAAAGGCCCTTGACCCTTTAAAAGGTGCAGAACCAACAATGAAACATCACATGTAACATCACCTAACTGAAGGCGCGATGAGAATCTCCCCTGAAACCAGGTACTGTTTCACTGCTCTGTAACCTTAATCTCAGATTTTAAGTCTTTTCAGGCTTTGTTTTCTGTCTAAAGTGGTCAAGCATAGTTGAATGTTTGTGTAACATAGATATCTGCCCATTGAACTGCTTCATAAATGCCTTACAGATGGTTGTTGTTAATTTACATGAGACTGGTGAGATGTGGACCTATTGTCTAGGCAACCTCGTTAGCAGATATCATAACTGTTTCTACTGATAGAGGAAAGGAGGAGGTAGTGGAAGCTCACTGCTTTGTTTCTAGGCATCAGCTTCTTGCAGATGGAGTCAGTTCCTCAGACTTAACGAAGGCTGGGTTAAAAGGGAAAGAAGGCTGGGCACAGTGGCTCATGCCTGTGATCCCAGCACTCTGGGAGGCTGAGGCAGGAGGATCACTTATGCAAGCCCAGGAGTTGAGGCTGCAGTGAGCTGTGATCAGACCACTGCATTCCAGTTGAGACCCTGTCTCTATTTTTTTTTTTTAAAGGAAAGAAGAAGAGGGGAGGGGATAGACTTGAGGAAGCAGAGGATTAAAGAAAGAAAGGCTGTTTCCCTGCATTTGTCCACAGAGTCCCCTCTCTTTATCTCTGTGAAAAGAAAAAGCTGCTATATTGAGGCAAAACCTATCTCAGAATTTAACTAATACTTGGACTTCTGAAAAAGGCAATTCATAAATGTAATTTCTGGTTTTATTAGTACCCAAAGGGAAACAAAAACAAGGAAATATCTTTATCTTAGGATATTCTGTAAAACTGGGACCTCAATAGAAAACTCCTATAGGCCAGAGTTTGGCTCATAGAGTGTTTAAAAAGTAGTTACTTCCATTTAAGCATTAGAGATTTTCCATCTGTCTGACCCCTGGAGGCGTTTGCATGAGCGACCTCTGCTGCAGGCACTAGCGTGGTTCTGGAACAGGACCAAACAGTAGAGGATGCTTTATGCAAGAAATGGGCCAAGAAGGATGAGGAAATTAGAAACAAAGGATTATAACTGTAAATAATAGGTTTTCAGGCTCCAAATATTGGTTATTTGTTGGTTAATATTTGTTAGCTAGTGTTAGCTATAGTGGGGTTATTTTTAGCATAAAAACAAAGGTGAACGGTAGGTGATTCTATTTCTTATTTTGAGAAAATACTGTAAGAGGTAATCTAACCTGCTAATTTCGTCCTATTTCTCAGCTTTCTAGGACTGGGGCCTGACCATTGAGTCTTCCTGAGTTTTCCTTCTTGACTCCTTTTGCTCCTTGTCCCCATTAGCTCCAGAAGATGGTCTCCAGGGCATTGGCAGCAGTGAATTTGCCATCTTTCTTCCACCTGGTACTTCTCCCTGGTTCTTAGGCTCAGTGGATGGCACCACAGAGTTGCCAAAGGCAGAAACCTGGGAATGGTGCCATGATCTTCTCTTTCAGCACATATTTAGTTAGGCTACAGGACTGTTGATTTCTTCTACCCTTTCTCTTCCTTTGGTTAGAGTTGCTATAATCTCTTGTCCTGGATTATGAAACAGCCTTCTAGTTGGTCAGTGGCTTTCAGCTTCATTCCTCTCCAATCTATTTGGTACACTGTTACCAGTGGTCTTTATAAAGCACAGATCGGAATATGTGATTCCCTTGCTTTAAAACTCTTGGATGGCTTGCCTGCCCTTAGGATGGTCCAGCAAGTGCTACCCTCCAACTGTGGCTGTGCCTGTCTCTCAAGCCTCTGAGCAGCCCCTCCTCCCACAATTCACCTTATATTGAGCACCAGTTGAAATCTCTCAGTGGCCACAGGACTTCATCCTTTCTGGGGCCAGTGGGCCACATTCCAAGGCTTCAAGGCTGCTCCCTCTCCCTGGACTTCCCTGCTGCTGGTATCAACCAGGCCAGTAGCAATGCCATTATCTACACTGACCTTTATATTACTGAATGCTGTTTGGGTTTTCTGTTATTCCTTTTTTCCTTAGAATATATGCTACTTGAGATGTGTAGTCAGATATTGTCTTAAAGTCACTTGATGTAATTATCTTCTGTGTAGTTGTATCACCAACTTCATAAACAGGCTCTTTTTCTTGAATACTTTTTTAAAAAATTAATTAATTTTGAGAATGGATTAGGAAACTGGCCAATTTTTATGATTTTTGGTAGAGATGGGGTTTCACCATGTTGCCCAGGCTGGTCTTGAACTCCTGGCCTCAAGCAATCCACCTGCCTCGGCCTCCCAAAGTGCTGGGATTACAAGTGTGAGCCACTGTGCCAGGCTGTCATTGGTTTTAAACTTTAAGGATTGCTATTAAAAATTAAATTCCTTTTTACCAAGAAGTTTTTATTTCATACCTAAACCCTTCTTCTCTGTTTCTCCTGTCTTGCTAACAAAGTATGCTGTTAAAGTTTTGGGGTTTTGCCAATCTGTCAGGTAAGAAATAATATTTCAGTATAGCTTAAATTTGTTGTTTCTTTTTATGAGATAAAGGATATATCATGTCTGTGATACAGATTGCAAATATATTTTTCCAGTTGTCATATGCTTGACTTTGTATATATTGTTTTATTTCTATCCAAGTTTTATATCTTTATATAGTTGTGTTTCTCAGTCTTACCGTGTATTGCTTTGGATTTGCAGTCATAGTTAGGATATTTGCCCCACTCTCAATTTATGGAGCATCCATTTATATTTTCTTCTAGTACATGTAAGGCTTATGATTTCACTTTTTAAAAAACATTTAAGACTCTGATCCATTTGAAATTTATCTTAGTATTTGGTTTGAGGAAGGATCTGATTTTATCTTTATCCCAATGGCCAGTCAGTTGTCTCAACAGTACTTATTAAAAACTTTTTTCTTCACTGATTTGAGATGCTGTCTTTATTGAATACTAAGCCTTTGTATGCATTTAGATTTCTTACTGGATTTTCTGTTTTGTTCCATTGGTTTGATTGCCAATTCATATGCTGTTACAAAATCATCTTAATTTTAGAGGCTTTATCATTTAACATCTGGAAGGGCCAATTTTTAAAATATTGCTCTTTTTCAGGGTTTTCCTGGCTGTTTTTGCTTGTTTATTCTGGCATATGAACTTAATAATCAATTTGTCTGGTTTCAAGAGGAGATGACTTGATGGTATTTTTATTAGGATTGTGTTACATTTTATAAATTAGCTTAGGGAGAACTAGCATCTTTACCATATTGACTCTTCTATCCAAGATTATGGTCTGTCTTTTCATTTGCTCAAAGCTACTTTGGTGATTTTTCAGGAGTGTTACATGTTTTTCCTTATATAAAATCTGTATGCTTCTTTTTCAGTTTATTAGACCTTTATTCTTAACATTTAAAAAATAATAATTCTGTTTAGAATCCCTCCAGAAGATCCTAGAGAAGTTCTACACACCCACATATTCCAAACATTTTGCATGCGACTTCAAATTATTCCTTGATACCTCCCCCCTTAAAGCTCATCCTATTATATTGTTCCCTAAATCTCCTTCTTTTGTCCACCTTCATCTCTTTCTCACTCTCACCTCTTAGCACTGTGTCCTGCGTACAGTTCAGTCAGAACATATTTGCTGAATGGATGAATAAAGTAGTGAGGGGAGAATGAAGGTGGGTGAAAGAGTGAGAGCCCGTTAGACTCTATTTGGAAAGGTCATCCTTGTTGTATTTCTAAGTCTGCAGCCATTGATTCACTGGGTCATAGTACTTGGTTCTCCTCTTTCCTCCATTCCAAAACTTTTTTAAAAGTTCTGGTGAACTTTAAAATTTTCATAATATTAAAATATAATAATTCATGTCTTAACATTATATGACATTTCACATCATGTTGATAATAATAGTTACCATTTATTGAACACATACAAAATACCAGGCAGTGTACTAGGTATTCTACAGTATTGTTTCATGTAACCCTCACAACAACTAAGCAATAGGTATTATTACTGCCGTTTCTAAAAATTAAGAAAATTTGCAAATATAAAAGTGAGAGTAGCATTATGAGCTCCCATATACTTGTTAACTTCATTTTACCCTTGAGAAAACAGGTTTTGAAAGGTTAAGTAACTCAAGGTTACAAAGCTAACGTCAGATTTAGAACCCAACTCTTTATAGCTCCTTATTAAAAATTGTTTTTCAAACTTTAGGCTCTAGCTGGCCAGGGAAGAGCAGAAGGAAAGGAGAGAGTCAAGACCCACTCTTCAAACTAGTATAGTATTATAGAAGACTCTAATAGTAGTCTTCCCATCTACGAATTCACACCCAGATACTTCCTTCTCTACTCACTGCAGACAGTAAACCCTCCCATCTTTCCCCCTTTACTGCTTCTCATGTGCTCTTCTCACTCTGTCTTCTATTTCTCTAGTTGTATTACTACAATCTGATATTGGTTGGTTTTCAAAGGCTTGCCACTGTTTTGAATACTTACCTCCTAGTATGATGTCGTGAACATAGTGGGAACCAATATATTTAAATTAAATAACAATGAAACTTGCTCTTAATCATTTAGCATATAAGTTTGGCATGGTACTTGTTACTTTTGAATGTTGCTCTGAAGGCCTGAAGTCATTCAGTTTGACCACTCTAGACACAAGCTGCTCATTCAGTTGGTACTCTGCTGTCAGTTCTCCTCAGTTGTAGTCAGGTTAAAACCAGAGGGAGACTGGCTAAGGTCAGAGTCCAAGACAGCAGAATAATTGGCCCCTAGAGTTCCGTTGTTTTTTTTTTTTTTTTTCTGGACAGTAAAATGTTGAGGATGAAATTTCCGTATATTCCTTTGAACATTTTTGAGCAAATACTATAGAATCCCATAGGCTCTTTCCCAACATTAACAGCAATAGAGAAGTTATCCTCTTTTACGTTTTTTTGTTAGCTCCTTAAGTTAACCCTCTTGACATACTCCCTGGTGATGGAGGGAAATAGAGAGATGAAAATAATTCCCACTTCTTCAAAGACAAAAGAAAAAGCTTATAACACTAGGAGGAGACGAGAAAGGAGTTGATCTGTGAAATGTACACAGAGGGGTACTGAAGGCTGAGTGATCTGAGTAGTGTGATAGGACAGTGTTGCTGGAAGTTGGGGGTCTGTAGTCTCTTCAGTGCTCTGGTACTTAACTACAAAAGTGTGAGGAAAGAAGGATTTAAGCTGAAAGTGGTCTCTTCTTCCCAGCTGTGCCATAAGCTCCTTGAGAGCAGGGATTATGCTGAATTTCTTCTCTGTGTAGTGCCAAGCCTCAGTTAAGGTCATTCGGCTGAGCTCAGTGACAATCTGCTGGATTGACAAGCACATCTTTTTCGCTGATAGGGCTGGGACACAGCCTTGGGGTCACACTGGGGCCACATGGGCTCCCACATCCTTCAGCTGCCCTGTTACCAAGGTGCACAGCCTTGAACAAGTAGGAAGTGGCAGGGAGGGTTGAGGAATGTGTGTGCGGTGTCTCACCTGCACAGAATAAGTAGGCTCTACATCTCCATTATCTGTTCTTATTTAAAAACCACTTCATTAATAGGGTATCCTTGTAATGCCTCTGAACAGGGAAGTTATCAAAAAAGTAGGAGAAAGAATCTAAGGTTAAGAACTTCACCACTTTTTAAATTTTAAAGTTTGGGCAGTATCACTCAGTGGTCAAAGTTTCGGCTCTAGAGTCAGACAGCATGAGTTCACTGACTGACTCTACCACTCACTGGCTTTGTGATTTGGGGCAGGTCATTTAATCTCTCTAGGCCTCCACTTCCTCATTTGAAAGTGGGGTTAATAATAGTAACTATCTCACTGGTTTTGCAAAAATTATTTAAGGCCACCAATGTAAAGTGCTTGGCACAATACCTGAGATATAATAAATGCTTAATAAATGTTAGCTATTATTGTTAACCTCTCAAACGCATTCTTCTTCCCTTTTCCAAAATGTTGTCGTCTTTACGTTCCACTTAGAATATATATCTAAGCCATAGGTAACGGGAAGAGTCTCATTTCTGTCATTAATGAACTGGAAGATCTTAAAACACTTTACATTTCAAGGCTGTGGTTTCCTCATCTATGAAATGTGGGAATTGGGCCAGGTGATTTCAAAGTCCTTTGCATCTTCTAATTTTTAATGAGTTTAAGGTTTTGTATGAAATCTCTGATTATAGCCCAGCCGTCTTGTTATGAGAAGTCGGACTCTCCCCACTTTCTCTCTTTCCTGGCTTAGTCTCATTCCAGTCCAGCTGTATGAAATGAGCAATGCAGTTGTCTATGAATTCTTTTCTTTTAAAAAAATTATGTGACATTTGACATATATAGAAGATACATATGTAACTTGAAAGTGATGAAGCAGAATGATAAAAAGCAAATACTTTGATAGGTGTATTTTATGCTTCCTTTTCCAAAGGTAGTAACACCTAACATTTAGTGACTGTTAACAGTGTTACAGGAACTGCTGTTTATGTGTATTGACTCATTTACACGTAGTAGCTCATTCATACAACTACCTCATGAAATAAGCACTAATATTATCCCCATTTTACATATGAGAAGACTGAGGCCAAGAGAGTTAAGCAACTTGACTAAAATTTAGCTGGTAAGAGGGGCAGAGCTGGGATTCATGCTCCTGGTTCTCTCTAGAGCCTGCGCGCCACACCTTTACTGTAGAGCACATAGCCGCTGGCATCACAGTGCCTGGTGTGTTACTCTTTAGTTGCCAGGGCCCCTTAATTTTTACATTAGATGGGTATCTGTGAATTCTGGAATTTGGTACTGTATTTATGTGTGACCCAGATTTATTCCCTGATGAAGAAAAGTGTATTATAATCAATCTGATGAAAACTTAGTTATCGTCCGTGTTTTCAGGGCAGAGCAAAATGCCTTTCAGTACCAGTGACAAAGCAAAGGGTCTTTTTGATACCTAAGAGATTGGATTTGAAAGCATTGGAGTGGTAATTGCTTGTTGAGACTCCTGACTGCAGGATGGAAAAGTTGGCCTTAAGTATAATGTGGTCACAATCCCTAATCACTCATTAGATACATGTGTCGCTCAGGAGATTTTGCAGTTTGGTCTGTAAAGAGTTATCTTGGATGAACTACTGGATCAGAGCAGCATGGCCTGGAAAGGCACCTAAATCTCTCAAAGCCTCCTTCTGTTATAACAGTCTTGAAAATTGCTTGTTTCTATGAATTAGTCAGAAGATAAGAGGACATAAGCAGTTTGTTACGCTGAACATTTTGATATTTTGCCTCATTGTATTTTGTAGAACACCTCAAAAGAAGTTTCATTAGAAATGGAGAGAATCTGGAAAAAGAAATTAATTGAAAAGAATGGTTATTATAGGCACATCAGGAATCAGATGCTACCTACCAGTTTTGAAAACAAACATTTCTAGTGGTCCTTAATCTTCTCCATGTCTCTATCTCCTTGACAATCTGTGAGATGATAGTGGTGGGGCAGTGATCATGATCATGGCAGCTAGCAGCTAATTATTGAGCACTTGCTATGTCCCTGGCCTGTGGTGCCAGTGCTTTAGGTGTAACTCATTTAATCTTCCAGCAGCCCAATGAGAAAGGTACTATTACTATCTGCATTTTGTAGATGAGGAAACAGAGCTCCTAATAGGTTAGGTAATTTGCCCAGGATCACACACTTTGTAATTGAACATTCAAGATTCGCACCCGGGTAGTCTGGCTCCAGCTCTGGCCTTTAACCACTAAGCTACATTGCTCATGAAAGCCGTGGGCCCTCTCCCCCAGAAAGGGTGTAGTTGGGCAACATTACATGGGCAGTAATTTAAAGAGCTTCTGGACTCTTCTTCCCCTATCCAGTCCATTGATTTGGGTTCAAACCCTACCCTAGACTTATGTCAGTTCCTTTCAGGCAGAGATTATGTCTTATATCTGTGTTTGGTACATAGCAGGAGCTAAATAAATGTTTAATGAATGAATGGTATGTTGGAAATGACACTAGCTTTAAAGCCAGCCCCACCTGTCTGGGATTTTATTCTTAAATTTCCTGTTATAAGGTTTATGCATGTTTACTATAGAAAATTTTATAACATATGAAGAAGAAAATAAGTCTGCCATAATGACAGTACCTAGGATAACCACTCTTAGCATTTTTCTGTATTTTCTATATTTTTAAATGCAAATATGTATATGCATGCACACATATTTTTAAACCAAATTGGAATTATACACGTATTCAGTTGCATGCTGGTTGTTTTCTTTTTAGTATATCGAGAGCATTTTCCTACGTCATTAAAAACCTTCAAGTGCCTTTTTTTCCCCCACAAAAGTATTTATATGTAATTTACATACCATAGAATTTACCATTTTAAAGTGTACAATTCAAACATCTGTGTAACTGTTATGGGATCTTTAGGGTGTCGATTTTCTTCCTGGAAACCTCTGTTGGCTGTTGGTGCCTTTGCCCAACCTCTTGTCCTGCATCCAGGTATGCAGACAAGTGAAGGGTGAAGAAAACAAAGAGCAGATTTATTTAGTGTTAGAACAGCTCAGAGGAGACCCGCGATGGTTAGTTCCCCTCTGTAGGCAGGCAGGTTGTCTGTCGAGTGTTCAGCTCTCAGTAGAGAGGAAGCCCTGGAGAGGGTAGCTCCTCTCTGCTTGCTGGTTGACTAGACGTCTGCTGCTCTCAGCAAAGAGGAGGCCCTGGAGAGGGTAACTCCTCTCTGCGGGCAGGTCATTTGGCGGTCTCTGCAGGTCTCTGAAGTTCTCAGCAGAGAGGGTAGCTCCTCTCTGTAGCTAGTCATCCCATGTCTACTCAGCTGTGGCTGAGTCCGGGGCTTTTATGGGCCTCAGAGGGGAGGAAGTGCGGTATGTGCCAGTTGGCCCATGGGTGGCCATGGGCGGGCCTGGAAAAGGCACCAGTTCCCACTCTGGTCAGTGGGACTGGCAGCCAGGCCCCCCAGCCTTCAGGCCCCTGCCTGGCCTGAAGGAGGGACCTTACTGGGACCTGCCCCCTTCTACCTGGGACTCTGTCTGCCTGCTGTTGTTCATGGTGCTTGGGCTCTGCCCAACTTTGCTCCAGATTGAGATCGGAGTGGGTGCTGATAGCAGGGAGAAGCCAAACAGTGGGGGCAGGTGCTTCTGAGCCTGTGAGGGTGGGGCCTTCCCAGACCCCCAAGAGTGCAGGGATGCCTGAGTTGCAGCCATGGTTTGGGGGGTTTCAGCTGCCCCATGGGGGGCAGGGCTTCTGCCTGCTTCTGGCTCCCCAAGAACACAAGGAGGCTCATATCTGCAGCCACAACTTGGGTGGTGCCCCTGCCTGCTCCGTGGAACATGTAGCCCTGCCCAGGCCTCCTTGCTTCAGCCAGGATAATGGCAGGCCAACTGGATCAGCTGCCACCATTATAACCATCACCACTTTCCAATTCCAGAACGTGTTTTATCACTCTGAAACCCCCCCTGTACCTGTTAGTAGTCACTCCCCATTTACTCTTCCCCAAAGAGTCTGGTAACCACTAATCCACTTTCTGTCTCTATGGATTTGCTTATTCTGGACATTTCATATGAATGGAATCATATACAGCAATATGTGGCCTTTTATGTCTGGCTAAACTGGCTTTTACTTAGCATAATGTTTTCAAGATTCATCCATGTTGTAGAATGTATCAGTACCTCCTTTTTATGGATGAATAATATTCCATTGTTTACATGTATAATATTTTGTTTGTCCATTCATAAGTTGATGGACATTTAGGTTGTTTGCATTTTTTGGCCGTTAGGCTTAATGCTCCAATGAACATTAATGTACAGGTTTTTGAGTGGATCCATGTTTTCATTTGTCCCAGATATATACTAGGAGTGGAACTGCTGGGTCATATGGTGTCTCTGTGCTTAACTCTTTGAGAAACTGCCAGACTGTTTTCCACAGGGGTGGCACCATCTTATGTTCCCACCAGCAATTCCGTGAGGGTTCCAGTTTCTCCATATTCTCAGCAACACTTGTATTTTCTGTTTTCTGTTTTATTTTATTATACCCATCCTAGTGTTATGTGAAGTTGTCTCTCACTACAGTTTTGATCTGCATTTACTAATGACTGATGATGAACATCTGTTCATGTACTTACTGGCCACTTTGCCTGTCTTTGGAGAGATGTGTATTCAAATCCTTTGCCCATTTTAAAATTGGCTTATTTGTCCTTTTATTGTTGAGTTGTAAGAGTTCCGGATACTAGATTCTGGTACACTATATGTATTCTGAATACTAGACCTTTATCAGATATGTGATTTGAAAATACTTGTTCCCATTCTGTGCAGTGTCTCTTTACTTTCATGATGATGTCCTTTGATAAACAGACATTGAAAAATATGATGAAATTCGATTTATTTATTTATTGGGGGATTACATGTTCTTTTAGTGTCATATAGAGAGCCTAATTTTATGGCTGCATAATATTCCATAATATGGCTGTATGCCATATTTACTTTAAAACCTCGTATATTTAAGTTTGTCTGCAGGGTTTTTTTTAACCATTAATACTATTGCTGCGAATATAGTGTACATAAATATTTCATTGCATATATAATTAATTATTTCTGATAGATTCCTAGAAGTGATTCTAAAAGGCATAAACATTAACATTTTTTTTCCTGCTACTATCATGGATTTCTCATTCTTTTTTATCTGGAATTATACAGCTTGTATATAAAGTAACTCTGGTAAAACATTCAAGCAGTGCAAGTAAAGTATACTTTTCCCCACCCTGCAAATTCTCGAGTCTCTAAGGACATTTTTATAGCTTTAGATGAGCAGATTACTCCCAGATTATTTACCAGCCTTGTTTCCTAAAAAGTTTTACCAGATTATACTTCCATCAGCATTGTGTGGGTACCTAGCCCATTGCTCCCTCTCCTATGTTATTAGTGCAAGTAGTTTTGTTTTTGTTTTTTGAGACAGAGTCTCGCTGTGTCACCCAGGCTGTAGTGCAGTGGCGCAATCTCTGCTCACTGCAATCTCTGCCTCCCTGGTTCAAGCAATTCTGCCACCTCAGCCTCCTGAGTAGCTGGGATCACAGGTGGGCACCACTACACCTGGCTAATTTTTGTATTTTTAGTAGAGACAGGGTTTCACCATGTTGGCCAGGCTGGTCTTGAACTCCTGACCTCAAGTGATCCTCCCACCTCAGCCTCCCGAAGTGCTGGGATTACAGACATGAGCCACTGTGTCAGGCCTGTTTTTTTTTTTTTTTTTTTCCTGATAATAATAGCAGGCTGGGCACAGTAGCTTATGCCTGTAATCCCAGCACCTTGGGAGGCCAAGGCAGGAGGATCCCTTGAACCCAGGAGTTCGCGAGCAGCCTGGGCAACATAGGGAGACCCTGTCTACAAATCAAAAAATTAGTCAGGTGTAGTGGCTCATGCCTGTAGTCCTAGCTACCTGAGAGGCTGATGCGGGAGGATTGCTTCAGCCCAGGTGGTCAAGGCTGCAGTGAGCCAAGGTCGCACCACTGTACTTCAGCCTGAGTGACAGAGCAAGACCCCATCTCAAAAAAAAAAAAAAAGAAAAGAAGCTAATACTTATTGAGCATTTACTGTTGACAGTCACTTTGCTAAAGCAATTCAGGTGCATTCTCTCATTTCATCTTCACACTAAAACTATAAGGATGTTAAGGCTCACAGTGATTAAAGTGATATGCCCAAGGTCACCGAGTAAGTGTTCAAGTTAGTTCTGCCAAATCCGAGTCCACGGTCTAAAACACTATTTCCCAATTAAATACTGTCACTGAAAAACTTTTGATTCCATGTTTTGATTTGCGTTTCTTTAATTATTCACCAGGCTGAATTTTTAATCAGTTTATTGACTTTTAATTTTTTGTGAATTATCTATATTTTTCTTTTTAAAATTTAAAATGTTAATGTTTCCTTTTTTTTTTTTTTTTTTTTTTTTTTTGGAGACAGGATGTCGCTCTGTTGCGTATGCTGGAGTGCAGTGACACAATCATGGCTCACTGCAGCTTGAAACTCCTGGGCTCAAGTGATCCTCCTCCCTCAGCCTTCCAACTAGCTGGGAGTATAGGCATGTGCCACCATGCCTGGCTGGCTTTTTTTTTTTTTTTTTTTTTTTTTTTTTAGTTTTTGTAGAAATGGGGTCTCACTCTGTTGCTTAAGCTGATCTCGAACTCCTGGGCTCAAGTAATCCTCCTGCCTTGGCCTCCCAAAATGTTGGGATTATAGGCATGGGCTGCCATGCTTGGTGTTTCCTTATTGATTTGTATAATCTTTCTTTTTTGGTTTGTTTAGTAGGGACAGGGTCTTGCTCTATCACTCAGGCTGGAATACAGTGGCACAATCATAGCTCACTATAGCCTTGACTGCCTAGGCTCAAGTAATGTCCCCACCTCAGCTACCTGAACAGCGAGGACTACAGGTGTACTCCACCACACTTGGCTAATTTTTTGGTATTTTTTTTAGAGATGGAGTGTCACTATGTTGCCCAGGCTAGTCTTGAATTCCTTGTCTCAAGGGATCCTCCTGCCTTGGCCTCCCAAAGTGCTGGGATTATAGGCATTGAGCCACTGTGCCTGGTTGTCACTTCCTTTAAGCCATGAAGTGTTCACTGGTTTATCATTTATGTTTTAATTTTGTTGATGGTGTTTTGTTTTAAAGCTTACATTTTTATGTAGTCAAATCTATTGATCATTTGTGAATTTCTTCTGTTTCCTTTATGCGTAGAAAAGCCTCTTCCAGTTATGTTTTCATTAATGTATTACTTCTTTTTTTTTAAGAGACACAGTCTCACTATGTTGCCCAGGATAGAGTGTGGTGTCTGTTCGCAGGTGTGATCAAAGAGCACTACAGCCTTGGCCTCCTGGCCTCAAGCCATTCTCTTGTGCCAGCCTCCTGAGGAGCTGGGACTACAGGTACATGCCATTGCACCCGGCTATATTAATAGTCACCTAAATGTTTTTGAGGTCAAGTCACAAATCCACCTGATAGGGTTTTTTTGTTTTTTTGTTTTTTGTTTTTTTTTATGAGACGGAGTCTTACTCTGTCACCCAGGCTGGAGTGCAGTGGTGCGATCTTGGGTCACTGAAACCTCCGCCTCCTGGCTTCAGGCAATTTTCCTGCCTCAGCCTCCTGAGTAGCTACCACGCCCGACTAATTTTTGTATTTTTAGTAGAGACGGGGTTTCACCATGTTGGTCAGGCTGGCTTTGAACTCCTGACCTTAAATGACCGCCTGCCTTGGCCTCCCAAAGTGCTGCTATTACAGGTGTGAGCCAGTGTGCCCGGCCCCACCTTATAGTTCTAGTGGCAGTGGATTGGGAAATTTGTAATCATATGTTTGCATATATTTTGGGCAGTTTTATGACTTAAAGATAGTTATTTTTTTGCTGAAAGAGCCATCAGTGGTTGAATTTTAATCAACATTCGAAGAAAAAAATGATAAACAGGCTGTATAACCAGCCTAGTGCTTCAGCAGCATGTGAGATGCATGGAAGCCCTCCCCACTGAAGCCCTGTTGTGTGTACTTAGGAGTTTGGTATCTTGGTTCAAATACTGGCTTAAAAGCTCAGAAACCTGGATCCTGGTTCTGGCCCTGCTGTTGCCTGTTATAGATTTATGACTTGAGCAGGTCACTTGATTTCTATCAATTCTTTCATCTGTAAAATAATAGGGCTGAATTACATAATCTCTGAGGATAATTCTAGTTGCATAATTCTGACTGTTATCCTTCTGATAAGGAATCATTTCATGTACATTTGGTATCGATAAGTTTTTTATAAAGTTTTAAGTGGCATGAAGGAAGGGAGAGTAGTAACAAGTGAATGAAGTGTGTGGGAGAAAGGAGTGGGTGGGGGAACAGAGAAAGGGAACAAGGAATGAGTCTGCCACAGCCAGTGTATGGCAGATGGCCCAGAAGGAAGCTAGAAGGGGGATAAATCTGAAGTGAGCTGGGAGCTTCATTGGGCTTCGGCTTCTTGAAGGAGGAGTAGTTCTGATCTGGTATAGACAGATGTCCCGAGCGTCAAAAGAAAAGCCTATGGTCAGGGCCAGTAGGAGGGTACTCTGAGAGAAAGAGACTGAAAAATTAGCACATGGTCATGATTATTAGATACCTGCCAAAAGTTATCTCAAAGACAAAGCAATGCAACTATATCAATAGAAACTGGAGCCACAGAAGAGTCTAGGAACCCCGTAATAGACGAGACATCACAGAATGTCAGTTGGCAGTGCCCGTGCCGTGTAGTTGGCCCTCAGACTCCACCTGCCGGGTTGTGGGGCCAGGCATTTACTTTAATGGTAAAGACAGAGGCACCAGGCTTCCACTAAATGTTGGTTGCATACACCTAACTTCCTTTGCTGTCTTCTATGATTCTGAAGAGACTTTCTGATGTTATTTGACCTTGCCATTTGAATTTTTTCACAGATAACTGCAAAGAATAGGTATATTTCTCCTTGTGAATTAATGAATTGCCTTTCTGATTTGTGCTTCTTCTGTGTCTAGATAGTGCTATCCAACCTCCTCAAGTCCAGTTAACTTTAAGACTTTGACAGGTTAAGATTTCTGTATCGGCAAGGTTGACAACCAAACTAGACCTTTTGGTAAATTAAGTTGAAGCCATCTTGGAAAGTCTTCTGGCAGCCAGCCAGCTGGCCTATTCCAATAGCACTCTTTCCCAGATAACATATCACCATCCATCCTTTAGCAGAGACCAGCAGAAAAAACAAGGAGCCTCAAATGCAGGCACTCCTGCCAGGCCACCCAGCAGTCCATCTCTGCCTGTGAGGGATTGGGGAATGATGGCAGTGAGCCCAGAAATACTGTCAGCCAGAGAGATTAAAGTAGTAGTTAAGAACACGGAGCCAGGCACATCTGCATTTGGGCTCTGCTCAAACTTATTAGCTGTGTGGTCTTGTGGGTTATATAACCTTGCTTGACATTAGTTTCCTCATCTATAAAATAGGGATATAATGGTATCTACCTCATTGAGATGTTAGGGGAATTAAATGAGAAAGTGTGTGGAACGTGCTTAGCACAATGCCAGACATTATTACCATGATAGAGCAGTTGATGACCTTGCCAAAGGCATTTGAGAGCCTCAGGGATATGGAAAAGGGCAGAGACCAGTGGATTGGGCAAAAAAGATGTTTTAATCACCTCCTATTCACCCCATCCGAAGAGAGAGGGATTTCCACTGTAGGGTTATGGGGATGCTGAACACATGACACCTGACAGTGGACAGATGAGCTTGACAGCTGTAGTCACATATACTCACAGCCTGGAAGCTGGGATACCACACACCACGTAGGCCCACACGGGAGCTGCACTCGAGAGCAGAGTAAGCCACCGGCGAGGGGCTGTGGGAAGCAGCCTTTGTAGTGTCAAGAGCGGATGGTGCCCCCTGGTTCTGGCCAGAGGATATGATTGGCTTGTTTGAATAATTCCAGGGGCTGGCTGGGAACTGTAACCCACTCACTTCTCAAGAATAAGCAAGAGCTGTACCTGGTCCCCTTAGTAAGGAGGATTGTTTGGGCAGGGGACCTTATCCGTGGAGCACAATGGGGAGGGGTACTTGTGGTAGGCCATTTGAGGCCCTCGAGATTGTACTAGATGTCAAGTAAGCATGTAACTGAGCTGCTTTTTTTTTTTTTCAGAGTCTTGCTGTGTTGCCCAGGCTGGAGTCTGGAGTACACTGGTACAAACATGGCTCACTGAAGCCTCAACCTCCTGGGCTCAAGTGATCCTTCCACCTCAGCCTCCCAAGTAGCCGGGACTATAGGCACAGGCCACCACACCTGGCTAATTTTTTGTGTTTCTTGTAGAGACGGGGGTCTTGCCATGTTGCCCAGGCTGGTCTTGAACTCCTGAACTCAAGTGATCCTCCTGCCTCGGCCTCCCAAAGTGTTGGGATTACAGGCGTGAGCCACTCTGTCCAGCCTCATATTGAGCTTTAATTTTAGACTTTACACCACAAAAGAGAATACTAACCTTGAAATGCTGTTGAATACAGCTTTCAGGGGATCTGAGTAGGAGGCTATGGGAGAGAAGTAGAGGTGTTTGATTCTGTGAGAGACGACAGATGGCATAATGGCTAGAAAGGAAATGTCACAGTAGGTCATATATTGTGTCATGAGCCAAGATATCTTCACTGTGTTCAGTTCAGCATATATTTATTGGCTGGCTGTACCATTCTAGGTCCTTCGAGGCTTAACTAGGTCTGGTTGACCATTTCCTAGATCAAGAGCAGTGTGTCCTGGCACAGGATCCTGTTAGGTCTAGTTACTTTGGCAGCAACTGGCTAAAGCCTGGGGCCCTAGAAGATAGGCTGCTGGAATGCATTCCAAAAGAGTTTGGGTTGGTACCAGGAGGCCACAGAGCTATTTGCCTAAGGCCTGGTTGTTAGGATCCTCCATGTCATATGGATTTATTCCCAGAGATACTTTGGACATTGTTTTTCTGTCTGGAGCCAAGGGCAGGTGCAAAAGAGGGATTTGAGGGTGACTTGTGACTTTCTAGAGGTGAAGTGTTGCTTAAAACATATTTGATAATAATTAGATGTGATTTGAGATTAGGTATTGTTGTACAGCACTTTGCTACTCAGAGATGGTTCCTTGGACCAACAGCAGCTAGGTCACCCGGAGCGTATTAAAAATGAAGAGTCTGAGGCCCCACCCAGAACTTCTGAATCAGAATCTTTTCATTAGCAAGATCCGCAGGTGATTCTTATGCACATTAAAGTGTGAGAAACTGTTCTAGTGGATAAAGGGCATGAGCTTTCGGGTCAGACTGACTGTATGAAAATTTCTGTTCCTCTACTGATTTGCTATATGTCCTTGGGTCTGTTACTTAACTTCACTATCAGGGGCTTATTTGTAAATTGGGTTTAACTGTCTTGCTGGCTTGTTAGTATTAAAGGAGGTGATATGGAGAAAGAGCTTAGAAACATAGTAAGGTACTTAAATATCAGTAGCTATTAGTGGTTATTTGATAAATAATATTCTAGTATTATTTAGAATATGAAAAGAGAGTGCAGGATATCATTAGGGCTGACCCAGCCATGCGATGTGAATTGGTGATTGAGAAAAACATGGTCTCCTGAGCGGATGGGGCAGTGGATGTGTTTGGCTCACTGACCAGTTCCCTCAGGATGAGACTGTAACTGCTCATTTTAAGTAACCAAGCGTTGACAGCTATACTCTTAATGGCTTGTAAGCTCTTAGAAGGGAGAAATTATCTGCAAAAGTGGTAGCTAAATCTTAGCGTTCAGTGAGGCCTTGGCATTATAGAGGAAGGAACCATGTCTTAGGAATTGAACCTGAGTTCGAGTGTGGATTTTGCCATTTATTAGCTCTGTGGCCCTTAACAAGGCAGTTAACATCTCGGAGCCTTAGTCCTCATCTGTAAAACGAGGATAAGTGGGATTATGAGCTGTAAATCCCAGTATATAAGCAAAGTGTTATTAGCATCATCCCTACTTGATATCTACAACAGAGCTCACTAGACAGCCTCCCAAATCCCCAAAGGTGAATTTTATGCCTGATTCACACCCTTCAGAATCTTCAGTGCTGGCATTCTTCAGAGCTGTCCTGGCTGCCTGGATTTCCCAATGACTAGAATAGAATGTACCTTAGGAAGGCATACAGGCCATTCGAGTATCGCTCCAAATCTTGGAGAGTGGAACCGAAGCACACTAGCATTTGGGAAGGAATCATGATGACAGTGAAAGCATTTGAAACAATGATGATACATGTGAGAGATACTATCATGAACCCAGGAGTGTGAAATACAGAAATCTGCATCTCTTACACTCCACATTGTTGCCTTTCAGGCCCTCGGTACAAGAGAACAGACCAAATTACAGCAGCTTTTGAACTTGAGAAATCTGGGCCTACTAAAAGCTACAGTCACCCTTTCCTAACCTTACCAATCCTCCTTGCATCCTCAGAAATAATTGCTAGGAGTTCTCTTTTAACTTAGCTCATCCCTTAGATACCTTACATTTTAAGTCATCTTTTTGTGTGTAGCAAACCCCTCATTTCTTGTTTCTGAATGTGTGATCTTTGCTCTAATTATGTTGAGAGTGCCTGTTATTTCACCTGACTCTGGTTGTTTGTGAGCTGCTAAGTAGCCATGAGGTTAAAACAGACTAGGATCAGAGAGCATCTCAGCCTCTCAGGACCTTAGTTTCCTCCTTTAAAAAGGAAGGAGATTGGACTAAGGTCATTTGGTCATGCAACAAGAGTATGTGATAGATAAAGTAATGAACTTCTGTTCGGTGAAAGCAATGAATAGGGCTCTCCAAGGTCCCTTTCAGCTTTCTGGTTCCAGCAGAGCCCAGGCCTCAAAATAGAAGTCAAGATTTTATTCAGAAGATAGGGATTACCAGTACCAACAATAAAAAAAAAAAAAACAGGTAAGCTTGCATTAAGCTGGAACACCCAAAAAGATGTCTCAGACCACGGGATAGGTCTGCCCATAGGAGGGTGCAGAATTGTTAGGGGAGACAGAATCGAAGACCTTGATCAAGAATTAGAATGACTTTTCTCTCTTGGATATTGAAATACAGAAATCCAGGCAGAGGTGGGTCTAGCTTTTGCTTCATGAACCTCAAACTGTTTATTGGGAGGCAATATATATAGGAAGCCTGTTACTCCTTCCTAGTGCTAATGTGTTTCCCTTATTAGTCCATTCTGCTGGTCACTAGCAAAGCTCTGCTTTAATTATGCTGTTCCTAGTTCAGTGTGCCTTTCTCAGAAAGCAGGCATTTAAGTTCCTCTGGCTATTGTCTGGACTCATGCTCCATACTTCCTCTTACATGGGTGTTTTTGGAGATCTACCTCTGGCCATCCCAGTGTCCATAACAGCGATAGCAGTTACTTATCAGGTGCCTTTCCAAAGCCAGGTGCGGTGCCAGTTGCCTGCAAGCATATGTTATTTCCAGCATATGTGCCAAGTATGTCTCTTTAGGTCTGCGTTCATGTTTCTTCCTTTGTCTGCAATTCTTTTTCTTTTCACCTTGTCTGTTGAAATTAAACCTTGAAATTACCAGCCCTAGTCCTTCCCTTGCCACTCACTGGGATTAATCTGTTTTTTTCTTCTCTCCTTTTCTTCCTTTCCCTCTTCTTGACTCTTGTGGATTGAGTTCTTTTAAGAGTTCTCTTTTCAATCATTCCAGTGTTGGATTCAGGATTGGATTACCATCTCCCTGTGGACAAGGATCTTGTTTTACTTACCTTTCCTTTTGCTCCCACACAGCACCTAGCAAGGTACTGAGTAAATAAATGGTGGGCAGTTGACCCACAAATAGTTAATTATTTATGTATGTTACCACTGATTGGTATGAGGACGTGTGTATTGCTGGCTGAAGACTTAGGGGAAAATTAGTACAATAAATTGGAGAATATCAGGTCCAGTTCCCTGAGGCACAGAAGAGAGCCCCTTACCCTCTAGTAGTAGCGGCAAAGGCTTTTGTCTTG
Organism: Homo sapiens; assembly: GCF_000001405.40. Lineage (NCBI taxonomy): Eukaryota > Metazoa > Chordata > Mammalia > Primates > Hominidae > Homo > Homo sapiens. The sequence continues at coordinate 22,476,024 of NC_000001.11, forward strand.
TTAGGGAACTTGCCAGCAATTGCGGATTACAGAACATCCACTTTATTGATTTAAGCAACGTAGATTGAGACTGTAAATATTTAGTATTATTTTCCTCCCTATTCATTAAAGGGATTCCATGTTTTGTACAAACTTAGTTCTCACTTGTACTTTTTCTGGTTTTTCTCCTGTGTATGACTGTTGTTTCCTTATAACTTAGAGGATCCTCAAAGTTTCTTTTGAGACAGTCTTACTCTGTCAGCCTGGAGTGCAATGGCGTGATCTCAGCTCACTGCAACCTCTGCCTCCCAGGTTCAAGTGATCCCCCACCTCAGCCTCCCGAGTAGCTGAGACTACAGTCACATGCCACTACACCTGGCTAGTTTTTTTTGTGTTCTTTAGAGATGGGGTTTTGCCGTGTTGCCCAAGCTGGTCTTAAACTCCTGGGTTCAAGTGATCCGCCCACCACAGCCTCCCAAAGTGCTGGGATTACAGGCGTGAGCCACCACGCCCAGCCCTCAAACTTTCAAATCCTTTTTGGAAGTAGACAGAATAAAAATTTAAATGAATAAATATTCTTTGTGCTCCTTTTGGAAAGCTGGCCTAGTTTCTACTTTGTGTTGAATTCCCATTTGTGTTTTGGGTCATTATGCGGCACTTGGTTCAGCCAATTAAGTTTCCTCTTTCTAAGTATCTTTATTCTATATCAGTATAGTCTTTTCTTGAGGCTTTAATATTGTTCCTTTGAGGAACATTCATCTTTCTGGTACTCTTCTGTTGCTTAAACGTTCTTCCCATGGGACCTTTGACAATTTTTTCGAGCCTAGCAATTCAGTTAAGTACTTAATAACATAATTTAGGTTCCCTCTATACCTGAGTCTACAGGACTTCGAGATTCCAACATGCAGTGTTCCACTATGCTTTCTTACCTCCGGAAAGTGCCCTTTCACCACATGACATCTAGTGCTATATTCTGTCTCCTCCATTTACTTCCTTGCAAAGAAAGTTAGGCAGAAACAGTAAAATATATATTAGAGACTTTTACATTTCAGTTGGGACATGAGCAAAATATAGTTTAGCCTGTATAGTGTATTTCCATAGCCCCCAAATCACTAGTGTATCCCTCATGATTATATATATTTATTTAATAACAGAATTGTGTTCCTGAAAGTGGTATGAAAATTAATTCTAGTTTAATTGTTTATTTACAGATAAATACTTAAGCTATCAAGTCAGATGGCTAGTTTCAAAACTGTTTAATGAGGATGATTTCATAGCCTTTCTCGGAGCCAATAATAAGAGCTAACACATACAGTGCTTAACAATATGCTAGGCACTGTTTTAAGTGTGAATACACCCACACACTAATAAGCAACATAGAGCTGGCTTTTAAGAAATACAGTTTTGGGAGGCCAAGGTGGGCAGATAATGAGGTCAAGAGATCGAGACCATCCTGGCCAACGTGGTGAAACCCCGTCTCTACTAAAGATACAAAAATTAGCTGGGCATGGTGGCACGCGCCTGTAGTCCCAGCTACTCAGGCAGCTGAGGCAGGAAGATAGCTTGAACCCGGGAAGCGGAGGTTGCAGTGAGCTGAGATCGCGCCACTGCACTCCAGCCTGGTCATCAGAGCGAGACTCTGTCTCAAAAAAAAAAAAAAAGAAAAGAAAAGAAAGAAAGCTAATTAAGATGGTAGAAATAAGTCCAAATATATTACTCATCATAATAAATAAATATTAAAGTCTCTTATTAAAAGGCTGGCCTCAAACTCCTGATCTCAAGTGATCCTCCCGCCTCGGCCTCTCAAAGTGCTGGGATTAACAGGCGTGAGCCAGCGTGCCCAGCCATCTTAATTTGTTTTTTGTTTACCGTACTTTTCTTGCCTTCCTTCTTCCCCTTTCCCACCTACTACTGGATTAATCACATTTTCTTTATTCTCTTTTATACCTCTTGTTTGTAAATATTCAGTTTCTATTCCCTTGTATCCTTGTACATAAACGTACATAGTTTACTTAATAGAGGCTAAAGGTGTTATTTTGTCGTCCTTGACTCTTAGAACACCCTAACTTTAGTTTCTCTCACTTTTTGTGTTGTTGTTGATTTTTAATTTCAGAGAGACAGTGGATTACAGTGTTTAACAGTACAGAACTCCGTGTCAGACTGCCCAGTTTTGAACCCCACACTGCCACATACTAGCCGTGTGGCCCTGAGTGAGTTATGTAACCTCTCTGTGCTATAATTTTCTTTTTTTTTTCTTTTTTTTGAGACGGAGTCTCGCTCTGTCGCTTAGGCTGGAGTGCAGTGGTGCCATCTTGGTTCACTGCAAGCTCCGCCTCCTGGGTTCACGCCTTTCTCCTGTCTCAGCCTCCTGAGTAGCTGGGACTACAGGCGCCTGCTACCACGTCCGGCTAATTTTTTATATTTTTAGTAGAGACGGGGTTTCACCGTGTTAGCCAGGATGGTCTTGATCTCCTGACCTCGTGATCTGCCCACCTCGGCCTCCCAAAGTGCTGGGATTAAGGCGTGAGCCACCGTGCCCGGCTCTGTGCTGTAATTTTCTTACCTATAAAATGGAGATGATGAGTACCCACTTCATAGGGTTGTTGAAAGGATTAAATGAGTTAATATACGCAAAGCATTTAGAACAGTGCCTGGCACATAGTAAGCACTCATTATGTGGTAGCTACTATGATTGTCATTATTCTACTTTGTTTTTAATCTCCCCTTCCCATACTCATTTTTAGATGTTGGTGCATTTTAGATATATTAACATATTAAGTAATTTTTAAATTGAGATATAATTAACATACATTACAATAATCTTAAGTGTTCTATTTGAAGAGTTTTGACAAATATCTACTCTTGTAACCATGACCCAAAATAAGATGTAGAACATTTTTCCATTCTCATGGAAAGTTTCTTGGTGTCTCTTTACATGTAATGTTTTTACTACTCACAGCACCTCTAGGACCACTGTCTGGTTTTTATCATGGTAGATTAGCTTTGCCTGTATTTCTACTTTCTATAAGTTGGATCATATAGTATGTACTCTTTTGTTTCTGGCTTCTTTGACATAACATGTTTTTAAAATTTTATCTGTGTTCTTGCATGTATAATAGTTCAGTCTTCATTATAAGAAATTGCCAATCTGTTCTTCAAGTAGGTGTACCATTTAATCACTTCCACCAACAGTGTATGAGAGTTCTGGTCACTCAACGTTCTCACCAACATTTGGTGTTATCAGTCTTTCTGATTTTAATTATTTTAGTGGAGATGATGTTTGATAATTCTTTTGTTTGCTGCTTGCTATTTTTTTCTTAGCATATTTATCCCTTCTTTCTGGTTCAGTTTCCTTCTTATAGTAATTCTTTCAGTGACAGTCTCTGAGTCTTTTATGTTTGTTTATAAAGTCAGCCTGACCTGATAGTTTATCATATAAATACTTGGTTGATTGGTGTTTTCCTTAATATTTGAAAACTGTTGCTCCATTTTCTTTTTACATCTATTATTATTAATGAGAAGTCTGTATCAGCCTAGTTGTCATTCTTTTGTAAATAATGTGTTTTCTCTTGGTTTGCTTAAATATCTTTTTCTGTGTTGATATTTTGAAGCTTTTATTCTTAAAACTCATTCTTTAATTCTAGAAAATTCCTAGATATGTCTTCAAATTGCTTCTCCCACATGTTCTCCAGTGTCTCCAGCTGGAACACCTATTAGATGCATGTTTGGCTCTCTCATTTATCTTCTATGTCCCTTAACCTCTTTTTCATATTTTCTTTTTAACTGCTACCTTATAAGCAGTTTTCTCAGACTTTTCTTCCTAATCACACATTTTTTCTTTAGCTTCATCTAATCTATTCATCCATTGATGGATTTCAGTGACTTAATTTTGTAGTCCTGTAAGTTCTTTGTTTTTTTGGGGGGGACAGAGTCTCACTCTGTCGCTGAGGCTGGAGTGCAGTAACACCGTGTCAGCTCACTGCAACCTCCGTCTCCTGGGTTCAAGCAATTCTCCTGCCTCAGCCTCCTGAGTAGCTGGGATTACAGGCACCCCCCCACCACGCCAGCTAGTTTTTATATTTTTAGTAGAGACGGTGTTTCGCCGTGTTGGCTGGCTGGTCTCGAACTCCTGACCTCGAGTGATCCACCTGCCTCGGCCTCCCAAAGTGCTGGGATTACAGGCGTGAGCCACTGCGCCCAGCCAGGAATTTCTTATATATTCTAGATATCAATTCCTTATTGCCTTTAAACTTTGCAAATATCTGCCATTTCTGTCATTTGTCCATCTGTCTCTATTATCCTTTGACAGAAACCTTTAATACCTATACAGTCAAATTTATTTTCTTTTTTCAGCTTTCGGGGCATTGTTTCAGAAGTCTTTGCCTTCTGTTTCAAAGGTCCCCTCTGACATTTTCTGCTATTAGCTTTTATAGATTTACTTTTCACATCCAGGTCTTCCTCATGTGGTTTGTAATTATGAGCTTCTTTTCTGTGTCGTTGTTGTTGTTGTTGTCGTTTTTTGTATTTTTAGTAGAGACGGGGTTTCATCGTGTTAGCCAGGATGGTCTCGATCTCCTGACCTCGTGATCTGCCCGCCTCGGCCTCCCAAAGTGCTGGGATTACAGGCGTGAGCCACCGCGCCCTGCCCTTTTCTGTGTTTTTCTTTTTCTCTATGTGAGTCCCTGTGTTTTTTCTGCTGCATGCTAGAGACCAGTTTTTATGTTAATTTCTTGACTTGAGATTCCTGTATGATACAGAGTATAAATTTGGATGCTATACCTCTGTATGGCATAGACATGCATTTTACCTTTTTTCCTGCTGATGGCCTAGATAATAAGCAACTTTTATTGCTGTTTCCCTGAGCCAGTGAGCAGATTTTTGAGACTGCATATCAAGGAAGGATCAGCATTTGAGGCTCTGGGCTTTATGCAAGGGTCTCAGTGCTAACTCCCCACCTTCTACCTGCCTGAAGCTACATTTGCAGTCTCCATGTGAGTATTAATGCTTCCTCCTCCCAGCTTAGGGCCTGTACAGGAGTTTGAAACCCCTGTAGGCCACCATGGTCTCAATTCCCACTTACTGTTCTAGCTTTGATTTTGATGTTTCTTTCATTTCAGGTACCTAGGGATTTCTTTTCTTTAATTTTTTTTCAAGCCTATGTATTTTAAAAGCATTTTTATGTTTTATCCAGCATTTCTGTGTATTTGTAGTGGGAGAAAAAGAGCCATTTACTTCAGCTCAGTGTGCCATTTTGCCAAAAGTCTGTTTTTTAATTATTATTGCATTAATCTCAGTAAATTTTCAATTTTAGACATTGCCAACTTAGATTCATTATGTAGCCATTGACCACCCTTGAATGTTTTAGGCCTTAACGGTTCCCATTTTCCTTTCATTGCTCAAGCTTATAATCACCTTTTTAGTATCTATATATTGGTAAGCCAGATAATTAGGTTCAGTTTTCTTTTTAACCTTGCCCAGTTGCTCATTCTGCTGAAGTTTTTCTTTTTCTCTTCTTATTTAGTTGTTCACAAAAACATTAAATAGCTCTGACCACATAATGCTTGAAATATCTCCCTCTGCATCTTGGGTGAATCTTCTCTTGTTTAATCTGATGTGGGTACCCTCCCCAGAAACTTAAAAGCAACCTTTTAAGTTTGAGTCTATCCCGAAAATATAATTCCAGTCACTTGTTTCTTACTAATAAGAATGTTTAAAAAGATCTAATGTATGTCCAGGTAAGTCTTTTGGTTTACTGTAATCCGTAAGACTTATGTCTTGTTTTACCAAAAAAAAAAAAAAAAAAAAAAAAAAAATCACATTACATTGGTGTAATTTGTTTCTTAGAAAAACCTCATCAGTGCCTGTTTATGGTCTTTTGTTATTTGCAAATTGAATTCTTGTTCAGATTTTTCTCAAATATTAATTTAAATATTTATTTAAATATTAAAACTAGAAAAAAATGTTTTTCTAGTTTTAAATCTTATGGAATTTTCCCCTCCTCTTTCCATAAAACACCAAGAGATAAAAATTCCAGTCGCCTACTAGAGCTACTTCTATTAGATAAAAGCCACTTACCTCCTAGGACTGTTCTTCATTTGTTTAAAAATATATGTGCATTTTTATAATATAGATTAAAACAGACTGTATTCAAAAAGTAGGGGTAGACATTCTTAAAGATTTTCTTTGAGCAAGCTGAAAACAATCATATGAATTCATGAATGCCCAACAATATTAGGTACATGGTATAGAAGGGGCTTGGGGTAGTTAGAACTGAAACATTTATATTTATTTCAGCAAATCTTTATTTTAATTAATAAACTATTTTTTTAGAGCAGTTTGAGGTACATGCAAAATTAAGCGGAAATTACAGAGGGTTTGCAGATCCCTCCCCACTCCCATTCTCCACACATGCACAACCTGTCCCACCATCCATGTCTCACACCATATTGGTACATTTCTTATAATTGATGAACCTACATTGACACATAATTCTTACCCGGAGTCCATAGTTTACATCAGGGTTCACTGTTGGTGTTGTGCATTCTGTGGGTTTTGACAAATGTATAATGACTTATATTTGCCATTGTAGATTCATGAAGAATAATTTCACTGCCCTAAAAATCCTCTGTGCTTTGCTTATTCATCCCTCCCTCTCCTCTAACCCCTGGCGATCACTGGTCTTTTTTACTATCTATATATTTACCTTTTCCAGAACGTCATATATTTGGAATTATAAAGTATGTAGCATTTTCAGATTGACTTCTTTCACTTAGAAATATGCATTTAAGGCCGGGTGCGGTGGCTCACGCCTGTAATCTGTAATCCCAGCACTTTGGGAGGCCGAGGCAGGTGGATCACGAGGTCAGGAGATCGAGACCATCCTGGCTAACACAGTGAAACCCGGTCTCTACTAAAAATACAAAAAAATTAGCCAGGCGTGGTGGCGGGCGCCTGTAGTCCTAGCTACTCGGGAGGCTGAGGCAGGAGAATGGTGTGAACCCGGGAGGCAGAGCTTGCAGTGAGCCGAGATCACGCCACTGCACTCCAGCCCGGGCGACAGAGCAGGACTCCGTCTCAAAAAAAAAAAAAAAGAAATATGCATTTAAGTTTCCTCCCTGTCTTTTCATGGCTTTATGTCTCATATCTTTTTAGCACTTTTTAGTCCATTGTCTGGATGTACCACAGTTTATTCATTATATCTACTTCTTGGTTGCTTCCAAATTTTGGCAATTATGAATAAAGCTGCTTTATAAGTATCATGTGTAGGCTTTTGTGTGGCCATAAGTCTTCAACCCCTTTGGTTAATTACCAAGGAATGTGATTACTAGATCATGTGGCAAGAGTATGTTTGGTTTTGTAAGAAACTGTTAATCTGTAGAATGTCTGTACTATTTTGCATTCCCACCGGCATTGAATGAAAGTTCCTGTTTCTCTACATCCTCGTCAGCATTTAGTATTCCCTGTGTTTTGGATTTTGGTCATTCTGATAGGTGTGTGATGGTATCTTGTTTTAATTTGCAATTCTCTAAAGACATACCATGTACAACATCTTTTCATTTGCTTATTTGTCATCTGCATATCTTCTTTGATGAGGTGTCTGTTCAGGTCTTCTGCTATTTTTTAATTGGGTTGTTTTCTTATTGTTGAGTTTTGAGAGTTCTTTGTGTATTTTGGATAATAGTCTTTTATCAGGTGTGTTTTTTGCAAATATTTTCTCCCAGTCTGTGGCTTGTCTTTTCATTCTTTTGACATTGTCTTTCATGGAGCAAAATTTATTTCTGTCATGGATTGTGCCTTTGGTGTTGTACCTAAAAAGACTGCCATAGCCAAAGTCAACTAAGTTTTCTCCTATGTTAACTTCTAGGAATTATAATTTTGTATTTTACATATAGGTCTCTGATGTATTTTAAGTTAATTTTTGTGAAGGGTGTAAGGTCTATGTCTAGATTCATTTTTTCGTATGTGAATGTCCAGTTGGTTCCAGCATCACTTGTTGAAAAGATACTCTTTGCTTCATTTTAGTGCCTTTGCTCCTTTGTCAAAGATGAATTGACTATATTTGTGTGGGTCTGTTTCTGGGCTTTCTGTTCTGTTCCACTGGTCTACTTGTCTATTCTTTCACCAATACCACATTGTCTTCATTATTGTAGCTTTAAAATAGTAAATGTTGAAGTCATTATCAGTCCTCCAACTTCAGTCTTCTCCTTCAATATTGAGTTAGCTATTTTGGTCATGGGGAAGATCTGAGTCTCTGAAAATATTGAATATTTCTATCTAACAACATGGGATATCTCTCCATTTTTAAAGTTCTTTGATATCTTTCATCAGAGTTTTGTTGTTTTCTTCATATAGATCTTGTACATATTTTGTTAGATTTATACCTAAGTATTTCTCTTTTTGGGGTGCTAGTGTAAATGGTAAAGTTTTTAATTTCAAATTCTACCTTATTGCTGGTATATAGGAAAACAATTGGCTTTTGTATATTAACCTTATGTCTTACAACTTTGTTATAATCTCTTATTAGTTCCAGGAGGTTTTTTGTCATTTCTCTTTAATTTTCTGTAAAGACAATCATGTAGTCTGCAAACAAAGACAGTTTTAACTTCCTTCCCAATCAGTATACCTTCTATTTCCTTTTCTTGTCTTGTTGCATTAGCTAGGACTTCCAGTACAGTGTTTAAGATCAGTGGTGAACTGGGATATCCCAGCCTTGTTTATAATCCCAGCAGGAAGACTTTGAGTTTCTCACCATTATGAGTGATGCCAGCTGTAGGTTTTTTGTAGATGTTCTTTATGAAGTTGAGGCAGTTCCCCTCTATTTCTAGTTTGTTGGAGTTTTTATCATGAATGGGCATTGGATTTCTGCCAGATGCTTTTTCTGCAGCTTTCTGTTGACATGTTCACATGATTTTTCTTCTTTAGCCTGTTGATGCGATGGATCACATTAATTGATTTTGAATGTTGAACCAGCCTTGCATACCTGTGAGAAGTCCCATTTGGCTATGATGTATAATTCTCTTTAGGCATTGTTAGAGTCAAGTTGCTAATATTTTGTTGAGGATTTTTGCATCTATCTTAACGAGAGATACTGGTCTGTGGTTTTCTTTTCTTGTAATGTCTCTGTGTGGTTTTGGTAGAGGGTTAATGTTGGCCTCAAAGAATGAGTTGGGAAATATTCCCTCTGCTTCTATCTTCTGGAAGAGTTTGTAGAGAATTGGTATAATTTCTTTCTTAAATATTGGGTGGAACTCATTAGTGAACACATCTGGGGCTGTTGCTTCCACTTTGGGGAGGTTATTGTTGATTCACCTACTTTAATAGATATAGGCCTATTCAGATAGTCTATTGCTGCGTGTGTGAGTTTTGACAGATTGCATCGTTCAAGGAATTGGATCATTTTATTTAGGTTATATTTGTGGACATTCATAAATTACCTTATATTTTTAATGTATATGGGGTATACAGTGATACTGATATTAATAAATTGTATTGTCTATTTTTTTTTCTTTGTTACCATGGCCATCTTTGATTTTCTGACATTTGAAAACTATATGCCTAGGCTCAATGTCTTGAGTTTCCTGGATCTGTGATGTGGTGTCTGTCATTAATTTGGGGAAATTCTCAGTCATTATTGCATCAAATATTGCTGCTTTTCTCTCTTCCCCTTCTGGTGTCCCCATTTTGCATTAGTTATTTCTTTTCTAGTCTTCCCACTGTTAGATATTCTGTTCTGTTTTCTTCTTCTTTTTTTACTTTGCTTTTTCGTTTTGGATTGTTACGTCTTCAAGCTAGGAGATTCTTTCCTCAGTCGTGTCCAGTCTACTAATGAGCTCATCAAAGGCAGTCTTCATTTCTGTTATGGTGTTTTTTATCTCTAGCATTTCTTTTTGATTCTTTCTTAGAATTTCCATTTCTCTGCTTACATTATCCATCTATTCTTACATGTTTTGTACTTTTTCCATTAAAGCCCCTGGCTATTTAATCATAGTCTTAAAAAAAAAAAATCCTGGTGTGCTAATTCGGACATTCTTGCTATATCTGAGTCTGGTTTTGAAGTTTGCTCTGTCTCTCCAAACTGTTTTTGGGTTTTGTCTGTTTGTTTGTCTTTTAGTATGCCTTGTAATTTTTTGTTGAAAGGTGGACATGATGTACTGCATAAAAGGAACTGCTATAGCTAGGCCTTTAGTGATGTGGTAGTAGGGTGCAGGGGAGGAGAAGCTTTCTGTAGTCCTGGGATTCAGTCTCAATCTTTTGGTGAGCTTGTGCCCCTGGGCTGTGAACTTCCCAAGTGCTCTCAGGCTTTTTTGCTCCTTAGATGGTACAGGATGGCTAGAGGGAGCTGGAGTTGGGTATTTGTTTTTTTCCAGGTAGGTTAGGCTCTGAGAAAACTGTAGCCAGTTAGGCTCTTGTAAAATAGTTTTCTTGAAGGCAGGCCTTGTTAAAAACAGAGTGCTCTGGCAGATTTCAAAATGGTTCCTTTTCCCTCTCCCGCTGCTGGAAGCAAGAGGGGATTTTTCTTCACTATTCGTTGTGAGGACTTGTTAGAGCTCTAGGAGGTAAAGCTCACAGAAGTGTTGGGGGACCCCTATGACTGAGTCCCCCCCAGAGTTTTTAACTCTCAGAGTTGTGCACACTGAGCCTCCAGTGATTCGATTGCAGTTCAGGTTTTCTTAACCTGGCACTTGTTCCTACAGAGGCGTTTGTTCATACATTTTTTTTGTTTTGTTTTGTTTTGTTTTGTTTTGTTTTTTGAGACGGAGTCTCCCTCTGTTGCCCAGGCTGGAGTACAGTGGCATGATCTGGGCTCACTGCAGCCTCTGCCTCCTAGGTTCAAGTTATTCTCCTGCCTCAGCCTCTGAATAGCTGGGGTTCCAGGTGCCCGCCACCATGCCTGACTAATTTGTGTAATTTTAGTAGAGACGAGGTTTTGCCATGTTGACCAGGCTGGTCTCGAACTCCTGACCTCAAGTGATCCGCCCGCCTCAGCCTCCCAAAGTGCTGGGATTACAAGCGTGAGCTGCTGCGCCTGGCTTGTGTTTTTTGTTCAATAAGTTGTGATTCTCTGTGTCTGCCTGTCTGTCTCTAATTTTAGGAACAGTGATTTGCCCTGTGACCTTTCTTTTCTGACGAATTAAAGAAGAGTTGTTGATTTTTCAGTTTGTTCAGTCTGTTTGCTTTTAGGACGTGGTGACTTCTAAGCTCCTGACATACCAGAATGGAAACTGGAACTCTGAAATATTTTTATTTATATTTTTATCTGTCAATTTCAGTGTCAGTAAATGTAGAAATGGTGGAGTGGAAAGAGAATCATCCATAATCCTCTAACAAAAGCAATTACTGGTTTTTTGACATATGTCTTTCCGCCCTTTTCTTAGCGTACTTTTTTCTTTTACAAGTGAGATTACATAATTTCCTCAAACATCCTCAAAGATAAGATCCTCAAACCCAAAACTGAACTAGATGTCTCTTCCCCTAAACTGTCTGTTCTTGTATTATCTGGATCATCTTATCATCCACCCATTCACCAAGCCAGGAACCTGGGAATTGTTTCTCTCTGTCCTTCACATCCATTCAGTCCCTAAGTCATGACAGCTATACTTTGCAATGTTTTTTTGGCTCTCTCCTATTACCAGTTCTCCTGCTTGAAGCCCTCATTGATTTTCTCCTGATCTCCTGCAATAATAGAGCCCGTCTCCAGCATTATCCCCCTCAAATTCTGTACACATGTTACTTAGGTGGTATATTTAAAATGCATATCTGACCACATGACTTTGCTGCTTAAAGCCTTTCAAATGCCTCAATGGCTGCTCATTGCTTTTAGGATAACCTCCAAGCTCGTAAGCATGGCCTATATATCCCTCTGTGGCCAACACCCCTGCCTGCCTCTCCAGATTCATCTCTTAACACTCCTATTCCCTGCTTTATGTTCCAGTAATAATCTCAGTTCCTAATCCTCCTGCCTGCTACCACGGGATGTTTTCTTATCTGCATGCCTCATGCAGGCGTCCCTGCCAGGATTGCCTTTTCCTCCCATTCTTTTTACCTCATCTGTGCGTCCGTATCTTTTAAGACACAGGTCAGCTGTTTTTCCCTCAAAGCTTTACTCTAACTCCTGGACTCTCCTATCCCCCAAACTGTGTTTGTGTGTACAAATCCATCATTATGTTGCCTTTTAGTTATTTATTCATTCTACCAAGTAATCAACAGTATTTGTGTTAAGCAGAATTTTAAGCACTGGGATACAGCAGGTGATAAAATTAAGTTCTTACCCTAATGGAGCTTACATTCTAGTGAAGGAAGATAGATAATAACAAATAAAAATATAGTATGTCAGTAGGCGATAAGTGCTATGCTGAAAAACAAAGCAGACGAAGGAGCGGGATGTTCTGAGGTTGGAGGGGAGGTTGCTTGTTGAAAAAACATGGTCAGGAAAGGCCTTACTGCTAACATGGCCTCTGAGCAAAGGGCTGGTAGAAATGAGCCAGCCAGCCAGGCACAGATATACTAAGCATGCTCAGCCCTGAGTCAGAGAACGCAGAGCATGCTTAGTATATTCCCAGGTCAGCAAGGAAGGCAGAGTTCTCAGAGCAGAATGGGTGAGGGGGAGAGTGAGTGGTAAAAGATGAGGTTAGGAGCCGATGACAGCCAGATCATGATTAAAGGCTTGCTAGGCCATTGTAAGAACTTTGACTTTTACTCTAAGACTGGAAGCCATTTAAGGCTTTTTGTGCAAAGCAGCAGCAAGATCTGGCTGTGTGTTAAGTAGATTGCTCCGCCTACTGGGTTGAAGATAGGATGAGGTAGGGGTAGCAGTAGGGGAGGATGGAGGCATGGAGGCTAATTAGGAGGTTGCTGCAGTAATCTAGGTAAGAGATGATGGCAGTTTGGACTGACTAGAGAGGAGCCAGTGAAGGAAATTAGCGGTTGGATTTTGGATATGTTTTGAAGGTAGAGCCAACAGGATTTATAAAGGATTGGATATAGCGTATGAGAAAAAGCAAAAGTCAAGGATGACTTGGTTTTAGTCTGAAGAACTAGAAGGACAGAATTGCTGTGAGGTGGGAAAGTGGCAGGAGAGTTTTGGATATGTTACGTTTCAGAAACCAGGTTCCAGTTGGAGATGTTGAATAGGTAGTTGGAGGTCTACATCAGGAGTTCAGAGGAACAGGCTGAGCCAGAGACATAAATCTGAAAGCTGTCAGCATTTAGATGATATTTCAAAGCTATGGAATCAGAAGAGAGGGAAGGTAAGAGGCGGGATGACTGGGTCCTCGAGCACTCCAAGCTTTAAAGGCTGCGCTGATGCAGAGGACTCAACCAAGGAGACTGGGAAGGCATGGCTAGTGAGTGAGAAGGAGAACCAAGTGAAAAATGTATTTTCAGAGGAAGAGAATGATGACCTCCGTCCCTTGTTAGGGCTAGACTGAATAAGCCAAGGACATTGTATTGTAAGTCTCCGTCTACATATTTATCTCCTCTAGGTGGCTGAGAGCTTTTTGGGAGCAGGAATGGTAGTGTAGTTAGAGCTTCGAAGTCAGTGAGATGGCTGTTTTTCCTTAGGGTGATTCTCTTGGTCCTTCAAAGCTCCAATCTCATCTGTAAAATGGGGAGGAAATAATATCTTTTCCACTGAATCGTTGTGAGAATCAAATGAGACCGTCCATACAAAGCATTATGCACAGTCTCTTTCATATATTTAAACACATAATGATAATGATCATTACTGATTTAGTATACCTGGCATACTGTCCCTTCCTATTAAGCAATATTTGTTGGATGAATGAGTGAAATGCCTTTCTGTTCATTTAGCGTTTCATTCAAGGCCTTTCCCTATGGTTTTTTGAAGTTTTAACCTGGTATTTTGTGGGTTTCTCTAGGGCCTGTCCTCCCAAAGCCAACTCTAAGGAGAGGAGAGGAAGAGCAGTTCTTGGGGCAGAGTTGACGCAATGGAGCTCCCCAACTACAGCCGGCAGCTGCTGCAGCAGCTGTACACTCTGTGCAAGGAGCAGCAGTTCTGTGATTGCACCATCTCCATTGGTACCATTTACTTCAGGGCTCACAAGCTTGTCCTGGCTGCTGCCAGCCTCCTGTTCAAAACCCTGCTGGATAACACAGATACCATCTCCATCGATGCATCTGTGGTGAGCCCCGAGGAGTTTGCGCTCTTGTTGGAAATGATGTACACGGGCAAACTACCTGTGGGCAAGCACAACTTCTCCAAAATCATCTCCTTAGCAGACAGTCTACAGATGTTTGATGTAGCTGTTAGCTGCAAAAATCTTCTGACCAGCCTTGTAAACTGCTCGGTTCAGGGTCAGGTGGTAAGGGATGTCTCTGCGCCATCCTCAGAGACATTCAGAAAGGAACCAGAGAAGCCTCAAGTAGAAATCCTTTCATCTGAAGGTGCTGGAGAGCCTCATTCTTCCCCAGAGCTTGCTGCCACTCCAGGGGGCCCTGTGAAAGCTGAGACTGAGGAAGCAGCCCATTCAGTTTCACAAGAGATGAGTGTGAATTCTCCCACAGCCCAGGAGAGCCAGAGGAATGCAGAAACCCCAGCGGAGACTCCTACTACAGCTGAAGCTTGTTCCCCCTCCCCTGCTGTGCAAACCTTTAGTGAGGCAAAGAAGACAAGCACAGAACCAGGTAACAGTCATTGTTTTATATTCCATCCTTCTGTTTTCAATGATCTTTATCAGTTTTAATGTTTGATTAATAAATTTATCAAAGACCACTGTTAGGTAGAAAACCAAAATTCAGTGCAGTACCGTACTGGGCCATTCTTTTAAAAGTGTCTGTGTTTTTGAACATTGAAAGTCCAAACATGAACTACAGAGCAGAAAAGCAGTATTGGAATAATGACGTACCATTTCGATAATTATCTGTTTCGTTTTGTTTTGTTTTGTTTTCTCTCGAGACGGAGTCTTGTTCTGTTGCCCAGGCTGAAGTGCAATGGCATGATCTCAGCTCACTGCAACCTCCGCCTCCTGGGTTCAAGCAATTCTCCTGCCTCAGCCTCCTGAGTAGCTGGGATTACAGGCATGTGCCACCACGCCCAGCTAATTTTTTGTATTTTTAGTGGAGATGGGATTTCACCATGTTGGCCAGGCTGGTCTCGAATTCCTGACCTCATGATCCACCCGCCTCAGCCTCCCAAAGTGCTGGGATTACAGGCGTGAGCCACCGTGCCCTGCTGATTATCTGCTATTTTAACCAGGCTGAGGACAGCACAAAGGAGGAAGCTGTGAGAGATACTGTTGTCTGTTATTCATAACTGATGTGCTAGACAGAGATCAGTTAAGTGCAGTATATGACCTGAAGGTGCTCAGACAGCTTAAACTTGTAAAAATTTATTTCAAGTAATGAATTTCTGATTTGTTTTATTTTGTTCTACATTTAGGATGTGAAAGGAAACACTACCAGCTGAATTTTCTTCTAGAAAATGAAGGTGTCTTCTCAGATGCACTCATGGTTACCCAGGATGTTTTAAAAAAACTAGAAATGTGTTCAGAAATTAAAGGTCCACAGAAGGAGGTAGGCACCTCTGACTTTTGTACTTGTTTGCTAGTTTAGTGTTCTCAGGATACCTTACTAACTTTTTATATGGGGCAGAAATAGCCCAGGGTTTCAATGTTTTGAAACTTTAATTTTTTTTTTTTTTTGGACATTTATTCCCTAAAGGGCAGTCTTGCAAAAGTACTTAGGCAGGATACTTTCAAAATGACATTACATCTTGATCACCAGGAGAATCCTAGCTTCTAACCAGTTTTGATCCAGAATACTTAACTGATCATACCATTTACTCCTGATTAATCACAGATAAGATTAAGAAGGTAGCCATGTATAACCTCAAACCTGAGACTTAAACCATTAAAATTAAAACAAAACAACAGATACTCAAAACATGAACAAAAAGGACTTTATATAAACTTATAAATTATTGGTAAAATGCATCTAATATTTAGGAATAACAGTGGCCATTTTCAGACATAAAAACAGTAATAGTAAACATTCAACGAACACTTCCTGTATTAAGCTTGGCATATGTGTTACCGCATTTAATTTTCACAAAAATCATCAGTGTGAGTATTATTGTTAAGTCCTGTTTTATGCATGAGAAAACTGTCTCAAAGAGGTGGTGTAATTTGGCGAAGGTCACAGAGCTCATATGACCCTGAGCCAGAATTGAAACCTCAGCATTCTAACTTTAGAGCTGCTCCCTTACACACTGAGTTTATACTGCCTCCCAACAGGGTAAAAGTGATGCATATATATATAAGTGCTTAGGAATCGCCTGACAGGAAACTGCCAAATGGCTATCATGCTTTCTTAGCTGACCTCTTTTTTTAAGTAACTCAGTTGAGACGCATTTCCACCTGTGTGATCTCTCAATACTTGATTCTTCACACCTGACCCTGCAGGATTCGACTCCACAACCAATTTAGAATTCCATTTATTTCCCTTTTCTCCCAGCCCTGCTTCCCCTTTCTGAGAGGCTGCTGGCAGAGTGAGAGGGCGCTGCCCCGGCAGGCTTGCTCCTCTGATTGGTAGGGGGTAGTGTGGGCCGATCCTCCCATGTTGCTATAGGCAATTTTGTATTAGTCCAAGTAATACATGCCTTCTAATAATTAAATGTTTTCCTGATTCATAGCAACTTTTTTAAAAAACAAATTCAAGGTCTAGTATTTATTTTAGCTGTGTTAACTGACAGTCGACTATACATTGTTTTCTTGGGAGACAAGCTATTTACAAGGCTAGGCTAACCCTGATGACTCTCTTTGGGAGGTTTCAAGTCATAAATCCTTGGTACTCTTTGTACTGATTATGCTGAAGGACATTATGGTTTTATATTTTTGCACTTGCGTGTTCTCTTAACTGTTCAATCCATCATTTTTGTCATTAGTTTGTTACCTTGATAGCTTCTAAACACACCTCTTCATTTTCTCTTAAAGCTTCCTCTCCACTTAACTTTGGCTACAGAGGAGTAACGTTATTCCTTAGATCAGCAATACTCAAGTTATTAGTGTCACCTTTATACTTAGTTGAACTGTGTCTTATGCATTTTTTTTAACATTGGTACCTAAAAGTATGTGGCATGTAACAGGTGATGAAGAAATGTCTGTTATACATGCATTCGTTCAACATTTCTTTTTTTCCATTTCTTGTTCTAATCTTTTGATGGCAATATCATTAATATACTTCAAAAGAACACTGATTTGCTGTTGGTGATCATTATAGGCTTATGTTATTTCTTCCTCAGTTTTAGAGGTCAGAGTAGGAGCTCTGCAAATCACTTGGTGGCTGTTTTTAAAGCCAATTCTGTTACAGTCCATAACCTTTGAACTTCAGAAAGAAAAAGGGAACAGATACTTTAAGAATATAAGATTAAATAGAGAGTTAGGGAGATGCTGCTTTGTACTTCGGCCTCTACTTCTCTCTCTCTCTGTCTCTCTCTCATACTTTGTTTCAGACAGCCTTGTTGAGCTATGACTGACATGCAGTAACCTGTAGCTAGGTATGGTGTACAGTGTGATTAGTTTTGGTATATGCCCTGAAACCATCACCACAGTTAAGATGGTAAACATCTCCATCACCCCCAAAAGTTTCTTCTTGTCCCTGTGTACTACCCCTCTCTCCTGCCCCTTCCACTTACCCATGCCCTGGGTAACCACTGGTCTGCTTTCGGTCACTGTACGTAAGTTTGTATTTTCTAGAGTATTGTATAAATGGAGTCATATGGTGTGTATTTTTTGTCTGGCTTTCATTGAGCGTAAGTATCTTGAGATTCACCCATGTTTTTTTTTTTTTTTCCTTTTTTCTTTTTCTGTGAATTCTACAGAGGTACGCCCCTAGTGTTGTGTGTTCATTCCTTCTTATTGCTGAGTTGTATGCATTGTGTGGATATACAATTCATTTATCCACCTCTACTATTTACTAGCATTGTGACTTTAGGCAGCTTCATCTTTATAAGCCTCAGTGTCCTCGTTTGTAAAAAGGGGATACTATCACCTACATCATGGGGTCATTGTGAATTAAGATTATTTATATAAAACTCATAGTAAAATGCCAGGCACTCAGTAGGAGGTCAGTAGGTAACAACTGCTATTGTTTGTTTTTACATTAACTCAGTATTTTTAGACCTAACAGACCTTGAAACCCCCTTTTCACTGAATGTCTTATAATATCCTGGTGCCATGGCCATTTACTCTGACACGAGATGGTTTGCTGTTACTTTAAGCTTAATTTGTAAGGCATGCTTTCAGATAGGTACCACCATCCACTTGGAAGTAGCTTCCTAAACTGCAAGGGCAGTGTCTAGTCTGAAGCAATCACTTTCTAGAACAGTGTCTAGAGGAAGTAGCTTCCTGTACTGCAGGGGTAGTGTCTAGTACGTAGCAATCAGTCTCTAGCAATGTATAGAAAAATCATCTGAGGTGCTTGTTAAAATGTATACCTCCAGAACTCATTTCCATGGTGTCTGATTCTTAGGCTGTGTTAGAACTTGAGAATCTACATATTTAACAGGCTCCCCCATGGGTTGCTGTTTTGGAACCTGTAGACTACATTTTGAGAAGCATAGTTGGAGAAGTGAATGGCTTACAAAACTCTTAGTGTGTGATGGCAGATGTCATAATGTCTGTGCTGGCACCTTTCAGTGGCATGAGAGGCCACCGAATACCCATTTTCCTCATTTGCTTACCCTTTGATTTAGCAGATGTTTACTGAGCAACTGATATGTGCCAGACTGAGCCGCTTGCTAGGCAGAGAAACTTCAATAAGACTTGATCCCTGTCCTTAAAGAGTATCTTGACAGCAGAGAAATCCTGCCACGTGTGTGATTATTTTGGGGGAAGTATGCAGAGGAGTCGCCAAATTACAGATTTCACCATAAGGCTTCAGCAATGAGCGCATTTAAGAGCTGTTCACTTAGAACAACGTTGTTTCACATTTCCGTACAATTTTACAGTTTGGGGTATTTTGTTTTTCTGTTTATACATTTTTAGCTCCCCAAGAGCTTTGAGTGGTATCCTGTGATTGGTTGTTGTTTAGTTAATCTTAACTTGAGAACAGCTTAACGTTAAAAATAGTCTACTCCTGGATGTGTCATTCCGTTTCTGAAACACAGCTGTGAGGTGTGCACCTGGGCAGGATTGAGTTTAGGGAGGACACCATGAACTAGTGTCCTGATTATTTTATTTCCTGAGATCAGTGATGAAAGGTGGCAAAGCCATTCCCTGAACAGCGATTGCAGCAACATGAGAAGAAGCTGGGCTACTTGAATTGTGAGAAATCAAAGCCAAAACTTATTAAAGAGAAATCTCTTGGGTGCTGGGATGGGAACATGTCTTCTGCCTGTCTTTATATCAGTGTAATATCCCTTACGCATTAGAAAAGCAAGTAGTGACCTAAGAGGTCACTTCTGACCTCTGGCTAAGCTGAGTAAAACTGTTATTTAGAGCCAGACTCATACTTTTTTTCAGTTTTTGTGCTAGGTTTTTTTTGTTTTGTTTTGTTTTGTTTTGTTTTTTTGAGACGGAATCTTGCTCTGTTGCCCAGGCTGGAGTGCAGTGGTGCAATCTCAGTTCACTGCAACCTCCACCTCCTGGGTTCAAGCAGTTCTCCTGCCTAAGCCTCCTGAGTAGCTGGGACTACAGGCACGCACACCCATGCCTGGCTAATTTTTGTATTTTTAGTAGAGACGGGGTTTCACCATATTGTTCAGGCTGGTCTCGAACTCCTGACCTCAGGTGATCCATCCACCCGCCTTGGCCTCCCAAAGTGCTGGGATTACAGGCATGAGCCACCGCACCCAGCCTTTTTTACGTTTTAGGAATCATTTAACTCTTCTGGACATTAGCACTAACAAGTTTCAACACTGCCACTTACTTGCTCTGTGGCTTTAGGCAAGTTGTTTTGCCTCTTTGTGCCAGTTTTCATGTGGGTAAAAACAAACAAATAAAGGCAAGGTAGGGGTTGGACAGGACGCTGGCACTGGCATTTTCCAGTTCTCTCATCTGTATTTTCTGACATGTGTCTGCCTCCTGACGTGCAGGCAGCAGAGATGCTATAGATCGAGAACAGCATGGAGCTAACAAGACCTGCATACAATGAGACACAGTGGATGATTTTGTGAGTGGCTGGGATACTTTCTGGAGGTTGAAAATTGTTTTTATTTAGCTGGCATCACGTGTCCATTAACAGCACTCAGCATCCCCAGGGATTGAGCGTGGCTTGCAACTCAGTGACAGACAAGCCCCACTGGGACTGTGAGGCTCAGGGAATTTCACTGGGGATTCAGACACCACCCATGGTCCCTGCAGACCAGGTAGTGCTCAGAAGCATGGAGGCATCAGAGATCCCGTTCTCATCCAGGACACTACGTTGCCTGGGAGGCACCACATTGATATAAAACAACTAAGTTAGGGTAGGCATGGGAATATCAGAGACAGTTGTAGGGGGACGCTGTAAACCCATTCACGTACCGCAAGGAACACCAGACCAGCTGAATTGTGGGGCCCTTTCCAGCGCTGGGCTTCTGGGATTCCTTTGAGCGCCTTCTGTGTGCAATCTACTGGTCCAAACTGGCTTATGCAAAAAGTTAACTTGTTGGCTCCTGTGACTTCATAGTGTAGAAGGAGAGATAGCTCTGGCCATGACTGGCTGCAGGTATGGCAACACCATCATCAGGACCTGGGTTCTTTCTCCCTGTCTCTCAGCAATGCTTCCTCTCTGTGGCTTCCACTTTCAGAAAGGCTTGCCCTCATGGTGACAGAAATGGCAGCAGCTGCTCTAACTTCAGGTGCAATCCAACAGAAAGTGGCCAAAGCCATGGTAGGTGGCACACAGTCACAAGGTAAAGTCCCACGATAGGCCGTCTGTACCTTGAGGAGCAAGGAAGCCAGTGGTGGATCAGTCCAAGTCCCAAAACCTCAAAAGTAGGGAAACCGGCAGTGCAGCCTTCAGTCTTTTGCCAAAGGCCGGAGAGCCCTTGGCAAACCACCGGTGTAAGTCCAAGAATGCAAATGCTGAAGAACTTGGAGCCTGATGTTCGAGGGCAGGAAGCATCCAGCATGGGAGAAAGATGAAGGCTGAAATTGTCTTCCTTCTTTATTCCTAGCCATGTCTCTGCTTTTAATTAATTGTGTATACAGCAAAGTGGATCTTTAACTAGAATAAGGAGATAATTTTTCTACTATTGATTTCTGTGCTTTTTGGTCCACTCTTCACCTAAAAATCTAGAAGACTCCCAAAGCTGAAGACCTAGTAGCATTTTTTTCTCCTTCAACTTTATTTCAAAGGCAAACACATCTCTTCTCCTATGTGAATCTGATGTTTTCAGCCGTGTCGCTGCTTTGGAGGTTTGTCAAATGCAGATCTGTGTTTGGAGGGCTCTGTTCACTGACAGGGTTGGGTAGCCCTCTTGAGAGTGAGTTAATGAGATTCGTTTTACAGGTCTATGAAAGGTGAAAATAAGTTGTTTTTCCAAATCTCCTTTCTGTTAATGATTAAGCCTAAGATATGCAGCCATAGATAGAAGGGCTAATGGTTTTATGGCAAGGGAATTTTATTCAATTAAACATTTATTGAGCACCTACTATGTACCAGTCTTTATATTCATTGAGACCAAGAAAAGTGATACAGATTGTCTACATACTACCCAGTATTCAAACCGGTATTGATTCTGGTAAGTCTAATAGAACCCAGTGTAAATAGATTTGATTATGCTTAAATCTGGGAGGTAGAACTAGGTGAAAGGGGTGCCAGCTACTCCACTTACTAGACCTGTGACCTTAAGCAAGTTACTTAACCTCTTTGAAGTTCATCTAAAGTAGTAGTAGTAACGCCTCCCAGGCCTGGTGTGAGGAAGAAGGTAGATGGCACGGTGTCCAGGATGATGTGGAGCGATTGTAGTCTCTATCATTATTGCCATCACCCAGCCCTCAGCAGTCAAGGGAGGCCTGAGTGAACAAGAATATAGTGTAACTCAAACAGATCTGAAGGCAGTACACGAACAATTGGGGTAAATAAGTCAACTCAGTTAAAAGGCTTGAGTTAAGGGAAAGATTAAATGGTTTTTCACTTATAGAGGGAAAAGAAATGGTCTCATCTTGAAATATATTTACCTATATTTCACTCATAGGTAAAGTATTTAGATTACTTCTGTGACCTTATTAACATGAATTTATTGAAGTACCTTTACCCCTGAGAATTAAGAGTTAGTTCCAAATGTATGGTTAAAGAACTTAGCCCTTTCAACAGAACTCTGTTTTGGTTCAGCTTTTGGAGTTCTGTTACATGATAGTAATTGATGAATCCCTGCCTATCCTAATATCCTAATACCCTTCTGTTTAGGCAGAGAAACTGTTGCAGAAAAGGGCCTGCTTGCTTTTTCCACTGCGGAGCCCTAGGCAGCTTTAGGGGGCTGATGGAGTAACTGCTGTAGTGTTGGCACTGGTGTAGGTCCCCAGTAGGTTCTGAAAGAAAGAGCAGAGAGAGCAGGGCTGTCCATGCAGCTAACTGCCCTCTCCTGGCCCTTTCATCAGCCCACCCCTGCTTCTCTTCCCAGATGGCCACCCTAGCATCACTGTTGAGCAACAAAGTGAACAAATGTTTTAATTTCACTGCTGAGTAGTTCTGCAGAGAGGGAGACAGCAGAGAGGATAATGAGAAGCATATCAGATGCCACCATTGACGAAAGCTTCCCTTCCCCACTGGCTCAAATGATAATGCCAGACAAATTGGATACTGAGAGATGTGGATTTGGGATATTCGGAGAGTTTCAGGTGGAAAAAAAAAAAAGCCTGGCCTAGGCTAGAATGAGATAGCTATATGCTGTATCAATTGAGATGCACAAAAGGCAGGCAGGAAGGAAAGGGAAAATAAAAAGGAAGAAACATGTTTACTGAGGGTATTAGCAGCAAGTGGCTCTGTATTAGTTATCCAGTGCTGTATCACAAATTGCTCTAAAATCTAGCAACTTCAAGCAACAAACATTTATTCCCACAGTTCCTGTGGGTCAGGAATCCAGGTAGAGCTCAACTGAATTCTCTGGCTCAGCCACTTACAGGCTGCAGTCAAGGTGTCAGCCAGGGCTACATCTCAAGGCTCAACTGGGGGAGTATCTTTTTCTAAGCCCACTCTCATGGCTATTGGCAGGCTTCAGAAGATCCACTTCCAAGCTTACTCCCTGACTGTTGGCTGGAGACCAGTTCTTTGCCACATGGGTGTCTCCGTAGGGCAGCTCACAACATGGCAGCTTGCATCTCACAGAGCAAGGGCAGAGAGAGAAAACACAGGCAAGATGGAAGTCAAACTAGCCTGACCTCAAAAGTAGCATCCTGTAACTTTTACCATATTCTGCTTCTTAGAAGCAAGTCACGAGGTTCAATCCAACAGCATGAATACCCAGAGTCAGGTATTAGGGTCCATTTTAGATGCTGCCTGCCTTGGGTTCCCTACTGCTGTCAGTGAAAAGGCATTTTAAAGAGATTTCAAGTCAACTAACAAAAGCATGAAAAGTTGATTTAATTTAGCTTTCAACTGACGTCTTCATTTTTTGTTTATTATTTTTTAAATACAAGATGAGTTACCTTAGGTTCTCAGAAGTTTCTTACGCTAGTGATATGTTGATGTGGATTATTAAACTGTGTTTTGTCTATGTGTACTTTTGGAGATGACTGAAAAACACAGGAAACTTTTAAAGTTTAATTTAGCTTTATACAGACATCCTGTGCTTAGGAAGCAAGCTAAAGCAAAGCCAAGAAACACAAGGTCTAACTCGTTTATAATTTCTATTTGGGAGGAGAGGAGAAAGATAAAATCTCTCTAAATAAAAATCTTAAACATATACTTACTACCAGAATTTGTAATAACAGCTGTCTAGCTAAATTTTGCTGTGTTGATACAGTATTCATGAGCTCCTTTAGTGTGGTGGGGAGACGTGTGTGTGTAGAAAACTAACCTTTTGCTCTCTAAAGACTCTGGTGAGAAAATTTTTCTATTTTATAATCTTGACACTAAAAAACATCAAAGGTAGATTGTAGTTTTGTCAAGTAGAAACATAAAGCCTATACATATGACTGTACACGTGAAATTCAGTTTTGGTTACCAGATTTTTTCAAGTAAATTCATTATTGCTAAAGCAGAAATGTGAACCTTACCTTCCAATTGACCTTCCTCGCATTTGCGTGAGAGATGTTCTGTCAAACCAAAGAAAGGAATGCTAATTTTGTTTATTTTACCACTGGGGTTGTTGATGTCTTAGAAGCATCTAGAAGAGTCAAGATGATGAGTTTGGTTTTATATGCGCCCCTGAGACCTCTGGAGGACAAGGTGTGTCCAGCAGAATCTGTGTGGCAGCTCTGGATTGAAATAGTGCAGGGTTAGAGCTGCTTTTCAGAGAAGTTTGCATAAAGGTGATAGTTAAAGCTATACATGTGAGAGCTTTTCAAAAGGGAGCATATAAAAGGAGAAAAAAATAAAAGATTGAGACCAGTCGTAGGTGCTGTTAATGGTTATGGATTTGGAAGAAGAACCAGTGGGAAAGGCTGAAAAGGAGTGGTCAGGAAGGCAAGTTCTTATCCCACATACTTCAGTGCTGCTGAAATCGGAAGAGAATTGTGATACAGAGGCACTGCCAAGTGCCACCGAAAGGTCAAGTGGCACAAAGCCAGAGGCAAGGCTTGTTGTATAAACGTTGGTTAGGGGAAGAATCTGTGAAGCCCCTTCAGGCTGAAAGCAGTCATTCACACGGGGTAATTAACATGTGAGTCATATGTTCTTACAGCTGGCAACTACAAGCCAACACACTGTTAGCCTTAATTGTTACAGACTATATCTAAAATTAATAAGGCCCGTGTCTTTTTAAGTAGTCTGTCATTTATAATGTAAATGATTTAAGGTATTCTTTTTTCCTAAATTGTGAGATTTTAATTGCATTCTCAAATAATAAAATGACAGTTCATTAAATTTAAATTCAGACATCCCTGCCCATGAAATACTTAAAATGCCAGATTCAGAAAGGTATAATTAGGTAAGAAGTGCATTAAGTTTATTAAAAATTCACTGAGCCCCTACTGTGTGCCAGGCTATGCTATTTGCTGCGGATACAGAGCCCTAGAAAGCATAATTCCTGTCTTCAAGAAGTC
Source organism: Homo sapiens (assembly GCF_000001405.40). Lineage (NCBI taxonomy): Eukaryota > Metazoa > Chordata > Mammalia > Primates > Hominidae > Homo > Homo sapiens. The sequence continues at coordinate 22,501,148 of NC_000001.11, forward strand.
TAGTAGGAGAAAAAAAAAATTATAATATAGTGTGACAAATGTCAAATTAAAAGCAGTGAAGAGGAGGTAGGGCCTGTGGCCAGGAAAGGCCTCCCAGCAGAGGTAACCCCTGAGCAAGGTTAGAGCATGGAGTCGTGGAATTGGAGTCCTCCAGAAGACAGGGGCAGGAGCATGGGACCGCAGGGCTTGTTGGAACTGCTGCTGGGGAAGAAAGTGCAGTGGGTGAGGAGCTTCAGGAGAAGCTGGCGGGAATCAAACTGTTGAGGACCTTGTTTGCCAAATGCAAGGAGCGGATGGTTCTTGTGGTTCGCTAATCTATCTTTCTGGGTACTTTTGTTCCATAGATGATAGTGAAATGTTTCGAGGGTGAAGGAGGACATTCAGCATTCCAGAGAATCCTGGGTAAAGTAAGAGAGGAAAGCCTGGATGTTCAAACTGTTGTGTCCCTGTTGAGGCTGTACCAATATTCTAATCCTGCAGTAAAAACAGCACTATTAGACAGGAAGCCAGAAGATGTAGACACAGTGCAGCCAAAAGGTAGGAGAAGATCCTATGCATTGGAATGGCAGGGTTTTATTTTGGGATGATGCTATGAAGTTTGTTCCAATGACATGTTTCTTTGGTGGCTTAGTTATTAAGTGGTTTTCACATAAGTTTCACATGTAAATTCCAGAAGCTGCATGTTAAATATACACCAACTAAATTTGAGTCTCCATTTCTATCCCACAGTTAACTAGTCTGACACCTTGAAGTTGGAGAATATCATCAATGTTCTCCTGCCCGTCAAAAAGCCACACATCCAAATCAATGACTTGAGTACCCAGGTTGGACTGGTTCGCTGACAGCACTTTAAGGCTGAAGTTTCTCTCATTTGGGTTAGGTACAAAGCAGTGGCCTTGCCAACCAGAAGTTAACCTCTGGCTGGCTCTGCAGCTTTGTGTTTCGACAGATAAATGAAACATTTTTCCTTTCATAGAGTTTAAACAGAATAATAAAGTATTTTCCTCTGTAAAAGCGATTCTGCATTCAGGTGCTCAGAATAAGCTGAAAATCACTTTACTATTCTGTTAGATCTCTCTTGACAAACCATGCTGTCATTTTCTTCAAATTGACTAGCTTCTCTTGTGTGTCTCTAACTCTTTCTCCCCCAGGGAGCACAGAGGAGGGAAAGACCTTGTCTGTTCTGTTACTAGAACACAAAGAGGACCTGATACAGTGTGTAACACAGCTGAGACCTATTATGGAGTCCCTGGAAACAGCCAAGGAGGAATTCCTGACTGGCACTGAAAAAAGGGTAACTGTGTCAAGTGTCTCCTCCCTCCTCCTGAATTCATATAGCACTTAAAAAAATGCTTTTGTGGCACATAGCACTTTATACTTTGCAGTATTTTAATACATACTGCATAGTAAGCATCTCGAAGTCAAGGTGCTTGTTTCATATCCTGTTGCATTCCTCGCGGTAGCTTGCTGAGGGCCTTGCACATGGAGCCATAAGGAAAATGGATGGATGGATGGATGGATGTGTGGGTGGGTGGATGGATGGATGGGTGGACAGTTGGACAGATGGATGGATGGACGGACGGACGGATGGACCGATGGACAGATGGATATATGCTATTCCTGCTCTGACTCAGTTTTTACTGTAAACAACTGTATCCAGAATTAAAATGTTAAGGAAATTTTGTAATTATTATGACACCTTTCCTCTTTATAGAAATGTACTGTACATTTGGAATATGTAGAAAATGGGGAAAGCAATCAAAAAGAAAAAATTCAGATTTCTCCACTCAGAGATGACACTGCTAACAGGCTGAAGCATGTGTTCCCCTCTTTCTCATTTGAGTCATCCCAGGATGAGGTTATATAGAACATATGGTTTTCTAACTTGACTTTTTACCTAATATCTTAATACATGTCTATACCTATAATATGGATTTCGTTTCTTTATCATTGAGCATTAGTATCCTTTTTTTTTTTGCTATTAAAAGTGATGTTGTGAAGAACATTCTTGCACATAAATCTTTCCATACCTCTGAAATTATTCCCTTACTATAATTTCTAAGAAGTGGAATTTTGGAATCAAGAGTATAAAAATTTTCAAGCGTTTGATATATATTGCCAAATTGCCCTTCAGGAAGGTTGTACCAATTTACTCTCCCACCAGCTAGCTGCTAAAATCCTCATAAAACTGCTGGCATGACTTCTCAAGGCAACTAGATAACTATGTTTGTTGGTGTTATTGATTTCAACTTTGTGCTAAAAATACTTTTATATCTGGAAGGAAGGAATAGGGATAGAGTACTTTTGTGGCATCAATTCCTAAAACCGTGGGAAGCGACTTAAGTGTTCAGGAGAGAAAACGTTTAGAAGCCACTGATATAATGGCTAAGCCCTGAATTTACAGTGAGGACTAGATCCTCGATTTTATTTTTCTCAGTGATCTTATGTTGCACATGTGCGCACGCACACACACACACACACACAATGGAAACAACCTTTAATCTCAGAATTACATTTTGTGATTTAATTGTTTTTAAATTTTTAAGTCCTTTGAACTTCTTAGAGAAAGAAAATATACAAAGATTAAACTTCTGTTTTTTTTCTCCTTAGTCTTCAAATTAAGTGTAATTTCAGGCACTCAATTTAAGTAAGTTGCTTATAGCTCTAAAAGTTCCTGATTCCCTCTTTAGTGATTTCATTCGATTACTCATTCAGACCTTTTTCTTTTTAGCTAGATTGAATGTGTCCTTTGAACTGTTTCATTATCTTGGTAAAACAGCATTTATAGATAGAGTCCAAACTCAGCTTCATTCTCTGCAGCAAGATAGACCACACTGTCATTTTCTTCTGTCACTTTCAGTTTACTTGACAGAGAAAGCTGAAGCAGAAGAGCTTAAATTAGTTATAAATCACAAAAACACTTCTTAAGATTGGGGTTCCACCAGAGCTTCTTTAAGTGATTCCTTCTCATGAAAGTTGAAGCAGACTAAGAAAGTGGGAGTGGAGAGGTGAATGTTGATTGAATAGCCACAGTATTTTGACATCGTGTGGAATGTGTACCCAGGCCTTTTCAAACTTTTTTTCTGGTTAGAAACTATGCTAATAATGGATGCCATGGCCTTTATAAATATGTTGGGTTTTGTAAGAAGCAGTAACCAGGAACATATTTACATGAGGACTGGAAACAGAAAAAAAAGGTAATTACTATAGCTGTCATTTATTTATTGCTTACTGTGTGCCAGGCAGTGTGCTGAGGACTTTTTAAACATTATTAAGTTTTGCCCTCATAGCAACTTTATGACATCATGGATATTACTCTTATTTTAAAGATGAAGAAACAGAGCATAGGGAGGTGAAGCAGCTCACCCAAAGACACAGCTGTTTGGGGCTGGTAATAAGAATTAGACTTCTAATCCAAGCACATTCTCTTAACCCCTATGAGTACTTCTCCCTAATCATATCAATAACATAGTCATTTCTTAAAGATCACATGTGTCCTAGGAGTTAGGCAAGGCCCTATGAACAGCACCTTCATTTTACAGTAACAACTGTGCAAGAGTTGGTATTATCTTCTTTTGCAAGTGAGGAAAATAAGGCTTGAAGAATTAAATAACTTGCCCAAGGTCACACAGGCAATAAATATTAGAACTGCAATTTGAACTAGGTCTGTCTGGCTTTAAAGCCTATGCTTACTCTTACCAGTATCTGGCTGCCTCTTTGTATATCAGATTATTGCTTAGGAACCAAGATTTAGCTCTGAAATCAGTATGGTGTTTAGATACAAGCTCTTAATTTTTAAATTATGATTTATTTAGTAGAAATCTATATATTAGACCTTAAAGAGAATGACTATGTTCTGTACTGACAAAGAATATGACAGCTTGATTTATTATGTATATATTCCTTTCATATATATAAAACCAATTTGGTTTTAAAGCTAAAATCATTATTTTAAAATGGAAGTTAATTTGATAATGGCAGCCTCTGGCATACTACCATGACTAGGAGCTGGCATTTTCCCAAAGGAAAGCTCAAAATTCAGTTCCTGTGAATCTGTAGATTACATGTATTGAAATAATCCCCTGCTTTATCAGTTCCATAAGAGCTAAGCTATGCATATTATGCTGTAGTCCATTAAGAAATAGTTCTATTGTAATATTAAAATATCTGTAAAATATCTGTCACATGTTTTAGTTTCATCCTTTTGCTAGAGTTCTGTGCCCTTTTGACTCAAAATCCTCTAGCACACCAAGGAAGGACAAAGGAGTGGAATTGCTGAATTATGACTGGAGCTGATGTATGTGGCTGTTGAGAATCAGAGGAATGGATAATAAGGAATCCACAAGAAAAATAATCCAGAAAGGCACTTTAAATCTAATATTTTGGAGTCCACAGACTAATTATACAAATTATCTGAGTATTCAGATTACTATGCAAGTAAAGTAAAACAATGGAATTATAACCTATGCTAATATTATGAACTTTACTGAAAAAAGACCAAAAAAATTAAACTATATTAATTATCAATCTGTGTTTCTCAATCTTAGCGTCCAGACAAGCCACATCTAAAGAACCAGGTTAGAGGTAGGCTACTTGCTGTATCATATAGGCCTAGTTTAGGAATGTTTTCACAAAATGCAAGCTGTTGGAGGCAGAGCAGATACACAGACCTGCAATTGAGAAAGAAAGATTTTCACAGTTATTTGTTTGGAAAATATTTAAGATTTTTATTGAAACAGAATAAGGAAGAAACTATGAAAAAAAGTAATGCTAGAGACCAACAGAAGAGGACTTGGAGATCAGGCATCTTGTGATGCTATCTTGCTAGGTTTTCCAGTAGTGTGTCAGATAAATGTTGAATTGCCAGTAACTGGTGTCTGGTTGATTGCTTGCCACTGCAGGTGATTCTGAATTGCTGTGAGGGCAGAACACCCAAGGAGACAATAGAAAATTTGTTGCACAGAATGACTGAAGAGAAGACGCTGACTGCTGAGGGTTTGGTAAAACTCCTCCAGGCTGTGAAGACGACTTTCCCAAACCTGGGCCTTCTGCTAGAGAAGTTGCAGAAATCAGCCACTTTGCCAAGCACCACAGGTATTAGTAAATTGTTGACTCTCTGGACTGGAACCACTCTTCCAGAAAATTGTAGCTTGAAACACCCTTTTGGCTCCATGCTGGGGAGATAAGATTATGTTAAGAAATGTCATTGCAGAATAGAAACTAGCCGTCATAAATCGATAATTCTCGATCTCTCTGGAGTTAAGGTCTGAAATCTGAGAGTGACTCTTCTCGGTTAAGCTCCCTCATGGTGTTCCTGTGGCTCAGGATTTATTAACGTGTGGCTTTCCCAGGGCTGTCCAGGATCACCTGTGAAAGCCAGAGGAGCAAATGTGCTCATAAGGCTTAGCACTGTGTCAGCCATATTCGCAAATAGGAGCAGCAAAGCCTCAAATCTCCATTGCCCCATTTCCACTAGAGTGCTGTTTGCTTCCAGCAGTCCCCAGAACTCATTATTCTGGTGTCCGTTCAGCTTGGGGAAATGAGTCCATATCCTATTTCTTAGAAAGACAATCCAGCTCAAGCCAACTCTTCCCTGTCCCAGAGCATTTAGGACTCAGATGGTTTTCAGAAAAAGGATATTTGTTCCTAGCCTATAAAAGTAGTATGTACTTACACAAGCTTGGACAATTCCAAATATAAGGAAGAAAACCATTTAAAATCCTACCACTCAAGCATGCCAATATTAACACCTTGACATGTTTTATCTATCACTTTTATAATATTGAGATACTTTCATATTGTATAATTTTATGGTTTCCCCATGTAACATTGCAGCAGCCTTCTCCACAGTTCAGAAAAACTCCCCACAATCCTAGTTTTTGAAGGCTGTGTAGTTTTCCATCATAAGGATGTATATGGTGTATTATTCATGCCCTTATTTCAGAGCGGATGTAGCATAATGGTTAGGACTGTAGGCATTGGTGTCAAGACTACCTGGGGCCGCACCCTCACTGCACCATTCTGTAGCTGTAATACCCTGAGCAAGTGACTTAATCTTTCTGAACCTCATTTGCTCTGTGAAATGAGGTAAGGGTGGTACCTATCACATTCGTTTTTGTGTGGCTAGTATAATACATGTAAAACATTTAGCACTGTGCCCGGCACATGGGCATTCAGTAAATATTAGTTGCTGTCTTCACTGTCATCATCGGCAAAGATTATGCTTTGATAGTTGTCTTTGTACATAGACAAAGACCTTCAGATAATTTCTTAAGGTTGGATTTCCAGAAGTGGAGTTACTGAGCTAAAGAAAAGGGTACATTTTTAATTATCTGCAAAGCTAAGAGAAATGCCTGATAGTTTCAATTTTTCTTAACTTCCAAGTAAATATGACCTCTTAAAAGAGAGAACCTAACAAATTGGCCCAAAGGGCACCTAAATAGAAAAACCACGGGTCAGCTTCACACGCACAGCCTTGATTCGTGCTCGTCTTTAGGATCGCCACACGGATCCTCTACCTCAGGCTTGACAAACACCCCCCCTTGAACCTGCACATCTGAGTCTCTTACAAGTACAGCCTTCTAATTACCCCCCTGGTGAGCAATTGCTAGCTCCTACCACCAGGCACTGACTTTCAAAGCGTTAACGGCTTTATGACCCTGAAGCGCCAAGCGATTAAGTGTAGGCAGAGGAGCTCTGAACATATGTGTATGAGGCCCCAAGCCAGGGCTCTGCAGAGGACACTGAGCCCTTGTGCTGATTGCTCTCTTCCTCTCTCATTGGTAATATCCTGGAGTCTTCTGTAGGAGGTTTTGTTGCATCAAACATTATTGTTTTGCTAATATCCTTACAGTCCAACCAAGCCCTGATGATTATGGGACTGAGCTATTGAGACGCTATCATGAAAACCTCTCTGAGATTTTCACAGACAACCAGATTTTATTAAAGATGATCTCACACATGACAAGTTTAGCCCCTGGAGAAAGAGAGGTAAGAGAGGGAGAGAAACAGAGGGAGGGGAGGGTAAAATGAGAAAGAAGGAAAAAATATGAATACACACACACATTTATATTTTCTGTAAATATACATATGTAGCCATGTTGAGAATTGCTAAGTAGAGGAGAAATAGAAGGTATCTCAGTTTCTAAGGTGGAATAACAAATAGAATAGTTCTAATTTCTGTGGTAATAAGGAAAGGCATTCAAAAGGAGAAATGAAGAACTTTGTCATGTATAAGAAATCTCTCAGACTGAGAGGTGAGGATGTTGAAAAACTCCTTCCCCAAACATATTCACTGTAACCCAATATCTAGACTTGCAGCTCTGCAGCTGGGCTAGTGGCTGGAGAGTCTCTTACGTGAGTGTTTGTGTTACATCTTGAAGGTCATGGAGAAGCTTGTGAAACGTGACTCTGGTTCAGGTGGTTTCAATTCTCTGATATCAGCAGTTCTAGAAAAGCAGACTCTCTCTGCCACAGCCATTTGGCAACTGCTGCTGGTGGTTCAGGAGACAAAGACCTGTCCATTGGACCTGCTCATGGAGGAAATACGAAGGGAGCCTGGTGCCGATGCTTTCTTCCGGGCAGGTAAGTTACCTGCCCTCTGGGGGGGTTTTGCCCCCACTAGAGATGACTGTCAGTCTTCCTAGAAAATAGGAAGAGCTCTCTTAACGGTAGTCACCTACATCCCTACTATTAGAAGTAAGGACTGGCAGTTTTGTTCAAGGACACAAGAGTTTGTAAACCTTTTAAAAAATAGATCCAGTAATTATCTTAAGCTTACATTCATTATTATACTCTGATTACAGTGCTATTTGCCGTTTTCCCCACTGCCAACCTCAGATAGGAGATAGGGGAAATGCATTTTCATTATGAAGAGTTGAGTGGAGGAAGGGTGTAGGAAAAAATGGTGCTCATTGTTTGCCTAATGAGTTTTTGATCCCCCTTTTTTTCAGTGACCACCCCAGAACATGCCACTTTAGAAACAATCCTGAGGCATAACCAGTTGATCTTGGAGGCCATCCAACAGAAGATTGAGTACAAGCTCTTTACCTCGGAGGAGGAGCACCTGGCAGAGACTGTGAAAGAGGTGTGGTGGGAATAAAAAGCGAAATGCCAGAGAGTTTTACAGTTGTTGCCTGGGACTGTCTTCATTCCTAAGAGAGGAACCAATAGTTGGTTGGGTTGTTTTTCCTTCTTTTTTTTTCCTTTTTCTCTTTTGAGACAGAGTCTTGCTCTGTCGCCCAGGCTGCAGTGCAGTGGCACGATCTTGGCTCATGGCAACCTCTGCCTTCCGGGTTCAAGCGATTCTCCTGCCTCAGCCTCCCAAGTAACTGGGATTACAGGTGCGCACCACCGTGCCCTGCTAATTTTTTGTATTTTTAGTGGAGACGGGGTTTCGCCATGTTGGCCAGGCTGGTCTCGAACTCCTGGCCTCAAGTGATTCACCCATCTCAGCTTTGCCAGAGTGCTGGGATTACAGGCGTGAGCCACTGTGCCTGGCCAGAACCAATATCTGTACCCCTTGCTAGGCTAATGCTTCCTAACACGTTTGCTCTTTTAATCCTTCCAGCTCTACATGGCAGGTGATGTTATCACATTTTATAGACAAGGGTTCTCAGGCCCCAAAGGGTTAAGTTACCTGTCTAAAATGCTCTGGCAGGGAGGAGATGATGTCAGGATTTGAACCCAGCTTCCTATGACTCAAACCAATTTATTCCATTTATCTAAACCTGGTATCCCCTGGAGCCATGATACTGTTCTCTTACCTGTTCTAAGAAGCAGCTTCTCTCAGATGAAGGAAAGTAAAACTGGTCTTATTACATGTTCTATTCTGGCTTCTAGAAAGAGCCAAGATAAACATAGATAAAACAAAGCTTTTGCCCATATTGGGTAGCAAATAGTGCCAGCTCATTTTCTGTAAGCCTTCACACAATGTGGCCAGCATCCCAGGAATACCAAGTGGGGACTGGGGGAACTCATGGGTGTCCAGCCCAGGATCATTTGCATCCTGAGTGGGGAAGAACAAGAAAGGAACATGAAATTAAACTACAGATTCAAATGTAGTGCCCTTTTGATTCAGGTAGGTGTGGAAGGTGTGCAGAAGGGCGGGTTTCTAACTCTCTCTGTGCAGGTGACAGCCACATGTTGGTCTGACTCAGATGGGAAGAAGATGGCACACATTTCTGTGGGGCTTCAGAGGAAAGACTCATCTGTTAGACTCTCTCCAGCACGCCGTAACTTCAGAGATGGGGCTTCTGCAGTTGATCAGTTTTAGCCTCACTAATTAGTCTCATGCCTGCCTCCAGGGACATCAGGTTTATTTAGATAGACTTGAAAAGAGCAGAAATAAAATATCTTCCAAAATGAAAATTCCGTTTGGCCATCTGTGGATGGTTTAGCTTTATTTTCTCAGTGTACCGACTCTTTCTGCTGATAGCTCTAACATTCTGAAAGAGGACGACGGCTTTGAAATAATATTCTTGGACTCTTTAAAGCTTCTATTTGAACCTTCTTTAAAACGCTGAGTTTCTTTGTGAAAGAAAATGACGTTTAAATGGGTACATCTAAGTATCTAAAAATATGAAGCCACTGATCATGCAGAATTACTTCCAGACATTGAGACAATTATATATTATGAAAACTTATTCTGATTTTCAAGACAGACACACCGACGACCAAATCCTATAGCTTTTCAAGCTTTTAGTATTAAGATCCAGAAAAGGTCTTTGGGAGACTCCTAGTTTCTGATAAGCTATTTCTTATAGAAAATGCTTTATGCTTCCCTGCATGTATCTTCTTTGTATTTGCACATTTATCTGGATACATGCTTCTTTTTTTCTGTTTTGTTAGTTTTCCTGTTCTTTGGCAAACAGAGCTGTCCACTACATTTATCACAAGGCGATGTATAAACTGCTTATAAATGGAGCAGTGCCTTCCTGGGATTAGCTTTTTTTTTTTTTTTTTAGGTTGAAAACCATGGGGAAAATCTGCTGAGATTAACCCCACACCTTTGTCTCCTGGTATTCATTTAGATTCTGAGCATTCCCTCTGAGACAGCCAGCCCTGAAGCTTCCCTGAGAGCAGTGCTGAGCAGAGCCATGGAAAAATCAGTCCCGGCCATTGAAATATGCCACCTCCTGTGCAGTGTCCACAAATCTTTTCCAGGCCTGCAGCCTGTCATGCAGGAGTTGGCATACATTGGTAAGGAACGGGCCAGGTGGGAAGGGGGTTCCTATCAGCACACCAGGTTGTTTCTTGAAGAAAGAGACAGCATTTCATATCATAGTTTATCACAACCTTAAGTTACGTATTCATTTTATATGCTCTGAATACCTAAAAAAGTCATGAGACATAGGGGGAAAATGTTCTTTGTGTTTATTGGAAAGTAAGGAGGACAATGATATTACTTCAGAGTGTTTTTGAGGATCTCAAGTAGTCTCTAGTCTCCTGTAAGAAGTGTGTTAGAAACGTTATAAAGCAAAATAGAAACAGAGAGTTCGCAGAGCCACGAGATGTCTCTTTTATGCAGGTGTCCTTACTAAGGAAGATGGAGAGAAGGAAACGTGGAAGGTGAGTAATAAATTTCACCTTGAAGCCAACAACAAAGAAGATGAAAAGGCAGCCAAAGAAGACAGCCAGCCTGGGGAACAGAATGATCAAGGAGAGACTGGTTCCTTGCCAGGACAGCAAGAGAAAGAGGCTTCAGCCTCCCCAGACCCTGCCAAGAAGAGCTTCATCTGTAAGGCCTGCGACAAAAGCTTCCATTTCTACTGCCGCCTAAAGGTGCACATGAAGCGCTGCCGGGTGGCTAAGAGCAAACAGGTGCAGTGTAAGGAGTGCAGTGAGACCAAGGATTCAAAGAAAGAGCTGGACAAACATCAGCTGGAGGCCCATGGTGCAGGTGGAGAGCCCGATGCCCCCAAGAAGAAGAAGAAGAGGCTTCCAGTGACATGTGACCTCTGTGGCAGAGAATTTGCCCATGCCTCAGGTACGTTCAAGAAGGCAAAGGAACAGAGGATGATAATTGTGGGTTTTATAGCTTGGATTTCAGGCCTTTCCCTTAGTTGTGTGCAGTGAGGGCTGTGGGTGGGCTTAGAAAATAGAGCAGGTTCCTACAGAGGCAGGGTAATATTTTAAGAGCATGGGCTTTGGAATCAGCCCCCGAGCTTTGATTTCCCCAAATCTATTAAAGCAGCACCCTGATACCACTTACTCTGTTGCATTGTTATGAAGACTTAAGGTAACAGAGCTAAACACCAGTGCACTGCCTGTAACAGAGTGAGCACACAATAACTTACAGCTCTTACTGTTTACAGTGATAACCAGCTACTTAATACCTGGCTCATGTTTCCATGTGCCACTTGTTTCTTGGTAACAAACAAGAGTCATGGAAATCATGGGATGTACAGTCAGAATGGTTTCCCTTGTCCTAGAATTTGGATAAACCTAATGAAATATAAAAGCAAGTTGAGTTTCCCTAGTTCTGGGTGGCAGGGTCCTATTTAAGAGAGAGAAGGGAATGGGGAAGATAAGCCCAGCATTACTTTCCACCGGCTCCATCCAGGAGTAAGGCCAGGTGACTTTGGGGATGCCAGTTGGTGGGTAGAGAGCAGCGTGGCTGTGTGCAGTGGGTACCAGCGTGGCCTGGCACCCTGGGCTTCATGCTGTGCTTCCTCTGGAGGCCTGGGCTGAGACAGTGCTCTTGGTATCCTGTGCTAGATTCCTAACACTGATTAGTAGCATCTCTTCTGGCCTCTGGTGTGCTTGGCTTCCCTAGGCATGCAGTACCATAAGCTGACAGAGCACTTCGATGAGAAGCCTTTCTCCTGTGAAGAGTGTGGGGCGAAGTTTGCAGCCAATTCCACCCTGAAGAACCACCTTCGCCTTCACACCGGGGACCGCCCGTTCATGTGCAAGCACTGCCTCATGACCTTCACCCAGGCCTCCGCCCTGGCCTATCACACCAAGAAGAAGCACTCAGAAGGTAAGGCGGGGCACAGTTCATTTCTCCTGCAGACTTTCACTGCGAACTGCCTAAACCCCATTTGGATTAGGTGTGATATATATCTCAAAAACAAAACAATTTGATAGCACAACAGGGTGACTAAAGTCAATAATAACTTAATTGTACATTTTAAATACAGTGTAATTTGGATTATTTATTACACAGAGGATAAATGCTGGAGGGGATGGATCTCTCATTCTCCCTGATGCAGTTATTTCATATTGCATGCCTGCAGCACAACATCACATGTACCTTGTGAATATATACACCTACTGTGTACCCACAAAAGTTAAGTATCAAAAAAAAAATAAGGCTGAGGCAGGCGGATCACAAGGTCAGGAGATTGAGACCATCCTGGCTAACATGGTGAAACCCCATCTGTACTAAAAAATACAAAAAATTAGCCAGGCGTGGTGGCGGGCACCTGGAGTCTCAGCTACTCGGGAGGCTGAGGCAGGAGAATGGTGTGAACCTGGGAGGTGGAACTTGCAGTGAGCTGAGATTGTGCCACTGCACTCCAGCCTGGGCAACAGAGTGAGACTCCGTCTCAAAAATAATAATAATAATAAATAAAATTAAAAAACAATGCACAACCTCTAGGCAAACAGACGACTGGGAATAGCTCTGTGCACAGACGTAAACTGCTTACTGGGAGAGCTTCTGAAAGAGACTGGCTAACCTCCTATGACTTTATATTAGGTCTTGTGGAAAAGTCATTGTGGTTTTTGCCATTAAAAGTTATAGAGAATTTACATAAAATTATTTGAGCTTTGAAGTCGAGTTCAAGCATGAGAAGGACCCTGACTAAGCACCTACCGTGGATCAGACAGTGGCAGATGCCGAGTGGCTGAGCTGGGATTCCTGTGTGCCCATAGCTTGTGGCCTGAAGGGGGCAGGGAGAGGGGAGTGTAGCGCCCGTTACAATGCAGATTGTCAGCGGTATAATGTGGAATAACACCAGCGTGATGAGGAAGGATGGAGAAGGGGTCTCTAGTCCAGTTGGAGGGGAGGAGGAGGTACATTGTCAGGGAAGGCTTTTTGGAGCAGCCTACCTATTGTTTAGAGCATTTCTTTATAAATTATAAGGTAACCATTGTTTGACGTGGACTGTCACAGTAGCCTCAAAGCTGGTCTTGCTTTCACCATTTCTCTTGATACTTAAAAAATAAATAAACCCTATCAGGTCACTTCTCTGCTCCAAATTCTTCAATGGCTTTTTGTCCCACTCAGTTGTGAAATCCAGAGTCCTTAAGATAGCCTCCTCAGCCCTCTGTGATTAAGGTTCCTGATTCCTCTCTGACTTCATCTCTTAGGCCTGCACATTTTAGCTTTCTGGCCAGGCCTCAGGCCCGCAGGCACCTGCTCCAGGACCTTTATTCTTACCCTTCCCTTTGCTGGGGACGCTTCCCATCAGACATCTCACGTTTCACTTCCTCACCTCCTTTGAGACCTTACTCACACTTACCTTCTCTGTGAGTCCCTTCCTGGGCCACCCTCTGTAAGGTCTCAGCACCCCACCCCTGGTTTCCATGCAGTATTTTTCTCCCATAGTGCTTCTCATATGATGTAGTATCTACTTTAGTAATTTATTTCTGCTTAGTCTTCCCTGTTAGAATGCAAGTGTCATGAGTGGCAAGCTGTTAGTCTTTCTTTTCCCACTGCTGTATCCATGGGACTTAGACTAGTACTTGGCAATAGTAGGCCTTCAATCGATATTTGCTGAGTGAATGAATTTCACAAGCATTGTTTCAGACATGGGGTATTATAAATATACGCACCCCTGTCATGGGACTTACATCCCACTGGGTAAAACTGACAATAAACAAATAAATATATAGTATAAATTTAGATAGCAGTTATTACTATGAAGAAGCATAAAGCAGGGTACACAGTGAGAGGACAGGGCTTGGGGGACACTATTTGTATCATCAGAGAAGGCCTCTGCAAGATGGCATTTGTGGAGAAACCTAAACAAAGTGAGAGATGGAGCCAGTGAAAGACCTAGAAGGAGAGCATCCCAAGTGCAGAGCTGCCTCCCCGGTGGAAACGAGCTTTACCTGCATGAGAGACCACAGAAAACTAGAAGGGGCTAAAGCAGAGTCAACGAGGAAGAGCATTAAGAGATAAGGCCAGAGATGCTAGCAAAGGCTGGACCTTGGAGGGTCTTATAAGCCAAGGTGAGGACTTTTGGTTTTTATGTGAAGTGTGTTAGTTTATCCTGCTGCTGTAACAAATTACCACAAATGCTGGCCTAAAACAACCCAAATATACTCTTTTACCATTCTGGAGGATAGCAATCCAAGATGGGTCTTGTGAGGCTAAATTCAAGCTTTCGGCAGAGTTCCTTCTGGAGGCTCTAGGGGAGATCTCATTCCTTGCCTTTCCAGCCCCTAGACGTTGCCCGCATTCCCTGGCTCTTGGCCACATCACCCCAACCTCTGCCTCCATCACCATACCTCCTTTTCTGACTCTTCTTCCTCCCTCTTATGAGGACCCTTGCGATTACATTGAGCCCACCTGGATAATCCAAGACAACCCCCCCATCACAAGATCCTTAATCCAGTCACATTCACAAAGTCCTTTTGCCATGTATGGTAACATACACACAGGTTTGAGGAATTAGGACATGGACATCTTTGGGGGCCATTATCCCGCCTACCACATGAAGCCATAGAAGGGTTTTGAGCAGAGAATGAGTGGTAGGATCTAATTTACATTTTCAGAAGTTAATTCTGGCCACTCCAGACAATGAGCTATAGTAGGGCAAGAGGGAAACAGAAGGCTGTTAGAGCCGTTCAGTGTAGAGGTGATATAGTTTTCAACTAGAGTTGTGTTAGTGGGGGTTGTAAAGAACGTTCAAGTTTTAGGATATATTTTTGAAAATGGAGGTAACAGGACTCATGGTGGATTAGATGTGGGATGTGAAGGAAAGAAAGGAACTAAAGGAACTGAAGGCTTTGGGGCTTTGCCATGAGCAACTGAGTGAATGATGCTGCCATTTACTGAGATGGGGGAGTGTGTGGATGGTGGCTGTGGGGGTGATGGGGATAGAGCATTGGAAGCTCTGTTTTGAGCTCCCAAAACAGATGAGGACTTTGGGTTTTTATGTGAAGTATGTTAGTTTATCCTGCTGCTGTAACAAATTACCACAAATAGTGGCCTATTTGATGCATTGGGAGATACCTACTAGACATCCAGGTGGAGAGCAGAGCAGTGGGGAGTTGGACATATGGGTCTGGAGTTCTGGGGAAAGGTGGGAGCTGGAGCTATACTACAGGAGGCATCCATTACAGATGGTGTATGAGGCACTGAGAGATCATCTAGAAACAGGATTGAGAACGTCAAGGACTAAGCCCCAGGCTCCTCAATAATTTCACCTCTCCATTCAAGGAACCCTTTTTTTCCTAACAGAGTCTTATTTTGCAGCCCAATACATAAACACTGAAAATGAGGCTGCTTGTCCTAGTTGTGGTAGACCCTGGGATCCGGGGTTCTGGTGCCATGCCTCACCAATTGCCCTGCTTGCTCTCTCGGCCCATAAGGGAGCTTGGAGGTTCAGTTGGTCTAGCATTTCTCACAAATGCCAGTTCTCCAGACTTGTTCTTTATCCACATTTTCTAATAATCTTTGGCAGTCTGGTCATTATATCCTCATTATATGCATGTGAAAATATAGAAACCAAGGGACACATAATAACTTTATAGCAAGCAACTGGAAGAAGGCTTTCATTCCTCTCTGAATCCACGACTCTCACCTTTGTGCACAGTTGCAGATCCACACTGTGTATGTCGCCAGGGGATCCAAACCCACGTGTTTCTGGGCACAGGGATGTATCTGGTTGCGGGAGTAGAGTGCGCTCTTCCATACTTGTGGTGGCTGATGAACAGATGGGTTGTCTTGTGCAGTGAGAACTCCGTCCTTATTCCTTTGTCCAACCACACTCGCACCTTCCGTGTGATCGGCTGTGTTTGTGAGGTGCCATGTGATGAGACGGCTCAGATCTCACCCAGCGTATTGCAGACTGCCTGATGTTTTAATGTCATCTACCAGATGATATTTCCCTGATACGTGCTGTAGAATTAGATTTTGTTTGTAGCAATGCCATAAATTTTTAGTGCTGACTCTAATAAGCTCCTGTGTATTTGCAGGGAAAATGTATGCATGCCAGTACTGTGATGCTGTGTTTGCCCAGTCTATTGAGCTGTCCCGCCACGTGAGGACCCACACCGGGGACAAGCCCTATGTCTGCAGAGACTGTGGCAAGGGCTTCCGGCAAGCCAATGGCCTCTCCATCCATCTGCACACCTTTCACAGTATGTAGAGACTGTGGATCTCAAGCCCTCAGTGCCAGCCTGGCACTGGGAAAGCGTGTCAATTGCAGCAGAGGTGTCAATCCATCAGACCCAAGCTCCATTCAGTGCATTCCCCTTACCTGTTCCGCTGCAAAACCCAGAGTCCCTCATTCCTAGTTCAGGAAGAATCTCATTTTAAGGTATCTCATATAACGCTTATTTCTCTCTGGCCAGGCTGTTTCCCTGTCTTCCTTTTTAGCCCACCTGGCACCATTTGTCCAACAGAGGCAAATTTTGTTTGAAGGAGAAAGCCTCTGTAACTGATTGGCTCACAGAGCACTGGAATATTTCCATTAGGCCATCTTCCATTTGCCTTTTCCCGTAGGAGCAGTCCAGACACTTTCTGAGTTAATGTCTACCATCGTAAGTGAGCCTTGGTTATGTTTCCTTAAAAACCTCCCGCCCAGCATTCTCTTCCGAATGCCATTGTATTTCACACAGTTAGTGGGGTCTGCCCCTGTCTTTCTCCCCTTCTGTGAGAACTGACACAGACAGAAACACACTTTTATTCGGCATGCGTGCATGCGTGGGCACACACACATATATATACACACACAGGAAGGAAGGACAAAGAAATTCCGTGATTCCTCATTACACCATCGGGAAATCACCAGCGTGGCATTTGGCTGGCCACATCACATTTTCTTCAGCCTCTCTTGTTGCAGCAGGAGTGTAATCAGCACAGCACAGCACAGCAGGGGAGTTAAGAGCTTGGAGTCTGGAATCACACAGGCTTGGACTTGAATCTTGACCCTGACGCTTACTTTTCTTGAGGCCTTAAACAAATTTATTTACCATTCTAAGCCTCTTATGCCCCTTCTGTAAACTAGAGCAAATAATAATGCCACCACCTTGGATTGTAATTAGAATTAAATGAGACCACATGTAAAGCATGACACTCCACGCCTGACACATAGAAAATGCTCAGTAATGCCAGATACTGTTATTATTGGTGACAAGAGCAACCCTCTCAGATGCCATTTGTCACCATCAAAACTTGTCTTTTTTGCATGCCCTGCATCTCACATGCTCTTCTTCCCTCCCCACCCCTCTTCCCACACACCAGTTTCTAGCTGTTGGCAGATACAGTGTCTCACAAGTGCGCTTTATGTAAACACATCCAAGTCTGTCGTCAGCCAGCCAGCAAGGACTTTGCCAAAGCTCCTATGTGCCCAGCATGTGGCTAGACATTGGGTGATGCAGGGGGAAAATAAAGTGTGGCCCTTTCCCTCCAAGCAGTTTACAAGGCTGTCCAAAAAAATCCAGTTACAGTAGGCTTCCAGATGAGAGATTTGGCTTGGATCCAGTGCCACAATTTTGATGTCCTCTTGACCTCTTTAATGACATTCTGCTTTAGTCTTCCTTTCCCAGTAGCATTACCTGGGCGTCAGGAAAGGGGAAGACGTTATTAACTTTCAGAAGGGAGAAGACCCAGAATACTTTGCCATACCCTAAACTATATCATCCGTGGCAGGCCTAGCATCCAGGCCCCCCTCTCTCTCCCATTTCTTGCCTGTTTCATAGAACCACATCATTGCTTATGGAAAGCTGCATCAAAGTGTCTTAGAAGATGGTGTAAAACTGAGATTTCAAGAGCTCATGTCCACAGGGAAACTAGTTAGTGATACCGAATGCTGCTGCATGTCAGAATTCCTGAATTAATCTGAATCAATGCACATAAAAGATTGGCTTGTGAGCAAAGGATTTTATTAAAACATTTTGATTTCTGTTGCTTTAAGAAAAAGACCAAAGTTTCCTGCCATAGGATGGCAAATGTATTCTTCATCACTACTAGTTTTATTGTGGGGGTCTCACTGAAGGGTTGGCATATCCAATCAAGCATGTAGCTCTCAGACAGCATGGATTTGGGAGTGAGAGATGGGATTGTTACTCAGTTCAGCCATTTCTTAATTATGCCCATGGGCAAGATACTGCCTTACCACTCTAAACCTTGATTTTCCTAATCTGTAAAATAGGGATGATAATAGAACCTACTCATAGAGTTATTGGAAGGATTAAGTGAGTTAATTTACATAAAGCACTTAGAATATGCCTGTCATAGAGCACTCATTATGCTAATGTTTTTATTGTTGAATCTAAAGTGGGGAGAAAGGAAGCATCCCTCCACTTGTGCTGTTGATGACAAAGGAATTAGTGATGCTCTGGGGAGTGTGCTGGAAATCCTCTACAGAGAATTAGAAAACTCCAGAATGCCCACTGCAAACCGGACGAGCCAGGGTGAAACTCCCTGGAAAGTGATAAAGTGTAATTTAACTTGAAAGATGTAAAATGAGGAATGGAGATGAACTACATGATGCTGCAGAGACAGTTAGTCTTGAAACCCTGGAGGAATCCCACCTCCTAGGATGAAGGTGGGGGTAGTCAGGTGACTGCTACACTGATTTCTGATCCTTGGAGTCTATGACCCTGCCTGTTACGTAAAGCAGAGTCTTCACATTTGTTGCTGTACACAACAACCAGTGTTTCACTGATGGCTGCCTATGGTGTTTTCTTTTCCTCTCCACCTCTTCCTCTCATGGATGTCCCGTGAAACTAGACATAGAAGATCCTTATGACTGCAAGAAGTGCAGGATGAGTTTCCCCACTCTTCAGGATCACCGGAAGCACATCCATGAGGTGCACTCCAAAGAGTACCACCCCTGCCCCACGTGTGGGAAGATCTTCAGTGCCCCGTCCATGCTGGAGCGGCACGTGGTGACCCACGTTGGAGGGAAGCCCTTCAGCTGCGGGATCTGCAACAAGGCCTACCAGGTGACCTCAGGTGCCACTGGGAGCTCTTCCCCTCACCCCTGACCTACTCTCCATTTGATCTTCCCTGATGCCCGGGTTGGTGGCTTGCAGATCATATCTTGTATCCAGGATGTGACAATTGGCTGATTCTCATGAAGGATGCAGCTTGTGATCCAGATTCTCTAAGGAGATCTGGTCGGAGTGCTGCAGTGGGGGAGCTCATTATTGGAGCAGAGAGTTCATACGCTTCTTCTCTTAGACAGCAGACTTGTCGTGAACTAATGCTGCTTTTCCCCTTGGATGCTCACCTTCCATAGAACCCATTGCTCCCATGTGTCAATGGGCATGACAGCGGCAATGGGGAGTGGAACACTACCTGGAATTACCTTGTTTGGCACAATTAGTTTGTGTTTGTTTAACTCACAGGGAAGGGCTCAGCCTTTTTACCTTAGGATTTGATATGTAATTAAAGTGAAGCCCCATATAGAACTAAAAAGAAACTGCATCTGTCAGAAGCTTTAAAACTACAGAGAAAAGAATGGTCCTTGTGGCATCTATAAGATTTGGGTATAGACAAAGAAGCATAACTGCTAACTTTAGCTCAGCAAAAACTGAGAGCTAACTTTGTGCCAACGCTCATGTTGTGACATTAGCGTTCCAGAACGGAGACCTGGGCTTGAGCCCTAGGATGGCGTGGAATGGTAGGGAAAGTATTCCCAGTGCTGCTCTGGAACCTGGGAAGGAGAGGGACTCTTGCTTATGGGGCAAGGGCAGTGTGCACTCCTCCAGCAGCTTGCTCGGCTGTGCCCCAGCTCCCTGGGAAGCCGTGAGATGCAGCTCACTGGTAAAGCACACAGGTGTTACAGTTGGAAGGCCTGGGCCTGAATCCTGGTCCTGCTATCTCCTGATGTTATGATTAGTCATTTAACCCCTCGGTGTCTCCGCTTCCAGCTCGCTAGGAAGACTCTAACACCTCCCTCATAGGCTTGTTGTAAGGAATGGGCATGTGAAGGACTCCTGGGAGCCCTGCCCTGTAGTGGCTTCTCAATGAATATGTAGTTGCCTTATTCTCACAAACACCAGGCTTTCCTCACATCAGCACCCGGTGTGATAGGTAAGAGTGTGTGATACTAGAAACGTCAGCTTATCCAAAAATGTATTTCTTTCTCTCATGAGAGCCTCGTGAGCTCTCCAGCTTGCTGGAACTTTCTAAGACCTAACACTTGCCAAATTCCTTGCAGCAATTGTCTGGTTTGTGGTACCACAATCGAACCCACCACCCTGACGTATTTGCTGCTCAGAACCACCGATCTTCCAAGTTCTCATCACTCCAGTGCAGCTCCTGTGACAAAACCTTCCCCAACACCATTGAGCACAAGAAGCACATCAAAGCAGAACATGCAGGTGGAGTTTGGGTACCGCCGGCAGAGAGCGGGAGGGGCTTGATGGTGTAGCCTCCTGGGCCCCACCAGAAATCCCCACTTCTAATAGTCTAGTGTGATGTGCAGTGGTCATTGCCTTTGTTCTGCCCCAGCGCACCTGTCCGTAGCAGCAGCAGTCAGTAGCAGCAGCTTGAGTGGCAGTGGTTCTCAAACCTGGAAGCGTAGCGCAGTGTAAGCTCCCACCAGCCCTGAGTGAGAGCTTGTTGGGGCACCTGGGAAGGGTGTCAGCCTCAGTGGTAGGCAGGCCTGAGTGGAAATCCTGATTCCAGCACTTATCAGCTACATGACCTTGGCAAGTGACTTCCCTTTTCTGAGCCTGTTTCCTTCTCTCCAGGATGGCAGTTATTAAAACCTACTTTGCAGGTAAATTTGGTGATAATCACAACAGCTGTCAGTTACAGAGTGTTTCCTATGTGCAAGACACCATGCTAAGCACCTCGTGTATATTTTCTCATTTCATTCTCACAACATCCCTCTGAGCATCCAGGCAGTCTGGATCCAGATCTCATGCTCTTTACCACTAGATTGTACAAATATACCATAGGTTATAAGATTCCTGGCACTTGGTAGATGCTTGCTAAGTATTGGCCATCGCCCCAACCCCAGCCCTGTTACTCTTCAGCCTTGGAGAGCCAACCATTTGTTCTTTCCCAGCACGTCTTTCTTTATGCACTTCACAGATATGAAGTTCCATGAATGTGACCAGTGTAAGGAGCTCTTCCCCACGCCAGCCTTGCTGCAGGTTCATGTCAAGTGCCAGCATTCAGGTCAGTACCCCTGTCAGCATACTTCTAGGCTAGACTCGGGGCCTGAATCTCCCCTCCACCACTTGCAGCTTTGCAACCTAGGCTAAATCGCTTAACAAACCTGTGCCTCGGTTTCTTCATCTATAAAATGGGAACAGTTGTAGCACCTGCCTCATAGAGTAGTGTGAAAAACTGAAGGCCTTGGCATCAATAAGCATCCCTTAAGCCGTAACTGTGATTGTCATTGTTATTGCTATACTCATCAAATCTAAAGTGCCAGTTAAAAATAAATAAATACAATTCCAGTTATAAGATATACCATTTTTATTTTTTTTTTTTTTGAGACAGAGTCTCACTCTGTCACCCAGCCTGGAGTGCAGTGGTGCGATCTCAGATCACTGCAACCTCCATCTCCTGGGTTCAAGCAATTCTCCCTGACTTAGCCTCCCAAGTAGCTGGAATTACAGGTGCCTGCCACCATGCTCGACTAAATAAGATGTACCTTTTTTTTTTTTTTTTTTTTGAGATGGAGTCTCACTCTGTCACCCAGGCTGGAGTGCAGTGGCGCGATCTCGGCTCACTGCAAGCTCCGTCTCCCAGGTTCACGCCATTCTCCTGCCTCAGCCTCCCGAGTAGCTGGGACTACAGGCGCCCACCACCACACCCGACTAATTTTTTTTTTGTATTTTTAGTAGAGACGGGGTTTCATCATGTTAGCCAGGATGGTCTCGATCTCCTGACCTCATGATCCGCCCGCCTCACCCTCCCAAAGTGCTGGGATTACAGGCGTGAGCCACTGCGCCCAGCCAAGATGTACCATTTTTAAGGAACTATTAAAAAAGAAAAACTACTGCCAGTTAAACTGTGCTTTCTTATCACTTAGAATTTCTACGTTATTCTAAGTGCTGTTTTGGACTAATTTGACATAGATTTTTATCATGTCACTCACTCTAGTGTGCATACATACAAAGGAAAACATAAAAAAACTGATTAAGGGAAGAATCCAGCTTCTCAGAGTAGTGTTCAATTCAGATTGTCAACAAGCATGTTTTTCCACACAGTGTTTACTCTGCCATCAAGAACATTGATGATGGAACGCATAATATAAGATTCCATCAAGAATTGAAGGCCATTCGTTTTGGTCTCTTGAGCGTTATGTAAAACTAGTCTACTTTTGATTCCTGCTTTGGGAATATAGCTAACCTTTCATCACTTACTTCCTCCCTTCTAAACCATTTGGTTTCCATGAGTTAAAAACGTGCACCATTCCTGTCTTAGGGAGTTTCTTCCAAGCCGTGGATGCCCATTCTGCAAGTCTTGATGCTGCCACTTTTGATGTTGGTGTGCGCATTGACGATTGCACCTGACTGCCTTAGCCCACAGAAGTCATAAGGTGCCATTGATCCTACTTCAGAGATGTTAAAATGTATTTCTTAGAATTGATGAAATATAGTATCGTCAGCATCTTTATCTGCAGTTGAATGAATAATGGGCTTCTGCAGAGGCAGATTTGGCCTGAATCTGATACTAATGAAACTGTCATCTCAGGGCCCCTCACTTGCATGGACCCTTCCAAGGCTCTGTCCTTGTCATTTTGTATTATTTTTCTTAAGGCCCCCCAGATTGAATAACGTTCGTG
Organism: Homo sapiens; assembly: GCF_000001405.40. NCBI lineage: Eukaryota > Metazoa > Chordata > Mammalia > Primates > Hominidae > Homo > Homo sapiens. The sequence goes on from NC_000001.11 coordinate 22,524,082, forward strand.
TCCCACAAAATGTGGATCCGCCTCCAAGCCTCGATCCTCATTGCTCTTTCCTCTCATGTCTTCCTGCCCTCATTTCTCTCATTTTACCCAGAGAATTTTACCCACAGCCCTCCCCTTCTGTCTCCCTCTCCTCCAGGGTCCCAGCCATTCCGGTGCTTGTACTGTGCTGCTACTTTCCGTTTTCCTGGAGCATTGCAGCACCATGTCACCACGGAGCACTTCAAGCAGTCAGAGACCACCTTCCCCTGTGAGCTCTGTGGGGAACTCTTCACCTCCCAGGCCCAGCTTGACAGTCACCTGGAATCTGAGCACCCAAAGGTGATGAGCACGGAAACCCAGGCCGCAGCCTCACAGATGGCGCAGGTGATTCTGGGGCCATCAGCTACATTAGAATGCTAATGCATGGTTCCTAAGGCTTCTCTAGAGGTGGCTCTGTCATAGTACCCAGAGATACTCTTTGGGGATCTTGTAGAGAGTCTCTCTGGACTTCTTACAAAACAGAACAGAAAATTCTAGTCTCCTGGTGGCCACATGGGAAGTGGCCCTTAGGTAGAGGGAGCCTGGAACAATAATTTCCAAAAGAGGAACAGCTTGGTTCCTCCTCCCAGTGCATACGTCCCTGCCTCCTGAGAAACACCGTGGGGTGTGGTGAGAACTGCGGGAAACCTCGGAGACAGAGGAACACTTTGTTGGGCAGGGACTGCCTGCAGTTGAAGTGCTTGGAGAGCGCCTCTGGGCAGGACACAGTACACACTTGCACACACCTGGGCCTCTCACCTTTACCTGGGCAAAAAAACCACCTCTTCTTGATGCTTCAGGGCTAAGCTTGATCCAGCTTCCCTTTGCTTCCCAGATCCTCTTTTACTCTTCTTCCCATCTTCTCCAGAGAGGGTGGGCAGAAAAGGAAAATAAATTCAGGTCCATCCATCGTCAGTAATTTGTGGGTGGGTTGGAGAGGAACCATAAACTGATTGAGGTTTTGGTCTGTTAGACTGTCCCGCTGTCCAGTTCCAGATCAGTCATTTATAAACCAGGTTCTTACAGGCCTCTGGGGAACAGAGGGGAAGTCAGGTAGGCAGGACTCCCGCCAACACTCTGCTGTCATATCAACCAAAGGTGCTCTGCTTTTATCTTTTTTGTATATTATGGTTCTTGATAATATGTCCTTTGGGGAAAAGGTGGGGCTGGGGCGTCCATTTCTAAAAGAAAAAGAAAGAAAAGCAGTTTGAAAACTACTATCCTGGATCATTGTTGATTGAACATCACAGTTGATCTCTTCTCTCCTGTAGCACGGAGAAGTAGCTGGGCTTGGCTTCCTCACTTGTTCCTGCTCTCTGCTCTTCACTGATTCTCAAGAGCAAGGTGGCTGTGGCCTCTAGTTTAAAAATATCAAGGGCATCTAGCTCTTCTGGGATCTATGGGTTAGAAACATCAACTGGGAGGCTTAGGCGGGAATTGGATATGCCTAACCACAGACTCATTCTCTCTCAGTTGGAAAGGTGGTCTCTAACAGATTATGCAGATTTGGAAGGGACATAGGTGGGCTGTGGAGGAGAGAAGGGGGCACTGGCCCCGCCAGGCTGGTGAGCTGAATGAATGCGTGGAGTCACAGTTCATCCAGTCTTCCTCCTAAGCTCGGTCACTGTGTGGCCTCCTGGGAAGGCTGTGAGCCTGCGAGAGGTCCAGAGAGGCTGCCCCGGGCCCACCTGGGCCTGTGGTGGATCAATCCCATTCCCATGTTCCAGGCATGAGACCAGCTGGCTTCAGTGGCATTCCTCTCACATGGCACTCACCTCTGCAGTGTCATCCCAAGACAGGAAAGCCCAGTGTGAAAAACAGAGCCAGTGTTCGCTGGTGTATAATCATAGAGTCCGGGCGCCCCGAGATGGCGTACTGAGCAAAATTATAGCAATTTAGTGCACAGTTATTTAAATTGTTTGCTGGCCTTCTCTTTTGCATCGCCAGTGGGTTAGACTTGCCTCTTCCCATTAGGCACATGTAAGTGCTCTCCTCAGGTGAAAACATAAATATCATCATTACAGCATGAGATGAAAACCATGTAAATCAGGGAGCCAACTGTGAACACTGCCCAGAGCAGCCTCACGGTCTTTCTCTTTCAGGTGATCCAAACCCCAGAGCCGGTGGCCCCGACAGAGCAGGTGATCACTTTGGAGGAGACCCAGCTTGCCGGGTCGCAGGTGTTTGTGACGTTGCCAGATTCTCAGGCATCTCAGGCCAGCTCTGAGCTCGTGGCGGTGACTGTGGAGGACTTGCTGGATGGCACAGTGACGCTGATCTGTGGTGAGGCCAAATGAGCAGCCTTTCATCCGGCAGAGCCTTCCTGCGTTTGCAGCAGAGAGGAGGCCCCACAGCTTGCCCTTTGCCCTCCATCCCTGGCTGTCCTGAGTGGTGAGCATCTTAGCTTAGCACCAACCAACACAGTCTCACCTAGAAAACAGATGGAAGCTTCGTTGTTCTCATAGAACCAACAGCATCTGAGCCCTCAACACCAACAGCACCATCCTCTGTAGCAGACAGGCCTCCCTCCCCACAGGCCCGCTGCTGCGGCCTCTATGACACTGTCCATCCCCAAGTGACATGTGGCTTCAGAAGTAGAGTCTGAAAGAGCAGTGGGATGGGAGCTGGTGACCAGGGTACCCCAGGAGGCATGATGTGCCGACAGCGCTCAGTGGGCAGAATGGCAGTTAGATATGGGACTTGGCCCACAGTGGGGGCTGCAAATGCTGCCACTGCCTCTGGCCATTTAAAGTGAGAGGGGCACCAACAGACAATTCGGGGACCTTAGGCCCCTTCCTGAGGCACACTTGGCCCCTTCCTCGGTCCTATCATCCTACCCTCTGCTGGGGTTCCCCCTCCACCCAGTGGCCACGCCCAGCACCCTATTGATGGCTATAGGACAGGTAGCCCTCATTTCCATGCCTGATAACCCCTTGTCAGTTGTCAGCTCTTCCCAAAACAAAGCTCTGGAGTTTCTGCTGGAAGTGTTTAATGTGAGGCATCAGCTGCTAGACAGTGTCTGCCTTTCCAGGACATTCTTCTTGGTATTCCTTACCTGAAGCCTGGTTCCCACAGCTCTTCCGTGTCATCTTCATCCCCTTCCTTTAATCAAAGGCTGAAATCTCTGCCTGACCTGGCAGCCTGGCTCCCTCTGGGTCATATGGTGCAGACTGTGACCAGCACCAGGCAGGCAGTCCTGTCTGCGTGTGGAGGAGCAGCCGTGACTGCCCGTGGCTCTGCTGCCGCCCACTCCCTGCCTTGTGAGTGGCCTGCTGCCTCACCTCCCGCAGGCCGCCACACTTATTGCAGGTCAGTGATCCTTTGGAGTTTGAATTTCACAAAGCTTTTTTTATCTTCAGTTCCTAAAATATAATCTGATAATTAATGGTTTGTGGAATCCATTATGAAGTGCAATTAGATAGATGTAGGTTCCTGCCGTTTGGAGAGAATGACTAGCATTTATCTTCTTTTCCTTCCATGCCAAAGGTTGGAGTCTGCTGGTGCGGTGTTTACACACCAGGCAGGGCTGTCTGCCACCTTGTGTGGCTTGACCCCCTGTGGAGGGGAGTGCCTGGTTGGATCCCACACTGGCAGAGATGGGGCCACCCCTTCCTTCCAGGCACATCTCACATTGCCATGTACAGAGGCAGGAGTCACGTTTGGTCACCATGGAAGCTTTTATTGCTCCCACATGGTCAGGTCTCACCCTGCTTGAAGCGCAGAAGGCACAGCCTTACTGACCAGCACGCCCACTGACTGGCATCTGCCGGCTTTGTGCAGGCAGCCCCGACGGTTTCCACAGCGAGCGCCAGCTCCGGCCAGCCTGGGACAGCTCATCCCAGCCGACTACACCTGCTTCTGGTCCTGTCCACATTTTGATACGCAGATCACTTGAGCTTGTCAATTAGGGTTCTGCCATTCTGAAATAAATGAAGTTTCTAAAGCAGAGTCGGCCTCAGAAGCCAAAAACTGACCAGAAGATGGTGCTCAAACCTTTAAGACTTCATCTCCATGTGAAGGGCTCACTGTTTCTACCAAGGCTGTGCCTGTATTAAGGCTTTTCCGTCCTGGGAACTGTCAGTCTGGGAGAGCTCTTGATCTGCAGGTGGCAAAATGGCACTGAATATCCCCTTGGCAGCAGAGAAAACCCACTGAAAGATCGTAGAGTGGCACATGCTTACAGGGCATTGGTGCCAAGTCCAGTGGATGAGAATCCAGCCCCTCACAAGCTGTGGGATGGGGCTTGGGAGTTGCAGTGAATGTCATTAAAATTTCTTCCAAAACAAAACTAGAAATAATTGCTGAGGGCTTATAGGGAAGTGATTTAAAAAGAAAAAACAAACAACAACAAAAAAAACTCTTCGGAATAAAGAGGGCTGTAAATTTTGAATTCCAGTGTCAGATCCTTTCAAGCACTGAGAAATTCTTTCTCAGGTTTCTTTTTTTGGGGGAGACAGGGTCTTGCTCTGTCACCCAGACTGGAACACAGTGGCACGATCTTGGCTCACTGCAACCTCTGCGGGCTCACGCAATCCTCCTGCCACAGCTTCCCAAGTAGCTGGGACCACAGGCGTGAGCCACCACTGCTGGCCAGTTTTTGTATTTTTTTTTTTTTTTGTAGAGACAGGGTCTCGCCATGTTGCCCAGGCTGGTTTAAAACTCCTGAGCTCAAGCAGTTCTCCCACCTGGGCCTCCCAAAGTGCTAGGATTACAGACATGAGCCACTACGCCTGGCCAGGTTTCTGTTGGAGACCCAGATTGTGACAAGACATTTGTTTTCTTCGGAATCACCAGATTTGCAGCTTACTGTGCCGAGAGTGGACTGGCTGCCGGGGCCCATCAGATGCCCTCTGGCCCATGGCACACTCAGCAGAAGGCACAAACCCAGTGCTGGTTCTCATCAAGAAAGAGGGGAAGGCCCTTCCCGAGTTTACTGTCTGCTCTGAGTGGGCTCCGCACTGGCTGACTGATTTTATAGTCTTGCTCTCTAGAGAAGCCCAGGCATGGATCTTATAGGAAAACTTTCTGACTCTGCTTGGCCATTTTATCCTTTTCTCCTACTTCTGCCCAAGAGACCTGAATTGCTGCCATAGAGGACAGTGTTTGTGTGGTCTCCTGAGTCCACATCGCTCGCTTCCATGGGGTCCCGGTGTTGTTTTTGCCTCGTTCCCCATAGGCTGCTGCCCTTATGGCCTCTGGACTGAACTCTGGGGCCTTTGGGGTGGTGTGAAGGAGTCTGTGGGCTTCTTGGAACACATGGATCTGTTCGGTGGGTCCCCAGACCTCTGCTCCCAGAGCTCATGGCCCAGGTGGTGAGGAGGGAAAGGCAGTCAGATTCCAGGCTGGAGTGTGATTCTGTGGGAATACTGGGGTCAGTTATGGAACAGGACTTGCCCATCATAGGTAAGTGAGACAGCAAATAGATGATTCAAGAGCAAGGATTACTGCGGGAAGGTGAGACTCCTACTGTCCACGCGCATGAGCAGAACCTGGAACCAGAGGGGCAGGGACCAGGGGTCTTTACTCATTTATTTTATGGGTAAAGAGACATGAAGAGACAGCCTCTCTCTTCTGTCTCAGAAGCTCTGTGTTTGGGAAACTTTGAGCCCAGTGAGTAGCAGGGTCTGCAGTGTGAGTACCAGGTTTCCCTGGCAATCCAGGTCTCCTCTGAGGAAGCATTCTGACTTCCCACTGACCACGGAAGGCATGTCAGCTTCATGCCTCGGGCTAGAGTTCTGATAATCGGGGCTGAGGGGTGAAAAGAAATCCAGTCAGACAGACAGTGGGGAGACAGGTCCCTGCCCTTTATTTGCGGGATCAATCAGGGACTCCCAGAAAGGAAGGAGAATGGTGAGAAGGGCCCTAAGAGTTCGTCTCTCACCTGGGGGCTGGTGACGTGGTCACCACAAGCTGAAGACAGGCTAATGGGGTGGCGGGTGTGTGTTTAAACCTCACGTGCCTGGAAGCTGCACATTGACCAAAGGAGGGAGGGAAGTGCTAACCATGTATAGAGTGGGCAGGCGGTTCCAGGGAGACAAGCAGCATGTTATTAAATTGGGCCTAGGCAGTTGGACGATAATGGAGAAAAAGCAGGGATGCTATAATGAGTCCTCCCCAAGGGTGAGTTCAGCACCCCAGCCCTGTTCTGCTTGTATCCCAGTGATACTTGGGAGGTAGGAAGAAAATGGGAGTAAGAGAACAATTTGGGGCTGAAGGGAGTGTCAGAGGCACGTTGATCCTTGTTTTGTTGTCATGGAAACTTCGGGGCTGGTGGGACTTAGGCCAAAAGCTCAGAGGCACAGCCAAAATTTAGAAGCTTGCTACTCCTACGACTCGGCCTATAAGGAAGAGAGAAGCTGTCTGTACTTTGGGGACTACATTGCTGAAGGAAAAAAATCACTCCCTGGCTAATTAAGATTGCTTCCAAATTGGGGGAATGTGTGTCATTTCCTTTACCAAGGCCAGTCATCCCTGCTTCCACCCATGGTCAGGACAGTCAGCCACTACGTGATGCTGTATAAATTGGATTACAAACCATATTCTTGTTCAGCTTGCACTAATCTATATAAATAAAATATGTACTTTGAAAAAAATTAGGCTACATGAGTTTCAAATGGACTGTGATGTTATAGACCTGCTTTCTCTTTGGTTCTGGGCCAGTGTCAGACGGGGACAGGGGTGATAGGCCTGGTGTCCTAGGGGCCATTTGTGTACCTTGAGGCCGTGTTAACATGGCCTGGGGGAAAGAAAGCTCTCCTGTCACTTGGAGTCTCATTCCTAAACCCTCCTTCCCAGGGAGCAAGTGTGGGGCAGGGTTTCAGAGCACAGGCTTTGGTGTCCAGCCTGGGTACATCCAGCTGTCCCGCTGTCTAACTGACATTGTGTGAGATGCTTACTCTCTCTGAGCTCCCTCCTCCTGGCTCCCAACTTTATTATAAAATGGGGAAAATGATTGTGCTTGCCCTACAGAATTGTAGTATGAATTAAAAGTCTGGATTTAATGTATTTAATATAGAAAATTTTAGCTTTTATTAATAAAAGTTTTTGGCATACAAGTCAACTATTCCCTGCATTCTCTGGCACTAAAGAGAATGTTCATTCCTGTATCTTTATGTAGTCTTTTTCCTCTCTGAAGCCTTAAGGGATCCTTATAACACCCACTTTTCATTTATCTCTTGAATCTCAACTGCCCCGAAAGTACAAAGTGCTGAGCAGATAGCTGTAAAATAAACTAAACCTTTCTTGGTGAACAGCTGAAAATGTCACATTGCTGGCAGCCAACAAGGAAACAAGAGCAGGAGACCCGGATGGGATGTACATGAGTTCTGCAGGAAGCACCCAGTGTTTAAGACGAGGGGAGGGGCATCAGATCCCGCAGCCCTGACGCTGTAGAGAGCAGAGGAGTTGGGGAGGTTCTATGCTCACTCCTCCTGGGACAGTTCTGGAGGAGCACAGATGGACCCTTGTTCAGAGTCCGCAAGTGTGTTTAGGAAGGAATGCTGCCCTGCCTAAGTGCTGTCTTTGGAGAGCAGGGCTGGAGCTGCCTATGTCATATTTTGGGCAGTAGTCCTGAGAGTGTCCCAGCCAGCTGCAGTGGGTAATTGTAACATACAGTTGGGCCCCAGCCACATTTGAAGGTATGCAGAGGTGAAGTGCTGCTGCAGGTCGGGTGGGATTGAGCAGAGCTAGGAAGTGGGCCGAGGGGTTCCCTCAGTGATCTTCTGGGCCAAGGTGGCTGGCTGGAAGGAGCTGAGCAGCATGGTGGAAAAGACATGGGCTTGGGAGCTTCCTAGCTCCACGTCTTACTAGACAGATGACCTTGGGCGAGTTTTTCCTGACAGTGACTATGAGAAGAAAGTTAACATTTGTAAAATATCTGACAGAGTATAGACGCTTCGTAGATGATGGCTGTTCGTGTTTATAATATTTTAGAAGGGCCTGGAGGAAGAGCTGGGGCAGAGGACAGCTGGAAAGGAAGAGCTGGGGCGGAGGACAGCTGGAAAGGAGGTACCTAATGTGTCCTTAGATAACAGGGTCTGAAACCCAGTGCAAGGGTCTCCAAAACCAGGGTAAGAGGAGGCATAAACCCAGAGACCCCAGCCCAGGCCAGAGTGAACAGTGGTACGAGGGGAACAGGATCTCCCGGGTTGGAACAGGGGCTCTCAGCTCTTTGGCACTGCAGCAGAGGGGTCGCATCTGAGTAAAGGCAGAAACCTGGGAATGTTGGGTGGGGACACATCCAGTGAGAGCAAAGGAAATGGAAAAACTAAGTCTGCAGTGATTTTTGGCTTCTCTGCCTCTTTAGTGTTCACTGTCTATCCTTTTCTCCATGGGCTTATGCTCAGGATATGTTTGGAGTGAAAGGTTAAAGGGGCTCTGGCACCATGCAGAGGTGTCCTAGACCAGGGTCTTTACTCTTCATTAAGAGATGAAGAGGTTATAAGGACGTGGACATAGAAACCAAGTTCATGTTCTCGAGAATGTTCTGCAGGCTTTTCTTCGTGCATCTGTCCTGCCTTTTGGCCTTTCACCAGGGCAGGTGTAGGTCCCATGCCCACCAAGACCTCTGTATCTCCTCCGCATACTCAGACTGGGCAGTACTCAGTGGATGCTTAGCAGATGCTGCCGACTGCTGGAGACAGGGACTCTGACCTTGGGCTCTCTCTTCCGAGGGGTAGAGGAGCTGCTTCCTATTCTGCAGCTCTGCACCACATGTTCAGTATGAGCTGTTTCTAGCCAGTCGTGGAATACGCTATTATTCCATCTACTCTCCATCCACCTCATGTCTGCAACCTTGTGAGGCAGAGCCAGCACTTGGCGGGGTTGCGTGTGCTGCTAGAATCCTGAGCTCCATCGTGGAGAAAGAACTTCCCCCAGCTTTCCCTGTCACTCCCTAAATCTGTATTCTGCGATGTCCCAAATCCATCCACTACACGATTGAAACCCTAGGTATGCAGTTGTGTATTTGGTGCCTTAATCCTCACACAGCTTCATCTCATTTGAGATTCTAACCAGTATGAGGACAGGGACCACATCCTATTTACTGCCCTCGTTTCTCTGAGAGTTAGGAGTGCTGTGTTGGGCACACAGAGGCTCTGCCAGAACCAAGTGGTACCCCTCTTGCTTACCTTCATTTCTCGGCTCAGGGAGAACCCAACTTCCACATTTTACTCTGGTCATTGAGGCTGTACCCCAAGTTACCCGTGGGCTGGTCTGTCAGAACATCCTCCTCTCTTTGTCCTCTGAGGAGAGATTAGCAGAAGGCTAAGAGCAGCCAGCCAGGCCCCACCACTCCCAGCTGCTCTGATCAAACACCATTCCTGCCGCTTCTTCTAGCTCTGGCTCCCCCGGCGCAGGCCAGAAACAGCTGATCAAACACATCAGGACAAGGTCAGTCCAGGGACCCACGGTCCCCTCCAGGGGAGATTTCACAGCCCTGCCATCAGGAGGGTCTGATAAAAATGGGCAGGGGGCGGGGAAGGGGGCCTGTGGGGCTGGCACAGGACCAAACAGCTTTTCATTTTGTTTAAGGTTGAAACCCCTGTGCTCCACACAGGGTCCACACCAAGCCAGCATTTCCAGAAAGGCAGAGCTGGAGCTGAGGAGACGGGAGCTGTGTGTGCACGTATGAGTATGTGGGGGTGAGAGAGATGTCAAGAGCACATGTGGGTTTGGGAGCATGGGATTATTAGATTGTCACAGGATGACTTAAGATCCTCCCCCGCTAAACTGCGACCCCTTCAAGGGCAAGGACTGTGCATTATCCTCGTTCTCTCTCTTACATGCACATGTGTGTACCCAGCAGTTAGCCTGGCACATCAGGTGCCTGATTGCACAGGTATGTTAGACCTGAAGTTCTGGGACTCGGTGAGGTCCTGTTACCGGGCTAAAATGGTGCCTGGCTCCCGCTCCTACAGGACTCATCAGCCAGGTAAGGATTATATATGAATGAGAAACAGATACCAAAACACCCATGTCTGTCCAGACTCAAGATCTAAAGATCCCAGCGCCTACAAATTCTGTGGGGGTTTTGGTTAGTTGGTTGATTGGTTGGTCTTTTTCATGGGTAGGGGAAGGAAGGGGAGGATTAATATTTTTTAGAAATAGGCCAGGCGCGATGGCTCATGCCTATAATCCCAGCACTTTGGGAAGCCGAGGCAGGTGGATCATCTGAGGTCAGGAGTTCGAGACCAGCCTGGACAACATGGTGAAACCCCATCTCTACTAAAAATATAAAATTAACCGGACGTGGTGTGCATGCCTGTAGTCTTAGCTACTTGGGAGGCTGAGTCAGGAGAATCACTTGAACCCAGGAGGCGGAGGCTACAGTGGGCTGAGATCACGCCACTGCGCTCCAGCCTGGAGAAGACAGAGCGAGACTCCATCTCAAAAAAAAAAAAAAAAAGAAATATCCTAATTAATAATTGGTGTTATTACATGCTTACCACACATTAGACACTGGATGAAGAGCTTTTTGTAATTTTTTGTTTTTTTGAGACAGAGTCTCACTCTGTTGCCCAGGTTGGATGGAGTGCAGTGGCACGATCTCAGCTCACTGCAACCTCCACCTCCCAGATTCAAACCATTCTCCTGCCTAAGCCTCCCAGGTCGCTGGGATTACAGGTGTGCACCACCACACCTGGCTAGTTTTTGTATTTTTAGTAGAAACAGTGTTTCACCTTGGTGGCCAGGCTGGTCTTGAATTCCTGACTTCAGGTGATCCACTTGCCTCGGCCTCCCGAAGTGCTGGGATTACAGGCATGAGCCACAGTGCCCAGCCCAGTAATTCTTATTTCTTAGAATTCTAGCACCAACTCCACAATGTAGGTGCTATTATTATCCCTGCATTACAGATGAGGAAACCAACACCAGAGAGGTGAAGTCGCTATGTAGCTAGAGAGCAGCATAGCTGGGGTCCAAACCCAGCTGTCTGACTCCAGAGTCTGCTCTTAAATCGCTTGCTATTTTTAAGCATTTCTTGTTTAATACCTAATCAGCCAGAAAATGTGGCTTATCCCCACTTCCTATGCCTTAAGCAGCCTTGCTGTCACACCTGGACTGTTGTCATAGAGCCAAGGACTCTCCACCTGCTTTCTCTCCTTTCCCGTCCCCTCTGTCCATCCTGCCTGAGACAGCCAGGCAGGCCTAAAACTGCTTTTATCAGCCAGAAATGTGTCCAGGAGCAAAGGGTCATGTCCTTTGCCTTGCGTGGGATCAGTGGCCTGGGTCCTGTCACTTTTTTGGACCCCATGCTCTTCAGTCTCACCGGTCCTCAGTTGACACTTGACAGCTCACTTGGGGCTCTTCCTTGAGATGCAGGACAGCCAGAGATCCTGGCACTGAGGAGACATGTCTCGTATAAGCAGGTAAGCAGCAGAATCGGGAGTAGGTCTGGGCTCTTCGGAGACCTGAGACCTGCGCTCCTCCCACTGCTGCAGTGGCACTGTGGAGCCTGCCTGGAACAAGCCCCTCCAGCCCAGGGGGCACACAGTCAATGCAGGGGGCGCATAGTCAATGCAGGGGGCTTCCTGGACCTCATGCTTCCCAACGGCTTGGGCCATGTGGCCCCAGTGGAGTTGGTTTCTTGGTCTGGCATCAGCAGAATGGGTTGTCTTTTGTTTTTTAACTTTAAGTTCAGGGATCCAAGTGTAGGTTTGTTACATAGGTAAACTCATGTCACAGAAATGGGTTGTACAGATTATTTCATCACCCAGGCATTAAGCCCTAGTACCTATGAGTTATTTTTCCTGATCCTCTCCCTCCTCCCACCCTGCACCCTCCAAAAGGCCCCAGTGTGTGTTGTACCCTCTATGTGTCCATGTGCTCTCATCATTTAGCTCCCACTAACAAGTGAGAACATGTGGTATTTATTTGGTTTTCTGTTCCTGTGTTAGTTTGCTAAGGATGATGGTCTCCAGCTCCATCCATGTCCCTGCAAACGACATGATCTCATTCTTTTTTATGGCTGAGGAGTGGGTCGTCTTACCCATATGGTGTCCCCATTTCTGTCCCAACCAGCGGTCAGTTGACTTGGAGCAGCAGAGGCCTCACCTGGTAGGAGTAGGGCTGTGGGGCAGGTGGAGCACGGAAAGAGAGGAGGCGGCAGATGCGTGACCCCCCTGGCCTGCCCTCCCTTTTGCATGGATAATGGTAGTCCCATAATGCCTTATTCTGGAATCACACTCTGCTATTTTTAGATACTTTCATATACATTATTTCTTTTGATCCTTACAGTCACATGAAAGTTTAGGTATCTTTATTGTTACCTCTTTTTACAGTAAAGGGATTCAGACAGTACAAGACCTCAGCCTTAGACGCAAGGCTCCTCCGCTAGTGAGAGGTGGAATTGGAGTCCAGGTTTTTGACACAGAACGCAGGATTTTCTCCACCTCGCTGTGTTGCCTGTTACACCTCCCTGTGTTTCACAGCACTTTCAGTCATTTACATGCTTGGTTCTGGCAGCAGTGCTCTGAGGCTGGAGGGGCGCAGATGATTATTTTGCAGATGAAGAAATCGAGGTTTCAGGACAGTTGGTTGTTCCATCACATGGTGAGTCAGTAGCAGAACTGCAGTGAGAACAGCTGGACCCAGCATTACATCCACTTGGCAAGGAGAAGTGCCTCTTAGGCCAGGCAAGTGAGGAGACTCAAGTCCAAGTCCTAGCAGCAGGGATGGGTGAGAGCCGCCATTTGTTGACTTCTGCTCTGGGCCAGAGCGTGTGTACCTCATCCCCAACGCAGGTGCCACACCCACAGTCACTGGCCGGTAGGACTCTCTGTGATGGCGACAGTGGTCCATTCTGCACTGTCCAGTGTGGGAGCCACTAGTCATGTGTGACTGTGGGGCACTTGAAATGTGTCTAGTGCACCTGAGGAACCATAGTTTTAATTTAAATAGTCCCATGTAGCTTCGTGGCTGCTGTTATTGGACAGCGTAGAACTGGATGAAGGCTCAGGGGGTTGAGGGTCACACAGGAAGTGGCTGAGTCCAGATTCAAGTCCAGATCTGTGAGATTGCAAAGCCTGTGGCATTTCCGTTGGCGCCCAGTGTCGGGAGGGAGATGCGCACGAGTGGTGGACATTGGCTGTGAGGTTCAGAAGGCTTCATTTCATTTGTGAAGGCTGCCCCTCACTCCCTGGCTGTGCGCTCGGACAGCCACATCACCGCTGTACCCTCCTGCATCTTCATCCTCGTCAGCGTTGATGCTGTTATATTGACCACCCGTCACCCCCAGGCTGGGCGCCGGGGCTCTACCTCCATCAGGACTGAGCCTGATACTGAATCTACAATAACACTACTGTGACCCCATTTCCCGGAGTCAATAGAGGCTCAAAAAGATTGAGAAACTTGCCCAAGGTCACCAGCTTTTACTGGAAGGGTCACATTGGCATAAATACAAAATACCCTATTTTTGTTCCTTTTTCTCACCAGCTCCAGACCAGAGCTAAAGCGAAATTAGAAAGTGCCACAGAGGCAGCCAGGAAGCCCTCCCACTTCCCATCACACACTTCGCTGGCCCCTATCTTTGAGAAGACAGCATTGTACTGAGCATGCTGTCTGGGCACAGCCACTGCTCCCAGAGAGTGGGCAGAGGGCCAGGCACGCCACTCCTGGGGGGCAGCCTCGCCTGTGTGTTTGCAGCTTTCTCACAACTATTCTAGAAAGCACTTGCCTCAAGTAAATGCTTTTTTTAAAAGCATATGTAATCTTAAATACGATTTTTGTTTCATCATGGAACAAGATGTGTTAGTTCCAGCACACTTACAATGCAAGTCATGAGAAGACGCAATTCATTGTCACTCATGAGCTGTGTGACCTTGGTCGAGTCTTTTCAGCCCCACCCCCGCAAGTGGATTAGATAACCTCCACGAGCCCTCCTCCAACGTTTCTGATTCCTTGGGTAGCATGGGAAGTAGAGAAACCAGGGTTCTGGCTCGGACTGCCACTTTCACGGTGTGTGACTTACCTCTGAGCCTTGGGCTTCTCATCTGTAAGGATGCCATTCCTGTGGAGTGGGAGCGCCCAGCAAGATCTGGCACAAGAAGAGCCTGGCATGGGGCTGCCATGGGGCGCGTGCTCAGTGAAGGTCCTGATAACGCTTTTGTGCTGCATGCACAAGACCCAGCGATACCCCATGGCCCCATCTCAAGGAACAAGGAAGAGATGTTGGAAGAAGTCTCTGTCCTCAACTGGGAGGAGAAACATGCCCTCTTCGGGCCAAGATGGTGGCACCAGTGCTGAGAACAGCACCAAAGAGCCTCCTGTGGCAGCTTTCACTGCAGGGCAGCCTTGCCCCCTCACCTTAGTGGGTGTGGGCCTTGGGGGCTGTGCCCACCAGTGGCACAGCTGGGAGGATCTGGAAGGGACAGGTAACAGAAGCATTTAGTCCTGGAAGAGGGAGGTTTCCCAGAGCTGAGGGGAGGGCATGGCTCAAGAGAGGAGCAGGGCACGAGGACAGTGGCTCAGCCATCCCTGCCAGCCCTGGTCTGAAGCAAGCCTAGAGTCCAGGATAGCCCCCAGGCTGACAGTCAGGGATATGGAGTCAGATGGTCAAATGTCAACACTGTTGCTGCCCGGCACTGTGACTGAGCACGCCATTTAAGCTCTCTGAGCCTTATTTGCATCTTCTGTGAAATGGGGAGGGTAGGGGGTAGAATGTAATACCCAGGAAGGCCCCTGTGTGATGCCAGCCAGAGTGGGCTCAGTAGTGGTTATTAGTTTCCTGGGGCCTGACCCAGCTGTTGCAGGAGAAGTCTGTGCTGGGTGCTCTGGCCTCTGGTGTCCGTGAGGCAACAGAGAGGAGTGAGTCTGCTGCGATCCCCACTGCTGACCTCGGGAAGGCTGTGACCTCGGCGCCAACTGGGAGAACCAGGGCCTGAGGTCTGGGGATGCTGGAGTCCAAGTCTCTCGGGTTACGCCTGGCTGGCCGAGTGAACAAGACCAGAACCCCAGGTTTGGGGAGGGCTTCCTCATCTGACCACTCAGGAGCCCTGAGGATAGGATCCCCTGGACACCATGGGTCACTCCCATCTTCTGGTCAGAACCTTTCTCACAGGCCTTCCTGGGGACCTGGACCTAGACTGCCAGGGGGGCAGGGGGCACAGAGCCTCGAGGTTCCCAACATGGAACTGTGAGTACCCCCAGCCAAGCACACACACTCAGGGCCATCCTCCTCCCCATCCACCAACCCACACCCTCTGCCAGCCTTTCCCACCCAGCTTCCCCCCAGTCCTGCAAGCGCAGCCCAAATGTCTCCCACTGCAGAAAGTGGCCTCTGTGACCTCAGCCAGGGAACTCCTTCCCTGGACTCCTCCCATACTTTGTACAACCCATAGTATTGAGCATGTGGTCATGTGTGTTCATGTCTTTTTATTACTTTTTTCTGATAGAATATATGTAACAAAGTCTACCTTTTTAACCATTTTTAAGTGTCATGTTTAGTAGCATTAAGTACATTCTTACTGGTGCAACCACCATTACCACCTGTCTCCAGAACTTTTTCATCATTTCATACTGAAGCTCTGTATCCATCAAACATTCTCTTTGCCCCAGAAAGAAGCCTCGTATCTGTTGTCAGTCACTTCCTGTTCTCCTCTCCCTGAACCACCCCGACCCCCCACCCCACCACAGCAACCACCATTCTACCCGGTCTCTAGGAAATTAAGCGGTCTAGGTGTATCATAGAAGTAGAATCATACAGTATTTGTCTGTGTTCGTGTCTTTTTTTTTTTTTTTTTTTGAGACACGGTCTCTGTCGCCCAAGCTGGAGTGCAGCGGCGCCATCGTGGCTCGCTGCAGCCCCAATCTCCCAGGCTCAAGTGATCCTTATACCTCAGCTTCCTGTGCAGCTGGGACCACAGGTGGGGCCACCACTCTCGGCTAATTTTTTTTTAATTATTATTTTTAGTAGAGACGGGGTCGCACTATGTTGCCCAGACTGGTCTCGAACTACTGAGCTCAAGTGATCCTCCTGCTTTGGCCTTCCAAAGTGCTGGGATTACAGATGTGAGCCACCGCACCCAGCATATGTTCACGTCTTAATCCTCCACAGGGCCTTGTGACTAGTGACTGAGCAAAAAGAGCAAATGAAGAGGCAAAGAATGCTACCACCATGCCTGAGACTTCCTGAGACAGGCACAGTCCCCTGCCTCACCCAGCTCCAAAACTCCTAGAATTCATTCATTCCCTTATGATGGGCAGACAGCATTGTAGATGTGGAGACCCCACAGTGAACAGAACAGACTGCAGTCCCTGCCTTTATGGAGCTCACAGTTGAGTCAAGACAGTGACTACATATATAGTCTGCTAGATAATGGTGAGCCCCAGGGAGAAAAATTAAACTGGGGGGCAGGGGGCAGACAGGAAGTACCAGGCAATGTTGCAATTCCAGGGTGGCCAGGAAAGGCCTCGCTGATTCAATGACTTGAGCAAAGACCCGCTGGCTTTGAGGGAGTGGCCGTGTGAATGTCTAGGGAAGGATGTTCCTGGCAGAGGGACAGCCAGTGCAAAGGCCTGGAGGCAGGAACATGCACGGCCTGCTTGAGGATGCCTGGGAGGCCAGGGTGGCTGGAGCAGAGTGGGCATGGGAGAGGGTAGTAAGAGAGAAAGCGAGAAAGTGGTCAGGGCCCAGAGTATGCAGGGCCTTCTAGGTCATTTTAAGGCTGTGGCCAGTGAAGGGTTTTGAGCAGAGGTGCTGCAGCTGCTGTGCAGAGAATAAATATAAGGTGGGGAGTTGGGGGGTGGTGCTGGGAGGTTACTTAAGGGGCCATTGCAATATCTCATCGCAGCAGAATTTCATAAAAATGAAAATGAAGCCACAGCCAGAAAATATTTCTGAGTGGCTCCTTTGTTAGCCAAGCAAGGAAAATGATGATGTGGACACGGGTGACGGTGAGGAGTGATCAAGTGGCGCCCACCGGGTCCCCGGATGGACTAGATGTGGGATTTAAGGAAAAAGAGGTTCAAGGATGATTCCCAAGATTTTTGGTCTGAAAGTGGAAGCATGAAGTTGCCAGGTGCTATGCTGGGGACAACCTCAAGAAGGCAGGGAAGACAGGCAGAGCACACGGGGGATGCGGGCTGAGCTCGAGAGCCTACTGCACGTCCAGGTAGAGAGATGCGAGTCTGGACTCATGTGGTAAGGTCACCCTATCCACTGTTCCTCTTTCGTTTTCTGGGTCCAGGCTGGCACCTGGCATCACCAGAGCTGCAGCTCAGACTCACTCTTTCCTCGGCGTGGGGCAGAGACCAGGTGTCACAATGTGCCTCTTCTTGGTCAATCTGTCCATCCATTCATCCAATACGCCCTGCTCATCCCACCTATGTCAGGCACAGTACCAAATACAGGAAGGAGTAAGACGTGGCCTCTCCCCTCCACAGGCCCACAGTCTGGTTACAAATTCTCTACCCTCCTCCTCCAGCTTCTGCCCCTCATTCCTCCCTTGGCCTCAGTCCTTCTCCATCGGTAAAGCGTCTTTGGATCAGACAGTCTTTAAGTGCCCCACCAACTTGGCCCTCCCATAACCTCAACTAGCCCATCCCCGCCCTCCTCTGGGCCAGGCCCCCACAGCCTGGGCAGAGCTGGGGGATGGATCTGTGTTGGCTTCCTGCTCCCAGAACACCCATCTGACCAACAAATGTGCCCTGACAATGGTTTTGCTGTCGTCATGTTCCACCGAGAGGTGATGAACTGGGTGAAGCAATTAAGTCAACCTAGCAAGTGAGGTTTGCAGTGCGCAGGACTCATAAGTAAGTGAATGGGGTCAAGGCATGGACTCTCAAGGGGGCTGGCTATTGGGGGAAGAAAAATCTTGCTCTTTTTATTTATAAAGTAGATACGTAGTACATACATAGATATATTGTATGTCTGTAGTATTAAAATGTTTAGGGGAGGCCGGGCGTGGTGGCTCAAGCCTGTAATCCCAGCACTTTGGGAGGCCGAGGCAAGTGGATCACTTGAGGTCAGGAGTTTGAGACCAGCCTGGGCAACATGGTGAAACCCCATCTGTACTAAAAATACAAAAATTAGCCAGGCATGGTGGTACATGCCTGTAATCCCAGCTGCTCGGGAGGCTGAGGCAGGAGAATCACTTGAACCCGGGAGGTGGAGACTGCAGTGAGCTGAGATTGCACCACCGTACTCCAGCCTGGGCAACAGAGTGAGACTCTGTCTCAAAAAATAATAATAATAAATAAAAATAAAAATGTTTAGGGGAGAAGATGTCCTAAAAGGATCCCTGGGGAATAATACTGGGAAAAAATTGTGAGCAACACCATGTTAAGGGAAGGAGAGGAGGGTCAGGGCTGGGAGCCACACTCATTTGGCCACAGTCCTGGTACTAGGGACAGAGGGGTGACCAAGCTCAGAGACATTGTCCTTAAGAAGTTCACCATCTAGTGAGTGACAGTCAATAAAACAGGCAATCATTATACCCAATGACAGAGCCATGCCAGGGCCGGGGTAGGGAGGGCAGTGGGGCAGGGGAGGGGCTTCACATCAGGGAGGCTCCTGATACTGGGCCAAGCAAGGTTGCAGCAAGTGAATTTAGATAGCTCGGGGAAAGCCAGCCCATTGACCCCAACTCCCTGTCTAGACGCAGTCCACAGATGCCTCCATAGACTGATCCCCTTGGGCACGGTGGGGCGCAGAGGGGGTTGAAGGGAGGCCTTCAAGTTCAGCTCAGTATACCTTCTCGCCAGTGCCTGGAAGATGCTGGAATCCCCCCATTAAAGCCTTGTCCCTCAACCTGAAAGATGTATCTTAATGGCAACCTGATAGAATGGAAAGAATTCTAGGCCAGGTGCCAAAAGAACGGAGTCTCGGTCCCAACTATGCCCTTAATGTGTGGAGTATCCTGGGAGAGGCCAGCTCCCTCTCAGTCTCGACTCCCTACCTCTAAAATCCCTTCCCCGCCCCGTCCACCACTTCACATGGGGATCAGGCAGGAGAGGGCAGGAGAGGCCCACAGATGTCATCAGCCACAGCCTGTAGATCTGTGAGCTCACTCACACCTATGATGAGAGGTTTCTGCCCCATTTTACAGGCGAGGAGACTGAGGCATGGAGAAGTGAGTCACTTGCCCAAGATCACACCTGTTGTAAGAGGGAGCCAGGATCGTATCCCAATGGCACTGATGGGGTGAGCGGGGAGAGGCAGGGGTGGTTCAGGGGAGGTGGATGCGCTGGCCCTACAGGCCCTCTGCTTAGCTTTCTCACGGGTGGCCCTGGGCTGTCCGCCCGAGAGCCACGATCCATCACTCTTCCAGGGGGCTGTTTACAAGCAGAGCACACGCTAAGGAGATGGCTCAGTGGCAGCTGGGGGCCCTAGAGACCCTGAGCCGGGAAAGGGAAGGCCCACGGGGCCCTGGAGCTGTCTTCACAGGCCTTCAACTGTCAGAGGGATGTATTTAGGACACAGATCTGGCCACGCCGTGGCCCACCCTCACCCCCCACAGCGCCTGAGATGAAACCCTGGTAGCTTAGCCAGACAGTGCCCTCTGAGACCCGACCTCTCCAGCCTCGTCACTCACTCTCCCCTGCCTCGGACTTCGCTCTCAGGTCAGCAGACTACCAGCAGCCTCCATCCTCCCACCAGCTCTGCCCAGCCCCATTTCTGAGGCAAGAAGGAAGCGTGGCCCTTCCCTCACTGAGCCTCTGCATGTGCTGCCCCCGTGCCAGAGGGCCCTTCCCTGGCCTCTTCCTGGCCAACACCTGCTGACACTTTGACACTTTGAGCCGTGACTCAGATGTCACCTCCTCCAGGAAGTCCTCCTGTGTGCTGCTTCTGCACCCTGTCCTTCTCCTGATCCTTGAACTTAGGCTCTACTGCGGTCATCTGTGTCTGCTTCAGCAGCACAGGCCAGGTCAGAGTCGGCATCTGGGTGTGGACTGCCCACGTGGCTGTCCTCACAGGAAGGCCAGAGCAGCCAAGGCAAGTGCTGTCTTCCCCATTCAACAAGTGAAGAGATGGAGTCTTGGAGAGTAACTGGCCCAAGGTCATACAGGTATTAGGAGGTGGAGCAGGGATCGAAGCCCTGAGTCTGGCATCAGAGCACTCACGGGGTGAGGTGAGTCTGAGGTCTGCAGTCTTTAGAGACCTTCACTGACACTGGGGTTCTCAGACATCACCTTCTCCGACAGTGTGGACAGAGCCCTCACTGTCCACACTCCCCCGAACAGTCCCATGCCACTCCCCATCCTCTCACCATCTTAGTTTTTTACAGAGCACCTAGCAGGATCGAAAGTTTTATAGGCCGGGTGCGGTGGCTCACGCCTGTAATCCCAGCACTTTGGGAGGCTGAGGCAGGTGGATCACTTCAAGTCAGGAGTTCGAGACCAACATGGCCAACATGGCCAGACCCCCATCTCTACTAAAAATACAAAAATTAGCCGGATATGATGGCATGTGTCTGTAATCCCAGCTACTTGGGAGGCTGAGGCATGAGAATCACTTGAACCCGAGAGGCGGAAGTTGCAGTGAGCTGAGATCGCGCCACTGGACTCCAGCCTGGGTGACAGAGACAGACTCTATCTCAGAAAAAAAAAAAAGTTTTATAAATTTCTTTACTCATTGGCCTGTCTCTGAGAGCCCCACAGGGGCAGGGACCTGGCCGGTCTTGTTCACTGTTCATGGTTGGGTTCCCAGTGCCTAGACCAGTGCGGTGCCCAATACACGTTTGCTGCACGAAAGAGCATTGAGCACGTGCCTGGTGGTGGCGAAACACGGTCTGTCATCCTCTTGGTCGCCCCAGCCACTCATGAGCTAGGCGTTCTGCACATTTTTTGGATGAGGAAATAGAGCCCCAGAGAACTTAAGGGCCTGGCTCCGGGTCACTGAGAAGTGGCAGAGCCTGGTGGTCAAGTTTGTCTGATTCCAAAGCTCGCACCGTTAGACTCTGGGCCCCAAATGAGGGTGCTGCACCCAGCAAGGCTCACAGACTGGCCCGAAGTCACCCAGCCAGCTTCTGCTCAGGTCGGTGGCTTCATTCTTCACACCGCTTTCCGCTGGGTCCCCCGAGGGCTTAGGCGTGGAGCAGGTCTTATGTTCAATACTTTCATTCTGCCTTTTATTAAGCCAGGTAAGGGCTCTGCAGACTTCATAACTGTCCACAGTTCAGCTTCGCCCTTTTTTTCCCCCTTTGCAGCTTGTAAAATGAACACACTCCTTCAGCAGCTGTGGCGTCATTAATTCTCTGGCCCCATCCTTGGTGAGGCCTCGGGCCCGAGGTCGGGCTCCTCTGACGGCCCTGGCAGGAGGCTTTTCAAGCTCCTAATCCACTTGGCAGTTGTTTGAACTCTCAGAAATTATGCCTTCTCATCTCGTCCTAATGAACTCGTAAGCCCGGTTAACGCCAGAGGAGACAGTGCTTGTTCTTTCCGGCTGTGTCCGAGACAGAAGCTCAAGCCTTCCGAACACTCCTTTCCCTTTCTCTTCTGGGCCTCAGTTTCCCCGCCTGTGCAGTGGAGGCTCGGAGTCTCTGGCATGGAAGGACTCTTCCAACTCAGACATTCCAGAACAGGGACAGTGCCATCCCCTACAAATAGAAGGTGAGCCACGTGTGTCATTTTAAATTGCCTAATAGCCGTATTAGAAGAGTAAAAGGAAGCAAGATAAATTAATTTCAATAATGTATGTTATCTAGACTACCTATATTTCAAGCACTCAGTGGCCACATGTGGCTGGTGGCTACCGTACTGGAGAATGCTGTTCTAGAATTCTTGTCTTGTTCTGCCCCCAGCCTTTCCTCTCACCCTTCCTGGGGCTGTGGGCTGCCCTCGTTCTCCCAGTCCCTACCCACCTGACTGAGTGCCAGCCTGTATGGCAGTTACAAAGCCTGTGACACCAAGAGCTGGGCTCTGAGGGTGAGGAGTCTTGGCCGTGAAGGTACGCGCAGCCTCCAGAAGGCTTCTCACCGTGCCCCGCGTGGGAGGAGGAGATGGAAAGGGAGAAGGGCACTGCCTCCCTCTTCCCCCAGGAAAGGCAACATCGTGGGGAAAATCGATCTTAGAACCTGGGTTCCATTTTGGGGGAGGAGGTGTCCCTTCAGCTCAGAATCCACTGAACCAGGTGCTGGGCTAAGCCCTTGGCACAAATCATCTCATTTTACCCTCCCAAGAGTCCTGTGAAATTTGTAGTATTCGAGGCTGAGTATGGTGGTTCATACTTGTAGTCCCAGCTACTCATGAGGCTGAGTCGGGAGGATCACTTGGGCCCAGGAGTTCAAGGCTGCAGTGAGCTGTGAATTCACCACTGCGCTCCAGCCTGGGCAATAGAGCAAGACCCTGTCTCAAAAAAAAAAAAAAAAAACCAATTTGGGAGGAGGAGAGAAAATAATAAATAAATAAATAAATGTGCACTATTCAGATCCTGATTTTTACAGAGGAGGAAACTGAGGCTCAGAAAAAGAAGTGGCTCTTTTCCTTGTTCCTAGATCCCTCTTTCATTCAGTCGCTCCCTTTCCTCCCTTCTTCCCAGGTGTGTGTGTGTGTGTGTGTGTGTGTGTGTGTGTGTGTGTGTGTGTAGGGCAGAGCGGGAGGGCTACCTGGGAAATAAACTCCCTTCCCACATACAGCCTTGGTTTCGGGCATTAGAGCTCCTGCCTGCAAACTGCCTGATGCTGGGGGTCAGGGTGGTGGGGAGACCTGTGCTGAGCAGGACTCTGCAACAGCTGAAGTGGGAGTGGGGCTGTGGGAGGGAACGGGGGCTGGGAGGTTGAACTTCCTTCTCTCACTGGATGCCCGAGCCCAGGCCCCCTCACGGCCCTCTGGATCTTGCCTGTCTGGTTCCTGCTGGGACCCCAGGCCCCACATCCATGGGGCTGGCACTGAGCAGGTGCTCCTGCTGTCCTCAGCCTGCCTCTCTGCCTCCCTCCCCTCCTGGTCCTTCTACTGCTCCCCACAGCCTTCCTTGAATCCCTGTCTCTGCCTCTGCCCTCCAGCTCCTTGCGGGTCCCTCTGTCTATCTGGGTCTCTCTTGCCCTCTCCCTCAGTCTAGCTTGACTGGTCAGTCTCTTCTGGCCTCTCTCTGGCTGCCTGTCTCTCTCTATCTCTCTCTCCACACGTCTCTTGCCTTTTCTCCTCTGGCTCTTCTCTTCCCATCTCCTTTCTCTGTTGCTGTCTCTCCCCAAGGCCCCCAATCTCACCCTCATACTCTGACTCTCTCCTGGCCTTCTCCTCTCTCTTCATCTCTCTCTCTTGCTCTCTCTCTCTCCATCTCTCTCTCCATCTCTTTCTCTCTTTCCATCTCTCCCTCTCTCCATTTCTCTCTCTCTCTCTCCCCATCTGTCTCTCTCTTCCTCTCCATCTCTCTCCTCCTCTCTCTCTCCATCTCTCTCCCTCTGTCTCCTTCTATCTCCATCTCTCTCTCCCCCTCTCTCCATCTCTCTCCCCCGCCTCCATCTATCTCTCCCCCTCTCTCTCCGTCTCTCTCCGTCTCCCTCTATCTCTGTCTCTCTCTTCCCCCTCCCTCTCCATCTCGCACCCCTGCCTCCATCTGTCTCTTCCCCCTCTCCCTCTCTCCGTCTCTCTCTCCATCTCTCTCTGTCCCTCTGCGTCTTCTTCCATGTCCCTCTCTCTCTCCATCTATCTCCATCTCTCTGTCCCTCTCTCTCTCCCTCCCTCTCTCACTCCATTTCTCTCTCCTTCTCTCTCTCTCCATCTCTCTCTTCCCCCCTCTCCCCCTTTCTCCCTCCCTGTCTTTCCCCCTCTCTCTCTCCATCCCTCTCTCTTCTCCTCCCTGTCTCTCCCTCTCTCCATCCCTCTCTTTCTCTCTCTCCCTCTCCCCACTCCATCTCTTCTCTCTCCCCCATCTCTCTCTCTCCCTCTCCCTCTCTCTCACCCTCTCCCTCTCTCTCTCACCCTCTCTCTCCCCCTCTCTCCTTCTCTCTCCATCTCTCTTTCTCCATCTCTCTTTTTCTCTCTCTCCCCTGCTCTCTCTCCATCTCTCTCTATCCCTCTCTCTCTCTCTCCACCCCTCTCTCTACCTCTCCTCCCCTGCTCTCTCTCCCTCTCTCTCCATCTCTCTCTCTCTCTCTCCCTCTTTCTTGTCCCTCTGCATCTGCTCCCATGTCCCTCTCCCTTCCACACCCCTCTCTCCCTGTCACTTATTTGCGCCTCTCCTCCCCAGCTTCAGTGGCGCCCCGCTCCTCTCGGCCTCCCGCCTTTCCTCCTTGGGAAGGCAGGCGCTGCGGCAGCCAGCAAGAAGCCCCACTGGATGACAGCCGAGCCCAAGCATCCCTCGGAGCTGTCACCGAGGAAATCACACACCAGCGCCTGAAATTCAAATTAGAGTTTTGCTGAAGCTGCTAAAACTCATCAAATACTATCTTTGAAGTCCGCTAGCAAGCTGGTCATTGCTCTTAAAAGAGTCCCTGTTGGAAATGAGATGGTAGAAGGAGGGTTCAGGCAGGGCATCTATCCTGGGGCCTGGGAGTGGGGGCCCCTCCTCCCAACCACCCTCCCAGACATGCCCAGCACTGATGGTTACTATCTGGGGGCTCCCTCACAGCAGGCTCTCTGGGTCAGCCCCCACCCTTGCCAGACCAAGATCCCACCGCCGCACAGAGAAAGGAGCCCTGGGGCAGAGGTCTGACTGTGGGCTCTGGGGTCAAACACCAGCTTCCAGGTCCCCATCTCTCTGCTGCTGCCTAGCCGTGTGACCCAGGGCAACTGACCTCATCCTTCTAGGCCTCCTCTGCAAAGCGGGATATGAGTATTTATCCCTAGGGTGTAGTAAGGTATTGCATGAAAAGCACCCAGCACATCCTTGCTGCTCAATAAATGACCATTGTTCGTATAATAGTAACAGTTGCAACAACACATGCAGTCATTAATAATAACAGGCACAGCAAATACGTGTCAGGCATTGTTTTTGTTTGTTTGGTTATGTTTGTTTGTTTTGTGACAGAGATTTGCGACAGAGTTTTGCTCTGTCGCCCAGGCTGGAGTACAGTGCTGTGATCTCGGCTCACTGCAACCTCCGCCTCCCGGCTTCAAGTGATTCTGCTGCCTCAGCGTCCCAAGTATTTGGGACTACAGGCGCGCACCACCACGACTGGCTAATTTTTGTATTTTTTGGTAGAGACGGGGTTTCACCATGTTGGCCAGGCTGGTCTCGAACTCCTGACCTCAAGTGATCTGCCTGCCTCAGCCTCCCAAAGTGCTGGGATTACAGGTGTGAGCCACCGTGCCCGGCCAGACATTGTTTGAAGAGCTGTATTTATGTTAACTCATTCCATTCTCAGAACAACCCTATGAGGAAGCTACTCTTTATTTTTTGTAGAGGCGACATTTTGCTATGTTGGCCAGGCTGGTCATGAACTCCTGGCCTCAAGTGATCCACCTCCCTCGGCCTCCCAAAGTGCTAGGATTACAGGCATGAGCCACCATGCCCAGCTGGAAGCTACTCTTATTATCCCCATTTTACAGATGAGAAAAATGGAGCCCAAGAAGCTAAGTAACTGGCTCGCGGTTCTTCCCCCACCTACCGTCTCCCCAGCCTCTTTTCCAGTCTCTCCTCTTGGGTCCCCAACCCCAGGCCTGGAGGTCTGTCCTGAGCCTGCCCTTTGCCAATTGCCTGCACTTAAATCTTTTCTGGTCACCTCTGCCTGCCCTTTCCAGGACCCTAACCCTATAGTCAGTCCCTTCCAAGGGGGCGGCCTGCCAGACGGGGCTGTCACCACATGGCCGGCCTGCCTGGGGTCTCCATCCCTTCCAGCCGGACCTGCCTGCTTTTCCCCCATCACCCGTTGCCCACCCTAGTCTGACCTTTTCCATCACAGATCATCCATTGGGGATTTGGTCTTATTACAGGCCACCACCAGGCAATGACAGGCAGTTTTCTACTCAGGAACTTAAACATAAAAGTCCTTGACACCCTGCCTCCTGTTATCTATGACTGATGACCCCTGGAGAGGGCAAAGTTAACCCACACTGAGATGGAAGGATTGAGCCCTGTAGCCCTCGGGGACGTGAGGGAAAGGCCCGCTGTGTGTGGAAAAGGTGCCCAGGAGGGATTGGTTGCCATGGGTCCCACCCGACCCCGTGCCTGGCGTCTTAGAAGGATGGCCCCCAAGCAAGCATGCCTGTGGCACAGTCAGTGGAGCACACCGTGAAAGCAGCGGCCCCACGGAGCAGCCCCGGCCCTAGAAATGACCACACGTGTCAGGCATTGGGTGGCTGCAGAGCCAGTGGGAAGCCACCCAGCCACCACTCAGTTTCAGACAGCCATCCACAGGATGCTGCTATGACCAGGGCCTGTGCCAGAGCCTGCCAACTTTGAGTTGCCCTGGGGTCTTTCATTCACTCAGCAAGCCTGTGTGGACCCCAACCATGTGCCAGGCCAAGCCTTGAAGAAGTCACCACCCGGCCCCCCTCAAGTCCCCAGGGCCTGGAGAAGAGACACCACGCAGCATGGCTGTGCCGCTGTGATGAGTTCTGTGATGTGGACATTCAGGAGGCTGAGGCAGCTCTAAGGACACACCTGACCCAGATAACGGAAGCAGGGAAGGCTGTGGAGACCTGAAGTTGGGGTCGTTTGAAGTGGAGTTCACAGGCAAAGGGCCAGGGCAAGCAGGAGAGGAGTGCGCCAGCTGGGGAAGCAGCTGAGGGGACCAGAGAGTCCTTGGTGGACAGGAGTGGGAAGTTCAGAATGGTTCTTCCCTGGAGCTGGGGAGGTAGGAGTGGTGAGACCCTCGGCTGGAGAGAGAAGCAAGAACTGGGCCACTGTACTATCTTGGTGGGGAATGGCCCAGAAGGGATTCCTGAATGTTTCCTGAAGATTCACTCTAATGGGATTTGGTGGCTAAGTTCAGGCCTAAGAAACCTTCCCTGAGTCTCTACCATATGCCTCGAGCCTAGCGCTGTCTGAGCAAAAACGATTGCCCACAGAGGAAGCACCCTGTCCCCACAGGGCCTCCTCGGCCCTGAGTGCACCCCAGGCTCTGCAGTCCCACAGCTGCCAGGCCACCATCTCTGCCCAGGCTGCAGGGACCACAGGCTGCCCACACCCACCACTCGGCTCCAGCCAGCCATCCGCAGGATGCTTCTATGACCAGGGCAGGACAGGTACTTTACAGATAAGGAAACCGAGGCCCAAAGACAGGGAGGCCTTGGTCACACAGAAGTTAGCAGCAAGGCCGGGACCCAGAGCCCGGGCTTCCCATCCAGGGCTTTCAACACGACCACGTGGAACTCAGCTGAAGCCTGAGGGTCTGGTTTAGGGGTTTTCACTGATGGCCAAGGCAACAGGATGTACCAGGGCAGCAAGCCATGGCCCCGTGCCTGCTGTGTGCCAGGTGTGTGCTGCATCCTCGGGGGCTATGCCGAGGAACAAGAGGAAAGCAGATACTGAATAGCATCCGACCGACATCAAAACCTTTTTGTAAGGATGCAGGGAATGAGCAAGTGCTATGAAAATATAAAGTGTAACGTGGAAGTGGGGAGGCCACGAGGGACAGACTATGGAAGGAGGTCTGCTCTCCACCCCCAGTATCCCATCCCTAAGCCAAGGGGCTGTGGCACCACCTCCTGGGCTTTCCCATGCTACCCTCTGTGCTGCTCGCTGAGCCCGTGTAGGCACGCACGCCTGTGCACGGCCCGCATGTGCACATGTGATGAGCAGGAGCCGCTGACAAGCGCCCCAGGTGTATTTTGGGGGCCGTTAAAGCTCCGTGTTTAATGGCTGGAGCCACAGTGGTCACGGCTGTCAACGGGGATTTCATGGGCTCCTTTACATCTTTAGCTTCCTTCTTCCCAGACGACTTTATCATCCCCAGCGCCCCCAGCCCCTAGGCAGTGATGGGGAGAGGAGGTGGGGCCAGAGCGCTGAGCTCCCGCGTTTGAGTTCACAAGCTCTGGTAGGGGGTCAGGCCCACAGAACAAGCCCAGGTGCAGACTGAGGGCAGGGTGGGGCCTTGGGTGGGGTCCAAGGTCAGAAACCCTTCTCTGAAACCTCTCCATAGAGCCAGCGAGCTGGAGGCCGGGTGGGCCAAGAGGCTGCTTCTGAAGTGTGGATGGCGATCCAGGACCACCAGGAGGTGACATCTGAAAGCCAGGAGGTCGTGACTGGGGAAGGCCAGTAACTTTAGGGGCCAGCAGAGGGACTGGGAAGTGGAGGGGGGAGAACCAGAGAGGAGAGGGCTGTGAATCCTGGCTGCATTCCCTGGGAAGTGGCTCAGATCTGGGGCCTGGAGGAGCTGCTGGGAGAGCTGGTCTTAAGCTAACATCTGAACAGAGCTGGCATCCCCAGAACCTGGGAACAGTCCCCAGGAAGCCAAGATATCCAGGGTGGGATGTGAGGGTGGGGTGTTGGCTAAGTCGGGATCCTTGAACTCAGCCACAGCAGCCACTTGCCTGCCTTTGAGTGCATCCCTCCCCAACTCCCTCCTTCATTAAGGGGTGATCATCAGGCACTCCCACTTTGGTGGGTGAGATGAACAATCGCATTTTCCACACTGCAGTCAGTGCCAGGATGGAATTAGGCAGTGTGGGCAAAACGCCTGGCACAGCCCGCTCCCCCTGAGAGTCTGATCGCAGTGAGCCATTATGATGATGGGATGACCAAGGGGTGAGGGCCAGGGGGCCTGGGGGGGCACCCATCCAGACTTCAGAGGTTCAGTTCAGGGAAGGCTTCAAGGAGGAGGTGATGTCCAAGCTGAGATCTGCAGGAGATGTACAAGTTAGGCCCTGTCGGAAGTGGCGGGGTGAGGGGAGGGTGCCAGGCGGAAGGAGTAGCCCACAGCAAGCCCAGAGCAGAGAAGAAAGGACAGGAGTCCAAGATGTTGCGAGGAGCAAAGCAGAGGCCATTAAGGGCTTCGTTTCTCAGGCCACTTAGCCAGGGCTTCCTCCTAAGGCAGTGGGATCGCTGCAGGTGATGCCAAGGGAAGTATCTTGCTTTGGAAAGATGGCCCTGGCTGTGGTTGGAGGCGAAATTGGAGGTGGGGCACCTGGAGGCAGGAAGACCCCCCCTTGCCCCCGCCACCCAGAGGCAGTGGCCAGGAGAGAGGGAGGTGATGGAGTTAACGAGGGGACAGAATCAATAGATGGGCTCGAGCTAGAACAAGGCTGGTCCCTGGGCGATTTCTGGGGTTTATTGGGAGGAGGCATCAGAGAGGCTGGGCCCCTGCCCGTGAGGCCACAGAGGAGGCAGGCCGAGCCCAGGCATGGGGCCAGACTGTCTCCACCTCAGCAGCAGTTCCTCCACAGCCTGAGGTGGGGGCCTGTCACCAGCAGCCTAGGAAACATCCCCATGGAGATACATCTGATGGACCTGCCACCACAGTGCCATCCCACCCAGCCAGCCCCCTTACGAGGTAATCTGCTTTCACCAGAAACATCCTTCAGCCTCGCCCCAGCTCCCAGCTCAGCCAGGGAGGGCGGGACATGCTAGACTGAGAAGCTGCCTTTCTTCCCGGAAAAAATGACCTTGGGCCAGGACTGGCAATAGATCGGCTGGGATCCAGACAGCCTGGGTCCCCAGCGGCCCTGGGTGCTGCAGTCAGGGCGGAAATGGGCTCTCACCCCCTCTTGCACTCGCATCCGAGGGAGTAACCCTGCATTTGGGACAAATCCAAATTAAACTAGACTCCCGAGAACTGCTCCTAGGTGATCCCTGAACCACATGGGTCTCCAGTGTCCAAGTGACCCTCTATCTCCCTCCCAACAAACCTGCCCCAGGGAGTTCTCTGGCCAAGGGGACATACGCGGGCTGGAGGGTTCACATCTTAGTTCGGTTGCTTCCTGGCTGGGTGACCTTGGACAGGTTGCTCCCCTGCTCTGAGACTCTGGGCAGCCTAATGATGTGATGCCCCAGCAGCCTTGGTGAGAGGTGAGGGGAGGAGGGGAATTGCAAAGCACCCAGCTCATGTTGGGCACCGCATAGATGACAGCCCCTTCCGGCTGCTGCTTTCCACCTGCCCTGCTGGGGATCAGCACACAGACTCCCCTATCCCTCCTTCCCCCGAGGCTGACAAGTGAACAGACCCACAGCCTGGCTCCTTCTCCATGATCTGCTTGCTCCATGGTGAGATGGCCCAAGGTAGCAGCCAGAGCCCTGGATGAGGAGCCAGGAGATTGGGTTCTGGTCCCAGATTTGCTGCTGGCTGTGCAACCTGGGAGAAGTCACCTTCCCTCTCTGGGCCCTGCAATCGCTCCCTTCGTCCTTCCATACACGCCACGCCCACACCACTGTTCAGCTCTCCCTCCTTTGGAGCCTACAGTAGCTTGTTCATTGCCAGGAAATGGTCTACATAAGTCTGTCTGAACCATCAGATTAGGAGTGTCTGCAGGGCGGGTTATGTGTCACCAGTATGTAGCACCCAGCACAGGTCCTCCACACTGTCAGGCCTCAGAAAATGTGGGTGGATGGAACGGGATGGAGGTGGGACAGGGGTCTTCTTTGCCCATGTGACAGATGAGCACATGGGCCCAGGAGGCAGGGGAGGGGGACTTCCAAATGCAGAGCACTGGGCAGGCATTCCCTCCGTTCGTTTGCAGCACTGGGGACTGAGGCCCTGATGTCCAGCAACCAACATGGCCTAACACAGGGGCCAGAGCATCCCTTGTGTGGCACTGCCTGTGGTGACGACAATGGTGGCAGTGGCTGGGAAGGCGGCCGCGGTGGTGTGGGTGGGGGTGGCTCCAGTGCTGGCCATGATCCTGGCTCTGGCTCCTGAAATCAGACCTGCCCTGCAGTGATGGAGCCATTGCCCCTCCCATCACGCCCTCTGCCTCGGCAGCTTGAATGAGAATCAGACACAGATCTTTAGAGCTGCTTAGCATCTCAATACATTTGGTATTGGGTATTACCAAGTCACTCTCCTTAAACCATTCCCTTGCTCGAGAGAGGTGCCCTCACCACCACCCACCCACTCACACCCACACAATCCCCGCCCCCACACACAAGTCACTGTCACCCAGGCACTGGCTTGCTCTTTCTCTCTCTCATCTCTCTCATACACACACACACACACACACACACACACACACACACGCGCGCGCGCGCGCTCTCTCCCCCTCCTTCTCGTTCTGTCTGTCTGTCTCTCTAGAAAACACTGGCGTGCACAGAGTTCCTCCCATATGTGAGAATGCCGATGCATTGTCACCCCAACAAGGCAGAGTGGTGATACGGTTGTTTTTGAATATCAGGGACATTAACGCTCCTCTCTCTCATACCCAGCCGAGGCTTTCTCCCTCCTGCTCCCTGGGTGCGGCTTTGGGGCTGGGCAGGGAGAGGCGGGCAAAGGTCCTGTGAAGCCCGAAGACCAACTCTGTGCCAGGCATCCTTTTAATCTTCACAACCCTAAAGGACAGGGGGTGGTGGCCCCATTTTATAGATCTGGACTGAGGCTCAGAGAGGTAGAGTGAGCTCCCAAAGCCACACAGCACACAGGAAGGGTTAGGCATGGGGTTTTTATTAAACCAGGTCTGACTCCAGAGCTCCTTGCTGCCTCCCAACAGTCTAGAGACTTTCCTCAGCCGCTTCCTGGGAGCCCTGTCACCCTGGCTGTCCCCAGGGAGGGCCCCTGCACCGCCCCGTGTTCACACTTAGAAGTCAAGCCAGCTTTGACCCGTGGACTTGGCAGAACCTCCCTGCTCCACCCACTGAGATTTCGGCCTCTCCTCGGGGCCATGAGCTCCTTGACCTTCCCCATAGAAGTCTGAGGGGCCAGGGAAGGGTCAGCCAACCCACCTGGTAACCCCCAAATCAATAACCCAGCACCCACGTGGCACCTGCTCGGTCCTCAGTGCCGACCTGGCCCCTCACCCAGGTTTTCTCCATGCTTGGAGTCCTCCCCCTGCTGCCTGGCCCCAACTATCTCATGACTATGTGCTTGGGCTTTGGGACCAAACAGATCTGAGTGCGAATCCTGACTTGGCCACTTAATAGCTGTGGCATCTTGGACACGTCACGTTCCCCCCTCCTGCCTGATCCCCATTTACATAGAGACAATGTTGATAATAATAGAACTCGCTTCAAAGGATTGTTATTAAGATTAATAAGAATAGTGACTATTCTGTCATTTTATCCTAGATGCAGAGAGCCCTTGGAGGCCCTCCCCCATGCGGAGCAGCACCCCAGAGAGGTAACGTGATTTGCCTTAAGTCACACAGGCAGGCAGTGGCAAAGACAATCCAGCCTCAGTTCCAGGGCTGGGCCAGGCCTCAAGGAGGAGCCAGGGCCTCCCTTGTGGAGGGCAACCTGCCGGCCGGGCACTGACGAGCTGGTGTCCAGCGAGAGCAGAAGGGGCCCCTGCTCCCCAGGAGGGTGGTGAGAATCAAGGAGCCAGCTGAGGAATCCAGGTAGGATTCCAGCCCCAGCCAAGAGTGCCGCTGAGACAGACGAGGCTCTGGGACAGAGCTGACTTGGGCCAGGGGGCGGGGCAGGGGCGGGTGGCTTCCCTGAGGACTGGCTGCCTGAGCCAAGCTGAAGGAGGAGTGAGGGGTGGTGGGGAGGAGAGGCTGAAGGAGGGAGCAGTAGAGACAAAGGCCGTGTGCAAGGAGGGGCACAGTACCTTCCAGAAAGCTTGGGGAGGGAGAGGCGGGGACTGGAGAGGTGGTAGGGGCCAGACCCCGCCCCTCTCTCCCTGCACTTGCAGGTGTGATAAAGATTTGGGTCTTTATCCAGAGAGAGAGCGATGGAAAGCTCTGGAAAAGCTCCAATCAGGTCAGAGGAGGGGAGGGCAGGGGCAGGGCTGACCATGACCTTGTGCACTGAATGGCTTCCTGGCTGCAGTGTGGCTAGCGGCTGGAAGGGGCCAGAGGGTGTGCACAGAGGCCAGGGATGTGGCCACTGTAGCTGTCCCCGTGAGAGGTGAGGGAGGCTTAGAGCAGGCTGATGGCGGTGGAGATGGAGATCAGGCTGGAAGCATGGACACACTCCAGACATGTCCAGGTGGTATCAGCAACATGACTTGGGCTGTCCTGGCCACGTGGCTGGTGGAGAAGGAGGCACAGAGACAAAGAACAGTTTCCTGACTTGTGCAACTGGGCGGCCCATGGTGCTGGGAGAGGCCCAGGGCATCATCTGGGGCAAGGGCAGGTGGTGTTTGAAGGGCTGTGGAGGTGACAATGGGCTGTGCAGGGACTGTAATGGAGGTGATCTAGGGCTGTGCAGGGACTGGGAGATGAGCAGAGTGGAGGGGAGACCGGGAGAGAAGGAAATGGGGAGGCCGTGAGAACAGCAGTTTGCTGGAAGGGGAGGAGAGAGGGAGAAGGCAGGCGAGTGAGGGAGGCTTTCGTTCTGGTTTGTTAGGACAGGACAGACTTGAATGTGAAGGATGGAGCAGCCCAGACCTCTGAGGCCCCTTCCCATCCAGTCATCTTTCCACTCTGCTCTGCTGCTTGCTTAGTGGTTCCAAACTGTGGACGTGATTGATTATGTGTAAACAGCAGGAAGCAATTAGTCTGTGCATGCCTGGCCATTAATAAGCCTCTTATGTATTTAGAACAACACCTCCCTTACCCTTCAACCCGAGAACAAATGTCTGGAGAACCGCCAGGAGTAAGCAGAAGAGACCTCTGGGCAGCCACACCATCGGCCCTAACCTCACACTCTACCCATAAGGCAGTTGCTCACTTATAGCCCATTGACTCTTACTCTACAAAAAATTCTAACAAGCATTCCTTTTTATTTTCAAAGTCCACAAGAGATAGAAACCACAATGCAGGAGGCAGTTAGAAACTGTCAGAGGCAGGAGACCTGCAGCAGACAGAAAAGGCAGCTGACAGCCTGAGGGAGAAGGAAGAGATAGAAACTCATTCAAGCCTGGGCGTTTCATGCCAGGGCAAATAAGTCCACCCAGCCCAGTGGCCCTGAAGGCACCTCTGTCTCATACTCCACAAGCAGGGGCTTGGACGAACTCTAGGTCTTTTTCCACATCAAGATTCAGTGATTCTTGGTTCATAGTCATGACTCTCAACCGCTAAGAATAGGCTAAATCACATTCAGTACTTGAAGCCTAAAAAGGACTTTTTTGGGCTGGGCGCGGTGGCTCATGCCTGTAATCCCAGCACTTTGGGAGGCCAAGGCAGGTGGATCACTTGAAGTCAGGAGTTCGAGACCAGCCTGGCCAACATGGTGAAGCCCCATCTCTGCCAAAAATATAAAAAAGTAGCTGGATATGGTGGCACACACCTGTAATCCCAACTACTCAGGAGGCTGAGGCAGGAGAATTGTTTAAACCCGGGGGGGTGGAGGTTGCAGTGAGCCCAGATCATGCCACTGCACTTCAGCCTGGGTGACAAGAGCAAAACTCTGTCTCAAAAAAAAAAAAAAGGACTTTTTTGGAGATAACATTTTAAATTGTACGTTTTAAGTTTTGGTGCCTTATAGTTTCTGAAGCATTCCCTTATGTGGAAGGGGGTTTTGTAATTGCCTATTTAATTATCCTGTTAGACGGAAATGCTGTGAGAACAAGGCCTGTGTCTGTGTGGCTCGCTGTCCTCTTCCAGCACCTGGCACGGTGCTACAGGGGGTGCCCGGCGCACATTTGTTGAATGAGTGAATTTAGTAATAAATTAATATTACATACCAGGCACCACTCAATCAACAAACATATTCTTACATCTAATTTCACCTATTTCTTTCTTTCTTTTTTTTTTTTTTTTTTTTTTTTGAGATGGAGTCTCACTGTTATAACCCAGGCTGGAGTGCAATGGCACGATCTTGGCTCACTGCAACCTCTGTCTCCTGGGTTCAAGTGATTTTCCTGCCTCAGCCTCCCGAGTAGCTGGGATTACAGATGCCCATTCCCATGCCCGGCTAATTTTTGTATTTTTAGTAGAGATGGGGTTTCACCACGTTGGCCAGGCTGGTCTTGAACTCCTGACCCCAGGTGATCCTCCTGCCTCGGCCTCCCAAAGTGCTGGGATTACAGGTGTGAACCACCGCGCCCAGCCTTCTTTTTACTTTTTAATGTGATGCTAACCACATTTTAAATTACATATGTGGCACACACCACTGTCTTTCTATCAGACGGGACAGTCTTAGACCCTTCTGCCCTGACTCTAGAGGCAAAGTACAAAGTTTAAACACATTCCCTGTGGTCTGCGTGGAACTCTCCCACGCAACATAAGCTACTTCCTCACTTGTTTCTGGCTGGGACACTTCAAGGGCAAAGTCAGAACTTATTACCAGGGAACCCCAGCAGCAGCCCGGTGGAGTGCCAGTGCCAAGCTCCATTCCCCTTGCAACTCCGGAA
This sequence comes from Homo sapiens, assembly GCF_000001405.40. Lineage (NCBI taxonomy): Eukaryota > Metazoa > Chordata > Mammalia > Primates > Hominidae > Homo > Homo sapiens. Next base: position 22,559,298 of record NC_000001.11, read on the forward strand.
AACAGCTGGAGAAGGAACCTTATAGGTGGAAAAGCAGAGTCCCTAAGCGGGAAAGCAACATGGGCCTCGTGTTAGGAGTAGGTCTCTTCCAAGATCTCCGATGACTCCACCTTCCAGCCAGAGGAGAGGGAGAGATTTAGATGCCAGTGTCCGGAAAGCCCTGTCCCCTTTGAGACCCCTCACAGAGTGAACCAAGCCTGCTCTGGGATGTGGGGTGGGAGTTTCGAGACAGCTTGGGTGGGCAACAGGAGATCCAGGCCGAGGGCAGGGTGGCTCAAGGATGGGTGAAGATTTAACCACTCACCACTGCCCCGACTTGACCCCTCACACTCCTACACATCTGTCTTCTACCAGAACATCTTTTCTACCTGGGCCTAAAATGGCACCCGGCCTAGTTCGCCCGCAGAGCGCAGAGCCGCTGGGCTTCAGTCCCCTCCTCTAGCACGTAACCATGCCTTCCAATCTTAGATCTCGTTATAGGTTTCCAAACACGTTTGCATCTGTGAACTCACTTACGCTTCACAGCAACCCTGTGAGTTGTTGGCATTATCCTCATTTTATAACTGGAGAAACTGAGGCTCAGAAAGGTGAAGTGAGGAGAGATACATCTGGGAGCGTCTGCACATAGACGAGGCTTGTCTGATGTTCTTTGCAATTACTCTTCCCCCTTCCAGAAGGAAAAGACATGGGTCAGGGAGGAGTTGAAAGTGGGGAAGGACTGACTCAGAGGCTGCCCTGCTCTGCCAAGCCCAGCTCTGCCCACCGCTGCCCCCAGCTTGCCTGTTTTGTAGAACAAGGTCCCGATGTACTGATGGGAGAGGGAAAGCACTGTTCAGATTCACCTCTAGGGTTCAGGCCAAACCCACTTGGCAGGTACAGCTAGCACACCTGAACAGCTATCCAACTGTCCTGTAACTCTAGCCATGCTCACCTGGCATACTTGGCCTGCAGAGTGTGGCCCTTTTAGACAGCTGCTCATTCAGTCATTCAGCAAACGTTCCTGCAGCGTCTACAGTGCACCAGGAGGACCCAGCGGGACCCAGCCAGGACCCTGCCATGGACTCTGCTCTCAAGCAGTTCAGAATCCAGTTGGGGAGAGGAGACAAAAGAAGCCGCAAGCATCAGGGATTCCACCCATGCACCTCACAGGGCTCCCTGTCCATCAGTCCTCTCAAATCTCATTGCGCTTCTCTTTAAAATGGGTGAAATCTATGCATTGCGGGGATTCAATGAGAAAAGGCATTCCGAGTCCAGCCTGGATGGTGTTCGCAGTGCTGTGGTGGAGCTGGGGAAGATTCGCCTCAGCGGGGAGCCTGCCCCAGTCCTCCTCTGAGGCTCTCCCCACAGCCCTGTACTGCTTGACCCTTCAGGGAGGATGGAAGGTCAAGTAAACAGATGCAAGGTCAACTGTCTTCCTATGGAACTGTCATGTCCCCAAGAGCCCAGTGAGATCACCTGCCCCTCTAAGAGTTTCTTCCTTCCCATTGGCAGATGGGCAAGTTGCCCCTTTGAAACCCAGAACAGCAGAGGGGAGGGGTGGGAGAGAGAGACCCCAGGGAGAGGGCACACCTCGGCTGGGGCATCCTGGGAGTTTCACAGGGGGCAGGGAGACAGCTGAAAGCATGCTGCTCTTAGCATTCCACGGAACATTGGCAAAATGAATTCCTTATTTTGCTAAAGAGCTTTGGAATGTAGAGCAGACTTCTGACTCAGAACCATCCCTCATGCCCACCAAGTCCCTCAAGGACTCCCCAGGTCCAGAAAACTTGGCTTTCTTCAGTTTCCTCACCTACAGAATGGGCAAAACCCAGATTTGGTTGGCTTCACATACATGTGGGGATGCAGATCCCCAACCGCCAGCAAAGCCTCTCTCCACCAACAAATCTTTCTGTGAGCCTGGGATGGAGTAGGGGATGTCCAGGAGTGCTTGTGACTGTGTTCTGCATACTGTCTGCATTTTTTTCTTTTTCTTTTCTTTTTTGAGATAGGGTCTTGCTCTGTCTCCCTGGCGGGAATACAATGGCACAATCACGGCTCACTAATGGCTCGCTGCAGCCTCAGCCTCCCAAGCAATCCTTCTGCCTCAGCCTCCTGAGTAGCTGGGGCCACAGGTGTGCACCACCACGCCCAGCTAATTTTTAAACAACTTTTTGTTGAGATGAGGTCTTGCCATGTTGCTCAGATTGGTCTCAAATTCCTAGGCTCAAGCGATCCTCCTGCCTCTGCCTCCCAAAGTGCTGGGATTACAGGCATGAGCCACCGTGCCTCGCCTTGTCTGCGTTTTTCCGCCTCTCATCTGCCCACTTCTCTGACACCCCAGGAGTGAGTTCCCAGCCATGGATTCTTCCATCTGATGAGCCTTGAAGCACAGCCCGGAGGCCTGTGGGCTACGGCCACCCTACTCACAGGTCTGCCTACACTATGGTGTTATTAAAATGTTTACATTAGCTGCCAACCTTAAAAATCAAGACGTAACACAAATAAGTTCCAGATAGACAACTTTTTCTTGAAAATGCAGAAAACTGGACACACATCTCCACCAGCAATGTTGGCTGGATCTGGGTACACTCTCCTAGCAGGCTCTGTAAGGGTGCCTGCCTATCTCATGTAGGCATTTGAGTTTGCCACTCTGGGTCTAGTCCAATCTGCTTTGTACTCACCTGCCCTCTTACAGCATCTCTGAACAATTTCTAGCTAGTATCTGCTTAAATGCCTCTGGTCACAGGAGTCTCACTACATCAGTGAGGCAGTCCACCTGAGCTGCGAGGAAGGGGCTCCTATGGAACTGTCTTCCCCCTTTCTGTAGCAAAAAAAAAGACACAGAGGAAAGAAACGGGCGTTGGAGCCAAGCAGCTGTGGATCTGAGTACCTCTCTAGCATTCAACCAGCTGTGTGATCTAAGGCAAATGATGGCCTTTCTGAGCTTCTGTTTCCTTAGGTGTGCCAGCCCTGCAAGGCTGTGTGAGGCTTAAACTGGAGCGAGTTTATAAAGCCCCTAGAGCAGGGTCTGACTCAGGGCACATGTTCCCCAAATGGCCTTTCTCATCCTATGTAACTTCCAGCCATGGCTCCAATTCTCCTCACCCCCCAGTGACCATGAGAGCTGGGAACGAAGGAAGAGGGGACTGGACGATGGTCTGTGCCAGGCGGCAGTGGGAAGCAATCAGGCACTTGCTCCCGTGGGCATCCACCCTCTCAGGAGGCTGCAGGTCTCTTGCCTGCTTCTCGGACTGCTTGGCCCACCAGGTGTGTGAGGGACTTGAGGGTGGCAGAGCAGGCCCCAGGATGCAGCCCTATATCCCTGTCCTCCCCTCACAGCCCAAAGCCATCCCTGGATGAGACCCCTAGTCCTGGGGGATGGAACTGGAGACAGGGAAGGTCAGGGGAGGGAAAAGCAGGGAATGATAGTCCCCCTCACTGGATAACAGCTCCCATGACCGGCCACCTGGCTGTGTGCCCGGCCGTCTGCCAGGAGTTCCACCTGGGCCCTTTCACGCCACCCTAGGATATCGATACTGGTATTCTTGTTTTACAGACATGAAGTTTTAGACTCAGAGAGCTTAAGAAACTTGCCTAAGGCCACACAGCAGGACACTTGTCTTCCTGGTCCCTGAGCCTGCCCTCCTGACCACTGCAATCTAAGGCCTCCTTAAAATCCCGTGGTCCCTAAATGCCAAGTTGTTGGGGTGGGGAAAGGGAGAGAGTTTTGGTTTTGGTGTTTTTTTGGTTTTTCACCTAAAAGTGCCTCTGAGTTTGCCGCTGAGCCCATCTCTGAGCCTCTGCCCATGAACTAGTGTGTATCCATCGGAGTGTGTCACCACGCGAAGCACTCGGTGTTGGGGTCATGCGGGCAGGAGCGAGCATGCGGTGGATGTGCGGCCCGCGCGTGTGTCCACAGAGGGAATCCCTGGGTGGGTCTGGTCCTGGTGTCGCCGGGACGTCCCGATGGTGGCTTCGCGCACTGGGGCCCTGAGCCCTGAGTCCAAGTGCGCAGCGCGGGGCGCGCCCCCGAAGGTGCCCGCCGGGGGAGTGTGGGCGTGCGCACGTGCGGCGGCGGTGGCCGCGGGCCGGGTGGCCGCGGTGCGGGCTCCGTGTCCCCCACCCCCCCGCCTCGGTGCTGATTGGCTCGGCGCCGTGACGGGCCGGCCCCCGCCCGGGGCGGCGGCGGCGGCGGCGGGCGCGGGTGCCCGCGTGTGCGCTGGGAGCCGCGTGTGCGCCGGGGTGTGCGCCCGGCCGGGTGTGCGGAGAGCGAGGGAGCGCGCTCCCTCCCGACGCGCGGGCCGCAGCGGCCAAGCCCGAGGGTGCGTGGCGCCCCCGCCCGCCCGGCCCGGCCCGGCCATGGCCCCCGCCCGGGGCCGCCTGCCCCCTGCGCTCTGGGTCGTCACGGCCGCGGCGGCGGCGGCCACCTGCGTGTCCGCGGCGCGCGGCGAAGGTGAGCGGCGGCGGCGGGGCGGGGCAGGGGCGGCCGAGGGGCGCGGGGCGCGGCGCGCGCTGCCTGCGGCTCAACTTCCTTTGCATGGACCCTGAGCTCCAAGGCGGCCGGGATCCCTCGGCCCGGGGGGCGGGGTGGCACCGCGGAAGAGACCCGGGATTAAGGGACAGAGCGGTGGAGATGGGAACCCGCGAGCTTGAGGAAGACGGACAGGTACCGGGGACTGGGGGACAGTGGGAAAGGACAGGAGACAGGACTGAGGGATGTGCAGCTGGGGACAGAATACTGAGGGTCGGACGCCGGGGACAAGGGGACAGGACTGGACAGAAGACAAGAGAAGAGGTAAGGAGGAGAGGGTACAGTGAGGTAGGGCAAGGAACAGGGTTGGGGACAGAGGACAGGGGGGTAGGCACTGGGGTTGGAGGGACAGGAGAATGGGGGAGGAGGTTCAGAGGGCAGAAGGCAAAGGGGGTGGGGACAGCATTGAGAGATAGGAGCCAGGCGCTGAGAAACGGGACCCCGGAGAGCAGGACTGGCTTTGAGGGGAGGCAGGAAGGAGGGGTGCGGAATGAGAGTCTGGGAGAGGGGTCAGGGCCCGAGGGCCACAGTCTGGCGACGGGCTGGGGAGAAGAAGGGAGGGCAGGGGAGTTCCAGCTGGAGGAGAGGCAGCTTCGTGGGCAGCGGGAGCGGCTTGGGGAGGAGAGGGCTGGGGGATGGGGAGGCCACAGAGAGATTGAGGCAGGCAGGCCCCGGAGAGCAAAGTCTTGTCAGAGAAGGCTGGGATGGCAGGGTCACTCTGGGGCCCTGTGTGGGAGGAAGGATTGGGGTGGGGAGGTGCACTGAGTCGTTGGGACCAAAAAGGTCTGGGAAATGACTTCTGGTGGTGGGGGCACAAGAAGAGCTGAGAGGGAGCACCTAAGCCTGCCACCCACACACCCGTTAGCTCCCTGGAGACCCCAGCTCCATCCAGCTCAGGAGGTTTCCCTGGGTCCCACTCCCCACACCCCAACCCCTGCCCTGACCCTCCTCTGTTCCCACAGCTCTGCCCCAAGGAAGCCAGAGCGTCTCTGTGCAGGCTCCCAGGGCTGATGTCCAGGGACCAGAGCTGGGTCCTCACCCTGCCAAGATGAACTTCCAGGTGTAAGCGAACTCCGGAGCTGGTGCTGCTCTTCCACGCCCAGACAGATCACACATCTGCCCTTCACACACAGCTCACCGAGGGCCCACCCTACACACAAGCACACACACAGGCTACTTGGGATTCACACTTGTGACCCAGGCCTGTAGAGACTGACATGTGCGGTCAGTCTCCCCACCCCACATAACATCCACAGCCACACACACAGAAATGAAGCCAGTATGCATGAGCACAAACACACATGTACATGCACGTACAGATGCATGCACATGAAAATACGCAACTCTGTGTCTACATATATACATCACACCACATATGTAAGGAGCCCGTCGTTTGCATCCATGCCCACGGAAATGCATGTGCACCAACAAACACACACAGACACAGATAAAATCATAGTCTCCCATGAGCCCAGGGCCCAGCATGGAGGAGAGGCACGGCAGGGTGGCCGAGAAGTGAGATGCCGGCAGAGCAGGGCCGGGTGGGTGTAACAAGGCACAGGTTCCCGGGGCACCAGGAGAGGTCTGGGGTTGGGGGGTGCTGGGGAGTAGGAAAGGGGGCAAGATTGGAATCTAAGAGGCCTTGGGGCCCTGGGAGCTGCACCCGAGAAGACGGCTTTCTGAGGGTGGGTGGAGGGAAGGGGACAGTTCGTTTGCCCAGCAGGCTCTGAGGCCCCTCCATCGAGGCGCTGGGAGTCAGGTGGTGCACCCCCAACCCCCTGCCTCAACTCTCTTCTCTGGGAAGGAGCCAGCACCCTCTGGAATCACAGGCTGGTAGCCCCAGAGCCCCTCGAAGAGGGGGCTTGGACCAGGCTCATGTGCTGAGGACAAAGCATGGGTCTGGGGAGGGGACCTGTGCAGTGGGTGGGGGCCAGCAGCTGAGGAAGAGGCAAGGTCTAGAGAGAGAGGCAGGTGGGGAAGTCTGTGTCCATGGTGAAGGGAGGCATAGCCCAAGGGCGAGAGTCCACGCCCTCTCCGATCAATGCAGCAGGGTACCCACAGCCAGGCACAGGTTACCCACACGAGTCAGACAGCCATGGGGTGGAGACCTGGGACCTGAGTTCCATGTGGCGCATCTGGGAGTCCTCCCCAGCACTGTCCCTGGGCTGGTCTAGAGCAACCAGAGCCAGCTGAGGGGACTGTTGGAACTCAGGGAGGGGCCTGTGCTCCCAGCTGGGTCTAGCAAAGGTAACAGGACCTTAGCCTGGCCAAACAACAGTCCACTCAACAGTCCCCTACAACAGGCCACTCTCAGAGCTTTTGCTGGGGCACCCGTGGGCCCAGGAAGGGCCCTGCACCTGCAGAGACGCCCCCCGGACCCCTGCCAGGCCCAAGGCTGCTTATTGCTCTCTGGTGTGGCTTATCCTCCACTTTGAGGTGATCTCCAAGGCATTCAGAATCCTGGCTGACGTCCCCTGGCCACCCCGAATTCTCCAGCCTCACCATCATGCGCTGCGTCCTCAGGGAATGTAAATCAATTTAAGTATTAGTCTCAGCGAAATGGAATGGGGGAAGGCGACGGTGCTGGAGAAAAAAAGAAATCGCATAATGCCTTCCACAGTCGAACAGGAACGGCTTAGGAGTTATCTGTGCTTCCCAGAGCAGGAGAGGGACCCGTTTGATCCCCCCAGAACAGCCCGGGCAGATAGGCCTAGGAGGGATGCCTATGGACATCTTTCAGATAAGGAAACTGAGGCAGAGGGGTTAAGTGCTTCGCTTCACTGAAGGGCCCTAGGAGACCATGGAGTCCGATCCCCGTGTTTGGTAAGCGGGGAGATGGGCCCACAGGGGAGAATTGGCTTCACAGTCCGGCAGCGCAAGAGGCAGGAGAGAGGCCAGCTGCGGTGACCAGAGGGTCTGAATTCCCAAGGGGACCCAGGCCCAGGCTGGGTGGGCCTAATGGTGGCGTTCTCTTCAGCACTCATCAAACCTCCTATGGACTTGGGGCTTCCTTCAAGGGACACTCTGCGTTCTCACCCATTCAAGGGGACATGGATGGGGAAGGTGGAGATGGGGACAGAGGAAGAGGAGGGAGGGGAGGGACATAGAAGGGTCTGGAATGAATTGGAACAAACAGCCCTGGAATCCCATAGCCCTTCCTGAGTCCGATAGAATTGACTTTTGACTTATCTTTGGATTATCTGATCCCCCTGGCTGGTTGATCAAGAATCAGCTGCAGATACGGTGGGGCTTCCCCCAGGAGGGCAGGGCCTGGAGAGCGGTGTCTGCAGGCCCTGAAGCCTGCACGCTCCAGGGCGAGAATCCTAAGCAGTGGACATCCACTTGAGTGGCTCCGGGATAGGGACAGGTCTGGGCTGCATCCAGGCCAGGTCACAGAAGGGGCCCAGTCACCCCGAGACCTGTGTCTGGGATGCGGGGTGGGGCGGGGGGACCCATACGTGTGTGTCCTTCCCTCACCATCTCCCCAAACTCGGCTTTGCTGGTCTGGGGGAAACTGCAGTGCGGCCCCCTCCCCCTCCCACCAGCCAGCAGGAGGAGAGAGCTTGCCTGACCCAGTTTTCTCTACATTGCCTGAGAGGGAGGGAGGCAGGCGGGAAGCCTTCTCTCTGCCTCTGCCCCTGGCGTGGGGCCGGCTTGGGGAGGGGGAGGTCCCTCTGCGGACATTCGCTGTGTCCCCTGATCCCAAGTGGCCCCTGGGGACCCAGGGAGGAATGCAGGGAGGAGCGCGGAGACCCCCTCCCTAGTTCTGCCAGCCTCACTCCAGCCGGCCTCCTTCAGGGTCCCTGACGGTGGGGTGGGGAGGGTGAGAGGCAGGAGAAAATCAGCAAATAAGAGCATCCTCACTCCAGCATTTCCTGAGGACACTTGTCTCTGTCTTCGAGGGGCAGGCTTAGAGCTATGCAAATCTCAGGCAGAAGGACACCCAGCCTCCCCACGGGAAAGTTCCAGGAGAGCTCCACCTTTAACCCCCGTCACCTGCCCAAGCCCGCTGATTGGGGTGGTTAAAAGCCCATGGCTGTTGGCTGGGAGAAGGGGTCATGGAAGGCAGAGTGAAAGGGAAAGCTGTGGGACTCTGGAGCCAAAAGCCCTCTCATACAGCAATCACCAGCTAGATCAAAAGGAAGCAAAGAGGTGAAGGGACTTAACCAAGGACACACAGCAGTTAGAGACGGCTGAAGCCGGAGCCCTGATTTCTAAACAGCATAATGCATCTGTTTCACCTTAAGTGAGGGTGTGACCACAAGGGACATGGAGAGAGGCAGGGGGCGGGGGACTTAGAGAAGGGGAACTAGTGTTGGTAAGGACCAGCCCTGGCTCCAGGCTTCACGTAATTTCCTGACCCTCATCCCACCCTTAGGTACTATGAACCCATTTTACAGATGAGAAAATTGAGGGTCACTCGCTAATAAGTAGCTGCCTTGAGACATGGGCCCAGGAATGTCTGACCCCCCAGATGGGCTCTTTTCCCTACCATGTTGAGCCTGCAGGGTCCCCTTTGCAGAGGGCCTGACTTAGAGTGACTTTGCCCTTTGGACCAGTGCTCCTTCCCTGCCGTGGAGACTACCCAGAGGTTCTGTTTCTCGGGCCCGAGCATCCAGGGATGGTGGATGGCCTGCCGTTGCTACAGCAAGTGCTCCGAATGGCAGCTCCGCCAGCTACACCTGTGGGGCTCTTGGCACATTCCCGGACCTCCCTGAGGCTCGGTTCTTTTATCTGTAAAATGGAGGTAATACTGGCCGCCTCTCAGGTTGTTGTGCGGGGTGCAGATGAGGCATCTCAAGCTCCCCTTGCAGATATTGGCACATAGTGGGTGCCCACTAAGAGGCAGCTCTTACCCCGCTAAGCCCCTCCACACCAGATGTGCACGGAGGACGTGCTAAATGCCAGGCACCGTGCTGGGGGAACAGGGTGATTATGAAGCTGGGGCCAGTCCTCAGATGGGAGGTATGACTTTGCAGCATGGACCTTGAATGCCATCATGGCTCTTACAGGAGACAAGGGTCAGGTCATCATCACAAAAGCCCTGTGGGACCGGAATTGTTATCACCCCATTTTACAGAGGAGGAAGCTGAGACTCAGGGAGGTGAGGGGGCTTGCCCAGGGACTCACAGCTCCTAAGTGGCACAACTGGGATTCAGAGGCCTGCCAGCTTCGAGCCCACCTCAACTATCCCACTGTGCCACCAACCAAGGATGTCTGGCACTTGGAACAGCTTGTGTTCTGGGAGTTCAGAATATTACTTTTTGGCCAAGAGGGTGAGAAGAAGGCTTCAGGGAAGAGAAAGAACTTAAACTGGGCCTTCAAGGAGAGGGGAAGAGAGAAAGGGCATTCAGGCAGAGGGACCCGTGTGAGCTGTGTGCTGGGGGCTGAGTGTGGACCAGTGTAGCTGGGTCAGGCTGCTCTTGAGGAGCTGGGGAGAAGTCAGAGGGGCCTGATGCCCTCTTGTCTCCTGTTTTACAGTGAATTTGCTGGACACGTCGACCATCCACGGGGACTGGGGCTGGCTCACGTATCCGGCTCATGGGGTGAGTGATGGGCACTGGGGACAACGTCATCCCTCTGTGAGCAGAGAGAGGCTGCCACTCACAGAGTCTGCATGAGATAGATCAAAAGGAAGCAGAGGCCCAGAGAGGTCAAGGGACTTACCCAAGGGCACACAGCAGTTAGTGCTGCTGATCTCTTAACAGTTTAGTGCATACAGACCCTTGAGATTACAGAACCAACCCTGGCACCAGATCCCTGATTCTTCAAGTCTGAGGCCCTAGGTCCGGGGATCCCCATGGCTGCATCCTACAGATTCATGAGGTGCCAGGCCAGGACTAAAGAAGGCCAGCCAGGCCTTCCTGCCTTCTGGGTTGCTCCCTCCCTCCCAGCTGCCCTGGCCTCACCAGTCCTCCGACCTCTGGAGTCTCTGCTTGTCTGTCTCCCCAATGTGGCCAAGCTCCCGGTCCTGGCCACAGACTCTGGACTCAGCCTTCAGGTCGCTGTGGGTCATGTGCTCACAGGCCGTGCCCCCATCCTCCTGGGGAAGGGCTGCAGTGAGCAGGCTGCACTGCCCCGTCCCTCTGCTTCTCTTCTCTGAATCCTGCGGGGGCAGGGCAGTAGAGTAGGAGTGAGCCCGCGAGCCTGGTGAGATCCCAGCTCTGCCCTTGACAAGCAGGTGGACTTGGGTCACCATTTCACCTCTCTGAGTCTCAGTTTCCCCATCTATAGAAAGGGACAAGTCTGTGATGACCTCCCAGGTCTGCGCCAGGGTGAGAGCAGATGACACAGTCTTGGCACCGAGTCTGGCACAGGGTGAGCCCTCGATGAACATAGGCTTTTATAATGATCATTAACATTGTTACTCACGTGTGTTCTCTCACACAGTTACTGTCACATGAACTTCCTCTCACCAGCGTGCTCAGAAACACACACATGCACACACACGCACGCATGTACACACACATGCACGCGCGTACACACACATGCACACGTGTGCGTGTACACACATGCACACACGCACATGCACATGCGTGGGTACACACATGCACACACGTGTGCGCGTACACACACGCGCGCGCGCATACGCACATATGCACACATCTCTGCCACAGGCACGAGCACATTGTGCATACTTGAGTTCTTTCATGTCCACGTTCAGCTTCTATGGCTCTGAGGACAGAAGAATAATAATATTAATAATGATGATGATAACGACACCAACAGGTAACATTTATGAAGGGCCTTTCTTGACTTTGGGTAGAGTTTTCATCTGGGCCTTTTGTGGGGGCCTGTGATTGGAAGTGTAGACACGGCCCCACTTCTCTCTCTCTGGGGGTCTGGTCACCAGGCAGCGGTGAGCTGAGCCTGTTATCAGCCCTCATGCACCGGGCTCCCGGGAGCTGGGGGCAGGCCACATGGCCCTGGCTCTCCAGGTCCCTGAGCCTGGAGGAAGCCCTCGTCACCTGACCCAGCACCACTGCCTGAGCGCGGACGCCAGGTTCTTGAGGTGTCCCTTTACCTCCCAGCCCATCAGTTCCCCACTCTGTAAAACACTCCTTGGTGTGGCTGTCTTCCCCGCGTGAGCGTGGTGTGGAAGGGCTTTGGTGCAGTGAGCTGGTCCCCCCGTGGCAGGGTTCCACCCATGAGGAGGTGGGTCCTGGTCCCTCCCTCACTGCATGGCGGTTGGCTGAGATGGCATTCCCCTGAGTCCCAGCAGCTAGGAGGGCACGCCTGGGCCCTGGCTGGCTCCGGGGTGTCTTTATCCCACTCAGAGCATCGGACTTGGTGTTTAGGGTAGTGAGGAATTGTCAGGGTTTTCAGCAGGTGGGGAGCATGGCTGGCCTCGTGTTTTGGACGCTCACACTGGCAGTCTCAGGTGGGTTTTCATGCGGGGCGCTATAATGCATAGCTCAGCGTTCTAGCATTGCATTTGCGAGTTAGAACAAATCAGGCAACTTAGATTCGCTGAGCTCTGAACAGGTCACAGGCGTAATCTCATCACTCCCCACAACCAATCCTTGAGGTGGGTGCAGCCACCACACTTCACAGGTGAGGAAGGTGAGGCTCAGGGCAGTGAGGAGTAATTTGCCCATCATCAAGCAGGTTCCAGCTGATGGCAAGCTGGGACTCAAACTTGGGTCTCTCTGGGCCCAGAGCCTGTGGTGAGTCCCTTCCGCCACCTTCGAACTGCAGGCAGCGAGGCCTACTCTGTGACCATTTCATGAGATGGGGAGGCAAGCCTGCACTCTCTGCTGAGGCAGGGACCACCTGCCATCTTCAGGGGGCCTGGAGACTGGGGTTTCTCGGAGAGGAGAGAAGGCTGGAATGAGATGCCTGATTTCCAAACTCTAGACCTTGAACCTGTGCCAGGCTAGCAGGTGAGGCATGCAGAGTCCCACATCCAGGAGGTCTGCAGAGGGGCCTGGGAATCTTCTGTTTAATTAGCTTTCCAGGGAGCCAGGCATGGTGGCTCACACCTGTAATCGTAGCATTTTAGGAGGCTTGCTTGCGACCAGGAGTTCGAGACCAGCCTGGGCAACATAGTGAGACCCTTTCTCTACAAAAAAAATTAAAATTAGCTGAGAGTGGTGGTGCACGCTTGTGGTCCCCGCTACTCAGGAGGCTGAGGTAGGAGGATCGCTTGAGCCTGGGAGGTCAAGGCTGCAGTGAGCCACTGTACTCCAGCCTGGGTAATGGAGAGAGATCTTGTCTCAAAAAATAAAAATAAAAAATAATAAGCTTTCCAGGTGATTCTCCTGCCCAGCTGGGAGGGGGAACCTCTGGAGATGGTCCTTGAGGTTCTATCCACCCCTCTGACTCTGGAGTCCATTCAGTAACTTGAGGACAAGGGTCACCCAGGGCAGTCTCCAGCCTCAGAAATGTTACCCGATTATCAGACAGGTGCAGAGCCTGAAGGGCCAGGGCACTGGGTCCTGATGAACGGGGGCTCCGCCTCCTGTAGTCAGTGTGATTCGGGCAGATTACTTACTTCGCCTCCACCTCCTCATTTATAACGTGGGGACAATCTTAGAACTGCTCTGTGCAGTGCCATCATTGGGCTGATAGATGAAAAGGCCATTTTACCAACGAGAAACTGAATACTCTCAGAGGCAAAGCAATTCTACGAAGACTGGGGGAGGTCTGGCCCAGACCCCCTGCTCTTCATCAGGCTGCGTCCTTCCCTCTGCTCCCGGGAACTTCCGCATGCTGGGACGTGCTCCGCCTGCTCTGGCTAATTAACATGGACTAACGAATGCTGCTTTAGGTAAGTGGGCAGGTTAATTTCCATTGTCTCACTGGATTCTCACCACGCCCTGGAGTAGATGGAAGGAGCAGGCATTTGCTACCCCATTTTACAGAAGAGAAGCCCAAGCCCCAGAGAAGGGATATGCCTCACCAAGCGCTGCACAGCTGGTTCGCTGCATTCTGATATGGGAGGAGGACAGAGTTGGGGGAGCAGCGTGCCAGAGTCAGTTTTTGGGCAGCGGAGATGAGAGTGGCACCCATCACGGGGTGGGGGTGCCCCAGGCAGAGAACAGGGCTGATTCTGCCCTTGCACCAGACCTCCAGGAGTCTGTGCCACTCTGGGCATCAGCAGCTCCCGGGGCTGGCAGGGCTAGGCCAGACCATTGGCCCCGGTGGGGCAGCTGGAGTAGACTCAGATGGAACTGATTAATTTATCCGGGTCCCTGGCAGGAAACAGACAGGGAGCAGCTGGCTGGCTCTTTGGTGCTCCATTAATTGTGACAATGACTTTAACCCCAGATGTGACGCTGTGCTGCTTGGAGCCTCTGACAGCAAAGCGGGGTGTGGAGCAGGGGTCCTTCTTGGGTCGGGGAGACTCGGAAGCCTAAACTCTTTCAGGTGAGGCTGGCGCTCCCTGGGGCCCCTTTGGAAGCAGGAAATCCTCCCGCATGGTCCCTGGAGGCAGGCGCGGTAGGCTGTGAAGATGCTGCCAGTTCAGTATAATATTAGGGCCATTCGTCAAGGGCCTTCCCGTGCCAGGCCTGAGCTAAGCACTTTGCAGAAATTTTCCCATTGCATCCTCTCAAACCTCGCTCAAGTGGGGCCTGTTTGAGTCCCATTTTACAGATGTGGGCACTGAGGATCAAGACGAGATTAGATGGAGGGGCTTGGGATGGGCAGAAAAAGACTTGAGATGCCCATGACCTTCTCTCTAGTGCTTGTGGAATAAGCCCAGAACTCCACAGGTTCTCAGAGCATCTGGTCATGAAGCCCCCCTCCCCCTTTAAGCAATAGGATCTCTAGTTCAAGGACAATTGAAAAAGGTCAAGGTGTTGCATGCGTGGAGGAACCAGGACAGGGGCCCAGAGACCAACCCCTCCCTCTGCCCTCATCCTCCAGCTCCTCCTCAGAGCCCTCATGAGTCCCTGAAGTCAGCTCAACAAGGGACTGCTCCTGGCCAGCCAGTGCTCAGCAGCCGAGGAAGCTAGGACTGTCCCCTCCCCTGTCTTCTGCAGACCTCCACCCTTGCAAGAAGGTCCTGCTTCATTGCAGTGCCAGGTTGACAGGTAAACTACAGATGCCCACACCCAGGAGGGCTGGGAAGGGGCCTGGGAGTCTTGCCCACCTGGATTCCCTCAGCTCATCACCCTGCACTGCCTAGTCTGGTGGACCCGGGGCACTTGAGGACAGGGAGTGTTCTTGGCATCTTTCTTTTTTTGAGACGGAGTCTCGCTGTGTCACCCAGGTTGGAGCGCAGTGGCACAATCTCAGCTCACTGCAAACTCCGTCCCCCGGGTTCACGCCATTCTCCTGCCTCAGCCTCCTGAGTAGCTGGGACTACAGGCGCCCGCCACCACGCCCGGCCAACTTTTTTGTATTTTTAGGAGAGACGGGGTTTCACTGTGTTAGCCAGGATGGTGTCGATCTCCTGACCTCGTGATCCGCCTGCCTCAGCGTCCCAAAGTGCTGGGATTACAGGCGTGAGCCACCGCGCCCGGCCAGGCATCTTTCTTTCTTTCTTGTTTATTCTGGTGAAATACACATAAGGTAAAGTTTACCGTCTTAACCCTTTTTAAGCGCACACCTTGGTGACATGTAGTGCATTCACATTGCTGTGTGGCCATCACCACCACCACTGCCAGAACTCCGTTCATCCTGCAAAACGGAAACTCCACACCCTTAAACAGTAACTGCCCCCTCCCTGCCAGCCCCTGGCAGCCAGCATTCTACTTTCTGTCTCTCTAAATCTGACTATCTAGGTACTGCGTATACATGGAATCCTAACTATTTGTTTTTTGTTTCTAGCTTATTTCATTTGGCATGTCTTTAAGGTGTATCAGAATTTCCTTCCCTTTTAAGGCTAATACTCCGTTGTAGGTATATGCCACATTTTGCTTATCTACTGGTTCATTGACGTACACTTGGGTTCCTTCTACGTTGTGGCTGTTGTGAATAATGCTGCTATGAATAGGGGTGTACAAATATCTTTTTGAGACCCTGCTTTCAATTCTTTGGGATATATACCCAGAAATGGGATTGCTAGATCATATGGTAATTCTATTTTAAACACTTTGAGAAGCTGCCATACTGTTTTCCACAGCAGCTGCACTATTTTACAATCCCACCCGTAATGCACAGGGTTCTAATTTCTCCACATCCTTGCCAACACTTATTATTATCATTTTTTTTTAAGAGGGAGTCTCGCTCTGTTGCTCAGGCTGGAGAACAGTAGTGCGATCTTGGCTCACTGCAATCCCTGCCTCCCAAGTTCAAGTGATTCTCCTGCTGCAGCCTCCCGAGTAGCTGGGATTATAGGCACCCGCCACTGCACCTGGCTAATTTTTCTATTTTTAGTAGAGACAGGGTTTCGCCATGTTGGCCAGGCTGGTCTTGAACTCCTGACCTCAGGTGATCCACCTGCTTCGGCCTCCCAAAGTGCTGGGATTACAGGCGTGAGCCACCGCACCTGGCCTTATTATTATTGTTTTTTATAACAGCCATCCTAATGCGTATGAAGTGGTATCTCATTGTGGTTTTGATTTGTATTTCCCTAATGATTAGTGATGCTGAGCATCTTTTCATGCACCATTTGGCCATCTGAATATTTTCTTTAGAGAAATGTCTGTTCAAGTCCTTTGCCCATTTTCTAATTGGACTGTTTCTTTTCTGTTGTTGTCGAGTTGTGGGAATTCTTTATGTATTCTGGATATTAATCCCTTATCAGCTACATGATTTGCACATAGCTTCCCCCATTTCCTGGGTTACCTTTTCACTCTGTTGAGAGTGTCTGGTTTATTTCGGAATCACTGATGCCCAGCCAGCAGGCAGCACAGAAGCAATTAACACTCAACTTTCTCACATCCTGGGATTCCCTTGAGTGGGACCCAGGCCAGCCCAGGGGAACAGCAAGAAGAGCAGGGTGGAGGGAGTCTGTGGATCAGGCAATCACTCAACAAGCAGCTGTGCAGGAGAGGCGGCTGAAGGATTTGAAGTGGGGGCAAGGCATAGTCTGGTTCATATATTAGAAAGATTCCTCTGGCAGCTGATATGGAAACTGGACTTGCTGACTTCCCCAGGCAAGTTCTCCCACTCTAAGAAAGATAGGAGGAGCCACAGAGAAATGAGGGCAGAGCTTTGGCATCAGACAGGACCGATTCCCGTCCAGCCATTGCTCGATAATGACATGACCTCAGATGTGTGGCTCACAGGTCAGAGCCTCTACTTCCTCATCTCAAGAGTTAGTAAATAACACTTCCCCTGAAGATCGTGGCCCTCTTCGAGATCATGTCTGCAGGGGGCCTGGCATCTAGTAGCCACCAGGAGGCCAGCTCCTTTGTCTTTTTTTTTGCCAGCGTCCCCAGCACAGAACACAGGGTCATTGGCAAAAGAGGGTGAGGTGCTGGCTCTGCTGTAGTGGCTGTGTTCTCTCTGCCCACAGTGGGACTCCATCAACGAGGTGGACGAGTCCTTCCAGCCCATCCACACGTACCAGGTTTGCAACGTCATGAGCCCCAACCAGAACAACTGGCTGCGCACGAGCTGGGTCCCCCGAGACGGCGCCCGGCGCGTCTATGCTGAGATCAAGTTTACCCTGCGCGACTGCAACAGCATGCCTGGTGTGCTGGGCACCTGCAAGGAGACCTTCAACCTCTACTACCTGGAGTCGGACCGCGACCTGGGGGCCAGCACACAAGAAAGCCAGTTCCTCAAAATCGACACCATTGCGGCCGACGAGAGCTTCACAGGTGCCGACCTTGGTGTGCGGCGTCTCAAGCTCAACACGGAGGTGCGCAGTGTGGGTCCCCTCAGCAAGCGCGGCTTCTACCTGGCCTTCCAGGACATAGGTGCCTGCCTGGCCATCCTCTCTCTCCGCATCTACTATAAGAAGTGCCCTGCCATGGTGCGCAATCTGGCTGCCTTCTCGGAGGCAGTGACGGGGGCCGACTCGTCCTCACTGGTGGAGGTGAGGGGCCAGTGCGTGCGGCACTCAGAGGAGCGGGACACACCCAAGATGTACTGCAGCGCGGAGGGCGAGTGGCTCGTGCCCATCGGCAAATGCGTGTGCAGTGCCGGCTACGAGGAGCGGCGGGATGCCTGTGTGGGTGAGCGCGCCATGGCCTGGGCATGGGTCAGCCGGCAGCGGTGCTTGGTCTTGGCAGGGCTGCCAGGGTGTAAGGGGGGACGTCAGAGCCCACAGGCACCTGAGTGACCCACACAGCCCCTGGGAAGATGGATAAACCTCCAGTGTTCCTACATCAGGAAATATGCGAGGCCACCTGTGTCCGTGTGTTGGGAAGGACGTGGGAGCAAGATGGGGGAGGGGAGAGGGAGGGAAACAGACCCCAGCGAGGCGGTGCCTTCTGTGGGAGGTACAGCTAAAGGCACCTGTGCAATTGGGTATGCTATGGGATTCCTACCCGGATTAGGGAGTGATACCATGGGCTAACTCAGGTCAGACATAGTTCTAAGCACTTTGCGAGTATTAACTCATTGAATCCTGGCCACTACACTATGACGTAGGAACTACTGTTATCCTGGTTTTATAGATGAGGAGAGACAGTGAGGCAAAGCAACTTGCCCAAGGTCATGCAGCTGGGGATGGCAGAGCTGGGATTTCAACTCAGAAGTCTGGCTCCAGAGTTGGTGCTCGAAACCGCTGAACTTCTAACCTGTAGGGTGGAGGGAAGTGGGACCGGGGCCCTGGGTGAATGAGCACACTGAGGGGTATGAAGCCAGGGACACCCAGGGAGTACAGTCTGGGTTGGGCCTGTCCCTGGGGCCCTGAACAGGCTGCTTCTGTTCAGGGGGATCTTATCAGGGACCTGTGTGAGAAGACAGGCAAGGGCCTTGTGGAGGAGGACAGTGAGAAGAGAGCCCCTGGGCCATGACTTAGGGTGGCAGCTGTACCCATAGGTGTGCTGCTGGGTTCCTGTGTCGGAGCAGGAGCAAGGCATGCAGACGAGGGAGCCTAGGCCCAGGTGGTGTGCATGAGTGTGTGTGTGCATGTGTGCGTGTGTGCGTAAGTGTATGTGTGCATGTGTGTGCATGTGTGCGTGTGTGCATGTATGTGTGCATGCGTATGTATGCATTGTGTGGGCCTGTGTTCATGAGTGTGTGCATGTGTGTGTATGTGTGCGTGAGTGTATGTGTGCGTGAGTGTATGTGTGCGAGTGTATGCATGTGTGTGCATGTGCGTATGTGTGCATGTGTGCATGTACACCTGTGTGTGCATGTGTATGTGTACATGTGTGCATGTGTATGTATGTGCATGTGTGTGCATGTGTGCATGAGTATGTATGCATGTGTGTGCATGTAGCGTCAGTGTATGCATGTGTGCGTGAGTGTATGCATGTGTGCATGTGTGTATGTGTGCGTGTGTGCATGAGTGTATGTGTGCATGTGTGTGCGTGCATGTGTGTGCGTGCGAGTGTGTGCGTGTGAGTGTGCATGTGTGTATGTGTGCATGTGTGTGTCTGTATACCCGTGTGTGCATGAGTGCATGTGTACGTGTGCATGAGTCTATGCCTGTGTGCATATGTATGCATGTGTGCATGAGTGTATGCATGTGTGTATGTGTGCGTGCATGTGTGCGTGCTTTAGTATATGTATGCATGTCTGCATGAGTGTATGCATGTCTGCATGTGTACGTATGTGTACGTGTGTGCATGTGTGCGAGTGTATGCATGTGTGTGCATGTGCATGAGTGTGTGCATGTGTGCATGAGTGCATTAGTGTATTATGCATGTGTGCATATGCGTGCATGTGTGCGTGAGTGTGCACATTTGTTAGTGTCTGCATGTGTGCATGAATGCGTGTGTGCATGTGTGCATGAGTGTATGTCTGCGTGTGTGCATGTGTGTATGTGTATGTGTGTGCATGTGAGTGTATGTATGCATTTGTGCATGAGTGTATGTGTGCCTGTGTGTGTATGTATATGCATGTGTGCATATGTGCAAGTGTATGTACGGATTTGTGCATGTGTGTGAATGTATGTGTACGTGTGGGCATATGTATGTGTGCGTGTGTGCATGTATGTGTACATGTGCATGCCTGTGTGTATATGCATGTGTGCATGCATGTGTGTATATGCACGTGTCCGTGTGTCCGTGTGTGCATGTGTGCATGTGTATGTATGCATGTGCGTTTATGTGTGCATGTGTGTATGTATGCATGTGTGTCCATGTGTATGTTCATGTGTGTGAGTGTATGTGTGCATGTGTATATGCATGTGTGTGCATATGTGCAAGAGTATGTATGCATGTGTGTGCATTTGTGCATGTATGTATGCATGTGTGTGCATGTGTACGTGCATGTGTGCATGTGTATGTGTGCATGTGTACGTGTATGTGTGCATGTGTGTGTGCATATGTGCAAGAGTGTATGTATGCATGTGTGTGCATGTGTGCGTGAATATATGTGTACCTGTGTGCATGTGTGTGTATGTATGCATGTGTGTGCATGTGAGTATATGTGTACATGTGCGTGCATGTGTCAGAGTGTATATATGCATGTGTGCATGCATGTGTACATGAGTGTATATATGCATGTGTCCATGTGTGCATGAGTGTATGTATGCGTGTGTGTATGTGTGCATGAGTGTATGTGTGCACTGTGTGCATGTGTTCATGAGTGTATGTATGTGTGCATGTGTTTGCATGTGTGCATGAGTGTATGTGTGCATGCGTGCATGCATGTATACGTGAGTGTATGTCTGCATGGTGTGCGCATGTGTGTGTGCATGTGGGGGAGTCTGTGCAGCCAGGCACCCCAAGAGTGGGGAACACTAAGCAAGCTTGTGTGGACAAACAGCAGGTGTCCAGCTGTTCCTGGTCTTGGCCAGGCTTCTCTCCGTCGTTTTCTTTGGTCTCATGAGTGGCTGGGCACATGGTGGCTCAGCCCCCCGGGCACAGTGAAGCCTGGCTGTTGAGATCATTGGATCCCCTGGACAGAGGAGGTGAAAGGGAGGAGGATGTTTATATGCAGGGATCAGAGAGACAAGAGCCTGTCCCCAGATACCCTTAGTGAAAACTGGAACGGGGCCCTTGTCAGCTGCTGGGAATATGCTTCTAGCCCTTTGCTGCTACTATACAGGCCCTGGGGCCACAGTGAGAGGGACCTTTAGTCCTCATCACCCATCCCCCAGCAGGCAGGCAGGAAAGGCCCCTGAGCGCTAATAGGACTGGGCATGACATAGGCTGACAGCCTCAGGTGATAACAGGTGGGGATGGAGTCCAGCTGGCTCCACTTAGGAGCCGTCTTGCCCAGAGATCTCTGGGGCCAGGATCTTCCCTGCAGCCACTAGGCCCTTTGAAGCCCTTCCCGGAGGCTCTCTGGTTTTCTTTCTTTCTCTTTTTTTTTTTTTTTTTTTTTTTTTTTGGAGACGGAGTTTTCACTTTTGTTGCCCAGGCTGGAGTGCAATGGGGTGATCTCAGCTCTCTGCAACCTCCGCCTCCCGGTTCAAGCGGTTCTCCTGCCTCAGCCTCCCGAGTAGCTAGAATTACAGGTGCCCGCCACCACGCCCAGCTAATTTTTGTATTTTTAGTAGAGACAAGATTTCACCATGTTGGCCAGGCTGGTCTCAAACTCCTGACCTCAAGTGATCCGCCTGCCTCGGCCTCCCAAAGTGCTGGGATTACAGTCTTGAGCTACCACGTCCAACTCGCTCTCTGGTTTTCTTAAGAAATCTCATTTCACATCCCCAATTTCTATGAGTCTTCTCCTGTCCCGAGCTCTAAACCCCAAAGCACCTTCTGTGGCATTTGCCCATTTCTGGATTTGTTCTGCCCTCTGCAGCCTGGTTTGCCAGGCTCCCCAGGCCACAAGCTCTCATGGTTACTATCACAGACAGCCCTGTGTGTCAGCTTTGCACTGGGAAGAAAAACAACCAACACCCCTATTGCCTTCACAGCTCATAGCGGGGCGCATCACATACCAGCTCATTTGCTCATTGCAGCAAGGCAGGTATCACAATTCCATTTTACAGATGGGGAAGCTGAGGTGTAAGAGGTAGTGTTACCTGCTTAGGCCTTACAGCTAGTGAGAGCTGGAGCCTGAAGACAGGTCTGTATTGCTCTGAGCCAGGTACAGGCTTTTAGCGTCTCCCTAGCCTGCCCCAGGCTGCTTTGTCCGCCAGAGCTGCGCCAAACCTCCCCTCATTCAGGTGGGGCTAATGAAGGACCTTAGTGATGATTTTTCGTCTTTGATGTAATAATTATCCATTCTGCTGAGCATCTACTGTGTCCCGGCATTGGGGATACAGGTACAGGGAGTCCCTGCCTCTGGGGACTTAGCAATTTCTTATCCTTACAACAGTCCTTTAAGATAAGTATTATAGTCCCATTTTACTGATAAGAAAAACTGAGGTCCCTCAACTTAAGTAGCAGAGTAGTGATCTGATCCCAGGTTGCCTGACTCCAGCACCTTCAATTGCTTCCTCTGTGCACAAAGCCCTCTGCAAAGCCCCACTTCCCTCCTCCCTGGGGTAGCATTCGGATGGATGGTTAGCAACTGGTACAGCATAAGTCATAACAATCTGGCTGGTTGGCCGGTGCATACGCACTCAGGGTCGGCCACCGTCCCCAAGTCTGGATTTAGCCAGCGAGTACAAATATGCCAATTATTTGTCCCAGGTGAACTGAACCACATCTGTCTGTAGGAAGAAGACCTGCCCTCCTGTCTTTGGGGTCAAGACCTCGCTTGGAGGTCTCAGGTAACGCTGCAGTCTCCCTGTGTGGCAGAAGAGGGAAGCGGAGCCCAGAGAGGGGATATGTCTTGCCCAATTTTCTCAGCACATCAGGGGTGGGGCTCTGAGTGGAAACCCCAGGGCCTGAGTGGCAGGACCTCACGGGGGCTGGGAGAGGCCAAGGCCACTCCTATTTCCTGGCACTGCTGCCACATTAATAACAAATAAAAAGAAATGCCAAAGTGGGGTTAGGGAATTGCAGCATATTTTGAATTTTACATTTAAATAATAATACAACGTAATTATGCCAGTTGCAAGATAATTACAGGTTTTATAAAAAATATTAATTCATAGTGCACTGCAGGCAGTGAGATTTGGGAACGGAAAGCCCGTTTTAAGTCGCACAAGGAAAGACATTTCTCAGCCCCGTTGGTGGCTTCTTTGGCTGCGTAACCTCATTTGGGAAGGTCAGCACGGGTCTCAAACTAAGGCCTTTCACAAATGGGAGCCAGGTCCAAGAGCCCTGCCTGGTCCCCCTTTCTACCCCTGGAGAAGCCCTTGACCTCTTTGGAGCTGCCCGGCTCCTTGGTGGATGGCCTGGGGCAAAGGAAGGGCTGGGAACAGAGTGGGGTACCTTTCCTGGGATACTTGAGATGTCTTCTGCAATCTGGGACTGCCCCTGCCCAGCCTGAGGGAGTCTTCAGGAGACCTGCTGAGGTCCATGGGGCCCCTGCCTGGTTTGAGAACATCCTGATCCCTTCTGGGCAGTTCTCTCAGCAAACAGTTAAGGAGAGGAAGGGCGTGGAGTCAGGGGGTCTCAGCTTGCCCAGTCCTGAGCCCTTGTCCTTCTAGTGACAGGAGCAGGGGTTGAGAGCCTGAGACCCACAGCAGGGGCCAGGCCCCCTTCAACAGCTGCCCTCCCTGCCTTGGGTTTTG
This sequence comes from Homo sapiens, assembly GCF_000001405.40. Taxonomy (NCBI): domain Eukaryota; kingdom Metazoa; phylum Chordata; class Mammalia; order Primates; family Hominidae; genus Homo; species Homo sapiens. Next base: position 22,582,397 of record NC_000001.11, read on the forward strand.
CCCTTAGAGGTACCCTCAGAAGGTGGCCAGGCAGTACTTGATTTTGCAGAAGACAGTATAGCCTGGGATAAGGGACCCGCCAGGTCACATGGCTCTTTAGAGGCCTTGCTTAGATTGCACTCAGACCTCAAGAGACCCATGGAAAAATGTCAGAGCCATGTGGGGTTCGTCCAGTTTACCACTGGGGAATTGGAGGCCCAGAGAAGTGAAGTGACTAGCCCAAGGGCACACAGCGAGGGGTGGTTGATAGAATCTCACATCTCCCAACTCCTTGCCCAGAGGAAGCTCCCCACACTCCACAACTCCGGATCCAGTGACCTCCCCACACCAGACTGCACTTCCCAGCACCCCCCGCACCCTGGTTCACCCCAGAAAGAGGAAGGGCCTCTCAGCGCATCACCCAGCGGAGCAGCAGCTCAGAGTCTGAAGTCCTGGTTGCTGTCCTTCCTGTCACCTGGACGCAGAATATAAATCACCCTTCGCGGCCCTAATCATCTTTCTATAAATATCAGAGAGTCTCATTTCGGAGGGGGAGCAGGAACAGTGAGCTCTTTTGCCTTCCTGACTGTGTTTAAAATCTGATTTAGAATTAATTTCCTTTGGTTGTCCACCAGCGGACACCTTATTTGTCAAATCTCCGGCTCTTTGCGGGGGAGAGCAGAGAGGTGGCCAGGGCCACAGGCAGCTGCTGGCCTGACAGGCGGCCTGGGCAAGGTGCCCTCAGCAGGGTCAGGAGCCCCTCCTGGCTCGCGGCCCAACACCCGGGCACGTGCAGGCTCCGGAAGCACCCTGGGTCGACAGGCAGGGCCGGGCCCCAGCCCAGAGCCACTCCATCTGTCTCAGCCATTAATTCCCGGCCCAGCCTCCAGGTCTCTGGGCTCCCTGAGGCCTGGTGATTAGTATTCTTATTAAAGATTATTTTATTTTCATTGCGTGGATTAATCTGGCCTTGACACATTATAGCCATATGGGTATTAGCCGAGTGTGTGAGAACTGCCGACTGGTGAGCCACAGCGGCGCAGCCATCTCTCAGCTCTGGGACGGTGCTGGGAGGACGGGGGGAAAGGCCATAGCTCCAGAGGCTCCCCCGCCTGACTGCACATTCTGGCTCTGCTGGGAACCTGGGGCAAGGCATTCAGGCTCCCTGAGCCTCTGTTTCCTCTTCTGTCGAACAATTGTAAGAATTCCAACTACATCAAATTGTTATAACAACAAGTGCCAGGCACTGCCCTGGCATGAATTTATGTGTCTTCACTCATGTCATGCTTGCCATCTCCCTCTAAGGTGGGTAGAATTATGATCTCCACCTTAAAGACGAGGAAACTGACTTCCAGCACCTTGCCTAATGTCACTGAGCTCAGATAAAGGGGGTTAGACGAGGACAGGAACCCAGGTGCTACACCCGAGCTTCTGCTCGGGCCTGACAAGGACCAGGTGGGCCCTGGAAAGGGTCAGAGACTTGCAGGGCCAGCCGTGGTGCTGGCTTCCCTCAGGCCCCGCATCACGCCATGAGGCTTTGCCTGTCCGTCTGCCAATGCCGTGGAAGCTCCCTAAGAGCAGGCCCAGCTCTTACTTCTCTTGGGTCCATAGTAGAAGCTCAGTAAATGTTGGGGAAAGGAATAAATGAGGGAGGGAAGAAGCAAATGGTCTCTGAGATGCTAATCGTTGTGGATTGGATCATTACAGTGAGGATTACTGTCATTCAGCTCAGTAACAGGTTCAACAAATATTTGCTGACAAAATGCAAAGCCCTTTTCTGATGATGCCACCCCCAGCGGCCCCCGGGGCTCAGAAGGAGCCTGTGCCCAAGGCTGTGCCCCAGGACTGAGCCTCCCGGGGGGCTTCTGGGAAGAGGAGGCGAGATCACAGTGTGTCAGTCAAGACTCCTCACGACTCCGAGCTCCTAGACCTGAGCTCAGCCCCCAGGCAGACCAGAGCCCTCTTGGGATCCTCTGGAGGGGAGGGAAAGATGTTGCAACAATGGTGCGTATTTTCCCCCACTCTGCAACTTACAAGCTCTTTCTGGCTCTGCAGCCTTCTAGAGTATGAAGCAACTTCAGGGCGTTACCATTTCTCCTGACTCCAGGTTTTCTCTCAAGTTTGTAGAATTTTACAAATGAACCTGGTTTTAGCTTTTGTAATAAAGAGATACGATCAACATCCAGAGAAGAAATGCTCTGCAGTGGCCTGATGTCTTTGTAATTGAAGGTTCTCTCAGGCACTGAGTTTTCCAGAACAGGATTTAGTGGAGAGAGAACCACAGTGAGCTTCCCAGTGGTCCCTGTTGCAAAGGACTTCAGTTCCATGGACGGAGCCGGGAGCTGCCTGGCTGGGTGGCATTTGGCCCACCTGAACCTCTGGGGTCTCTGCCCAGAGCAGATAATGGTGGGATCCATTCAATTTGAAAACTCCTGCCTGGAGTTTAACAGCATCTGCCCAGGGCTAGCACTGGACCAGGTTCTGGGACATTGAGATGAATAAGGGAGTCGTACTCTGTTTGCAAGGATCTGCCCACGGGGGCCTCCCAGTCTAGAAGGAGAGTCAGCACTGACAAGCGAGTACAGCCATAGTGTTGCAGGTGGTGAGGCCAAGCAGGGGCCGCAGGAGCAGGGCGGGGAATGGTCGTTTCTCTGTGTGTGTGTGTGTGTGTGTGTGCGCACGCGTGTGTCTAGAGTTCCAGAAGGGACAGTCAAAATTAATCTTAAAAGAGGAGCTCAGTAGGTGGACAGAGGAGAAAAGGCAGCCCAGGAAGCGGGCACAGCCTGTGCAAAGGCCCCGAGGCAGGAATCAGACTGCTGGGTGTGGGGATCGGCCAGTGCTTTAGTTTGGCCTAAGGATGGGGGTGAGGGGCAGCACTAAACAAGGCTCCAAGTGGGTTTTGGCTGGGCAGGGAGGGATTTGAACACCAGGTTTCATTGTCTAAGCCCTGGGGAGCCTGTGAGGCATGAAACAGGCAGTGACTGAGTGAGATGTGCATTTTGGAGACTCCCTCAACCTAGGGTATCCCCCTCCCTGCACAGTGGACTCCTTATTCTTTAGGCCACAACTCAAATATCATCTCCTCCTCTGGGAAGTAGCTCCTCCCACCATTTACCCTTCCATCACCTTAGCCCCCTTGTTCTCTCCCTCCCTCCTAGCAGTGATCCCAGCTGAGAGCCAGTGGCTCTGGTTCACAGCCCTCCAAGGCCCAAACAGGCCTGGTCCAGAGTTGTGCTCATGAACAGTGGTTGACTGAATGCATGATCACGCAGGCAGCTGGGTGGGGGGAGGCAGGGCTGGAAGCCAAGTCTGCAGGCTGCTGTGGGTGAGAGATGAGGTAGGGTGTGGCAGTGGCTGGAGAGAGGGTCAGTCCCAGCCACAGTGACGGGGACAGTGACAGTGTGGGCCTGGGAGGGGAGAAGCCTGCGCTTCTTGGATAGTCACCCTCCCATGGGGGCTTGTAAAACAGACCCCAGGTACCGGCCCTGGCTCTTCTAACTCAGCTGTCTGTGGTGGGGCCAGGAATCTGTATTTTTATGGAGGTGGCTCCATGTCTGCCTGTGTTTGGGAGCAATGGGTCTTACCAGGTGTCCCCCCCCTTTCTAGTCGCATTCCCAGCACCCCCATCCCTGGCCTGCTTCCTCATCCCACCCAAGTCAGTTCCGGGGCATTTGATCCTCAGCCCCATGGCCCTGGCCCCTAGGCTGGCGTCCCACGTAAGAACCAGTGTCCCATAAAAGAGAGAAGGACAGCATCTCCACCCCTAAAGCTGGAGACAGGGCCTGGGGGAGGGGTCAATTAGAGGAGGGCTGGGGAATTTGGAGATGCTCAGGGGTGGGGCTCACTTTGAGGCTGGGACTCCCATGTCAGGGTCTGAACCTCAGCTCTGCCCTGACTGGCTGTGGAACCCTGTGGAAGACACAGGCCCCCTCTGCACTTCAGTTCTGCCCTCTGCAAATGAGGGCAGCACTGGGCAGTGTGAAGGTCTGCACCTCCATCCCTCTGGGGCACCCCCCAGGAAGCTGTGGGCCACAGTGTGAGCGGTCCCCAAGGCCAGCCAGGGTGGCCCTGCTGGCTCATGTGCAGCCGCCTTCTCCTCCACAGCCTGTGAGCTGGGCTTCTACAAGTCAGCCCCTGGGGACCAGCTGTGTGCCCGCTGCCCTCCCCACAGCCACTCCGCAGCTCCAGCCGCCCAAGCCTGCCACTGTGACCTCAGCTACTACCGTGCAGCCCTGGACCCGCCGTCCTCAGCCTGCACCCGTGAGTACCACTCCGAGATGCCAGTACCCTTGAGCCCAAGACTGGGCCGGGCCCCTGTGTTTGGTCCTCCAGGCCTCAGAGAGCCAGTTCTCTGCTGGTGGGGCAGGGGCGGGTGGCTCTCTTGAGCCAGAGGCCAGTCTGAGGTGGGGGGGGTGACTCTGATCCCTCCACGGTGGCCTAGACCTCTCTGGGCTCCCAGCCTCTGTCCTGTGTCACCTACACTGGAGGGCAGAATGGAGCTGGCCTCACTTCTTTCCCCACATCGGGCAGTTTTTGTCATCTTCTGATCTAGCAGCGATGCCGATGTCCTGGGGGCCAGGTGGGCAAGCCAGGGTGCTCGCCTGTGCGGAGAGGGTGAGGGTTAGGGCAGCAACCCTTCCATCACCATCATCTTTGATGAACTTGTTGGAACTGCTGAATGCTGAGAGCTGCCTTACATGTGTATGGTGTGTGTGCATATGTGTGTGTACCCATGGAGTTCGAATATCTGATTCTGTGTATGCCCTGGGGCCCTGCAGTGATTGTGTGTTAGCGTGTGTCTGTGTGAGCAGCTGCTCTTACAGACGACGCCTGTATCGTGTTTGGATGCCTGCATGTAAATGTGTGACGTGTAGTTGAGCTCACATATATAAAGGATTCGTCACATATATTAAGGATTCTTAGGAGGAGGTGTGTGTGTGTGTACATCTGGGTACCTGAAGGGGACTCAGAAGTCCTTGTAAAGCTTGAATGAGGGTGTCTTGTGAGCTCAGCACGTGTGTGTGTGCGTGTGCACACCTGGCCCTGCAAGGGTGCATGTGCCTGGAGAGGGTGTGGCTGCATGTGCACGTGCCCTGTGGACCTGAAGGTATGGGGGGATTCTGCACCCATGCCTGCAGGGCTGCGTGACTGTCCTACCTTCTGCTGATGCAGCGCCTGGATTCTCTCCTCTCATGTGTCCTAACGGGCCACTCATACTCCCATTCCAGGCCTGGGGAGGGACCACAGCCTGCTCAGCCCAGCCCAGTTGCCAACCCTGGGCTCTTGTGGTAGGGCAAGAGGCACTTCAGACTGTTCTGATTTTGCTCTGAATCTGCCCAAGCATCAGCCCCCATCTCCCGCTCCCATACATCCATCACCACCCAGCCCCAGCCTCCCTGCACATGGCAGGCGAGGGCCCAGGTGCATTCATGCCCACATGCTTGTGCACATACACACAGACACACACACCCACCCTCCCTCCACTGCCCTGCCCAGATCTGTGCATTTTCCACATGTGGGACCTGTTGGGGCAGAAAAGGTGGCCAGGTGACAGCGTGGGCACCTCAGGCAAGTCGAGTCTGGCCCCAGGTCATGGACACTTGCGTGAAGCTGGCTGGACTCTGGTTTCTTTCCAAACCCACAGTTCAGTGCCTTTAGGTTCTGGAAAGCTTAAGATCGTAAAGGCTGAGCTTTTAGTATTCTATACCCTTCCGATGTTAAAAATTCTCTTCTCTTCAAATTGTAAGATTCTGATTCCAAGATCTTACAATTCTATTTTCTGAAGATTTAAGATTCTCTGCCTGGAATTCTGAGAACTGGAATTCTGAGGCCAGGGGTCCCCACAGACCCCCATGCCCTCTTGGCTCAAACCCCCACCCCAGCCCCTCAGACCCCCAGCCCCACGTCCTGGTCTCCTCAACCAAGGGGTCACCCCTCTCTCTCCAAAGTCTTTGTGCTGCCCAGACAGAGGCTCCCATGCCCGGGGTTGGGGAGCGGCTGCTTGGTGCACACAGCCATGGGGATACACGGTGGGCTTCTGGGGGCCTCCACTTAATTCCACAGTGCGTGCTCAGTGGCATTTTGTATCGGATCCGGCACAGAAGGGTCAAGGAATAGATGTGGCTGCAAATACCTGGGTCACTTACACACAGGGTGGCTGCTGTGGGCACCCCCGGGACTGTGCGGTCTCTCTCCCACTCTGGGTGAGCAGTGGGATGTCCAGACCCTTGGATCATGGTGGTCCTGATGGGTGGGGGGGATGGGGTCCCAGGGTTCTGTGCCCAGACTCTGACATTGTGGTCCCGGTCTGATGGCAGAGACACAAACTCTGCCCTTGGGGAGGCTACAGAGGATGGAGTAGATGTGGACCTTATCCTTAAGGAGCCCTAAATATGATGGGGAGCCCTTCCCTTGGGGAGCCCCAGGTCTGATGATAGGAAGACAGGACAGCCCAAATAAATAACCACTGCCCCATCTGTCATCCTCTGCCCTCAGGGCCACCCTCGGCACCAGTGAACCTGATCTCCAGTGTGAATGGGACATCAGTGACTCTGGAGTGGGCCCCTCCCCTGGACCCAGGTGGCCGCAGTGACATCACCTACAATGCCGTGTGCCGCCGCTGCCCCTGGGCACTGAGCCGCTGCGAGGCATGTGGGAGCGGCACCCGCTTTGTGCCCCAGCAGACAAGCCTGGTGCAGGCCAGCCTGCTGGTGGCCAACCTGCTGGCCCACATGAACTACTCCTTCTGGATCGAGGCCGTCAATGGCGTGTCCGACCTGAGCCCCGAGCCCCGCCGGGCCGCTGTGGTCAACATCACCACGAACCAGGCAGGTAGGCGGAGAAACTCCGTCCCGCAGCGTCCTGGTCCCCCAGCTTCCCCTGCCTCAGACCCATCCAGGGATCAGAGCTCTGCCGGGGACGTGCTGTGGGCCTTTAGGCAAGTGCCTCTCTGGCCCTGCGCTCCTCACCAGGACCCAGAGCTGGAGGCTCTTCATTGCCTTTAGAAAAGTGGAACACATTCTATAAGTAAGAGAAATCCCAAAAGCTCAGAGGCAGGCTAGTGTGGCCGTCGAAAGCCTAGGTTCCAGAACTTTCCCTCTCTGTGCCTCAGTTTCCTCCCTGGTGCAATGGGAATAATAGTACCTGCCTGAGGTCCTCTCAGGAGGCTTAAATGAGAGGAATGAAATTGCTTAGCCCAGCACCTGGCCCGTGGTAAATGCTCAATAAATGTCATTAAAAAATAAAATCACTCGGATGATCATTTTCCAGAACAGCTGCTACAGCTGCCCTTGGGATAGACTTGGCTGCACTGGCTTGGACCACAGTAGTTTATCTATCAGTTTCTGGCCAGTTGGTGGGCTGAATTCACCCCCGGAACCTCTTTCTTCCCAAACTCTGGAGGACCCTGCCCGTCAAGTGACAGCGTGACCCAAGAGCCCTCCTAGGGCAGCTTCCTATTAACAGCCACCCTCACCTGTGCCCAAGACCCTCAGGCCCCCACCCACCATCTCCTCCCAAAACCACACAGCCCTGGCCTCGCAGACAATATGCCCACCACGTCACAGAGGAAGAAACTGAGGCCTGGAGAGCACCCAGGGCCACCTGACATAGGAAGTGGCAGAGGCAGGGCTCAAACCCAGGTCTGTGTCACTCCCAAGTGAAGCAGGTCCCCCCACTCTGAATCTAGGGCATGCTGCTCCCTGACGCCAGGGCCTCAGCCCTTCAGAAGATTCCCTCATTCGACAGCCCTCGTGGAACACCCACTAAATGCCAAGTGTGGTGCCAGGTGCTGGCAACACAGAGAGAGAGTGAGCTATGTGCCCCGTGGTAGAGCCCAGCCCTGGCCCACCTGTCTCTAGGCACCTGAGGCCCCTGGCAGGCTGGTCCCAAGTGGAGGGGAGAGCAAGAGAAGTTCACAGCATTCAGGCAGCATCCGGGATGCCCCAACATTAAAGAGGAAACTAGACCCTGCCTTGAACCTGCCTTCCCCTCCGGTCACCAGACCATTTCTCTTCCCATACGACCCTCTCTGTCCGTGCCTGGCGTATCTACTTCTTCCTCTCCTCTGCGGGACTTCTCCATGTCTTTCCTCACCTCTTCACAGAAATCAGCAGCCCTGCGTGGCCACATCCATGGGCGCCTCTTCCCCCTTTCATTTCCTCCTCCTGGAAACACTTTTCTCTTGCTCGTGTGTCCCAGCCCACGCCCATTTTCCATTGACCTGTGTGGCCTGTCCCTCTCTGTCTTTGTAGCCCCACCTCCTTTAAATGGCCTCTAAAGGCCATGGGTCCCTGGGAATGTCCTGGGCCCTCCTCTCTTTCCTGTGTGCCCAGATCCATCTTTTCTGGGCGGCTGTTTCAGGGCCCATGACTTTGAATTCCACCTTTGTGCTAACAACCCCCAACTCGCGGTCACCAGCGAAGACCTCTCCCCTAGGACCCAGCTGCCCACTCCTGTCTCCATTCGGTTATGTGAAAAACAAACAACCCTGCCACACCTGCACCTGCCCCGCCCTAGGACATGGCACCTCCAGACCCAAGCTGTCATCCTTGACTCTCATGCATGTCACATCCATCCCCCCCTAAAGCCCCAGGGACCTCCCTTCAAAATGACCAACTGACTTCCACCCCCCACGAGTCCATGCCTGGACCACCACAGGAGACCCCTCTTGCCTCACCCCCACAAGACATTCTCCACACCAGTCCTGAGTGAGCTTTAAAAATAGAAGTGAGGGCTGGGTGTGGTGGCTCACGCCTGTAATCCCAGCATTTTGGGAGGCCAAGGCGGGAGGATCACTTGAGGCCAGGAGTTTGAGATCAGCCTGGGCAACATGGCAAGACCCCATCTCTACAAAAAAAATTTTTTTTGAGACAATGTCTCTATCTGTCACCCATGCTGGAGTGTGGTGGCACAATCACGGCTCACTGCAGTCTTGATCTCCGGAGCCCAAGTGATCCTCCCACCTCAGCCTCCCAAGTAGCTGACCAAGGGCACACACCACCATGCCCAGTGATTTTTTTTTTTTTGTAGAGATGGGGTCTCCCTATATTTCCCAGGCTGATCTGAAACTCCTGGGCTCAAGTGATCCTCCTGCCTCAGCCTCCCACAGTACTGGGATTACAGGCATGAGCCACCATGCCCAGCACCACCGCCCCCCAAGTTTTTTAGATGAAAATACATGAGAACAAGCTGTCCTCAAAGCCCTTCACAGCCTAGGCTGAGCGCACATGCAATTCAGACATTCTCATGGCCTGTGGACCCACACAGCTTCACCCCTGCCTGCCTCTCCAGAGCACCTCTTTCCCTGGCTCACTCTCTTCTGGCCATGATGGTCTCCGGTGCCCCCTCCTTGAACACACTGGGTCTTTCCCTGCTGCTAGGCCGTGGCCTGGCTTCTCCTTCGGAATGACTCACTCTTCCCCTGACATTCCTATGCCTGGCTCCTCTGCCCTGGAAGCTCCCCCGACCACCTCAGCTGAAACGTGCCAGTGCCCTTCCGGGCCCTGCAGTGGTCTTCTCCATCACAGACAGCACCCCTTCCTACCTTTCCCAGCACCAAAAGAACCCCCATTCTCCTGTTTATTGGACGCCCTGTCTCCTTTCCTGGGACAGAAGCTCCTAGAGGGATGTCTTGGGCACTGCAGAGTTCCCGGCTCCTAGCCCCGTGCCCAGCATGTGATAGGCACTCAGGAGTCCTAGAGGATCAAGCGACAGCTCTAAGCAAATGTGGAGGACTGTGCTCAAAGACCACCTGCCCCTCCTGCCTCACCATCACCACTTCTCTACAACCAACTCCTCCCTGGAGCCCTCTCGGACGCGAACCCCATTCCCCTCCCGCTCTGGGCCCTGGTCTCACTCTGTCTGCCCCCATCCCACAGCACCTCCTGCCTTGGTTTTTAAGAGACACACCCTGTGTGTCCCTTGCAAACAGTGGCCTCATCGAATCCTCCCCTCCCCCTGGCAAGTGGTGCTCACTAGCTTCACTTTATAGAAGGGGACCTGGTGTCCGCAGACAGCAAGTGACTCACCCAGGGTCCCAGCTAGCAAGAGAGGGAGCCAAGTCCCGAACCCACGCCTGGCTCCCAGACTGGTGGGCTTTCCCCTGGACCACACCCTTCCAGTGCAACTCTGGAGCTGCTTCTTAATTTCTCATGCCAGAATCCTCAGCAGCATTTATTGGGCACCTACTGTGTGCAGTCCCTGCCCCCAGGGAGCTCCCGGTTGTGCTGGGGATGCCCAGACATGAGGGAAGACTTAGTCACATAGGGCAGAGAGTCAGAACTCGGGGTGAGCAGAGGGGAGGAGGAGGCCTGAGGGCTGGAGGGGCAGGGAGGACAGGGCAGTTCCCTCTGTTTGGCTGTGGCGTGGCTGTGTCTGACACCTCCTAGCAGCCTCCCCACAGGGCTGACCGCACCTGAGCCAGGAGGGAGAGATGCATGAAGAAAGGCATGGGTGACGCCGTCAAGGAGGGAGGGGTGGGCGGGCAACCAAGTGTGACTGGGAGAATACTTGGGGCTCAGCTCACCCCCTTCCCTCAGCATCCAGAACTGTCCCAGGTATGCCCTCCAAACCCAGGCAGTGAGGGGCCAGTTCCTCCATTCTTTCTACACTTCTTTCTCCTGACCTTTCCTCCTTCCTCAAGCACTCCCAAGCAGCTGGTCCATGCCGGGCCCTGGGCTGGGGAGGGAGGCTCAAGCGTCTTCTTGTCCAAGCCAACCCCAACATCCCAGACCATGCCAGGCCACGCCAACCCCAGGGGACTGACCCCAAGTGGCCACCAGCGATTTGTTGGGAGAACTGGAGGGTGCTGGCTGTCCTGGGGCTGGGGCAGGACCATCAGGAAGCTGAGCAGGGCTGGAACCAGGATCCCCAGGTGGAACCTGGGAAGGGTTGGGAGAGAGGCCACGCCTTGTCTCCCCTCCGCCCATCTGACGGGATTGGCCGCCCCAGCCCCGTCCCAGGTGGTGGTGATCCGTCAAGAGCGGGCGGGGCAGACCAGCGTCTCGCTGCTGTGGCAGGAGCCCGAGCAGCCGAACGGCATCATCCTGGAGTATGAGATCAAGTACTACGAGAAGGTACCACGGGCAGGACGGAGTGGGAGGGGCTGGGCCAGCAGGGCAGGGCCCACTGACCACCGTCCCGTGGCAGGACAAGGAGATGCAGAGCTACTCCACCCTCAAGGCCGTCACCACCAGAGCCACCGTCTCCGGCCTCAAGCCGGGCACCCGCTACGTGTTCCAGGTCCGAGCCCGCACCTCAGCAGGCTGTGGCCGCTTCAGCCAGGCCATGGAGGTGGAGACCGGGAAACCCCGTGAGTGCAGGGAGGGGGCGTGGGCGCGGAGCAGCCCAGGTGCCAGGACCCTGGGGTCGGGGGGTGGCCGAGGAGAGAGCTAGTGCAGGCTGAGCCAGTGCCAATGCAGGATTTCTGCTCTCCTTGCCCTACCAAGTGGGGTTGTCGGAGTTTTTTATTTAATTGAGACAGAGTTTCACTCTGCCACCCAGGCTGGAGTGCAGTGGTGCAATCTCAGCTCACTGCAACCTCCACCTCCCAGGTTCAAGCAATTCTCCTGCCTCTGCCTCCTCAGTAGCTGGGACTACAGGCACCTGCCACCACACCCGGCTAATTTTTGTATTTTTAGTAGAGACGGGGTTTCACCATCTTGGCCAGGCTGGTCTCGAACACCTGACCTTGTGATCCACCCGCCTCAGCCTCCCAAAGTGCTGGGATTACAGGCATGAGCCACTGCTGCCAGCCTAATTTTTTTGTGTATTTAATAGAAATGGGGTTTCACCATGTTGACCAGGCTGGTCTTGAACTCCTGACCTCAGGTGATCTCCCACCTTGGCCTCCCAAAGTGCTGGGATTACAGGCATGGACCACTGCACCCGGCCTCTGTCAGCATTTGCACAGATGAAAAACCGAGGTTAGGAGAAGGACGGTCGCTCGCCTGAGGCGGCAGAGATGGTGACAGCCCCCCACACACCATGGCTGGTACTGAGATGAGTGTCAGGGTCTGGGACCAGCAGCATCGGTCTCACCTGGGGACTTACCAAAAATGCGAATTCCCAGTCCTCACCCCAGCCCTTCAGAAACTCTGTGGGTGGGCCCAGCCATTTGGGTTTTAACAAGTCCTCGGTGATCCCCAGGCACTGTCACATTTGGGACCCTCTGACTTCGAGGCTGTCCCTTTCACTCTCCTCCTGCCCCAATCTCCAGCCGGAGTCAGGGTCTCCTGTATGTGCACCCACTGCGTGGTGGAGGTAGGGCAGAGCTAGTGACCGCCCACCTGGCGCTCCCTGGGCGTCTGAGTGCCTCCAGTGCTTGTAGGCCTGGCACCCCCTGGAGACCACCCAGATGGGAATCCTGAGCCCTCCATCCCATGTACTGTGTGGCCTCAAGTCAATTCCTCGAGTTCTCTGAGCCTCTTTCCATCTGAAAACTGAAGATAGTGCTGGGGTCTCTCTGGAAGGGACGTGGGGAGGGTTTACTGGGGCTTGAAGGTACAGCTCTCAGCACACTCCGTGTTGTCACTGTCAGGATAACAGGGAGGACAGGCATTTATTGGCTCAGAGGACACGCGACTCTTCTCCGGTACCACAGCCACAAGAAGCAGCGGCACCAGCATTAGGAAGCTGGGCATCCAGGTCTCACGAACTTGAAGAGGAAGCTTAGTAGAGGGTGGGGTGGGAACAGAGGAGGAACTGGCCTGCGCCCTGACTCTGGGCTGGCTCATGGCTCTGGGCTCCCCACTGGCCCCAGGGTCACAGCCAGGCAGGCTCAGAGGTCTGCCAGACCCCTGGGCCCAAGGCCAGGGCTGAGAGCCTGGTCCCCCAACCCTGGCTTTCCCCTGCAGGGCCCCGCTATGACACCAGGACCATTGTCTGGATCTGCCTGACGCTCATCACGGGCCTGGTGGTGCTTCTGCTCCTGCTCATCTGCAAGAAGAGGTGGGTGGTCTGGCCCAGCCACACCCAGCCCCTCCTCTCAAGCACCGTACCTCCTGCCTGCCCCCAGCCCCACCGAGCCGGTGGTCCCCGTGTGCCTGGGGCTGGCTCACTTACAAACACACCACCTCATTTAACCTAGTGACATGCCAGTGATGTAGAGATTCTGACCTCACTTTGCAGGTGAGTAAATTGGGGATCAGAGAGGTTAGTCTTCTTGCCAGAATCACACAGCTGATAAATGCCAGAGCTAGGACATGAGCCTAGGTCTGTCAAACTCAAGCCCATACTCTCAGTTACTTTGTCCTCTCCCACTCCATTTTGGAGGGAGGTGGAGACAGGATAGTGTGTGGGCTTGGGATCCCAGACAATGAGAACTGTAAGGATCATCTAACTGATGGAGAAATGGAGACCCAGGGAAGAGAAGGGGCTGGCCAAGGTCATCCATGTAGTTGGCCACAGAAGCCTCATCTCCCAATGCCCCCACCAAGGGTGGTTTCATATAACATGGGGCTAACAGCATTGTAGACTTTGCCAAGAGGGTCAGGTGGACTTGAGGGCATTTTGAGGATCCCACAGTGCTTGTGACCATCATGGCGGTCACAGTTTAGCTGGGTTGAGAGCCTGGAGTCAGGGACTCTCCCCTGCAGACTTTGTAAGGAGCAGGAGCTGACCTGTCAGGGGAAGGGGCATGAAGAGAGAAGCCATGACTCGTTCCCTGGTTGGGGTCAGGTCCCGGGCTAGGGGTGGCCTGGCCTCAGGCAGGGCGGTGCCCTCCTCTGCAGGCACTGTGGCTACAGCAAGGCCTTCCAGGACTCGGACGAGGAGAAGATGCACTATCAGAATGGACAGGGTGAGTGCAGGGGCCCGGTGGTCTGGGGCAGAGGGAAGGCCACAGGGGGACCCAGTGCTGGACTGGGGGTGGCACAGATGGGAAGGAGGAAGGTGCCCAGTGAAAAAACCAGAGCCCAAGAGGCAGATTCCAGGGTGTCACAGAGACCTGGTGCCCCAGAGGGCAGCGCCGTTCATGCCTCCTGGACTCTCAGACCCCATTCAGGATGCTAGAGATCCTCTCCCCAGGGAAGGGCACACATTTGTATGATTTCGGGGTGGGAGTGCATATACTCTTGGACAAGAATCCCTACTACGGAGAGATTTTCAGGATCCTGTAGAGATCCCAGACAACAAGGCGAATCTGGAGATGCCTCCCTCCACACCCCACTCCTGTGCCCGTGGCAGACAGCATCAAGCATGGTGCTGATTCCCACCAGGCCTGGGTGCAGCCTCAGACTCCTCCTTAACTACTTTTTATTTTTATTTTATTTTATTATTTTTTATTTTTTATTATTTTTTTTTTCTGAGACAGAGTCTCACTCTGTTGCCAAGGCTGGAGTGCAGTGGCTCAATCTCAGCTCACTGCAACCTCTGCCTCTGGAGTTCAAGCAATTCTCCTGCCTCAGCCTCCCAAGTAGCTCAGATTACAAGCATTCACCATGCACTACTAATTTTTGTATTTTTAGTAGAACGAGGTTTCACCATGTTGTCCAGGCTGGTCTCGAACTCTTGACCTCAAGTGATCCGCCCGCCTCGGCCTCCTAAAAAGCTGGGATTATAGGCATGAGCCATCACGCCCAGCCAGAAACTATTTTCAATGAATCAAAGTTGACCCTTGTGGCAAAAACTTATTTTTGCTACATCCCTACTCCAGAACAATTTAGAAAGATCTCAAGGACTGTAAAAGTGACCCCAGAAAATGACAGACATGCCCAGAACTCACTGGAGACTCCACAGCCCCATAGAAACCCCAGAGCGACTCCAGAGACCCCACTTTCACTTGGGAAATACTTATGGGGTGCGTGTTGTTTGCTACCACATCCAGAGACTCCCAGAGACACCCCTCACCCCACCCCAGACCCATCCCAGGCCCAGGGAATGTCAGGAAAAAGCAATCTCTCCTGGGCCCCACTGAAGGCCCTCCTCCCGCCCCTCAGCACCCCCACCTGTCTTCCTGCCTCTGCATCACCCCCCGGGAAAGCTCCCAGAGCCCCAGTTCTATGCGGAACCCCACACCTACGAGGAGCCAGGCCGGGCGGGCCGCAGTTTCACTCGGGAGATCGAGGCCTCTAGGATCCACATCGAGAAAATCATCGGCTCTGGTGAGTCTCAGGGGTTGTGAGGGCGGGGCCAGCATGGGGCAAGGTGGGGGCACCCAGGGCAAGGTGGGGGCACCCAGGGCAGAGGGAGCGTGTGACCCAGGGGTCTGGCAAGCCCAGGGGGTCCAAGGGCCTGGGAGGCTGGGGGAGTCTGAGGGTCCCACTGCCCTCCCTCCACACCTGCCCCTCTCGGGGCCTGCAGGAGACTCCGGGGAAGTCTGCTACGGGAGGCTGCGGGTGCCAGGGCAGCGGGATGTGCCCGTGGCCATCAAGGCCCTCAAAGCCGGCTACACGGAGAGACAGAGGCGGGACTTCCTGAGCGAGGCGTCCATCATGGGGCAATTCGACCATCCCAACATCATCCGCCTCGAGGGTGTCGTCACCCGTGGTAGGTGCCGGGCAAAGACAGCCTCCCCCTGCAGTGCCCCTCCTGCCTGGAGAGGCCTCTGGGTCCATCCCCTCATCCATCCTGCTCTGCCCCACCTGACCCTGTCCTCTTGGTTCAGGTCCCTGAATGACTCGGGGTGCCCAGAGCCTGGGACCCCAGTGGAAACCCAAGGCACCCTGGGGTTTCCAGTGCTGGCACAGGTCCTGAGATGGTGGTATGCTCCTGGGGTCTCTGATCAGCAGCCCTGAGCCCCAAACCAAGAGCCACCCTCTCCCTACTGCCCGCCCAGGCCGCCTGGCAATGATTGTGACTGAGTACATGGAGAACGGCTCTCTGGACACCTTCCTGAGGGTGCGTGTCCCACCCCTGCCTCTTGCATGGGCTTGGGGAGGGAGGTCCAGTCTGGGTGCTGGGAGATAGTGCAAAGCCCTCTAAGCCCCCTCCCTGGCTTGGACACCACAGGCCGGGGGACAGGAGGCAGGTATAGGGAGGAGGTCTTCGAGTTCAGCCAGTCGAACTGCCTTTCGGCCCCCATTGCATGAAAGTCCCTCTGCTCCATGGGATCCTGCTGCCCTGCACACAGGCTGAGGGGGGTGCCTCTGTGGGAATCCAGGCCCCACCCAGCTGGGGGGCATGCTGGCTGTGGTGGAGACGGCTGGATTCCCAGCTCCTGCCCACAGTTTCTTTGCTGGGTGCTCTTAGGCACAGAGCTTAACCTCTCTGGGCCTCCATCTCTCGTTCCACAAAATGGGTAAGCAGTCATTGCTGCCCCACGTACCTCGCAGGGTTGCTGTGAGGGTAAATGAGACCAGGAGAATAACCCTTAACTGCAAAGTGCTTCAGAAGTAGTGGCGCACTTGGCAAATTGCAAAGCACCGTCTCAACTCGAGAGCATCCTACAGATGGGAGGTGTTCCTGTTCACGGACCAGGCGCCTCGCCGGGCTTTCCTGAAGTCCAAGCCATGTCCCCCTGCAGACCCACGACGGGCAGTTCACCATCATGCAGCTGGTGGGCATGCTGAGAGGAGTGGGTGCCGGCATGCGCTACCTCTCAGACCTGGGCTATGTCCACCGAGACCTGGCCGCCCGCAACGTCCTGGTTGACAGCAACCTGGTCTGCAAGGTGTCTGACTTCGGGCTCTCACGGGTGCTGGAGGACGACCCGGATGCTGCCTACACCACCACGGTGCGTCGCCCACACTCCTTCCGGCTAGACTGGGGAGTGGGGAGATGGCGCCGGTGGCACCCAGGGCCCAACCATTCTGCAAGTAGCTGAATGAAGTTGGCAGTTTCGGGGTGGCCCTCAACCTGGGGCACATCCTGTTTCTCCTCTTCACGCCAGTGCCTTCCTCTGGGAAATGGGAACAGCCTTGCCTGCCTTTCCTCTGTCACCAGGTGGCCAGGGGAGACCCCAGGGCTGGTCCCCACAGTCACTCACCAGGAGACTTCAGGAGGGTTGGAATCTCCCCGAATTGTACCCAGACTCCACATCTGTCTCTAAAGTTTGCCTAAAACCCAGCTGTTTTCAAACACATTCCATGGGGATTTGGACCTCTCTAGAGGTGCCTTAGGGGCAGCCTTAAAGGCAGGAGCTGAGTGCATGGGGGCCAGTTTTCACCCTGGCCCCAATAGGAGCCCTCCCTTAGCCTCTGTCCCACAGCCTCTGGGTAAGGTTTCGCATGGAGAAAGGATCCTGTGACAACAAAAGAAAGAAGGAAGGAAAGGAAGGAGGGAGTGGAGAGAGGGAGGGAGGGAGGAAGAAGGGAAGGAAGGAAGGGAGGGAGGGAAGGAAGGAAAGGAGGGAGGGAGGAAGGAGGGAAGGAAGGAAAGGAGGGAGGGAGGAAGGAGGGAAGGAAGGGAGGGAGGGAAGGAAGGAGGGAGGGAGGAAGGAGGGAAAGAAGGGAGAGAGGGAGGAAGGGGGAGGGAAAAGAAAGGAGGGAAGGAAGGAGAAAGAAGAAAGGAAGGGAGGGGAGGGAAGAGGAGAGGAGGGGAGGGAAGGGAGGAAGGGAAGGAGGGAGGGAGTGGGGGAGGAAGGAAGGAAGGGAGGGAAGGAGAGAAGGGACGAGGGAGGGAGTGGGGGAGGGAGGGAGGGAGGGAGGAAGGAAGGACAAGAAGGAAGGAGAGAAGGAGGAAAGGAGGGACGGAGGGAAGGAAGGAGGGAAGGGAGAGAAGGAGGGAGGGAGTGGAGGAGGAAGGAAGGGGGGATGGAGGGAGGAAGGAAGGGAGGGAGGGAGGAAGGAGAGAAGGAGGAAGGAAGGAGGGAAGGAGAGAAGGAAGGAGGAGGGAGGGAGGGAAGGAGGGAGGCAGGAAGGAAGGAAAGAAGGAGGGAAGGAAAGGAGGGAGGGAGGAAGGTGGGAGGGAAAGAAGAAAGGAGGGAAGGAAGGACAGAAGGAGGAAGGAAGAAGGGAAGGAAGGAAGGGATGAGGAAAGGAAGGAAGGGAAGAGGAAAAGAAGGGAGGAAGGAAGAAGGGAAGGGAGGAGAAAGGAGAAGGAAGTGGGGGAAGAGAAGGAAGAGGAAGAGTTAGAAAACGACTAGGCTGTGGCCCCTGAGCCCCCTTGGCTTGTGGCTGGTATTGGCCGAGCATCTGCTTGTACCAGGCGTCTCACTCCCTCCTTCCTTCGTCTCCACAGCGGCTCTTGTGAGGCCTCCCTCAGGACAGGTGCTCTGGGACGGTGGGGGCTGTGTTGTCCCTCTGGACTGGAAAACAGGACCCCAGTGTTTAGCTCTCTGACTCAGACGGCTCGGGGGACACCCTGCCAGGCCTGGGCAGCCCCTCAACTCTTGTGTGTCCGTCGCAGGGCGGGAAGATCCCCATCCGCTGGACGGCCCCAGAGGCCATCGCCTTCCGCACCTTCTCCTCGGCCAGCGACGTGTGGAGCTTCGGCGTGGTCATGTGGGAGGTGCTGGCCTATGGGGAGCGGCCCTACTGGAACATGACCAACCGGGATGTGAGTGCCAAGCCCTGGCAGGTCCGCGGGCGGTGGAGCCTCAGGGTGCAGGGAGGGACGGCTGAGCCCAGCGCTGATCCCCTGCAGGTCATCAGCTCTGTGGAGGAGGGGTACCGCCTGCCCGCACCCATGGGCTGCCCCCACGCCCTGCACCAGCTCATGCTCGACTGTTGGCACAAGGACCGGGCGCAGCGGCCTCGCTTCTCCCAGATTGTCAGTGTCCTCGATGCGCTCATCCGCAGCCCTGAGAGTCTCAGGGCCACCGCCACAGTCAGCAGGTGCCTTGTGCCCACCCCAGCTCCTTGAGGCCCAGCTGCCTCCCAGTATTGCCCCAGATCTGTCCCTGGGACAGTTTGGCCCTGACACTAGGACCAGGCCCAGCCTGGGCCCCCGGCCCCTGCCCTGCCGAACCCCTTCCTCAGCCTGCTTCTTCTGGGGGTCCAGCCTCCCGAACCCTCTGGCCACTTACCAAGAGCCCCTGTGCCTCAGGTGCCCACCCCCTGCCTTCGTCCGGAGCTGCTTTGACCTCCGAGGGGGCAGCGGTGGCGGTGGGGGCCTCACCGTGGGGGACTGGCTGGACTCCATCCGCATGGGCCGGTACCGAGACCACTTCGCTGCGGGCGGATACTCCTCTCTGGGCATGGTGCTACGCATGAACGCCCAGTGAGTGATGGGTGGGGCTGGGGCCCCATGCGTGTGGGGGCAGGGGGGGGGACCCCTGCCGGGGAGGCTACAGGTCCAGATCCATGGCCCTGGCTGCGTGCGCGGCTCCCAGCCTCCCAGGCCCAGCTGGCCAGCAGCACCCTTCCTTCACAGGGACGTGCGCGCCCTGGGCATCACCCTCATGGGCCACCAGAAGAAGATCCTGGGCAGCATTCAGACCATGCGGGCCCAGCTGACCAGCACCCAGGGGCCCCGCCGGCACCTCTGATGTACAGCCAGCAGGGCCCAGGCAGCCACCAAGCCCACCCCAGGTCATGCCAGCGGCAGAGGACGTGAGGGGCTGGCAGCAGGCAGGGCGGCCCCAGGCCTCTGCCCTCCTCTCAGGTGCTGGAGGAGCTGAAGGCTTCGCCACAGGACCTGGAGTTATCAGGGGTCAGGCGCCTGGGAAGGGGCCTTTGGTGGCCACCCTGGTGAGGACACCTGTCCCCCAGGGCAGGCACCTTCTCTTTTCCAGAGCCTGGGGCCTCCACGTCACAGAGTCCAACAGGGACATCACTCGCCTGCCTCTGTGTGCGTGCATGTGTGTGTGTGGTGGGGGGTGTTCTCACAAGGTCATGGGATCTCATGTGAACAGTGTGTGATCAAGTGTGTCCACCCCTTCGGGTCTCAGCATGGACGTGTGCATGTTATGAGCGTGTGCTTATCCGTTAAGGCTGGAGGCACATGTGGGTGATGGTGGATGATGTGTCATGAATGAGGAGGTGTGTGAGCAGGGAACTCAGTGTGACACCGCCAGGTCCAGCACCCATGGGGGCGGGGGAGAGGCTCACCCCTACGTCCCCCCACACCTGGAGGCTGGAGCCAGGGGCCACTTCTGAACTGCACCAGCACCAGGCCCACCCTCGTCTCTGCCTGGGTGAGCCCACCCCGGCTGTATCTCAGGTCTGGGTCCTCCCTCTAGCCGAGGAGGCCACCTGCAGCCTCCACCCGGCTCTCACCGCTGCTTCAACAGGAAAACAGGGTTCCCGGTCAGTCCGGCTGGCCGCCTTCATGGAGGCATCATGGCAGAGCACATGAGATGTCCTCAGCTGGGCTTGGCTGCCTGGCCAGGGCCGGGGGCTCAGCAGCCTCCTCTAGCCTCTGATGCCTTCCCTCCACGGCCCAGGTCTCCTCACTCAAAGTCCCTTCGCCAACCTTTCAATGCCCAGCCCTGACACCTGCCCTTTGTCCCCCAGGCCTAGGATCAGGGACCAGAGGATCCTATCTTCTCAGCACCCAGCCCACCCCTTCCTGTAGCATATGGGGAGACTAAGGCCTGGAGAGAGGGGTGATGCCCCGTCCCAGGTTGCACTGCAACCAAGTGTCAGAGTCGGGGCTCCGGCCTCCTGCCAAGGCTCTTGTCCCCATACACCATCCCACAAGGGCGCTGGGGGTGGAAGTGCCCTGGAAGCCCCTCCCCTCTCACACTGACCTCCCCCCTTACGGCCCACCAGGGTATGTAAATATCTCTTTTCTACCATGTCAGAATATTTTTTCCTCACTCCTGACAATGCAAAAATGGTCTTCAAAGCACATAAAAAGCACCCAGGGTGAGAAAGCCCCATCCCGGGGGCCGTTGGCAGGCAGGGAAGCAGGAACCCCACCGTGTGCCCCCTGCCAGCCCCAGAGGGAGTGGCGAGCCCAGCTGCCCAGCCCTGCCCCCCCTCCCCATAGCCAGCACAGCTATCCCGCGGGGACACCAGCACTGAGCCCCCTCTCCCTCCTGCAATAATTCGGGGAGTCTCAGCCCCATCCAGGTGCCGCGGCCAGCTCTCTACACCTCTATATATTATATTACTATATAGCCGAGCTGTTCTTCCTTCCTATGGAAGTCGGAAACATGGTCAGAACACGATCTGGGGGGGGGATCCTGTCTTCCTCCCCACCCCACCCCACTCTTACCCAATTTCTGGGCTCTGGATCCTCACAGTCATGGAGGCACCGTGGGCCTGGCACTTGCAAAAGTGTGGCCCCTCACTCTAGTGTGTGGTCCCTCTCAGGGTCCTGGGGATCTGCCTCTCTGTGGTCTCCATCCTGACTCTTGAACTTACCCACAATAAGAATAAATTCTGCCTCATCTTTGCCTGCGTCCCCCATTTTTTCCCCATCTCTGAAAGCTTGACATCTCCTGTTGGGGAAGGGCCAGCCTCATACTGAGCACCTACTGTTTGCATCCCATTCATTTTTCTCCCCTCTGGTTTTCTCATCTGTCTGGGGAGGTAGGATTAGTGCATGGATTGTACATACGGGGAAGCTGAGTCTTGGTTCAGCCAACCTGCCTAAAGCCAAGGACAGACCGGGGGATGAATCAGAACCTAGATTTGTCACACCCCAAATCCCAGGCTCAGCTAGGAAGCACCCCACAGCCCCAAATTCTCTCTTCCAAGAGGTGCACATGGTACTTAACCGTAGAGTCCAGTCCCAGCTGGACACTGCCCTTGAGTTCTCTTGGCGGAGAAAGATGCCCCCCTGGAAGAGGAATACACAGGGAAAGGACATTTCCTGGGAACAACTTCCTCAGGATCAAGGGGGGGGGCACTGGGAGACCTGGGTGCTGGGAGGCAGAACAGGGAAGACAGGGTCCGAGCATCTTCCCGAGTTACATCAGGGAGCCGAGGACTCTGCTCATGGGGAGAGGGAACAGCAGCAGGGGTTCTGGGCAGGAGACAGAGACAGAGGCAGAGCAGATAACAACAGCATCCATTTGCGCCAGTGGCTCAGACATTTGGAAAAGGTGCTCCAGGGTCTTAGAGATGACGGAGTGGATGATCTCCAGCTAAAAGAAGGGCTTCACTCCTGAACCCCCTCAAACTGGGGAAGTGGGAACAGGCAGAAAACACCTACACTGCATTTCCTACATTGTCTCACTCAGAATCACAATAGCCCTATGAGATTGAGAATATCATCCCCCACTTACACATGGGCAAAAGCTTGCTTGGAGAGGCCAATGTCCCACATGGCAGAGCCACCACGTAAAGCTAAATCTGTCTGATTTCAAGCCAGCTATGCTTCCCCTGAGACTCCAAACTAAGCACCAGGCCCTTTCCCCACAAAACCAGTTGTTTCCTATGAGGAATAATTTGTTGCTACAGACTTCTCTTCCCTTAAGGGGAAGAGACCCTAACATCCTATTGGACGATAGGATCCAATCATCAGATCCTAATCAACACCTGCTCTGTGCTGGGCACCACTGGGGGTAAAAGACAATGAGATGCAGCCCTTCTTCTTAGAAGCTCAGAGACTAGGTGGAGCTGCAGACTGCACAAAAGAGGTTCCCTCAATCAGATCCAATGTGCTAAGTGTCCAAAAAATGGAGCACACAGAAGTATTCTAAGAGGGTCAGAGAGAGCCTTGACAGGCAGGTCTGTCATGGAGGACTTACTGCAGGAGGAAGCATTTCAGTTAAGCACTGAAGAGTGTGAAGGGTTTGGAGGTTGATTTCCGAGGCAGTCCTTTGTGCAAGGCATGGAATGCAGAGGAGAGGAAGAAAACAGCCAGAGCAGAAACAAACCATGTTCATGGATGAGGAGCCTCACCGCCACAACGCTGGCTACGCCCTTCCAATTTAATCTATACATTTTATTTCCAATAACAATTGCAGTGGGGTTTTCCTGGCAACTTGACAGAGTCATCCCCAAATGTACATGGAATAATAAAGAACCCAGAATAGCCAAGACAATTTTGAAAAAGAAAGAGGAAGAGGAAGGGAACCTCACCCTATCAGGTATCAATAGGCACTGTGGAGCTCTAATAATTAAAATAGTGTGATTTGGTCCCAGGAATAGACCAACAGATAATAGAACAGAGAATAATGCCTAGGGGAAGATCAAAATATATAGGAGAGTGTGAGACAGGACAAAGGGTAAAATGGTCTTGTTAACAGATGATGTTGAACAATGGAATACCCCTACTGGAAAACATAAAATTGGATCCCTGCTCACACCACTCACAAAATAAGTTCCAGGTTGGTTAAAGTCCTAAATGTGAAGAGAACACTATAAAACTTTTTAAAAGAAAACAGAGGAAAGTAACTTTATGATCTTAGAGTAGAAACTAAACAAAACACAAAAAGCATAAATGATTTTTAAAGTGATAAATCTTACTACAATTAAGAGCTTCTCTTTGACAAAAGATGAATAGATTTGTTAAAGCCACTAGCTGGGAGAAGGTATTTGCAGCCCGTA
Organism: Homo sapiens; assembly: GCF_000001405.40. Taxonomy (NCBI): domain Eukaryota; kingdom Metazoa; phylum Chordata; class Mammalia; order Primates; family Hominidae; genus Homo; species Homo sapiens. Next base: position 22,605,697 of record NC_000001.11, read on the forward strand.
TAAGCAAGAGACAATTAGTTTCCAAAAGAATTTTTTAAAAAACCTCTAGAGAATCAATCTACCAAAACATTCCAGAGCAATAGGAAAATGGGCAAAAAATGTGAATAAATACCAGAGGAAGAAATTTGAAAGGCCAAACAAGATATAAAAGAGTCTCAACATCACTAGTAAACATGGAAATGCAAATTGAAACAATAATGAGATGGCTCATTACACCAATCCGATTGGCAAAATTAGTGTCTAACGGGAGTATTGATGAAGATATGGGGGAAATACCAATGTCTGTAAACTGATGGGAATTTAAATTTGCACAACTACTTTGGAGAGCAATTTGAAAATGCTTGATAAACTTTAAGACGAGCAAATCTAGGATCCAGCCAACTTTGCCACTGATGTGTGATTCTTAGGTTAAGTTTCCTAATTGGGGCCTGAGTCAGGGATTCTTGTGCAGTGATTTATTGAAGCAGAACTCTTAGGTGAAAGGGAGATGGGATGGCAGATAGGGTGGAAGCGCTAGGCAGTGATATGTTCTTGGTTGAAGATTAGCTTCAATCTGATCCCATGGGAGCTCTGGGGCATGAGTGACAACACAGAGTCTGTCTACCTCGAGGCAAGGGAGCCAAGATTTTCCACCCCCATGTCACTCAGTCATCAGCTATGGCCACCCCATGGGGAGGATGGGGAAGTGGTGTAACTGTGGGCAAGGGAGTTCCCAAGAGGAGAGTAGCTCTGAGCCCTTAGCGTCAACACTCACAGCTAGAGGGTGGGAACACCTACAGGTAAAAGGCATCAGAGTGGGACACCACCAGTGTTTTCCACCATGTCCCAGAGAAGCACACTCATATGCAGTAGCATACATGTCCGCGGGTATTTATTGCACCTTAGTGTGTAATAGAAAGACAAAGAGGAGCCTAACTGCCTCTCAGCAGGAAAAGAAAAACTGCTTTATAAGTACAATAAAATAATCAACCACAGTTCAAATGAACAAACTAGATCAACATCCATCAATAGGGATAAGTCTCCAAACATAACATGGAATGAAAAAAATAAATAACAAAGGAACCTCCACAGGTTTACACCATTTATGTAAACTTTAAAAAAAAGTAAGAATTGAATACACAGGTTTTGAATGCATAACTAGGTAATGACAGCATAAAAATATTCACGAGACAGATAAACACCCGGTCAGCACAACTGTATCTGTCTTTCATTGATAGCTCTTTTGTAAAAATAGAGGACTCTGAAGCAAATATGGCAAAATGTGAATATCCATTTAATCTCGATGTGTGTCTGTTACATTCTTTCTCAATTTTCTCATATGTTGCAATGGCCTATAATTTTAAATAAGAGTGTTTAAAGAACACAAAGGGAACGGGGCTATATGAGAAGTCTCTGTACTTCCTGGTCAATTTTGCTGTGAACCTAAAAATGCTCTAAAAAATAAAGTTTCTTATTTTTAAACATCCACAAGGGAGGGAGGGGTTCTGCAGGCTGCCCTCAGGAAACTTGGGGTCTCAGAAATGGGGGTGGGGAAGTGGGGGGATGGTGGGGTGGGGAGGTTAGAAGAACTGGCTCTTCGGGGCTGTGGGGAGGACTGACGCTGTCCAGGGTTCTGGACCCCGGTGGCGGGGGCTGGTTGCGCTGCAACAGACCAGCAGATCTGGTCAGCTCTCTTCCCAAAATGTACACGGAGCCTAACCATCTCCTCCTGCCCCTGGTTCTGCTGCCACCTCCGCTTCCCTCAGCGACTGCGGAAGCCTCATCAGTAGCCTCCCCACTTCCTCTCTGGCCCCCATAATCCGTTCTCCACAAGCAGCCAAAGGGATCTTTTAAAAACATAAACCAGATCATGCTACATTCTGGATTACAATCCTGCAAAAGCTTCCTATCACGTTTACAATAACATCGAAAATCCTCCCCTGACCTGCAACGCCCCCCTGTCATCTGCTGCTGCTGGCCTCTCCAATCTCTCTCCAACTATCCTCCCCTCTCTGGTGCCCTTCTTTTCTTTCATTTATTTATTTAAAGACAAGGTCTTGCTCTGTCACCCAGGGTGGAATGATCTCGACTCCCTGCAGTCTGGATGAACCTCCTGAGCTCAATCAGTCTTTCCTCCTAAGCCTCTGAAGTAGCTGGGACCGCAGGCGCATGCCACCACACCTGGCTAATTTTGTTTTTTGTTTTGTTTGTTTGTTTGTTTGTTTGTTTTGTAGAGACGGGGTTTTGCTATGTTGCCCAGGCTGTCCTCAAACTCCTGATCTCAAGTGATCTCCCCACCTTAGCCTCCCAAAGTGCTGGGATTACAGGCATAAGCCATGGTGCCTGGCCCCAGCATACCTTTTTTTTTTTTTTCCCTTAATCTGGCCCCATCCAAATCTCTGGCTTTGCCTCCTGTCCTTACTCTCCAGCAAGCCCACAGGAAACCTCCAGCCAGGAGGAAACACCTGCAGGCCAATCAATACTCTCACCCCTTTCCCATGGCTGTGGCGTGTATGTTTTCCACGAGAGGAATGTCCTTCCTCTCCCTTCTGCCCCTGGCCAATTTCAGCTCACACTGAAGATCTCAACCTCTGGCTCCCTTCTCCTAATTCGAGGTTAGATGCCTCCCTTCTCTGAGATCCCACAGATTCTGGGGCTGCCCCCATTGAAGCACTTATCTTCCACTGTCATCAATCTCTCACTTTCATCGTGAATGGATTAAGGCCAGAACTGTCTCCACTTGGTCAGAGAACCCCAGTGCCTAGCCCAGGGGGAGGGGGGACATGGTAAGAATTCAGTGAGTGATAAATGCACAGGCAAATTGCCCTTACAGGGGCCCTGAGGATCTGCTGTAAAGCAGGGCCAGTTTCCTCATCCTTCCCTTTCATGTGACCTTGAGGAAGTCACTTCTCTTTGAGCCCTGTTTCATCCTCTGTAACATGGGGCCACCACTTTCATCTACTCCACAGGCTCGCCATGAGGATTGAAGGGTAATGTGAGGATAGCATGCAGGGGACAGTGTTTGTCACTATTGCTGGGGGAGGGGGGGATTGGGGGTCTCTATGAAGGGGCCGAGAGCAAAGCTGCTGGCAAGCATGGAGGAGCCTTGGGGAATAGGAGTGGGGGCAGTAGTCTGGTCCCGGCCCCACTGTTGCTCTTCTGTCGCTCACTCCACCTGGGGCTGGTGGCCTGGACCCAGGGCTGGCCGCCCGTCTTACTCCATCCCCAAAGCCCAAGAACCTCTGTATGACCCTCCAGCTCCCCAGCACTGGGCAGCTGGGGAAGGGTCAGCTGCTGGATGGAGTTTGCAGTGCTCAGAGGGTTTGCATTTCCATGTCTCCCGTGTTGGGGATGGTGGAAGGTGATGAATAAAAGATGGGGATGGGGGGAGCTCCTGTGGCTTTAAGAGAAATGTGATGAGCATTCAGAGTGGGGAGATTAGCGCAAAACTTCTCCCTGAATACCAAGAACGCAGGTTTCAGCACCCAGTGCAAAATCAACCAAAATCAACCAGAAAGCCCTTTCTGCTGTGAAGTGGTAGAACCCAAGGAAGGAGAAGGCACCCCGGGGCCTTTGGTGGGGAGCAGGAGGGGCCGGGGGGTCACAGACTCAGGTGAAGGAAGCCTAAAGCATCAGGAGAGAAGTTCGTGGACGCATGGCCAAGGTGACCAATGGGTGGGACCAGGGTGGAGAGCAGAGGGGCGTCCAGGTGCAGCCCTTTCCCTCCCAGGTTGGACGCCCTTTTCAGATGCTAAAAGTGATAATCCCCACACACACTCACATGAGAGGGGCTGTGGAGGGAAGGCTGTCTGCATGGCCTCTGACAGGAGCCTCTGTGGGTGGCTGATTGTCATGATTGTCACTAATGATGGGGAGTCGCTATTTACCGAGCTTTTATCCTGCACCACACACAGTGCCAAGTGCTTTCTGTGCACTGTGCTTTTCAGTCCTCACAGCAACTTTAGCAGAGTGTTGCTATTACCATCCCTTTCTCACCAGTAAGAAAACTGAGGCACAGAAAGGTTATGTAACTTGCTCCATGTCACACAGCAGGTGAGTGAGAATCAGGATCCAAACACAGGTCAGGCTGACTCCTCGGGGAGAGGCAGTGTTGGTGTGTGCTGGGGCTGGGAGGAGGGTTGAGGATGTGGGCCCTGTCTGAAGTTTGGGAGTCACCCAGCCAGCCAGCAGGTCACACCTGAATCTGTCTTCCGATTTCTCCTGGGGGAGAGCATCCCAGGCCCACTGGCCAGGGATAATGAGTGATGAGTAGAGGGATGCTTGCTTTCTCTCTCTCTCTCTCTTTCTTTCTTTCTTCTTTCCTTCTTTCTTTCTCTCTTTCTTTCTCTTCCTTCCTTCCCTCCCTCCCTCCTTCCTTCCTCCCTCCCTCTCTTCTTTCTTTCTTTCTTTCTTTCTTTCTTTCTTTCCTTTTCTTTTTTTTTTCAGACAGCGTCTTGCTCTGTCACTCAGGCTGAAGTGCAGTGGCACCCTCACAACTTACTGCAGCCTCGAACTCCTGGGCTCAAGTGATCCTCTCACCTCAGCTTCCCAAGTAGCCAGGACTACAGGCGTGCACTACCGTGACTGGCTAACTTTTTAAATTATTTTTTGTAGAGACTGGGTCTCACCACATTGTCCAGGCTGGTCTCAAACTCCTGGCCTCAAGTGATGCTCCCATGTCAGCCTCCCAAAGTGCTGGGATTACGGGTGTGAGTCACCGAACCCCACTTCACTGCTATGGATTTGTGCTTAGATGTGAGTAGATGACTAGCAGGGGTTGTGACATAGTTGTGCATTTCGTGGTGTGTGACTGTGCAAAGGGTATGTGTGGCATTATCTCCACGTGTGTATATGACTGTTGGTGAACCACCGTGCATGTGTGCGTTCATATGAGTATGGCTGTGATGGGTAAGTATATGCTATGATCATGAGAGTGGCTGATCACGGGTGTGTCTTTGTGTGTAAAATCCAGTGACTAAAATATATAAAATACACAAATGGGTTCAGTGCGGTGGCATGTGCTAGTAATCCCAGCCACTTAGGAGGCTGAGGCAGGAAGGTCACTTGAGCCCAGGAGTTCAAAACCAGCCTGGACAATATGGTGAGACCCAGTCTCTACAAAAAGTAATTTTAAAAATGACCAGTTTAGGCGATAACCTGCCTAAAAAAAAAAAAAAAAAAAAAAAAAACACGTGTACGTGTGCGTGTGTGTGTGTGATTGGTGTAGGTATAGTCTTATATACACGATTGTATGTGTGTGTGCTTGGTGTACGTGTGTTTCCATGACTGTGACATGGGCCAGGCTGTGACTGGGTGTGAGTTGCATGCCTATGTGTACAGAGAGCTGTGTGTGTCTGTGCACATGCCAACCCAGGATGGTCACCTCTGATTCCTCTCTCCCCACCCCCATGTTGCCCCCAGGAGAATTTTATGTCTGTTGAGACGCTCAGAATAGGAATCATTTTGCCTCCACGCAAGGATCCTTGCAGGAACAGCCTGGACATGGAGTGTTCAACTGCAGATACTCAGCAGAGCCCCAGAGTCCTGCTTAATATATTTCCCTCAAGATCCTCCCAGTGTCCCTCCCGGCCAGGCAGACACTCCTGGCTGTATCCTCAAGAAAGGCCAACTCTCAGAAGGGTTATGCACCAGGACGTTAGATATATTATATACTGTATATCTTCCTCCCCATTTCACAGCTGGGGAAACTGAGGTTCGGACAAGTTAAGACTTTGCCTTCAACTTCAAGTCCAATTGCTTTCTCTGAAGGTTCCCTAATTTTCTGAGAAAGCAATTCAGCAATGGCTGAAACCAAGACATTCAATTAGTCGCTCATTTATCAGTTAGTCAGCACTCCCATCCTGTGACCACACAACCTGGGCTGCCAGCTCATCACCAAGTCTCTGAGGATGCAGCCACCACCTTCGTCGGCTTCCCTCAGCCTCCAACTCAGCAAGACACAGGCAGATCCATAGCATGGCTGAGCTGTCCTTGGTGCTGAAGCGGCATCCGCTGGCTCTTACCTCTGGGTCCTGGGCTGGGATGGGCTACTTCTTGATTTCGAGAGGCTGCAAACATTGTTCCCAAGAAGTCCCCAGGACCTGGGGCTGGATTATTGGGAGCAGAAACTCACAATTTTCCCATCGTGTTCTATGCTGGCCTAGCACATCTAGAGCCTTGCCTCTCTTGTAGCCTGAACACCCCTTACACAGCTTCGCAGGGGCAAGGTGAGGCTGATGCAACCCAGGAATTGGCTGTGATACTTGCTGGCCTGAGCTGAAGGGAAAGAACAGGGCCTTGGGTGTGTCCAGGGTATGGAACCGTGGTGGTGGGGGTCTGGACGCCATGGCATGGGGAGATGGTGGCAAGACCCTGGTGAGGATGCGGGAGCATCACTAAACGCTGTCTGTCCTCAGGTCCCTTGGAATCTCTCCCGGGAAAGGAACCCAGGCTAGATCTTTGCAGAACCAGATGGTGGATGCTTCGGGAAGACAGATTTCAGCTCCACTTAAGAAACCCTTTCTTACTGTCAGAGTTCCTCAACAAGGAATCATTTTTGCCTCCAAAAGAAGTGAGCTTCCCAACAATGAGAAAGAAAAAAACATTATTTTTCTAGGATTCTCATGGCAGCAGGCCAGCTCTTAGGCACAATGGCTGCCTTTTATTAAACACCTATTATGTGCCGGCCACAACCCAGAGGTATATGTATTATTAGCCCTATGATACAAATCAGGAAACTGAGGCTCAGAGAAGAAAGGCGACTTGTTCAAGGTCACACAGCTAGGAGGTAATTGGGCTGGGGTCACACTCAGGTGAGTCTGACTTCAAGCCTGTGCTGTTAACCTCTGTGCTACGAAGACTCCCTGAACCAATCCGGAAGGCAGAGCATTTCTACCCCTCCCCCACGCCCCGCAGCCTTCTCTCAGCTCCCTCCCCTCTTTCTCCCCTTGGGTTGAGTTTTAAGGAAGAAATAAATGAAAAATGGATGAGGCACCCAGCCTAGGGTGTGGGGCCTGATCCGATTAACACTGGTGTTTCTTTCATGAGGGATGGGACGGTGTCTCTCACCTGCAGCAGCCCAGGGCTTGGAATAAGCTGCCTGGAAGTCACTAAGGCCACCTGCCTCCTGGCTCCGTGGGTTGTCTGGCCTGCCCCACCCACCATCTGCCACCACCTTCCCCTCCTCCCTCCCTCTCCACGGCCCAGCCACAGCTCTCAGAAGCCCTGCTAAGCTCCTGCACCATCTCTGAGACAGCCTGGGGCAGCATAATGAGCCCAGGCTTTAGAATCAGACTGGAGTCTAGATCCCAGCTCTGCCTCTCACCAAGAGACTTGAGAGAAGCCAGAGAGGCTTCAGCTTCCACTCCAGTAAAATGGGGCAGATGCCTGCCTCACGGAGTCACTGTGAGGTGTGAGCTAATGTGTCTTGGGCTTGGAACACAGTTTACCTCTTCCTGGGTAACACTCAATAAATGACCATTACTGCTCCTGCCGCTCCCACCACTGCTATCGTTATCTTGATGAATGGAAGTATTTCTTGTCGTGAGTTTTGATGACTCACAACCAAAGAGAGAAATGGATGAAAATCAAGGTGATTTGTGCTGACGCCCCATTTACTCCTCAGGGAAGCCCCAAATTACTCCCCTCCTGTCACATTGGTGTCAGGGATGGGGGGCAGTCAGCAAGAGGGAGTCGAGTGACCAGAGCTCCAGATGTCAGGGGTTTGCCTTACCTGACTTTGTGACCAAATAAGAGACAGATGGCAGTTCCCAATGGATACCAGAGGCACTTGGATCACTGAAGAAGCTGATGCTGTCAACGTGGCTTCCATCTGAGAGCTAGTAGGTTTCCTAAAGGGAATTCTAGGGTCCGGCACAGTCACTGCCCTGCCAAAGTACATTGGACTTAGCAGCTACATCAGCTACGGAAGAGCAGAGCACACTTGAGCTTCCTGTGAGCAGCCCGGCCCCCAGTACAGAAAGATTCCACCCCCCGATGCTGAAAGTCCTTGGCCCAACTGCCTCCTCTCCCTGAGCCTCAGTTTACTGCTCTGTTAAATGGGGGCAATAACAGAATCTACCACACAGTGTGGCAGCCAGGGTCAGATGGAACAGACGAATGAGGCAGAGGGATGGGGCAGCAGCCCAACAGGCTCCCTTTAGGACTTCCCAACCCCCCAAGTCCAAGTCCCTAGGGCTAGGACCCTAAACTGGGTCTGAGCCCCCCACAGACAACGGGGCCCACATAGGGGTCCAGGCAGTGCCCCCACTGCCCAACCATGGAGCAGACGTCACGGCTGCTCTGAGCCTCCTTGCCTTGCGTGCCAGATCATGCACGTGGCTGTGAGGGGGAGGAGGAGGAGGGGGAAGAAGCCGGGAAGCCTGGGGCCCAGGGGAGCACCCCGCACTCCAGTCTCATCACGCAAGGGGCTTAACACGAAATATGAAGCCATCTGCCAGGTCTCCTCCCGCTAACCTGTCTAGGGAGGGCTCAGCGATTCCAGCCTCTGTCCCCAGCTCCAGCCTCCAGTCCCTGTTGCCTGGTGTCAGCCCATGTGATGGTCCTCTCAATGGACAGCCTGGCCGTCTGCCTCTCTCTGGACCTGCTGCTTGGACTGTCCCTGGGCCTGTCTGTCTGCCTGTGATGCTGTCGGTCTACCTGTGGGTCATCAGGCTTCTTGTGGGTCAGGCTGGCTGTCCATCTGTCATTCTGTTTGCCTGTCTGTTTTCCTCTGTGTACCTGGCAGTCAATCAGTCCCTCTAGCTGCCTGTCTGCCTGTCCATCCACTTCTTGCCCCCTCTGTCTCTCTGTCCCCACTCTTGGCCCTTGCTATCCCCAGCTCTCTGCCCATTTCTCTCATGTGTGGCACTGAGCTCACTCATCACCAAGGTCACTCCTCTAGGCCATGGGCCAGGGCTGGCTGCCTCCAGTGAGGTAGAACAGACCCACTCCTACCCTCAAGCCCCTGTCCCAGTTTACACTCCCCAGCCTCCATGGCCAAGCCTCTCCCTTCTTCCAGCCCCCATCCCCATGCTCTTCTCTCCAGCCTTGAGTGTTAGAGAAAGATTTAGCTGAAGGTATTTGGGGGAAACTAGGTTTGAATTAATGGTAAAAATCAGGTTTTCTGATTCCATTTCAGTTTTATCCCTTGACTGATTTTCTCCATTACCATTGAGCAGCAGTTGAGAACGGCTGTTCTCTGCAGTATTTATGGTAATGCAGGTTAATGTCTGAGTTTGAGGAGCTCAATTAGCAAATTCATGGACAAGGGGGTCCGTTCGCGCTTCTCTTGTGAAGCTCGATGATTCATTAGCCACAGGGAGACTCCGGGTTTCATGTCCGCATACAAAACGCCAGCCGCTGCTCTCCAGCATGGTGCCTGGCTCAGTGCTGGTGCTCAAGGAGCCCATGACTCTGCTTCCTGTGCCCATCATAGTGCTTGGCACAGAGTAAAGCCTCCAGATTTCTTTTTTCTCTTTTGTTTGAGATGGAGTCTCACTCTGTCGCTAGGCTAGAGTGCGGTGGCATGACCTCCGCTCACTGCAAGCTCCGCCTCCTGGGTTCAAGCGACTCTCCTGCCTCAGCCTCCCAAGTAGCTGGGATTACAGGCACGCACCACCAAGCCCAGCTAATTTTTGTATTTTTAGTAGAGACGGAGTTTCACCATGTTGGCCAAGATGGTCTCGATCTCCTGACCTCGTGGTCCGCCCACCTCAGCCTCCCAAAGTGCTGGGATTACAGGCGTGAGCCAACACACCCAGCCGCCTCCATATTTCTTTGACACTCACCACAGGGTGCATGGTAGGTGCCTCTAAACATTTAATAAATCAATTAATCACTTCATCCCCAGTTCCAGGTATGGAATCCCAGAACAGAGGAGATGCTCAGTGTTTGCTGAAGAAATTGACACACCCCAATAACCTGTGCTTAGCATGGCGTTGCCACCTGGTAAATGCTAGGTGAGTGTTTGTTGACTGACCAACTGATTGACGATGGATGAATGAATGAATGAATGAATGCTGGTCTTCTCCAGCTGCAAGGCTACTCTGATCCCCAGAATCCCACCTAGAGGGTGACTGGAAGAAACAGGATCTCAAGGAGGGGGTCTTAGTCCAGAGGCATAGGGCTGGAGAAGATGTGCAGAGCTCCTGCCTCCACTTCAGGTGAGCACCAGACTTCAAAATGTGGAGCGGCCATTTTCAGGTTTGTAGCTTTGGGTATGCTGGACTGGGGCTCACAGGCTGGGGAGAAGCCACAGGTCACACCCTACTCCTCTACTAGGTGCCCAGCTGTGATTCTCAGGGGAGGGGAGCTAGGCAGGCAGAGGAACCCATTCTCCTGGTGACTTTCCAAGACTGGCCTCGTTGGAGACTTGCTTCTCGGTGATGCAAGGCAGGGTGATGAGTCTCCTTTTGCAAATGTGGAAACTGAAGGCCAGAGAGAGGAAGTGCCTTGCCCAAGGTCACACAGCATGTTAGCAGTTGAGACAGGCTTTGAACACAGGTCTTCTGTGTTCTTTCTACTGTGGCCTCATCACATTCTTTGTCCTCCTTGGGCCTCTGATTTCCAGCAGCCTCCCCTTCCAGCCCCCCTTCCTTCTGCACTAGAATGTCAGCTCCATGAAGGCAAGGAGCCTAGTCTCTTTGTTCACAGCTGTCTCCCCAGTGCCTAGAACTGGTCTGGCAAACTATAGTAAGTGTGCAAAGCCGCCTTATTGCATAAGTGAATGACTGACTGAATGATTCTCTTGCCCACCTGAGAGGGCGGGGACACAACACAATGAATAGCATCTCCTATTCATTAGGCTGCTACTCTGTGTGTCCCCAACTGCCATCGTTCCAGTTTTCCCAGCTGCCCTGTTGGGAGACCCTTTACCCTGGGCACATTTTCAGCTGAAGAACCTTCCTCTAGAGAGGCGAGCTAACTTGCCCCAGGTCACACAGTGAGCCAGAGTCAGGCTTCCAAACCAGTTCCTTCTGCATCCGAGCCTTGAGCCCATGCCCACCAGGCACGTGCCCTCTGCACTGCTAGCTGGAAGCTGGCCCCCCACCTGCCTGCCCGCCAGCTCCATCTAAGGCCAGCCCCAGACTGACAGCTTCCCAGCCAGGCAGGTGACCCAAGCAACCTAAGGGGTCGCCTCCCCAGGTTGGAGCTAGAGCTGTGACAGGGAGACCAAGAAAGGCCAAGCCCAGTGGGGGCACGGCCGAGCCCTGAGCCGCTCACTGCCTGCCCCGCCCGCCGGGGGTCTCATCAGTGTCAGCAGTGGCTTCTGGGTGAGATGAGGTTGACATTTCCTGTACATCCTGCCGGAGGCTGCCTGTCTTTCCTGGGAAGGGGCTCTGGTGGGAGGGGCTGTGGGATGACAACTGCGATGTGACAAGCAGGCCTGGGAGAACAGTCCAGGGTGCTCTCCTACCCCAAGAATTTGATGAAGGAAACAGAAGAGGCTCCTGCCCCACGCTGAAGGCTCACAGGAGTGGCTGCTGGCATTGATGGAAGGCTGTGAGCTGAGCGTGCCAGTCTGTGAGCTGAGCGCCTCACCTGTGTCCTCTCCTTCACCCTCACAGCTATGCATGGGGAGGCACGAGGAACAGCCCCATTTTACAGTTAGGGAAACTGAGGATCGGGGACGTGAAATCAATTGCATGCAGTCACGTGAACGGAGTGGCAGATGCAGGACCGAGTTCTGTCTGACCTCCGAGCCTTCACCCTTAAACTCCACTCCCAAAGGTCTCTATGGAAAAATGTAAGTTACATAAAGGTGGCCCCTGATTTCTGGGAACTTCCTTCTGCAGCTTAATGAGGCAGGAGAAGAAGCCCCTGGCTGGGGAGGCAGAAGACACAGATTCAATAATTCTGCTTCTACCATGGACTCCCTTGCTGTGTGACCCTAGGCTGCTCACTTAATGCCTCTGACCCTCAGCTGTGACATCCTCACAATGGAGATTTCACACATCCATGTCTGAAAGGGACCATCCTGCTCGCTGATCCCTGGAGGCCCCTCCACCTCCCTGCTCTGATTTTCTGGGTTTGAGTCTTGGGGGCAGCAAACAGCACGGCCTGTGAGAGTCCCACAGTGTGGTGTGGGGTAGAGCCCACTGAAACCTCATCAGGGGATCCAACAAGCAGAGAGTCAGAGAGCGCAGTGACTTGCCCAAGGTCACACGGCACATTAGCATCTGCAAAAGCATTCCCTGTCTAGCACCTTCTTCCATGCAGCAGTTGCAGCCTTAAAAATGTTCAAAGAAATGTGAGTTTTACCTTTGGCTCTTGTTTTTTTTTGTGTTTTTTTTTTTTTGTTTTGCTTTAAATCTTTATTCCCTTTTCTTTGAAGAGAGATAGCACGTTGGGGTTCATAGAAACTCTTTTTTTTTTTTTTTGTCCTTTTAAGCAAAAAATAAGCAAACTCAGTCTAGAAGACCCTGAAGACAGAAATGGCATCTCGGCTTCTTCCCATTATCCCCCCGGAGGCCCGGTGGCTGTCTCCCCGAGTCCCCAGCGGCTGGCACCGTCATGGAAAGGCCCGGCGGGGGGACTTGCCGGACCAGCTGCTGCATAAACAGCGAGCAACTTCAGACAGACTGGAAAATCAGGCACCACTTCAAAGGCACAGTGACAGGCGGCAACGCTGGTGGGAGCATGGAGGTGGCCTCCCCTGACGACCAGCCAGGAGCGGGAGGCTGGACTTGCTGCGGTGTTCTCACTGAGAAACAGCAGACCGAAGGACAGCCATTGCCTCCCCCACCAGCAGGAAGCTGTTACAATATTTGTCAACCTGTGAGCTCCAGGGGGGCAGAGGAGCCCGCTTGGGAGAGCCGAGGGATGACAAAGGAGCACTGGCTGGGGTCTGGGACACACAGGCTGATGCTTCCCAAAGCCAGGCTTCACCTGCACAGCCAAGGGCCTTGGGCAGGGGGCCGGGTGGCCGGAGTCCAGCATGGCCCTGCCCAGCTCCCAGCCCACATGCCAAGCCCCATCTCTGTGCCAGGCAGTATGTGGGGCACAGCAAACCTTGGAGGCAGGTGAGGAGAAGCTGAAAACGCTGGCCCCCGTGAGGCAGCAGGAAGTCCTCTGCAAAGGTTGGAATGGAGCAAAAGTGTAGAAGTGTGGGTGCGTGTGTGCACTGTGTGCACGTATGTGTGCACCCACATGGTGGTGTCTTTTAGCAGCACCTATTTCACACTCACACCTTGCTAGGTTCACTCATTCTGCCTCGGGCCCCCTCTCACCCCCAGCTCTTTCTGTAAGTCACTAAGGCCACCTGCCTCCCGGCTCCGTGCATTCTCCAGCCCGCCCCGCCCTGCCCACCATCTCTGTCCTCCCGCTCTTCATCCTTCTCCCATCACAGGGACGTTGGAGTGAGGCAACTCCAGATGCGGCCCATCACTTCCGGGCAGTGTGGCCTTAGACAAGGGACTGCACCTCTTTGAGCCTCAGCTTCCCCGTCTACAAAATGGGACACATGGCTCCACCTTCATGGAGAGGTGGAGGTACGCAGAGCTTCAAGCTCATGCCTGGTGCACATGAGCCCTCCACATACACAAGCCCTTCCCTTCCGCTTTCCCCACCACCCTCCATCCTCTTCTCCCCTCTCCTCACCTTTGTTCCTTCCCAGCCCCTCTCTGTGCCTCTGTTTTTCCATCTGTAAAATGGAAATAATGCTACCTATCTTCAAGGCTGGTGGTGAAGATTAGGGGAGAGATGTTTAAGCAGGGCCTGTGGTTTCATCACTCACTGGCCGTGCGATCCTCGTCATCCTGATGTCTCCATGCCTGGCACATAAACGGAAGTGGTTATTACTGAGTGGGGAGGGGTGTTGCGTGTGTGTAACTGTTTGCATTCATCTTAAGTGTACCTTTGGCTCTTGCGTCAAATGGCTTATGATGCAGGGGTATGCCCATGAAACCACCACCTGAATAAAAAATGTAGAGCATCTCCAGCACCCCAGAACGTTCTCTGTCCCAGTCACTACCTCCCCTCCACCAGCAGAAGTAACCACTATTCTGATCACAGATACAGCCAAAGTTGCAGGGAAAAGAATAGACTGAATGGGCAAAGGGCAGCCAGAGGACCAGGGCTGGGGTATCCAAGGCAGGGATGCTATGGTGGACGTTTGGGGGTGGTGGGATGATGATAAGCTTGAGGTCTCAGGGGACCCCTTCTCTAGGAGCTTCCTGCTGCCAGAGGGAGAGGAAGGAAGGCTGCCTTGTGGCTCGTGGTCACACGCATCTGGGGCCTCTGGGCTGGACCGGCCCAGCAGAGCTGAGACTTGGGCAGCTGCCGCCCCAGGCCCTTTGATGTGACAGAGATGGAGACACACGCATGCCCGGCAATTAATTAATTGTGACTTTCACCGCACAGTGGCCGCTTCCTATTGACCTCCGCCCGTCTGGAGTGAGAGAGACAATTAGGAGGGAGTGCAGCAGCGGCAGCTAATTACCCACTGAATAAAAACCGTGCCTTTCAATTTATTCAACTTTTATCACAAAAATAACCTGGTCACTCCCTCCTGCTGAGAAGCAAAGGAGGGTGCTCTAGAGTGGCGCCCCCAGTTAGCCCCTCACGGATGCTGAGAGCCTCAGGAAGTCATGGCCGCTACCTCATTGCCAAGGAAGATGCCCACACACACCTGGGTTCTGGGAAATGGGGCTGGGGGACCAAGAGCTGCTATGTCATCAAAAACAGCCCTCAGGTAAAATCAGGCAACAGGCCAAATGAAGTGAGACAGAGGGGGCTCCAAGGAACCCGGAGGCTTAGATGAAGGCCTGGGAGTGTCCAAGTCAAGCTGCAAAGACTCCTGAAGATCCTATTGTCCAACCCCTACCCACAGGGGCAGCCTGGTGTGCAGCAGGGGCAGGTGCGACAGCCCTTGGTTCAAACCTCAGCGATGCTTCCTTGGATTTTTATTTTATTTTATTTTATTTTGTTATTATTATTATTATTTTGAGACAGAGTCTTGCTCTGTTGCCCAGGCTGGAATGCAGTGGTGCAATCTCAGCTCACTGCAACCTCCGCCTCCCAGGTTCAAGTGATTCTCCTGCCTCAGCCTCCCAAGTAACTGGGATTACAGGAGTGCACCACCATGCCCAGCTAATTTTTGTATTTTTAGTAGAGACAGGGTTTCGCCATGTTGGTCAGGCTGGTCTTGAACTCCTAACCTCAGGTGATCCACCCACCTCGGCCTCCCAAAGTGCTGGGATTACAGGTGTGAGCCACCACACCCGGCCCTTACTTGGATTTTCATTGTCCACCAATACTTAGCACCTTCAAGGGAGAGAGTGTCACTCCCATTTTACAGATGTGAAAACTGGTGCTCAGAGAGGCAATGGTGCCAGCTCAAGGCCACACAGCACATGTGCTAATGCCTAGGGCAAGCAACGTCACCTAATCAGGAATGAGATCTTTACCATGCAGGGAAGTGGTGAACATTTAGATACAATTAAAAAAAAAATGCCTGGCCCTGCATGGTGCCATCCATGATGGGAAACTGAGGCTCCAAGATGGGGTTGCTTACTCAAGGCAAGCACATGGGCTACAGAGGGGCAGAGGGAGCAGAGGACTCCCAGCCAGCCCTCTTCCTGCTCCATAAACATCTCTCTCTATGTTCAGACCCGCTCCACTGTTTGCTGGATGGTGGGAGAGACCCTTGAGTGAGTCACCCACCGGCAGGACTTTGATGCCCTTAGATTTGCCTGGGTTTGGGGTAGCTTCTTCACAAGGATTTTTTTGTTTTGTTTTGTTTTGTTTTTTGAGACAGAGTCTCGCTCTGTCGCCGAGGCTGGAGTGCAGTGGTGCGACCTCAGCTCGCTGCGACCTCTACCTCCCAAGTTCAAGTGATTCTCCTGCCTCAGCCCCCCAAGTAACTGGGATTACAGGCACTCGCCACCACACACAGCTAATTTTTGTATTTTTAGTAGAGATGGGTTTTCACCATGTTGGCCAGGCTGTTCTTGAACTCCTGACCTCAAATGATCCGCCCACCTTGGCCTCACAAAGTGCTGGGATTGCAGGTGTGAGCCACGGCACCTGGCCTCGAGCATCTTCTCAGAAGCATCGCCCCACAGCCCCATGGGGCAGGCAGGATAGTACCTGTTAGAGACAAAGCTATTGAACCCTGAGAAAGGAGAAGGAGGCTGAGGCAGCACAGGCTCCACTGGGCCTAGAACCTGGCTCTCCAGGGTCCCAGTGCCCTCTCCAGGTGCCTGGGCAGAACTGCTGACCATGACCTGCCTCCAAGAGCGACTTGGCACTTACGCCCATCACCCCAGGCTGGCCCTAGAGTCCACCCCATGGGCGTTTGCCTCCTTTCCTTCCTGCCAGGGTCCACCCAGCCTTCAGAAATCCCCCTGCAGCCTCGGTTACTGTGGAGAGTGGGGGATGAGGGGAGGATGGCTTATCCCACAGCTGCTGCCCAGATGTGCCAACTCCCACCTGGCTCTCCCAGCAACTACCTGTCTGCCTGGAGAAAGCCAGGGAGTGGGGGCTCCCAAGAAGGTTGCTCAGAAGTCCCTCTCCCTGAGGAGGAAAGAGCTGGGTCAAGGGCCCTTTGCATTGTTTGCCCTATGCCTCCACCCCAAGCCCCACACTAATGCCCAGGACAGCCTTGCAGTGTGGGCAGCCAGCAACATGTTACCCACTCAGTGGAGGGAGGCTGAGCAGCTGTCTCTAGACCCCAGGCACCTGCTTACTTTGGATCCAAACTCCCTCTTGGGTCTCACTCTTCCCGTTAATTTGGCAAAGATTCCCTGAGCCTGCACTATGTATTCCTTTAATAAATTATGTCTGGTATTTAGTGAACGCTTACTATACACTTGTCACTGTTCCGAAGACATTGCCCTATTGACTCCATTAACTGTTGTCACAATCATATGAGGTAGATTATATTACTATGTCCATTTCATAGACGGACATACTGAGGTGCCAAGAAATAAAGTAACTTGCTTGGTACCACACAGCCAGGAAGGGGCAGGGCCAGGATTTGAACCCAGTCTGTCTAGGATGCTTCTCTGGTAAGTGACTGTCTTATCTAACTTGGAAAAGAAAGTATAGCAAGACTCAGGAAGCCAGATTACCTCTAATTCATTGCACCGGCACAAGGGACCAGCTTTACTCATTAGACACATTTTACTCAGATAGACACATTCCAAAGAAAGAGGACTCTCATTTTTTTTTCCATTTTTGCCTTATATTCAAGAGAAGTCCATCTCAGCAATATTTTTTTTTCAGTGACAGGGTCTCACTCTGTTGCCCAGGCTGGAGTACAGTAGTGATCATAGCTCATTGTAACCTCAAACTCCTGACCTCAAGCAATCCTCCCACTTCAGCCTCCTGAGTAGCTAGTACTACAGGCATGCATCACCATGCCCAGCTAATTCTTGTTCTTATTATTATTATTTTTGAGACGGAGTTTTGCTCTTTTTGCCCAGGCTGGAGTACAGTGGTGCAATCCCAGCTCATTGCACCTCCACCATCTGGGTTCAAGTGATTCTCCTGCCTCAGCCTCCCGAGTAGCTGGGATTACAGGTATGCACCACCACACCCAGCTAATTTTGTATTTTTAGTGGAGATGGGGTTTCACCATGTTGGCCAGGCTGGTCTCAAACTCCTGACCTCATGATCCGCCTGCCTCAGTCTCCCAAAGTGCTGAGATTACAAGCGTGAGCCACCATGCCTGGACAAGCTAATTCTTATTTAAGAGACGGGGGTCTTGCTGTGTTACCCATGCTGGTCTCAAACTCCTGGCCTCAAGGGGTCCTGCAGCCACAGCCTCCCAAAATGCTGAGATTACAGACGTGAGCCACCGTGCCTAGTCCTCTCAACAAGATTCTGAAGGAAATTCCCTATTCTGGAAGAGGGGGCAGTCACAGGTAACACTAGTCTAAGGTTTAAAATAATCAGAGACAGAGGCCGAGTGCGGTGGTTCATGCCTGTAATCCCAGCACTTTGGGAGGCAGAAGCAGGCAGATCACCTGAGGTCAGGAGTTCGAGACCAGCCTGGCCAACATGGTAAAACCCCGTCTCTACTACTACTACTACTACTACTACTACTACTACTACTACTACTAATAATAATAATAATAATAATAATCAGAGACCTAAGTGAGGGACAGACAGAGGGTGGGGGCTAGAGGTAGGACACAGTACAAGGAAAGTAGAGAAGGCTATGGGTGTGGGCGGGGGACATTCAAGATGAGTCTTGATGAGCGAGTGGCTTTGGATGATGGAGATGCTGGGGAAAGACACACCAGGCAGGGAAAGCAAAGGCACAGAGCTCAGGGGGAAGCAAGGCGGCCAGTGGGTGATGGGCTGGGTGGGCCCTGGTTCCTGGATCATGGGCAGTTTGGGACCTGTGGATCCTGGCAAAGCTCTTGGGGAGTGGCGCCCATGGAGGTCTCAGGAAGGTGGTGACTTTGTACACCTGTGTTCATTGCAGCATTATTCACAATGGCCAAATGTGGCAATAACCCAACTGTCCATCACTGGATGGATGGATAAATAAAACACGGTCTGTCCATACAATGAAATATTAGTCAGCTTTATAAAGGAATGATATTCTGATCTATGCTATAATACGGATGAGCCTTGAGGGCGTTATCCTAAGTGAAAAAAGCCAGTCACAAAAGGATGCATAATTTCACTTACACAAAGTACCGTCAGGCACAGTGGCTCACGTCTGTAATCCCAACACTTTGGGAGGCCGAGGCGGGCGGATCACTTGAGGTCGGGAGTTCGAGACCAGGCTGGCCAACATGGTGAAACACCGTCTCTACCAAAAATATAAAAAATTAGCTGTGTGTGGTGGCTTGCGCCTGTAATCCCAGCTACTGAGACTGAGGCAGGAGAATCGCTTGAACTTGGGAGGTGGAGGTTGCAGTGAGCCGAGATCGTGCCACTGCACAAGGTCAAAGAAAAACAAAGTGCCTAGAATAGTCAAATTCACAGAGGCACAGAATGAGATGGTGGCTGTCAGGGTGGTTGGGGCTTATGGTTTAATGGGTATAGAGTTTCAGTATGAAATGGTAACAGTTCTGGAGATGGACGGTGGTGATGGTCGCATAACAATGTTCTTGCACGGTGACAAAGAGCATTGCTGCATACCAATGGTCGCATGAATGTTCTTCATGCCACTGAAATGCACCCTTAAAATGGTTAAAATGGTAAATTTTATGGTATGTATATTTTATCACAATAAAAAAATAGTGGGGTCTCAAAGGGTCAGGCTGGGGGTTCGAGACATGGAAAGAGTGGGAGATACGGCCAGGCTAGAATAAGCAGGTGAGATCCAAGGTCTGAGGGCACAAATGCTAACCCCAAGCAGCACAGTGAACGTAGGCTCAGAGCCAGACAGGCCCGGCTTCCAGTCCACGCTCAGCCAGCTCTTAACTGTGTGGTTTTAGGCCAGTCACTTGCCCTTTCTGAGCCTCAGTTTTCTCATCTGTGCAACAGTGATAACGCTAGTTATTTCTATTCTCTCACAGGGTTGTTGCAAAGGCCAAACAAGGTCATAAGAACAACTGTTTACTGCACGTTACTGCATGCCAGGCACTGAGTAAAGCACCTCACACATACTAATCCACTCAGTCATTGCAATATCCCATGAAGATGTACTTTTACTGTCCTATTTCACAGATGCGAAAACTAAGGCTTTAGGAAGGAAGATTCCACTGTGCGCCCCAAGGCTACACAGTGGGAAGAAGAGGAGTTGGGACTCAGACCTGAATTGTGAGAGGAGCCTATGAGCAACAAGGTGAGTCACTGCTGCCACCTCCTGCCTCCTCCTCTGAGAAGTCTCCCAAGATTGCTGCACTGGGGTGACTCTTGTCTTACCCACTGCTTGTTTCTGGGTGTCTCTGGGGCCCCATGGCCTGCTCAGTCCTGGAGTTATTCCTATGTCTGCCTCTGCAGCAGCATGCAAGCTCTCCAAAGGTACATCTGGATGTTTTTCATTTTAGATTCCTGGGTGCCCAGCCCAATGGCACAGAACCGATGAAAGTCTGGGCAACGTTGGAGTGCTCAGGCTGAGGACAGGACCCCGGACAGCTCCACTGGGACCCGTTAGGGATGGTGTTGCTAGAAGGGTTCTATGAGGATGTTGTCAGAGACAACGACAGCCCTGACAAGGTAAAGGGAGGAGGGGAGGGTGATGAAGACTATGAGGACAACAATGTTCATGTAATAATCATTCTCTAGTGGGTTCATCCTCTGCTGTATCCGTCAAGAGAAGCTCGGTTATGCTGCAGTAACAACTGTATCACAGGGGCTTAACACCACAAAGCCTTACTCTCCACTCCTGCAAAGCCTGTCGTGGGTCTGGGTGTCTCTCCAGAGCAGTTGTCCCTCATGCAGAACCTCAGCAAGCCAGGCCACTTGAATGCCGTGGCTCCACCCACGGCAGTGCAAGGACTCCATGACCTCTGCAGCAGAGCAAGAGCACGGTGACAAAGACCAAGGTCACCCAGGTGAGGACAGTGGTATTCAGATTCAGAGCCACTTCTCTGAGCCCCATACCTATTTTTCCCTCTGCCATCCCCACAGTGTCCCATGGAAGGGCTGCAGGTGTGCTGGAGACCCTCAAGGTGAGCCCCACCCCTACTCCTATTCTGACCTCCCAACCCCCCTAAACCTAAAGGCCCAAGCCCCTGCAGCCGGGCCATATTCCCAGAGCCTGTCCCTGGAAGCAGCAGCGCTTCCTACTCTGACAGCTTTTTGCAGGAGCAGGAGGGGTTCATTTGCATACTATAGGCTCATTTGCATACTACTTAGGAAACGCCTTCGCTTTTTCCCACCTGCAGCAAACTCCAGGCTGATTAGTCCTCCCCACGTTGGAGAGTTAATTACTCTCCTGCATAGACCGGGTGTTTATTTGTAATCAGCAGAGGGCTGGGAGAGGGGGGTGCGGACAGGGCAGTGGCAGCTGTCATTAGCCCAAATTCCCGAGCGGCTCCACGGGTAAAAAAAAATGAGGGCGAGCTCCTGCATAACACGACCTGCGCTCAAATCCCAGCACAGGACCTGCGCACCATGTGACCCTGGCCATGCCCTGGGCTCCAGGGAAAGGAGAAGGGTTGATTAGAGCTGGGGTTAGGGGACCGTTGGACAAAGGCCCACAGTGAGCCGCCGCAGGGCAGACAGAGGCTCAGAGCCTCACAATGAAAAAGGCAGCACCCCGCAGACCCAGCACTCTGGGAGAAGGCTGGGACGGGACCCCTTCCAGGACCATCCTAGGGCAGGGCTTGTGGGCTGGAGACTGGACCTCTCCTCTGTGTGACACAGGTGACTCAGCCCTCTGCATCCCCCATCAGTTCATTAAGAATGATGGCAGTAACCTCACCAGCCCCTAAACAGGGACTCTCAGGAGCCAGGCAGGGGCCTTGGAAAACATACATCTCTACTTAGATGTAAGAAATACGCCTGAATTCCAAGATTGGAAATGGTCTCAGCCTCTGGGGAGATTTAGGGACCTTCCCTCCCTCCTACCCCCACCCAACTAATGTGGCCTTCTGGCTTTGCCCCCTCCATGAAGGCATTTCTCTCCCCTCCGCAACCCCCTGCGCTCTGCCTCTCCCTCATTAAGTCATTTCTAAACCCTCCAGTGCCTCTCCCCACTTGTCAGATACCAAAAGGTCATGTCCAAAGGTCCAGGGCAGGCCCAGCTAACGTGCCAAGGTTGGAAAGACACTTGGTCACTGTCAAAGCCCCAGAAAGGGGCTGGGCTG
Organism: Homo sapiens; assembly: GCF_000001405.40. Lineage (NCBI taxonomy): Eukaryota > Metazoa > Chordata > Mammalia > Primates > Hominidae > Homo > Homo sapiens. Next base: position 22,627,392 of record NC_000001.11, read on the forward strand.
CCAGCCTCAGCTCACTCAGGGCACCTGTTTAAATACAGAGGCCCCACCCCGAGCCTCTGAGGTTGTAGAGAGCATGCAGCTTGGCAGCGGTGTTCTTCCCCAGCTCCCCCAGGTGACTCTGCTCCAGGGACCCACGGCTTCGGTGCAGCTCCCTCCTATTTACAGCAGAGAGGCTGAAGCCCAGGGGGGTGATTTGTCCAAGGAATGGAAACCAAGTCCCCTGCCTCCAGCCCACAGTGGCCTCTGCTGATAAAAAGTCTGGGGCAGTTAGAGACACCCCAGAAGGCAGCCTTCCATGGTGATGATGTGGGAGCCATTGGGGGGGAACTGGGCTGAGGTTCTGGCCAGCCCATGGGAGCAGTAATCTTGGCCCCTAGGTGGGTGGGTGAGGCTCACATCCCCTTGGGATGCATACAGGAACACCCTCGCACCCTCACCCCTCCCTAGATGGCTCTTGCCAGAGAGCCACAGGGAGCGGGGGTAATAGCCACTTATACTTATAGCCTGTGTGACCTACGGAGGTTGCCAGATAAAATGCAGGCTGAATCATTGTTTTAGCGTAAGTATATCCCATGCATACTATTGTTTATCTGAAACACAAATTGAAATGTGCATCCTGAATTCTCATTTGTTAAATCTGGCAAACCTAGACCCATGCGCAAGTCATTGCACCTCTCTGAGCCTCAGTTTTTCATCTTTGGAAATGAACCAAAATACCACCCTGTAAGGATCTCATGTCGATTACGTGAGATGATGTTAAATGCCTGGCACGAGGGAAGTAAATGTGTGAAGCTGGCAGATCTCGCCCTCGGAGTCCCCATACTCAACACGTTCATCTCCTCTGTACTCCTCCCCACCCCTTTCAGGGTTGCTGTTTCAGACCCCAATCTGCAGGACGGATGCCAACGGCACACTCTCAGGAAGGTAACCCAATGTGGTAGAAATAACTATTCCAGGCCAGGCGCGATGGCTCACGCCTGTAATTCCAGCTCTTTGGGAGGCCAAGGCGGGCGGATCAAGAGATCAAGAGATGGAGACCATCCTGGCCAACGTGGTGAAACCCTGTCCCTACTGAAAAAAACAAAAATTAGCCTGGCATGGTGGCGCGCACCTGTAGTCCCAGCTACTCGGGAGGCTGAGGTAAAAGAATTGCTTAAACCTGGGAGGCAGAGCTTGCAATGAGCTGAGATCGTGCCACTGCACTCCAGTCTGGTGACAGAGCAAGACTTCATCTAAAAAAAAAAAAATAGCCAGGTGTCGTGGTGTAAGCCTGTAATCCCAGCTGCTTGGGAGGCTGAAGCACCAGAATCACTTGATCCCAGAAGGCAGAGGTTGCAGTGAGCCGAGACCACGCCACTGCACTCCAGCCTGGGCCACAGAGAGAGACTCCGTGCCCAAATATAAATAAATAAATAAATAAATAACTATTCAATTTACCGGCTGTGTGACCTTGTGTGAGTCACTTACCCTCTCTGAACCTCAGTTACCTCATCTGTAAAAGGGACTGTCACCATGCCACCTCCCCGGGGATTCTGATGATGAAGTGAGGTCGTGTATTAAGCACCCAGTAGGAAGTCCAGCATTCAGTAGGGCTCACAAGGAAGAGCCTATTAGCATCTTGCAAACATACCACGGTGAAGCATCAACCTCAAAACACCCCAGAGAGGACAAGGCTTACCCTGTGGAAAGAATGACTACAGGAGGAATTTCAGGTCCTGTGATGGGCAGATGAGGGAGATCATTTGCACTCCAGGCTCTCCCTGGCCACTCTCTTGTGACCCTCATGCCTATGTGAGCTCCTTGGAAGCTAGCATCTCCCAGCAACCTGGACGTCAGGCCCAGCCCTCTCAAGGTGGAGGTAATACCTCCTTGTTGGCTCCCACAGCCCGATCTGTTTGTTTTCCAAACTCTTAGTCCTCTTAATCTTTTTACATCTTACCTGCCTGGTGGCTTCCGGCTATATTTGCCTGTGGGGAATGTCTCCAGAGCAGCTCCACCCAGTTCCCCTCCGGGCTGGGCTGCCTCCCTCACAGGCATTCAGGGTGTTGGCTTCCAGCTGGGGGGCTTTATTTCTTCCTATTTTTCTTCACTCTCCCCTGCCAATAAATCTTTTCTGTCTTCTTTTTTTTTTTTTTTTTTTTTTTCCAAATTTTCTTTCATGCACCGGCCCTCTGAGTGCCAGGTGAGAGTAGGAGGAGGTAAAACATTGTGCTAAGAGCCTACTGTGTGCCAGAGACCAGCCGCACTACTGTCTGGAAGCCTGGCATAGTTTGAGGTCATCATTCCCAGTTTATAGGTGAGGTGCTAGAGCCCCAGACACAGGAGGTTACTCGTGCAAGATCACACAGCCAAAGAGAGACACACACTGAATTTGAACACATGCTGCCTCCATCTCCGCAACAAATGATCTGTTGTTTACAATCCCCTCTGCGTTTCATAAAATAATCCCAAGAAGTGCTTTTATCTGCCAAGAAAAGTAAAGAATAAAGAGTGTGCACAGACAACACATGGCAGTTCTCTCACACAACAGCTCCCTCCCCAATTCCAAATGCCTCCCCCAACCACTTGCTAACAAAACCCTGATCTTATTGGGTGGTGGGGACAAAGAATGGAAGGATAGACCCCAAAAGGCCCAGAAGGAGGGTTTTGCAAGAAAGGCGAGACTAAGACAATCTCCATAATAAAGAACAGAGAGCAGGAGAGTCAGGGAGAAGGAGGAACAGTGGCTCTGGGCAGAGGGGCCGGGAGATTTTTTTTTTTGCTGGAGACAGGAAGTTGAAGACAGAGGTCTGGAGGAGTGGATGGAAAAGAGCAAAGAGCACTGGTGTCAACTCTATGCCTCCTTCCTGGTGTTCAAATGTACAGCAGAGAATTGAGTGTATCTGTTCACAGGGCTGGGTGGGGCAGAGGACTTGCACCAGAATGTTCTTAGCAGCTTTATTCATCATAGCCCAAACTCTGTACCAACAGAAGGGACAAACAAAGTGTGATACTGCATATGCATACGATGGAATAGCACTCAGCAATACCACGCAAACTGACACACGTAACACAGATGCATCTCACCGGCATGCTCTTCAAAAGAAGCCAGACACAAAAGAGCACAGGCCGCATGATTCCATTGACATGAAGTTCAAGAACAGGCAGAAGGCACCAATGGTGAGGGAGAGCAGAACACCGGTTACTTTGCGGGTGGAGGGGAGCACTGTTGACTTGGAGGGTCACGGCCGCCTCGCTGGGGAGATGGATACTCTGCACTCTGATCTGAGTGGTGGTAGAGGGCCTGTGCGTGCAGGTGTAAGCTACTGAGCAGTGTGCTTGAGATGTGCACATTTTACTCTGTGCAAATTATGCCTCATTTTTTTTAAAAGAAATATACAAGCACCTTAGAGTCGCATTATATACACACTTGCCTATCTCCACTTCGCCTAATAGGACTCAGAGAGAGAATCACAATTTAAGTAAGGCAGGGGATATTGGTTTTTTTTTTTTTTGAGACGGAGTTTCACTCTTGTCGCCCAAGCTGAAGTGCAATGGCCTGATCTTGGTTCACTGCAACCTCCACCTCCTGGGTTCAAGCAATTCTCCTGCCTCAGCCTCCCGAGTAGCAGGGATTACAGGCATGTGCCACTAGGCCAACTAATTTTATACTTTTAGTAGAGACAGAGTTTATCCATGTTTGTCAGGCTGGACTCAAACTCCCGGCCTCAGTTGATCCACCCTCCTCGACCTCCCAAAGTGCTGGGATTACAGGCGTGAGCCACTGCTCCCAGCCAGGGGATACTGTCTTCTAAGAGCCTATTTCTGGAGGGACCGTGGCTGGGAGAGTTCTGCTGTCCCCAAGTCTGCCTCCGCTCCTGTGAACCCCTCATGATCTAAACACCTCACCTCCAAGGGTGGCTCCAGTCTCCAAAGATTCAATTCCTTTGTGTGTGAGTGGTGGGGGAATTGGTTAACCTTAACCAACTGGTACTCAACTGAAGAAAAAGAAATCTGTTCTACTATTGGAGCCAAAACTGACAGCAAAAGACTATTGTGAAACGGTAATACAGTCTTTCACGTGGCGCTGTTTGAAGAATTTTTCCACCATTTACAATGGTGATACTCACCATTTACAATGTTTGCCTCGTATGCCGATTTTGCAACACAACCCTTGAATGGGATGTGACTGCCATAAAGAATTCAAGTCATTTAAAAATTATTTTTTGGTTATTTATTTGACCTTTGATCCCACTCTGAGACTGAACCTCATGGATCATAACTGTGCAAGCATGGCTAGGAATTTCCTCTCTTCCCCACATCTCCTGCCTCCCGTCTAGGAGTCTGGGCTCTGGAGAAATGGAAGAATATGCCCTTCCTCTCCGCCTGAAGGTGTCCCTGTTGTGACATGCACAGGGCCATTGCTGACCCTTTTATTTCTCACACTAATGATATGCGCATTAGTATCGATGTCTTTTATTTCTTGGGAAGTGTTTATACTCTTGCAACAGCCTGATAAGTAAAATCATCCAACACTTGGAAATAAGGCAAATAGATAACCGGTGTCCTTTCAAAGTCAAATGAGAGCTGTATCTAACAAACCCTGCTAAGGGTCATCTGACACTCTAGGGGAATGTCACTTGGCTTGACTTATTATTTACTATTGATTAGAGCCCAGATTCAGTAAAGATAGCTGTTAACTGGTAGAAAACTGTTAAGTTGCAAATTATTTTTGTCTAGTAGAGATGCAAATGATTTCTTTTCAATAGAGAAGATAGCCCCAACATGATGATTTTATTGCCCTATAGAACACTAACCAGTTTTGTATCTAATTTAGCAATTTTATGAATATTCCAGAATTCTTGTTGTTTTAACTGACTCTCTCTGTCTCCATATATAGGTATACATATATATTTTTTTCCATATCCATTGAACTAGCTTTGTCACCCAGCTGGTTCCTCCATTAACAACCTACAAGAGGACACTGACACATTCCCACACTGTATTTCTATAGGAACTGGGTATTCAATATTTTGAAAACTAGACTTTGAGAAGCTTTTCACAGTATCTGATTTTTCCTCTTGCCAACTCTTGCCCCTGTCTGTGTGACCCGGGCAAGTCTTTTTTTGTCTCTGGTCCTTTGTGTCTTCAGAGTAAAATAGGGCACGCAGGGCTGGCGTTTCTGCCTCGGGCATGTCATGTTTCTAACTCCTCTGGCAGGCAAGCAGGGCTGACGCAATGCAGTCAAAGAAGATGGATACTGGGCCGGGCGCGGTGGCTCACACCTGTAATCCTAGCACTTTGGGAGGCCGAGATGGGCAGATCACCTGAGGTCAGGGGTTTGAGACCAGCCTGGGCAACATGGCAAAACCCCGTCCCTACTAAAAATACAAAAATTAGCCGGGCGTGGTGGTGCACACACGCCTGTAATCCCAGCTACTTGGAAGGCTGAGGCAGGAGAATCTCTTGAACCCAGGAGGCAGAGGTTGCAGTGAGCTGAGATCGAGCCACTGCACTCCAGCCTGGGCAACAAAGTGAGACTGTCTCAAAAAAAAAAAAAAAAAAAGAAGAAGAAGAAGAAGAAGAAGATGGATACTGGGCTGGGCGCGGTGGCTCACGCCTGTAATCCCAGCACTTTGGGAGGCCGAGATGGACAGATCACCTGAGGTCAGGAGTTTGAGACCAGCCTGGGCAACATGGCAAAACCCCGTCTCTACTAAAAATACAAAAATTAGCTGGGCATGGTGGTGCATGCGTGCCTGTAATCCCAGCTACTTGGAAGGCTGAGGCAGGAGAATCTCTTGAACCCAGGAGGCAGAGGTTGCAGTGAGCTGAGATCCAGCCACTACACTCCCACCTGGGCAAAAAAATGAGACTCTGTCTCAAAAGAAGAAGAAGGAGGAGGAGGAGGAGGAGACTGGAAGGGATGTTAGAGGCCATTTGGGGCAGCCTTCCCACCTCCCACCCACTCCCTCATCTTGGTAGATGGAGAAAGTGGGGTTCAGAAAGATGAGATAACTTGCCCAGGGTCACACTGTGAGTTAGGTATGGGCTGAGCAGATGAGATTCCAGCTCCACGAACTTTCTGAATCCAGGGAGCATGGGAGGGGCTGTCAGGGGGAGCTCTGGGCCCCCACCCTTCAAGCCAGTATCCCCATTTTTATCTGTTTGACATACATCAGATGCCACACAAGATTGCAAATGAAAAAGAAGTCCCCAAAGCTCAAAAACCCTGGCTCTAGACCATCCTTCATCTGCCCACTTCAACAGCCTTCCCTTATCTCCTCCCTCCTCCTCCTCTTTTCCTCCTCCTGCCTCTGGCAAAATTTTCAGAAAACAAACAAACAAACAAAAACATGCTCATGAGAAGAAGCAGACAGATGTGGTCAGCCCAGGCCTGAACACATTGGTCTCCAGTCTGGGAGAGACAGAGCCTCTCTATCTAAAGAAAAGCATTCTCAGGGTCCAAGCTGACAATGATGCAGTGTGCCGTGCTGACAGGTAATGAGCATCCCATCAGTTAAGGTGAGTAAGGCTAGATGATCTGTTCAAACACTAGCAGCAATTGTCTCTAGATGGTAGAATTCACAGGCTTTTGTTGCTGGGTTTTGTTTTTTGTTTTTTTTTGAGATGGTGTTACAGGATCTTTGGGGTGTCATTTTCTGGCCGGAAACCTCTGTGGCTGGTGGCACCTTTGCCCAAGTTTTGCTCAGGCCCACTGGGCTTGTTTCACTCACTCCTCCTGGCAGGCAGCACTCAGCTCACATTACCAGCCTGGGTTCCACATCTGCCCAGGGCAAGTCAGGCATGGAACAGTGAAGGGTGTGTGAGTGAACATGGGGTCTGGCCACTGCACACAGTCAGACATGCCGGCTGCTGCAGCGGGGTGAGCAGCTCCAGGTGCCAGCATGGGCGCCAGCTCTCTGAGAGGTTGTGGCTAGACCAAGTACACCACAAGCAGCTTCCACAGCTGGCACCGGGGAACACGGTGGCACCCAGAAGCTTCGAGATGCCAGGAACCACAGGGCCCCGAAAAGGGAGTCACAGCTCCAGCTTGGGGAGCTCCCAGGTCTGGGTTCCCCAGAGGGCCGCAGCTCTTCTTTCCTTCCCTTCACCTGCATCATGGCAAGCAAGGGGCATGTTTCAGCCTTGTTTGTGTTACAGCTCTTTCAGCCCCACCATTTGATGGGTCCCAAGTTCTTATCCTGCAACCAGGAAGAATGAGGTATGCAGACAAGTGGGGAGTGAGCAAGACGAAGAGGAGCTTTACTGAGCGATAGAACAGCTCAGCCTCCTGCAGAGCCTCCCTCAGGGGGCAGCTCCTTTCCACAGCCAGGGTGTCCTGATGAGTGTTCAGCTGCTAGCAGAGAGGAGACCCTGGAATGGGAAGCTCCTCTCTGCAGGCAGGTCATCCTGTCGACTTTCCAGCTCTCAGAAGAGGGAAGACCCTGGAATGGGAAGCTCCTTTCTGCAGGCAAGTTGTTCTGCCATCTCTGCAGCTCTCAGCAGAGAGGAGGCCCTGGAGCGGGTAGCTCCTCTCGGCAGCTGGTCATCCAATGTCTGCCCAGCTCTGGCTGAGCCTGAAGCTTTCATGAGCCTCAGAGAGGAGGAAGTGCATACTGATTGGTCCATGGGTGGCTATAGGCAAGCCCAGAAAATACACCATAAGTTCCCACTCTGGTGTGTGGGACTGGCAGCCTGGCCCCCAGCCTTGAGGCCCTCCCTGGCTTGAAGGTAGGGCCTCACCAGGGACCCATCCCCTTCCACCCAGGAGCCTGTCTGTCTCCTGCTGCTGTTCATGGTGCCCAGGCTGTTCATGCCAAGGAGCGTCTGCAGGCCAGTGCCGAGCTGCCCTCAGTTTCCCCTTGGCTTTCCTTCCATGCTAGTCAGTGCCCAAAGTCCAGAGGGGGCCAAGGCAGCAGGGGTCTAGTGTGTCAGCACTGCCCCAAGCATGCCCACACCCAGCCAGGCTGCGACAGCACCCAGGCTCAGCACCAACTTTGCTCTAAGATCAGAGTGGGCGCCAAGAGGAGGGAGAAGCCAGGCAGTGGGAGCAGACACTTCTGAGCCTGAAGGGTGGGGCGGGGGGCCTTCCCGGGCCCCCAAGATTGCAGGGATGCCTGGGTCCACAGCTGCAGTTTAGGCAGCTGCAGCTGCATGGGGGATGGCGGGGGCCCCCACCTGCTCCATGAAGCAGGATCAGCTGTGGTTTGGCAGCTGCAGTGGTTCCCAGGAGGGCGGGGTTCCCACTGTCCCCAGCTCCCACTGGCTACATGGAGCATGCAGCCCTGGCCGTGCCTCCCTGCTGCAGCCAGTGTGATGACAGCAGCCATTCCAGACGGCCCGCCATTGCCATCTCTTTTTTTTTTTTTTTTTTTTGAGATGGGGTCTTGTTCTGTCTCCCAGGCAGGAGTGCAGTGGTAAGATCAAAGCTCACTGCAGCCTCAACCTCCTGGGCTCTAGCAATCCTCCCAGCTCAGCCTCCCAAATAGCTGGGACTACACAGGTGCATGCTACCACACCTGGCTATTTTTTAAATTTTTAGTAGAGATGGAGTTTCACCATGTTGGCCAGGCTGGTCTCGAACTCCTGACCTCAAGTGATCCGCCTGCCTTGACCTCCCAAAATGCTGGGATTACAGGCGTGAGCCAAAGCACCTAGACTTGCTGTTTTTTTAAATGTTGGCAAAAGCTAGTGACTAAGTGTTCACCATGTGCCAAGTGTTTTGTATGTGCAAGTCATTAAAATGTTATAATAATCAGATGATATAGGACCCCGTTCCCAGTGTACAGATAAAACTGAGGGCTCAGGAGGTCAAGTAATTTCCCAAAGACATGCAACTAGGAAGCAGCAAGTCTAGAAACAGATTGCTGTGCTTCCTTCTCACCAATGCACTGTTCTTTCTTCTTTGTATTTTCCAAGCTTTTGGCAATGAATTGCATGTCACTTTCATAATCATGAAAAGTCCTACAAGGGACAGATTTTTTTAAAGATTCCTTCCGCTCTGGTGTTCTGTGCTTCGCTGGTTCTCAGAACCTCACCCTGCACGGCCTCCACCCCACATCCTCACAGGCACTGGCCTCACTGCCCCCACTCCCACACCAGCTGTTGCTGGGGCAGGACGCCCAATGTCCCAGTCTTGCTGAAGTCTGCTTGAAATGTCCCTGGTGAGCTTCTGGCCACTGGGGAAGTTCAGGGGGCAGGTCTGAAGAAGGGGAAGTAGGAAGGGATGTGAAACTTGGCCACAGCCTGGAGCCACTCCTGCTGGGCAGCCCACAGGGTCCCTGGGCGGAGGGCAGGAGCATCCAGTTGGAGTTGACAACAGGAGGCAGGTGAGGCCAGAGTCCCAGAGGGAGGGGGCTGCAGAGTTCTGGGACCCAGGGGAGCTGGCCCAGGAGGCTGGGCAGCTGAGGCAGGGAGGGAGGGAAATAACTGTGCCTGATTCTAGGACAGGGATGGGGGTGCAGCACTGATCCAGGACCCAGAATGGGTGAGTGGAGGGACCTTAACTCCTTGAGCCAGGGCTTGGGGGAGGGTGAGAGGCGATGAGTTAGACCTAACAACTGAAGGGTAAGACCAGGGTTCCTGGGTCCTGGCCCCATAACACATAAGAAACCAGGAAAAGCCTGGGGTGCTAGAGCTGGCAGTGGGACCCAGCAGAGGGGACTGTAGGGGCAGCCAGTCACCCATGCTCAGGTGGATGCTGAAAGGCGCTGAGCATGCAGAAGAGTGAGCAGGTGTCGCTTTGGGCGTTTGTGAATTCCTGTGTGTATGCAGAGCTCCACCATCTGGGTGAGCCAGTGTTAATTAAATAAGGAGCAGGCGCTCAATACATATTTGTTCAATGAAATCGATTACCTGTGGGAGTGTATGAATGTGTGTGTCCGTGCAAGTGAGGGACAGGGTCTATTTGGGTATCAGTTGTGTGTCTAGGGGGGTATAGTGGATTTCTGAGTTTGCCTACTGTGTTTTGTAGGTGCGTGGATGAGAGCTGTGTTTGTGTGAGTGTGTGAAGATGTGGGTGTGCTCTGTTGCATGTGTGGATGTGTGTGAGTTTGTGGTTCTGTGTATATGCGTGGGGTCCTGGGGCTGGATTGAGAGTGGACATTGAGAGCCCCAGAGGGTGCATGTGCACTTGGGGAGGACTGTGCATATATCATTGTGTGCATGGGACTCAAGGGTGGGAGCTGGGTGTGAGTGTGATGTCCAACCTGCCCAGGCCCTCCCGTGTCTCCACAGAGGCATCATGGAGGGTCCCCGGGGATGGCTGGTGCTCTGTGTGCTGGCCATATCGCTGGCCTCTATGGTGACCGAGGACTTGTGCCGAGCACCAGACGGGAAGAAAGGGGAGGCAGGAAGACCTGGCAGACGGGGGCGGCCAGGCCTCAAGGGGGAGCAAGGGGAGCCGGGTAAGCACCCTTCCTCGGGACCCAGCCCCTTGGACCTTGGCCTGACTTGGCCTCCAGGGTGAAGGCTTGGGGTGGCACTGAGAATCAGGAGTCCGTCTGCCCCCAGTGCCCCATGAATCCTCTCCAGTTTGTACTTGGCCACAGGGGCTAAGGGAGGCCTAGCCTTCTCGGGCCATGTCCTCAGGCCTCTCCACTCCCTGTGTACTGCCTGGGCCCTCTTTCTTCGGCTTCACCTTCCCCCTCTGGAGAATGACTTGCTTTGACCAGTGAAAGTGAAAGTTCTGGCAGCAATGCTGAGTCCTTGTTCATGTTTCTCTTGCCAGAAAAACGAGGACTCAGAGTTTAGACTCAGGAGCCACTGCCTTGCTGTGTGACCTCAAGCAAGTTATTGGCCCTCTCTGAGCCTAAGTGGGCTCATCTGTAAAATGGAAAAATAACACTGCCTGGCACATAGAGAGGGATCAAATAACTGAATCTGTCCCTTCACTTCCTTCCAGCACCCCCAACACTGTCCCTGCTTCCCCCTCCCCAGCCCCTTCAGGCTTCAGAGACTCACATTCTAGAAGAAAGGCCAGGGGTAATGGAAAAGGGAAGAGGTCCTGACCAAAGTAGAAAGGGAGTCTCATGGAATCACCCTGGGCCTCCTAGTCCAAAGCAGACCAGAAGGATCACATAGACATTTGCAGTAATTTGCATCCGGGCATCCTACATGTGGTACCTGAACCTGAAGCCAAGTCAAGGTCAGTGCCCCAGAGGGGTATGAAGTCCTCAGCCTTGGGCAGGAACACAGCAGAGCAGCCAGAGTTCCATGCATTTCCCAGAACCTGACACTTTCCCAAGTGCCTGTTCACACTTCTCTCCACTTTACAGATGAAGTGGAGGCTCAGAGAGGTTGAGACACTTGCCCAAAGTCACACAGCCAATCAGAATCGATGTCCTGAAGGCCCAGGTGCTTCATTGCCCTTTATCCCATAGACTCAGGGGGTCCAGCTCTCTCCCTGAGGACCAGTAGGCATTGGACTCTCACTTCCAATCTGGCATTTCTCCCCACAGGGGCCCCTGGCATCCGGACAGGCATCCAAGGCCTTAAAGGAGACCAGGGGGAACCTGGGCCCTCTGGAAACCCCGGCAAGGTGGGCTACCCAGGGCCCAGCGGCCCCCTCGGAGCCCGTGGCATCCCGGGAATTAAAGGCACCAAGGGCAGCCCAGGAAACATCAAGGACCAGCCGAGGCCAGCCTTCTCCGCCATTCGGCGGAACCCCCCAATGGGGGGCAACGTGGTCATCTTCGACACGGTCATCACCAACCAGGAAGAACCGTACCAGAACCACTCCGGCCGATTCGTCTGCACTGTACCCGGCTACTACTACTTCACCTTCCAGGTGCTGTCCCAGTGGGAAATCTGCCTGTCCATCGTCTCCTCCTCAAGGGGCCAGGTCCGACGCTCCCTGGGCTTCTGTGACACCACCAACAAGGGGCTCTTCCAGGTGGTGTCAGGGGGCATGGTGCTTCAGCTGCAGCAGGGTGACCAGGTCTGGGTTGAAAAAGACCCCAAAAAGGGTCACATTTACCAGGGCTCTGAGGCCGACAGCGTCTTCAGCGGCTTCCTCATCTTCCCATCTGCCTGAGCCAGGGAAGGACCCCCTCCCCCACCCACCTCTCTGGCTTCCATGCTCCGCCTGTAAAATGGGGGCGCTATTGCTTCAGCTGCTGAAGGGAGGGGGCTGGCTCTGAGAGCCCCAGGACTGGCTGCCCCGTGACACATGCTCTAAGAAGCTCGTTTCTTAGACCTCTTCCTGGAATAAACATCTGTGTCTGTGTCTGCTGAACATGAGCTTCAGTTGCTACTCGGAGCATTGAGAGGGAGGCCTAAGAATAATAACAATCCAGTGCTTAAGAGTCAGGCCCGTCCTTAGTATGTTTTTTTGTTTTTTGTTTTTTAAGATGGAGTTTCTCTCTTGTCACCCAGGCTGGAGTGCAATGGAGTGATCTTCGGTCACTGCAACCTCCGCCTCCCGGGTTCAAGCAACTCTCCTGCCTCAGTCTCCCAGGTAGCTGGGATTACAGGTACCTGCCACCATGCCCCGTGAATTTTTTGTATTTTTAGTAGAGAAGGGGTTTCACCATGTTGGCCAGGCTGGTCTCGAACTCCTGACCTCAAGTGATCCTCCAGCCTTGGCCTCCCAAAGTGCTGGGATTAGAGGCATGTGCCACCACGCCCAGCCCATTCTTAGTATTTCACATGATGTGTTTAGCATGTCCTAGCAGCCTCATCTACCCAGGTTCGAATCCTGATGCCACCACTTATTAGCTGTCTAATCATGTGCATGTTAACCCAGCTCTGAGATCTCAGTTTCCTCATCTGTAAAGTGGGACTGATGATCCCAAAGGGTCATTGGGAAGATTAAATGACTTAATATATGAAAATTGTAGAGCAGTGCTCAGTTTATAACAAGGGCTATGGAAATTTTTGCTATTATTATATTTTATTTAATCTTTATGACCAAGCTCTGGGTATGGTATGATGGCCCTACATTACAGATGATGAAACTGAGGCTGCGAGGAGTAGGCATCAATCAGCAAATCAGCATCTAAGGGGAGGATCTGGGGGCCAGTCACAGTGGCTCACGCCTGTAATCCCAACACTTTGGGAGGCCAAGGCGGGCAGATCACTAGAGGTCAGGAGTTCGAGACCAGCCTGGCCAACATATAGTGAAACCCTGTCTCTACTAAAAATACAAAAATTAGCTAGGGGTGGTGGCGCACACCTGTAGTCCCAGCTACTTGGGAAGCTGAGGCAGGAGAATCACTTGAATCAGGGAGGCAGAGGTTACAGTGAGCTGAGATCGCGCCACTGCACTCCAGCCTGGGTGACAGAGCGAGACTCCATCTCTTAAAAAAAAAAAAAAAAAAAAAAAAATTGGAGGGTGGGGAGGCGGGAAGGAGCTGAGATTTGAACCCAAGTCTTACTGATGCCCAAGCCTGTGTTTAACCACTACCCTCACCAGCCTCCCTGGCTTCTATGAAGCACATGACACATCACACAGGTGCTTTTTCAACCCTGTGTTGGGAAGGCAGGGGCAGGAATCAGAGAGGGGAAGCAATTGGCCCAAGGGCACTCCGCAGTCCTTCCTGAAGCTAGGTTTCCTGAGTCCAGCCCTGGGCTTCCACCTGGCAGGTGTGGAGACCAGGGCTGCTGCCTCTGCTGCCTGATGGACATTCCGCCCAGGCTGGGGGCTGGGAGAGTCTTGAATGCTCACAGTGCATTCCAGGGCCCTATTTGTCTGTCTGGAAGCTACTATGAAGCAGCAAACCCCACCCTGTCCCTCGAATGCAGGAGAAATAAGGGGGCCAGGAGTTCAGATCTGAAAATGTCCAATGCACCATGCAGTTTCTCAAAGGAAGCTGGGTTTAGCTTTGTGCTGCACACACACACACACGCACACACCAGTTATGCCTTCACACCCACAGACACACTCAGGGAGGCACAATCCATCATACCACACAGCCCCTGCCTCAGACATACAAGTAACATCCATGAACCATCGCATATTCTCTCTCTCTTACGCATGTGTCCCAGACACACTCCTTTCACCCGGGGACACACATCCTCCTCACTCCAGCATGCACGAGCCTCAGAATGCCTGTGTTCTCTCCCACACGGACCCCCCACCACCCACACATACACTCAAACTCCCACAGGGCCATCCTCAGAAACACGGGCTGTCCCTCCCATCCACTGCCAGATGCACAAATGGCCTCATGGTCCTCGAGTGCACAACCTGAATACCCACCTCTAAAGTACAAGACCCCCTCCTGGGACTGCCCCTGCCCTGCCAACAGGCTTTGGGGGTCGGGAAGAAGTGAGGGGGGCCCAGGGAGAGGATGAACCCTCCACAGCCTCAGGGTAGCCCTCAGCTCCCTTCCAGAGTCAGCTCAGCCCTGTTCTCCCCCCGCCTCGCTCACCCAGAACACACACTGTTTCACAGGCACCGGGAAAAGAGACAGGTCTTCGGGAACCTAACGTGCTGGGCATTCCACGGCCATTGATGTATTTAATCCCAGCAAAATCGATGTGGACACTGAGGCTCAGAGAAAGCAGACATCCACCCAAGGACACACAGCCAGAAAGGGGAAGGGCCCTGGGGCTGAGCCAGGGGTGCCTGACCCCACAGGGTTAGGGCACGCAAAGAAAATGCCAGGGGTGGAGGCTCCATCAGCGGCAGTAGAGGCCAAGCTAGAGAAATGGGGTGTGCAGTGAGTGCCCGGCCACCCCCTTACCCTAAATCCTACCCATACCCCACCATCCACCCACTACCCCGATGCAAAATCTCTGGCCCCTCTGGGAGGGGAATGAACTGGAGCTGCCCGGAGCGGGGCCAAGTGGGCGGGGCACGGGAGGGTTGAGCGTGGGCCGAGGCTGCCACCTGCTGGACAAGCCGAACCCAGGCGCAGAGGAGGTGAAGAGGGAGGAGAGGAGCCCAGAGCCGTTAGGCTGGGTGGCCCCCAGCCCCATAATGCAGTATCCATCATTTCTTCTCGGCCCAGGCTTCCACCCACCAGGGACTCCTAGGGCCAAGTGGGTTCATGCCCCTTAACTCACCCCACACTCTCTGCAGTCCCATGGCACGTGGTGGAGACACAGAAGGGGAGACTGAGACCCTGAGGGTTCCTCAGTGAGGCAGGGGAAGAGCTCTGAACACCTGCCCATACCTGGCACGGGACAAGGCATCACACGTGTGTTGTGCACTGAATCCCAGCCACTGGCCTGGAGCTGTAAGAAGCCTCCATGTTACAGAGGGGGAACCAATGGACACAGGTGGCAGGTGTGGGGTCGAGGCTGGAGCCCTGCTACTGCCTGACAGCCCCTTCATCCCTAGAATCTCATGTGAGGAGAAGAGGGAGAGGGGAGAAGGCCTCTCAGCTCTGCCAGCCTGGTCCTGATGGGGAGCCCCTCACCAGCCATGGTGGGCTCCAAGCCCAGAGGCAGGGCACCCCCAGGATGCAGGCAAGGAGGGTGGTGTTGGCAGGGAAGATGGAACCGTCAGGGAAGACCAGGTGCCCCAACGAAGGAAGAGGCACCAATACTGAAAGCCAAGGCCACCCCAGTAGACAGAAGGGAGGCCAGAGGGACCAGTGATTTGCTGAAGGCATCTGGTCCATGCAGTGACAGGGCTGGAAGGAGAAGCCAGGGCCCTGGCTCTGTAGCCAGGGCAGCCCGTGCACCACAACAGCTGCCTGCCGCCAAAGCGGGTCCATCCTGGGGGTCCACCTCCAAGTGTGGCCACTGGGATGGGGCACATGGAAGTTTCTAGAACAAGGCTTGCAACTTGACAAGTGCATGTGAGGCTTGTTTCTGGGGGCAGCTGAGCAGAGGGGTCAGAGCAAGGCTTTGGGCCCCAAGAGACCACTCAGTGTGTGACTTTGGGCAACGGTGTACATCCTCCTGAGCCTGTTTCCTTATCTGTAAAGGGGGATAATAACTTCCTCCTAGGGATTCTGGGAAAACTGAGTCTCAGGCAAAGCAAATGCTAACATTGGTCATTAGATGGGATGAACCTGACTCTGGGGGACGTCTGTGCCCTGGGGGCTTGTGTTTATACACACACACACACACACACACACACACACACCCTCAGCCAGATGCTGGGGCAGGGGACAGTTCCTCATTTCGGACACTGACTGCCGGTGGGGGGATGTGGATGGGGTATTGCTGTGGTCAGTCTGGCTCAGCACCCAAAAGAAAGTGTCAAGTCAGGGAAAATTCTGGGAAAGGGGATGTGGGATTGGGGGAGGGCACGAGAAGGGGAGGGGGCCCAGCCCTGCTTTGGGCAATCCTTGCTCTGACCACTCAGACACCGTGTCCTCTTGCCTGGGAGAGGGGAAGCAGATCTGAGGACATCTCTGTGCCAGGCCAGAAACCGCCCACCTGCAGGTGAGGCCCGGACCCCTGCCCAGGTATGGGCAGATGGCCGTTTCCTCCACCTTCCGCCACCTTCCTGAAATGTGGTGCCAGGGGCAGCTTGGTGTGTGAGGGGAAGGAGGGTTCCCACTCCTGCTGGGCCCCGGGGCCTGGGCTGAAGAAAAGGCCCCACCATCCATCCATGGTGAGGCTCCTGGGGGAGGAAGGAAGGCGAGCTCCCGAGGGCTGAGGAGGACGGGCCCTGGGGAATGAGAGGGTTGGGGGCAGGTGAGGGGCTGGCGGGGACAGCTCAGCTCTCTCCCTCCCAGTTCCTTCTCCGGGATGGACGTGGGGCCCAGCTCCCTGCCCCACCTTGGGCTGAAGCTGCTGCTGCTCCTGCTGCTGCTGCCCCTCAGGGGCCAAGCCAACACAGGCTGCTACGGGATCCCAGGGATGCCCGGCCTGCCCGGGGCACCAGGGAAGGATGGGTACGACGGACTGCCGGGGCCCAAGGGGGAGCCAGGTGAGTCTGCTGGCCTGGTTTGGGGGTTTGGGTCTGGGGCAGGGATCAGAGTGTCTGTCTGGGGCTGACCAAGGGGGCGGGGGACAGCAGGAAGTGCTTGCCTTGCTGCCACGCCTGCCCCAGGGCAGAGGTGGACTCTCACGGTGTGTCTGGCTCCTCTATCCTCAGAGCCCAGGCTTCAGGCCACCCCAGAGGTGACCTTGGGCCCAGCGCACTTCCATCTTCCTTCTCCTCCTTACCCGATTATAGGGAGGGAATAAGAGCGCCTGCCCCCAAAGGTGGCCAGGAGGCTCACAGGAGACAGTGCAGGGAAAGTCTTCTTGCCCTGCAACATGGGCACCTGGGGAAGCTGGGGCCCACACAGTGAATATATCCAATGCACGACTGCCAGGGTTCAAATCCCAGCCCCTACTGATTCCCTCTATGTGAACCCGCACAAGTTACTTAACCTCGCAGTGCCTCAGTTTCCTCATCTGTAAAACGAGGAGATGGTAGCACCTGCTTCACAAGGTTGCTGTGAGGATTAAGTTAACTTAAATATAAAACAGCCCTGAGCACCTGGGAGGTCTATACAGGTGTAGGCTATTTTATCATTGGTTTTATCAGATATCCATGCTCACCTCCCTCCTTAGGATTCTGGATAGTTGGAGGGGTGGGGAGTAGGAGGTCAGGATCGCAGCCAGAGAAACTTCTGTTGGAGGTCCACAGGCAATCCTTGGCATAAGAGAAGGGGGCTGAGGCTATGAATGGGTGACTGGGGCTGGAACTGGAGCCCTGGGGGGTATGAGTGCCTTGTCTGTGAGTGAGCTGGGCACGTCTCAGATGCTAGGCATGCCTGGAGCCGGCCTGGGGTGACACTGAGCGGAGGTGATGGGGTGACAGAGGCAGTGGAAAGGAGGGAGGCCAGTTGAGAGGAATGTCCTTAGGAGTGGTCCCACCATCATCTTCCCTCCTGGATAGAGGGAATGGCACCAACATTCCAGAAGGAATTCTCCAATTTAGGGTGAGCTTAGGGTGAGCTCAAAGCTCAATGAGGCCTCCAGGTCTGCCATTTTCCAGGAGCTTGTACTTCACAGCTGCCTCTGACCACCTCCCTGCCCAGGGTAGCTGATGGCCACCCGTGATTGAGCCCCCAAGTCCCAGGTGTGGTCTCAGTTTTAGGAAATGATAAAACCGAGGCCACAATCCCTTGAAAAAGTGATTGACCCTCATTTTGCAAATGTCAAAGCTGGGGTTCAGAGAGATTGAGCAACTTGTCCAAAGTCACACAGTGGGATCCTGTCCAACTCTCAAGTCCACATTCTCCACCACTGCCCTCAGCTGCCTCTCAAGTCCCCTCTGTATTGCTGTTTCCTGGCCCCCTCTCAATTGGTGGTTTGAAGACATCACGAAGGATGAGACGCTGCTCTGCTCAGCATCACTGGCAGCCATCACGAGGACCAGACACTCCAGAGCACGCTTCCTATGGTGTGCCTGGCACAGTGCCTGTCCCACTCCACCCTTTCAGGGACTCCCTCTTCTATTATGCCCGTATCTCAACTGAGCAAATACAGGCTCAGGGAGGGAGGTCACCCACCCAGGGTCACAGATGTGAAGGCCAGGTCTGCTGGGTCCCGACCCCACACTCCTAATGCTGAGGCCTAAGAGGTTCATAAGCCATAGAGGATCTGTCATAAATGGGTCTGCACAGTCACCCAGCCTGACGGAAGTCAGAGGAGGAAAGGAAACATGAGGGCTGATGGGAGCGGTCAAGGAGGGCTTCTTGGAAGAAGAAACTGGAGTCAGCCCTTAAAAGATGAGTATGATTTAGATAAGGGGAGAAGAATCTCACAGAGGCTCAGATCATCAGGGCTGGAACAGAGTGAGACACTGGGATTCTCCAGACTTGAGTTAGAGACCTGACTCCACCTCAAACTGGCTGCACGGCCTTGGGCAAGTCTCTAACTCGGCTTCCTCATCGGCAACATGAGGGAAGTTGAACCAGGCCAGCTGTCATGGGGGCTGACGTGGGCTGAATGGGGCTGGGGTGAGCTGGAGAGAGCAGGCCCTGCAGTGGGGCGGCTTCTATTCGGCTCCTTCCAGTGGTTCCCATGTGCTAACCTGGGGAATCCATCTCAGGAGCAGATATAGGTTTTGTGGGACTCTGAAGCTTGTAAAATGTTGAGGGTCTTCTTTATGAAAAATAATACAAACTGAAAGATGCGCTTGATTGCAGAGGTGAGAGTGGTTACAAAAATTTACACATGTAGCAAAATTATATTGGAACCACACACACAGTGTATATAAAACTGGTGAAGTCTACATAAGCTTTGTGAATTCTAGGAATGTCAGCTTCCTGGTTTTGACATTATACTTTAGTCATACAAGCTGTGTCACTGGGGAAAACTGGGTGAAGAGTCCCTGTTCTTTTGTTTCTTCAACTTTCTTTGACTCTATATTTCAAAATAAAAAAGTTGAAAAAAATCAGAAATACAAAATTAGGCAAAAGGTCTTGAAGGGGCTGATGCAAGTGGACAGAACCTGAAACTTAAGCTGCCTCTGACCAACCTTCTGATTTTTTGTCAAGAAGGTCTGAGAATTTCAAATTTTAAATAAGTTCTGAATTTGTTCATGTTGGGCTCCAATTAAAAATTTTAAAAAACATTGTGCAGGCCAAACAAGATACTTGTGGCCACATGCCATCTGTCCGTGGGCTGACAGTCATGGCATCTGTGATCCCGCCCAGCTCTGAGCTCCCTACTTGCTTCATCACAAATGTGGAAACTGAGGCCAAGAGACAGGGAAGTGCCTTAGACAAGGTCAGAGGGCAGGTCAGTGGAGAAGCAGGACTTGAACCAGACTCTCTCTCTCCCCTCCAGCCAAAGCCTAACTCCCTGCACCCTGCTCCTAGGGAGATAGCCCATCTATGAGAAGGAGATTCTAGAGACCAAATGCCAGCGCTGTGTTCCCTGGAAGACACCCTCAGGGTCCCTCCTCCCTGTCCCCCACCCTATCACTTTCTCTCTGCCTTCTCCATCTCCAGGAATCCCAGCCATTCCCGGGATCCGAGGACCCAAAGGGCAGAAGGGAGAACCCGGCTTACCCGGCCATCCTGGGAAAAATGGCCCCATGGGACCCCCTGGGATGCCAGGGGTGCCCGGCCCCATGGGCATCCCTGGAGAGCCAGGTGAGGAGGGCAGATACAAGCAGAAATTCCAGTCAGTGTTCACGGTCACTCGGCAGACCCACCAGCCCCCTGCACCCAACAGCCTGATCAGATTCAACGCGGTCCTCACCAACCCGCAGGGAGATTATGACACGAGCACTGGCAAGTTCACCTGCAAAGTCCCCGGCCTCTACTACTTTGTCTACCACGCGTCGCATACAGCCAACCTGTGCGTGCTGCTGTACCGCAGCGGCGTCAAAGTGGTCACCTTCTGTGGCCACACGTCCAAAACCAATCAGGTCAACTCGGGCGGTGTGCTGCTGAGGTTGCAGGTGGGCGAGGAGGTGTGGCTGGCTGTCAATGACTACTACGACATGGTGGGCATCCAGGGCTCTGACAGCGTCTTCTCCGGCTTCCTGCTCTTCCCCGACTAGGGCGGGCAGATGCGCTCGAGCCCCACGGGCCTTCCACCTCCCTCAGCTTCCTGCATGGACCCACCTTACTGGCCAGTCTGCATCCTTGCCTAGACCATTCTCCCCACCAGATGGACTTCTCCTCCAGGGAGCCCACCCTGACCCACCCCCACTGCACCCCCTCCCCATGGGTTCTCTCCTTCCTCTGAACTTCTTTAGGAGTCACTGCTTGTGTGGTTCCTGGGACACTTAACCAATGCCTTCTGGTACTGCCATTCTTTTTTTTTTTTTTTTCAAGTATTGGAAGGGGTGGGGAGATATATAAATAAATCATGAAATCAATACATATGCCTGGCTCAGATTCCTCATTGCTGATTCCTTGAATTTCGGATCTTCAACTTTGCATCAGCCATAGCTGGGCTCTGGACTCAAGGCATCTGGTTGGTGCTCAGGAAAGCTTGGCTGCCAGTGTTGGGACACTCAGCACCATTTGGCCTGGTGGGAGAGAGATGTTCTAAGTGTGGTTACATGCTGCCAGCGGTCCCCAAGGGATCATCTGCTGTCACTTTTTTTGGGGGAGAGGCACTGCCATCATTAAAGGTATCCAAGCCCACAGGTAAATGGGAGTCAGTTTGACTTCCTGGGCCTGTGCTGAACTTCAGGAGCATTTACTATGGGAGGAAATTGGGCTTGGGTAAGCCCAGAACAGACAAAGGCAAGATGTGCAATGAATTTGTGCTGAATGAATAAGAAATTGGTGTGAATGAATTATTGCATAAGTGGGTAAGTGAATAACTAAAAGCAGAGTAAATGAATGAATGAATAAAAATCATAATAACTAACATTTATTGAGCACTTAGTGTATGCCAGCCATTACACTAAGCACGTTACACATATTAACTCATTTAATATTCATTATCACAGGGGCAACGATGCCTCATGTCATTCCGTGTTTAACACCAGTCTCCCCTCGTAGAAGGGAGGCCCCATGGGGGCAGGGACCATGGCTGATTTGCTAAGAGCTCTCTTTTCTGTGCCTAGATGCTCTGAGATGGGCATGAGGGGGAGACAGAGAGAGAAAACTGGCCTCCCAGATGTCTGACTTGCCCCAAATAACTCACAGACTCTGGGACTCCCAGGAGATCTGAAACCACTGCTGCCCACCGGCCATCAAGTTTTGACTGTGAGGTTGCTGGTGGTTGGATCCAGCCACCATGGTCCTTCTTGGAGGATGATGGAAGCCCACAATTTGATGTTGCAGGTACAAAAAGATAAAAAGTCTAACTCTCCTATGCAGGCTCCAGGTCCAATTCTCAGCACCCAGTCAGACTCGAGGCTCACTCTAGCCTGGGAGAACCTGGCCTGTCCTGGCTGTGATCACAGCTTGGTTCCACAAAGCCCCACGGAGTCATGGAAGCACCAGCCATCTGAGGTGTGGGCTGTTAAGAGCAGTGGCTCAAGCTGAGTTCTACAACCACCTCCATTCACTTTGGCTCCTCTGTTTGGGAAAGGGGCTGTGTCACACCTCCCTGCCTTTGCCCATGCAGTCCCTCCCACTCATGCAAATCATCCATCCACCTGGATGATATTCATTCACTCAACTGTCAGGAGTCAACACAAACATCACCTCCTCCATGAAGCCTTCTCCGATTTACCCCTTGGGTCCCCACAGTGCCCTCCACAAATTTGGGCACAAATTCATGACTCCTTAGAGCCCAGGTTCCCAAATCAGATGGTGAATAAAATTAACCTAAAGACTTATTTAAAACAAAATAAAACAAACAAAACCAGATTTCTCAACTCCAGGCTGCTTTATAAAGGTCTGGAGAAGCCCAGGCTGTAAATGAGTTGGCGGTTTGCAGGGGAATCTGATGCACACAGCCCACCAACTAGCTTTTGTGCACTTAGTCACTTACAGGTCTGCCTCCCCTTTAGACTGTAAGAATCGTGGGGGCAGGGCCCCTTCCATACATACCTGGCACATAACAGGGACATGAAAAGTGTGTAAGATGGGAAGGAGGGAGAGAAAGACACACACATGCACACACACATGCACACGCACATATATGCACATACACACATATACACATGCATGTAAAGACATGTACATACACACATATGCATACATACACACATATGTATACATACACACATATATGCATATACACACATATGTACACATATACACATACATATATAGGCACATGCACAGACACACACATATGCATACACATACACATATTTATACACATATATACACAGACACATGCAAAGACATCCACACATATACACATACAAAAATATACCTATATACACAGATATACACACGCACACATGTATACACATACACACAGACATACACATATATACACATACACACACATATACACTCATATAGTATCCACACAACACTTAGATATATGCATACACACAGAAACACACATATACGCATATACATGCACATACCCACACGCATATGCATGCACACACATTGACACCCACACATAGACATCCACACATCCACATACATTCACAGACACACACATAGACACACATACACACATAGACACTCATGCACATGTACACACAGATATACACACAGACGCATACACACATACATACACATACACACATACACATGCACACACATACACATACAGAAATACACAGTGGGAGAGCAGGAGGCAGGGGCGGAAGAACCTGGACGGTTCACTGAGTCCAGTGCCCCCGGCGGGGACAGCGTGAAGGCCACGGCCACAGCATCCACTGCTCTCCTCCACCAACCCCTTAGCTGTCGGCCGGGCGAAGCTGTGGGTGATATGTCTTTCTTCTCATTTCTCTTTTGTTTAAAAAATCAATACACCATTTATGTAGGTCACAGTGTCATATCAGAAACCTGTACTTTGGAAATGACAATTTTGTGCCATTTTTATTTTCCATAATTGTTTCCTTGTTGTTCTCTCTTCATCAGGGGGGCAAGCCTTTGAAAATGCCAACGTGTCTGCCTTGCTGAGGGGAGGCGGGGGAGAGTTTTTCAGTGGGGCAGGCAAGGAGGGGTGGACGTGGGGCAGGAGCCAGGACAAGACACCCCAAGCTGCAAGGAACCCCTTTCCAACCACAGGAAGGTGAGGGGGTGTAGGTTTCTTTTTCCACTCTTTGCAGGGATCAGGGATTTTCCACTCTCAATCAGGGATGTGAGTCCAAAATTTTGTAGGTACAGAGACCAGCTGGCTCCCATTAGCGGTCAAGGCCCAGGGACCCCTCAGCTCCTGATCCCCAAGTCCAGGCCTCCTCCTAATCCAGGCATGGCTTCTTTGCTCCTGGGTTCCAAGAATTCCATCTTCTCTTCATATAAGTAATACCGTTCCCATGTTTGCAGTGGGTGCCCACCAAGGGCTGGGCACTCACCTGGCCCTGGACATGGCAGGGGGACCTCGCTGGCCCCCAAAACAGCCCCAGGAGATAGGCGTTCATGCTTCCCATTTCTACACGAGGAAACTGAGGCCAGTAAACATTCCCGTGGCCACATAGTTAGCAAGACGAAGAGCTGGGATTCAAACTGCCAAAGTCCGTGCTCCTAACCCACCTCTGCTGCTTCCTGTTCTTAGCCTCACTGCTTCTACCCCAAATTGACATCCATCTTTTCCCATTGCCCTTAGCCACCTAAGAATTAGAGGCCCAGAGGCTGGGCATGGTGGCTCACGCCTGTAATCCCAGCACTTTGGGAGGCCGAGGCAGGCAGATCAACTTGAGGTCAGGAGTTTGAGACCGGCCTGGCCAACATGGTGAAACCCTGTATCTACTAAAAAAAAATACAAAAATTAGCTGGGCTTGGTGGCATGCACCTGTAGTCCCAGCTACCTGGGAGGCTGAGGCAGGAGAATCGCTTGAACTTGGGAGGAAGAGGTTCTAGTGAGCTGAGGTCGCACCACTGCACTCCAGCCTGAGCAACAGACTGAGACTCCATCTCAAGAAAAAAAAAAAAAAAAAGAACTAGAGGCCCAGAGCCACTCGGCTTTGGGAATGCTCAGAAGCCCTCAACTTGCAACCTACTAACTCGTTTCTCCCTTTGTGGAATCCAGTGTTTCTTCTCTTCACCCTAGCCTGGGTCCCTTCGGGACTATAGTTGACTGAGCTCAGAGACCTTTTGGTTTTATCAAACTTATCTTTCCCTCCTGTTCACCCATTGCAGTTAACACTTAATTTCCACCAAGCTGCATCCACAAGCCCAGTGAATTTCCATCTCCAAGCACAGATGTCAAGAGGGCCTCCAGCTCCTGGTGCTTGCTAGTCATCATGTCGTCTGAGACGCAGCCACAGGGAGAGACTGATATCCTAGTGCCAGGGATGCCGGCTTCCAGGTCTGCATCTGCCACCTCCATGAGGCATCGGCCCCAGCAGTCACGTCTTTCTGTGACATTTATCACAGAAGCAATGAAGCCTCATGTCATTCCGTGTTTAACACCAGTCTCCCCCCGTAGAAGGGAGGCCCCATGGGGGCAGGGACCATGGCTGATTTGCTAAGAGCTCTCTCTTCAGTGCACATGGAAGCAAACACTAAATATTTGTTAAATGGTGGGTCTCCCCTCTGGGCCTCAGTTTCCTCGTATATAAAATGAGGAGGATGGGCCGAGTAACCTCAGCCCCTCTCCGGCCCTAACTTGGCGTGATTCCAGGATCGAGAAGAAGCAACAGGCCCCTGCCTGGGCCTATTATTGTCATCAGCGTCCAGCCCTGCTGGAAGCAGAGGGAGGGGTATCAATAAATAATGAACACATTTAAAATTCATTATGAGATTATTTTCTGAGAACAGGGAAAGAGCAGGGGCACAGAATGGGAAGGAAGCAGAAGAGATGAGCCCAGAAAGGGGAAGCCTGGGACATGAAGTGATATTAACAATGAACACGTGCACAGCCCTTTACAGTTTACCCCCAGACACTTCCTCCCCCATCATTTCCTCCATTATCCTCCCAGTGGCCTGTGAGATCTGTATCTGTAGAGCAGGTACAATTATGGTCCCATCCTATAGCAGAGAAAATTGGGGCTCCCTTGACTGACAACACATCAACTGGCAAGTGGCAGAGGCGGGATTGGAATCAAAGGCTCTGACTGTAAGCCAGCACTCAGGCAGCGGGCCCGCCACATGATGCTCACTGAGGAACACCCCTGCCCAGTGTAGAAGAAGATCACGAGGTCAGAGAGCCTGGGAGGGTGAGCTGTGGATGTTCCCCCAGGACAGCGTGTTCTCCCCACAGCTGCTGAGTTGGCAGAACCAAACTTGCCACCCACCCGTCTCATTTACAGTAAATCCAGTGGGTTGCAGAAATAGGACCTGAAACTGCCTGAGGGCAGCAGGGTGGGGGGACAGTGAGGGGACGGGAAAGGGGCCAGCCTGCTGGTCCATGGGAGGGGACCGTCAGGGGAAAGCCCTTCCCGCCTCTGGGGAAGGGAACTTCCGCTTCGGACCGAGGGCAGTAGGCTCTCGGCTCCTGGTCCCACTGCTGCTCAGCCCAGTGGCCTCACAGGACACCAGCTTCCCAGGTGAGGACGGGGCTTGGCGCCTGGGGGAGGCTGGCAGGGCCAATATGGCAGAAAGTGGTGATTCCGTAAGTGTGAGCTTTGCGTCACCTGCCTCGGAGCCAGTTAGGCTGTTTAACAGTGCAGGTAGCTGGGCCCAATCCCAGACCTATGGGACCCAGATCTCTGGGGTGAGTTGGGGAGTCTGCTGCTACCCAGGGCCTAGCGGATGGGCAGGCCACCTAAAGCGGGAGCCTGGCACATAGGAGCTTTGGCATCGCAGAGACTTGAGCTGAGTCTGGCTCTGCACCTTATGTATTGGTTATCTTGGGCAAGTCACCTAACCTCTCTCAGCCCGGCCCCCCTACAGAGAACAGAATCTTTCAGCACTGCTGTGCCTTACAGGAGATCAAGCTTGCAAAAGCTTAGTGCATGCCCTGGCTCAAAATTTATCAGTAAACCAGAGGCAGGAGTGGGATTATAAGCCAGTCGCTCCTGCCCGGCCCAGCATTTCCCCAACACCTTGCTTATTTCCTCATACTCGCTGAGAAAGCTCAGCTTGACTCTTCCAAAGAAATAAGGGGATGTGCAGGTAGAGTTACGATGAGTTCTCAGCTAGTACTGAGTGAGCGCAATGTTTGTGCAGCTGGGGAGTGGGATGTGGCACTGCACGGGGCAGGGGGGACCTTATTTCTTCTAAGCGCCTTCTCCTGTCATCCTTCTGGCAGCCCTGTCAGGTTGAAATCAGCATTGCCAAGAGGCTCAGAGAGGTTAAGGCACTTGCCTGAGGTTATGCAGCCGGTAGCAGATGGGGCTTTAAAGTCAAGTGGGCCTGACTCCATGTTGCGGAAAGGGACTGCTGGACCGAAGGAGATGGAAAGGTCAGAGCCTGGGGGGAGGACAGGAGAAACCGCGCTGGCAATGATGATGGGCTGGCACAGGCAGGAGGCAGTTAAACCAGATGAGTTGTAAGCCCTAACCCAAGGCTGAAACTCGGTGGCTTTTGAAATGGGCTAGAACCAGCACTTTCCCACTCCCCCTGCCCCTGGCTTCCCCAGGAAGCCCAAGTCCTGTCAGTACCCTGCTCCCCACCCTCTCTCCCCACCAACTGGTCACAGCTCTCCACCCCTTGCTGCCTCCAACTGACAGAGCCCCTCCCTCTAAACACAGTCTTTCAAAGGGATTGTCTTTTTTTACTTCTCCAACCATCTTCCCTTCTGTTCAACCACTCAGGAATTCTTGGATGACAGTGATAATAATAAAATAGCTAATATTCATTAAGAATTTCCAACATGCCAGGCTCTGTTGGAAGCTGTAACTCATGTCCTCGCACATACCCTATGAGGGAGAGAGTAGCATTATCCCCACTTTATAGGAGGGTAAACTGTGGCCAGAGAGAAGGAGTGATTTCCCAAGTCCCTTAGCTAAGAAGCAGTAGAGACCTTATGTGAACGCTGAGTGTTGCTTTCCTTGTGACACTACAGGCTCCCGCCACCAGGTGAATGTGTGCTGCCTAACAAGAGCAGCAATCATCGTGGTGGTAAAAAGCCACTTTCACCGAACACTGACCATGTGCCTACCACTACCCTTGGTGTGTCCCATGCATTAGTCCTTTTATCAGGCTGTCTGGCTTCAAAGTTTATGTTTTTACCACCAGGTACAGTGGCCTCTTAACATAACATTGAGTTTTAAGATCCAGTGGATGTGGGTTTGACTCCCAGCCACACAGGAGCTGTGTGACTTTTATCAAGGTGCTTGCCCTCTCTGATCCCGTTGCCTCATCTGTAAAATAAGAAAGCAAGAGTGCATTCTCAGGGGCTGAATATCAAATTACAGGGGATAATGGCATGCAAGCCATCTGGCTCAGAGCCTGGCCTATACGTACCCAACTTATTAAAGTTGTTAAATTGCCATTTTGTAAAACCTTTAGCAAGAGCAAGAGTGAGAGCTGATGCTTATTCATGGATAAGCAGGACCATGCCCCTGAGCCACCCTGTCTTCAGAGCATAGAGCCTGACAGAACCTAAAGCTGTCACCAGCATTCCCTGGCCACACTCATCTTTACAGCTTCCTTTCCTTGGTGCACAGTGTCTGGCATAACTCAGGGCTTTCAGCAAGAAATTGATCAGGACTAGGCTGAGGGGCTGAGGCTGGTTTGCAGAGCATAGGAGCCAAATATCAGTAGGCCTTGTCTGGTCCCAGGGAGCCCTCCACATGCCAGACTCTGGGGTTGGGACAGCCAGCATGTGGCAGAGAGGGTAGGAGTTTGGCCACAACCCTGCTGTTAGAATAGTTTGCTGGGTGATTTTTGGGTAGGTTGCTTTCTAAGTTCCGATCCTCAGTTTCCTCATCTGCAAGATGGGAAATTAATCACAACCCACTTCCCCAGGGTGTTGAGAGGATCAGAGAACAGCAGCAATAGCAGTAGCAGCCACAAGTCCCAATGAGAGCTTGGGGCTCAAGGCTTTATGACTCTTTCCCATCCATGGTCTCACCTGGGTCCCTGTGGCCACTCTGGGAAGTAGGCAGAGACCACTCTGCTCCCCCATTTTAAGAGAGGATACAGTTCAGCCTCTGAGGAAAGGTTTCCTGGAGGAAGAAGGCTTTGACCCAAGCTTCGAATGAAGAAAAAACATTTGGATCTGGGCAAAGGTGGAATGGGCTGCCTCGAGAGGTAATGAGCTGCCCATCACTGAAACGGTGCAAACTATGGATGGAAGAGCCCTTGGCAGAGATGTCATTTCCTCACACTCTGCTGAGAAAGTTCAGCTTGACTCTTCCAAGGAAATAATGTGATGTGCAGCTAGCGTTGTGATTAGTTCTTAGGGCTGAGTGAACACAACGTTTGTGCAGCAGGGGAGTGCGTTGAGGCACCACACGGGGGACCTTGGCAGAGGTGTCATTGAGGAAACTTAAGAATAGGCTGAAGGGTCCTCAGGAACTTAAACATGGAATTGCCATAAGCGGTAATTCCTCTCCTGGGTATAAACCCCAAAGAATTAAAAACAGATACTCAAATCCTTGTTCACAAATGTTCATAGCAGCACTCTTCACAATAGCCAAAAGGTGGAAACTTCCCAAATGTCCACCAATGATGAGTGGATAAACAAATAGCCAAGCGAGATGGTGCGTGCCTGTAATCCCAGCTACTCAGGAGGCTGAGGCAGGAGGATGGCTTGAGCTCCAGAGTTCGAGACCAGCCTGGGCAACAGAGTGAGACCCCATCTCAAAAAAAACCAAAAACCCCAAAACCAAATTGTAGTGTGTAAGTGGAAGGTCTGTAAGTGGAAAGACACAAACGGTATTTTCCTCTGCTCTCACACCACAACAATCAACACAGAAGACTTCTGTGACCAAATGTGGGGGGTTTCTCCCCACACACCAAGCAAGCAATCAAATCTGCTGGGTGTCTTTCCACTCAGTTCTGACACTGTCTAGGAATAGCATCAGACCCCACAGGCTGAGAGCTCAGTCCCACAAGACTGCTCCCCCTCAGACACCATTTGCAAGTCCAGGCCCCCAGAACTTCTGACCAATCAGCTTCAAGTTGGGGTTCTCACAACCCCCTGCTTGGGTTTGGATTCTTTGCTAGAGTGGCCCACAGAAGTCGGGGAAACACGTTTACAAGTTTATTATAAACAATACTATAAAGGATACAGATGAGATGCTCAGGGTGAGGTATGAGGGAAGAGGCGTGCCACTGTCATGCCCAGGTCCCTGGGCATGCTGCCCCCGAGGAACCTCCTCGTGTTCAGCTATTTGGAAGCTCTCTAAACCTAGTTCTTTGGGATTTTTATGGAGGCTTTATTATGTAGGCACGATTGATTAAGCCATTGACCATTGGTAATCAATTTAACCTTCAGCCCCACTCCCCTCCCCAGAGGTTGGGGGGTGGGGCTGAGAGTAGACCCTCTAAGCCTGCCTTGGTCTTCCTGGTGACGAGCCCCATCCTGAAGCTACCTAGGGGCTGGCAGCCATCAATCAATCATTAGCATACAAAAATACCTCACTTTGGAAATTCTAAGGATTTTAGGAGTTGTCTGCCAGGAAAGAGGTAGAAGACCAAATATATACTTTGCAATATCACATGTACCCATACAATGGAGTATTATTCAGTTATAAAAAGGAATGAAGTACTGATACATGCTACAACATAGAAACATGGATGAACCTTGAAAACATTACCCTAAATGAAATGAGTCAGACACAAAAGGTCACACGTTGTATAATTCCATTTATATGAAATAATAGGAATAGGTAAATCCATAGGGACAGAAAGCAGATTCATGGTTGTCAGGGGCTGGGGGAAGGAGGATTGAGAAGAAACTGCTTAACGGGCATAGAGTTTTATTTTGGGGTGATGAAAAGTCTTGGAACTAGATGGAAGTGAGGGTTGCACAAGACTGTGAATGTATTCAATACCACTAAAATGCTTGCTTTAAATTGGTTAATTTTATGTTGTAGGAATGTTGCCTCAGTTAAAAATATATAGGCTGAGGGTTAAACTAGATGAACTTAAAGGCCACTTTGTCCTGAGAGCTAATGGCATGGAACACTGGCCATGCTGACCAGTTTGAGACAGCCCACCGGCTTCTTCCTAGTTCTTTGGGATTAAAAAGGGGCCATCACTGCCCTCTTGCCAGAGTCACAGCTCTGAGAATATTCTACCAGCAGAAACAGCCTGGTATGCTGGCAGGGACATCGGCTTCATTCCTTCCTGTATGACTCTGAGCAAGTGACTTGGCCTCCCTGAGCCTCAGTGTCCCCTTTGGTGTAGGAATCACAGTAGATGCAGGGATGCTCTAAGCATGCAAGGTGGCCCGTTCATAAGCAGCATCATACCCTGAATTCAGAAGCTCTACTGAATAAGAGCTTTCGGGGAATAAAACCCCAAACTCATAGTAGCTTAGTTGCCTCTCCACTCTTGCTTCCTGTCACTTGAACTCTTGCTCCCCTCTGTCATACTGGCCTCCTGCTGATCCTCAACATCCTAACCTCTGTCCTGCCTCTGGGCCTTCTCCATATTCTCTGTCCTCCTGGAACATTCTTGCCCCCACCTTTTCTGGACCTTCAGGTCTCAGCCTAATCATCACTTCCAAGAGTGGCTTCCCCTTGGAGAAGACTTTCCTGGTGGGAGGACTTCCCTCACAAAACCCACCACCTCCCACCTCCAGCCCAGTTACTCTGCCTCCCAGCATCCTTCTCTTTCTTTCAGAGCACCAATCACGGTCTATCACTATTTCTATTTACTTTATGCTGACCCATTTATATCTACCTGTTTATATCTGTCCCCACTAGGGGCACAAGTCCAGGAGGGCAGGGACTGTATCCGTCTTGTTCTTCACTGAATCCCCAGCACCTTGCACAGAGTCTGGTAGATAGGGGACAATCAGTGAACATATGGATGGAGGAATGGATGGATGGAGGGACAGATGGAGGAATAGAGGGATGGATGGATGAACGGATGGATGGATAGATGGACAGAGGGATGGAGGGATGCAGGGGCAGAAGGATGGATGGATGGATGGATGGAGGGTGGATGGATGGACAGATGGACAGAGGGATGCAGGGATGGAAGGATGGAGGGATGGATGGATGGACAGCAGGATGGAGGGATGGATGGATGGATGGATGCAGGGATGGAGGGGTAGAGAGATGGATGGATGGATGGAGAGGAGGATGGATGGATGGATGCAGGGATGGACAGAGGGATGCATGGGTGGATGAATGGATGCAGGGATGGAGGGATAGAGAGACAGATGGATGGATGGATGGATGGATGGATGGATGGATGGATGGACAGGGGGATGGAGGGATGGATGCAGGGATGGAGGATAGAGAGATAGATGGATGGATGGATGAATGGATGGATGCAGATAGAGGGATAGAGAGATGGATGGATGGATGGTTGGATGCAGGAATGGAGGGATAGAGAGATGGATGGATGGATGCAGGGATGGAGGGATAGAGAGATGGATGGATGGATGGACGGATGCAGATGGAGGGATAGAGAGATGGATGGATGGATGGATGGATGGATGGATGGATGCAGATGGAGGAATAGAGAGATGGATGGATGGATGGATGGATGGATGGATGGATGGATGGATGGATGATAGGATCACCACGGTGGTAACCTCTCACATTGTCTTCTCCACAGGAGGCGTCTGACACAGTATGATGATGAAGATCCCATGGGGCAGCATCCCAGTACTGATGTTGCTCCTGCTCCTGGGCCTAATCGATATCTCCCAGGCCCAGCTCAGCTGCACCGGGCCCCCAGCCATCCCTGGCATCCCGGGTATCCCTGGGACACCTGGCCCCGATGGCCAACCTGGGACCCCAGGGATAAAAGGAGAGAAAGGTACCATGGGATTTAGCAGGACACTGGTAATACTGACCAAATTTCCCGTCTCCTGCCTCCCAAGTCACAGTTGCCTACCTTTGAGACTGCAAAAGCACTGGCAAATCCAGCAGCTTGCTGAACCCTTGCAGTAACTTTGCAAGGAGGGAATTCTGATTCCCATTTTACAGAGAGGAAAACTAGCATCTAGAAAGTCTGCTGACTTACTCAAGGTAGCCCAGTAAATGTTGAGGCTAAGACCAGACCACGGATCTCTTACCATTAAATTCAGGTGGAGAGGGAGTGCCGCTGTGGCCACAGAGTCCTGTGTTTAAACTTACCTCCTGGGCAAATGACTTCTCTCTGAATTGCTATTTCCTCACCTGTAAGATGGGGGCAATGGTACTTTTTTGGGGTTGTCATGGGGTTCAAATGAGACTCCCAGCCTTGAAAACCCCTCTGTAAAATTTGGTTTATTCATTCATTTAACCTACCGTTATAGAGCAACTGTCTGTGCCAGTCACTCTCCTCACATAATCTCATCTAATCCTTACAATCCCACAAAATATCTTCATCCCCATTTCACAGATGAGGAGGCTGTCCTCAGGAAATGTGACTCAGTCAAGGTGACACCACTACTAATGGCAGATGTGACACGCAAAGCACATCTCTCTGTCCCCAGATCCCATCTTCTCAGGCCCTATTCTCTGCCACTCTACTGGAAAATCGGTCTTATCTTGTGTTGTGCCAAACCAAGGGGTAGTGGCTGCTTGGGGGGTGGAGTGAGAAGGAGTCTAAAGTCCATTTCCAGGAGCAGCAAGAGTGAAGGCCATGGTTGATTAGGGATGTCTGCCAGGGGTGAGGGATAGAGGGAGACAGCACTCATTATCCCTGCTCTAGCTGAAGAAGGACCCCCACACAAGCTGGGGAGGAGGGCCGGCCTAGCACCTTCCTTAGCAAGGAGCCATTCCCCTCCCCACGATCAGCAGCCCCCAAGAAGGTCAAGCATATCACAGACTCAGGAAGCTGGGCTGGAGGGAGACCCAGAGCCCCTGCCTGACACTGCCTCCTTCGTTTTACAGATGGGAGACTGAGGCTCAGAGAGAGGCAGGGCCCTGCCCAAGGTTCCAGCGCAGGCCTCCTTCTTTTGGTCTCAGTGATCTCACTTCTTTGGTCTCTGCTTTTCCAGGGCTTCCAGGGCTGGCTGGAGACCATGGTGAGTTCGGAGAGAAGGGAGACCCAGGGATTCCTGGGAATCCAGGAAAAGTCGGCCCCAAGGGCCCCATGGGCCCTAAAGGTGGCCCAGGGGCCCCTGGAGCCCCAGGCCCCAAAGGTGAATCGGGAGACTACAAGGCCACCCAGAAAATCGCCTTCTCTGCCACAAGAACCATCAACGTCCCCCTGCGCCGGGACCAGACCATCCGCTTCGACCACGTGATCACCAACATGAACAACAATTATGAGCCCCGCAGTGGCAAGTTCACCTGCAAGGTGCCCGGTCTCTACTACTTCACCTACCACGCCAGCTCTCGAGGGAACCTGTGCGTGAACCTCATGCGTGGCCGGGAGCGTGCACAGAAGGTGGTCACCTTCTGTGACTATGCCTACAACACCTTCCAGGTCACCACCGGTGGCATGGTCCTCAAGCTGGAGCAGGGGGAGAACGTCTTCCTGCAGGCCACCGACAAGAACTCACTACTGGGCATGGAGGGTGCCAACAGCATCTTTTCCGGGTTCCTGCTCTTTCCAGATATGGAGGCCTGACCTGTGGGCTGCTTCACATCCACCCCGGCTCCCCCTGCCAGCAACGCTCACTCTACCCCCAACACCACCCCTTGCCCAACCAATGCACACAGTAGGGCTTGGTGAATGCTGCTGAGTGAATGAGTAAATAAACTCTTCAAGGCCAAGGGACAGTGGTCTAATTCAACTCTGTGTCCCAGCACCTGGCACACCAGAAGTGCCATGCTCAGAAATGTTGGTTACATGAATGAATGAACCATGAATGAATGAAATCTCTGTCCGTGTGCTGCTCTGTGCCAGCCACACAGTGGGAGGTGGGGGTCCAGCACCAACTATGCTCCCAGTGGTAGCCTACACCTTTTCCTGATTCTCTCACTAATCCTCACACTCCTCCTGGGAGAGGGCGCATCGTGCCCAGCTTACAGAAGAGCAAACTGAGGATCAGAAGGGATGAAGGGATTGTCCACAATCTCACAGCAGGGCTGGGATTCAAGGGCAGGCCTGCCCATTGATGGCCTGAGACCTTTTTTAAAGGCAACATGTCTAGGCCAGCCCCTAAAGGGGTTCTGTGCTTGTCCCTTCCTGTTACCCCTACCAAGGATCAAGGGGTCATCCTCCAAGGCTTTAACTGACCTTGGAGCAGGAACCTTTCCCTTTCTTATTCTCCCCACATGCCCTTCCTCCCAGTATCTTCTCAGCCTAGCACAAACTCAGCCATCCAGTTAGAGTAAATGTCACTCCCCCGCTCAAAAACCTTCAGTGGCTCCCCACTGCCCACCAGATACAGTCCCAGCCCATGAACTTGGCCTTCCAGCCTCACTCTACTGGGCCTTTCTGTCTTCTAAACAAGCCCACCTCAGTGCCCTTCCTCGCACTGTTCCCTTACCTAGAAGCCTTCCACTCTGCCCATCTACCCATCCTCATTCAAGCCACACCTCCTCCCTGAAGCAGGAACACCCTAGCTCTCGCACGCTCACTCCTCTGGCCTCCTCTACCCCAGAGCGTGCACAGCCAGCATTTGGCTCCTCACCCTGTCTCCCCAGCTAGGCTGTAGCTCTGCACCCTGCTCATCTCTGAGCCAGCACAGAACCCATGATGGACAGCAGCCACTCAGTAAAGATTTATTGCCTGATTGGCTGAGACCACAGGACTAGGACTCCAGAGTCCCGCCCAGCTCTGCACCTGCTCTCCTCAGCCTCTCCTACTAGCCCCAGCATCAAGACCCTCAACCAATCCTGACCTGAGATGGGAGGGATTTAAGATAGTCCCACCCGTGTCAACCAGTCCAGCCTCCTGTTTGGCTGGCCTGTCTCTCAGGATTCCATTCATTGGGTGCAGCTTCTGCCCTATCTCCTGGGCCTGGGGCCTGGCCTTGATGACCTGCCCTAACCCCAGACTAGGTCCAACCGAGACCTAGAATCTTTTCTCCAGGAGCTGGCCCTTATTTCTGCTGCTCAACCCTTTCAATGCAAACTGCCTGGCCTTTGACTCTAATACTAATAGTTATGATAGTAATGGTCACACCACAATTGAATTACTGTGTATCTAGTGCTTTGCGCACATCAGCTCATTTAATTCCCAACCACAACCCCTAGGAGGAACATAGTATCATCCTCATGTGGTTACATGACAAAAAATATAAAACTCAGAGAGGGCAAGCAATTTGTCCAGGGTCACAGAGCTGACAGCTACACAGCCAGGTTTGGAGCCTGCTTTTGTTTGCCTCAGATTTCATCACCTCCTTGCCATCCACATCTGTTGGAACCCCTTCTGCAGCAACCCCCCTCTGCAGCCCCATGACCTCTCACCTGAACCCATCTGACCTCAGGAGTTCACATTCTCGAGCCTCTGCAGTTGGGTCCATCCTTGCTAGGCTACACTGCACCCGGAAGCAGAGCTGGCTGCTGGTGTCGAGCATGCGCAGAGCACCCCATCTTGCTGCACAGACCCAGGCAGAGCCGGGCTTGTCTGAGAAGTCAGAGCTCCACGCTCCTGCCTGCTTGTCTCGGGAGCTGCTGTCAGGCCGCCTGGCTCTTCTGCAAGACCAACCCTCCTCGGACCCCTGACCCATAAACCCTGACCCTGCCCCCTGTCCTCCACCAGACCCCCGCAGTCAGGACACTCATAACAGTGCCCTTGTCGGGCCCTCCCAGGAGCTTCCAGACCTGCCAGAAATCCAGGCTCTGACTGTGTGTCTAGCCATGGCCATCATAGTCCAACATCCCTTGCTCTACGCAGACGTGCATGCATCTCGACTCTTCACATTTATTTATTTATATTTATTTTTGAGGCAGGGTCTTGCTCTATTGCCCGGGCTGGAGTGCAGTGGCGTAATCATGGCTCACTGCAGCCTCGATCTCCACGGCCCAAGCAATCCTCCCACTTCAGCCTCTCAAGTAGCTGGGACTACAGGTGTGCACCACCACACCCAGCTAATTTTTGCATTTTTTTGTAGAGATGGGGTTTCACCATCTTGCCCAGGCTGGTCTCGAACTCCTGGGCTCAAGCAATCCACCCGCCTCAGCCTCCCAAGGTGCTGGGATTATGGATGTGAGCCACTGCACTCAGCCTTCACCTTTATCATGGCTCTTTTCCAACCAGTTGGGATAGGGTTGCTCCTACAGCTCTCTGGGGAGATGAGTGAGGTTTCATTACAAGAACCTGGACCAAGAACAGTGTGGGAACCCAGAAGTGATCTGAGATGAGTCCTGGTAGCTCACCTGTTTTATCACTGCCCAGACACCTTCCTTTTCCCCTTGGTCCCATTCTCAGAGGCAGTGGGACTCAAATCTTCTGCCTGGGCTAGCAGTTGGGCAGGGAAAGGAAGGGAAGTGGCTCTCCTCAGGCTTATGACCCTTGAACCTCATGCACCCCCTTGATCCTGACCCCCATCCCTCAACATGCCAGAACCCTTTTACTTGCAAGTGACAGAAGCCCCTTCAAACAAACTTGGGAGAAAAAAGGGAGTAATCAGAAGAACCCAGGAGCAGGGGAGCTGCTCAGTCTCAGTGGACACAGGGTTGAGACCTGGGTGCCCCCCAGACCCGGACTGGGATATTACTCTGAGACCTCTCTTTTCTGCATCTCTCTCTGCAGAACTGCCCTCTCAACTGTGAAGGCAAGCGGATGCCCCCAGATGACGTCTGGACCCCCAAGTTAGCCCCCATCTTTCATAGAAGTGACACAGAGTCTAACATCTCCAATCCCCAGTTCCCAGGAGAGAGATGCAATTGCCCCTGCTTGGAATCAGGATACTCCTCGCCCAATCAGCTGAGGAGTAGATCATTCTAATCCAGTGCTTCTCAAACTTCAGCAAGCATCACAGTCACAAGAAGGGCTTACTAGAATTTGCATTTTCTAACAGTTCCCATAGGGTGCTGTTGCTTCTGGATTTGTTTGTTTTTTTTTAAATAGAGATGGGGTCTTGCCATATTGCCCAGGCTGGTCTCAAACTCCTGGGCTCAAGTATTCCTCCTGCCTCGATCTCCCAAAGTGCTGGAATTACAGACACGAACCACCTCGCCCGGCCTGTTGCTTCTGTTTTGGAGACGACCTGTTGAGAACCACTGCCCTCATTATATTGCTCCCATTCTGTAGATAAGAATATTGAGACTCGGGGAGGGATGCTATTTGCCCATATCATGCAGAGGATCTGGGATTTCAATCCAGGTCTATTTAATCACGTGTTGAAGGCCTGTGCACTGTGGCCAGACTACAGGCAACCCCTCCTTTGTTTCAGGCTTTGTAATTTATAAGTCTTATCTCGTTTAATCCGTGGTGGGCCCGTACTATTGCTATGACCATTTCACAGATATGGAAACTGAGGTACAGGGAGCCCAATGGGTGGGGGCAGTTCTCAGAACAGCACTGGCAGGCCCTGTTAAATATGTCACCTTCTGACTACAGTGCTGAGTCCTGGCTTCACCCCCTGTTGACCCTGACCAACACGCCCCTCCCAGTGACCCACAATGCTTTAAGTCAGTTACGAGAGGAAAGGAGAGGAAAGGGCAAAGAAGCAGGAAGGTGGGGGCTTAATAAACAATGGTAACAACAACTCACACCATGCACGGTTCTATGTACTTCATGTTAACCTGTGTAACCTTTACAGTCATGTTCCCCTTTTACAGGTGGGAACACGGAGGCAGAGCAGTTCAATGACTTGCCCGAAATTCTGCAATTAGTTAAGTAACAGAACCAGGTTCAACGCCCGGCAAGTCAGTTCTGGAGCTGCTGCTCTGTCACTGCAGACAGAAGGATCCCCGAAGGGTGGTGCTGGTGGCAGTTGCGGGCACTAGCTCTTGACTTAGACCTGAGTCCGAACCCTGCCTGGGCTTCTCACTAGCTGTGTGCCTCCCATCAAGTGACTGCCCTGGTCTCCTGTTTTACCCCCATACAAATAAACAATGCACCTGTGATGTCCTGGCGCAGATCCTTGATTCTTTTCTTGGATTAGACCCCTAGAAGTGGACTCCCCAGGTGAAAGGATATGCACTTTTGAAGGCTTTGAAATGTGTTTCCAAATGGAGGGATGGGCTGTCAAGGCTGAACATGCCAGGCCTGTTCCAGGCTTGCTGCCACCAGGGGGGAGCAGACACCAAGACAAGGACTGCCTGGAAAAGGGACCGGTGGTTACGCGGGACCGTGGAAACTCCTCCCTCCCTGCTCTCTTCTCCCCCAGGCCTTCCCACTCTCTGGGTGGGCTATGAACTTCCAGGGAGGTGCTGAGGTCAGCTTTGAAGACCCAGGTTCCTTCTAAACCAGCGTCCTCAACGTGGGGTCCCAGCATCAGCCTTGCCTGGAAACTTGTCAGAAATGCAAATTCTCTGGCCCCATCTCAGTCTGGCTGAATCAGAAAATTGGACGCAGGAGCCCAGCAGTCACCTGCCCAGGTGATTCTGATGCAGCCAAGCTTGGGAATTACTGCTTTAGACCAGGGGTTGCCTCCTTTTTCTGTAAGCAACCAGGAAATATTTTAGGCCTTGCAGGCCATACAGCATCTGTTGCAAGTATTCAGCCCTCTTTTTGTAACATGAAAACAGCCATGAGCAATATATAAATAAGTGAGCATGGCTATGTTCCAATACATCTTTATGAACACTAAAATTTGAATTTTACATAATATTCTCGTGTCACAAAATATTTTCCTTTTGTTTTTTTTTCAACCATTTAAAAATGTAAAAACCATTCTTAGCTAGCAGGCTGCACACAACAGGCTGTGGGCTGAATTTAGCCTATGGGTTATAGTTTGCCAACCTTCTCTAGTCCCAAATATGGCTCTAACCTTGGAAAAGAGGAGCAGGAAGTTGAGCCCAGCACTGCCTGACTCCCAAGTCAGTACTCCTTCCTGTAAGTTCGTCTGCCAGATCCCAACCTTGGGACACTGGCAGAAAAACTCTCTGGGTCTCACTGCCTTTAACAGTAAAATGAGCATTGCAATCTCTGTGCAATCTGAGGCACTGGGTCGCCTATTTTACTGTGCAATGAGATCCCCTAGAAACTTGCTAGCATGCAGTTACCATACCAGAGGTGCTGATGGTTCTGTTTCCATCAGATTAGACAATATCTGGAGGGGCCTGGGAATCTGCACTTCTCTCAAATACCTTGCTTTGGTTTCAAGGTGGCCCTCCACCTCCAGCCAGGGGCTGGGCTAATGAACATGAAAGCTTGAATAGCAGTAGACGCAGCCTCTTCCCCCAGGAATCCAGTGGCTATATGGGGAGAGAAAATGGGAAGAAGACTTTTTGTCTGTCAGCACCTACAAAAGATGAGAAATGCAGCGAAGAAGAAAAGCCTACGGGGCTTTGAGAGGCTGGGTTCAAATCTCACCTCTACCACTTACAAGCTGCGTGTTCTCAGGCTAATTACTTAACCTCTCTGGGTCACAGTTTCTTCATCTGTCACATGGGGGTGATAATCAGACCTACTCCAGAAAGCTGATGAGGATTAAATGGGATTCTGTGTGCAAAGCCCCTGGCACACAGAAAGTTCCCCACAAGTAGCAGCTGTCGTTATGGTGATGGGTTGTTTAGAATCAGGATGCTATGGTGGTGCAAGCGTTCCCCAAATTTTCATGTACACAGAAATCACCTGGGGTCTTGTCAAAATGCGGATTCAAATTCAGTAGGTCTGGGATAGAGGCCTGATAATTTGCTTTTCTAATAAGTTGCTGGGAGGCATTGATGCTGCTGAGCTGGGACCACGCTTTAGGTAGCCAGGGTTAGAACCAACCGGTGGTTCAGCATTTTGATTTGTTATGAAGTTGAATTCCGTCATCCATAGGCACCAGTTAGCCTAGGAGCTGGTAGACAGCAAGTGCTCTGTAATTAACATGTTACCCGTACTGTTGCTATCGTGCTCATTGTGATGATGTTCTGATGGTGAGGATGCGGGAGTTCAAGGTCAGGCAGAGGAAAGGACAAAGGGTGGATCATCGTTTCCCCAACGCTGAGCATTGTGGTCTCCCTCCTGTTTCTCCTCCATGCCCTCGCCTTTCTGGTCTCCTGCTGACAATGGAGCACCAGGTGCCCTGCCTTAAACCACCCCCCTACCCAACACACACACACACACACACACAAACATGCCATCCTTTCAGAGCAAGCTGCAAGCTGCATTTATCTTTGTGCATAGCCAGGAGGCATTCTCATAGACAACCCTGTTGACTAGATGCAGGAGAAAAGGGGGTGTTTGTTCGAGAAACCCAGCAGCCCACCCAGGGAGGGACACCCGCAGTGAGGGGACCTGGCAGAGCAGGAGGCACCCTGGATGGGAAGTAAAGAGCTCCCAGTTTTACGCTGGTCTCGGAACCTGACTTACTGTGCAACTTCAGACAAGTTGCTACCCCTCTCTGAGCCTCAGACTATCCCATAGAAAGAGGGGCTTGCATCAGACTCACCAGGGGAGCCTGTGATAGTGTCAAGCCCACCCCAAGCCTATTGATTAGGAACTAGGGGAGCTTGGTGATGCCCTCAAGAAAAGGGTAATGAATGGTGACAAGGTCACCGACCAGTGAGAAAGCAGTAGCCCAGTCCCTCGATTACACCTTACTTATCCAGAATCCTCAGCTACGCAGAACACGGCCAGGACCCAGGAGGGAACAAAGGAGGCCAAAACTGACATCTCACAGCCCAGAGAGCCTGGAAGATTCATGTTTATCAAATGAATGCATGAAAGCATGGCTATATTAGTTAATTAATTAATTGACTGATCGACTCCAGAGAGTATAGGACCTGGAGACAGATATACATAATATATGCTCAGTGAATAGCTGCCAAACGGAATGAAGAAAGGTAAGATGGAAGGACTGTCAAAATTATGTCCTGCCTGGAAAGATAGGGCCTATACTAATAATGTTTCCTAAGCCCTTGGGACAATTTCCAGGGGAAGGCTTGGCATCTGGAAGGAAAGGAAAGCAGGCAGGGAGAAGCCAAACTGAGCCTCATGAACGTACCCGTTGTGCAGACATTAGCCCATGTCATCCTCACAGCAGCCCCTGATGTGGGCATCATTACCACTGTCCAGAGGCAAGGACCCAATGGACAACTGAGGCCCGAGAACCTCCAGAGAAACCCACTAGGGCTCAGAGAGCATTCAGGGCTTTAGGAACCTACCTTTCTTTCTTTCCTTCCTTCCTTCCTTCCTTCCTTCCTTCCTTCCTTCCTTCTTTCCTTCCTCCCTCCCTCCCTTCCTCCTTTCTTTCTTTCTTTTCTTTCTTTCTTTCTTTCTCTCTCTCTCTTTCTCTCTCTCTTTCTTTCTTTTTCTTGAGACAGAGTCTCTCTCTGGCTCCCAGGCTGAAGTACAGTGGTGTGATCTTGGCTCACCGCAACCTCTGCCTCCCAGGCTCAAGCAATTCATCTGCCTCAGCCTTCCAAGTCACTGGGATTACAGGCGCGCACCATCACACCTGGCTAATTTTTGTATTTTTAGTAGAGACGGGGTTTCACCATGTTGACTGGGCTGGTCTCGAACTCCTGAGCTCAAGTGATCTGCCCAACTCGTTCTCCCAAAGTGCTGGGATTACAGGCATAAGCCACCATGCCTGGCCCATACTTTCTTTGTAGCCTCCACTCTCATTTCTGTCTACGTCTTCCTGCCTTTCCAACCACATTTTCCCATTGCTTTTGCAGATTCTTCTCATTTATGTCTTCTCATCACTTTTTTTTTTTTGAGACAGGGTCTTGCTCTTTTGCCCAGGCTGGAGTGCAGTGGCATGATCAT
The DNA here is from genome assembly GCF_000001405.40 of Homo sapiens. Lineage (NCBI taxonomy): Eukaryota > Metazoa > Chordata > Mammalia > Primates > Hominidae > Homo > Homo sapiens. The sequence goes on from NC_000001.11 coordinate 22,669,580, forward strand.
GGCTCACTGCAGCCTCAACCTCCCAGGCTCAAGTGATCTTCCCACCTCAGCCTCCCAAGTAACTGGGACCACAGGTGCACACTACCATGCTCGGCTAATTTTTGTATTTTTTGTAGAGACGAAGTTTTGCCATGTTGCCCAGGCTGGTCTCAAACCCCTGGGCTCAAGCAATCTGCCCTCCTCAGCTTCCCAAAGTGCTCAGATTACAGGTGTGAGCCACGGCACCCTGCTTCATCACATACTTCTCCCTATAATCTGCCTTACAGCATCTGTGGAGCAAGAGAGGACGTAAACAAGTCAACCACCAAAAAGAAGGCAAAGGAAGCAAAGCAGGATGCACCAAGCAACTCCGACGTGTCAGGTGCCATGCCAGGTGCATTGTGCAGGTTCCCTCACTGGCTTCTTGCTTGAGCCCTACCGAGTTCATTCCTGCTTTGCCACCTTCTAGCTGGATGACCTTGACAAGCAAGTCGCCTCGACTCTGAGCTTTTATATCCTTGGCTACAAAATGGAACTCTATTGGCTACTATTGTTATGAGCATTCCATGAGCTAGTGTATGTAAAGCACCCACCTGGCACATAGTAGACATAAAATAAAATCTGGCTGTTATAAAGAAACACAAGGCTGGGCACAGTGGCTCACGCCTGTAATTCCAGCACTTCAGGAGGCTGAGGCAAGTGCATTGCTTGAGCCCAGGAGTTCGAGACCAGCCTGGGCAACATAATGGGACCCTATATTTACAAAACATAAAAAAATTAGCTGGGTGTGATGGCACACACCTGTAGTCCCAGCTACTCGGGGGGCTGAGGTGAGAAACTCTGTTGAGCCCAGGAGGTAGAGGCTGCAGTGAGCCATGATCACACCACTGCACTCCAGCCTGGGCAACAGACCAAGACCCTGTCTTAAAACAAAACAAAACAAAAGAACCACACACCCTCCCAGACACATAGTAGGCCCTCAACAAATGTTAGCATCCTCACCTGTGGAATGTGACTATTGGTTGTTGTGAGGTTCAGGTGAGCCACAAGAGGCAAAAATCCTGTGCCCACCTTAGGACAAATTTTTCCTTCTCCCTCCAGCCTGGATTCCAGCCATTCCAACAAGCCCCTGCCTCTGCAGGGCTTGCGGCGGCAGCACGTGAGCCGTGCCACAGGGTGGGTCTGTCTGCAGGCTCCAGGCCTGAGTTAGCATATCTCGGGGCGGGCTCCCCATGCCAGCACAGGTATCCACAGGAGAGACAGCTGGGCCCTCGTTAACAAGGTGTCTCCAGACCTTATTTGGAATACGTCAGCTACTGTGATTAAAGACAGTACATAAATGTCAGCCTCGCCGGGCCCCAGCCCCAGCTGGTTTCCGGGGAAGGAGACCAGAAAAATATGTCTTCATTCCTTCTGTTTTACAGCTTAGGCCATGATGGCTTTATACAGAGCGAGTTCACCGTGGTGGAAACCTGCGCAGGTCCTGCCAGGCGTGGGGAGTGGGAGAACAGTCTCCCATTGAGCCCCCCGCCAGGCCAGGCCTGATTGTCGTGTGACCTGCAGTCACTTCTCCCCTTCAGAGCCTCGGTTTCCTCATCTATAAAATGGGGACATAATATATGTGCCCATGGGTTCTTAAGAAATAAAGATCACCTTTGGAAGCTGCCCAGGGTAGTCCCTCTCCAGGAGCAGGCACTCACTGCAACCAGGAAAACACAAAAAGGGGCACACTGGGGAATGGAGCTGCCCACTTTGTAGACACAGGTGCTCAATGAATGGCCCTTTCCTTGGATCCAAGTGGGGAGAGACTTTGACATTCTCAGTGAAACAACATTGAAAGTAGGTAATTGGGGGCAAAGTAAGGTGCAGGAGCACTGCTCCCAGAGTCACTGACTCACTGTGTGACCTCAGATAAGTGACTCCAGTCTCTGGGACTGGGTTTCCTCATCTGTAAAATCCCTGGCCCGGCCGGGCTCTTCCTTTTGGAGCACTGTGATAAGGCCAATACCTGGCCTCAGTTTCCCAATCTGTAAAATGACGGGACTGGACCAGATGATCTCTGGCTCATCTCAGCTCAGGCACATGGAATTTTTTCCAGGAAGTGAAACAATGGTCAGGACTAGGCTGCGTGGAAAAGGGAGATTTCATGATTAACGCAGGGGCAGAATCCCATGGCAAGAGAAGCCGTTCTGGAGAGTGGGGTTATGTACCTGAGGTCACACAGTGCGTAGGTGACTCTGAGACCAGTGCTCCTGCCATTCCTATGGCAGGAGAAGCCCTTGATGCTGTTGGAGTCCCTCAGGGAGGCAGAAAGATAAACCCAGGGCAGGGAGAGAGCTCACCATGCTGCAACCCGAGCACCAGACAAAGGTAGCCTGGGAGACCTGTCTCCCAGTCCCAATGGCAGGATGAGGGCAGGGGAGGGGACTGGAGATGCCTTTTCACAAATTGCTTCTGAACCTCAGAAAAAGAGAATAGCCTGGCACCAACTTTGCTCCTCCCTTGTTCCAGGTTTTGTTCCAAACACTTTACACATCTTCACTCATTTAATCTCCATGAGGCAAGTGTGACTGTTATGCCCATTTCACAGATCTGGAAAGTGAGGTATAGGGAAGTAATTTGACCGAGTCCTCACAGCTAGCCCACGGCAGAGCTGGGGCATGGACTAAGACAGTCTGGCACTGAAGCCACTCTCTTGAAGTATCAATGATGAAGAGCACCATTTAATGAGCACCTACTATGTAACAGGTGCTGTGCTGGCTTCCTTACAGAATGATCTTCATTAACTGGGACAGCATTCTTACGAGGACGGCACTTTGTTACTCACATTTCATAGAGGAAGAAATGAAGGCCCAGAGAAGTGAAGCACCTGGCCTTGGTCACAGAACTGGAATGTGGCTGAGCTGGGATTCTGACCCAGGGCCCAGGCCCCTTCCATGCCACCAGGCTGGACAGGACCCCCTCTGCAGAAACTCTGAGTAGAGGCTAAAGCAAATGTCAGGAGACAGAACACAGCTATGTCTTGTGTAGAATGGTAGGAAAGTCTGTCAGGTGGTCCCGGGACAAGAAAAGGCATCCAGAACACAGCTGGGTGTTGGGGAGATCCCTATGAAGGATGTCTGGGGGCTTTGAGGGGCTCTGGGGGGCTTCAAGGGGTTCTGGCAAGCTTCACACAGCATCAGAGTCGTGAAGGCAGGTCCTCTGATCGAGGGCCTGCTGTGTCCTGGGCACTGTATTAAGTGCTTTGTATTCATTATTGCTCAATTCTTACCGTGGTAGGAATGGCATAGATCTCATTACTATCATCCCCATTTCATGCATAAGGAACTGAGGCTCACACAGGCTCACACTAGTCCAGGGTCACATAGCTAGCAAGAGCCAAACTCAGGTCCCCCCGTTTAAAAGCCAGTGCCTTTCCAATGGGCCAACCCTTCCTTCCCAGGTTCAAAGTGCTCAAGCCACCCAAACCGCATGGCTCAGGATCTGGTGCACGGCAGGTCCACGGCCTTGCCCCTTCCTAGCTCCATCCCAGGACCCTGAAAGGGTTAACTTCCCTGTGGCCCCAGGTCCGTCCCTGTCAGCCCACCACCCCTGCCCCTGCGTTATGAGGACCAGACCAGCTCTCGCTCCCGGCAGCTGACGAGTTCTCCGCTCAGTGGTTCGCGCTCCAGATATTAAATTACTCATAAAATATTTGACCTGTCCCCAAAGTGGCTGCTGCCTCCTCCCTGTGCCCACTGCTCACTTCACAACAGAAGGTCACACTATTCCATGGGGGAGGGGCCCTTGGAAAATGAACCCAACTTCATCTTGGGGGATCTGGGAGCCCAGGAAGGGGTAAGCTCTGGTAAGGTTGGGATGTTCCAAGGGCAAGGATTCTGTCCCCCATTCTGGGGCCCCCCGGCCTGGCCTGAGCAGAAGACTATGCCCCCAAATCTCCATGCTGCAGGGTACAAAGAGCCCAGAACTGCTGACTGCCCCGAGTCCCTCAGGATAAGGCCAAGGGTGACCTGGAATAGGTTCCCATTGTCTGAGGGACGAGTGGTCTCTCCTCTCCTCCTCCCTCCCCTCCTCAGTTGCCATGGCAACCACAGTGGGGGGTGGGAGGCTGGACCGCTCAGCTCCTGGCCGGGCTACCCGGCATGCTCTGCTTTCACCCAGTTTTCTCCCTCGTTGCCCCTTGGCAGGCAGGGGGTGGGGCAGACCCAGCCCTTTCACGCAGCGGAGGGTTTGCAGCCAAGGAGCATCACCTCCCGTTCCCTGCCTTCACGCAGGAGGTTTTCCGGCATGGCCCCCAGGAATAGGACTTTTCTGAGTATGGTTTATCAGATAATGATTTTGGGGAGGGGTCTCTCTCAAGCCCCCTGGAGTTAATGAAGTCAGTTAAGCCCTGGGATTAGAAGGTCGGGGTCATGGGTACAGCCCATGTTTGCAGAGTAACGCCCCACCCCACCCCTAGCTCCCACCAGCTGTTTCAGAAATGCCTAATGCTGGTCGTCTAGGGAACTAGTGAGAGGGTCTGGACAGGACATGGCAACCTCATCCTGAGTACCCACAGTCACAGTCCCTCAGAGTATATACCCCGCAGCCTGGGCATTGGGAGCCTCCTCTCTTTCTTCCTGCCCCCTCATAGATGACACATTTTTCATAATAGTAGTGTATATATTACTAGTAAGTTCTTATCACCCTGGCCTGGAGTTTCATAAAGTAATACTGAAAGAAACTGGGTTTAGCCTTTGTCGTGGCTCTACTTGGGGTACACTGCCACCAGGTGGCGGTAGGCACTTTCCAACTACTCCCTGAGATTCCAGAAGATGATATTCCACTTTTACATTCCACCACCACAACCTATAAAATGCCATTGCTTTTTTACTTTTATATTAAGATTACAGGACTTTATAAATAGCCAAAGTTAAGGAGGCTTTAAACAAACTCTATGTTTTGGTAGTATAGCATAGCAGACAGCACAAACTCTAGAGCCAAACTGCCTGAGTTCAAATCCTGGCTCAGCCACTTGCTAGCTAGTTAACCTTGGACAAGTTACTTCTCTGTGCTTCAGTTTCTTTATCTGCAAAATGGAGATGATGGAAAGCAACTCCCTCGATGCATTGTTTTAAAGACTCAATGAGTGAATGTACATGAAGCATTTAGAACAGTGCCTGGCACAGAGCATTAAGCTCTTTAGAAATGTTGGTTATCGATATTTAAAGATGAGCATAAGGGAAAAGTTTCAAAAACAGTTCATTTTGAGACCCACGGACATATCTTTCTCTGCTCAATCTTTTATCTGGTGTTTCTAATCTGGTGATTCATTTCAGGGCTGCCCTGCTAGACACCCATCATCTGCCCAGATGCCTCTTCCAGCTCCCTCAACCCCACATTCAAGCCCATATCCTAATGCCTTTACCTCCCGGGTGTCTGTGGGATTGTCCCCTGCACGCCCTGTGCACAGCCACCCTGATCTCATTCCTGAACCACTGCAACTGTCCCCCTGCCTCTTGCCTGCTCCCCTCCAACCATCTTCTCACCGCTGCCACAGTGATTTTTCTAAAACAAAAATATGCCTCTACTCAAATGCCCTCCATAGCTCCCCAGTGACTCAGTATCAAGTCCAGGCTCTTCAGGTAGGTCCGTCTCCTCATCTCCCACTCCAGCTTCATGCCCCCATCTCCACTGTCAGAATGCCATGCCCTGGTTCCAGCTGCCTCCTTGTAGTTCTCCCAAAGCCTTGGGCTCCCAGGCTCTGTAGCCTGGGCAGGGGCTGCCTCCTCTGTCTGCATCTCTTCCTTCCTTCTCCTGCCTGCCCATCTCCTGCCTGCTAAGCCTCAAGATGTAGCCCCTGTCTCCCTTTCCCTGGGAAGCACTTATGATCCCTCCACGGCCTCTGAACCGGGTGCAGACCTTTCTCGGCATGCCCAAAGCCTCTGCATGCTGGAAAGGGGCTGTCTCAGTTTGTTGGTATCACCAGAGATGCCCTGCACACAGCAGGCCCTCAGAGTACCTCTAAGGAATGAATCCAGAATGTCCATTTTGCCAATTCGGCCTACAATGTCCTCTTTCCCATCTTCTCCGTCCCAGCATCTCTTTCTAGGTCTGGCTCAAATATCACCTGTTTAGGAGCCTCCTGGTAACCCGCACGCCCATGTCATCCCTGCATTAACTATTTCACTCTCTCCTCAAAGAGGCAAATGCAATAGGCATGAACTTGACATGTGTGGAATGAATGAACAAATGACCAGGATTATGGTCTAGACCAATGTTTCTCAACCGGGGTTGGCATCCCCCCAGGGGACATTTGACAATGTCTGGAGACCTTTTTGGGGTCACAGGGTTGCTACTGAGATCTGGTGGTGGAGGCCAAGGATGCTGTAACACCTCCTGCAATGCACAGGACCGCCCCCAACCAGAAGTTATCTGCCCTAAATGTCACTTTCTCAAGGCTGAGAAACTGGGCTAGAGCTTGTTGCCTACAAATCTGTCTTCCTAGTACGCAGAGGGCCCCAAGCACTGAGCCTGATCTTATTTCTCCTGATTTTCTCAGTACCCACCGCAGAGCAGGCACGCAACAATTTTTTTTTTTTTGACACGGAATCTCGCTCTGTCACCCAGGTTGCAGTGCAGTGGCACGATCTCGGCTCACTACAACCTCTGCCTCCCGGGTTCAAGCAATTCACCTGCCTCAGCCTCCCGAGTAGCTGGGATCACAGGTGCACGCCGCCACATCCGGTTGATTTGTCTGCATTTTTAGTAGAGGCGGGGTTTCACCGTGTTGGCCAGACTGTTTACGAACTCCTGACCTCAGGCGATCCACCCGCCTCGGCCTCCCAAAGTGCTAGAATTACAGGCATGAGCCACTGCGCCCAGCCAACAGTTTTTCAAAATAAGCTCATGGGTGACATAATTCTTGTCCTTTTCCTCTCCCCAGCTTCCACCTCTCACTAGGAGCTTGGCCTCAAACTATTGTCAAAAGCCCCTTCTGGGACTATTCTTGCTAAGTCCCTCCAGTTTCTGCTGCCCCCAACCTTCCCTTTCTCAGATTCTCCTGGTCCCCACAGCTACGCGGAGTAAACTGGCAGGAAAGGAAGACCACATTTCCAAGATGGCGGGGAGCTTTGCTGGGCTCTGGGGACCCTAGGAGTCAGTCCTGGTTGGTGACTAACTTGCTGTGTGACTTGGCTGAGTCACAGACCTGTCTGGGCCTCCAGCTCTCAGTGAGGTGATGGGGGCGTGTAGACAGACCCTCTCTGGGCCTGCCCCCTCTAAAGGACGGTCCTAGCAGTCCCCCCGACTCCCAGCACCTCTCCCCTGCATGCAACAGTGCTCCCTGGGAAATTCTGGGAGGTGGGAGGGAGACAAGGATTCCCCCGTCTTTCCCCAGCCCGGGTGATCCAGGTGCTCCCGGCTCTGCCGCGCACTGGGGTGCCACCGTCTCCAAGGGCGCCGCTGTCAGCTGTGACCCCTGCGCCCCCAGAGGCGGCCAAACAAGCGGCCTTTGTGGTCTGTGCGTTGGCGGCCCTCGGGGAGCGTCACAAAGGGTGGGAAGAAAGGCCGCCAATCCTCTTAGGGCCAGCCGCCCGCTTTCCCACTGCGGCCCATCTGCTCCTGGGGAGCGGGCATAACCGCCGCCTGGCCCCACGGCGCGCAAAGCAAGCAAAAGCTGCCCGGGAATGAAAGGCAGGGGCCCGGGCCAGCCCAGATCCCCACGGCAAACACAGGCCTGGCCGGGGGCCTGGGAGGGGGCAGGGCTGATCCCCGGGGGAGACCACGGTTAAAAGCGCCGCCCCAGGAGGGGGACCCAGGGCTAATCCCCTCCTGCCCCACGCCTTCCCTTCCCACACCCCTACAAGGGGAAGGGGAAAGGCAGGGAAGGGCTGGGATCAAAGGTCCTTCCTCCTGTGCCAGGCGCTCAGTGGGGCCCTTTCTACGCACCCCTATCTTTTCCTTGAAGCACCCTATTTTACAAAGGGGCTCAGTAAGGCTAAGTCACTTGCCTAGGGTCACCCAGCTGCGATGTGGCAGAGCTGGGATCTCAGCGGGAGGCTGAATCTGAATTCTTTCATCCACGTAGCTGAAGTTTGCTGAGTCTCTCCATTGCCATGGGCTCTACAACCATCTCCATTGCTTACTGCAACTCTTTTAACAGATGGGGAAACTGAGGTCTGTAGGCAGGTGGTGATTGCCCAAGAGCACAGACCCGATCAAGTCCTGGCTCTACCATTCCTCTGCATTCTGGTCCCAACCCCCATCACTCATGTGCAAGCTTGGGCTCTGCCAGCCCCCAGCATGGGCCCTCAGGCAGGTCACTTCACCCCCAGGAGCCTCGATTTCCTCCTATGGAAACTGGGGATCTGTGAAGGGCGTAGTTCTGAGGGTTTGATGAGATGATCTGCTAAAGACTTTAGCTCCTGGCACACAGTAGGCACCCAATAATGGCAGCTGCTATTGTTATTACTTGGCCCAGAGCAGGATGGATCCCAGAACAGGAAGAGAAGGAAACAAAGAGTTTCCGCTCACTAATGGCTGGCCCCAAATACTCCTTTTTTCCATGGTTGGGGTTGGTTTGGCAGAGTAAGGAAGGAGCTGGAGAGAGGGGGAGGGAGGCAATGGATGCGTGGGAGGCCGCAGCAGGGGCCCAGGCTGAATCCACCCAGGGAGGGGGCTATCGACCAGCTGCCCCACCTCCCACCCACGAGAGGCCCAGAGCCCAGGCGTGGTGGCATCCAGGACATCAGAGCCCAAATGCTGCCTCCTACACACACACACACACACACACACGTGCACACACACGTTTGCACACACACACATACACTCATACATGTGTGCACACACAAATATACACACATACACGCGCATACATACACATACACACATAACCATACACATGCACACACACACCCCACACACATACACACACACATAACCACACATGCACACACCCCACTCCCACACACACATGCACACACATACCCCCCACATACACACACACACAACCACACATAACCACACTCACCACAAATACATGCACACACACATACACACGGACATACATATGCACACATACACTCACACGCACACTCATACACACAGACATACACTCTCACATACACACACAACCACATACACACATATCCCCCCACAGAGACACACATGTACACACACATACACACAGACATACACACTCTTACACACACATAGCCACACACACCACAAATACATACATGCACACACATGCATGTACGTACACACATACACACAGACATACACACACACACATAATCACATACACACACATCCCTCCACAGAGACACATACACACATGCACACACACACACACAAACCACACACCACACACAAATACATACACATGCACACACCCATACATACACACACATACACTCACACACATATACACATAACCACATACACACACATATCCCCCCTGAGACACACATACACACATGCACACACACATACACACAGATATACAAACCCTCACACACAACCACAACACACACCACATAAATACACATGCATGCACACACACATGCACATATATACACAAACATGCACACAGACATACACTGTCACACATACACACAACCACGCACACCACACAAATACACACATGGACACACACACACATGCACATACATATACACACATATACTCACACCCCCACAGAGACACACACATACACACATGCACACACGCATACACACATGCACACAGACATACACTGTCACACACATACACGCACATAACCACACACACCACACACAAATACACACATGGACACACACATGCACATACATATACACACAAATACTCACACACATATACCCCCACAGAGACACACACATGCACACATGCACACACACACACACATACACGCACACACACATACACACACACAGACGCGCGCGGCCCCAGCTCTGACTGTTTTGCAGATTTGGAACCTGAGGCTTGGGAGAGGGGCTGTGGCTCACTGAAGATCACTTGGCTCTTGAGCATGGCCCAGGCCCCTCAGTCACCCTCTCCCATCTCTCAGTGGGATCTGGCCCTGAATCCCACCAGCCTTGCTCCATGCCTTGTCCACCAAGGAGCCACGCAGGGGACAAGGGCAGGGGACAAGGGCAGGGGACAAGGAGGTGAAGGTCCCTATGCTCCTGTCGAGCAGGCTGAGTTAGCCATTCTGCCCCGGGCATTCCCCTAGATCTGGAAATGGGTTCTGCTCAGAAAATGGAAATGAATCCATTATTCATTCTCTCTTTTCTCTTCCCTTCCTGCCTCCCCGTCTCTCCCTCCTTCCTTCCATCTTTTCCCCCTGCTTGCCCTCTCTTTGTCTCTTTTTTTTTCTCTTAATGTCTCTTTTAATCTCTCTCACATTCACCGTCTTTCCCCTTCCAGCTGCTCCTCCCCCAACTCTTGCCCATGACACGGTTCCCAGGGAACCTGACGGTGTGGCTTTGAGCCTGTTTCTGTTCCCCTCCATATACCAGGGGGTTGTTGGGAGCTTCCCCCACTGACAGGCCCCCTCTGGGGTATGGAGGTACAGTTAGTGCAAGATAGGCCATGGTTTGGGGTCAGTTCCAGCCCTGTCACCAACCTTATGTAACTCCTTTTCTTCTCCAAGTCTTATCTCTTCCTCTGTGCATGGAGTGGGCACACATGAAGAACACGGCCTCCACAAGTGCCCTGCCCCCAAGAACCAGAGCCACTGAGCCCTTTGAGGGTTGCATAAGAACTGTATTCACCTTTGAAAATGGTCCCTCCTCCAAATCTTAGTGCCTGATGTCCTGCCCAAAGCTGTCAGACTGCCCCCCTCCCAGAGCAGAGCACAGCAGAGCAGGCCTGGGGATGTCCTGACTCGGACTGACTCCAAGATGTCACCACTAGACCAACGCATTCCCAGTTAACCTTGGCCTTGGAGGGTGAGAGGTCACAGAAATAAGCGAGACCAGGAGTCAGACAACCTAGGTTCTAATCCCCCCTCTGCTTCATGCCTGGCTGAGGGTGTTGGAGAAGTCACTTTACCTCTCCTGGCCTCATTAGCCCTCATCAGGGAACTGGAGCTAATTGCTGATTTGTGCTTGAAACTAAAGAAAGGGAGGTTACCAAAGAAACTGGCACTAAGGTGGCATTTTGCTGAATTCATGGATGGGCTAATTTATGGACCACAGATTGTCTGCTCTACCCAGGCCCTTTCTACTTAGGGGGAAACTGAGGCTGGGAGAAGGGAGGCAACCTGCCCGGGGTTGGCAGCGAGTGGCAGCAGTGCCCAGACTTGAATTCCAGCCAGACGTTTAGCAGTTCCTCAGTGCAGGCTATCAAAGACAGCCGATTCCAAAAGGGAGATCAAAGGCCTGCTTCCTTATTTACAAAGAGAAGTCCTCATTAAAACATGGCCAACGGCTGAGGCGGCTGTGGAGATGGGCCACGTGTGTGCCAACAGAGAATTCACCATCCCAGACAGACTGTGCTGAGCGGCAAGGGAGCCGTTCAGTGAGTCTGTGCTAGGGAGAGCCAGCCCTAGGGTGGGGTAGTTAGGGAGGGCTTCTTGCAGGAGGACTGGGCTCAGGCCAGCCTCACAGGGAAGACGGGACATCTGGGACATCCAAGGAGAGCTGACCGCAGCTACCTTTTTTTTTTTTTTTAGCTGGAGTCTTGCTGTGTTGCCCAGGCTGCAGTGCAACGGCACTATCCCGGCTCACTGCAACCTCTGCCTCCCAGGTTCAAGCGATTCTCCAGCCTCAGCCTCCTGAGTAACTGGGAGTACAGCATGTACAACCACGCCTGGCTAATTTTTGTATTTTTAGTAGAGACAGGTTTTCTCCATGTTGGCCAGGCTGGTCTCGAACTCCTGGCCTCAAGTGATCCACCTGCCTCGGCCTCCCAAAGTGCTGGGATTTCAGAAGTGAGCCACCGCACCTGTCCCACAGCCACCATTTATTGAGCACCTACTGCATACCAAGCACTGACGGTAACTCTGAGAGGCTGGGATCCTGTCCCCATTTTCCAGGGGAGGAAACAGAGGCACAGGACCTGCCGGGGGGGTTGCCACAGGGCAAGCCAGACCCCACTGAACCCGGCTCTGGGGTCTCCATACCTCCAAGCTTGTCGCTTCTGGGCTGCACTGCCTCTTCAAGGATAACATGAGCCACTGTGTGTGTCTGGGGGTGGGAACATGGTCTGTCACCAGAGTCATTTGTCAAAAGCCAAATGCGTGGGTAGTGGGGTGGAGGGGACCAAGGAGGGCCTGGCTGGAACAGCAGGTTGGGGCTGGACTAGACAGATCCTCCCAGCATGCAGGGCCCAGGGTTCTTTGATTCGACGGAATCCTTCGTGAGTATCTACTACGCAACAGGTACTGTTCCAGACATGAGGGACACAGCAGCGACAAAAACAGATGGCACCTGGACTTATGGAGTGGATCCCTTGAGGAGAAGGATGAAGAATAAATCCATAAATAAATACGATCATGTCTCATTTCAGATGGTTATCAGTCTTCCAGAGCTGCTGCAATAAGATAACACAAACCAGGTGCTCAAAACAACAGAAATGGATTGTCTCGCAGTTACAGAGGCTGAACGTCTGGAATCGAGGCATGGGAGGGACCTGCTTTCTCTGAAGACTTGGGGAAGAATCCTTCCTTGTCTTTTCCAGCTTTCGGTGGCCCCGGTGTTCCTTGGCTGGTGGTGGAATTGTTCATATCTCTGCCTCTGTCTTCACATGGCCTCTTCCCTGTGTCTTCTCCTCTTCTTAGGAAGACATCCCATTTTACAGAGGAGGAAACTGAGACTCGGAGGGGAGAAATAACTCACCCAAGGTCACACAGCCCAGGAGTGGGGGCCAAGATGGAAGCCAACTGTGACTGATCCCCAAGTGCCGTGGGGGTACCTGGACTCTGTACTCCATGTAAGGGGAGGCTGGCCACTGATCCCCAGGCCAGGAAGACTCTCAGCCCTGGGGGTCTCTCACTGGCTAGAGTCCAGCCCCTTCTCCTGGCAGCAGCCTCCTGATTTCCTGTGGGGACCTCCTGTTCCCACTTGCTGTCTGTGTAATTTGGGAGGGCCTGACACTGCTCCCCCCACCCATCCTCCCTCCCACTCTTAAGACTCTAAGGCATGCCTGGCCACTCAGCATATTCCATTCTCCTCCAGCCATGGCGACTGGTTCAAAAATGGACATGCAACTCATGTCAGGCCAACAAGAGTCTATCCAGGAATTTTGTGGGAGAATATTGAAAAAGAAAAAAGAGCTCTCTTTTCATTGGGCTTTCTATGCAGAAAGACCTCTTGTCAATACGTGGGGAGAGAACGCTTGTAGACAAAGCCCTTGGAGAGGAAAACAGAGTCAAGAGATGGAGTACTGATGACATCACTTGAGAACCTGGATCCAGCCATGCCTGGAGTTCACTCCTGGTTATTTCAATGATGTGCATCCATAAACTCCATGTATTCACTCAAGCCAACTTGGTGTCCTGACTTACACCATTTTCTTATCTGGAAAACTCTGAGGAAGGCAGTGTGAGCCACCCTCAGATAACAAGTACATAACTTCATGCCCTCCCCACCTTTCCTGCTGGACCAATAACCTTCATGCCAATCCCAGGCATCATTAGCCAATAATAATGGTAAGGAAGACTGTGCTCTTCAGGCTGGGTGTGATGGCTCACGCCTGTAATCCCAGCATTCTGGGAGGCTAAGGCGGGTGGATCACCTGAGGTCAGGAGTTCGAGACCAGCCTGGCCAACGTGGTGAAACCCCGTCTCTACTAAAAATGCAAAAATTAGTTGGGCATGGTGGCATGTGCCTGTAATCCCAGCTACTCGGGAGGCTGAGGCAGGAGAATTGCTTGAACCCAGGAGACGGCGTTTGCAGTGAGCCGAGATCACGCCACTGCACTCCAACCTGAGCAACAGAGCAAGACTCCATCTCAAAAAAAAAAGGGTTCTTCTTCCCCTGATTCTCTGCCTAGTAAACTATTCAACCTTCAAGATACAGCAGAGAATGTCACCTGTATTGTAAAGAAATTCCCTCAAAATTTGCTGCTCCCTCCTCTGCCTTCTTGTAGCTCCCCCTGCCATGCTGTTCTCCCTGGTGGTAGGGAGTGGGGGGACCTCATAGCACTCTATATTGTAAGGTCTGTCTTGGAGCCTCTGAGCTCCTTTGGATCAGGCATCATGCCTCATTCATTCATTCATTCACTCATTCATTCATTCAACAAATATTACTCAGAGCTCTGAGTCTCTACTAAGCACACGGCTCAGTGCTGTGTGCTGGGGGAGAGAAAGACTTTCCTTTCATGCAACTTTCCATTGATCTAGAGAAACTGATGAGAAAATAGTTAAAATCATGTGTGACATGATGATGGGGAAGTCAGTACAGGGACTATGGAAACGCAGGAGCCAAAGGGTGGGGCTGTACATGGGTTGCTGGGGAGAGGGGCCGGGGGACTTCCAGGCAGTATGCAAAGGCTGAGAGCCAACAAGTGCATGGCACATCCATGAAGGCAAAAAAAAATTCAGATGGCCTGGATTAGAGAGGGTGAGTGACGCAGGCAAGGCCAGACCAGGCCAAGGAGCTCAGATTCATCCTGTGAGCCTTGGACAGCTGCTGAAGGTTGTGAGTAGCAGAGAGATGTGGTGGAGACCACGTTAGTCCCCATGTGGAGATGGGTGGGCCAAACCTGAGCAGAAGCCAGCTGGAGCCGCAGCAGGGCCCAGGCAGCTTGGACTTCGAGTGGCAGAGGGTGGAAAGAGTGGAGTGGCAGGAGCTGGCAACTGGTTGGAAAGAGCAGCATAGGGAAGGGGAAGGCGCCAAGGTGATATCCAGGTTTCCATCTTTTGCAAGCAGGAGGTTGGTGGGACATCCCTGAGAGGGAGGACACAGAGCATAAGCAGGGCGGGGGCCAGGGAAGGGGATGGCTTCAGTTTGGGGATGTGGAGTTTGAGGAGCCTGTGGCACCTCCAGTTGGAGATGTGGATCCGTCTCTGTGTTCATACCTTTCCGGGCCTCGATGCCTGACCCTTCGTGCCGGTAAAGTCCCACCCACTCGGCAGCGTCCTTGCTCTCCCTTGGCCCCTCGCCTTTCCGTGCCACAGGGCATCCCCCTGCAGCTCTCTGAAGAACCACGTTCTCCCCGACCTTCTCATGGCCTTTGCATATGCTGTTTCCTCTATGCTTCCTGCTTTGACCCCCTTTGCCTGGCTAATTATTTGCTATATGGCATCTCCTCCAAGAAGCCTTCCTGACGTCCCCCAGCTGGGAGAATGCACACCTCAGAGCTCCCTCAGCCCTTTCTGTGGCTGCCACCACGGGGCTTCCCAGTGCGGTATGGCACTCCTGAGACACGTTAGCAGAGCACAGTGGGTAAGCGTCATGCTGTGGGGACAGGCTGTCTGCATTTAAACCCTGAGAAAGCCAGTTGACCTCTCTGTCCCTCAGTTCCTTATCCTTAGAATGGGGATAACAATAGTTCTTATCTCTCGGATTTGCTGTGAGAACTAAGTGAATCAATCCACATAAGGAACAGTGCCAGGTGCCTAGTAACTGTTCACTATTAGCTACTGTCATGGGTCCCTGCTTATCTCACCCAAGTGTCTTGGGGGTCCTTGTGGGCCAGTTCTTCCCTAGCAAACAGCGTGGGGCTAGCACACTGGCAGAGCCCACCCAATTGCCTAGGGAAGGATGGGGGCAGTCTGGGATTGGCTTTCTTCCACCCAAATCCAACAAAAGAGACTGCATAGAACAGTATCTGTGCAGAGGGCCAGGGTCAGGCCCATAGCTTGTTGCTAGGAGGACATGCATTGCAATCGTCTGAGCCAGCACCTGCCTCTGCCTAGCAAGGCGTCCGAATTCTCAAACACACCAGAGACTCAAAGATGGAGAGAACCCCCTCTGGTTCCTTTCTCACTGAGGCCCTGGATGCTTCTCCCCTGAGTATTTCCCACCCCTGGCTGGGTACGTGGCACACCTCCAGCATCATCTCCTAGCCCCGGGGCCTCCAGCCCATTCCTCCTTCCCTGTCCCCAGTTCCCCTTCAGGCTGAGCCCTGGTGGGGCCCCTCCTTGGCTGCTCCTTCTGGAAACTGGCTTGGATTATGCAGTTTTTGCTCAGCAAGGCTGGGAGGAGACAGACCCTCCCATCCTCCCACAGCAGCCCCCGCCTAGCTGGCGCACAGCCCCCAGGCCACACTCTCCTTCCCATCCCCCCGAAGCCCTGTCACTCCTGGTCCTGACAGCTCTGTCCTCAGCGACACTCTCCCTCCTACACAAACTCATTCCCTCCTCGGCCCAAGCCTGTCTCTGGGCACTGTACGTGGGAGTCCGCAGACACTTCAAACCCAGTGCATTCCCATTTATCATCTCCTCCGCAGACCTGCTCCCCGACTGCGGCCCTGTCTTGGCAGCCAGCAACAGGCATCCAGGCCCTGCCTCCCAGCCCACTGCCTTCTCTCAAACCTGCCCCTGCTCTCCTATGCCCTAGCTCCCAGCCCCTCCCTAAAAGCTGCCTCTTCACCAGCCTCACCTCCTCCCGGATTTCCCCTCATCCAATTCATCCTCCTCAGAGTGTGACCCGGGATCCCCAAGACCTTTACAGGGAATTTTCAAGGTCAAACTTTTTTCAAAATCATAAGCCAGACATAAAAGAGACCTGCAAAAATGTGAAACAGTGGTACTCTGTCCAGTAAATACTTTTATTTGGGAAAATATTGTTGTTTTTCATAAAATATATTATTCACTTAAACATGGAATGGGTGTGTTATTATTATTTGGAAATGAATTTATAGATAAAAATGTTCACATTTCCTCAGTCTTAATTTTCTTTTTTTTTTTTTTTTTTTTGAGATGGAGTCTTGCTCTGTCACCCAGGCTGGAGTGCAGTGGCGCAATCTTGGCTCACTGCAATCTTCATCTCCCGGGTTCAAGCGATTCTCCTGCCTCAGTCTCCCAAGTAGCTGGGATTACAGGTGTGAGCCCCTGTACCTGGCCCATCTTAATTTTCAATACACATAAATATCATGTTCATGGATTGTATCAATAAGCCATGTAAGTGACGATTCTTCCTCAAAAAGTTTTGAAGAGTATAGAAGGATCCTGACAGCAAAAAGTTTGAGAATCGCTGTCCTAGAATTGATCATCAGACACATAGGTTGTGAGGACAAGGGTCTTATCGGTCTTACTCTCAATCAGGGACTAGCGCTGTGCCTGGCATTCAGCATAGTAGGCTCTGGCACTCAACATATGCTTACTGAACAAACAAATGAAGATGTCCCTCTCCCCACCCAAACCCTTCCTTGACTCCTCACTGCCCACTGGATTCAGTCCAAGCCCCATGGCTTTTTTAAAGTTCCCCAAAGGTGCTGTTCCCTCTTTGTCTCCAATTCTCTGCCCACTCTGTCCCTCTGCCCCAAATATCTTCCTTGTCTTTCTTCACCTGACTATCGCCTAACTCCCTCTTCAAGATGAGAGTCAGGCATCACCTCCTCCAGGAAGTCTGCCCAGATGCCCCTCATCTGAGCTGGATGCCCCTCTGTGCTTCCATCATTCTCACACTGCCCTCTGTCAAAGCACTTCAGAGCACCTGTCACTCTCTGTTGAAGTGGTCTGTTTTGGTGTGTCTCCCCCAGAAGACTGCAAGCTCCACGCTGGTCTCTGCATCCCCACCCCTGGCATAGATCCTAGCATAGAGTAGGTGCTCAGTGAATCCTGAGTAGCCCGTGGCAGGTGGACAGATAGTGGTAGGTCCAGAATTTCTATATAGAGGAGCTTCAAGGCAGCTATCTTGCTAGAAGGCCTGTTGGGAAATGGCTAAGGAATTTGCTGAAGTTGTAGTGACTCAGATAGGTTAAGCCATTTGAACTCTCTGAGCCTCAGTTTGCTTACTTGTGAGATGGGGTTAACAACAATACCTCTCCTCCCTGCTTCACAGAAATGTTTTGCAAACTGTAAAGTACTGTACACATGCAAGATGTTCATTATAACTATCAGAGCTTGGAAGGGACCTGGAGATGGCATCACAGCCTTAATCTCAGGGCTGAACAAGACCTGAACAATCAGTCAGGTGCGGTGGCTCACACCTGTAATACCACCATTTTGGGAGGCCAAGGCAGGTGGATCACAAGGTCAAGAGTTCAAGACCAGCCTGGCCAACATGGTGAAACCCTGTCTCTACTAAAAATACAAAAAATTAGCCATGCATGGTGGCATGCACCTGTAGTCCCAGCTACTCGGGAGGCTGAGGCAGGAGAATTGCTTGAATCTGGGAGGCAGAGGTTGCAGTAAGCTGAGATCGTGCCACTGCACTCCAGCCTGGGTAACAGAGAAAGACTCTGTCTCAAAAAACAAAACAAAACAAAAAAAAGACCTGAGCAATCAATTTCATCCAACCTTCTCATTTTACAGGTGAGAAGTCTGAGGCTCAGAGAGGAGTCTGAAGTCACTTGTCTAATATCATACAATGACAGGGAACACTGAAGGGCTGTTTTCCATTCTCAGTGTGTAATCTTATCTCCCTCTATCAACTTGAGAGGCCCCAGAATCACGGAGAAACATCCCCCTCACCTGGACATCAGAAAATCTGGTTTCCATTCTGATCTGTCCCTAACCTGCTTGAAGAAGCAGCTTCTCACCTCTGCGCCTGTTTTCACAGCTGTCAAAATAAAAAGCTGGATGATAAGCTCCAAAATCTGTTTCACTATAATTGACCAATAAGCATAAGGAAAACATGTCCACGACATCCCCAAAGGAAATACAAATTAAAACAACAATTAAATAAATAATACCCAATAAATAATACCCAATACCCAATAACACCAGAGTGATAATACCCAATGTTGGCAGGCATGAGCTGAAATGGGCACTCTTGATGTTTTTGATGGCAGTGTTAATCAATACTGTTAAATCCTGTAGCCAAAGTCTTTTAAATATGGTATGCTTATCCTTTGGCCTAGAAACTTCACCTCTAGGATTTTATCCTATGGAAATAATGAAGAAATTGACTACAGGAATGTTATTTATTATTCAAAATAGTGAGAAACAGAAAGAGAGAGAGAGAGGACACTGGTCCTGCCAAACATATACACAAGGGAATACTCTGTAGCCACTCATACTGATGATGTAGCAGTGCATTTATAGATGTAGAAAAATATTCATGGTTGGATGGAAAAAGCAGGTTAGAAACAATAGATGCAACATATTCTTGTTAATGTTGTCTTAAAAGTGGGAAGAAAACAAGCAAGATACAGGTTGAACATCCCCTGTCTGAAATGCTTAGGATCAGAAGTATTTTGGATTTTGGATTTTCAATTTTGAGATCTGGGATGCTCAACCAGTATTTACTAAAATATTAAAGGTAGTTACGGCTCACACCTGTAATCCCAGCACTTTGGGAGGCTGAGGCTGGCAGGTTGCTTGAGGTCAGGAGTTGGAGACCAGCCTGGCCAACATGGTAAAACCCCGTCTCTACTAAAAATACAAAAAATTAGCCGGGCGTGGTAGCGGGCGCCTGTAGTCCCAGCTACTCGGGAGGCTGAGGCAGGAGAATGGCGTGAACCCGGGAGGCGGAGCTTGCAGTGAGCCGAGATCGCGCCACTGCACTCCAGCCTGGGCGACAGAGCGAGACTCCGTCTCAAAAATAAAATAAAAAAAAAAAATTAGCTGGGCGTGGCAGCAGGCACCTGTAGTCCCAGCTACTCAGGAGGCTGAGGCACAAGAATCACTTGAACCCAGGAGGCAGAGGTAGCAGTCAGCTGAGACTGCACCGCTGCACTCCAGCCTGGGCAACAGAATGAGACTCTGTCTCAAAAAACAAACAAACAACAAATAAATAAATAAAGGTAGTTATCATTAGGTGCTTGAATTGCAGGAGAGAGAGAGAGAGAAAAAGAGATATCTTTTGGGGTTGTTTAGCAGTAAATGTGCGTTACTGTGAAATAAGAGAAAAAATAGAATTGAGTCCCTTTCAGCTCTGAAATTCTGCAATGTGGGGCCCCTGCTCGGTTGCATCCTCTTTAACATCAGCTCATCTCTTTCAGCCCTGTGTGACTCATGGAAAACAGGAGTGACGGTCAAGCAGAGAGGAATGTGAACTTAGTGGGTAATGCCATAAACCTTTGGCCAGGACATAAGCAGTAGAAGCAGCCTGCATGTGTCATCCATGAGAAGGCCCCGCTGTGACTGCAGAGGCAGGAAACCAGGTGTCAGTGGAGACAAAGGAGTCCTCGGCGCGTGAAATGGGACTTGGAGCAGGGCCCGACGGGAGGGGACAGAGGATGGCTGCCCAGCCAGACAGTCCTAACTCGGGGAATTCAGTGACCACAGCATCCCCGGGTGACACGGCTGTGAGGCCTTCAGAGCATCACCATTCAGTCACCCCTTTTTACACTGGGGAAACTGAGGCTCAGGGAAGTAAAGCAGAAATGCCTTTAGACCTGGGCAAGAGGAGACCTGTCCTAGGCCCTGCATTTTGGGAGCAGTGCTTCTTCAACTACCTAAGGCAAAGGACCATTTTGGTTTTCAAACCTCTAATCTGTTTCAGACTGATAGTTTAATAAGAGACAATAAAAATGAATTTGCCGGGCAAGGTGGCTCACACCTGTAATCCCAACACTTTGGGAGGCTGACACGGGCAGATCACCTGAAGTCGGGAGTTCGAGACCAGCCTGATGAACATGGAGAAACCCCGTCTCTACTAAAACCACAAAATTAGCTGGGCATGGTGGCGCATGCCTGTAATCCCAGCTACTTGGGAGGCTGAGGCAGGAGAATCACTTGAACCTGGGAGGCAGAGGTTGCGGTGAGCCGAGATCGCGCCACTGTACTCCAACCTGGGCAACAAGAGTGAAACTCCGTCTCAAAAAAAAAAAAAAAAAAAAGAAAAAAAGAATCCATAATGAGGTATCTGAAGTAAGTCCAATTTACAGAAACAGATAGTAGAATGATAGTTACTGGGGCTGGGAGGAGGGGCAGAGAGGAGTTGTTTAAAGGGTACAGAGTTTTCATTTTTTTGTAAAGATGAAAAAGTCTTAGAGATCTATTTCATAATATCATGAATAGACTTAGCACTATGGAACTGTACACTTAAACACTGCTAAGATGGTAAATTTTATGTGATGTGTTTTTTTCACCACAATGCAAAAAGATAGTTTTATAACTTGCAAAGATAGTGATGCCAATATACAATGTGCTATTTTGAAATGACAGTCAATGCATCCTAAAGCAATGGTAATAAAACTTCAGGAAATGAGAGAAACATGTTCTCACTGTCTTCCAACATTTTATAAAATAATTACTTAAAAATGAACTACTAGAAAAATGAACATGAGCTTGGATGTAGCAATAATGCTGTGAGCGTTTTAAAATACTTATTTTTGGTTTCTGAGTAGTTCATGCACCAGCCACAGTCCACAGGCCCAGACCACACATGAGTAGCACAGGGACCCCCAGATCACAAACATACACAATTTATTAAAGGATACACAGATCCTTGGTCACTTGGCCCAGCACACCCAATGTAACCCTCAACATCCGCTTTCGTGACTGACACTGCTCAGGCCCCAGGAGGGAGAAGGGATTCGCTTCTCCTCTTTTCTTGCTCTATGTCCTTGACACAAAGGATGACTGCGTCCAAATGCCACAAAGGCTGTGGGTTGTGCGGCTGCTGACAGTGCAGATGGACGCTGCTTTGGGGCACGGGGAGGCTCTGAGCAGTGTAAGAAAAGCTTTCACTCTTAGGTAAGAAAAAAGACAAATTAATTAACTTGCTAAATCCTTCCTCTAAGAGAGTTCAAATGCGGTAAATTCCCACTAGAACCAAACATCCATTTCCTTACTTCTTGTTATGTTCCAAGTCCTGGTTCTGGAGGTGCTCAAAAAAGAGCATGGTGTCTGCAAGAGCTGCACAGGGCAGCTGAAGAACATTTTGCAATATTAAATCTTTTATATTACTCTTAAATTTGTATATACGTAGGTCCAGCTGTAACATACTTAAACTGTGACGTCAATTACTTACGTGGCTGTTAGATCTCGATATTGCCTAGAGAGACAGTAAAAAATCATGATATATATGATATGATTTACATGAAGAACTTACAGCTTGTAACATTTTCCATAATAATCGTAATTTATTATATGCAACCCCATTACAATGTTTGAGCTTGCTACACAAAATTCATGGCTCATTTCCTAATCTAAATATTGCTTTAAGAATTTTATTGACAATTTGTTGCTACATCCTCAACAGAGCAAGTGTTTCCAACTTGAAATTAATTAAAAACTAGCTAAGAAATACAATGACTTGCAAAAGGTTGTCTAATTTCACATTGCCATCAACGGAACAGAAATTATGTGAGAATCTTGATTATCACCACACAATTACTATTTTGTTGAAATAAAGGCAAGAAAGACAAAATTGATGGAACAAATAATAATTTATGAATCATGTAGGCTTTTGTTTTATTACTTATTCAAATATGATCAGCCTATCAAGAAACTACCCAGACATATGCAATATGATATTCAGTCACCTTTGATAACTTGCTGACTTTTGGCCATATAAAAACTGCAGTTTACACATATTTTCTATTTTGTTATAATAAAGGCATAGTTGCCATATTTTATTTAACTGTTTATTAGGTTTGATTTATAACTTTCATTTTATTTCATTTTTTGAGACAGGGTCTTACTCTCTTTACCCAGGCTGGAATGCGGTGACATGATCAGGGCTCACTGCAGCCTTGACTCCTGAGCTCAGGTGATCCTCCCACTTCAGCCTCCCAAATTGCTGGGACTATGGGTATGTGCCACCATGCCCAGCTATACACACACACACACACACACACACACACACACACACATACATACATACATCATACATACATACAAGCATATATATACATATATGTACACACACACACATATAAGTCACATGTCTTGAACTCCTCACCTCAAGTGATCTACCCGCCTCAGCCTCCCAAAATGCTGAGATTACAGGCATGAGCCACTGCACCCAGTATGATTTATAACTTTTAAATATTAGATACAAACTCCATTTGTATCTGGCCCTGAACCCCACAAATGTTTGGATGGACTTGGCCAAGGAACCAGCCCAGGACCACACAGGATTCAAATGTCTCTCATTCAAACCTGCATTTAATGAGCCCGTACTGGTTGCTAGGTATTGGGAATTGGGTCAAGATGTGTAGTTTACAGCCCCTGTTCTTGGGAGTGCACCAGCTCATAGTGGAGCCCAGACAGATCTAGATTCAGCCATCAGAACCCCTCTAGGAGGCTGGGTGCAGTGGCTCACACCTGTAATCCCAGCACTTTGGGAGGCCAAGGGGAGCGGATCACTTGAGGCCAGGAGTTCAAGACATGTGACTTAGTGGCTACCCTACTAGACCGTGCAGAATGGAACAGTTTCATCATCGTGGAAAGTTCTATCAGACATTGCTGGTCCAGAGCCACACTGTGCAACCAAAATATAAGGCCGTCACATGTGGAATTTTAAATTAGAAAATTTAGCGATGTTAATAAAAGTAAAACAAAACAGGTAGAATTAATTTTAATAATATATTTTATTTAATCCAGTAACTTCTAAATATTATTTCAACAGTATCTCTTGATGGGCTGAGCCTGGCCAACATGACCAAACCCTGTCTCTACTAAAAATACAAAAAAATTAGCCGGGCATGGTGGTGCACGCCTGTAGTCCCAGCTACTCGGGAGGCTGAGGCATGAGAATCACATGAACTTGGGAGGCAGAGGTTGCAGTGAGCCGAAATCATGTCACTGCCCTCCAGCCTGGGTCCTGGGTGACAGAGAGAGACTCAGTCTCAAAAACAAAACAAAACAGAACAGGGGAAAAAAGAAACCCTCTAGGAGGTGATATGTCAGAGCACTTACATACATATCATCAGGTTTTAATTCAGATGGCCCTGCACTGAGGTCTTGAGTCCATCACATCTTTACTGAGTAGACTTAGGCAAGTGTCTTCTCTTTGAGCCTTGGTTTTTTCATCTGTAAAATGGGGGTAACAACAGTATCTACATCAGATTATGAGAATTCAATGAGATCATGCATGTGTTTTTGCTATGACTGTATAACAAATTATCCCCAAAATGTAGTGGTTTAAAAACAACAAACATTTATTAAACCACAGTTTCTGTGGGTCAGGAATTCAGGAGTGGCTTTGGTTCTAGGTGAGGGTCTTTCACGTGGTTACAGTCAGAATGTCAGCAGGGCCTGCAGTCATCTAAAGTTCTGCCTGAAGCTGAAGGGCCCGCATAGCCGGTGGCTCACTCCCAGGGCTCCTGGCAAGAGGCCTCAGTTCCTTGCTAGAACCTTGCAGGAGGCCTTGTTTCTCACCACCTGGGCCTCCCAATATGTGTCCAAGAGTCCGCAAGACATGGCAGCTAACACCCCCCAATACGAGACAGCAAGAGGAGCAAGCCACGGCACCTTTTTATGACTTAGTCTCCAAAGTCATACGTCATCATCACTTCTACTTTATTCCATTAGTTACAAGCAAGCCACGAAGTCCAGGCCACCCTCAAGGGAAGGGAATTAGACTCCACCTTCTGAAAAGAGGAGGATTTAAGGATTTAAATAATTCAAAGCCACTACAGCATGAGGTTAGCATGAGGGTAACACCTAGCAGAGCGTCCGGCCCACAGTAAGGACCATAATGATTTCCCATGCTTGCATTTCATTTGACAGTTAACAGGGTACTTTGCATCCCTTGCTGCATTTAATGTTCATAAGAGCCCTATGCTATCATTATGTCCATTTTACAGATGAGGAAACTGAGGGTTGGAGAGAAGTGACTTGCCCGTAGTCACACAAACATTTGGCAGCTCGGGGGTTGGAGCCCTGCCCATCCTCAGCCTGGTAAGGGAGCAGTGAGCCAGGCTTCTCCTGGTATTGCTTCCACATGAGATGGGAGTTCAATTTCTGCATTTTAAAGTACCTGGGGCTGGGCGCAGTGGCTCACACCTATAATCCTAGCATGCTGGGAGGCCGAGGTGGGTGGATCACGAGGTCAGCAGTTCGAGACCAGCCTGACCAACATGATGAAACCCTGTCTCTCCTAAAAATACAAAATTTAGCCGGGCGTGGTGGTGCATTCCTGTAATCCCAGCTACTTGGGAGGCTGAGGCAGGAGAATTCTTGAACCTGGGAGGTGGAGGTTGCAGGAGCTGAGATCACGCCACCACACTCCAGCCTGGGCAACAGAGTAAGACTCCATCTCAGAAAAATAAAAGTATTATTAATAATAAAGTACCCGGCAAGCCCGGAAGCCATGGAAAGGTAGCAGGCCACAGGCAGGGGCAGTCACTCTTCCCAGAGCAGATGATAGGACAGGATGCCAGGGGCCTGGAGAGCACGTAGGAGGGGTGGGATGAGACAGGGTGTGGCCAGCGCAGAGAGGCCACGATTCAGGCGTGAAGTGCTGAGGGATGAGGGCGGGGAGGGCGACAGTATCTGAGCACATACTGAGGCAGGTCGGCATGTCACCTCAGCCTGGAAGGGGGTTCCAGCAGGGTGCCCAGGAGGACAGGTGCTCTGGGGTGGAGTGGTACAGGTCAGTGGTTGACTTGGAGGGGTTCTTTGGAGATGCCCTGCCACCCCGCAAAGGAGGCAGCAAACCTTGAGAACAAGCCCAGGGCTTCGAGGGAGGCTCACCTGGGGCCAACCCCTGAATCTACCACCTCCCAGCTGTGTGCCCTTGAGTAATCCTTAACCTCTCTGAGTCCTGTCCACCGACCTCCTCCTTGAGTCCCCCACACCCTGTAAACACACATCTATTGGGACACCCAGAACACACCGTGACACTTGTTTGTCTCCACAAGGCAGAAAAGCCCACCTCTCTGGAGCTGTGCTATACAATACAGTAGCCACGAGGCACGTGTGGTCATTTAAAGTCCAATTTAAATTAATTACAATGAATTAGAATTAAAACTGCACTTGCTCAGTCGCCCTAGTCATAGTTCAAGTTCTCAATAGCCACATGTAACTTAGTGGCTACCCTACTGGACCCTGCAGAACGGAACAGTTTCATTATCGCAGAAAGTTCTCAGACAGCACTGGTCCAGAGCCTCACTGTGCAACCAAAATATAAGGGAGCTGCATGTGGAATTTTAAATTAGAAAATTTAGCGATGTTAATAAAAGTGAAATGAGGCCGGGCACGGTGGCTTACGCCTGTAATCCCAACATTCTGGGAGGCCGAAGAGTGCGGATTGACTGAGGTCAGGAGTTCAAGACCAGCCTGGCCAACATGGTGAAACCCTATCTCTACTAAAAATACAAAATTAGTGGGGCATGGTGGTGGGCACCTGTACTACCAGCTACTCTGGAGGCTGAGGCAGGAGAATTACTTGAACCTGGGAGACAGAGGTTGCAGTGAGCCGAGATCATGCCACTGCACTCCAGCCTGGGTACAGAGTAAGACTCTGTCTCAAAAAAAAAAAAAAAAAAAAAAAGTAAAATGAAACAGGTGAAATTAATTTTAATAATATTTTATTTAGTCTGGTATCTTCCAAATATTATTTCAATATTTCACCAATATTAAGGAAAAAAAAAACACTTCAGCCAGGCACAGTGGCTCACGCCTGTAATCCCAGCACTTTGGGAGGCTGAGGCAGGAGGATTGTTTGAGGCCAGGAGTCCAAGAACAGCCTGGGCAACATACAAGATCCCTATCTCTAGTTTCTGAAACCAAAAACAAAAAAAACCTCTCTTAATGAGATATTTTACATTCTTTTTTTCCCTTAGCCTTTGAAATCCCATGTATATTTTACGTTTACTGCACATCTCAATTCAGACTGCCACATTTCAAGTGCTTGATAGCCACATGTGGCCAGTGGCCACTCTATTAGACAGAGGAGTGCTCAGGTCCTTGAGCACAGACCCAGGTACCTGCAGAACTGGGTGTGAATTCTGCCTCCTTCATGTGCTGCAGTGCTGTGTGATCCTGGACAAGTTATTTAGTCTCTCTCAGTCTCAATGTCCTTATCTGTAAAGGGGCTGTGATATTCTATATGTGACATTATTATATATGTGATACTGTTAAATTCTATATGTGATATTATTTATTATATCTCTAACTGATACATTATTATATCACCAGCCAGTGATTATTATGAAGATCAACGAAGAGTATGAGCATAAAGTCTGTTGCACAACGTATGCTACAAGGTCACTCTTTTTTTGAGACAGGATCTTGCTCTGTTGCCCAGGCTGTAAGTGCAGTGCCTCCATCATAGCTCACTGCAGCCTTGGCTTCCTGGGCTCAAGTGATCCTCCTACTTCAGCCTCCTGAGTAGCTGGGAGTACAGAGGTACACCACCACTGCTGGCTACTTCTTGTGTTTTATTTTATTTTTTATCTATCTATTTTTTTGAGACAGAGTTTTGCTCTTCTTGCCCAGGCTGGAGTGCAATAGCACGATCTCAGATTACTGCAACCTCCGCCTCCCGGTTTCAAGCAATTCTCCTGGCTCAGCCTCCCAAGTAGCTGGGATTACAAGCATGCACCACCACGCCCAGCTAATTTTGTATTTTTATAGAGACAGAATTTCACCATGTTGGTCAGTCTGGTCTCAAACTCGTGACCTCAGGTGATCCACCCACCTTGGCCTCCACCACCACACCTGGCCTATTTTTTAATTTTTGAGACAGAGTCTCCCTCTGTCGCCCAGGCTGGAGTGCAGTGGCATGATCTCGGCTCACTGCAACCTCTGCCTCCCGGGTTCAAGCAATTCTCCTGCCTCAGCCTCCTGAGTAGCTGGAATTACAGGCGCGCACCACCACACCAAGCTAATTTTTGTACTTTTAGTAGAGACAGGGTTTCACCATGTTGGCCAGGCTGGTCTTGAACTCCTGACCTCAAGTGATCCACCCACCACAGCCTCCCAAAGTGCTGGGAATATAGGCGTGAGCCACTGCACCCAGCCTAATTCTTGTGTGTTTTTTTGTTTGTTTGTTTTAGAGACGGGGTCCCACTGTGTTGCCCAGGCTGGTCTCAAACTCCTGGGTTCAAGTGATCCATCTGCCTCAGCCTCCCAAAGTGTTGGGATTTCAGGCATGAACCACTGCACCCGGCCACAAGGCCACGCTGGATAAATGCTACCTGTGGTGGTCTACTTATGCTACCTATTAGAGGTCTGACTACCCACCAGACTGTGAATTCTTAAAGGGCAGGGACCAGGGTCTCTTCATCATCTCTGCCCCTCCCTGTCCATACCCTTTCCCCACTCCCCTTCCGCAGCACCTCATCCAGAGCTCCCCTCTTTGTCTGGCTTCCTTCTGAGGTCAGACAGGTGCCAAGTTGTTCAGCTTTGGTGCCGCCCACCCCCAGGGCCTAGCTCAGGCTGGGCCAACTCAGGCTTAGCAAACATTTTCAGCCCATGAGGCAGTTGGTGGTTCAGCAATCGATTGCCCCAGGGTGGGTGGGAGTGGAAAGAGAAGCAAGTTCTGGGCTGGGAGACAGACGACCTGCTGGTAACTGTCTGCTGTGGTGGCTGGGTTACTTTCCCTCTCTAGGCCTCAGCATCCCAACTGTAAAATAGGCAGGTCAAACCTGATGAATGTCAGAGCTCTTCTATAGCGTCTATACTGCTGGGGAGATGAGGGCCCCTGACCAGCCAGGATCTGCTCAAAGGTGGGAGGACAACAGACACACCCCTCCTGTACACACACACTCAGGCATGAAATGGGTGCATTCGTATGTGCCTCTATCACGGGGTTGTTGTAAGCCCTCAGTGAGCTAATAAAAGGCTCAGAACAGTTCCCAGCTCCTGCTGTAGGTCCTCTCCAAGCATTTGCTGTTATATTACTCTTTGCTGTTGTAGTGTGTGTATGTGTGTGTGTGTGTGTGTGTATATGTGTGTATATATATGTATATATAAGTATATATGTATATATATAAAAATTTGCTGTTATATTGTGTATACAAAAAATATTATTACATTACATGAATTATTGTTGTATTTATTCCATACGGAGCAAGTAGATGAAGAGGCAAGCATTGGTATGATTGAGCTGAGTCCCAGGCCTTTACCAGACTTTATCTCATTCAATCCCCCCATCAACTCTATGAGGGTACAATCATTGTCCCCCATGTCACAGATGAGGAGACTGAGCCTTAGAGGGGTAAAATGGCTCACCCAAGGTCACACAGCCACCAAGTGGTGGAGCAGGGATTTGAACCCAGTTCTGATTCCAAAACCACCGCCCTTTCTCCTGTGCCTCACTGGCTTCTTGGAGAAGAATTATTAAGCTCTGCATCCTGTGGCTGGGTTCCCTTCAGGGTGACCAGTCTAATCTCCCCTCTGTTAGTAAAACCTACCCCTAGACTCTCTCTAGAAGTTCTAGTCCCAGGCAAACAACAGATGCCGGGGAGGATGTGGAGAAATAGGAACGCTGCTTTTACACTGTTGGTAGGAGTGTAAATTAGTTCAACCATTGTGGAAGACAGTGTGGCAATTCGTCAAGGATATAAAACCAGAAATACCATTTGAGCCAGCAATCCCATTACCGGGTATATACCCAAAGGATTATAAATCATTCTCCTATAAAGACACATGCACACGTATGTTTATTGCAGCACTATTTACAATAACAAAGACTTGGAACCAACCAAATGCCTATCAATGATAGACTAGATAAAGAAAATGTGGTACATATACACCATGGAATACTATGCAGCCATAAAAAAATGAGTTCATGTCCTTTGTAGGGATGTGGATGAAGCTGGAAACCATCATTCTCAGCAAACTAACACAGGAAGAGAAAACCAAACACCGCATCTTCTCACTCATAAATGGGAGCTGAACAATGAGAACACATGGACACAAGGAGGGGAACATCACACACCAGGGCCTGTTGGGGGGTGCGGGGAAAGGGGAGGGAGAGCATTAGGACAAATACCTAATGCATGCGGAGCTTAAAACCTAGATGACGGGTTGATAGATGCAGGAAACCACCATAGCACATGTATAACTATGTAACAAACCTGCACGTTCAGCACATGTATCCCAGAACTTAAAGTAAAATAATAAATTAATAAATAAGAAGTTCTAGTCCCAGGCTGCACCCTGTTAAGTCAGGATTCTTCCAACTGCCACGCCATAACCCTAGACTCAAGAAAGGACACAGTCCCAGCTGTAGCCTTGGTGGAGGTTTTCTGGAAATGGACAGGTTTTTAAAATGGCGAGAACAACCAGGAGCTCAGAAATCTCTCGCCTCCCCTCCGCCCCCACCCCCGTCACCATCCACGGCCTCATTTGCATAATCCCCACAATCCAATGCAGACCCAGCTTCCCTTTGTGATATTAATTAAGAGGAGGAAAATGTCCTGGACAAGAACTGGCTCCCGTTTTTCAACCATTGTCCCTTCATGCCACTCCCCACTGCTTCATCCCTCCCAAATGTGTCATGGGTATGGTGCAGAATCGGAATTCAGAAACAAAAGGTTTGACCCGCTACCCATGTGCCCCCCATTCCTGTGTCCCCCAGGGGCTGCCTGGGCCCCTGAAGCCAATGGAAGAAGGCCTGCCCCTGCTCAGAGGCCATGGACCGATGGGTGCTGAATGCTCAAATGTGTGATAAAATAGGCCATTTGCATTTAAATATTAACCCTAGAGGAAAATAATAGACTATTAGTTAATAAACGGAATTGACAAGCTGGCTGCATTCCAATTCCACCTCAGACAGTTGCAGTGCTCAGCTCGGCCCAGCTGTTGAGATGGTCCTAGAAAAACGGAAACCACCCGCCTTATCTCCTTGGACTCCCCTTGGGCTCCTTGTCCCAGACTTCCCAGTTGGAAATCTTAGGCCAACTGCCAATTCCACTCCATGAGCTGGAGAACATCTCACCATCATTGCCCACTAACTTGCTGTGTGACCTTGAGTTGGTTACTTTCCTTCTCTGAGACCTAGTTTCTTCATTTATAAAATGAGAGGGATGGAGAAGTTGATTCCAGGCTGGCTCTTCCAAATCTAAAGATTCTAGCGTTCTGGCCGTGTATGGTGGCTCATGTCTGTAATCCCAGCACTTTGAGGGGCTCAGGTGGGTGGATCATCTGAGGTCAGGAGTTCAAGACCAGCCTGGCCAACATGGTCAAACCCTGTCTCTACTAAAAATACCAAATTTAGCTGGGCATGGTGGCAGGCACCTGTAATCCCAGCTACTTGGGAGGCTGAGGCAGGAGAATCGCTTGAACACAGGAGGCAGAGGTCGCAGTGAGCCAAGATCACGCCACTGCACTCCAGCCTAGGTGACAAGACTGAAACTCCTTTAAAAAAAAAAAAATAGATGATAGCATTCTGTCATCATCAATATCAAGAACATGGGTTGAAAACTGACTATAGGCACAGTTCACCTCAACATTTTGAGGCCTATTTCCTGGGAACAGAGTCTATCCAAGGAACATCTGTGAAGGCTGAGAAGTTTAGGCTCACTACCCTCAAAGCTCCTTCTCCTTCCTTTATCTCAGTTCCCCTCCTGGACCCCAAATGCCTGTTCCCATCTGAATGCAGAGATAGAAAAGCACTGGGACATCTGAGTTCTACTCCTGACACTGCTCCAACCCACCATGAGACCCTGGCCAGGGCTCTACCCTCTCTTAGGAGACCCAAAGTCAGCAGGGCTTTGGACTGGCCAGGGGCCCAGGTGGTACTCCACCCACACTGGGCTGAGGTGCTGACTGGGCCAATCCCAGTCTCTCCTGAATGGCACAGAAAGAGTCAGGCAGACGAGGTGGGTACTGAGAGGGAGCAACCTGCCAAGAGAAGGAAGGTACAGAGTCTTTGTCAAGCATCCTAAGAGAATTTGGGGCAGTGAATAAGATGATGTTTGTAAAATGCTCAGCACTGCCCCTGGCACCAACTCGTTTTGTTTTGTTTTTGTTTGTTTGTTTGTTTTGAGACAGGGTCTTGCTCTGTTGCTCAGGCTGGAGTGTAGTGGTGCAATCATAACTCACTGCAGCCTCAACCTCCTGGGCTCAAGGGATTCTCTCACCTCACCCTCCCAAGTAGCTAGAACTACAGGTGTGCACTACCACGCCCCACTAATTTTTTTATTTTTATTTTTGTAGAGACAGGATCTTGCTATGTTGCCCAGGCTCATTTTGAACTCCCGGCCTCAAGTGATCCTCCCACCTTGGCCTCCCAAAGTGCTGGGATTACAGGTGTGAGCCACCACGCCCAGCCAGTAATTGTTATTATTATCATTATCTCAGTAGCTACAGATGCCTTTGATTCTCAATAACTACAAGTCCTATTCAGGCCCCCTAAGGCTTTTGCTGGGTTCCAATAAGTCCTGATCACAAAGTAGAGATTCCTGGGTTTTGATTGCCTTATGTGTCCTTCCAAAAACTCCTTAGTCAATTTCTTGCAATCCAGAGAATCATCATGGCTCACATGTCACTACCTCCTAGAAGCCTGCCTGCTTATCATCATGTCCTCTCCTCTCTGTCTGTCCAACCAACCAACCATCCATCCATCCATCCACGCGTCCATTTGGCAAACACTTCCAGAACGTCTTCTTTGCCTGGTCCTCTTTAAATGTGAATCAGCTAAAACCTTTCCAGAGAGCTTAGCTACACCCACACCCAGTTCCATGACTTTTTTCTTCTCACGTCCAGGGTCCTTAAAAAATGGGACCTGTGCCTTACCCTTCTGTATGTGTCCCCAACCCCAGTGCCCAGCCTAGTCTGGATCTTTTCTGTGATTGTACCCGGATAGGGGACAGCTGTCCTGGCCTTCAGAGCCTCCACACCCAGCTCACTCGCCCAGCTCCCCCACCCTGCTGCACCTCTGTTACCAGGAACCCATCAAAACAGCATTATCAAACTCCAGGAGAGACGCAGATTGGGAAACGGTCGGCCAGGGGAATAGCCATAAAATTCTGTGTGCTCCTGTGGGGCGCAAAGATCAAAGTATCCCATATCAGTCTCAGTATACAACCGTAACAACATAACAACCTTTTACCTGGATACGGCACTCCACAGTTGACAGAGGTGTTTCCCATCTCCTGGCTTCTTTCATCTTCCAACAGGGCCCCTGGCCACAAGGAAACTGAGGTTCAAGAAGTTACACAACCACCCAAAGCCACACAGAAAGTAAAGGGCTGAGTTGGGATTTCAACTCGTTTCTCCTGACATTAAATCCAGTGCCTTTGCAACCATATCATAGCTACAAGCTTCGGAAAGGCCTTAATCTGGGGAATTGGGAGACCTGGCTCCCAGCCCAGCATTCAGGAGTCTGTTGAGCGACCTTAGCTAAGTCACTTCCTCTCCTGCCTGCAGTTTCCTCCACTGTAAAGTGAAAGGGCTGCCAGGCTCACAAGGTTGTTGCAAGGATTAAAGCAGATGATGGGTGGGAACAGACTGTGGAAACAGGCTACCCACTGAAGCTAGACACCCACCCACCCACCAGGAGCCTCACCTACAAGCTAGACAAGCCAGGCCCTCCCAGCTCCCAGGAGGAAGTGAGTCTTTGGCTCCACGTGGTAATGGAGCTACTGGGAGCTACATGGCTCACAGCTACTGGGTAGCATTTTACCACTTATTTCCTATGCCAAGAAGGTTCTTTGTACTGGTGGGAGAGAAGTTTCCATTCATTCTAGCAAGCAATTAGTCAGTGCCCATGTGTCAGGCCCTTTGCTGGACTTGGATTCAGGGGTGAACAGAATGTAGTCTGCCCTAGGGCAGCTTCACGTATGGATGGGGCATGAACTCGCAGGGAAAGGAAATTGACATTTCACAGGTATTCTCTAATGCCAGGTATTTTCTGTTTGTCGTTGCATGCTATGCTCATCACGAACCTATAAGGATCTGGTCCACTTGACAAATAAGGAAATTTGAGGGCTGGGTGCAGTGGCTCATGCCTGTAATTCCAGCATTTTTGGAGGCTGAGGTGGGAGGATCGCTTGAGCCCTGAAGTTTGAGGCTGCAATGAGCTATGATCACGCCTCTGTACTCCAGCTTATGCAACAGAGTGAGACCTATCTCTAAAATAAAAAAAAAGAGAGAAAAAAACTGAGGCTTAACGAGGTTGAGTATTCTCCCTGCTCAAGATCATGCATGATTCTAACACATCCCTTCCCTAACTCCAAAGGCCACACTCTTTCTGCTCCTCAAGGCTACTTTGCAAGAACATAGGATGAAGGAAATTGAGGTGTGTGTCATCAGCAGGCTGGGGAGGTTTCCAGAAGGGGCATGGGTCTATGGAAGGATTCCTGAGGAGCTGGTCTGTGATGAGGTCTTTGGAGGATAAGCAGAATTCTGGAAGACAGGATGGGGAGAAATGTGGTCTAGCGTGAAGCTGAGCATGAGGAAAGAGTGGAGGTGAGAAAATGGAGGAGTTCCTGGAGACCTGAGGACAATGGTTTGGCTGGGGCAGAGGGTACCTGGAGGTGAACAGTGAGACAAGACTGGGAAGGTGGGCTGGGTCCCGTCCTTGAAGGGCCTCAAATGCCAGGCTAGGGAGTTTATATTTATTGCAGGGGGGAGTAGGGGGGCATTCAAGACTTGTGAGCAGGAAAGTGGCTCCAACAAAGGGGCTTAAGGGTTAAGAGCAGAGAACCAGAGAAACAGGATGAGATTTAATAAGATTCATCCTTGTACTTTGCACTTAATTTCCCTCTGACATTAAATAATTTAAAACACTGAACATGTACTGTGGACAAGGCCCCGTGCTTGTCCACATGGATTATCTCATTTCAGCCTCACAGCTCTAGGGGATAGGCACTATTATTAGTCCATGTTACAGATCAGGAGACTGAGACAGAAAAGTAGACTGGCCTGAGGACTCCGTGCTTATAAGAGGTGGTGCTGGATTTGCACCCAGGCAGTCCTCTCCCCAAGCTACGACCCTTTAGAATGACAGCAGGAGGGAAGCCCTTCTCCAGAATGAAAACTCAGATGACCCCTTCCCCAGAAGGCTGGTCATGAAGTGGGGTGCAGGGCCAGGGGTCAAAAGTGGAAACCCAGGACCCCTGCACCTCTTGCCTCTGGCCACCTCCCTGATGGTTCTCCTAGAGGGTGAATTCACTTCCAGGACCACCAGGTGGCAGTCAAGAGACTGGCTAATTGGAGCTGCAGCCCAGCCCAGCCTCCTCCAGCTCTGAGTCACAAAGACCCAGGGCTGACAGTGAGGAGTCAAGCAAAGGGTGGCTTTCAGGGAACTCTCCCCTCCTGGTTGCTTCTCTCCATTCTCCCTGCAGCCTCTGTGCTCAGAGGGGCATCCAAAGTGGAGCTGGGTTCGCAGGTACCTCCAGGAGAAGTGGGAAAGCAGGAGAGTTTCTGGTTTCACGGCCCATCACCCCCCTGGAATAGTATGCAGTGGTTAGCAATGATGTTTCCAGAGGGTTTTTAACAACCCAAGGGAATGCTCACTCCATGGTGCTGGGTGGGAAAAAATAGGACACAGCACCATACAGACAGCAAGATTATAGTTACATGCAAAATACTTGTGCCTTAAAAAAAAAGTACCTGGATGGAAACAGATCAAAATATTAGTAGTGGCTCTCAGGCTGTGGAGATTAGAGGTGGTTTTTGTTTTCTTTCTTATCTCTTCTATATCTTCTTTATTTTTAACAATAAGTATGTGTTTCTTTTATCATAAGGTAGAAAGAAAAGATTTCTTGAAAGTGGGAAGAAAGAGGATTAGCTATCAAGGCATTTTTTTATCTTTTAAATGTAACCTCCTCCAGGAAGCTTTCTCCCCTTCTCTAAGCAGAAGTAGTGACTCCCTCCTCTGTGCCCGCAGAAGGTTTGGACAACCTCTATTAAACAGCACTTTGAGTTCCTTAGGATAACTATTGCCGTCAGTGTCTATATCTGTGCTATCCAATAATGGTAGCCACTAGCCACCAGCCACACGTGTCTATTGAATACTTGAAATGTAGCTAGTGCAAGTTGAGCTATGCTGAAATATAAAATGCATGCTACATTGCAAAGGCTTCGTGTGAAAAAAGAATGTAAAATGGTTCATTCATTACATGCTGAAATGATAATATTTTGGATATATTGGGTTAATAAATATATTAAAATTAACTCCATCTATTTCTTTTTCTTTTTTTTAAATATGCCTACTAGAAATGGTTTAATTATATGTGGGGCTTAGATCATATTTCTATTGGACAGTGCTGGTTCATGAGCTTCATGAGGGTAGATCTGGGGCTCTCAACTCAGGCCCAGAAAGGGGAAGAGCCCTGTCTGAGGTCACACAGCCAACTGGTGACAGAACTAGAATTTGAGCCATGTCTCTGTACATTTATGCAGCCAATAGACACAGGAAAAAATGCTCATCATCACTGGCCATCAGAGAAATGCAAATCAAAACCACAATGAGATACCATCTATACCAGTTAGAATGGTGATCATTAAAAAGTCAGGAAACAACAGATGCTGGAGAGGATGTGGAGAAATAGGAACACTTTTACACCGTTGGTGGGACTGAAAACTAGTTCAACCATTGTGGAAGACAGTGTGGCGATTCCTCAAGGATCTAGAACTAGAAATACCATTTGACCCAGCGATCCCATTACTGGGTATATACCCAAAGGATTATAAATCGTGCTGCTATAAAGACACATGCACACATATGTTTATTGAGGCCCTATTCACAATAGCAAAGACTTGGAACCAACCCAAATGTCCATCAATGATAGACTGGATTAAGAAAATGTGGCACATAAACACCATGGAATACTATGCAGCCTTAAAAAAGGATGAGTTCATGTCCTTTATAGGGCCATGGATGAAGCTGGAAACCATCATTCTGAGCAAACTATCACAAGGGCAGAAAACCAAACACCGCATGTTCTCACTCATAGGTGGGAATGGAACAATGAGAACACTTGGACACAGGTGGGGAACATCACACGTCAGGGCCTGTTGTGGGGTGGGGGCAGTGGGGAGGGATAGCATTAGGAGAAATACCTAATGTAAATGACGAGTTAATGGGTGCAGCACACCAGCATGGCACATGTATACATATGTAACAAACCTGCACGTTGTGCACATGTATCCTAGAACTTAAAGCATAATAAAAAATATATATAGTAAAAAAAAAGAAATTCCCCCTGGCCTGGCACTGGCTGTAGGGATGGTTTGACCCACAAATGGCCATGTGACCCCATCAATCCTGCATCAGTCAGCAAAGCCACTGGGATGGGAGTCAGAGACTTGGGTACACCGAGAGGGGATGTCTATTCTATGTTTTCTCTGGGCTCTGCCACTCAGTGTAACATGTTTCCCCCCTTCAAGAGCCCCACTACCTTTCCCCTCAGGAAGAAGGAGCCTCAGGGAAAGCAAAGGGAGCCTAGAGCTCATTGGCATCCTCTGGTATGGCTGAGATCCTCACCAAGGTCCTGTTGCCCCCACTGAATCCACGACAAAGAGAGGGCTGAAAGTGGCCTCAGAGAAACCACCTTGGCCAATGCCCTCATTTGGCATTTGTGGCAAGTGGGGCCCAGAGACGGTGAGTACCCTGCCCAAGGTCACACAGTAAGTTAAGGGAGGGCTAGGGAGTTAAGGGAGTCAAGTTAAGGGAAGCAAGTTAAGAGAGCCCCTGGTGTCTCCATCTAGGGGCTCTAGAGGCCAGCCCAGCCCCACAGACCGGGAGGATGGTGGCATGGGTTAACACATGGGGTCCCCCAGGCCCTGCTCAGCCAAGTTCATGCTATTTCCTCTACCTCCAATCTATCCAGTCTCAACTTATAATCCTCCATGACTCCCCCATTGAGGTTAAACTACAATCCATATTCTCCCTCCCTGATGTAACCTCCTCCACGCTCCAGTTGATTGCCGTACTTCAGCTCCTATTCCCAGAGGGTACCCAGTGTGTTCCCACCTCAGGGCCTTTGCCTCTGCAGTTTCTTCCACCTGGAGCTCTCTTCCCACATGTTGGCATGGTAGACTCCTCGCTGTCCAGCTTTTAGCTGCCATGTTGCCTAAGAGGCCTTCCCTGATTCCCCTGGCCAGAGCAGCCCCCTGCCCTCCGTCAATCACTGCCCCATCACCCTGGTCATTATCTTTCTCGCACTTACCATTATCGTTATTAGCTTGTCCCTATATAGGTCTCTCTGCAGCAGAATATAGGCTCCCAGAGAGCAGGGCCTTGTCTGGCAGGTCCACAGCTGCGTCCCTGCCTCCTCAGTGCCTGGTATGCAGGAGGTGCCCAACTAATGTTTGTCAATCAACTCTGATTGAAAGAGACCTAGACAAGACAGGTCACTGAAGCCTCACTCCAGCTGCACCAAAAACAAACAAAAAACCCCAAACCTTCCACATGTCTTTGGGCAAGTGGCCCCTCTTTGGGCCCCAATTTCCCCGTCTGAAAAATGGCGTTCCCTGGCTGCCGGGCTGGCTCGCAGGATAGGCTGGTTGAATTAGCATGAGTCGAGTTGATGGGTGTGAACGCTGCTTTGTAAACTGTTAAAGCGTGATTGCAAATTCGAGTAGCTGTTGTCATTAGACAAATGAAGCTTAAACCGCCTCCTCCTCTGCTGAGGAGGGGATTGGGTCAGATGCTCCCTGGGGCCTCCTGCCCTGGCAGTGTACAGTATAGTTTTGCATCCAGGCACTGCCCTCATGGAGCTCACAGTCGGCTGGAGTTGTAGAGATAACGTGCAAATCAGAAACAATCCATCAGAGAAACCAGCAATGGACCATGTGGGGCTGATTATCTTTCAGGGAACAGATAATAGGCAAATAGGTCAGTCAGAGAGGGGTGAGGCGAATGTCAATTAAGCTCTTGGTGGGGGCTGGGGTGAGGCTGAATCCAAGTCTTTAGAGCCAAGAAGGCAACCAGGTGGAGTGCACAGCTGGGACAAAAGCACAGCTAAAGGCGGTTGCCAAGAAATCAGGGAGGAGAGCCTGGCCAGACTGCAGAACCCAGCCACCCCAAATGGGGAATAAAATACTGTTTAGAGAGAAGAGGATGTGAGAGAAGGGGAACTTAATTATGATCAGTAATTTTCTATTTTTGCCAGGTAAAGGCCCTGGATAGATGTCTATTTCATCAGATAACGTTGGGTGAGTCACTTTCCTTTTTAGGCCTCAGTTTCCTTATCTGTGAAATAGCCTGTGGGAAGAGCCCTGAGCTCTGTGCTTCTGTGAAAGGTACAAGGAGGTCAGCACTGGGGTCGGACGGACATGGGGTTGAATCCTAGCCCAATTTGCCATGTGACTTTGGACAAATTACTTATCTGGTCCTCAGTTTCATCATGTGAAAAGATCAGCACCTGGTGCACAGAGTAGGAAAGATTAAGGGGGACAAGAAATAAACAAAGCCCAGCCTAGTGCCTGGTACCATGTCCTCAATAAAGCAGAGTCACTGGTCTTCCTATTTTGAGACAAAAAGGAAGTAACCACTGGCCCTGGGTAGGTGGAGTCAAGGGTCCCAGGAAATAGAAACAAAGCAAAAAAGCTGAATCTGCACAGTACATAATAGGTGCTCAATAATGACTTCTTGAATTTGGAAGTGTCTAGCACCTGGATGCACTGGAGGGGGCCAGAGCTTAGAGCTGCTCTGTCCAGGAGAGGGAGGATTGCCTCAAGATGGGCCAAGCTTGGGGTCCCTCAAACCCTGGGTCTCCTGGAAGGTCTGACAGGCAAGAACTGAAAATAAAGGCTAGCCCCACCCCAGTGGATCTTGACCCTGGTGAGGGGTCTGTAGACTTAAAAGGGGGAATCTTCGTTTCTCCTCTCTCCCTGCTCACTCAAATAGGAACGGTAGTGGCTCTGCCAGCCCCACCCCACTGGCTCTTGACCCTGGTGAGGGGTCTGTAGGCTTAATAGGGGGAAATCTCCTGTTTCTCTTCTCTCCCTGCTCACTCCTGTTCTGTCTCCCTCCCAGGCTGCCTCCTCCTGGTGGCCTTCCAGGATGACACCCATTTCAACTGGACTCTTGGAGCTTCAAGAGACGACCCAACTTTCCAAACCTTAGATGGATTCCCAAAGCCTGTGGTACCCCATTTTCTTGGTATGGACTGAAGGGGAGGGATTGCTGGGACATTTTGATAGTATGTGGGACAAAGGGACACAGGAGATGTGGGTAGCATAGACTTAAACTGCCTTCGACTTAAACCACCTGCTCCTGCACTGGGCTCCTCCACTCACTCCACAGAGTTCCGAGCTCCTGATGAAGTCTCCTCAGTCAGGAGTGGGCTCCCAACTGCCAGGGGTTCAGCCTGGGTGATTGCCGCAGGCCCCCTGCAGCCGCCCACCATCCAGACTTCAGTAAAGTCTGTTAATGATGATGGTGATGAAGGCTGTCAGAGCAGGGCAGGGCCCACAGGGTTGGGGCTAGGGTTGTGTTCTCCCTGAAGGGACGGCCATGCACAAAACCACGGCTGCACAGACAGGTCCATTCCACAGCGTGGGGGTGGCTGGGGCTTTCCCCAGATTCACCCATGGACTTCCTTCACCCCATCCCCAAACTGCACTGGGAGCAAGATCAACAGAGAAGGAGAAATCTAATACAGACATAGACGAGTCTGCAGTGAGGGGCTCGCGGGCCAGCTCAGAACAACGGGGCAGGGAGGGGAGGCCTGGGGTCTGCCTGCAAGGGCCCAGCCCACCAGTGCCGAGTGACCACCCTCCCCCCAGCCCCACCCCAGGCCCTCGGGTAGCGCCAAGGCCCAGTCTCCCACTCGGAGGCCCCGGCCCAGCCCCGGTGCCTGGGAAAGCCGCCTGTTTTGTTCCCAGATGCCACCCCCCCACACACACCCTTTTTTTTTTTTTTCCATTCATTGCAGTTCGGTCCCTTTCGAAGCCGCAGGGACCCGGGTGGCAGGGCTGAGGCGAGGGGGTGGGACTCCCTGCCCTGACAGGTAGTGCCGGCCCCCGCTTTGGGAAGCCCCTTCCCCCGCCCTCCCCTCCGTCCGCTCTCCCTGCCCCTGTCAGCCGCGCCAGACGCTCTCCGGCTTTGCAGCATTCAATAAAAATTGAGAAACATTTGGGCTGAAATCGCTGCTTTATCTGGAGGAGCCACAGCGCCGGGAGAGACCACTGCTGCGCGGGGGGAGCCCGGGGTCTCAGTGGCCCGGGCACGCGGGGTCGCCGCGCTCCAGCGCCCGCGCTGCCCCCGGGTGACCCTACGGGCGCGGTGTGGGGACCCGGGCTCGCGGCGGCGCGCGGCCGCCGGGGGCCGGGACGCGCGCGGGGGGCGGTGGCCTGGCGAGGCTCCCCCCGCGCCCGCGGCTCAGGTGGGCCGTGCCCAGCGCTGGCGGAGCCCGGGTCCCCGTTCTGCCCGGGCTGGATGGCTCATTCTGCTGGCTGCGCGGTGGCGGCGGCTGTGTGTGCGCCGCGCCTTGCCGCCCCCCCTGGCCCCCCGAGCCCGGGGCGCGCGCTCCCGCCCGGGCCGTCCGGGCCCCGCGGCGCCGCGGCCCGAGGCCCCGGGAAGCGCAGCCATGGCTCTGCGGAGGCTGGGGGCCGCGCTGCTGCTGCTGCCGCTGCTCGCCGCCGTGGAAGGTGAGCGAGCGGGCGGGCGGGCGGGCGATGGGGGCGGGGAGCGGCCGGGCACGGGCGGCCGCCGGCGCCCACCTCCGCTCCGCGGCCCGCAAAGTTTGCCCGGGGGCCGGCGCCGGGCGCAGGTGGCCGCGGGGAGGTGTGTCCGGCCGCGCCGGGAGGAGCGGGCCCCGCGGGCGCCCGGGGAGCGGCGGGCGCTGATTGACTGTGCCAGGAGGAGGCGAAGGGACCATCTTGCCGAGGCTTTGTAGCCAGCCCGGCGAGCGCCGCCCAGGGCTGGGGGCTGCCCACGCGCGCTCGCCGCCCCCGGCTCGGGCAGCCGCCTCGCGCCGGCCTGGTCTTGCTCCGCACAGGGTGGAGGGGCGCGGGCCCGGCCGTGGCGGGGGGCGGGGGGGGCGCCGGCGCTCGGTCGGGGCTGGAAAGTTTGGCAGGGAGCAGAGGGAGGGAGGCACCGCGGCCGGCCGGGGTGGGGGCTCCCGGCCCGCGCCCCCGAGATGGGGCCCGGCGCCCCGGAGAGCAGGGACTGGCAGAGTGGAAGGGAGCGCGCCAGCCCCCGCGTCGGTGCCTGCCCATCGCCCGCGGCGTACAATGGGGTCCCCTCCCCGAGAGGACTGCGCGGGGGATGGGTCTGTGGGCATCTCTCCGCCGCGCAAGGTCTCCGGGCACCCCCGCCGGCCACCGCCCCGCGGCCGCGGCGCTCAGCGTGGCGGCTGGAGCCCCGGGAACTCTCCAGCTGCCGCCGGGGCCGGACCAGATGCTCTTGCCATGTGTTGGCCTTGGCCAGGGTCGCGGGCCCTCTCCCCGTGGCCTCGTGTATTGGTACCACTCGACCCCCAGGGGGGCAAGGGTAGTTGCTAGGTCTCCCGAGCCAGCTTGCTCTGGAGGGAAAGTTAGTGCGGTCTGGGTGTGTCCACCAGGAATGGCCGAGCTTGCAGGGCAAGAAGCGAACGTGAATAATGGTTCTCACGTGTACTGCACTTTACAGTTTTCAAACCACTTTACAGTTTATGAAGTACTTCGCACTATACGCAGCTCTCTGTGGTTTACAACGTGCTGCACAGTTGACAAGGTACTTTAAGCTTTACAAAGTGCTTTCCCGCCCACCAGCGTGTTGGATCCCTCAAAATACACCTTCCGGGGAAGACAGGTAGGTATGATTCCTACTTCTCTTGAACAGATAGGGAAACCGAGGTTCTGAAAAGTCCGATGTCTCACCCAGGGCCGTTGGGTGACAAAAATAGAACCCAGGTCTGTGGTCTTTCTTTGAAACCAGCACTCACTTAGCTGGGTTTTGTTGCCCCTAAACTGCGTGAGCCCTTCCAGGGTTCTGCTCCCTTGGGCTTAGGGATGATGTCTGTGTGCACCTCTCAGGCCACTTTAGGGTTGTGGGGCGCCCCTTCCCTTCTTGCAGCCTAAGAAAAAACGCATATCAGACCAGACGTGGGGGCTGCGGCCTCTGGGAAAGGCGTCGTGGGGGACCCTGTGCTACAACTTCAGTTTCTCTTTCGGTAATGAGCACTTTAGTGACCGCAGTCAGGGGGTGGGGGGTGTCCCTGGATGGCAGCCACAGTTTCTGGCACTGAGGCAGCTGTCCTTCGGCTCCTGGGGGATTTGGCGGCTGACTGCGGTTTCCCGGAGTGGGGCCACTGGGGCACCTAGGGTGCCACGGGCCCTGGGTGTGGAGGGCAGCCCTGGGGCCTGGCTGCTGGCGGGAGCTCTGTGGAATATGGCTGAGGTACCACTTATTAACTCTGGCTTTGGGGAAATGACTCATGCGTTGGCCCGCTATACATTGGGATGTTTACAGTATTATGGGGAGCTTGGCATAAATATTGCTATTTAGGTTGCAGTCAGCGGTGCTGGAGGGGAAGAAAATTGGCCCCTCTCTCGTTGGAAGAGGCCTGGGTGTGTTTTTAATTACTCTGGGGTAGATGGAAGGGCCACATCTGTCCAGCCATCGCCCTGGCAGAGGCTGGTTGGAATCTGGTGGGCTGTGGCCAGCCTGGACCCTGGCCCTGGACACAGGGCTGGTGGGCGCTGACGTCACAGGAGGGTATGGCTACTTGGACTGCCACTTGGGGGCAGGGTGGGGAAGGGAAGCCACAGCAGGGTGGGAGGAGGGCTGCAGCAGGCACCCCAATGCTTGCCTCAGGCTCTTGTTCCGTTTGCCCCCTGGACACTAGGAAGTTAGTCCATCAGTGGTTAATAAGGAGCTGGCCGAATGGATGGGGAGATGGTGTGAGGTGGAGGTCAGAGGGCCTGCTTCTCATTTACTATGGGACCCTGGGCCAGGTCCCTTCCCTGTGGGGGCCTCAGTTTCTCTGGGTGTAAAATGGCCTGGCTAAATATCTTGTAGAGTCCATCGTCTACGCCCTACTTCCCCTCTTTGAGCCTCGTTTTCCTCCCCCGTCTAGTGAGAGTGATGACAGCGCCTGTCCTGCCTGTCTCCTGGGGTGTTTGTGAGGATCAGACCAGATGATGGGTGGGAGAAGTCCCCCTTCAAAGCCAGGGATGGACGGTGCTGCCTGTGCACATTTGGGGGGCGGTGCTGCCTGTGCACATTTGGGAGACACCAGGGTCCTCCTGAGGGTGACACAGTCTGTGGAGACAGGACTGGGCCGTGGAGCAGTAGGAGGGTGGCCCCTCTGGCTCCCAGAACCCAGAGCCACATGGCTACCACTTCCTTCCCTTCCTCCTTCCTTGTCTCCTCAGCCCGTAAAGGGCTGTCCTGCCGGTTAAGTCCCCAGGAAATCCCCAGCTCCAGCCTTCGGAATGGGGGAGAGGAGAGTGTGTGTGTATACGGGGGGTTTCTAGGTTAGGACGGTAAGCTTAGCATCTCCCCCAAACTGTGAGACCGCCCCCCGACCAAGTGAAAGAAAGCATGGAGCATGTGAAGTGGCGGCGAGCAGGATGGAAGAGCACTGGGGAAACGTCCAACAGGACAGGAGGCCGGTGGCAGACCCTGTCCATCCCTGGCCGATGGAATCCAAAGGTCAAGGTCTCAAGAAAACAGCCTCCTTACATCTGCTCCTTTGCTCTCCAAATATCGATAGAGTTTCCTCTCTGGCTGACAGGGTGCTGGACTCCGGGGCAGGCAAGGAGACGGGACAAGCTGACAG
Source organism: Homo sapiens (assembly GCF_000001405.40). NCBI lineage: Eukaryota > Metazoa > Chordata > Mammalia > Primates > Hominidae > Homo > Homo sapiens. The sequence continues at coordinate 22,714,160 of NC_000001.11, forward strand.
GGAAAAGAGTGGGCGAGACAGAGCATGATACGGGGTCCAACGTACTTCCCAGAGGAGGCTGTGAACCCCCCGGGGCGGCAGGTGCACTTGAGGACAGAACAGGGTTATTTCATCTTTTATGCTGTTATGCATTGCCTCATTTTCTCACCACCCATTTTCCCTGCTATGAAACTTTCTTAGCCACCTGTCATGCTAACGAACTGTGTTCTCAAGAGTTAAAGAGGTTGACTTTAGAACTTATAGGATGTGGAGAATTTTACCTAAAAAAGGAAATAGCATGTCTATATGTCCATAGAAAGACATGGAGGCAGGATGATCAGGTGCTTACTTTGATGTGTCTGAGGAGGGTGGGTGTTGAGGGCAGCAGTGGGGGTTGAGACTGAGAATGGGAGTGGGGTGGTCAGGTCCTGAAGGGCTAGAATGGAAGGCTGGGGAGTTTGGATCAAATGCTGAGGGCAGCAGGGAGCCCTTGAAGGTTCTTGAGCTATCAAGGGACCTGGCCAGATTCATGCTTGGAAAGATCACTGACTTGCAATGTGTGGTGACGTTCAGATGAGCCAGATCTGGTCCTGGACAGTCACAGTAAAGCCAGCTTGTCGGTTCCCGGCTAGACTGTGAGCTCCCTGAAGACAGAGACCCATCTGGCTCATCTTTGTGTCCACAGTTCTGGTCTGAAGAGCTCTGTTCAAATTCCACCTCCCCAGAGGCCTTCCCTGATTCTCTCTTCTAAAACAGACCCAGTTCTGCTTCTTTCCATCCCACCTGCTTTGTTGTGCTTCATGAAACCCATCGCCACCTGAAGAAGCATCAAAGACTTGTTTGGCATCTGCCTTGCCCACTAGACTGTAAACTCCAGGACTTCATCTGCCATGTTTGCTGTGACATCTCCAGTGCCTAGAACTGTGCCCAGCCATGCGGGTGCTCAGTAACGGAATGACATTGTCAGCTGAGGAACATGGAATGAATTGAATGTTGAGTGAATGAACAGATGAATATATGATACTGTGTTATGTGATAAGTATTGGGAGAATGATATGGAGATGGAGGGAAGTCCATCTGGCAGAGGAAATCAAGGAGGTCTTCCTGGAGGGAGATACCAAGGGGATGGCTTGAGTAGAGATGCAAGAAAGTGCTGGGGATAACGAATAGACCAGTTCAGAGGGAGCAGAGCATTCAGATGGGCCAGCAGCCACTGTGTGCTAGGTAGACAAGTCCACTTCTGATGGGGGGTGGGGGAAGCCTGCCTCCCTCCCTCCCCCAGCTCAACTCTCCCACCCCAACCTCTACCCTACTGGGCCCACCTCTGGGGCATTACCTGTCTAAGACCCAGCGACCTTCCATGGGATTAATTTGGAATTGGTTTTCCTTTTATGTCTGTTTCTTTTGCTTCTCATTTTTAAAGGAGGCTGCTTTCATGTATTTGTCTTAGCCAGGAAATCAGGGCTTAGATTTAAAACCTAAATGTTGTAGAATCAGAAAGCCAGTTGACTTATTCACTCATTCATTTCTCCATCCATCCATATATTTTTAAAGAGTCACCAGGCACCTAGTTCATGTCAGGGGCTGGTTGGGAGAAGGGATTCTGCCTGTGGTGGGGAACGGGGCCAGCTGACTTCACAGGCAGTGTGTGGTAGAGAAAATGCATAGCCTTCAGGCGCAAACAGACGTGAGTTCAAATCCCAGCTGTGTGCTCTGGGGCGAGGAGCGCAGACTCCCTGCACTTCAGTTTCCCCCTGGGTTCCTGTGTCAGACACTCATTAAATGCTGTGGACATTAAATGCTGGTCTCAACCCCTCTAAGGTCCTTCCCTCAATGATGGCGACGTGGCCCCCTTTTTGGCATTTAATTTGTCCAGGCACCAGATCAGCCTTCAGTGTCTCCCCTAACCCACCCCACAAGCTCCCAACTTCCCCCAGACTCGGGATGGTAACCCCCCAAGTGTGGACAGACTCAGACTCCATCCCTGCCTCTTTCTCCAGAGCCCCATCAGGGGAAAATACTCAGATTCCTAGTCCAGAGGGACTGTCATCTGGGGTCCCTAAGCCTCCTAAGTCCTGGGGATCTTTGTTCACCCTGAAATTGTCATAGAACATTGGATGGGCCCCCTCCCTCCTGTGGGATTGTCCTAGGCCCTACTTCCTCAAGGCTCTTCATCAGCGCCAAAGTGGGGACAGGTTCTTTTTTTTTTTCGAGATGGAGTCTCACTTTGTCACCCAGGCTGGAGCACAGTGGTGCCATCTCGGTTCACTGTAACCTCCGCCTCCCGGGTTCAAGCCATCTTCCCACCTCAGCCTCCGGAGTAGCTGGGACTACAGGCATGTGCCACTACACCCGGCTAATTTTTTTGCATTTTTAGTGGAGACGGGGCGGGGGTTCACCATGTTGACCAGGCTGGTCTCGAACTCCTGACCTCAAGTGACCCACCCACCTTGACCTCCCAAAGTGCTGGGATTACAGGCCTGAGCCACTGTGCCCTGCCTGGGACAGATTCTATGGGCCAGTTTGCTGGGCATTCAGCCCGTGGTAGCCTCTGGTCAACTCTGCCTGCCCAGAGCTCACCTGTGAGTTTAGACTGGAGACTGGACCTCTGCACATAGAAAGGCCCCTAACAGGAAGGGGCAGATGGAGCCTGCTGGTGACAGGATGCCTGGGCTGGGCAAGGCAGGGGACCCATGCTCCCACTGAGGGTGGCGGAGATGCAGAGCACGGTGGGCCTCCTGACGGGAGGATCTTCCACACCTCCGACCAAGGACCCGTCTCCTGACCTGGCACCTGCATGCCTGACTTAGCTGGAGATCTGGGAGATGGGGAACAAGGTTGGGGAGTCTGTATTTTTAACATACTCTCCAGGTCTTTCCATTAGGCAGGCAAATTTGCCCCCCAGCGGCCTATGATAAAACACAGGACTCCTGGGAAAGAGGAAGAGAAACCTCAGCAGGAAACTGGAAAAGACTGAAATGAAGTGAAATCAATCAGAGTTAGCGCCCACCAGCCCTGGCTGCCGCTGGCTCGTGCATAAAAAGAGGGTTAGCTGGGGGAAGGCAGGGAAGGAAAGAATGTTTGCACAGCTCCCAGGGGTGGGGCAGCAGGCCAGGCAGTTGTTGATTGTGGCAGCACCTGGAGGCTCCCTGATTGGGATCAGCTCAGGCCTTCTGATAAGGCTGCCTTGAAAGCATTTTAGGGCCTTTTAAAGCAGCTGCCTTCCGGAGGGTGCAGGAGGGGGACACCTGTCTCCCCAGTACCCCCGTGTCATCTGGGGGCTTGCCTAGGACACCCTCACTAGGTGAGCTTCCTGGAGCCATCTGCCCCCCTGCTGCAGCCCCTGTGGGGTGGGAGTGTCCTCAGAAGAGGGGACCTTGCCTGCTGTGTGGCCTTGACCAAGTGATCCACTCTCTGAGCCTCAGCTTCCTCATCTGGAAACTGGAGAATACCGCGCATGTGTCAGAGGCTCATGGCGAGGATTCAGTGAGATGCTGTGTACCATGACTGGCAGAACTGCCTGGCACTCAGCTGTGTCCATTCTTTATTAGTTTCCGTAACCATTAAATGTCAGCAGCACCCTCGTGCCCCTGGCCAGAATGACTTGTCCCTTTCTCTGAAGTCCTACAGAGGCTTTGCTTAGCCCTGATCACTTTCTCTCCTGTTCTATAAACAGCAGAGCCTGGGGGTTACAGGAAATGTGTGTGGAGTCAGACTGCTCCGTACTGTGTGTCCTCTGGCTTGTGTTTTCACCTCTCTGAGCCTTGGTTTCCTCATCTTTCAAATGGGGGTAATCATTGTTCCTAGCTCTTGAGATGGTTGTGAGCAATGGATGTGTTAATCTGAGGAAGACTAAGCTGAGTGTGTGCCTCAGGTGTGCTAAGCTTGCAATAAATGTGAACGGTTGCTATCCTTGCTTTCTACCAATGGGAAGCTCAATTCACAGTAGGGGAACAGGGGGCCAGTGTACCAGGTTTTTCATCTCCAGCTCTCCCCCACCCACTGTGTTCTGAGCCTTACAGGGCAAGGGTCTGACTGGCTTGCCAAGTAGCTGAGAGGCCCCTCCAGCCTGCCCACTCAGGGTACCATCCAGGTTTTCTCAAAGGCCCCCTCCCCACTCCAATTCAGCCTCCCTAATCTGGGAAAGGGGTAGACTCCTTCATGGCTGTACCCTCCTTCTTTGCCCAGTGCCTGCCAGGCACCACCTTCCCTGCCATGATCATGGGAATGGCTGTCAATTCTTTTTTTTTTTTTTTTTTTTTTTGAGACAGAGTATTGCTCTTGTTGCCCAGGCTGGACTGCAGTGGTGCAATCTCGGCTCACTGCAACCTCTGCCTCCCGGGTTCAAGAGATTTTCCTGCCTCAGCCTCCCTGAGTAGCTGGGATTACAGATGCCTGCCACCATGCCCGGCTAATTTTTTGTATATTTTAGTAGAGATGGGGTTTCACTATGTTGGTCAGGCTGGTCTCGAACTCTGACCTCAGGCGATCCACCTGCCTCGGCCTCCCAAAGTGCTGGGATTACAGGTGTGAGCCACCGCGCCCAGCAGCTGTCAATTCTTGTGCCAGACATTGTACTAACAGCATTATGTGTGTTGCCTTGTGCAGTTGCCCCAAGAGCCCCACAGGTCGTTGTATTATTGTGCCCATTTTACAGATGAGAAAACCAAAGCTCTGAGAGGAGTGACTGGCCCAAGGACACCTAGGGAGTGGTGAGGCAGCGATTGAAACCCAAGTCTGGTGACTCCAGAGCTCATGCTCTTCTCCACTTCTAGAATGTGCCTCCCTGCTCAGAGGAAAGGCTTGGCTCTGATGAGGGTCTCTAAGGCAGCTGTCCAGCTTCCAGCTCCATCAACATCCTGAGATAATGCAATGGGAGGGTTCTACAACTCACAAACCTGCCATAAAAATGCAATCTCTGTGATAATGGTCAGAATAATGTTGTTCTAACTTAGACAAATCGGGTGTTAACTCATTATGTTGTAAGGGGCGCCTCCACAGAGAATGGAGACTACGAAACAGTCACAGGGCCATTTGCAGCTTGTACTTCCAAATACAATAGCTCATCAGGCCTTCACAGCCATCCTGAAAGGGGCAGGAGCCACGGGGCCCACTTTAGAGATGAGGAAACTGAGGTCTGGGAGATAATATGACTCGCCCAAAGCCAGCAGCGGGACCAAGCTTGAAGCCCAGGGCCAATCTTAATAGCTCATCTATCCAGTTCAAATTCTTAGCCAACATTTGAAAATCAAGAGATTTTACAGAAAAGTCCTGTTTCTGGCGTTTCTGAAAAGTCAGACAATCTGGTTTCACAGGGCCCACATTCCCACATGGCCACAGTTGGCTGGAGTGACTGCCTCTTAAGACAGAATGTGTGAGCACCAGGGGTACCTCTCTACTGACTTGCAACATACATTTGTCTTGGTGTGTTGCAAGTCGGTGGAGACGTACCCTTGGTGCTCAACCCCTGTAAGGGCTTGAGTTTGCCTCCTGGATCTGCCCCTGTTACCCTGTGTGACCTGGAGTCAATTGCATGGCTTCCCGAGCCTCAGCTCTCTCTTCTATAAAATGACAGGGGTGAGACTCAGTGATTTTGGAGGCCTCTTCCAGCTCCAGGATTCAGTGCCCATTGCCAGGGTTCAGGGGTTCAGGCAAGGGAAGGGAGAGCTACAAAAAGTACAGGACTCCACTCCTGAAAAGCATATCACTTATCTTTAGCAAGCCACCACAAAACCTACTGGCTTAAAACAATAATGATTTCTTAGTTGTCCTGATTCAGTGGATTGGCTGGGCTCAGCTGGGTGCTTATTCTGTTCCCCGGGTTGTCAGTTGGGATCACTCAGGAGGCTGCACTCAGCTAGGTTGGGCTGGAAATTCCATCGTGGCTTCACATACATCTTTGAGGCCCTCATAGAGAAGGCTGGAAGGCTGGTCCCCCTACGCTCCTCGCTATCTCCCATCCTTTGCTAGTCTAGACTGCGCCTCTATCCATGGCAATTAGCTCCCAAGATGGTGAAATGGAAACTGCAAGGCTTCTTAAGGGCTGGGCTCTAATGTCACAAAGTGTCACCCCTGCAGCCTTCTGTGGTGGTCAAAGCCAGTCACAACACCAGCTCAGATTCATCCCAGGCTTCCTCATCAGGTTCAAGGAAAAGGAAAATATACTGGGCTTGATTTTTTTGTTTTATCCTTGAAGAGAAGTCCCATTTCTTGCTCAGCTGTTCAGCATGGAAAATTTAATGGTGGGTTATCCAGCGTCCCACTCAACATGTCCTGACCCACTGAATCAGGTGACACTCAGAGTTCAGTGCCCGCCCCTGCACCCTGTTGTTGTCCATGTTTCTTGGGCCAACCTGTGGTCCAAACTTGAATCTAGACGCCCCCTTACTGGGAGGAGTGGCTTCGTGTTTAGTAGGGGGAGGAATTGTTGGCAGCCATATTTGGAGACAGCCTCTCACAGGTAGTTTATCGTCCAGTCCAGGGATGGCGGTGGGGAGGCAACAGGAAGCCAGAAATCTCATTCCCCCCCCCCCCCGCCCCAGCACTTACCCCCGAATTGTCTTCAGTGTTATCTGCCTCTTCTGAGAAGGCAGGGACTTTCCACTTCACTATGTACAGCACAAGGCTTGGCTCATGATAGATATTAGATAGATGTTTGTGCAATAAACGAACCTAAAATTCATGAAAAATGGCAGCCTGGAGTTGTAGATATTCAAGACCTAGTATGAGGTGTGAGGCCAGAGAAAGGGGCCTTGGGCTGGTGGGATTGAACTGAAAAGATGGGTCCCTGGTGCTCCTGTGGCCTGGGGCAGGTCACTTCACCCCTCTAGGCCTCATTTTCCTTATCAGCGAACTGGGCATCATAATTTCAGGCACTACAGAAGGCTGTGCCGAGGAGTAACTGTGTTCTTCATTCTACTATGAAAGACCGGGTAAGGGGGTGACTGGTTGTCACTCCCACCTTGGCCAGAGGTCATCGCAGGAGTGGGGAAGCATTAGAGGAAAAGAAAAAATTCTAAAGGCATGGGCCAGTTATTGTCAAATTAAGTTTGGACCACAGGCTGGCCCCAGAGCACATGGAAATGTGTACAAACAGTGAAGTGAGTGGGTGGGACCACTGAGCTCTGAGCGTTGCTTCCAAAGACAGTTGAGGGGGACCTGGGCAACACATAGTCAAAGTTGACGCATTAAACCATTGAGCAAGAAATTGGCCTTCTGTTTGCTGGCAGACCAGGAAATCTGGCCTAACGTAATACCGGGAATAAATCACAAGAGTCTTGATCAGAGACTCCAGACTTGTGAGCTGGCCTGCGTTGTGAATGAGTGAGGTGACTTGACTGTTGGAAGTATAATAGTGCCCCCAGTAAGAGCGCATGTCCAGTCTAAAAAAGGCAGGTGCTACCCACTCCTGACCATGTTGTCACACAGGAATCTGTGTCCGGTTTTGCCACATCTTCTGATTTGCAAAGTTCTTTTTTTTCCTCTCTCTTTTTTCTTAGACAGGGTCTCACTCTGTCTCATAGGCTGGAGTGCAGTGACGCAATCGCAGCTCACTTAGCCTTGACCTCCTGGGCTCAAGCAATTCTCTCACCTCAGCCTCCCAAGTAGCTGGATCCATAGGCACCTGCCACCGCATCCAGCATTTTTTTTTTTTTTGTAGAGACAGAGTCTTTCACCATGTTGCCCAGGCTGGTCTTGAACTTGTGAACTCAAGCAGTCCTCCTTCTTCAGCCTCCCAAAGTGCTGGGATTACAGACATAAGCCATTGCGCCCAGCCTGATTTGCAAAGTTCTGATGCTTATGGGAAAACTGGTTTTTGTTTTGTTTTGTTTTGAGTCTCGCTCTGTTGCCTAAGCTGGAGTGCGGTGACACTATCTTGGCTCACTGCAACCTCTGCCTCCCAGGTTCAAGCAATTCTTGGGCCTCAGCCTCCTGAGTAGCTGGAACTACAATCATGTGCCACCACGCCTGGCTAATTTTTGTATTTTGAGTAAAGACAGGCACCTACCACCATGCCCAGCATTTTTTTTTTCTTTTTGGTAGAGACGGAGTCTTGCCATGTTGGCCAGGCTGGTCTCAAACTCCTGGCCTCAAGTGATCCACCTGCCTCAGCTTCCCAAATTGTTGGGATTACAGACGTGAGCCACCATGCCTGGTCTGAAAACTGGTTTTTGAATGTTTACTCATTTTATTCTAAAATACAGTTCTGGCCAAACCAAACCATGTTTGCTGGCTGGATTTGGCTCACTGGCTGGCAGTTTACAACCTTAGGTATTTGGGGTAAAGAAATAGCAAGGGTATTGTTAGCACCATTGTACAAATGGGGAAGTTGAGGTTCAATGACTTACTCAAGGTTACATAGCTGTTAGGCACTGGGAGGTGTTAAAACATGGCTCCTCACCTTGAAATGGGGAGTCTCTTTCCCTGTAACTTCCCTGCATGATCCCTGTTTTCCACGCTCCAGAACAATCCAGGAACGTAAGAGCCATCTTGCAGGCATCTGCCATGTTTGAAGGCAGAAAGCATGTCTTCCCTAGGTTTCTTCTTGAGGGAGGTAGAGTTGGCAGAATGAATGAAAAGCAGCGTGGTCTTAGACTAGAACCATGCTACGTTGGACCTCTGGCTCTGACACTTAACAGTGTTACCTTGGCCCTCTTAGCTCTTTGAGCCTCAGCTTCTTGAACTATACAATGAGGTTAGACAAGGCGTCCTGGAAGAGGCGACTTCTAAGATGATTCTTAAGGAAGAGCCAGGTGAAGAAGCAGCAAGGCAGCCATTCCAGGCAACAGGAACAGCATCTGCAAAGATCCGGATAGGAGGCCCGTGAGTGTGTGATGTATTTGGGGAGCTGGAAGGAGTCCTGTGTGACTGAGAATGGGGCATGCCAAGCACTGGGGCGGGGTGCAAGCTGCCTGGCCCCAGCAGGGAGAGAGCGTGGGGTCAACATTCCCATTATGGCGACGACATATGTCCACGGCACCAACTTGTCACTTGGCCTGAGTCCATGGGAAGCCGGAAGGACAAAAAGCATCTGAAACGTGTAAGTGGGGAGAAAGCGGCTTAGCGCACAGTGGGATGCGTCCCGCCTGAATGGGGCTTCTCCGCCTCTCACGGGGAGGCAGAGCCTGGGAACAGCCTCGTCCAGAGCCCGCAGGGCCTTTTTGGAACCCACGAAAGGCCATGGCCCAGGGAGTCTGTTCGAGTCAGGGCTCTGGCCGGTACATCCTCTTGCCTGTCTCCGTCAGCGTCAGCTGTCACTCCCCACGGCCTCAGATGGCAGCTCCCGCAGCTCTCGGGAGAACAGTGGAAAAGGGCTCCTGAGCTGCCAAGGAGCCCCTGACACTGGGTGCCCCTGGCTGGCCCGGAAGCACAGCCATGCCAGCAAAGCTCAGGACTCCCTCTGACCAGCCCCTTCTGGAGTTGAAAGGGTGATGAGGCTGGGCCCCTTGGCCTGAGGCCAGGAGAGGGAGGAGATATCGGGGGAAAGACCCTGAACTTTGTAGACTTGCAGAACTGTGTTCAAATCCTAGTCTTTCCACTCACTGGCGGTGTCAGGGGCAAACCATTTCACCCTCTTCAGCTTTAGCTTCTCATCTGTAAAGTGAGGATACTGTCACCTACCCCATGGTGTTGTTTGAGGAATTAAAAGAGCTAATGTATTTTTTTAAAGCAGTTGTTTTACCAAGCCTCTCTCATCCTCAGTATCTCAGCCACTCAAAGGCAATAATAATAGTAGTAATAATACCAGCAGCAACTAGCATGTATTAAGGACTTGCTAAGGAGCAGGCACTGGGCTTAGGTATTATTGTTAGCTGAATCCTACAGATGAAAAAATTAAGGCTTAGAGAAGGCATTCATGTACCCATGGCCATTTGGCCAGTAATGGTAGAGCTAGGATCCAAGCTTAGGCGTCTGGCTCCAAGATAAATGGAGAAAGAGCTGATTTCTTTTCTTTTTCACATTTCAAACATACAGAGAGGTTGAAAGCAGAGTAAAACACCTGTCTAGCCTTCACCTAGATTCAACAATCATCAACATGTTTACCACATTTGCTCTCCTGTGTGTTCTCACTCCCTCTGCTCCCCTTTCCCCCTTGCATGTGTGTGTGTGTGTGCGTGTGTAATGTAGAGATATATATTTTTTCTGAACCATTTGTACATAATTTGCATACATGGACAGAGAACTAACATTTACTGATAATTGACTCGTGTTGTCTAAGGCCAGCTCTCTAACCCCTGTTTTAGATCACTTTGCCTGGCACACAGTAGGACTTGAGTATTGGCAGCGACCAGGAAGAGTAACTGGTCTTACCCGCAGCTTACCAAGTACTCCCCCTATATTAGCTGCTTCTGTCCTCACAATGGCCTGGCATAGAGCTCTTGGTGTTTTCTTCATTTTCAGAGGAGGGAAGAAAGACTCAGAAGTTAAATAACTCGTTGCAAAATAAGAAGTTGGGATTTATACCTGGGTTTGCTTGGCAGCAAAGCCTGTTTCACAAAATCTTAGGGCACCCACTTTTCTCCCCCTCCTGGGTTTAACCCTATTGTAGCCATCAGAGCACAGCCCAGAGCAGCAGATGGCAGCTTCCCACCCAGCTGCCGCAGGACATGGCCCTTTCTCTCTAGGAATCAAGGGGGAATTATAGAGTCCGGTGGACTTGGAAAAACTGGGGACTGGCCCAGGGATCACAGCTAACCAAGTAGTTTTGAGGACTCAAGGCTTTGGGCTCCTAGAATCCACCATACTGTTTCATGTTGCTCCTCCCTCTCCTCCTTGCCTGGGTACCCTTTTCACCATCTCTCCCTGGTCAGTTCTTGCTACCTGTTAAGATGAAGCTTGAGCATCTCTTCCTGTGTGAAACCTGCTCTGATCCCTCTCACTGGCCCCTCCCCCTTCTGCTCTTGGTGGCATCTGTGTCCTTGGTGTCACCTTGCACGCAGCCCTTTTATATTGCCTAGGTTATGCCATACCATGTATAGGTTTCTCCCCCACCATACTGGGAGATTCTCATCCATGCTGGTTGGGTAGTGTACAGTTAGACGGTTGGATGAGCAGCTCAGCTGTTGGATGAGTGGATGAGTTATTGATGGTTAGATGGATAAGTGGCTGGATAGATAAAGGATAAGTGCATGGATTGGATGGTTGGGTGAATGACGGGCAGGTTGATGGTGAGGTAGATTGTTGAGTGGTTGATGGTTGGCTGGCTGGCTGGATAGATGGAGAGGTAGATAGATAGGTAACAGGTTGGTTTCATGAGTAGAGGGACAATGGCAGGATGATTGCCTGTTTTGGATAGTTGGTTGGATAAATCGATGAAATCAATGGATAAATAAACAAACACCAAAAACCAGAGTGCATTTCTCCCCCCGAGACTCCCTTTTGTATCTGGACTGTGACATTTCCTCATTTTCCAGTTTCTGGCCCTGGAAAGAGCTAGCAAACAGCACACTCCCCAGGTTTGGAGAAACCTTCTGAGCCATTGACTATGGATTTGCCAAGGTTTTTGCACTGGGGAGTTCTGGAGAAGCTGGCCCCCAAAGTGAATTTCTGTAAAGTAAATCCTATTTTCCCATTGACTTGGCCCACACTTTTGGAGATATGTTCCTGCTGTCAAAGGCTGGTGACAGGTGGGGGAAGAGCTGGAACTCCCCTGGGTGTCAGCTGCCCCGAGCTTCTACTCATTCCACCTTGAGAGCAGACTGATGCTGGCCAGGAGCACAGGAGCTTAGAGCCAGGGGGAGATGCAACAGCAGGGGAAGAGATTTGGCATCTGGTCCCAGAAGCCTCTGCTGCCAGTGGGATGCTCTGCTGCTAGGCTTCTGGGATAGCACACTCCGTCTCCTCCAGACTGATCTGTTTCTGTTCATCTGTCCGTACATCCTTCCTTCTCACAATCCCACCCTCCCTCCTTCATCCATCCATCTGTCCATCCATTCAGCAATCATTTTTGAAAGACTCTAGGATGCTAGGGGACATAGAGGGAAATTAAAGAGAATCAATGTTCTGATGGCAAAGAATTATATCCCAGTAGAGGTGATAGGCAAGGCCTCCTTCCTCCTTTTTCTCCTTCTCCTACTCCATTGCTTTTTCCTCTTCATCCTCCTCTACCTCTTCTTTCTTTTCTGCTCTTTCTTCTTCTTTTCTTCTTCCCTCATCAATATCATGATCATAGCAGCCTCCACCGTTAAGTCCCCACTAAGTGCCAGGCACCATCCTAGGTGAGATTCTGACATACTCTAATTTATCTCAACAACCCTGCATAATAGTTTCTTTTTCTTTTTTTTTCTTTTTTTTTTTTATGAGACGGAGTCTCGTTCTGTCACCCAGGCTGGAGTGCAGTGGCATGATCTTGGCTCACTGCAACCTCCACCTCCCAGGTTCAAGCGATTCTCCTGCCTCAGTCTCCTGAGTAGCTGGGATTTCAGGCGTGCACCACCACACCCGGCTAATTTTTTATATTTTTAGTAGAGATGGAGTTTCACCATGTTGGCCAGGCTGGTCTTGAACTCCTGACTTCAAGTGATCTGCCCGCCTCAGCCTCCCAAAGTGCTGGGATTACAGGTGTGAGCTACCATGCCCAGCCCGTAATAGTTAATAATGCTCATTTTGCAGGTAAAAAAGCAGGCTCTGAGATGTTTAGTGATATACCCAAGGTCACACTTTTTAGTACATACTTGTGTATGAGATGGAATGTGTTGAGTGCGGAGGGGAAAGTCCTCCAGCCTGTGCCGTCAGGATGGCATTATTTAGTAGGTAGGATTTTGATACATAGTAGATGGAAAGAAGGGCATTCTTAGCAGGGGGAACAGCCTAGGCAAAGGCCTAGAGGCTGGAAAGGGGTAGGTTTGTATGAGCCATGGTGAACCAAAGTGTGAGAAAGAAATGGCAGGAGAGGTTTGAGTCCGTTAAGAGAAGCCTTGAGTGATGAGCTATGGCTGACATTGGAAGCAGTAGGAAGCCACTGAAAGAAATCAAAAGGAGGGAAAGGTTCAGGAAGATGGCCATGAAGCCTGGCATGGGAGGAGGATCCAGAGCAGGGAGAGGCAAGCTGGAGGCCAGGAGGGGCTATATGGGCCTAGCCTCCATTAAGCCAGACCCTGGGTGTGGCTATTTCTGCCCAGCCAGCTACTCCAGCAGTTGGGAGAGGCCAGGACATAGCCCACATCCTTGGTGGATGGGCCACAATGGCAGGGACAAGGGCAGAGTGAACGAGTTAGGGCAGAGCAGCTGCCTGCCTGCCTTCTCCCCTCACTGAAGCCCCACAGCTCCCAGGGGGCTCCTCCGCATCCTGTCCCACCCTGCCCACTTCACTCCTTGAGCCAGGGAATGGTTGCCAGTACCTTGCTGGGCCTCAGCTCTTCCATCGAGCCTGGACAACCCAAGCAGCACCCTGAGAACCATCCCAGAATATGCAGAGTGTCAGAGCTGGACATATGGGGAAGCTGAGGCCCAGAAGGGGACAGCTAGTTGCCTGAGGACACACAGAGATAGTGGCACGGCTGGAACTTGGGGCTAGATCTATAGCATAAAACTCCTTCCAAGGGAGATAAGTTGGTGTCTCCCTTTTCTAGCTGTGGAGGCTTGAACATATTTTCTTTTCTTTTCTTTTTTCCTCTCCTGTCTTTGCCTATGTTTTCTTTTCTTTAAAAAAAAAAAACAAAAAAAAAAAAAACTTTTTTTTTTAATGGAGATGGGGTCTCCTCTGTATTGCCCAGGCTGGTCTTGAACTCCTGGGCTCAAGCAATCCTCCTGCCCCAGCCTCCCAAAATGCTGGGATTACAGGTGTGAGCCACTGTACCTGGCTGAGACTCAGACATAGTATTTAACATCTGCCTCTAGCCCTCTTGAGAGTAAGGTGGAATAAAAATAAATAGCCTTTAAAAAATGTCTTAACCACTCTGAACCTCAGTTTACCCGGCTGTAAAATGGGGATAATAATAATAAATAAAACATTATTTAGTCATCATTTTTCCTATCACCTCCCTGTAAGAATGTAAACTTCACAAAGGCAGGGATTTTTTTATCTCTTTTGTTTACAAATGCTCAGCATGGCACCTAGGACTTAGCAGGTGCTCAGTAAAAAATTACTGAATGAATGAATGAATGAATAAGGAATACATATGATTTACGGGTTCCTCACAATGTGCCTGGCACTGCAGAAAATGCTTTCCATGCAGAATCCTGTTTAATCCTTAGAACAATCCTGAGGTGTGGAATTGGTATGATTATCTCCACTTTGCAGAGGAGGAAACTGAGCCTCAGAGAGATTACACATGACTTACTCGTGGTCACACAGTTCCTGGGTGATGGAACTGGGATAGAAGCCCTGCTTTGTGGGGCCCCACAGCCTGCAGGGCTGCACAGCTGCTGCAGAGCCAGGTGAGTGCTTCTGGGAACTATTGTGGGGCCTGGCATGAAGTAGGTGCTGGATAGACCATGTCTCTTACCCTAATCCCCCCATTCCCCTTTTCTGGACTTCAGTTTTCCCACCTGGAAGGTTCCAGGGCTGGCCTCTGACCTTTTCACGGTCCTCCCACATGGACTGATCACACTAGGGATGATCTTCCCATGGCCGACAACTCTAAGGCCCGTTGTCCTGCCTGATCATGACCCCCAATCCCGAAGGGAAAAGGCCTCTGGAGGTGTCTCAATGCTCACTTCCCCTCTGGGACCTCAGCACCTCTGTGGTCTCATCACTTGCTTCCTTAGGGGCCCTGAATTGGCCTCCTTGCAAATCCGCCTGCATGACAGCTCCCAGTGGCCTGCGGGAGGAGTGTTTTCTCGGCTCCCTGACGGCATCTGTCCCAAGGTGCGAGGTTCCAGCTGCACGCGGCGGGCCAGGCTGCCGTTCTGTCTGGAGCGCTGCGTGGAGAAACAAACACAGCTGTGTTTATTCCAGAAATTACACATCCTGATAATCTGCTCACTCGGGGTAATGCCTCCCAGTTAGGATCACAGGGGGAGCTACACCAAGGTTCCTGAACTTCTGGGCAGGTTGTAATTCTCTGTGACATCTGTGCTGTTGGGCAGACCTTGGGCAGCAAGTAGACCTCAGCCAGTGGGCACCCAGCAGCTTTGGAATGCCCCATTCCGAGGGGTGTGGACATTCTCACCTGGGCATGAGATGCTGGAAGGAGATGACCTTTTGTCTTGAAATCTCCAAATTAGGATTTCAAGCCTGACACCCTGGCCCATAGCCACACTGGGAGACAGAAACACACAGACCTATATTAGGAGAACATGACCCAGAATTGGATCATGAATCAAGTCATGTTGTTGCTCCAGAGCATTTCCACAACTCCCTGTTGCTTTTGGGTCACTCTTCCTTGGCCCATAGGCCCTGTGCGGCCTGCTTCCTGCCTACTCTGCCTAATTTCCATCACCCACCTCAGTCTAGGGGTTCTAGCCACTCTGGCCTTTCAGTTCCTTGCAATTCCTAGACTCTTCCCACCACAGGGCCTTTGCACTGCTTGGTCCCTTTAGCTGGAATGCTGTTCCCTTATCCTTGGATAACTCTCACCCATCCTCCATGTTTTCAAGGAAGTGTTCCCAGAGCATAGCTCCATGGGCCAATCTTTTGCTGCATTTGTCAACATCATAATTTTAAAATAATTAATGTGTTTCTTTGAACATCTCTACCTCTCCTACCAGACCGTCAACTTTACAAGGGCAGGGACCATGATCCAATTGCTTCATCACTTAGATTCCCTGGGCCTAGCATAGCGCCCAGCCCCTAGTAAGTGCTCAACTGATATATATTGATTGGAAGAATGAATGAATGAATGCACGGCTCTCAGATGACTGAAAGGAGGATATGCTTCTGTTTGTTCTTTTGGGTGACAGTTGGCAGAGTGCTGTGACATCCATCATCTCCCTTTAATTGAACGGAGTGGGATTGAAGTCTGCAGGGGCTTGGCACAGGGCCAGGCCCCAGGGTGGGGGTGTGGGATCCGAGGTGAATTAGGCATCATGGGCCTGGCCTTGGGGAGCTCACACACTGGCTGTGCACAGCCCCCTGGGAGGAAGGTCCCACTGGTATTGTTCTCCTGGATGGACAGATGAGGCTTCTAATACTCAGAGCCAGGGGCGGAGGCGGGGGTGGCTTGATGAGGCCACACAGCTAGTCAGTGGGACAGACGTGCACTCAGATCCAACGGATATCAAGCCAGGTGGCCCTTCCCCCACTTCTTGTGGGCACTTGGGTGGGAGGTGTCAGGGATCCCTGGCCTTTGGGGGTCTTGACATCCCAAGCTCTTACCAGCCATGTGGCTGTGGACAAGTTGCAGGGGGCAGCATGGATTGTCCTGCCCTATGGAGGTTTTATTCTAATGGACAGGACTGATGCCAGATATCTAGTGAGTAGCTTAAGTAGGGATGGTGCTAAGAAGAAAACTGCTGCAGAGATGGGAGGGCCAGCGAGAGGAGGGATCAGGAAGGCCTTTCTGAGGAGGTGACGTTTGAGCAGAGGCCAGAAGGAAGCAAGAGAGGGGGTTCAGGGATATCTGGGGGAGGGTGTTTCAGGCAGTGAGGAGAGCTGGGCAAAGGCCCTGTGACAGGGGTGTGCAAGGCAGCCAGCGTGGCTGGAGCGGGAGGGCCAGGGGAGAATGGGAGCAGGTGACACAGAGGGACCAGCCATGGCAGGACTTTGGCTTCTACCTGGAGTGAGATGGGAGCGGTGCAGGGCTTTGAGGAGGTGGCAGGATCTAACCTGGGTTCAGAAAGCACCACTCTGTCTTAAGAGGCCAGAGAGTGAGGGACAGAGCAGGGGACAGGAAGAACCATCACAGAGTCCAGGCACGAGACGGTGGTGGCTGGACCAAGCGGGCAGTGGTGGGGAGTTGTCAGTAAGTGGCCCTGGTTTTGCTCCCCAGGCTGCCTCACATAGTTTGGGGGATCCAGAGGGGGCGGAGAGAAAATGGACCTTAAATGTCTTCTCCCTCTGGCCTGCCCCCACTCACCCCAGGAGGCTCTGTTGGCATTTTTGGCATGGAAACATATGTCTCTTTCTTTCTAATGTAAATTGATAATGTATTGACAATGCGATCTCCTGGCAGCCAGGTTGGTGACTCTAGCATGTGCTAGATCATTCTGGCGGGGGGAATGGAGGGCAGAGGGACAGAGAAGAGCCTGGCCCGGGCCCAAATCCACCCCCATCAGGACTTGCTGAGCGACTGTGCACAAGGCCCCTTCCCTCTTTTGAGCTGGGGGCTGCACTGGGGGATTAGCGGACCACCGAGGGGCTCTGCAGTCACACCAGTTGGGTTCATGTCCTGGCACCAGCTCTTACTAGGTGTGACTGTGGACAAGTTGCTTCACTTCTTGGAACCTCAGTTTCCTTATCTGTCAAATGGAGAGGGTAATAGTCCTTACCTTAGTAGGTGGCTGAGACATAGTAAGTTCTCAACAAATAACCATCATCGGCTAGGCGCGGTGGCTCATGCCTGTAATCCCAGCACTTTGGGAGGCCGAGGCAGGCAGATCACGAGGTCAGGAGTTCAAGACCAGCCTGGCCAACAGCCTGTCAAACCCCATCTCTACTAAAATTATACAAATTAGCCAGGCGTGGTGGCGCGCATCTGTAATCCCAGCTACTCTGGAGGCTGAGGCAGGAGAATCGCTTGAACCCGGGAAGTGGAGGTTGCAGTGAGCCAAGATCACGCCACTGCACCCCAGCCTGGGCAACAGAGCAAGATTCCATCTCAAACAAAACAAAACAACAACAACAAAATCATCACTGTGTAGAAGCCAGGGCACAGAAGCCAGGGCCGGAATGCTTTTGTGCGGCCTGTGCCCCAGTCTTCATCCCACCCAAGAGGAATTTGCCTGGTCTTTGGAAGGATCTCTTGGGTCTCAGGACTTGCAGAACTTCAGCAGCAGCTGCCCTGGAAGGCAGCCCCCTCTAGCGGAGGAGATTCAGCTCTGGGCCATACAGACCATTTACAGGCTGTGTGACCTCAGCTTGGGAGCACAACCTTCCTGAGCTCCAGAGGTGATGAGCTCCCCTTATCTGTGCAGTGGGAATTAGAGGGCCTGCCTCCCAGAGTGAGGATGACATAAGAACCCACTTGGAAAGGGCTTAGAGGGTGGGGCTCTATGAATTCTGGCTCCCTTCTGCCCAGATGTGTGGGCCAACTGGCTCCCAGGAGTGGGAGCCAAGAGCTGCGGGGGCCTGGGAAAGGTGAGGGGGCCAGAGAAGGTGGGGGTGGAAACCTGGAGGCAGAGGCAGCAGGGTTTGGGGAAGCGCGTGGGGGGCCGGAGGGCGGCTCTAACTCTTCTCTCTAATTTTTGAGAAAATCTTTACCCCATCTTCATATAATTAAGAGTATTTTTAAAATGCCTTGTTGAAATAAAAATAGTCCATTTCCATATGACCTCATTTCATTCCACACCCTCAGTGCGCGTGTGCACACAGATATACACACGCACACGAATGTCTAGATTTTTAAAGCTGCCTTTTGTGCCTCTGCTGAAGGGGTTCTTATTTTTGCCTAGCAGGTAAATATTTAGGGACTGCCCCCCGGCCCCGCTTTATTTTCTGATTTGCAATTGGAGGCCCTCTAAGGTCCATTAACAGCAGCTGACACTGTGCGGCTCTGCAGCTTACAAGGCGCGCTCACATTGATATCTCCATTGCTCCTCCTGCGTTCCTGGGCGGGGGTGTCACCATGACCCATCACTTAGAGATAGGACCATCTTTTTACCAGCAGCATCTAGTCCAGACCTGGCACATCACACACAAAAAATCAGCTAGTGTCTGTTGAATACAGATGAAGAATGAGACGCATAACACAGATGAAGAAATTGAGGCTCAAAGAGATGAAAGGATTTGCCCAAGTGGATTTTTTCCTGAGTTTTAATCCAGGACTGTCCAGACTCTCTGTATGTTCCCCCTCCTAGGCTGCCTTTCTTTCTTTCTTTCTTTCTTTTTTTTTGGAGTTTCGCTCTTGTCGCCCAGACTGGAATGCAATGGCGTAGTCTTGGCTCACTGCAACCTCTGCCTCCCCAGTTCAAGCGATTCTCCTGCCTCAGCCTCCTGAGTAGCTGGGATTACAGGTGCCTGCCACCACGCCTGGCTGATTTTTGTATTTTTAGTAGAGACGGGGTTTCACCGTGTTGGCCAGGCTGGTCTCAAACTTCTGACCTCAGGTGATTTGCCCACCTCAGCCTTCCAAAGTGCTGGGATTGCAGGCGTGAACCACTGTGGCTGGCCCAGGCTGCCTTTCTAACCAGCCTCTTTATTTTCAGATGGGGAAACCAAGACCCAAAGAGGATAAGGACCTGTGCAAAGTCACACAGTGATGAGTGATGATATGAATGATGAAAATATTAGCGTTATACAATTTTAACATTCATGTTAACAGTCATTTTAAAGGATTGATTTTACGGAGTAGTTTTGCACGGTGGAAATCAGCATATACCATGGCCTTATTATGTGCCATGTTGCCATGCTGAATCCACCACTGTGAGGCAGGATTATTATTATTTTTGTTTTAGAGGAAAACTGAATCTCTGAGAGGTTCAGTAAATTGCCCAAGGCCACATAGCCAGTAAGGGGCGGAAATGGGATTTGAACCCGCGATTCTCTAAGTCCAAAGCCCATGCTCATGACACGCTACTACATCAGGCTGGTATGATTTGGTGGGGACAGAGCTAGAAGTTGAACCCGGGACTGGATTCTTGGCCTGGTATGATTTGGTGGGGACAGAGCTAGAAGTTGAACCCGGGACTGGATTCTTGACCTGGTATGATTTGGTGGGGACGGAGCTAGAAGTTGAACCTGGGACTGGATTCTTGGCCTGGTGTGATTTGGTGGGGACAGAGCTAGAAGTTGAACCTGGGACTGGATTCTTGGCCTCCTGATCCCCAAAAACAAAACCCCAGCCCAGAGGCCGCAGGAGTGGCCCTGTCAGGAGCTTCTCAGTCAAGGACAGAGCTCTGCCCTGGGCCTCCCACCCAGGGCCAGCCTGGGCTTGGGCAGGGGGCTCATGTCTCTATCAGGCCTCACTGTGAGGGGGCTTTGGAGCAGCTGCCTCTGTGGCCCAGCCTGCATGCAGGCAGCTGGTCCTGGCTGCCTCTTTAGCAGGAGCAGGATAAATCTTACCCCCCGGCACAGCCCATGCACAGCCCAGTGTGGTTCACAGCATCCTTTCCCCTCCACAGTCTCACCTGAGCTTCACAACATCCTTGTGAGACAGTTAGGGTAGGGCTCCCCAGTCTTCATGCAGAGAAACCAAAGCCCAGAGATATATACACTCAATAAAGTACCACCAGAATGTCAATATTCTTTTTTTTTTTTTTTTTGAGACTGAGTTTCGCTCTATTGCCCAAGCTGAAGTGCAGTGGCGCAATCTCTGCTCACTGCAACCTCTGCCTCCTGGGTTCAAGCGATTCTTGTGCCTCAGCCTCCCGAATAGCTGGGATTACAGGTGTGCACCACTGCGCCCGACTAATTTTTGTATTTTTAGTAGAGATGGGGTTTCACCATGTTGGCCAGGCTGGTCTCTAACTCCTGACCTCAGGCATCTGCCTGCCTCAGCCTCCCAAAGCACTGGGATTTACAGGCATGAGCTACCACTCCCGGCCTGAATGTCAGTATTATTTTGCTGTGGTTCTTAATTTCTTTGGGGTCCTGAAGATCCTTGAGAAGCTGCCACAGGCTATGAACTGCCCCCTCCTAGAAAGTTGGAGACACACAGATACTTTTATGAAAAAATTCAGGGGACTTACAGATTACAAGCCTCTGTTGTGTTGCTCCATGGTACTGATGATAATGAATACAACTTTGTTTTATTGAGCCTCTGCTTTGTGCTGGGCAGGGTGTTTGATGGTTTACATACATTATCTCAGAACACCCCTGCAGGGTAGGAGACTGAGGCTCAAGGGAGGGTGACACTGACTAAGGCTGCACAGCAGGGCTATGAACCTGCTCTACCGACTCCTGTGGCCTGTGGGGCATGGTGTGGGAGCATCTTCCTGAGGCTGCTGTTAAGAACAAGGACCTTTGCTGGGTACGGTGGCTCACTCCTATAATCCCAGCACACTTTGGGAGGGTGAGGCAGGAGGGTGAGGCAGGAGGATTGCTTGAGGCCAGGAGTTCGAGACCAGCTTGGGCAACACAGTGTGACCCCATCTCTACTAAATTTTTTTTTAATTAGTCAGGCATGGTGGCATGTGCCTATAGTCCCAGCTACTTGGGAGGCTGAGGTGGGAGGATCGCTTGAGCCCAGGAGGTCAAGGCTGTAGTGAGTCATGGTCATGCCACTGCACTGCAGCCTAAACAACAGAGTGAGACCCGGTATCAAAAAAAAAAAAAGAAGAAGAAGAAGAAGCAGAAGTAGAACCAGGGCCTCTAAGGAAGTTTACAGTCCATACTTTCTGCCTTTGGAAAAGACTGCTGGCTTACCCCAGGCCTGAGAGCAGGAACAGCTACTGAGGACAGGGTTTCTAGCAACCTCTGAACTCCCAGCAGGGAGCCTCCTTCTCCCACTTCCCAGGGGTCTGATTTGAGGGCCCTGGGTAGAGCCTGTCTCAGCTCTACATGATGGGAAAGTCTGCAATTCAAGCTTGACTCATTTGGCTTAACTCATGGGAATTTGCCTTCCTTGAAATCCTCTTCCCACCCTGGGACAGCCTAATGATTCCTATAGGGCACTTGGGACGCCCTTGGCAGTGAGTCGGCCCAGAGAGCAGGACTGAGGGAGAGGGCTGGGAGGTCAGTAGGGTCACTAGACTTAGGGCAGAGCCCCTGCCTGTGCACCCCTCAGGACCGGAGCAGCCTAAGGTATCTTGTACAGTGGATAAGAGTGTGGGCTCTGAGGGACCTGGGTTCAAATCCTGGCTTACACCTACACGCTCTGTGACTTTCGATAGGCTCTTTTCCCTCTCTGAGCCTCAGTTCCCCATTAGTAAAATGAGGATGATAAATAGCACTAAGAGACATGTGGCCCTGTCCCTGGCCCAAAGGTAGTGCTCAATAAAGATGATCGTAGTGGTCATCGTTGTTGCTGTCATAAGCAGAGTCGGGGGGCTGTGGAAGAGAGCTCATCGTACACACGGGGGTCTACAGGAGGCTGCTCAGGAGACCTCCCTTTCCTCTTTGGCAAGACTGTACCTGAAAGGGGATTGGGCGAGGAGTGATAAGGCTGGTATGGGGGAACGTTTGGGGACAAGGCGGCCCCTCTTGCCTGGTTGGTGTGGGGAATGAGGCCTGGTGCTGGGCCCAGAGACGTAAAAGCCTCTCCCCTTCAACTTTCCTCCCAAATAATTCTGGAGGCTGGACAAAGAGTTCCATGGGGCCCCCCTTCCCAATGCATGAGCCGAGGCTCTGTTTAGCAGCCCCCACCCCACAGACCCGCCTCAGTCACTGTGTTGGCCAAAGCATGGTTCCCTGGGGGTGGGAAGGAGCCTGGGAGCCTCGGTGGGGCCTGCAGGCCGCGGTCTGGTTCCCAGAGGCCCTGGAGGGGGCCCCTTCACAGCTTCAGCACGAGGCCCTTTGAGGGTGGGGGCAGCCTCCGCAGCGCGGCATGTTTGCGCCGCTGACACTCTGGCAGGGTCACTGTGGATAAAGGCGCTGCCCAGACCCCGGGCCCAGCCTGCAATGGGGCTTTCTTGTCAGAGAGGAGCCTTTTTTTCCCAGCGCACTGTGGGGCGGCCGCAGGGGGTCACCCTGCCTAGGAGGATAATGGAGCTTTGGGCCAATGGAGACACAGGACTCAGCCGGCCCCCTCCCTGTCAGACCTGGGGAGGAGGGGAGACTGGGGGAGACCGATTGGCTCGGATCAGCCGCCACCTTGGCCATGGCTCTCTGGGTGGAGTCAGAAGGGAAGACACAGTGGAGAACCTGGGACTCCCCCAGGCCTCCAGGTGTCTGCGAATCCAGCCATCGGCGTGACGAGGAATCTTGGGCAAGTCATCCAGTGCTTCCGTTTCTAATCTGGCTGCCTTGTGGTTCTCAGGAGAGACCACCAGGGCCAGAGCTAGCACGGCCCTTTTTAGCTGTGCCTCCCTCTCACCCTGGCCATTCAGCTACTGCCTGCCTTTCTGTTCCTACAGCTACCACCTGACCTCAAGTCTACCCCCTGCCCCACCTGGACCATCTCAGTGACTTCTGAACCCCACAAAGCATCACCACTGAGTCTTCTAAACTGCAGCTGAGACCACATTACCCTCCTGCTCAGACCTTGGGCTCCTTATCTAAAAAAATCAAGGTCAAACAGCTGCTCGTTGACCTGGCCCCTGAGGCCTTCTCTGCCTGTCCTTGTCATCCCACAAACTCTAGGTGGATGTCATTCTCATCCATAAACTATAGGTTTCATACATACATGTTATAAACTCCCATGCCCCCAGATCTTTGTTCAGGCCCCAGCTGCTGCCTAGAATGAATGCCCTTCTTGCTTCTGCCTAGTGAACTCCTACTCATCCTTCAAGGCCCAACTCAAATGTCCCCTCCTTGGTATATCCTTCTTTGTACTTACCCTCAGCTCTTGATTAACAATTCTTATAACACCAAGGTATGGCTAATTTTGTCTACATCACCCTCCCCCATTAAACTGGAGTGTAGAGACTTTCTTGTCTTATTCATCGTTGGGCCTCCAGTGCCTAGCACAGAGTCTGTTACCAACAGGCTCTTGGGTTGATGTTTTATGAATGAGAGAATGAATGAATACATTGTCTGCCCATGAAAATAACTTCCCCCTCTATCCTAGAGGCTTTTACAACTCAGCATGACACTCCCACAAGACCTTGGAAGTAGGAGGAAATTATCATGATGCACAGGCTGTTCAGATGCCTCTGAAACTAGGTAGAACCTGGAATGAGACTGGATCTGGGTCTCAGGCCAGAACAAGGCAGCTCTTACATCAACCTAGCCTCGCAGAGGTCTTGGAGTTCATGCTCTACCTTGAGGCAAGACCTGGTCAAACCATTTAAAGATAAAAAAAATACTAACTTATCGCAGAGTTGAGAATTCTCCACTTAGGGGCTGGATGGATTCTTAGAGGCTACCTGGCCCAACCCCCTCTTTGGGGATGATTTATACAGAAGCACAGATGGCTTTGTTCACTTGGGATCCTTGTCTTAGTTTCTCTTCCTCTTTTTCCTTTGTCATTTTCTTGTTCCTTTGTATTCCTGGCTCTGTGCTTATCTGTGTTGATGGTCTTTCCAAAGCCAGGAGTGCCCAAATGTTCTAGCTCCCCAAACCCTCAAGCATGTAGTGATGATAGTCATGAGAATAACAGTTTCTATCTCCAAGCATGGCTGGGTGTCAGGTCCTATGCCAAGCTCTGCTGGTACTGTACCCATAGGAGCTTCCTAATGACCCCCTGTGGTAGGTACTGTCATTAAACCCCACATTGCAGATGAGAAAACCAAGGTTCACAGAAGCAAAGTAATTTCCCAGAAGTCATCCAGGTAGTAAATGGCAGAGCCAGGATTCAGATCTACAGATAACTTCCGTGTGCTTTCCTGTTCTAGGGCCATACTGCAATTCAATCATTCATTATCGAGCCATTCATTCAGTAGCCACTTTTGGAGCCCATGTGCTGTTATTAGTCATTGTAGCCATTTACTCATTCCTTGCATTCAACAATTGTTTACTGAGGACCAACTATGTGCCTGGGCTCTGCTGCAGAAACTTCTAGGGGAGGTGAGACCTTGAGGTTGGCATTGGCAGAGAGGAGGAAGAGAGGCATTCTCAAGCCATGATGCGGGAACCTCTAGACCAAGGTGCCCCCACAGTCCTTGAACGGTTTGGACCTGCAGCCCTGGGTCCTGTAGTCTAGCAGGTTGGGGAGGATACCAGCAGTGAGCTAGTATGCTCACTCCCAAGTCTCACCTGGCACAGTGAAGCATGCTCAGGGTTGCTTTTGTAAATCTAATATTTTATTTTATTTTTAAAAATTATGTTGTGTACTTTTTTTTAGCAACAGGGTCTTGCTTTATCACCCAGGCTGGAATACAGTGGCACAATCATAGCTCACTGCAGCCTCGAACTCCTGGGCTTAAGCAATCCTCCTATCTTGGCCTCTCCAAGTATATGGGATTACAGGCATTTGCCACCATGTCCAACTAATTCTTTTTGTTTTTTTTCTTTTTTTTGAGACAGAGTCTCACTCTGTCACCCAGGCTGGAGTGCAGTGGCATGATCTCGGCTCACTGCAACCTCCGCCTCCCAGGTTCAAGCGATTCTCGTGCCTTAGACCCCCAAGTAATAGGGACCGCAGGCGCATGCCAGCACGCCTGGCTAGTTTTTGTATTTTTAGTAGAGATGGGGGTTCACCTTGTTGGCCAGGCTGGTCTCAAATTCCTGACCTCAAGTGATCCACCTGCCTTGGCCTCCCAAAGTGCTGGGATTACAGACCTGAGCCACTGTGCCTGGCCTGTTTAGGGTTTTGGCTTCTAGACTTAGCTCTGCCACCTTTTCCATTTCACCACATCACCCCATCTCTGAGCACATTTCTGAAGTGAACTACCCAGACCTAGCTCACCTGGACAGTCCACAGCCTCAAGGAATTCATCTGTGTAAAGGGTCTGTCATGGATGATCAGACCCATCCCAGTCTGAGCATTTCTGGGGTCCCAGGCAGGTGACCCTTGGGGAGTCAGGGTGAGGAGAAGCTGGTCTGAGCCTGCGCAGCAGCCCAGAAGCTGGGAGTAGAAGGAAGCTGCCCTCCCCCACATGCCCGGCCTGGCCTGGAATCGTTCTCGGATTTGATGAGTGATTCATAACCTGACGCTGCGGAAAGTTGTGCCGGGCTGCAGAAGGGCTGCCCGGGGTTTGCGGTTTTGAACACAGAGAAGAATTCCCTCGTCGGCTCAGACTAGGATAACTTACTTGTTGAGAGAGACATTTTCACAAAATAAATCCTTAGAGAAACCAGGCGCTGAGGCAGGGAGGCCTGGTGAGGGATTATCCAAATAAACCGGTTTTGAAGCTTCGGGTCCAAACGATTTGCCTGAGCCCTTCGTTGCTTCCTTGTACTCAACCTGAGGTCCCTGGTGATCCTGAGATCTTTTTCAGTGGCACCAATGCAGCCAGGCCCTCTCCACCTGGGTGATGTCCCCATCACGTGGCATCACTGAAACCCTCTTCAACTGCGGTCACTGGGATATATTGTTCTTTTGGGGAGTGTGTCATGATCAGTCTAATCTACTGTTTTTTTCTAAATAAGGTTTCTATTCACATTTTGGGTGGGACAATTCTTCCTTTTGTGGGACTGTCCTACCCAATCAGGGTGTTTTCCACCCCTGGCTCCAGCCCATGAAATGCCAGTGGTACCCAGTATGGTCATTGTGCCCTCACAATCCTTAAAAGGTGAGACCCGTGGCCCTGGGGTCCTGCGGTCTGGCGGGCTTGGGATGGTACCTCTGTGGCATCAGCATTGAGTAAGCATGCCCTCAAGCCTTGATCATCACTGCGACAACCACAGCTGCATTTCTGAGTGCCATCTGGGGGACACCATGCCAGGCAAGACCCACTGGTCTCACCAGGGCCTCGTGTCCCACCACCCTGAGTGTCTTGCCATTCCTGGAACTCACCTGACCCTTTCAAACCTCCCTGCCTTTACTCCCACTCTTCCCTCTGCCTGGCGGCCCTTCCCCGCCCGTCTCATCCCTCCCAGAGCCCCACCCTTCTTCAGCCCCAGACCCCTCACCATCATACCGGCCCCTCCCTGCTTCCTGATGTGGGTGGCCTTGTACTCATTTCTTCAGCTTTCGGAGTGTCATTTTCCTCATCAGTAAAATAGGGAGCAGAACAGAACCTTCCTCCCCTGGCTGGGGGGCGGTCCGTGTGAAGTTCTTGGTGTCCAGTGGTGAGCATGAGCCGTCCCTGCGATGCCAAGCCTCTCCTTGCTGACGGCGGGGATTGACGATCCAGCTTATGTGCCCTGCTCCCCTCTGCCTGCCCCTTCTCCCTGTCCCCAGGTCTCCCCTGTGGTGGGGGATGCAGGTCCCGTTTTCCTATGGGGCACTGGCTTTGGAGACCACCCCTGCCCCGACCCCTGTTCTCTGATTCTATCTAAGTGCTTAATCTCTCCCCCCGACCCCTATCCTCTGATTCTATCTAAGTGCCTAATCTTTCCCAGCGGCAGCCCTGGGAGACATCTCCTCTCTCGCTATGGGGCTGCTGGGATCTGTCTTCCCAACCTGACACTTCACAAGTCTGTCCCCTCTACTTTATCCTCCCCCTAAGTAAAACTCCTTAAAACCGCGTTCCTGGAGCCGTCTGTTTTCCCTCCCCTGACGACACCTGGCTGCCTTCCTCCAGCCTGCGCCCCCTAGTCTCCCTCTTATCTAAATCCCAAGCCCTCCTGTCTCTCTTTGGGAGATAAGGGTTCCCTGCAGATTACCTTAGTTACATCCTAGGTGCTCACTGCCTGATGCATAGAATAACTCTGGCACATAGTAGGCACTTAAATATGTGTCGAGTGAGTGAAAGGACCCTGTAGCCCATCTATTCCTCCTGTTCGGAGGTTTGGAATGAGGTCTAAAAGCTCAGGGAAGGCGGGTTATATTTGCCTTGACAGCCTGGTTTTCTTCCCAGCAAAAAAAAACAAAAAAACAAAAAACCTCAGTTTCTCACGTTGGCTCTGGCTCAGTGCAATAACGAAAACAAGGGCAATAATAGTTCACCTGCGTGGAAGCTGCAAATCCCCACACACTGGGCCTGTTGTCTTACATGCCTGTCTCGGGGATGGGCTTTATTTTTCTCCCTGTTTCAGAGATGAGAAGGCCGGAGCTCAGTGTGGTTAAGACACCTGCCCCCAATGGGGAAGTGGTAGAGTCGGGACTTGAACTAGTTCTGTGTCTCCAGTGCCCATGTACTTCATTGGTACCCCACACCTCTTCTGCACCATTTTATTTTACTCATGAACTCACCCTGCTACAGATGGGAAATCTGAGGCTCGGAAAGAACAGCTTGCCCGAGGTCCCCTGGGTGAGTGGGTGGGTGGGCAGGGTCCAAGCCAGCATCCGACCCAGGCCCCTGCTCATAGGGTCCATCCACATCATCCTCCTGGCCCATATGAGCCCAGAGGCTGTGTTGGTCTGCAAAGCTCCAGGCTCGTGGTATGGACAAGCCATAGGGTCCCTGACATGAGGACCGCCCTGGCTGATGTAGAAGGATGCCCAGAGTGAGACAGGTTGGAGATAGAGAGCCCTGTCTTCTGCATTCAGGGTGGGCTGGGAACAGTTAGGAATAATGGAGGAAAGTTGGTAGAAAGGGTGGGGGCAGGGGCAAAGCTGAGAGCCGGAGCTCTGTCCAGGTTCCCAGCTCCTGGACCTCACTCAGATCAAAAGGAAAATGGGGTGAATCGACTAACTGACATTCCAGCCAGACTTCCTTCCTTCCTTCCTTCCTTTCTCTCTTTCTTCCGAGTGTCTCACTGTGTTGCTTAGGCTGGAGTGGAGTGCAATGGCTATTCGCAGAAGCAATCATAGTTCACTGCTGCAGCCTTGACCTCCTGGGCTCAAGCGATCCCCCCACCTCAGCCTCCTGAGTAGCTAGGACTAAAGGTATATGCCACCATGCCCAGCTAGTTTTTTATTTTTTGTAGAGGGGACTCACTAAGTTGCCCAGGCTGGTCTCAAACTCCTGACCTCAAGTGATCCTCCCACCTCAGCCTCCCAAGGAAAGTCAGACACCTGACTGACTTTCTTTTCTAAGTGCTTTGATGTCTTTCTGAGCAGAGAAGTTTAACCCCCAGGTTTGCTCAGGGTCCTTGTTCTGTTTCTACTTTGACATTCATTTATTATGAACTTTTTTTTTTTTCTGAGACAGGGTCTCATACTCTGTCACTCAGGTTGGAGTGCAGTGGTCTTATCATGGCTCACTGCAGCCTCAACTTCCTTGGCTCAAGCGATCCTCCCACTTCAGCCTCCTGAGTAGCTGGGACTACAGGCTTGTGCCACCACGCCCAGCTAATTTTTAAATTTTTAGTAGAGATCGAGTCTCACTATGTTGCCCAGGCTGGTCTTGAACTCCTGGGCTCAAACGGTCCTTCAACCTCAGCCTCCTGAAACAGTGGGAGTACAAGCATGAGCCCCTACACCTGGCCTAAACAAGCCTTTTTGAGTGCCAACTCTGTACTAGGCATCATGCTCTCCGGAATGTATTGGCTATTAATGGTCACAGCAACCCAGGGCTTGGTGATGCCGCCCGTACACCTGAAGGGCTGCTGACCTCCAGTACAGCTTACCAGGATCAGCTTACTTCTTGTGAGACCCAGGCTGAGGCACTTCACCTCTCTGAGCTTCAGTTTCCTCCTCTTTAAAATGGGATGGTCATCACTACTTCATAATACATTTGGGAGGATTTCTGTAAATTTAATTTTATTTTTTAATTTTATGTTTTTGAGACAGGGTCTCACTCTCTTGCCCAGGCTGGAGTGCAATGGGGTGATCTTGGCTCACTGCAACCTCCACCTCCCAAGTTCAAGTGATTCTCGTGCCTCAGCCTCCCCAAGTAGCTGGGATTATAGGCACGCACCACCACACCCAACTAATTTTTGTGTTCTTTTGTAGAGATGGGGTTTCACCACGTTGGCCAGGCTGGTCTCAAACTCCTGGCCTCAAGTGATCTCCTCACCTTGGCCTCCCTAAGTGCTGGGATTATAGGTGTGAGCCACCGTGCCCAGCCCGGGAGGATTAAAGTAGATGATAGCCCCAAAGCTCTGAGTACAGTGCCTGGCACATAGTAGGCCTCCTCGGCCACCTCTACAAATGGTAATGTCATCTGCTTCTGGACTGGGTCCCACAAGCTCTAAGTCAGGAAGCTTGATATGGCATCCGGGGCAGCAGGTAATGACGCTGTTCTTATCTGAACCCCCAAATTACAACGTAGGAGTTCTAACAAAGAGTTTATAATTGATGTGCCAATTTGTTTCTAATGGAACTCACCCAGTAGTACTAAAAAGAATCAGATCACATTTCATTATTAACACAATGAATCACCATACTCAAAATAACAAAATCACCCCAAATCATGATTTCCCTAAGAAACAGATTGGGGTAAGAGTATGAATAAAATCAGTCATATAACCCCCCCACCCCCGTGGAAAACAGTTTAGCTGTTTCTAATAAAATTGAGCACACGCCTACCTCGTAGCCCAGTAATTCCACTCCCTATTTAGTACATTTGACCCTTGAACAATGTGGGGGTAGGGGTGCTGACCCCTCACACTGTTGAAAATCCACATATAACATTTGACTCCCCAAAAACTTAACTAGTAATAGCCTACTGTCGACCAGAAGCCTTACTGATAACATAGTCAACTAACACATATTTTGTATGTTGTATATATATATATGTTATATATTTTGTATGTTATATATATATATATAATATACTGTATTCTTACAATAAAGTAAGCTAGAGAAAAAATATTATGAAAATTCTAAGCTGGGCATGGTGGTGTGTGCCTGTAGTCCAACTACTTGAGAGGCTCAGGCAGGAGGATCACTTGAACCCAGGAGTTTGAGGCTGCAGTGAGTTATGATGGCCCAGTGAGCCTGGGCGACAGAGTGAGACATTGTCTCAAAAAAAAAAAAAAAAAAAAAAAAAAAGGAAAGCATAGGCCAGGCATGGTGGCATGCACTTGTAGTCTCAGCTATTTGGGAGGCAGAGACAGGAGGATCGCTTGAGGCCAGTTCAAGGCTGCAGTGAGCTATGATCATGCCACAGCACTACAGACTGGGTGACAGAGTGAGACTGTGTCTCAAAAAAAGAAAAAAAAAGAAAAAAAGAAAATCACAAGGAAGAGAAAGCATATTCACTATTCATTCAGTGGAAGTAGATTGTCATAAAGGTCATCCTCCTCGTCTTCACGTTGAGCAGGCTGAGGAGGAGAGGTTGGTCTTGCTGTCTCGAGTGTGGCAGAGGCAGAAGAAAGTCCAAGCATAAGTGGACCTGCTCTGTTCAAACTGGTGTTATCCAAGGGTCAGCTGTATATACCTAAATGAGATGAATGCACATGTTCACTGAAAGACAGGGACTAGAGCACAATGTTCACAGCAGCTTTGCCTGTCACAGCTCCAAACTGGAAACAACCCAAATGTCCATCAACAAAGAATGAGCAAATAAATTGTGGGGTATTCATTCATACGATGGAATATGACGCAGGAATAAAAAAGAACAACAAGCTGCTGATAACACGCAGCATCATGGATAAATCTCAAGATCATTACACTTTGCAAAATAAGCCAGACACCAAACAATACATACCCGACTGGTTTCACTCATAGGAACTTCAAAACCAGGCAAAACGAATCAATGGCAATTAAGTCAGGATCGCGATTGCCTATGGTGAAGGAAGGATATTGATGAGGACAGGACACGAGGAACTTTTTGAGTGGTAGTTACATGGGTATATGCATTTGAGACATTCATCAAGCTGTACACTTAAGATCTGCATGCTTTACTGTATATGAGCTATACCTCGATTAAAAAAAGCTTCAAACATCCCTCCCCACTTTCTAATGGTTTGGCTTTGGGCAAGTGACCTGTCTGAGCCTCAGTTTCCTTTATCTCTGAAAGGGGGTGGTCACAGGGGTTGAGAGGATGTGCTGAGATAATTATAATCCATGCAGCAGCCTAGCTCACGGTGGGCGCTTGGCAATGGGGGGCTTTGTTGATGTCATTCAGCAAGGCTCGGGCTGGGCCTTGGATGATCGGCAGCTGTGAGCGCAGCGGGGCCTGGCGTCTGCCCACAGATGTGGCTGGTGTGCCTAGCCGACGCTGCTCTGGATTCTGTGACAATCTGCAGCTTATCTTTCAAAGCCTATCTCCCCACCCATTTCTACACCTCAGCAGTCAGCCTGCACAGTGGGGACGCAGCAGGATCAGGATGTTTAACTTCTCTATATGCCAGCAAGGTTTGGTGAGAAAGACCTCCAAATACATAGTGATCAACTGCTCTGATCGAAATCTGGTAATGACTGAGTCCCTGCCCTGGGCCAGGCATTTTGCCAGGGAAGGAGGTGAGTGCAGCCGTGGAAAGATCGCACCAGACACCTGCCCTATGGACCTTGCAGCCTCTGGCAACAGATCAGACAGTCATCAAAGAATGAGCCCACAGACATGGGGCAACTGCATCTTTCACAACTGCCAAAAGAGGCTGTAATGATTGGGTCTGGTAGGGAGGCCAGGGAAGGCTTCCTGGAGGAAGTGACACATAAGTATGGACTGAAAGATGAGCGGGAGTTGACCTGGCTAAAAGGGAAGGGAGGGTGCACCAAGCTGGGGAACATCTTGGGCAAAGATCCAGTAGGAGTGTGAGTTATTGGTGGTCAAAAGGAACCAGAGTGGCTGGAACTGAGAGCTCCATGAAGAGTGGGGCAGGGTGAGGCCAGGGAGGCCTGTGGGCTCCTCCTTGAGCCCCACCCTGTGTGTCTTCACACTTGGAGCAACAGGAAGTCACTGCAGTGTGTTCTGCAGGGGGGAGATGAGATGGTGAAATTAGCCTTTTGCAAAGAATAACAAAACTTCCATGATCGACCACCTACTGTGGACCGTGGACCATGGACCATGTTAGGCCCTCCAATACACATCTCTAAATCCTGACCTCCTTCTGCACGGGAGGCCTCACCTCCACCTTTCAGGATGCAGAAGTCAGGTCACAAAGGTGTGAAGTGTGTTTTCTTCATGACCTTCCCACGAGGGTGTAGGGGAGCTGGGATTCAGACCCCGCTCTGAGGCCACATCCACACACTTCCCTCTGCACCCTCCTGACCTGTGACCCCCCGGGGGTGCAAATCTCTTAGGTTAGCCTTGCTTTCCCCATTCCTGGAAGGGGGTTAGGACCAGCCCTGCCTCCCTCCTAGGGAGTGTTTTAAAGTCAGATGAAATAAAGGAAGAAGTGACAGGTGGTGAGAGCAGGAGAGTCCCTCAGTCCAAGCCTCTTCTTTTATAGAGGGGGAAACTGAGGCCCAGAGAGGGAGATTGGCTGGCCCCAGATCACACAGCCAAACTCGGGTTCTGCATCAGCTGCTGCTTACCAGAAACCCAGGCAAACAGGGAGAACTGCCTTCTGCTCAGGGTTCAGTCACCGGACTGAGGGCCCAAGCAAGGCGGGCTCACGTCCTCTGTTCACTGTGGTCACAGCAGCTGTGGGCCACAGATAGCCCAGGCAAGGTTACTTGTATTAATAATGGCTGAAATTTATTAAGCCCTTTTTCTGTGCCAAAGCACTCTGATAAGTGCTTTTACGGAGTTATATTACTTAATCCTTGACATTGCCCCCAGGTGGTGAAGTGGCTTGCCCAAGGCCCGACTCAAAATCAAGGTCTGTTGATGCCAGACCAACTAGGCTGTTCCAGAGATTCTTTGTCATCCTGGTAGAGCAAATCGAGAGGGGCTTGAGATTCCTCAAATCCCAGCTGCCAAAGCCCTTGCACAGCCACAGGCAAGGGAGGGGGGCTCTGAGATGACTCACCCACCCAGCTGAGCAAAGCAAACACCTTGGGGTGGCATGTGGTCTGTGAGCTGGCATTGCCAGACCCCCAGTCATCAGGGACCTCTGCCAGCAGGGGCGGCCTGCAGGAGAGCAGGCAAGCGAGCCGTCGGGGTTCCTCTGCTGTTTGGGGACTCAGGTGCGACCTGTCTCCTCACCTGGAATGAACCCATTTGTTGGTGGCTTGAGCTCTAGAACCCATCGTGCTGTAGAGCGGAGCCGGTCTGCCTGGGGAAAAGGACAATGAAGTTGGGTGGCCCCACTCAGCCACTGATGAGCTGTGTGACTTTGGGCAAGTCACTTCACCTCTCTGTGCCTCAGTTACTTCATTCAGCACCTGAAGATAATAACACACTGTGGTGGAGCTGTGTGAAGCCAGTAAAGAACCACATTTAAGGGCCTGGCAGGATAGCATGGTAGCTGAGAACGAGTATGACTCTAGAACTGAATTTCCTAGTTCACATCCTGGCTCAACTTCCTGCTACCACTTGTGCAAGTTATTTAATCCTCTCTGGCCTTAGTTTCCCCATCTGTAAAATGGAGCAAGTAATCTTATCAATTTCACTGGGTTACTGTGAACATTCAATGTGTTTCCACACGTGAAGCTCTTAATGCCTGCCACAGAGTAAGCACTCAGTAAGTTTGGCTGTTATTCTTAATATTCCTTCATCATACCCTGCCAACTTGCTTCCTGTCTCACTTTGGCTGCTGGGAAGCTCAGAGCAAACGTTGTTTCCTAATTAGGTTCATGGAAGAATGATCTTTCCCTTACCTCAAGGGGGCTTTCTGGGTCCTTTTTTTTTTTTTCTTTTTTTTGAGATGGAGTCTTGCTCTGTCGCCCAGGCTGGAGTGCAGTGGCGTGATCTCAGCTCACTGCAAGCTCCACCTCCCAGGTTCACACCATTCTCCTGCCTCAGCCTCCTGAGTAGCTGGGATTACAGGTGCACACCATCATGCCCAGCTAATTTTTGTATTTTTAGTAGAGACAGGGTTTCACCATGTTGGTCAGGCTGGTCTCGAACTCCTGACCTCATGATCTGCCCACCTCGGCCTCCCAAAGTGCTGAGATTACAGGCGTGAGCCACTGCGCCCAGCTCTGGGTCCTCTTTTTACAAAAATTTGATTCTAATGTCCTGAGATATATGTACATACATAAACACACACATATATGATATTAAAATAAAATAAATTATATAATTTATTTTAATTATAAAGTTTCCTCCAATTCTTTCTAGAAATAATATTAGGTTGGTGCAAAAGTAATTGTGGTTTTTGCCTTTGAAAGTAATGGCAAAAACCAGAATTACTTTTGCACCAACCTAGTAGAATGTATCGCATTTTATGAAAACCAACAAGGTAGGCTACACGTCATGGGCCCTCTTGTCTGTGAGCTGCTGGTCATCGGCGCCTGTCCCATTCTTTCCTTTTTACTTTGTGGCTTTTTTTTTTTCTTTTGAGATGGAGTTTCACTCTGTTGCCCAGGCTGGAGTGCAGTGGTGGGATCTCGCCTCACTGCAACCTCCGCCTCCTGGGTTCAAGTGATCCTCATGCCTCAGCCTCCCTAGTAGCTGGGACTACAGGCAGGTGCCACCACGCCTAGCTCATTTTTGTATTTTTAATAGAGGCAGGGTTTCACCAGGTTGGCCAGGCTGGTCTCGAACTCCTGACCTCAAGCGATCTGCCCACCTTGGCTTCCCAAAGTACTGGGATTAGGGTGTGAGCCACCACACCCAGCCTCCTTTTTACTTTCTGGCTTTGCTTTTGGCCAGCATGTTGGTGCCCTGGAAAAAAAGAGGAATGCAGGGCAGGGACTGGGATGTGCATTTCTTCTAGAACTCTCTACCCCCAACACTGCCTCACCCAGGTCTGGGCACATGATAAAGATCCACCAGAAACCTGGAAGTGAATTGAAGGATTCAGACCAAGGTGTTTGGTTCTGTGGGTGACAACAGGTGTTTCTTGGTTGTCTTGTGTCACAGATCCTATGTGACATCAGCTCCCATTGCCAGGGGAGCTGTCCCTCCTGGCTCCTCTTTGAGGGAAGGGGAAAGGAAGGTGAAGGTATTGGGCCCAGGATGGAGAGGGGAAGGATGCTGTCTCCTCCCCGTCCACAGGGTGGCTTATGTCTACCGGAGCCATTCATTCATTCATTCGTTCATTCATTCACTCACTCAGCTGGACCTCCATTGGGTTCCAGACCCTATACTGGGGGCTGAAGATACTGAGATGAGTCAGCTGGTCCCTGCCCTCATGGAACACCTAGAAAGACATACGGACAAAAGGATGGGGATGAGGAGGGGATACATGAAGTTACCCTAATCAAGACGTGTGGTTTGACAAAGGACTTTCTTCTCAAATTTTGAATTTATTTATAGTAACAACTGTCATTCATTGAGTGCCAGCTGTGCACTCAGAGCTGTGCAAAGACCTTAACCTGCATTATCTCATTAATAAGCCCCCAAGGCCCCCTGAAGAAGGCAGTTATATTCTTACTTGGCAGATGAGGAAACAGACCAGAGCAGGGATGTGACTTGCCCAAGGTCACACAGCAAGCAAGTGTCAGATGTGGAATTTAAAGTCCAGAATCCTTATCTCAACTTCTCCCATGGGCCACCTCTCTATGAAAAGAAAGGCAGTGGGGTAGTTTATATTGGGGCAGCCCTACAATCCAGGGAAGGTAGTGGCTGGGGCAGTAGAAGGATTTTCAGCAGGCAAGGGGCAGGGGGAGCAGGAGAGATGGGCTGGGATGGGTGCTGAGGCCCGGACCCTTCTGTGGCATCAGAGCTTTGCTCTCTTCTCTTTCTGGAGTCCTGGGTCACCAGAGCCAGACTTCTGATGTGCTTTAGTCCTGTGTTTACATGAGTGTCAGACGGAGCAGGCTCCAGGGGAACACGGAAATGGCATTAAATAACGCTGAATCACACAGTAAGAAAGTTCCCCTTCCCTTCTCCTCCGTGCCTGCTGATTACTCATGGAGAAAGTCTCTGTTTCCTGCCAGCATGTCTCTAACACCTCTCTGACAGCCCCTAATCTCCCTTTTCAATTGGGAAAAGCAGACTTCAAGCTCAGAACCTGCTAGGGAGCTGGAATGCCAGGACATCATCTTGTTTTCATCATGAATAGTTTAGCTTATATATTTTTATTTAACAAACATACAAATGGCACTTTCTAAGTGCTTTGCAAATATTACAAATATTTCATCCCCATTACGACTTTATGAGACAGGTGCTATTATCCACCTTCCAGATGAGTAAGCTGATACACAGAGAGGTTGAGTAACCTGCCTGGGTCACACCTCCAGAGTGTCAGAGCAAGGACTAGGAATCCAGGCAGCAGGCCCCAGAGCCCATGCTCTTAAGCATCTCCCCAGACTACCTCTGATTCTCAGAATTGGTGCTGGCTCTCTTCTAGTTCCAGCAGTAGCCTGATTTTTTCCTTTACTGATGAATTTATTTCCATGAAAATAGGTGAGCCAATTTAAAAGTAAAGTGGAGTTCAAGTGGTTGTGTGGAAATAGCCAAAGTCCTAACAGTAGTTCAAGGGCTACTGAAGTTTGAAGAACACTGGTCAGTCCAAGCCCTTCATTTGGTGGAGGGGGATGCTCTGAAGAACAGAGAGGGGATGGGACCTAGCAGAGGTCACACAGCGAGTGAGCCTGGAGGCTGCCAGGACAGATGGGAGCGCTCACCTGCCACCCACGCCCATCTGCTTCCTGCACGCAGGACTGATGGGGCGCCAGGTGGCAGGAGCACAGAGGTGTGCTCACCTGCCCAGAAGTGTCCCGGTGCTGTAACAGGATCCCTGTTATCTCTGCTGTTCTGGGAACAGGCAGATCTGAGCCCCAAGGCCCAAGCCCAAGTCAGCATTTTGGCCACTGCTGAGCTGACATCTGTTGTATGTCTTTACCTTGTCTTCCAAGTCTCAACAGAGCCTGAGTGGGGAGCTCTGTCCTCAGCCTGCTGGTCAGGGCTCACCTTCCCTACCTTTACGCCTTTCCAGAAGCTTTCACAGCCTCTGCCTTGAGAGATGCGAGCTGACCCTGGGTTCAAGTCCTGGTTCTGCCGTATACCCACTATGTGGCTTTCTTTAGGATGCTTAGCCCCTGCAAGCTGTGCCATCCTCAGGTAGGAAATGGGGATGTACAAGATCAAAGACAGTGGGCTGGGAGGATCACCTGCCACACAGAAAGGCGGGAATGATGTCAGCTCCTTCTGGAGTTGCCTCGCTGCAGGGCTGCCTCCTTTGTCATGAAGGCCACCAGCTTTCTCCATGAGGGTCCTGGGAAGCGGAGAATGAATTAGGGCCATTGTCCCCATCATAGAGATGAGAATACCCCAAGTTGGGGGCTGTCTTCTTTAAAAATCAGGCTTCGGTCTGGAGTTCCACCCTGTGCACAGTGACACCAGTCACAGGCTTTGGATTTGGGCGTTCACTAGTTCCGTGTGGCCTTGGGTTGGTCATTTCTCCACTCCCAGCCTCAGTTTCTTCATCTGTCCAGTGAAACCATGCAGGGTTATTGTGAAACTTAAACATGATGAGTGTTCTTGGAAATGTCTGACCTACTTCACAGGTGTTATTTATGATTGTTTTTATTCCTTGTGTAGGCAGAAAAGTGTGCAACACTCTAAAATTACTAGGTGGGGTGGGCTCACGCCCATAATCCCAGCACTTTGGGGGGCCAAGGCAAGCAGATTCCTTGAGCCCAGGAGTTCAAGACCAGTCTGGGAAACACGGCGAAAACCCATCTCTACAAAAATACAAAAATTAGCTGGGCATGGTGGTGTGCACCTGTTATCCCAGTTACTTGGGAAGCTGAGGTGGGAGGATGGCTTGAGCCCAGGAGGTTGAGGTTGCACCATTGCACTCCAGCCTGGGTTACAGAGTGAGACCCTGCCTCAAAGAAAGAATAATAATAAAATATAATAATAAAATAATAAAATAAAATAATACAAAAATAAAATAAAATAATAAAATAAAATATAAAATTACCACGTAGTCAGGACATACAAGGGAATTAAAACCTGCTTTTTAGTAAGAGCCTCTGAAGAAGGCCTGAGCAGAGTTGGATCCAGGCTGATCTATATATTTGTATATAAAAATATGTGCATGTAAATACATTTTTAATATTTTAATATTATTTTCATGTATTTTAATATTTATAAAGTATATATTTATACTTACACGTACACACACACACATGCACACACACATATGTTTTGAATTGGAGTCTTGCTCTGTCGCCCCGGCTGGAGTGCAGTGGTATAGTCATGACTTGCTGCAGCGTCAGATTACTGGGCTCAAGCAATCTTCCTGCCTCAGCCTCCTGATTAGCTAGGACTACAGGTGCATGCCATCATGCTGGGCTATGTTTTTTTTTTTTGGAGACAGGATCTCACTATGTTGCCCAGGCTGCTCTTGAACTCCTGGGCTCAAGTGATCCTCCTGTCTTGGCCTCCCAAAGTGCTGGGACTACAGGCATGAACCACTACACCTGGCCCAGGCTGATATTTTGTTTCCCATCTGTTCTTCCAGTCAACAGTCTTTTTCACCCACTACTGGTTTAGGCATTGTGGTATGGAAGAAAGAGTGTGAGCTCCAGAGTTGGGCAACCCTGGATTTACAGGCCAGTTTTCCCAAATCTTGGCTGTGTGACCCTGGGCAAGTTGCTTTCACTCTCTGACCTTCAGGTGCCTCATCTGTAAAATGGGGGTCCCTTACCAGATTGTTATGTGGATTAAATGAGTCACTGCACATCAAATGCTCGGCACACATCCTGGCCCGTGCTGGACACTTAAATGATGGCTCCTCTTGTCACATGATCACGAGGCACTGGGTCCTGCACTGGGCTGTCATGGTCCAGTCAGGTGGCTTTGGTGGATATCCAAAGTCAGTCGGTCCCCTGCCCTGATGGAGGAAGCGCAGGCACCAAGCCCAGTCTGGGTGGTCAGGGAAGGCTCCCATGAGCCGAGTCGGAAGGGAAGGCAAGGGCTGGCTAGGTGCAGAGACCAGCACAGGCACAAGCGTGGAGTGCGGAGTGGGAGGGGCCTTTTCCTTTGGCTGTGCCCAGGCTGCCTGTGGGGGAGAGGCAGGAGATGAGGCTGCTGAGTGGACGGGCCCCCTGGGGACAGTTTGTCGGGGAGCTTGACAAGGTTAAGGATCTTCTTTGGACATCCTTTCACTTTCTCTCAATAACCTGGTGTGGATCTATCATCCCAGTATTTATCTAAACCCTTGCTGGACCCATTTATATCCTCCGCCTCTCCAGCTTCTCGGCGTAATGAGCTCCAGATGTGGTGAAAGGGCCTTCCCCAAACCTCTGCCTCAAGCCGGGAGGGTGCTGGGATTGCAGGGATGAGTCTTCGTTCACCAAAAGACAGGAAGGCCTTAGAGCCTGCAACTCAACCTTAGCTTCACCCTTACACAGGCCCAAGACACTTAGATTCGTGATCCCCTGGGGTTCCAGGCCGCTGTAAGGACCCCAAATCCTGGGCCTGAGTGTTCTGTGGGCTCCTTAGGGGGCACCCCAGAGACACTGGACCCTCTGTGGCCACCCCAGGAGTGAGACAGGCAGCCAGGAAGCTTTCAGCCCATGGAGATAGCAGAAATGTCCCCAAACCAAACCAAAATGGTGGCTCAAAGGTGCTCAGAAACCTCCCGTCTTGTGGTTCCCAGCTGTCAGTCTCAATTTCTACCATCTCAAGCCATGTTCTCACTGTTGTTCTACAAATGACTCACTTTTCTATTTCCTGGGTAAATGTATGAAGACAGAAAGTCCATATCCCGCCATAAATAAAACACCAGCATCTCTTGACACCACAGAAGTTAACTGTAACTATAAATACAACAGAGGCAGGACAGGGTGACCATGTCCGGCTCCAGCCTGGTGCTCACTCTTTGGCTGGGCTTCTGCAGAAGGGAGGACACCTGAGACCAGGGCTCAGGGGACCAGAGAGGGGCCCAGGGAGGGAGGAAAAGGTGGCGCGAGGTGTGCAGTGGAGCTTACCACTGCTGGGGCAGCTGGGGCTCGATCCCCCAGGCCTGGTACGGGGCCATGGAGAGCACACCTCAGAACTGCCACCCGCCCTCTCTTGTCAAGGCTGTTCATGGGGAGTTGCCTCCCCTACACGTGTCTGTGTGCCGTGTGTCAGGAGGCAGAGGCTCTTGCAGGCACTGGGCATCTTTGTGGCCCCAGAGCAGAAAAGAGAGGTCGACAGGGGAGGTGAGAGGCAGGGGAAGGGAGGTGAGGGGCAGGGGAGGGGAGGTGAGGGACAGGTGAGGTGAGGCAAGGGGCAGGTGAGGTGAGGCGAGGGGCAGAGGAGGTGAGGCGAGGGGCAGGGGAGGTGAGGTGAGGGGCAGGGGAGGTGAGGCGAGGGGCAGGAGAGGTGAGCCGAAGGGCCTGTGCCCTAGAGACAGCTCCATACTAGGCCCTGAGCCCGAGGCCCCCCTCTCCTGCTCTTTGTTGCAAAAGACCAGTGTGTTTCAGAGAGGTGGAGAGGTGTTAACGTCTCAGCAGCCCCAGTGGAGACTTTCTCTTTGAGGGATCAGGGGATTGAAGAGAATTGAAAAAGGGAAAATGTTCTCAGTTTATGCCGTCCTAGAATACAGTGTCAGGTGCCACTAAATCCTCTTGCAGATGGCCCCGGTGAGAAAACTGAGGTCCGGAGCCAGGAAGGGACTTGGCGAGGGCGTGGACATGCCAGAAAGATGGCCTCTCCTGTCACTGCACCGACCTGCTGTCCCTGAATCTGTTTATGCTCACTTTGACTATTTTTAAAAACAAAGACCGAAAAAACATTTTTAGATGGATGCAGGGGAGGGGATGCCCCAAATCAAATGGGCACACTGAGGTCTGAAGAAAGAAGCCTCAGAAAGTCCCATCCATCCTGCTGGCCTACCTGCCTCCTCCCTGCCCTTCTGGCCCATGCTCCCAGGGTGAGCTTGGAATTCTTGATAGTAGACAAATGGTGAGGACAGAGAGGGGAGCCATCTCACTAGGAGGGGCTTCTGGGGGAGCTAGATGCACTGGGTTTGAATCCTCGCTCTGCCCTGAAATGGCCACGTGACCTTGGGCAATTACTTCACTGCAAAGTGCCTCGGTTTCCTCATCTGTAAAATGGGACTAATACGGTGCCTATGTCAAAGGAACATTTAGGATATTAAATATTCATAAATTACTACATGTAAATGCTTCCAACTGTGCCTGGCATAAACACTGTGTTTGCCAGTCATACTATTATTATTATTATTAGTCACAGGGAAGAAAGGAAGGAAACTAACATGTATTTAGTCCTTATGAAAGGCCAGGCACTGTGCCTGCAATTTGTGTGGCTCATCTTATGTAATTTCACCACTCTAGAAAGATAGTTCTTTGTCTGAGACTGTCATTGACGAACCCAGGGTCCCATCATTGTGGGGATGCAGCCACATTCTGACCCTGGGCACGCAGATGTTCACTACATGGACTCAGGACAAGTGGGGAGGTGGAAACGCAGGGAGAGGAGCCGATAGCTGAGCCGAGGGCTTCTGGGGCGGGGATGGGCTGGGGGTCCATCAGGCTGGAAGGGGCGGCTGGGGCTAGCTCAGGAATTCCGTGGGAAGAAGCTTGCACTTTCTCCCACAGGCCCTGGGGAGCGACAGGCAGGCCACGAGTAGGGAGTGACATGATAAAGGGGGTGTTCGGGGAAGGTCTGTGTGGCTGCGGTTTCAGGATGGATGGGGGCAGCGGAAGGGTCCGGAGGGGAGGCAGGAAGCTCCACTGGGCGGCTGGCCTGGGACGGTCCCCTGGGAGAAGCACAAGGAGCCTTCAGTCAGACTGACCGCCAGGACCTCATGGTCCTGGGCCCTGACCCGGCCCTGACCCTGAGTCCCGCCTGAGGTGTGGACTGGGCCCCAGTCCTTCCCTTCGCCCGTGGGCGGCTTTATCTGGGAGTCTCCGGAGGGTGTCCCGTCTGGGTTGAGCAGGCCTGGCCGCCTGCAGATTTATGAGGTGTGGGGGAAGTGGCGGGGGCAGCGGGCGTGTGAGGCAGCCCTGGTGGGAGAGGGGAGAGCTGGAGGATGCTCTCCAGCCCATGGACCTGCGCTGACCCCATTTCCACCCCGAACTAACCCCACCCCATCTCACTGGGCCAGCCCCAGAACAAGGCGGCACCTGCTGCCTCAGTTTCTCCTCACAGACACCTTGAGGGGTGAGTAGAGAGAGGCTACAGGCA
The DNA here is from genome assembly GCF_000001405.40 of Homo sapiens. Lineage (NCBI taxonomy): Eukaryota > Metazoa > Chordata > Mammalia > Primates > Hominidae > Homo > Homo sapiens. The sequence continues at coordinate 22,756,793 of NC_000001.11, forward strand.
AGAACCTTAGATATGAGGAGGCTGTAGACAGAACATGCTAGAAGCTTCTGTACCCGGGTCAGAAGATGTCTATGATACGAAAGCAGTTTACTAACAGTATGCTGGGTATGATTCCATTTGCAACTTTGAAAGGAATAAATATGCATCTGTGCCTCTATAAATACATTTTATGTGCAGTAAAATGCCTAAATGATGTTTAGTTTGTGACTTCTTCTGGGGAAAGAGCTTTGACTTTCACTTTATACCTGTCTATATTGTTTCAATATCTTGTAAGCATATACTTTTTTCACTTACAAACTTTTTTAAAAACAGAGTAATGGTAGGGGGTGATGGTGGGTGGGAGAGGGCCTTTGTGTTTATGGGTGATAGGGGGTTGCTTTTGTGGGGTCCTGAGGGTGCTCAGGGTTTGGGTGGTTCTGGAATACTTGAGTCATTCTCTGCTGAGAGCCCTACCCTCCGAGAGACCCCAGCCTCACTGGGGAGACCCCACATGGATGAGCTCCCAGGATAAGGCAGGCACAGACAGGTTCCAGGGAGGTGGGTAGAGACAGTCAGGGAGGGTTTCCCAAAGGTGGCGGCCATTGAAAGGTGAGACAATTAGATTAGATGGGAAGGACAGCCTCAGGCATTGTAGAAGAGAAGCTAAGAGCAGACTCTGGAGTCAGACAGGTGTGAATCCAAATCCTTGCTCTTTTACTTACCAGTCATGGGACTCTGAGCATATTTTGTCATCCTGAGCCTCAATTTTCTCATCTGTGTAATGTTTACCCTAAAGATATTAAAAATCGACCAGGCGTGGTGCCTCATGCCTATAATCTCAACACTTTGGGAGGCTGAGGCAGGTGGATTGCTTGAAGCCGGGAGTTCAAGACCAGCCTGGGTAACATGGCAAGACCCTGTCTCTACAAAAAATAAAAATAAATTAGCCAGGCATGCTGGCACACACCTATAGTCCCAGCTACTTGGGAGCTGAAGTGGGAGAATCGCTTATGCCTGGGGAGTTGAGGCTGCAGCAAACCATGATTGTGCCACTGCACTCCAGCCTGAGTGACATAGTGAGACCCTTTCCCCCCAGCAAAAAAAAATCAGACCATGCTCACTATGTGTAAGCTATGCTTTTTTTTTTTTTTTTTTTTTTTTTTTTGAGACGGAGTCTCGCTCTGTTGCCCAGGCTGGAGTGCAGTGGCGCGATCTCGGCTCACTGCAAGCTCCGCCTCCCGGGTTCACGCCATTCTCCTGCCTCAGCCTCCCGAGTAGCTGGGACTACAGGCGCCCGCTACCACACCCGGCTAATTTTTTGTATTTTTAGTAGAGACGGGGTTTCACCGTGTTAGCCAGGATGGTCTCAATCTCCTGACCTCGTGATCCGCCCGCCTCGGCCTCCCAAAGTGCTGGGATTACAGGCGTGAGCCACCGCGCCCGGCCTAAGTTATGCTTTTAGGTGTAGGGATCCCAAAAGCTGGGGGATGGCCCTGAGAATTTGAAAGCACCCTGCCAGATGTCCAGGACCCCAGCCTGAAAAGGCATAGGGTCAGGAAGGGTCATGTAGAGGGACCCAGAGGGTCCCTCCTAGGAGAGAACAGCTTCTCCTAGGAGAGGGCTTCCTAGGCAGTTGGATGATATGGCAGCCCGTCGTAAGGGCACCAGGCAGTCCTTAGTCAAGGTCCATCCTGGTCTGGGTATCCAGTGGCAGCTGGCATTCATTTGCATGAGCACTGCCTCCCTGGGGCTCCCAGGACAGCCACAAAGCAGGACACCATGCTGCCCTTGTGCCACGCCTGAGCTGTGATCCAAAGCCAGGGTGGGATTCTGGCTGCCCCCAGAGACTGGGACTCAAGTCCCAGTGCCACCTCTCACACATGGTCTTTCCCTGCATGATCAGGTCACCTTTCTAGGCCTCAGTTTCCCTCTCGGTGACACAGTGGTATGAGGGGCAAGCTGGACCTCTCTCTGAGGGCCACTCAAGATTTTATAGTCAGTGAGGTTGGAGCTAGCTGTCAGAACCAGTTCATATCCTCATTCCCCAGCACAGAGCCTGGTACCTATTGGGGGCCCAGCCAGGTCCTGGTGGATGGATGATGGATGGATGAATGGATGGCTGGCTGGATGGATGATGGGTGACGGATGGGTGGGTGGGTGGGTGGATGAATGGATGGATGGATGATGGATGGATGGATGGATGGATGGATAGATGGACAGATGAATGATGGATGGATGGATGATGGGTGATGGGTGGATGGATGGATGGTTGGTTACCTAGTTAACTCATGAACACGCCAGAAAATGACAGAATCAGATAATGATTTGCTCCCTCCTCAGGTCTTTGCACTTGCTCCTTCCTCTCGGAACATTTTCCCCAGCTATTTTCCCAGCTCGCTTCCTCACCTGCCATGAAGCTTGACTTGGAGGCCAGCATAGCCACTAATCACCAAGGGCTTTGAGCAAAACCCTTGGCCTCACTGAACCCTAGTTATCTCATCTGTAAAATGGGGACACTGAGGCTCACCTGTTTCCTTTATACTGCTCAGGTGCTCCCTGTGTACTTCTCAATTCTTCAGGTACTTCAACAGGTACTTCTCAACAGTACCTGTTACTCTTTATTGCACTTAATGGTGGTCTGTTTGCCCCGGGCCATTCCTGCCACCCTGCCCCCATTATCTGTCTTGCCCCAAGGGATGGTGGGATTTCATTCCTCTTGGAGTCGGCTGAGCTCAGTACAACCCTGCAGTAGGCCCTCAGGGAGGCTCTGATGAGTGTCTTGAGTGTCCCTGACAGTGATGGGAAGGGGCCTTGCAAACTGTTTAGGACTGCGCTGTTGCCTTTCAGGAAGCTCAGCTGTGCCTAGGTCTATACCAACACCTCTGCCCAGCCACCTCCCTCACCAGGTGGCTCTGAGCCTTTGGCCAGGGAATTCAAAGCCCTTTCTACCATCCCATCCCCAGCCCCTTGAGTTCGGTGACACACTTTAGAGGAGGTGTCATCCTCACAAGGGGGACAATTAGCAGCTAACCTTCCTTGATGACTGTAGCACCCTCTGGAGGGATTCTCTCACCACAGCCACACCCACTGCTTCAAAGCCAAATTTTGGGCCTGGCTAACAGCAGGCCTGCATGTGTGTCAGGGGAGGCGAGTGGAGAGGCTCAAGAACCTGCCCCGGATCCCACCCATGCAACATTCTCGCTGCCTGTCAACCTGAGGCTTGTGCACTCTATGGGTTCAAGAGGCACCTGCATCCTCTAATTTGCTATAGAGGCCAAACCTCTGAGGCACGTCAGATGGATAACACAAGTCACCCATTTTACAGCTGAGAAAACTGAGACTTAAAGAAGTTCATGCTTGGCTTATTCAGACAGAGCATAACCTGACTCAGTCTTGCCCCCCAAGACCCCACAGTTTGGTGGAGGTGGGGCACTCAGAAATAATTATCTCCCCGCATGGAGGATGGGGTGGAGGCTCACAGAAAATGGGGCTGAGGGAACCCCAAAAATGACCTTGTAGCCAGGTCCTGAAAGCTGAGCAGAATTTTGGCAAATAGGGTGGGCTGGGGAAGACTGTGGGCTAAGGTCAATTCCACGCATGGTAGTGGGGGCCTGGATTCTTTAAGGACAGGGACAACTCTGTCCCCTGTCTGCAGAGGCAGTCTTGATGACATCTATTTTGGTTTTGCTTCTAAAAGCACCTCCTGCCCCACCTGTGCCCTCTTCCCCAGCTTCAGGTGTTCTTGCCTCTGTCCTCAAGGAGCAGCTCTCCAACCTTCCCAAAGCTGAAAAGCTGAGCTCCTCAGAGTCTGCCTCATGTCATCCTGGCCACAGGAGGGAGGACACATGCCATGATCCCCTGTCCGGGAGGGTGATATAACTCGGGGAGATGAGACCGCAGAGGCTGGGCCAGCTGAGCACACCCCAAGGCCTGTGTGAGTCACTCCTCTGCTGCTGTAACCCATTTCTCTCCTCTGCTCCAGGGGCCTCCCCATCATCCCATCTGTACACCCAGGAAAGTGGCCTTAGATCACTTAGGATGACAGGCTTGGGAGGGTGGCTGTGTCTCGGGTAGGTATAAGATCCTGTTCGGCCTTTTTCTTTCATCCTCCCGACGAGCCTGCAAAGGAAGATCCCATTTTTCCAGATAAGGAACTGCAGCTCAGAGAGGTGAATGCATGTGACCAAGGCCACACAGCCCATCCCAATGTTGAGCCAGGTGATGCCAGCTGTCTCCAGAGCCAGTGGTCTTGCCAAGTGCAGGTCTGTAGGCTTCCTAGGCTGGCAGCATCAGCATCACCTGGGAGGCTTGTGGAAAATACAGATTCCCAGCCACCAATTATGAGCCTGCCCCCATGATTCTCTTCTGATCTCATGGGGATCAGGGAATGCCAGGACTGATGTTTTTAAAACGTGCCTGAGTCCATTGTGATGCACAGCCAGCTGCTACCCTGTGCCACCACCAAATGATGTTCAAAGTGTGACAGATTATGAGAAGCAAAAAAACAAAGAGTAGCACGAACACACCAAAATGTTGGCAGTGGTCGCGGAGAGCGGGAGGGATCGTGGGGGGAGATAATTATTATTTTGTACTTTATACTTCCATCTGACTTTTCTGTGTTTTCCAAATTGTCTCTAATGAGCATGTATTGCTTTTATAATGAAAAAAATAAATAACAGAGCATCTGGCTGGGAACTATTTGGAGAGGGGTGAGAATAAGCATTGGAGCCATGTCCACACAGACCCGGGTCAGCCACCCCGCTCTTGGGCAGGGCACTTGACACTGAGCACTGAGCCTCCGTTCCCTTGTCTGTAAAATGGGGATAGGAAAGTCTCAAAGTATAGCTGGGAGTGTTGAGTAAGATAATTCCCTAGAGCTAACAATTCTCCTTCCTCCTTCCCTCTCCTGGACCTCTCTCTCCCTGGCAACCCTTCCCCTGGACGCCCTTCCCTGCCAATGCCCAGTTGAAGCAGTTGAAGCCTCCTCCCCGGCTCATCCAGACCCTCATGGTGTGTGCAGTCTGCCAGGGGCTTTCAGGGCTGCCTCAGCAAAGCCCATTTTGCAGATGGGGAAACCAAGGCCCAGGGCAGCCGAGGGACTTGGTTGCCAGCTCTGGCTCCCCAGCAGAGGGAGGGGGGCGTCCACGTGTCTGCTGCGCATCTCTGCCTGTCGTTGCCTTGCTCAGTGTGTGTGAGGGGGCAGCAAGTCACCATCTGTGTTTTCCAATAAAAGAAAATGAAAATTGAAGCACATTAAAAATAGCTCAATTGGGATTCCGAGCGGGGCTCTGAGGCCTGCTGTGGCAGACGCCCAGCCTGCCTCCCCCTCCTCCCAGCCTGGCACCGACATCACCCGGAGTCATCTGAGGCGAACGTCTCCTGGTGGCGTATGGGAAGGGGCCAGGGTGCAGGCAGTGTCCCTGATGGCACCAGGGGCTGCTGGGGACCCCCAATTCCAGTTTCCCAGCTCCCAGCAGCTGGTGTCCCACCAGAGACAGGAGAAAATGGAATTGGGGCCATATGCTGGGCAGACTCCAGACACCCTCCACTCCTTAGGGCTGCAGGACCCTCAGCTGGAACCTCTACCCACTAAGAATGGCTCAGGGACACCCTGTGGCAGAAAGGAAGGTAGCCTCTTCTGGGGGCCTGGAAACCAGGTTCCCAGGCCACCTTTTCACTGAATCCCTGTGCCTTGAGCAAGCCAGGAACCCCTCTGGGCCCATTTCCTCCTCTGTCCAGTGAGGATCTTGGTAGGGGCCAAGGGGTGGTGTGTGAGTGGGCTTCTGAGACTCCTGTCTCCAGCAAGGCTCCTTCCTGGCTTCATGACCTGGGGAAGCCCCTTCCCCTCACTGAATCCCAGTGACCTAGTTGGAAATGAGGATGATTTAGGAGTTTCCTGTAGGGGATGTGTCAGAGGACAAAAGGAGACATCAGCAAGCACTTAGCTTGGTGCCTGGCATGGGCAGGGACTTGACCAATGGCCACTATTGTAATCCATCTCATTATCATGATTTTCTGTGAAATGGGAGTGTGATGGCCCCACACCGTAGCAGGCCTGGGTGAACTCTGCGCTGGCTGCAGTGGCTCATCATAAGGAAGGCTAGCATTCACCCAGGAGTGCTGGTGCCCAGTGATTCCCAGCATCTCTTCCTCCCTCGTGGGTCCAGCTCTCTACAGCAGCATCTAGTGCCTATGACCAGCCACCACGCAGACCCTCAGTGAGGCAGACAAGGGGGCACGATTCCTACCTCGAGGCCCAGAGAGTGCTGGGCAGAGAGCAGCCCTGGATCCACACAGCTAGGCCCACGCAGGGGTTCCCTGCCAGGATCTGAGTGGTCTGAGAGTGGACAGGACATCCATGGAGGACCTGAGCTGCCTGGGTCTGGGCCTGTGCGAGCAGAACCTGGGCTACATCCTGCGGGATGGCCTTGGGCAGGTTGCTTCACTTCTCTGGGCCTCAATTTCTTCATCTATAAAATGGGGCTGATAATAGTTCCTGTCTCATTGGGCTTTGGGAAGACGAGTCCTGGGCAGGGTTTGGTAGGTGGAAAACACTAAATCCATGGTGCCCCTGAGAGCACCAGCCCACCCCCACCTGCAATCCCATCCCTCCAGGACAGAAACTTGCTGGGCCCACCAGGGCCCAGTCACACAGGACCAGCACCTGCCCTGCCTCAGCTCCAAGCCTCTCCTGGACAGGCACACGGTGGAGGTGGGGTGGCTCCCCTCAACCATAGATGTCAACTAAAGTGGCCAGGCCCTCCCCCCCACTTCAAATGCCCTTCAGCAGAGGGTCTGGGTGGTTTCTCAGCGGCAAGGAGTGAGTGTGTGGGGTTCATGGATCCAGCCATCACGGGGTGTGAGAGATGGCCACTTTCTCGACTGAGGATGGTCTGTTAGTTTCTTGTTGCTGCTATGACTAATTACCAAAGTCTTCGTGGTTTAAAACAAGACGCATTTATTGTTTTACAGCCCTGGAGGTTAGACTTCTGAAATGGGTTTCACTGGGCTGAAATGGCCAGCGGGGGGTGAAGGGCACACTACCTCCAGAAGCTCAGGAGGAGGATCCATGTCCTTGCCCTTTCTAGAGACTTCTAGAGGCTACCTGCATCCCAGAGCTTGTGGCTCCTTCATCCCCAAAGTGTGTCATTCCCACCTGGCTTCTGACATCACATCTCTCTAACGCCAACCCTCCCACCCCCTCTTACGAGGACACTCATGATTACATTAGACCCACTTGGCTAATCCAGGATAATCCCCACATCTCACGATTCCTAATCTCATCTCATTTGCAAAGTCCCTGTTGCTACGTAAGGCAACATTCCCAGATACTGGGGATTAGGAATGTGGCCATCTCTTGGGGGACATTATTCTGTCTCCCATAGATGAGAAAGCAAGTCTGCTCAGCCTGGCCCGAGGGTGCTGGCTGATGTTGATAATAACAATATCATAACATCCGCTTATTGAGTGATTGCTTTGTGTTATAATTTGAGTGATAATGACCACGGTCAATATTTTACTGAGTACTTACTATAGCCAGGCTCTGGGCTAAGAACTTAACATGCATGATCTTGTCACAGCCACCTGCGAGGCAGGTACTAATCTTGTTCCTATCCCACAGCTCAGAAAGGGAAGCTCAAGACTTGCCCTGGGGTAGTGGGTTAGGAAGTGGGGTTCAAATGTAAATGACTCTGCCGGGCTTGGTGGCTCATGCCTGTAATCCCAGCACTTTGGGAGGCCGAGCCAGGCGGATCATTTGAGGCCAGGAGTTCGAAACCAGCCTGGCCAACATGGTGAAACCCCGTCTCTACTAAAAATACGAAAATTACCTGGGTGTGGTGGCTCGCACCTATAATCCCAGCTGTTCAGGAGGCTGAGGCAGGAGAATCTCTTGAACCAGGGAGGCGGAGTTTGCAGAAAGCCGAGATTGCACCACCGCACTCCAGCCTGGGCAACTCTCAAAAAAAAAAAAAATCTAAATGACTGCTGAGGCCACTCTCTCAGACCCTGGGATGTGCCGCTGGATAGGCCATTAGGCCATTTCCCTGGTGTTTGGACCTAACACCTGGGTTCTGCTGCCAGGTTCCCGCTCCCCTGCGACTCGCTCCAGTGGCAGATACAAGAACTGCTTGATGGGGTTTCACCCTCGCCAGTTTGGGTTCCTCCAAGCAGGGGCTGCGGTTGGGGCAGATGCACGGGAGGCGCTCAGAGAGGGAGTGTTAAAATGGGAGGAGGGCAGAGGCTGGAGGACAGGCAGGGGTGCTGAGGGCTGCTTGTGGGAGAGCAGAGTGGGTGTCTGTCTGAGTCTAATTCTGTATCTGGGTGAGGGTGAGGAGCCGGACATTCTGGGAACCAATTCTGGCCACACCACTGAGTGTTTGACAGGGAGCCTTGGCCCAGAACTCTGAGGCTGTCTGTAGCATAGGACCCCCACTGCACTCTGCTCCTTGCAAAGCCTTTAGGGAGCACCAGTGTGTAGAAAACCCTGAGTCTAGCCGGGTGCAGTGGTTGACACCTGTAATCCCAACACTTTAGGGGGCTGAGACGGAAGGATCACTTGAGGTCAGGAGTTCGAGACCAGCCTGGCCAACATGGCGAAACCCCATCTGTACCAAAAATACAAAAATTAGCCAGGCATGGTGGCGGGCACCTGTAATCCCAGCTACTCAGGAGGCTAAGGCAGGAGAATCACTTGAACCCTGGAGGCGGAGGTTGCAGTAAGCCAAGATGGCGCCACTGCACTCCGGCCTGGGTGACAGAGAGAGACCCTGTCGCAAAAAAAAAAAAAAAAACATTGAGTTCATCCCGTGAGCACCGGCATTCTCCTTTGCTGGAACCCTGGGGCCCTTCCCCAGTTCTGTCTTTCCACCTCTCCACGAGCTTTCCGTCACTCTGAGTCTTAGGCCCCACACATTGCTACCTCACCATGGGATCTTGGACCAACCCCCAGGCTGCCTCAGTCTTTCCGTCTCTGCATTGGGTGCAGAGATTGCTGCATGCCAGCAATCCCTAAGGCCTCAGCTCATGATGTGACCCCTTCACAACCTTTGTGGGACTGACAAGGAACCTCCCCACCCTGGGAACCCGCCACTGGCCAGTTCTGCTCCCTGGGGTGGGGGCAGAGGGGACAGAAGCCAGGTACAGGAAGAGGGCCTCCTGCAGGAGCATGTGTCTTCCCTGCTCCTTCAGTTGGAGGCTCAGGGAGGATTCCTTAGACATTCCCTGTTTGTGGCATCCTCCTCCATCAGGGTCTTCCCGCCTCCCCGGAGAGCTCAGCTGTAGCCAGTGGGAAATGGGACAGATAATTGCAAGTTTAAATAAGGCCAAGTGAACACTCCCTCCCAGGCCCAGCACAGGGGACTCTCTGAGCTTTGAAGGGAGGCAGCCGGGAGGAAGCCTCAAATGGCACTCAGAGTCCCAGCACTACCACTGCCTCCCTGGTGACCCCAGGCAAGTCACAGCCCCTCTCTGAACCTCAGTTTCCTCATCTGTGAAATGGGGACCACATGGCATCACCTAGGAAAAGTGGCTAGCACAGTGCCTGGTACATTGAGCACCTAGTAGGTACTCAATAGCTGGAAATGAGGATTATGATTATTATCCCTGTTCAAATGCAGCGTCCCGCTCATCCCACCCCACTCCAGAGGTTTCTTTGGGAGCTGTTCTCAGTCGTGTTGGCCTCTAGGGGAATGAGGGGCAATGATGATTGTGGTACTAGCCTCCCCTGAGCTAGGCTGACTGTGCCAGGCCTTGTGCAAAGGGCGTTGTGTCCATACCTATGAGTAGGTGTTATTTACTATTCCCATTTCCCAGATGAGGTCACTGAGGCTGCAGTCCTATGGTGGTTGGGGGGAGGAGAGGGCTAGCAGGGAAGGAGTTGGGAGCCCATCAGCCTGAGGGGACCACCCACCACACACCCCATCAGAGAAGCATCCTGTCCCAGTGGGATGCGAGCCAGCGTGGTGAGATGCTTGAGGTTCCGGGTCCAATTTGCCCTTTATAGGAAAAAATTTCTGAGCCTGCTCCCAGCATCAGTAGGTCTGACTGGGCTGCCCCAGGCTGCTGCTATCACCACCAATACAGAATTCCTGGTGAGAAGGAACCCCAGTGTGGGGCTGGGGAGCTGATGAACTGACTGGGCAGGGCACTGGGCCCAGCTGTGGCCTGTGGTCCTGTGGCCTCCGGCTCTCATGTGAACCAGCGGAGTGGCACAGCCAGCAGCTTGGGAGGCTTCTGTTTGGCTCAGGAACAAGGCCGGGTCTGCCATGTTTGTGGGCTTAGCACAAGGCCATCTGACATAGCCTCTCCTTGTGCCTCAGGGAAGCTGTCTCCAGGTCACACTGGGCACCAATGGCCTTCATCCTCCACTTAGCAGCCCAGCATTGCAGGGCCTCAGGCCCAGTCCAAAACCAGACTAGGAAAGGGCATCAGACACACTCTGGAGGGTGAATTGGAGCCCAGAGAAGGGGCATCTAACTCAAGCTGGGGAAGTGGGGGGTGGTCTGATTCCATGCTGCCACCTGAGCCCTTCCCGACGCCACTACCTGCATCAGCTCTCACCTGAGACTTTCAACTCCCAAAAGGCTCCTTGGGATCATGAAAGGAGTTTGGGTCACACAGCCCAGAAATCAAAGCCTGCCTCCCTCACCAACTTGCAGCCAACTTGCAGGGATCTTGCCTGCTTACTTGTTCTCTCTGTGCCTTGGTTTACTTATCTGCAAAATGGGGACAATGATCCATCCCTTGAAGGGTTTTGGAAAGCTTAGAGGAGCTCAGGTGCTATGCTGGGTGTCCGTTGCATGGGACAGTGCCTGGCAGGTCGTAGGTGCTCAGTAAATGGTAGCTATGGTGATAGAGATGCTAGGGGTGGAAGTAGCATTCCCTCACCTCCTGGTCCATGTCCTCCTTCCCACCACTGGCCCAGGGTGCCCCTCTTCCCCCTGTGTCTTCTCCACCTCGAAGGCTCTCTTGATTTCGAGCCCTGCTCCATGTCAAGGGCCCCACCAGCCCCCATTCCAGAAGCTGGCTCTTTAGCTGGCATTGCCTCTCAGGGTACCAGTGGGAAATGGTGGGAAAGCAATGGTCACTAATGATGAAGACATGGAGTCTCTGGTGAAGATGGTGATGGGAAATCACTGAGCAGCTCTCCTGAGAAACATCGACATGCGAGAAAATGTCCCAGCAGAGCCGTGACTGCTTAACTGCCTGAGATGCCAGGTGTGGTTGGCAAGAGAGCCCAGGGAGTCACACTGAGCAGAGATGGCACCCTGGGGTGTTCTGTCACTGCATCCACACTGCTGAGGGCTGCGGAGGCGGTCCTGGAGCCAAGCGTTACTGTGGGAGGGATGCAGGCATTCTGGAAACGTCTCCTCCGAGGCAGCAGCCTCTCTCAGAAAGAGCGAGGGCTTTGGAGCCATCAGACCTAAAGTGGAATCTCTTCTCTGCTCCTGACCAGCTGTGTGGCCTGGAGAAGCCCTCCATACCTTTCTGATCCTACAGTTTCCTCATCTGTAACATGGATCCTTTACACAAGAGAACACAGCAACAGCTGTCAGGCCACTTCTTCTGTGGTCCTCTGCTGTCTTAGGGATGAAGTCTTAGTCCTTCAACCTGGTATTCAAGACTCTTTGTGAGGCCAGGCACAGTGGCTCACACCTGTAATCCCAGCACTTTGGGAGGCCGAGGTGGGAGGATCACATGAGACCAAGAGTTCAAGACCAGCATGGGGAACATAGCTAGACCCCAGTCTCTACTAAATAAATAAATAAGCAAGCAAGCAGGGCATGGTGATCACACGTGTAGTCCCAGCTTCTCAGGAGGCTGAGGTGGGAGGATCAGTTGAGCCCTGGAGGTTGAGGCTGCAGTGAGTCATGCTGCCACTGCACTCTGGCCTAGGTAACAGAGAGAGATCCTGTCTCCATTAAAAAAAAAAAAAGAAGACTCTTTGTGGTGTCTGGAGTTCTCTTTCCCCTAGGCCTTCCTTCTCCCTCCTGCAGGTTCTTGAAGGGGCCCTGATCATTCTCTCCTCCCGGCCTTTGTACAAGCTGTTCTTTCTGCCCGAGACACCTTTTCCCCTTCTCCTGGTGCTTCCTCTTTCCCTCCTCCTTTTGCCTTGCTGTCTCCTACTCAATTTGGGGTTCAAGCCAGTTGCCACTCACTTGGGAAGTCTCCTCTAACCTCCAGGCAGGGTTAGGATTCCTCCTTTGCTGTGGGATCCCCCTTATAGACTGGGACCCCTTATGTCTGGGATCCCCCTTACAGACTGTAGGACAGGGGACCGTGGTAGGGGTGAGGCTGAACCTGGTTTAAGTTACCATTCACTGGCCCCTCTTTGGGGTGGGATGGGCCCCAGCCATGTCCATATCCATAATGTGATATGGACAACAGATTCACAGGCCAGATGGGGTCCTCGTGAAGCAGGCTATCTGAATGCAAAGGGAAGCCAGGTTCCAGGGCCACAGAACAGAGCCCAGGATTCCAGACTCAGCAAGGGCCCAATCCACAGGTAGAATGTGGAGCTTGGAAAGTGCTTGGGAACTAGTGGCAGGAGCCAGACAGGGCTTAGGGTTTGCTCCAAATCAGTAAATTTCTTTAAGTCAGTGATAGTATCTATTTTTGATTCTCCAATACTTTTTTCTTTTTCTTTTTTGAGACAGAGTCTCATTCACTCTGTCACCTAGGCTGGAATGCAGTGGTGAGATCTCAGCTCACTGCAACCTCTGCCTCCTGGGTTCAAGTTGATTCTCGTGCCTCAATCTCCCAAGTAGCTGGGATTACAGACATGCACCACCACACCCAGCTAATTTTTGTATTTTTAGTAGGGACAGGGTTTTGTCATGTTGTTCAGGGTGGTCTGGAACTCCTGAGCTCCAGCGATTCACCCACCTCAGCCTCCCAAAGTGCTGGGATTACAGGCGTGAGCCACCACGTAGAGCCTGATTCTCCAGTACTCAGCATGGGCCTGACACATAGTAGGTGTTCAACACATGCAGGCTGGCTGGATGGGAGGAGTGGATAGCAGATGTATAGATGTATAAATGAGTGATGTGAATGGATGGACAGGTAAATGAATGGGCGAGTGGATAAATGAATGGAAAGAAGAGAGGTAGGGAGGGAGGTTGCTTCAGAGGAAGGGAAAAAACCGAAGTGGGATGCTGGGCATAGGGGTGAGTGGATAAATTGGTGGTGTAAGGATAGACAGATGAATGTGGTAAATGAGAAAATGAGTAGATGAATAGATAGATGGGTGAGTGGAAGGCAAGATGGCAGAATGACTTCATAAATAGCTGCTTGGATTGGGTGATTTGACGAATAGATGGATGGATGGATAGGTGAGTGTGTGGGTGGGTGGAATGTTGGGTAAGTGAATGGATGGGTACACGGGCGGGCAGATGGATAAGCGTATAGATGTGTGCGGATGGGTAAATAGGTAGGTGGGTGAGTGAGCAGATGTCAAGATAGTTTATGGATGATTGCAAGGATTGGATGGTTGGAAAGATAGATGGATGAGTGGGCGTATGGGTCAATGGGTGAATGAATAAACAGTAAATTTCATGTAGCTAAATGCCTGACACCCTGCCCAGAAGCAGAGGGGTGGTCTGGGTTCTGGGATTTGAGTTAATTGTCCTTCACTGGGGGAAACCAGTGCCAATTAGGCAAATACATCAAGTCCCAGCAGGTCCTGCAGCAGGCTTGCTAATTGACTCCAACCCAAGAGACCCCAGCTTGGACTTACAGTGGCCTGTGTCTTATTGATTTGTAATTTACACTCCATTCACATGCAGAGGGATTTGAGGTGACTTATAAGATTAAACCTGCATGCAACAGGACAGTTAGAAATAAAGTGAGACAGCTAAGAGGCCACATAGCAAAGTGATTAAAAGAGTACCTGGTTCAGCTCCTGGATCTGCTGTGTACTCGCTGTGTGATGTTGGGCAGGTTACTTAACCTCTCTGAAGGTTATTTCCCCCATCTGCAGGAAGGAAGGGATGAAGGGAGGTTGGTTCAGTAGGAATATGAATGGATACATATGTGAGATACTAGTGGATGAACAGGTGGTAGAATACTGGGTGAGTGGAGTGGGACAGATGGATGGGGTGACAGGGTGGGTAGGTGGATGGATAGATGGGTGGGTGGGTAAGTGGGGACAATAATCAATTATCGCATGGGGCATTGTGAGCATCAAAACAGATAATATGTGTGACAGCTCAGCGCAGTAAGTACTTTGGATTATCTACTATGTGGAGCCATCTTGATACCAGCGACTGCATTTCCTGGAGGAACAGCTCAGACACCCAGAATGATGATGTCAGCAGGAAAGAGCATTTAAGGTCTGGGTGGGCCTGGGTGATCAGGAGTAAGGTGGTTTTAATAGAGAGGCTGGTGGCTACCACAGTGAACCAGACTTGGCCCTGCCTACAAGGCACTTAGAGTCCAGTTGAGGGACAGATGAGTAAAAGAAAGTTGCAGGACAAGGTGACAAGTATAATGATGGGAGACACATATAGGACTCTGGGAGCCCCAGCACCAGGGTCATCAGGGAAGCCTTCTCAGAGGAGAAGACATTTGAGATGGGTCTTAATGAACATGTCTGAGTGTCCTAGGCAGGCCAGGAGGGCGAGGGACATGGCAGGGAGAAGGAACAGCACCTCGAGTGCCAACTGTGGAGTGAGGCTGTGTCCAGTGGGCAGAGGGGAGATGCACACAACTTAGAACCACTCAGAAGGGGTGCAGCTATAAGCAACTGGGGTTCCCAGGCCCCCTGCCTTCATTAGCCAGCCTGAGGGTATCTCAGCTCTGCCACGTCTTGCAAGTGACTGCCTCTCTGAGCTTTCCTCCCCTCTTCTGTAAAATGGCCCTGACAATTGGTCCTCCCTCAGTGGGTCCCATTAGGATCTCAGGAGATGAGTATTAACGTGGCAGGCATTGTTCCATGCACACGGTAGCTGCCCAGTAATGCCAGCTGCCATGATGATACTTCTTTACCTGCTGAATAGATGTGAAAACTGTGGGTTCATTTAAGTAAAAAGGCTTTAAAAATTAAAGAATCACTGGGCAAATGCTGGCTGTGAGATGCAGCCTGGTATGTCGGGAAGGCTTGAGGGCGACTGGCCTGGGTTCAGTTTCTGATTTACTATGTGGCCTTGGTCAAGTCACCTAAAATGGGACCAGTAGCAGGCGTCCCTCAGGGTTGTCATGGGAACTAAAGGAGCACTTAATGTGTCCAGGGCTGTTCCCGTCCCTGCCTCCCTTCTTTCCCTTCCCCAGCAAGCCCTGGTGTTCATTTACCACCCACCCCACCCCCAGCAACCCCGTCCCAGACCCCCATCCATCATCCTGTCCTTTGCCGAGGTTAAGTGGGTCCCCAAGTAGCGAATCCAAACTCTCCCAAAGCCCTGGCTGCACAATGTGGCCCGCTGTTAGTGAGCAGCCAGGCTGGCCCGGAGGATTGGGTTTCAGCCGGGGCGGCCAGTGCTGGCGGATGCCCAGGCCAGCGGCAGGCAGGCAGGGGACAGAGCAGAGGAGCTGGCGTCACAGGGACTCCTCCGCCTAGGCCTGAGAAAACAAGAGCAGGCTCCAAGCAGGCAACCGAGGCAGAGAAGGGCCTCTGAGTGGTGGGAGGACGAGAAGGGGTGTGTGCTATGAGAGTCCTCGGGCAGAAGGATTTTACATTAGCTGGGTTCTCTTTCCTCGAGACTGAGGGCTGAGCAGGGGGCCGAGGTAGAAAAACAACGTGCTGCTAGTTGGTAGATTTCACTTTAGAAAATCTGCATTCTTCTAGGAGCTAGTCGGGGGCTTCTCTGGCATCTCCACCTCTTGCCTTGCTTTGGGCCAGTGAACCCAAGGCCATCCTGGGCTCCCATTCTCATGATGTTTATAGAGGAGAGGGCTCAGGAAACTCAGTCAGGCTGGCCTGGGTTCAAATCTCAGCTTGGCTTCTTTCTGGCTATAGGACTTGGGGCAGATCTCTGAGCCTCTGCAGTCTCAGTTTCCTCATCTGTACAGTGGGATAAAGGTATGGGCTTTACAGGGCGTGCAGAGGGTTTAGCTCAGAGCCTGGCAACGATAGCACTGGTAGATGAAAGCAGTGATTCTTCCTTCCCTTTCCTGAGGCAGCATAGTCTAGTGGCTTCTGGGATCAGACCAAAGGGATCAAATTTTACCCTGCCCCTTACTGGCCTTGTGGCCTTTTGGAAGTCCTTGATCTCTCTGAGCCTTGGTTTCCCCATAAGTTTGCTCTGGGATGTAAATGAGACAATATCGATGAAGTGCCTGCCCCTAGGTGGCCTCCACCACCTTTCCCTATGGTTCTGTATGGTCCAGCCTTTGCATACTGTAAAAACCTTTGGCTCCCAATGCCTCCTTTGATCCTCAAAACAACGCAGTGAAGTATACAGAGCAAGGATTTTGTCATCTCCATTTTACAGATGAGGAAACAGAGGCTCAGAGAGGAGAAGTGACTCTTCCAAGCTTGTCAGTGTCCTTGTCTTCTCCTGGAATTTCTAACTTGGACCATGAAAAGAGTGCTGTGACCATGGACAGTCCGGGTCAGGCCTCCAGGCTGTGAATGGCATCTTACCAGGCCACGAGATCCCAGCCAGGCCTAGCTTCAGGCCACCTCAGCCCCACCAGCCCCAGACAGGGTGCAACAGGAACCGCTGGGAAGAGCCTGGGCTGGCATCTGCTGCATGGGTCTCACACCAGGCTGATTTGCTGCCTAGGCTACAGGCCACTGGTCAGTCTGTAGGCGAAGACCCGTGGGTGTAGCTATGAGGTGTCTGTTCATCTTCAGCTTCAACCCTTCCCCCAGCTGGCCCCCAATTCTAGCCTAATTTCCTCTGCCAAGACCACTCTGTGACCCAGCGGTTCTCAGAGCAGACCACATCACTACCCTCTTCAAGAATCTTCCATAGCTCCCTGCTGCTTATGGGAGAAGACCCAACCTCCTTAGCCCCACATTTGAGAGGCCCTCCACATTCTGGCGCCCTGTCCTGTGCTACCATCTCCTTCTGTGAAGCATTTTGCTCCCACTACATGGGACGGACACTCCAGCATGGCGCAGTGGCTAAGGACATGGGCTTTGGTGCGAGGCAGACCCGGCTCCATCGCTTCCTGGCCATGGAAACCTTGAACAACCTCTCCAAACTTTGATTTCTCCATCTGTAAAGGGAGATCCTAAAGTACTTACTTCACAAATAGTTAACGATGAAATGGGATAATGAGTGCTAAGCGCTTGGCCTAGAGCCCACCACTGAGAGCCAGTCATCAGTTTTACGATTGCCCAGCCTTCCCCGATGTCTTACACTTCTGTGCCTTTGATTCTGCTGGGCCCTGTATGTGGCGTGCCCTTCCCTCTCCTCCCAGCTCACATGCCACCTCCTCTGAGATGCCTTTCCAAATTTCCTGCTCAAAGCTACTCCCTTCTTCCTCTGGGTTTCCTGGCTCCTGGCCGGGACCAGCCGTCTCACTCCGCCTCTCCCTGCAGTAAGTTCACACGTCGGGCACTAGTCTGGGAGCTTTTTGAGGGAAGGGCCTGCTGATCTGCCTCTGTGTCTCCAGTGCCTGGCTCAGGGCCTGGCACACATCGGGTGGAGGAGATGTTCATTGAATGACCATGACTTTGTTACTTAACCCAGCCAGAGCAGGAGGAGTCAGGACAGCTGCCAGGAAGAAGGAAGAAGGAGGCTTTGAGCTCAGTTTTGGAAGAGAAGTTAGCCAGGCTAACAAAGCAAGAAGGGCCAGGCGTTCCAGGCAGAAAAATCTAGAAAGGTCAAGTCACCAGTGTTCAGGGAGGTAAAGTGACTTCTGCAAGCAGGAGGAAATTTTGGATGGCTGGATACGAGAGACACGGAAGACGGTGGCTGGAAGGTAATTAGCTGGCCTGCTTGGCAGGGGCCTCGAGTACCTTGTTAAGAGCTAGGACTTGATCCTTCAGGCAGCAGGAGCTCTGAAGGGCGATCACACATGGACTTTAGGAACATCACCCAGCTGCTGTGTGGAGGTTGGATGCATGTGCTAGTGCCAGGCCTAGTTCTCAGTGTTGAGGGTACAGCGGTGAACAAGGTGGATGCAGACCTCCCCTACATGTGGGCCCTGGGAGACATCAGAAGAACAGGATTCACCTACATGGTGTCATTTAATTCTCACAATGACCCATTTTACAGATGTGGAAACTGAGGCCCAGAGAGCAGAACTGGCATTCCTGCAATTGTACACTAGAGTGCCAGAGCCAAGATTCTGGCCTGGGCAGTCTATGTCCCACTCCCCTGCTGCCCTCCTCCTGCCCCTTGCTATTCTCACACAGGCCCATGCAGAGAGAGAAGATAAATGCACACACACAAGCCCTGATGACTTTGTTGTTTTGTGTTGTCTGTTTTTTAAGGCTATGGCCATGGCATCTTAAAAATAACACAGTTGTGAAAATAGATGGATGTGGGTTCCAGTCCTAGCCCTGCCTGTGTGCACTTATGCAGGTTGGTTCTCCTGTCTGGCCTCAGTTTCCTCGTCTGTGAAATGGGGTTAATAATAGTATATACTTCTGGAGGTTGCGCCTGAAATGGCATTTAGAGGGCCCTGGCCAGCGCTTGGCATGTATAGGTGCTTAATGAAAGTTTCTTCTTCATGACTTTGGAACACTCACATACTGTCATTAGTGCAGACAAACAGCATCTGTGGTCCTAGAGAATTACAGCCCACAAGGGGATCAGACAGAGCTGGCTAGGGGTGGATCGGAGAATAGGGAGCAACCACCCGCTCCAGCCTGAGAGCAGGCAGGCCCCCTGCAGCCACCTCCTTTCAGCCCAACGCTAACGACTTCAGTGTGTCTCCCCTTTAAGTTCAAATATTTCTGAAATGTACACTGCTCATTCACACATAGCCAGAGGGGCCATCGGGCCTCCCCAGCCCGGCAGTCAGGGCCTCCTGATTGCTTTCTTCTGTGCAGCCTCCAGGAAGGAGAGGGGGTGTGGGTACGGTAGGGATAGGGCCAAAGTCACTCCCATGGCTGGGCCCCTGTTTTCACACTGAGGAAGATGCTCTGGGCTGGTGGCCCTAGTTCCAGCTTTTGCCTGGATGCTAAGAATCTGTGTAGCCTCTTTCTTCATCTATCCATTGGGATTCTTTTAAATGGGCACTAAGAGCAGCCAAGGTCTGGGAACCGGACATTTCAACAGGGTGGGAGGGCCTAAGGGCAGGTGAAACGGCAAAGTTGGCAGAGTGGGAGGTGGGTGGTACCAGCGAGGCTGGCAAGGATGTGGGGAGACAGGGATGATCCAGCAGAGGGGCCTCAGAGAGCTGCTAACCGTTCATGGCCCTGTCCTGTGCTACCTGGGCAGCCCCTGCTTAACCCCTCCAGGCTCAGCTCTTAGCTCCCACCACTTCCAGCCCCACCCTTCAGCCAGCGCTTGATTCCCACAAACCCCGCTGTGGCTCAGCTCACCTCCTGGCCTTTGCCTCTGCTTCCCCTCTGCCTAGCGTGCCCCTCCCACTCCACATCAGTCACTCCCCACTCACCCAGTCTTTAAGCCTCCATGCAGGCGTCACGTTCTCCTGGAAGCCATCCCTAAATTTGGCATTTTCTTCCCCTCCTTCCGTATTCATTTCCTGTAACCTGCAATAAACCATGTACATCCTCATTGTGATCTTAGCCACATAGTGTGGTGATTAATTATCTGTGTACAGTGACAACAGCTTCCCCTGCAGGAGAGATTGTCACCGTCACAGTGGGGATGGAGATAGAAACATTTCCAGAGCTTCAGAGGCAGCTCGAGGGAGCCCAGCAGCTCCCAAAGTATGGGAAGTGAAATGATGTTCCGTACTTTGCAGACAAACATTTTTAATTGTAGTAGTCTGTGTTTATTTTCCTTCCTGTCATGGCAAGAGATATTGGTTTTCCATTTATAATCATGATTACGCTTTTTCCTCTTTAAGATGCATTTAAGAAAGAAAAGGAGTCAAGTGGAAGAAAAAGTAGTAACTAAATAATTGTACAGGTTGTAGTTGGAAATGGCTAAAGTCATTAATGTTGTCTGTATGAAAGGCTCAAGCCTGGCCAACCCTAGTGGAGCAGAACACTGGCGTATGCTCAAGTCTGGCAGATGGGGAGAGGAGGCCCGTGTGCCAAGCCCTGTGCTAGGTCTTAGGGATCCCAGGACCAGGACCCAGCACCACCTCTCAGGGGACCACAGAGCTTTGGGAGATGATAGCAAATAGGGGTAGTTACCACCCAGAATATCTTCAAGTGCCGGGATATCTCGAAGCACCCGTGGCTGCAGAGCTTTGGGGCAGAATGGATTTAAGAGGACTTGCTAGAGGAGGTGACCTGAGTCGAGACTTCACAGATGAACATTAGGGCAGGCCAAGAAGATGTAGAGGTGAGAAGGTCAGAAGGAACAGTATGTGTGAGGTACAAGGGTGAGAAAACACCACATTGTCTGTGCGGAGTGAGACGGCCAGTCTCTCCACCTACTCATAGCTAACTGGAGTGCAGCTTGAGGGTGGAATAGATGTGTGATCTTGGGCAAGTTCCTGGGGCTTTGGAAGCCTCAACTTTCTCATCTATGAAATGGGACAGTATCAAGTACCTCTTGGCATTGTTGTGAGAATGTTGGTGAGAGATTCTGGCTCCTAATAGGGTCTCAGCAGACGTGAGTTCTCTCCCTTTGTAGATTTTTGGGATTGGACGGGAGACGTCTGGTGTGTTACAGGGTGGAAAAAGGATGTGATGGTGGTGGAAACAGAGCTTGGTTTCCTGAACCCACTAAGTTCTTGAGGCAATAACTATTAACTCCAGATTCCCCAGAGAACAGAATTTGACTTTTGTGCTTAGTTTGAGAGGAACAAAGAGGAAACTCAGGGCACCCCAGGGAAAGCAGCATCAGATGGACTGGGACGGGCTCCATGGAGGCTGTAGCCACGGAGCAAGAGACTGATGCTTGTCAGATGTTGGCAGGCATATCTGGGAGGTGGGGGAGGCCAGGCAGACTAAGTTGGAGCCTCTTGGGCCTGCCTTTGCTTTCAGGGGCACCTAGTAAGCCCAAAGGAGGAAGCAGTATGTGCAGGCACTGGGTGGGCCAAAAAGCACTGCACACCATCTAAAAACAGCAGCTATTACTAAGTGAGGATCTACTTTGTGCTGGGCTCCAAGCTGCTATACTTCCAGACTCGGAAGGTATTTTGGCCATTTTCCAGGTGAGGAAACTGAGGCTTAACAAGAGGTAGAACAAATAAAGGTCCGTTTGTTTGTTTGTTTGTTTTGTTTTGTTTTGTCTTCTTAGACATAGTCTTGCTCTGTCGCCCAGGCTGGCGTGCAATGGTGCAATCTCAGCTCACTGCAACCTCTGCCTCCTGGGTTCAAGCAATTTTCATGCCTCAGCCTCCAGGGTAGCTGGGATTACAGGTGTGCATCACCATGCCTGACTAATTTTTGTATTTTTAGTAGAGACGGGGTTTGACCATGTTGGCCAGGCTTGTCTCGAACTCCTGACCTCAAGTGATCTCCCCCCCTCAAAAGGTCCATTTGTAATAGTCTGTGTTTATTTTCCTTCCTTTTATGGCAAGTGATATTGGTTACCAAGCAAGGAAGGGACAGAACTGGTGTTAGAATCCAGATCTCTGTTACCTCCAGAGCCCAGGTCTGTCTGCTCTGCTCATCTGCTCATTTGCCTTTTGTGCAGAGGTAGAGGGAGGGGTTAAAATTGAAAAGCAAAAGACCAGGTTGGGGAGAGAGCATGCTTGTGCTGCCTCCTGCCACAACCCAGAGGGGTGACAGGTTTCCCAGAGCCAGGCCTCCAGGCAAAGCCAGGAGTGGCACAGGAGAAGGGAGCAGAGGAGATGCCGGCCCTCTACCTCCTCCCAAGGGGATCTGCAAACTTCATGTCCTTTGCGTTCCCTTTGTGTCTGCAAACCAGCCAGCCCATTTACTTCCAGTCCTTCTGAGATCCTCCCACTGCTTTGGGCCACTGCTTTGGGCCAGGAGAGGTAGAAGACACAGGGGGACAGTGGGGCCCCCCACCCTAAGCTTCTTGGGAGCCCAGAGTATGAGCACCAACTTTTAGTGTGTGACTTTGGCAAGCCATTTGCCCTCCTTGAGCCCAAGTTTCCACCCGTACGATGAGGATGTCAGTTCCTGGCCCCTCCTTCTCTGGGCCATGGAATCCTCTAGTGTTTGGCCTCTGGGTCAGCCCAGGAATCTAGCCAAGGGATGGGGCCACCTGCTTGGCAGCCTTGCCTCCCCTGCCCGACCCTCTTCTTGTCCCAAGCACAGTCTCTCCTCTGCCTTGTTCGACACAGCTCCCAGCAGCTGTTCCCTGGGCCCAGGCAGAGAGCCCGGCTTGGCGCGTCTCTGGCTGAGGCCGATGAGAGAAAACAGGTTAAAAGTTCAGCCCTTGTTCTCTCCAGGAAGAAAAATCTGTAGCATTCGGAGTGTGAAAAGGAACCCTTTTTTCAGCTCCAAAGCTGCATAATAGAACTTCCCTCCAATTTGCCATCAAAAAGATGCCCTTGGCACTGGCTCTACCATCCCTGGCACCCTTACCCCACACCCCCTCCCTGTGCCAGCCCCCAGTGCAAAGGGACACAGTGACCACAGGCAGTCATGGGGATGCCAGTGCACAGGGACACAAGCCACAGGCAGTTGTGGGGACACTTCTGCATCCTCTCTTGTCAGCTCATGGGTCTGACTGGGGTCACCTCTGACCAAATGCTTCCTCCTGTCCCCACCCTTTATCCCCTCCACCCCTGCCATAGTTCAAACCCTAATTATCTGCCATTTGGACCTTCTCAGCTGCCTAGACACTGGGCACACAGCCCCAGTCTCCTGGTCCTTGTCATTTAGCCCAGACCATCAAACTAATTGTTTCAAGTGACTGAAAGTTTATAGGCTAGGAGGCAAGACACCTGCACTTCCCACTGTGTCACCAACTCCTATGCAATCTTTGGAAGCCCCTTCCCATCCCTGTGCTTCAGTTGCCCTGTCTCCAAAAGGAGGCGGTTGGGCTGGACCAGGGATAGCATCTCAAATGGTTCGTATTTGTTTCCTGGAACACTGTGGCAAGAAGCATCATGTGGCCACAGTATGGGGACTGATGAGTGATGCCTGCCCTGGGCACAGAATTGGAGCATGGCAACAAGCATACCTCTCACCCACTCTCACTGAGCAAGGTGGTGTCACTGTGACCTTCTAGGTCTCTCCCCCTACTCTCTCATAGCTATTTATATTCACACCTCATCTCCACTACCAGACCAGGAACTGCTCCATGGTAGGGTCTTGCTAGCCACGGTTTTCTCTCTCAGGGCACCCAGTGCAGCGCCTGGTACATAATGGGCATCAGGATATTTTGTTGAATGAACGCTTGAAAGGGGTCCATTTAAATTCATTCGGTGTATTGCAATTCCATTCAGAAAGTGTTTGGAAGCCAGAGAGGCAAGGAAAGGGTAGAGGACAGGGGTCCTGAACCTGACCTGGGGAGAATGGGGGTCTCTAGGGCCATGTGGCTCTTCTTCCCCCTAGGCCACATGGCTCCCTGCAGCTGCTGGAATCGGGGGAGGCAAGTGGGGCCCAGGATGGTCCAGGTGCTGACATGTCTCCTGAACCCCCACAGGCCATGTGACAGTTGGCCCCTACTGGGTGCAGTGCTTGCTCTCAACACTTCTCCACTCCTGGGACCCTGTCCTGGGGGCAGAGTTGCCTGAGCCCTGGGGGAGGGGCCCCAGTGATAGGAACATGATGGAAGGCTCCAGGTTTCTAGAGAAAGGGAGAGTGTCCTGACAAGATGTGTGCGCCAGAGGAGCAACGAGGGGAAACTGAGGGGTCTCAGCTGGGACACAAGCACAGCCCCTCTAAGGCCCAAGTTCGTTTTTGAGAGTTTGATGCAAGCTGAAAAGCAAACAGATCCCAGAGTTTGATGTAAAATATCAAGGGTTTAGTGGCAGAGCCTCGGAAACCCATCCAGTAGACTCCAGGTTTAGTGGATGTAAGACCCTCCTCGTCCAGAAAAGGAAGGGAAGGACAGTACCTAGGTTAGTGAGACTAGACTGGCCTAGAGGTAGAGCCTGACCATGATGTAAGGGTGGACTTGGCCTGGAGGGGCGGGGCCTAGAGGAGTGGCATCAGATGATTGGCTAGGCTGTGGGGGTAGGCGGGATAATGGAGTAGAGAGGCGGAGTCTAAACCGAGGGCAGTCTGGAGAGTTAGAGTCAGATGACTGGGGCAATGGAAGTAGGCGGGGCTCTCAGTAAAGAAGGATGAGGGCCCGGCCGTGAGGGTCTGGCCGGGCACGGTGGCTCACGCCTGTACTCCCAGCACTTTGGGAGGGCGAGGCGGGCGGATCACGAGGTCAGGAGATCGAGACCGTCCTGGCTAACACGGTGAAACCCTGTCTCTACTAAAAATACAAAAAATTAGCCGGGCGTGGTTGGAGGCGCCTGTAGTCCCAGCTACTCGGGAGGCTGAGGCAGGAGAATGGCCTGAACGTGGGAGGCGGAGCTTGCAGTGAGCCGAGATCACACCACTGCACTCCAGCCTGGGCGACAGAGCCAGACTCCGTCTAAAAAAAAAAAAAAAAAAGAAGAAGAAGGATGAGGGCCCAACAGAAAGATTGACAGCGCCTGGTAGGTGGGGCGGGGTGGTGACTCTTTGCTCTCCCCACAGAAACGCTAATGGACTCCACTACAGCGACTGCTGAGCTGGGCTGGATGGTGCATCCTCCATCAGGGGTGAGTCAGTGGTCCCCAAACCTTGCATTGGTCCCCAGGATCCCTCAAGCCCTGCTGCAGGGCCCGAATGCCCCCTCATATTCTAACCCCTTTCCCCCTCTTCAGGACCCAGAGCCAGGCCTCTCTCAGCCCCACCCTCCCAATCCCCTACCATTGATGGAGCCATGATCCCCTACCATTGATGGAGCCAGTTACCATGACAACAGGCTGGATGCTTTCAGCCTTTATCCCGTGGAATCCTTAGGGCAAGGCTGAGAAGTAGGTGCTCTCACTACCCCCGTTTTACAGATGAAGAAAGTGAACTGTCGTTTCCTGAGTACCCATTCTATGTCAGATACTGTATTAAGTACCTTTATACACATCATCTCTGATCCCATGGAGAGGAATTATCTCCATTTTACAGATGAGAAAACCGAGGCTCAGAAAGGTGTAGCCACCTGCCCAGGGCCCTATAGATAATAAGTGAAAGGGCTAAGGTTTGTATTCAGGACTATGACTGAGCTCTCTGCCCGCTTTCTGGGTCCCCATAACACAAAGCTCCCCCTCCTT
The DNA here is from genome assembly GCF_000001405.40 of Homo sapiens. Classification (NCBI taxonomy): domain Eukaryota; kingdom Metazoa; phylum Chordata; class Mammalia; order Primates; family Hominidae; genus Homo; species Homo sapiens. The sequence goes on from NC_000001.11 coordinate 22,782,035, forward strand.
TGGTTCTTATCATCCTAGGGTCTATGCTGTGAGCTCTCCAAGAGCAAAATCTGGCATAAGTTACAGACTGTGGGGTCAAATACTCCTGAAAATGTGTCTTAGCTCTGCCACTCACCAGCTGTGTGATTTGGGGCACTTCCTTAATCTCTCTGAGCTTCAGTTTCTTCATCTATAAAATGGTGATGATGTTTTAGACCTCACAAGACTGTTGCGAGGTTTTCCTGCAAAGTGTCTAACACAATGCCTGGCATAGATTGGGCTCCCAGTCAAGAGTAGCTATAATCATCATCATCATTGTCATTGTCATGAAGTTGAATATTCATCCCTCATCCCCGCCGTCTCTGGACTCTATAACCCAGCCCTTCCCTTCCCCCCACCCCAGTTCCTCCGCTGGGACTCAGCTGCTGCCCCAGGGAACTGCATTCCCCCCACCCCCCAGGCCTGTGCTCTCAATAGGCAGGGCCCCAGGGTCAGGCCGCTTTCTGTGGCTCTTTCTTGTCACCAATTTTCCATCTGCGAAGGCGGCTGGGCCCACAGCCCCACCTTGCCAGTAATGAGGCCAGGCTGGGCTGCAGGGCCCCCGGACGCAATTATTTGGGGTGTTTAGGCTGCAGGGCCTCCGCATGTTAATTAGAGAGAGGGGAGAAAGGCAGAGTGCTCTAATTAAGTGTTCTAATTAAGTTCTGAAGAAGAGCAGCGGTTGTAACAAGGGGCTGACTTTGTCACATGGTGCCACCAAAAAGAAAAAAAAAAATTAATGCAATGTAGGGAGCTTCAGAGTCGCCATTGAAGAAGAGGCTGAGCCAGTCAGCTCCAGACCTGCCCTCCCCATGTGTACTCACCCTTCATCGCACCTGACCCTCCCCAGGCTGCCAGCCCCTGCTCCACACGCACAGACTTGGCCCAGGGAATCTGAGTGGCACAGGATAAAGGACACCCACTTGAGGGTGACACCTCTTCCATCAGCTGCCACCCCCACAGTCACATTTGGCAACTGGAGGCCCAGGAGGGAGAAATGACTTGCCCAAGGCCACTCATCAAGTTAGTAGAGCTGGGACTAGAACCCAGGACTCCTAGGGCACACTTGGTGTCCTTGTGTTTCCAGGCAGCACAGGCAACCACACGAACAGCTCTGGGTCTGTGTGACCTGGGTCAAATGACCTCACTTCTAGTCTCTACTCCCTCATCCTCTGTAAAAGGGGTCTAACCATACAGACCATGTGCGATAATCACACCAAAGAAATGAGATCCTGTTAGGGTGCCCATCCCCAGACATGGATAGGAGAGGGGACTCTGCTGTTGGGGCTCCTTTGGGTCTACCCCAGGTGAAGCCAGCCAACACCAAAGGGGGCACGGGAGAAGGACAGGAGGGGTGGTTTCCCTCAGCAAGCTCTCAGTCCCACTGACACTGGCCCAAGAGGGCTGAGTGTACTGGGCACTCACGCAGGGAGATTGTTCCCGAAGGCCCTCGGGAAAGTTGGTGAATGCAAACAGCAGGCAGCCAGAGAGCCTGCTGCAGAGGAGACCAGAGACGATGCCCCAGGAGGGCACAGAAGTGTGCAAAAGACTCAGCAGTGGGAAGGAGCCTGGTCCGTGAGTGTGAGGAGATAACCCGGGCCCTAGGCCCTTCCTGCCCCAACTTTCCACCACCTGGCCCAGCCCCTTGCAGCGGTGAGGCTTAGCATCTCTCTGCTGGGTTTGTGAGAGCCCAGACTGCCCCAGTGAGGGTACAGGAGTACTCTCCCCAGGCAGGAAGGGTGGGCGGCCTCCCTCCAGGTACCCAAGAGGAAATGTTAGCAGCTGAAAGCCCCAGAGCAGAGCTGTTCTCATGGGGAAGGACCCTGTCTTCCCCATCATCCTAGGCGTTCATTGAGGATGAGGACTGTCTTCCTCCATCAGACCGAGAGTTCCCAAGGGCAAGGGCTGTCTCTCCCTGGTCAGACAGGGAGCTCCCCGAGGGCAGAGGTCCTGTCTCCTCCATCAGACTGGTAGCCCCCACAACCACAAAGCTATGTCTACTTTCATCAGAAGGAGCTCCCTAAGTGGGGAAGGGTTCTCCCTATTTTCCCCTTCCAGGTGGGAACTTCCTGGCCAGGGTCCCTGTCTCCTTTATCAGATTAGTGTACCCCTGACAGTAAGGGCAATGTCTCCCCTGTCAGCTAGCAGAATACCAAGAGCAGGATGTGTGCCTTTCCCACCTGATTGGCATGTCTCCCCCATCAGATTGGGAATTCTCTGATGTCTTCACCATTAGACTGGAGGGTTCCCTAAGGCAGAGTCTGTGTCTTCCACCTTAGACTGAGTGTGTGCTGGGGCTGAGCCCTTACCTCCCCACCTGACGAGCATTTTACCCACAGTGGGAAGAGGTGAGTGGCTACGATGAGAACATGAACACGATCCGCACGTACCAGGTGTGCAACGTGTTTGAGTCAAGCCAGAACAACTGGCTACGGACCAAGTTTATCCGGCGCCGTGGCGCCCACCGCATCCACGTGGAGATGAAGTTTTCGGTGCGTGACTGCAGCAGCATCCCCAGCGTGCCTGGCTCCTGCAAGGAGACCTTCAACCTCTATTACTATGAGGCTGACTTTGACTCGGCCACCAAGACCTTCCCCAACTGGATGGAGAATCCATGGGTGAAGGTGGATACCATTGCAGCCGACGAGAGCTTCTCCCAGGTGGACCTGGGTGGCCGCGTCATGAAAATCAACACCGAGGTGCGGAGCTTCGGACCTGTGTCCCGCAGCGGCTTCTACCTGGCCTTCCAGGACTATGGCGGCTGCATGTCCCTCATCGCCGTGCGTGTCTTCTACCGCAAGTGCCCCCGCATCATCCAGAATGGCGCCATCTTCCAGGAAACCCTGTCGGGGGCTGAGAGCACATCGCTGGTGGCTGCCCGGGGCAGCTGCATCGCCAATGCGGAAGAGGTGGATGTACCCATCAAGCTCTACTGTAACGGGGACGGCGAGTGGCTGGTGCCCATCGGGCGCTGCATGTGCAAAGCAGGCTTCGAGGCCGTTGAGAATGGCACCGTCTGCCGAGGTAAGGGCCAGGGTGGGGCACGTGCCCCTGCAAATGCATAGAACTGGTCTTGGCTGCAGACTCGGGCTGCAGACTTGGGCCTGGCCTCTGAAGCTTAGAGCTGACCATGAGGCACTCTAGGGCCAGGGTTTCCAAACCAGCAACCATCGTTCAGCTTCTTAGAGGGAGGCACTTGAATATAGCACTTTCTGAAAACGATCCGCGCACATGCCGCAGGTGGTATACCAGATAATCTGGGTTGGCACAGGATAAAGGTTTTTTGTTTACATCATCATATGAGTATGTCAAGTGGTGTCAATTTCTTCCTTTACAAAGGTGATATGGTTCCCCTTTTAAGAAAACGTATGTTATAGTAAGTAACATTTATATATTAATAAGTTAACATATTTTGAGCTTTTACTCTGTCAGTATAGACCAGACAATGCTGAAGTGACCAAACAATAAAAGTTTATTTCTCCCCTTAATGCTCCATGTCCATTGTGGATCAGCTTGGGACTCCTCCCTCTGAGAGCCAAATGGATGGAGCACCACCATTCGGGATGTTGCCATCTGCAGGGCAGACAGATGGAAGGAGTGTGGCAGTTGGAATACTGGCTTTAAAGCTTCCACCTGGAATGCGCCCCCGCCATAACCTCTGTGCACATTTCACGGGCCAAAGCAAGTCACAAGGTTACTTCCTATTCAAAGAGATGGAGAAGTGCAATTTTACTGTGAGCCAGGCCCACGACTCCCCCTTGTACTATGTGCTGAGCACTTCTATGACTTAATTCATTTAATCCTCACAAGGACCCTGTGACAGAAAGTACTGTTGTATATGAAGAAGCTGAGGCTCAGAGAGCTTAAACAGGGACTAAGTAGAGGATCTGGGATTCCAAAGCCCACCCTCTTAACCACCATGCCACACTGTTAGCTTAAGGAAAACTATTAAGTAAGTATAAGTGGTGTTTGAATATGGTAAAGAACCATGAAGGTGGTCTGCAAACAAGCTTTGCAAACACGAGAAGTTTGTGAGAGGTACACCCTGGTGCTAAGAAGGCTGTGAAGGTTGAAGGACCTGGGTTAAATCACCCCTTCCACTCACTAGCGGTATCACCTTGGCCAAGTGTAAAACCCTCCTTCCTAGGCTGGTGTGAGGAGTCAGGAACTTGAGGCATGCAAAGTACTTGTAATGGTTTCCAGTACACAGGAAGTGCTTAATAGATGTTAACTAAATGAGATGATGTGTACAAAGCCCAGATGCTCAGCCTGTGAGCTGCAATGGTGGTGCTGGGGGTATAGGGGACTTGAAGCTACTTGTGTCATGTCCTCTTGCATTCCCCATTGGATTCAGAGGTTGGGGCCAGATCCTGGGGTGCCTCAGATGCCAGGTTAAAGGTTTGGACCCTAATCCAGTGGCCTTGGAGAAGGCCAGGGATACTTTAGCCTGGGGGTGGTTGCAGTGATCCTTACGTGATAAAATGCTTGTTAAATCTACCAGCTCTGTGCTTCCTCCCTCGGAGACAAGCAAGGCAGCTTTTCAAGATACCTAGAAGGACAGATGGGGGTGCCAGAGACAGGAGGAAGGGGCCTATAAGGGAACCATTGTTTTCATCTCAAGAGACAGCCTGGAGTGGGGCATCCACCTGTGCTGGGGAAGAGGAGAGGCGAGATCAAAGGATGTTTTGCCAATGAAAGGGATAGGATGGGAAGGAAGACAGGATGGAAAGGGAGGAGAGGTAAGAGTCACAGGGAACAGGGCATTCCAGCTTGCAGAAAGGTGATGGTTCTAGAAAAGAAATGGGCAAGTTAGGAGAAAGGGCTGGTTTCTTGGGGAAGATAACAAATTTGGTTTTACGTCCTTGGGTATAAAAGTGCACAGCCTTGGAAGGTGGCAGTGGTGAGACAGTGTGTGGGTGGCAGAACAAGTGAATGGGAAACCAGCCACTCACTGTTGATGGTTTGTTCAGTCATCAAACTTTTACTGAGCCTGCTCTGTGTTAGACCTTATGTTGAGCATCAGGCAGTACAGAGAAGAATCAGACTGTGGCTCTGCCTTCTGGAGCTCAGAGTCTAGCAAGGGAGACAGACAAATAAATGTACAAAGGTGGTGATGTGTTAGACTTGTTTTAATAGGAACTGCTCAGGCTACAGTGGGCGCAGAAAATGACAGAAGGCTTCACAGAGGAGGTGACATTGGAGCTGAGTCTTGGGTGGGTGGCCCAGGAATGCTGGAGGATGGAGCTGCATGAATAAAGGCCTGGGAACATGAATCAACTTGGCCCATTAGGGAGGCAGTTTTGGTATGGCCATGGCTAAGGGCTGGAGGAGGGATGTAGGAAGAACTGTGACAGGCGGGGTGTTCAGATGAGAAGGTATATTCATTACCTATTGCTGCATAAAAAACAACCAACAGATCAGGTATGGTGGCTCATGCCTGTAATCCTAGCACTTTGGGAGGCTGAGGCAGGAAGATTGCTTGAGCCCAGGAGTTTCAGACCAACCTGGGCAACATAGTGAGACCCTGTCTCTACAAAGAAAGAAAAAGAAAAAAATTAGCCAGGTGTGGTGATGTGCATCTGTAGTTCCAGCTACTTAGGAGGCTGAGGTGGGAGGATCGCTTGAGGCTGTAGTGGGCTATGATTATGCCACTGCACTCCAGCCTGGGTGACAGAGCAAGACCCTGTCTCTAAACAACAACAAACATGCATTATCTCATAGTTTCTGAGGGTCAGGAATCCAGGTGTGGTTTAGCTGGGTTCTTCTGGCTCAGATTTTCCCATGAGGTTGCACTCAAGGTGTGGCCTGGGGCTGCAGTTTCTTCTGAAGGCTGGACCAGGGAGGGGTCTGCTTTTAAGGTCACTCACGGGGTTGTTGGCAGGACTCTGTCCCTCACCACATGGGCCTCTTGCATGTGCAGTGACATTCCCCAGAGTGAGAGAGCCAAGAGAGAATACCAGCAAACACCCAAGACAGAAGCCACAATCTTTTATAACCTAATCCAGAAGTGACATCTTGCCACTTCTGCCATATTCTCTGCATTAAAAGCAAGTCACCCAATTCAGCCCATACCCCAGGGGAGGGAATTACACAGGGTGTGAATGCCAGGAGGTGGGATCATGGGGCCATGTTAGAGGCTGCCTGGCATAGGCAGGTTCTCAGAGTCAGAGCTACTCCTTGCAGATGGTGAGGGTGCAAGGTGGGGCAGGGTTAAGGTGTGCCCAGCCCTGGCTCCCTTCCAGGCTCCCTTCCACTCTCATCTTCCCCTGGACCTGAAAGCCTCCCCAAGGCCTCAGCCCAGCCCAGCCATCCACTGAGTGTGAGTGGGGTCCAGTCAGGGTGTGATTAATGAGCTCAGGGAGCCCAGAAGGACACCAGCTGTTGCTGTGGCCTGTGCTGCTGTCACCCAGATGTGAGGCTGCTGCAGCCCAAGCCCCATAGGCACTGGCCCTGCTGGAGCAGGACGTGCAGGAATGGTGATTCCAGCTCACATCCAAGTAACATTGGCCAAGTGCTTTCTCGTCCTCTAGCTTAGGGCTTCTCAACCTTTATTGTGGATCAGAGTCACCTGGTTAGTTGGTTAAAGTGCAGGTTTCTGGGTCTGACTCAAACCTCTCCCCCAGGTCTGGGAATGTGGCTCTGAGATGGGGCCAAGAATCAGCAGGGTTTATTTTGTTTTGTTTTTTTGTCTTTTGTTTTTGTTTTTTTTTTTTTTTTTTTGTGACAGGGTCTCACTTTATCACTCAGGCTGGAGCGTAGTGGTGCAGTCTCAACTCACTGCAAGCTCTGCCTCCTGGGTTCAAGCAATTCTTGTGCCTCAGCCTCCTGAGTAGCTGGGATTACAGGCGTGCACCATCATGCCCAGCTAATTTTTGTATTTTTAGTAGAGATGGGGTTTCACCATGTTGACCAGGCTGGTCTCGAACTCCTGGACTCAAGTGATCCACCTGCCTTAGCCTCCCTAAAGCTGGGATTACAGGCATGAGCCACCGTGCCCAGCTGGAATCAGCATTTTTAAACAAGCAGTCCTGATGATTCTGTACCAGGACCATGAGCTCAGACGCACGATGTGATAACACATGTTTGGCTGGACCAAGCTGGGACCTAAGGCCAAAGAAAGGACACTAGCCCAGCCCCAACACCACCCCAGGGATTGTCCTCCCTGGGGCAGTGGAACATTAGCAGAATCTCTAAGAGGATGTGGTTTGAAAAGATGCATTTAATATTGAGATATAATTTAATAGGAAAACATCCATTGCTTTGTTAATATAAATTAGAGAAAATAAGGCTGGATTAAGTCTTCTTGGCAGATGGAGAGTGGGGGAGTCCTCAGAGGGAGTGGCCACCATTCCTGGTGTGGGCAGTGATGGTGAACAAAGGCTTACTAGTTCCCAGTGCAGTGAGTGGGCTAAACTGATTCAATCTGACCAACTTCTCTGGTGCCTACTGTGTACAGGGCACAGCGGGAGAGGGGAGGGGCCTGGGGAAGCCAACCATTCAACATGCATGTTTTGAGTAACCTCTGTGGGTCATTTAGCCCTCTAACAAATATGCGTTGCATACCTGCTGTGAGCCAGACACATTCCAGGTGCAGGGAGATACGGAAATGAACAAGACGGACACATCAGTGCCCTCCCAGAGTTTTTTGTCTGAGTGGGTGGATAGGAGAAGACAGAAGAAAAAGTCAGTGAGCAAATAAATAAACTAGTTGCAGAATGTGATGAGTGAAGGGGGAAAGAATTGTGCAACAATAGAGATCAAAAAGTGGCCGTGCTTCAGGAAGGGCTTCCTGGAAGAGGTATCATTGAGCTGATGGGCCTGAGAAGGCTGTGGGGAAAGCATTCCAGGCAGAGGGTCCCTGAGAAACCCTGACACTCAGGGCTTGGTCTGAAGTGGCTCCTGGGTGAGCAGGGGACTCAGACACCCAGGGAACGAGGCAGAGTATGGTGCTGCCACAAATGAGATCCATCCAGGCAAAGTGCTTTGAGAATATGAGGAAAAAGCCATCTTGTATGACTGGGTATCTCAGAAGGCTTCAAGGAGGGAGTAGCATTTGAATTAGGCCTTGAAGAGTGAGTAGGATTTGGATGGGTGAAGGTAGGGAGGAAGGGAATTGTAGGCAGAGAGAACTATACGAATAAAGGCCCCAAGGTGTGACAGTACAAGGCATATTTGATGGGTAGAAAGGGCTTTGCAGTGTATAGGGATTAGGACACAATTTTCCCCTATTTATTCACCTGTTCATTTTTTATCGCATGCCTAATCGGGGTCTACACTGGGCATACAGCTGCCAGGTGAGGATTCCTGGGACTTCCTTTAGAAGAGCCCTGTTCCCTCCCCAACCCCAGTCCCCGCTGGGGCTTCCTGCCAGCAGGTCTGCTGGGAGTGGCAGAAGGTGTCCCTGGAATGCCTTCTTTGCAGCAGCTGCCCGCACCCAAGTCTGTTTCTCTGACTCTTTCTAGAGTATGATAGGTGTGATTGTGAATGTTCCCCTGCCCCAGTTTCTCCAAGCCTGCCTGTCTCCAGATCCCTGTTCTCCTTGGTCTCTCCTTACCCACCTCAGTCCCACTTCTGCCTGCCCAGCAGGAACCCCCAACCTAGCCTTCTTTGGGGACCTTGCTCTGTTCTCTCCCAGTGGCCAACCCGCATCTGCGAGGGATCTGGAGGCAGTTCCGCAGTGAGCATGATTGCTGCGATGCTATCGGACGTAATGGGATTTTTAATATTTAGCTTGGATGGGGAGAGGGGCTGCTAGCCAGCTCGGGGTGGTTGCACGCACATGTTGATTCGCTGGCTCCAGCTCAGACTCCCCAGTTCCCAGCTGCTGGGTTTCTCCTCCCAGCCTCTCCCTCTTGTCTGCCCTGCCCTGCTGTGCAGCCCCTGCTCTCTCCCCAGCTCATGGCCTCTCCTTGACCTTGGCTTCAGAGACCTGCTTTCAAACCCCAGCCCTACCTCTCACTAGCTGTGTGACCTTGGGTGAGCCACTGACCCTCTCCCAACCTTTGTTTTCTCATCTGCAAAACAGAATAAACAGAGGGCTGTTATACAGAGTAAATGAGAAAATACCCAGAAGAGTGTTATAAAAATAAGATTAAGGACTTTTATGAACACTGTCTTTGCCTGTGAACTTTTTTTTTTTCCTGGTGAGCTTTTTATTTTGAGGAAAAAATAACTTTTCCTTATCACAAAAGCAATGCAGGTTATTTGTAGAATCTTTAGAAATTACTGATAAGCAAAAAGGAAGAAATTAAAATCACCCATAATCCTATCATCCAGAAATAAGCACTGTGAAACAAACTGGTATAGGTTCTTCCAGGTGGATTTATGTGTATTTACACATACTGATTTTTTGTTTTAAGAAAAAAATGGACTTCTGCTTAAATTACATGGGTTTCTTTCTTTCTTTCTTTCTTTCTTTCTTTTTTTTTTTTTTTTTTTCCTTTCAGAGAGACAGGATCTCACTATGTTGTCCAGGCTGGTCTTGAACTCGTGGCCACAAATGATCCTCCCACCTCAGCCTCCCAAAGTGTTGGAATTATAGGCATGAACCACCATGCCCAGGAGGAGAATTTTTGATAATAATATTTTGTGGACATCTTTGCATATCATGTCAGAGCTATAACATCATTGTGGAGAAGCTCTTAGGATCCCATAGAATAAATGTACCGTAATTTATTTACTACTGCTCTGTTGATTGACAGATAGATTGCTTGCAGTATTTCACTATCTTAAACAAATGCTGGGGTGAGCCTCATTGTTTCTCTGTCTTTTTGCATTGCTGCTGATATTTGCGTAGGATACATTTCTAGGCGTGGAATTGTAGGGTCAAAGGGCATGTACTTTTTTTAGAGCTTTTGACAAACATTGCCAAATTACCCTCCAGAAAGGCTGGACCAAGTTACCCTCCAAGCAGCTGCCTTTGAGAGTGCCTGTTTGCTGGCATGCTCTCCAGCATGGGATGTTATGCCTGTGGCTTTATTTTCTGTTTCACTCCAGAATCCTGTGCTTCCCAGCCAAGGGAGGGAGGGGCCAGGGGTCCTTTCTGGGCCTTCAGAGTTGGATCCTCCTTCCCACCCTGCTTTCAGCTCGAGCCCTTCTTACAGAGGCTGGACCAGTGGCCCAGAAGTGTCTGGGGGAGTCTGCGGGGGTGGGGTGCGGTCAATGGGGTGGGCTCTGGGAGGGAGGCCGCCAGCTGGCAGCCTGTGCTATGCTGACTGGGGAAGGGTGTGAGGGTTGGAATGCTGGGTGGGAGGGGAGGCCCAGACCCCCACATAGAAATTCTGCTGCTTCTCTTCAAGGACAGGGTGGAGACACCCAGTTGAGGGAGAAGGAGGGGGGACAGACAACTCCTGCAGACCCCCAGGCTCAGGCCAGGGCTGAGACCACACAGGCCAGCCTTTTGTGAAGGGAATTAGATAGGGACCCTGGCCAATGTACTCAAGTGATTCAGGCCTTTGCTCTTAAAAATAGGAAAAATTCTACACCCTCCCCAACTTCCCCTTTCCTATCCATCCATTGGTCCATCCATCCATCCATCCATCCATCCATCTGTCCATGATACATCCATCCATCAGACATCCACTGAAATCATTCAGCTCTTGATTTTTCTTCTTCTTGGAGGGCTCAGTGATGTCTTCATTGAGGACCAGGAAGCTAACACTTGTTGAGTGTCATGTGCCAGGCATTAGGGGGCCTTGGAAATGGCCATGATGACCCCTGCCCCCAAGGCCCACCCAGCCTAGAGATGGTGACAGATACATCTACAGACAGTGAAGGTGCAGGGGGACTGGGGTTGTGCTGAGGAAAGCAGAGCAGGCAGGGAGGGTCTGTGGAAGCTGACGGAGGCACCCAGCCCATCCAGGGGAGCGTCAGCCAGGAACAGGCGGTCAGAGGACGGCCTCCAGGAGGAGGGGCCACTGCGGTGGAAGCTGAGCGAGGAGCAAGAGTTAGGCAGGTGAGGAGGAGGTGGAAAGGCCTGGAGGCAGCCAGAGTGCATGCTCCTGGGAAGGGTGGGGGTCAGTCACCTCAGTCCTCTCTCCTCTCTGAGTCAGCTAAATGGAAGGTTCTGGATCTCAGGACATGAGATGATTCTTTCTCTCTGGTCTTCAAATTCCTAGTGATCTGGGTAGGAAATATGGGACAATTTGGGCTTCAGAACAGCTCATTCATTTTTCACTCAAATACCACTTCCAGGACACCTGCTGTGTACCAGTTCCTAGGCCAGGTGTGGGAGCTGCCCAGATGCTGAAGGCCCTCCGTACCGTCCCTCGGGCTGCCAGTCTAGGGCGCAGGAGAGAGCTCTATCCATAACTACAGACTTGGGGTGCTTAGGAGGGAATGGGGAGAGAGCCAAGAAGGCTTCCTGGAGGAGGAGCCATTTTCCCAGGGCTTTGGAGGATGAGAAGAACCAAGGGCTGAAAGGGCAATTAGTCCAGGAAAAAAATGGTTGGAAATGGTGGTGGTTTTTTTCTTTTTAAACCCTAGCCTCTTGCTTATCCCCAGACAAGGTGCAGCCATCCAGGGAAGAGCAGAAGAAAGGTGTTCTTGGCCAAGGGAGGATGGTGGAAGTGCTGCCAGGGTTTCAGTTCTACTGCCCTCGCAGGCTGAGGGTAGTCCTGAGAGGCCTGGAGGAGGCCCGAGACAGGGAGGTGAAAGGTGCCACCTGTGTGTCCCGCACTGTGGTATATGCTATGCTTCCATTATCTTATTGAAACTTCTGTTGGTATTATTAGCTCTATTTTACAAATGATGAGACTGAGGCCCAGAGAGGGTCATCAAGCTGCCCAAGGCCACACAGCCACTAAGTAGCCAAGCTAGAATTTGAACCTGGCTTTCTGCAGCTTGCTGGGACAACTTATTAACCTGAAGAGATTAATAAGTTGTCCAGATGTACTCACCTTTTATACCTGAATGTACTCACCTTTTATACCTGAGGCCCATGTCTTATCCACATGGTCATTGAGTCCCAATCCTGTAGACCCTATGGAGAGTGACCAGCAGGGTGTGATAGAAAGAACCTCAGTTTGCTTACCTGGGAAATGGAAACATTACACCCTGGCCTGCCTACCTCCAGATGACGGAGGATCCCCTGAGATGGTGGAAGTGAAAAGAGCTTGGCAGATAACCGGCTAAGGGGCTCATGTTTAGGACTGTGGGACCTCAAAGGAAAGAGGGGGCTGACCCTACTGGGGTAACCAGGAGGGCTTCTTGGGAGAGGAGGAGACCCGGGTCTGGGCCTTGAATGACGAGGTGCTTTCCTATCAAGCGATGCAAGGCAGGATGGAACACAGTCCCAGGACGAAGGCTCGGGAATAAGGAAGCCTCAGGGAAGGAGGCTTCCCCACCCTGGCTGACCTCTGGCCAGAGAGAAAAGCCCCCAGTCTGTCCCACACCGCACATACCAAATGCTCACCCGGATGGGCCGTTCCTGCCCAGTCACCTCCTTGAATCCTCTCATCAGACTAGGAAACTGAGACTTGGCCAATGTCACACCCCTCTTAGGTGGCAGGGACAGGTCTATGCCTTTGTGCCTTCCACTTCTGATTTCTTCTGATACAAGCAGTATCCACTGGCCCTCAGTCACCCTACAGGGTTAGATAAGGTCATCCCTATTTCACAGAAGAGGAAATTGAGGGGAAAAGTCCAAGATGACCCAGCTAGGAAGAAGTAGGGTTAGAACCCAGGGCATCTGACCCTGGAGCCCTGCACTGTCCTCTCTCGGCCCCAGACTGGCTCATCTGGACCCTGAAAACACATAGGCTGCCTCCAGATCACTCCAGCAGGACCATAAACAGCTGGGAAGTTCCCCGCCCTCCAGCCACTGCCTTTTCATCTGGCTGGGCTTTAGAATCTGGCAAGAGAGGCCCGTTGATTGAGGAAGTTTATGCATTTAACAGTTTAAGCCTTTCTAAGCCTCTGGTACAACAGGATTTGGGAGCTGTTAACAATTCTGTGTGGTTAAGAGCTTTTCATTGCTCTGCGGCAGCTGGCACAGGCCCCACTGGCCCACTCTGGCCTCACCCCACCCTGTTTGGGCACCCCCGTCCCTGGGGCCTGTTATCCTCACTCCCCCCACCCTAAGCCCTACACCTCATACCTCACAAGAGGAACCGAGGCCCAGAGAGGGGAAGAAAGTTACCCAAGGCTGCATGGCAAGTGAGAGACTTAAACCAAGACCTGCCTGAGTCCCTGGAGAGGAGGGAACATTCTATTGTTAATTCTTTATTGGCAGAACTTGCAGAGCCTCCCTAAAATCAACATCTGTTTGATTCCCTACCAGGGCTCCAAGGCAGGGAGTCGGAGGTGGCTCGCCCAGGCTCACTCACCTTATCAGGTACATACGGAGCTGAAATCAAAACTCAGGCCTCCTGAAATCCTAATGAGAATTCTTCACGCCATACTGAACTGGTTTCCGTTTTGTTTTGTTTTGTTTTGTTTTGTTTTGCCCCCATAGCTTGGTGGGAGAAATGCCATTTGTAATGATAATGTCTTACATATGTACAGTATTTATTTACTTACACCCTGCTTTATTCCAGAAAAGATTGGAGGCTGCTTTTGTGTAACATTCGGATTCACTCCATGAGATATTTTGATCTAAATGATACCCACATGAGAGAAGCATGGCAAAGGTTATTGGCACCATTCTAGAGACAAGGAAAACTGAGGACACGAGGAGGCATGACTTTCTCAGCGTCCCATATACTTTGTCAGGCAGAAGCCGGGACTAGAACCCAGTGCTGCAGGCTCCTAGACCTGGCTCTTTCTGGAGCCCCTTGTCATCTCTAAGATGTCCAATCAGACAGCTCCCCCCGCCGGGGGAGGTTTTCCGGGACCTGTTACCATCCCGCCAACCCATCCACACACTCCTCTTCACACGAGCCACGTGTTCTCAGGTCTGTGAGGAGCTCACACTGAGGCTGGCCTGCCTCTTCCCACCCAGGGCAGAGACCAAGGTCTCAGGGGAGCCCAGGGGTCTCACTCCTGCTAAGGTGGAAGTGGGTGCAACAAGTATTTATTGAGCACCTTCTGTGAGCTCAGCACCATCCTAGAACCTGGAAATACAGTGGTGAACAAAACAGACAAAATAGCTGCTCTTTTGGACCCCACACTCCACCTGGGAAAGACAGGCAGTTGGGGAATACAGTGGGAAATACACAGTATGTCAGGCGGTGATTAGGACGACGGGGAGAAACAAATCAGGGAAGGGGATGGGCTGCGTAGCCCCCATGGCTGGGGGGCCAGGGGTTATCCTGCGGGGTGGGCTGGCCTGGGACTGCTGCTCTTGCTGGTATCCTGGGCTTTCTGCTCCTTCCTCGGGCCTTCCCAGTCTCTTCCCATGGGACCTGGTGGAGGTTGGTTTAAGTTACTGTTTTCATAACGAGGATTTTGTTTTCTGGTCACAGTAACCTGCTTGCCCAATGAGACAACAGGCCAAGGAGAGGGCTGTGAGTGCACGGCCATTTCCATCTCACTTGCAATCCGTGAGCTTTGTCTCCTGTCCTCTCTGTCCCCCCCATCCCCCAAACAAAGGGGGCCAAGGCCACAGCTTGCCAGCTTCACAGCTGTAAAAACTGAGGCCCAAGAAGTTAGATGAAATGACTTGTCTGGGGACCGGCACTCAAACTCAGGGTCTGACGCCTGACTCTGTGCCTCTTGCTGGAATCTACTTGTAAGTAACAGAATAAGAATACCCGGAGGAGGCAGGCACAGGCTCTTATCAATTGGGTGCTCACTCTGTGCCAGGCTGCTGCCTTGAGCTTGGTGAACACTCTGCTGAATCCTTACAGTCCCCAGAAGCTGGGTACAACTATTGCAGAACAGGAAGCAGAAGTTCAGAGAGGTTAAATAACCAAGCCAAGGTCACACAGCTAATGGACAGAGGAGCCAGAAGTGAAATCCAAAGCCTGTACTTGTCCTGCTGGAATATTCGCAGTGTCTCATCATTAGTACATTTTTTTCATGACTGTTATCTCATTGGATTCTCAAGGACTCTAGGAAGTAAAAGGGCTATTGTCCCCATTCTTCAGATGAGGAAATCTTAGCATGGTGAAGTGACCTGCCCAAGGCTTACTGCTAGAAAGGGTCAGAGCTGGGACTGGAACGGGGGTCACCGGGTTGGTTTGATTCTGAAGCCCCCTTGCTGCTGACTCCCGTTCCTAGGGCTCATGAACACATTGATATCAGACATTCGTCCCCTTCATTCCACTAAAACAGCTCATCATCGAGGCCTCCAGTGATGTCCATGTTGCCAAGTCAGTGGGAGACATGGACGTAATGTCCCAGACCTCATCTTCTTCGACCTGCCAGCAGCATCTGACAAAGTGACTGCTCCCTCTTCTGGGACCTCACTGGCTCCCAGGGTCCCACCCCCCTCCACCTCTCGCTCTGAGCCCTTTGTGGCTAGTTCCTGTTCATCTCCCGACCTCTCCACCTTGGAGGGCCCCAGTGCTGTGTCCTTGGCCTCCTCTTCTCTCTCCCTGATGACTCCACCCAGCCCCACAGCTTCAAATGCCTTCTCTGGGCTGATCTCTAGCCCAGACCTCTATTCTGAAGTCCAGACTCACTCCACTGTCTCCTGGCCGCCTCCACCCTGCTCCCACCCTGCCTCCTCCAGTCTGGGGTCCCTAGGATGCTTGGTCTGGCCAGAATCTTTAAGACTCCCCATCCTGCACAGTGCAAAAGCCAAGCTCCTAAAAATGGCTCACAAGGCCCTTCATCATCTTTCCCTTCTCTCACCTTTCTGACCGGTCTCCTCCCGTTTCCTCCTTCCCTCCCGCTCTCTAGGCACTCTGACCTCCTTCTGCCGGGAATGTTCTTTCCCTAGATATCCACAGTGGTTGCTCCATCGTCTTCTTCAGGTCTCTGCCCAAATGTCACCTGCTCACTGAGATCCCGCATCACCCAATTTTTATACAGGCACGCAGCCTGTCCCCTTCCCTAATCACCATCGTCCTAATCACCATCTGACGTACTATGTATTTCCCACTGTGTTCCCCAACTGCCTGTCTTTCCCAGGTGGAGTGTGGACTCCACCAGAGCAGCTATTTCATCTGTTTTGTTCACCATTGTATTTCCAGGTTCTAGGATGGTGCTGAGCTCACAGAAGGTTCTCAATAAATACTTGTTGCAGAGTCCCACCCACCCCAGTCTCAGACATGGACCCTTTCAATCCTGCTGGGAGTAACGCTACTAACCAAGGCCCATGGAGAGGCTGGGGTTCTTCCTGCCACCTCTGGAGGGCTCCTGAGGGACTGACATGGCCAGGGCGCCCCACAGGTCTGTCTGTGGCTGGGATAGATGTTTCTAAGCACGGATGGAGACTCCTTATTCCTGATACTCAGGGTTTCCCTAAGATCTCAAATCCCTCTTGGAGCTAGAGGCCTTAGAGAGCATTTTTCAGTCTTACCCATTTTTTTTTTTTTAACATAAACCACTATAGTTTCAGCTCCTGCTCCCTTCTTTGCCCTGGCATGACCATGTTCTGAATCTCTGCAGTGTGGTCCTAGACCAGAGGCTGCTGTGGGACTCGATTCTCTCATAAGGAGCTGGTGGGAGCCCACCGTGTGTCTGGGTCTGTGCAGACCCGGAATTGGAAGTTGCCAGGGGGAGCCTTGCACAGAGAGAGCTCCCCGCCCTGCCACTAGCCACCCATGAGACTGACTGACTTGGTTACGTCCTTTTCCTGAGCCTCAGTTTCCCTGTTGTTAAATGAGACCAGTAGTCTCATTTAACAACAGGTTTGAAGGTTTGAAGAGGCTCCGAGGAGTCAAAGGAGCTCAGAAGGCAGGAGCAGGATGAGAAGGGAGGCATTGTCCGGCCGCAGGATGGATGGTTTCTCAGGGTGGACACCAGCCCAGTGCTGGCAGAGTTTCTAGAAAGCAAGGCAGTATCTACATGTCTAAGGTGGGGGGGACATGGTAATGGATGAGCCTTCAGTTTTAAGCAAGTCCGAGCACACAGCAGGTACCTAATATGTGCGTGTGTCACGGCACTGTTTTAACCAGCCAGGGTGCATTGATTGAATAGTGCAGGAGCAGCTCACAAAGTCAGAATCCCTGGGTACAAATTTGAGTTCTGGGACCCCAGCAGAGCACTTCCCCTCGCTCCTCCCTCCTGTGGAGCTCAGTGTCACCGTCTGTAGAATGTGCCTAACAGTCCCTGATTCCATTCTACCTGGTCCTTGTGGCACTCCTCGAGAAGCCATCAGGACAGCTGTGACCTTCTGTGACATGAGGATAAGGACCCTGTGTTGCCTCCCACCACTCCAGACACCCACAAGCAGGAAGGTTTAGCAAAATAGGTAAGAGCCAGCCACCTGGGTTCAAATACTGGCTCTGACATCTGCTACCTATGTGGCCCTGGACAGGTGACTCACCTACCCAAGCCTTGATCGCCTCATCTCTAAAATGGGTTCAGTAATAAATGGAATATGACAGAGCAAGTTGTGAAGACTCAAGGAGATAATGAAAAGAAAGTGTCTGCACAGCACCTGACATGAGGTGTGTGGTCAGTAAATGTTTGCCCTGTTTGACACAGCCTGGCCCCTGCGATCTAAATGCTCGAAGTCATGACCATCCCCTTTTGCAGATGAGGGAACTGGGGTTCAGAGAAGCCAAGTGACTTGCTCCAGTCCACACAGCAAGTAAGTGGTTGTCACTGAACACAGGTCGTTTGGTGGAGCAGGAGGTATGACCTGGGTGAGGCTTAGGGGCCATGCAGAGCTATGTCTGTCGCTGTGTCCCCAGCAAATTTTGGGCCCAGAGCCTCATGGCAGCCTTAGAGAGAAAAGATTCCGCCCTGGGGTCTTTGCAGGCCTGACCTGGGACCTGTCAGGGTTATACTGGCTCCTTCTAGGAAACCAGCCTCAAGTTCCCAGTTCCCTCCCTTAAAGGCATTGCCATCTGATTAGCAACATTTTAAAGACCTAAGAGTGGTCACTGGCGTGTCTGTGCTGCCTGGGCAGGCCATGCAGCTTTGAGAGCCCCACATCCGTATCCCTGGCAACCCTGGCCCTGAGCTGCCCTCCCCCACACCCTGCTGTCAGAGCTGTCTGTCTGTGGGAGCTCCCCGGAGACCCGGGAGGGATGTGCACGCATGTGCTGGGTCAGCACAGAGCGTCCCTGTACGCATGCGTGTGCGCTGGGCCTGCTGGGAGTTGTTTGTGTGCCCATACGTGCACTAGCGTACCCACTGAGCCAGCCTCTGCACATGCTGTTGGAACGTCTCGGATCTATGGGCATGTACGTACATTTCAGGGGCGGGCTGCGCACAGAGCTTGCCTGTGTGGGTGACACTGGAGCCTGCTGGGAGCCATTCCTCTCCCTGTATTGGTGTGTTCCTGTGTCTGCCTGACCTGCCCCAGCATATGTGTGCAGGGAGGAGCACACTCATGAGTGTGCTGGATCAAAGCACACACCTAAGAATGTGTGGGTGCAGCCGTGGAGGGAGGTCCCCATCTGTGTGTACACGCCACTGCTGTTGAGTACGCTCACTGGGTCATGCAGGTGTGTGTTTGCATGGGTGCCCACCCACTCACAGGGAAATCAGCCAGAGTATTCAGATTCATGTGTACATCTGTATATTTTATCAAGCCAGATGTACGTGAAAATGGGTACTTGTTAGCATATGTGAGCCCTATCTGTGTGAGTATATGTGTGTGTGTGTGTGTGTGTGCACGCACATGGCTGGATCAATTTGTGGAGTGTGTGCGTGTGTATGTGACACACACACACACACACACACACACTCTCTCTCTCTTTCTGGGGACCAAGATATGTCAGGGCCATTGATTTTCTGTCTCTTAGAAATTCCCTTTGAGGTCCTATTCATGCCTCTTTCATGAAGCAAAATCAGTGGTTCCAGTGTTCTTAAAGCAAACCAGGCCTGTTTTGCGCAACGCTCCATCCCTGGCCCGCCCATCTCCTCCACCGGTTGTGCCTGCACACACACATATACCCACAGGACCTGCTTGTCGTGCTCAGGTGGGCACAGCAGCCCTGCAGGGGTACAGGGGGCAGGCTCCCTGGCCAGACTCTGCTGCTTTCTAGCTGTATGGCCTTGGCCATTTCCCGTCATTTCCTGAGCCTCGGGTTCCTCCTCTGCCCGATAGGCACAGGGTGGTGGTGAAGATGTGAGTGGTGAAGCCCCTGCCAAGGCTGGAGGTTCTCTCTCATCTGTCCCGGCTGTTACGTTTACGAAGCACTTTCATCTGGGGAGAGAGGCTTGTGTCTGTCCTCGCCAGGCCAGCAGAGGAGCTTTGGGAAGGGACACCCATGAATGCCCCCCTTCCTGTGGGCCCTCTGCTCCAAGCATTTTGCTGACATCCCTTCATTTTTATCCCAGCCACCGCCCTGGGTGGCAGCTGGTGTTATCCGCCTTCCACAGAGGGGAAACCGAGCCCCAGAGAACTGCAAGGGCTTTGTCGAACTTCACCGAGAGCAGGTGGCAAGCCAGGATTGGGACCCAGGTCCAGTGGACTCCGGAACCTTCCCACCGCATTCCAAGAACGCTTCCTCCAGCAAGCAGGAGTGAGAGGCCAGGCCTTAGAGGATGCCCAGACCCCACACGAGGGGATGGCCTACAGGCCCAAGGCACCATGTGGGCAGAGGTGCAGCATAGGGAAACTCCAGCCTAGAGGAAATAGGCCCTCAGCCTCTGTCACTTGCCTTGGGCTCTCCCATCCCATCCCCTTCCCCCTCCAGATGGGCAGCCCCTCGTGGGGTCCCCTCCCGCCCCCTCGTGCTGCAGTCTTTGTGGCCCAGGAAGAATGCCTCTCTTTATCTCCCAGACGCCCCTTCCCTTTGATTCTCCTCTACCCAGCGTTTCTGCTGACCTCTGCGTGTTGGGAATCCAATTAGAGGAGCGGACAGGGAGAGTGACAGCCGCGCCGAATCCCGCCTCAGCCCCTCCGAGCACGCTCAGCCAAGCTGCAAGCAGCGCGGGGCCTGCTTGTCATGCTGGGCCCTGCGCAGGGCTTTGTGGGGATTAGCTGCTGGGGGGTGGGGTGCTCGCAGATGGGACCAGAAGTGATGCTGGTGAATGTCACGTCCAGGCAGAGAGTGGAGGAGGGGGCCCGCCCAGTGTTGAATCCAGCTTGGGGAAGAGAAGAGAAGGGGGCTAGGGGGCAGACTAGCCTGGCCTATAGGAGGCCCATGGGGGAAATGATGGCCCAGTTGGGTTATTTGGTTCCCCATTTGAGGGTTGGAGGGTAGAGCTGGCAGCCAAGCTCAGCTGTGTCTACAGTGGAGTGGGCACCAGAAGGATTTCCACCTGGGAGGGGCTTTGGGGGATTGATTGGATTGCAGGGGTGGGTATTGACTCTTCATTTGCAAAACACTTTATGTATGATGGAGGTGGGGACCCTAAGAATGGGGAGGTGGCAGGCTTTGAGAGATGTGTCTAGAGAATCTGCCACCACCAGCCACCCCTTGGCAGGGCCACCAGTCTAAGGCCAAAGACTATGCCCTTCCCCAGCCAGCACCATGAAAGTTACCCTTCTGGTTTACAGCTGTGGAAACTGAGGCTCCGAGAGGAGAAAGGTCTGGCTCGAGGACACAAGGGTAGTCCGTAGCAGAGATGTCTCATCCCCCTGTCCACCCGCACCACCCAGCCCCACCCCCAACTCCCTGGACCTCCTGAGTGATGAGAGTCCCTGATGCCCTTCCCCACAGAGGGATATGGCATCTGAGGAGGTGGATTTCAGGCCCTCAGGGGAAGCAGTATCAGGTAGAATATGGTCTGACTCTCAGCTCACGGACCAGCAAATGCCCCTGCCCCTCTAGAAATGTGTCAGGCCTTGTGCTGGGCCAGAACACAGTGGGATCTGCCATGGCCTCTGCCCCCAGGAGCCCACAGTGGACAGAGACAAGGAGCCCCTGGTGCACAGAGAGGGTGGAGTGTGTGCATGGAGCAGTAAGGACTATGGGGACCCACTGGGGAGACTAGGACTAGGATGTGGGGATGGGACCACCCTGAGCCTGGGAGTCCCAGAGGCCTTTCTAGAGGAAGGGCCACCAGCACAGAGACCTGGAGGACAAGCAAGAAATAGCCTGAGGAGGCTCTGGCTATCCTAACCTGAGAGGCAGGGTAGTTGTGGGGCTTCTAGGGGAAGGGCATCTCCTGTCCCTCAAATCTTTGTGCTCATTCCATAGCTGCCTGGGCCGGGCAGGACTGACCCACCTCCCACCCGCTGCCCTAGTGAGGCTGCACAGCTGCAGCCGCTGTGGAGTTGGCAGCCACTGGATGTTCAGGATCTTCTGTAAGAATCGTGGTTAGGCCGGGCACAGTGGCACACACCTGTAATCTCAGCACTTTGGGAGGCTGAAGCTGGAGGATCACTTGAGCCCAGGGGTTCAAGACTAGCCTGGGCAACATGGTGAAACCCCATCTCTACAAAAAAATTAAAAATTAGCCAGGTGTGGTGGTACGCACTTGTAGTCCCAGCTACTAGGGAGGCTGAGGTGGGAGGATCACTTGGGCCAGGAGGTCCAAGCTGCCGTGAGCCATGATCTCACCACTGCACTCTAACCTGGGCAATAGAGTGAGACCCTGTCTCAAAAAAAAATAATATATATATATATGTGTATATATATGTGTATATATATATATGTGTATATATATGTGTGTATATATGTATATATATGTGTGTATATATATGTATATGTGTATATATATGTATATGTGTGTGTGTGTGTATATATATATATATATAAATTAGCTGGGGTGTGACGATGCATGTTTGTGGTTCCAGCTACTAGGGAGGCTGAGGTGGGAAGATCACTTGAGCCTAGGGGTTCTAGGCTGCAGTGAGCTGTGATTGCACCAGTGCACTCCAGCCTGGGCAACAGAGTGAGACCCTGTCTCAAGAGAAAAAAAAAAAGTGTTTAGAGATAGTGGTTAGGAGGCCACAGTGCCACAAGCCAACCTTAGAGATCTGGAATTTCTGTGGTGGTGCTAGGCACATTCCATACACATCTTCACCAATCCCTGGGAGCAGGAGTTGCCCACCCCGTCTTACAAGTGAGAAAACAGGTTCCAAGAGGCAGAAGGGCTTGTGCGGTCTCACAGAGCACATTAATGGAACTGCCTTTTACACTCAGGACCGCATTAGACCTTTCCCACCATCCCAGGCTGCCGCGGCCAGTGTAGGAATGAGCTTATTGGGTTGGCTGGTTTGGTCCTCCTGCCCAGCACTGTGCCTGCCACACAGGAGGTGCTTAGTGGGTGGGGGATGGATGCATGGATGGAGAAAACCAATCAATCAATCAATCAATTCTTCCTTACCTAGTGCCTTTAAGGAAAAAATCTGCACCACCCCCCATCCTGCCAGCGAAGGCTGTATTAAATATGAATTAATCTTTCAGCTCAGTTCTCATGAATATAAAATGCAGAGGGTGTGTGAAGCCAAGAGATCAAGACGAGACACCCCAGTCTGCCTGGGCCTGAAAGCGCACGCTCACACCCACTCACACTTGGAAGTGCATTCTCACAGTCATGCAGACTCACTCACAGTCCTCAGCCACCCTCCTTAGCCCCTCTAGGAACCTCCCCGCCCCACCCTGCCCTGCTCAGTTGGGCCCCTTCCAGGTCAGGCTTCTCTGGGCCACCACTGGCCCAGCTCTTTCCCATCCCACACCCTTCCCGCCCCTCCCAGCTCTCTGAACTTGACTCTTCCCTCCCACCTGCCTCTTCTCTCCTTCCTCCCCTTGTCTCTTTGCCCCCGCCTCTGTCCCCTGCTCCTTCAGTGTCCTCTTGTCTTCCTTTTCCTTGTCTTAGTCTCTCCATCTCCCCTCCTCTCTGTTTCTCTCTCTCCCTCCCCTGCCTCCCCACTTGTCTCTCTCCCCGTCTCTCTAGCTCCCTCCCCATTTCCTTCTCTAAGGGGACCACTTGCCTGTGCCTGGACATGCCAGGGACCCTGGGCAAATTGTGGGCTAGAGAGTGAATCCTCCCTCCTCAACCCAGACACATTGGGGTCAGGACATGCCCCCCAACCTCCCCCTCTAGCAAGGGGCACAGGTACCTACATACCAGGGCCACACCTTGCCCCCTCTCCTTGCCCCCACCACCTCCCAGGGCTGGCATCCTGCAGGTACGGGATGAGCCATGCACCCGGAGTCCACACCAGACATCTGTCAAATCCATGTCCCACAGGGGGCCTGGCCTGTTGATTCTGAAGGACTTCAGAAAATGGATTCTAAAGGGACAGAAGTGTGTCCTGGTTCGAGGTGACCCCATTTGTGTGTCTCTGAGCCGTACGCAGTCTCTCTCAGCCTCAGTTTCCCCCCCAGGCCCTTGAATAAATTAAACGAGGGGCTGCCAGCCCAGAGTGGGCTGAGATAAATGTCTCCTGACCTCCTGTGGTACTCCCCAAGGTGAACATTCCAGACCTGCCACTCCCCTGTGGCCTGACTCAGGCCCTCCCTTTCAGGAGCTGACCTCCCTCCCACTGCCTGAGGACTCTGGCACAGGATGCTCTCACCCTCTGCCCCTCTCCCCACCTCTCTACAACCACCCAGTCCAGACAGCTGGGCTGGAGGGGATCAGAGACTGTGAGCAGCCACCTCCCACCCATCCTGGACCCAGGGTCAGCAAGGAGCGGGTGGGGGTGCAAAGGCTGTGATTCTTTTGGGTGGGAATGGGGGTGAGGGTGAGAATCAGGCAGGTGCATGTACATGTGTGTATGAGAGAGAGAGAGAGATTGGGAGGGAGAGGGAGCTCACTAGCGCATATGTGCCTGCCAGGGGGGCTGCAGATGTGTCTGAGGGTGAGCCTGGTGAAAGAGAAGACAAAAGAATGGAATGAGCTAAAGCAGCCGCCTGGGGTGGGAGGCCGAGCCCATTTGTATGCAGCAGGGGGCAGGAGCCCAGCAAGGGAGCCTCCATTCCCAGGACTCTGGAGGGAGCTGAGACCATCCATGCCCGCAGAGCCCTCCCTCACACTCCATCCTGTCCAGCCCTAATTGTGCAGGTGGGGAAACTGAGGCTGGGAAGTCACATAGCAAGTGACTGGCAGAGCTGGGACTGGAACCCAACCAGCCTCCTAGACCACGGTTCTTCCCATCAATGGAATGCTAGAGACTCCAGCCAGGTACAAAGTTGGATAAATGAAAGAATGAATAATAGCCATTGATGTTTGTAAAGTGCACAGGGCAAACACTTTATAACTCAGTAATCACCCCCCTTTTACAGGTGGAAAAACTGAGGTGCACAGAAGTGATGTAACTTGCCCAAGTTTATACAGCTAATAAGTGGCAGAGCCAGGATTCAAGCCAGCAGGTTCCAGAGTCTGTGCTCACTGTACCTCTTAGAATACCAAGTCCTTGAACCGCAGGAATTGCCACATTTCTGTGCCCCCGGCTCTGAGCACTGGCTAGGCACATAGCAAATGCTCAACAGTGCTTGCTGAGTCAATGAGTGGATGGATGGATGGACGGACGGACGGACGGACGGACGGACGGATGGATGGATGGATGGATGGATGGATGGGAAAGGAGTTCACCATGAGGATGGCTTCCCAGGCCCCAGGATCCCAGCTTCTCAGCACAGTAAGGTCCTACTGCGTGTGCTTGGCTCCTGCCGCCCCTATTCCCACCCCCGCCAGGCAGGTGTTAGCTGTGCCCTCCACAGGGCCAGGCCCCACAGGGACAAAGCCGAGGGCGCGCCTGGGCGGCCCAGCGCCTGCATAGGCTGAAGCTGCTAACAGGCTGGAAATCTCTTTTGTCAAAGCCTGCACTGCCTCCAACCTCCTTTAATTAAAGACAATTAGTGCTTTCAGCCCCTCTGCACAGCTCAGCTCCCCTGTTTGCAAACACACAGCTGCGGGAGCTTTGTGGGCCCCCCCTCGTCACCACCCCCCAGCCCTACTTCCCCAGAGACACACAGAGGTGCCTTTATTATCAGCACTCCGGCTGCAGCACCAAGAGGCAGGCGCCTCTGCTTAAAGGAAGGATGGGAACGCTTCCCAGCTAGGCGGGGGAGCAGGAATAGTTGAGGACCCTGGGGTGGCCTGGCACATGTGGGCCATGGGTCCCACGCTTCGAGGAACAGCCACTTGGGGCACCTCTGAGGGACCTGTCACCTCCCCTTCTCCCCTTCTGTCTCCTCTGCTCCTCTGGGCCTGCTTCCTGGAATTTGGGCTGTCCACATGTTTTCTCCCAGAATCTTGTCTCTGACTTGGGCACTGTAGGGTGTAGATGCTGGCCCTGAGTACTACCTTAGGAAGGAAGGAAAAGGGAGAAATGGCTTTTATTGAGCACCTGCTGTATGTTAGGGCGCTTGCTAGACTCTGGCTCTACACACCATCATTCTGAAATATCCCCATTTTATAGATGGAGCTGCCAAGGCGCTCAGAACGGCTTGGTGACTTGGTCAGGCATGACAAGGACATAGCAGAACCAGCATTTAAGGTCAAGCTTTCTGGCCTGAGCATACTGGTTGGATCTACGCATATGAGGAGCCCAGCCTCCTAGAAGTCAAAAGGTCAGCTGGTCCAGCTCCCTCCCAGCCTCTACCCCCATGGTCTGAGCATGTGCCATGTGTACTAGGGAAGTCACAGCCACATCCATGCCCTCCAGATGCTCCCAGTAAAGGGAAGATGCCACCAACAGACCCTTACACAGTGGCAGTGCCCTACAATGGTGGAGGGCTCTACAGAATTCCCGGACAGCACAGAGGAGGGAGTGACTTTGCAGGGAGAGGTGGAACATTTGAGCTGGTTCTCAAAAGGTGAATGGTTCTCAAAGAGGACAGTGGGGCAAAAGTATTCTAGCCAAAGGCCAGGGGCATAAAAGAAAAGCAAATTCTGGCCAGGCACAGTGGCTCATGACTGTAATCCCAGCACTTTAGGAGGCCGAGGCAGGCGGATTAGCTGAGGTCAGGAGTTTGATACCAGCCTGGCCAACATGGTGAAACCCTGTCTCTACTAAAAATGCAAAAATTAGCTGGGCATGGTGGCGTATGCCTGTGGTCCCAGCCACTTGGGAGGCTGAGGCAGGAGAATTGCTTGAGCCTGGGAGACGGAGGTTGCAGTGAGCCGAGATGGTGCCACTGCACTCCAGCCTGGCCGGCAGAGCAAGACTGTCACAAAAAAAAAAGAAAAAGAAAAAGAAAAGAAAAGCAAATTCCAGGAAAGGTGAGCAGTTCAGGCAGGAGGGGTATCACTGGGCCCATTGTGGATGAGGGGACTGAGGTTCCCCAAACCTGAATGCGGTGCTGCACCCACCCCATTTCTCAGCTCCTGCAGGAAACCATGACTGTGCTCACTCTCCTTTGAATCCCAGGACCTCAGCCAGTGCCTGGCACAGAGCAAGGGTTGGGGACATATCTGCTGAGTAAATAAAATGTCCCAATGATGGCAAGTGAGAGGCCCACAAGCTACCTGTCTCCCTTCCCGGGCACAGGGCAGACATACCAAATTAACCACGGCCCTCTTCCACCCAGTCCAGAAGGGGCCCGAGGCCAACTCCTGGGAGCTGGTGAGTGTGGTGAAACTGACGTGTCACCGCAGAGTCAAGTCCAATGCTCACATTTTGCAGATGAGAACATCCAAATAGTATGCTTCTGAATGGGGAGGAAGAGATAATAAGATTAATAGCTTAACATTTACTGAGTGATATTTATATACCAGGCACAGTTCTAAGCTCTTAATGTATATTTAATTCCCGTAACACCCTTATGACACGGGTATTAATCTTCATCTTCTCATTTTACAACGAGAAAAGCTGAGGCACAAAGCAGTTAAGTAACTTACCCAACACCACACATCAGTACGGGATGTGCAGGGCCAAGATTCAAACCCAAGGAACCTCACTCCAGAGTCATGCTCTCAACCACTATGCCATATGTCCTGTCCTCCATCGTCATGGGACCTCGTGGCCCCCAGAGCTGGCCACCCTGCGGGCTGCTGGGCATCCTGCCTTGCTATAAGGCCTTGGCTTCTCCCACTCCAGTGGAGAACAGACAGCTGAGTCAGAGCTGGTGGGGCCGGGCCAGGCCTGGGATCCATCTGCCTTTCAGCAGCCTCTGGGCCCATTTCCTCGGGCCCAGACAGCTTCCCGGCGGTGCCTCTGCAGGCCCTTTTAAGTCCCCTGGCACCCTCAGCCCCACTTCCTGTGACCCCTGGCCCTGGCCTGACCCACTCCGCTCAGTTTCCCAAGATGAGTTGCAGAAGCTGCAGGGTCTGTGCAGAGAAGGGAAAATTAACGAGCTGCTCCCCGGCAATTGGCAGTTTCCAGGCACCAGCTGGCCTGGAGTATTTACTCGGCACCCTCAGAGCAAGACAATTAAGTGGAGCTTAGGTTGGGGTGCAGAGATGTCTACAGATCAGACAGAAACCTTCCTAAGATGTTTTTCCAAGAGATCAGTGCCTAAGAACAAGTTTCCAGGGAAATACAGTCTTTATTCATCCTTATTAGTATCTGATATATTAATATACATAACGTATATGTTATATACATACTCATTTAATTATTTAGCATTCACTGTGTGCCAGGATCCTTGTTGAATCCTCACCATCTCTCTGCAAGGTAGACATCATTATCCCCATTTTACAGATGAGGAAACTGACTCCCAGCAAGGTTAGGAGGCATCTGCCAGGTCACACAGGAGAGCCAGGATTTGAACCCAGGACTGTCTAACTCTAAGCTTCTGCTTCTTGCATAGAACAGACCTCCCTCTTGGTCTCTGGTTGATTGTATGTAGCACTGTATTAGGCACCAAGACTGCGCGAGGAGCAAGAGAAAACCCAGTGTGTGCTGTGGACTTATGTGGTGCTCCACAGCAGGCACAGAGAAGAATAAGAGCATGAGACCCCTTCCCTGCTCTGAGAAGTATCATTTTGAAGATATATGTTGGCCAATATGTGAGCCCAAGGTCTGGTCAGCTTGACTGGTTCTGAAGGTAGGGTAGGGCTTCACTTAGGAAACAAACCTTGTGCTGGGCTTTGAAGGTTGAATAGGAGTCTGCCTGGTGGAGATGGGTCAAAGGGCATTCCAGGTGGAGAATTCAGCATGGACATTATAGTGCTTTGCGTGCTAGGGAAGTGACCCGGAGTTCAGCCTGATGGGGTGTTTGGTAAGATCGGTGGGGTTGGGGGACTTAGAGGGTTGGACTAGGCAGCTCTTGTGCGGGAGACCTGGGCACCAGCCAAGAAGAGACACAGGAGATGGGAGCGGGACCCTGCCACTGCCAACATGATCCTACGGCAGGAAGGGCCTGCTCAACACCATGCAGCAGGGGCCCTGGGCTCGGCCAGGGGTCCCCCAGCCCTCCACTGTTCTCCTGTTTCCTGTGCCCCACAGTGGTGGGGTGGAGGGAGCTGGTGGATTGCTTGGCCATTGAGCCTCCCCTTCGTGCTGCCCTCCAGGAGCTTCACATCCACCTGTCTGGCACCACCCCACATTGGGCCATTACTAACTCACTCTGTGACCTGAGGCAAGTCACCTCTCTCTGGGCCTGGGTTCCCCAAAAGTCAAAGAAGGCACTAAACCAGAGGTTGTCCTTACACCTCTGCATCCTAGAGTTCTCTGAGAGAATGAGTGGTAAATCCCCACCTCTTGGGAGTTTCCCAGTGGGTGGGGATCAGGGCAGGGGGTGCAGGGACTTCCCATGACAAGGGGCACATTCAGGGACACAACCGACCCCAGCAGAGCTGCCAGGGCAGGAAGTTTATCTTCCAGTCTCTCTGCCTTCCCATCCCACTCCCATCCAGGCCCCATCTGATTCCTTGTCACTTAATTTCCCCTGAAATGTCACCTGGTCCCTGTCATCCCACCCCAAGGCCGGGAAAGAAGTATAGTTCGAATGAGGGACTTTCAGGCACCCTAACACACCCAAGAGGCCCTGGCAGCCCCAAGTCCCCCTCCTCAGTGCCACCCAGCCCACTGGCAGCTCCCAAACAGGCTCTTATTAAAACACCCTGTTCCCTGCCCCTTGGAGTGAGGTGTCAAGGACCTAAACTAGGGAGTCAGAAGAAAGGGTCCTGTCTCAGCTTGACAACCCATGTGCTGCGTGACCTGGGTAAGTCCCTTGCCCTCCCTGAGCCTCTTTTTCTTCATTTGTAAAATGAGAGGGGTTGGAAAGATGAATGATCCGTAGCCCATGTGTGTATGAGAATCTCCGAGGCCCCCAATCCCATGTCTGATGCTGTTGGTCTGAGAATGGGACCAGCCATCCTGTGCTTTGGGTACCACTGGCGTAGGAGATCCCTGAGGGCCAAGTTCGGGTCCAACGTTTGTGAACTCTGCATTAGGTCCAGATTCTCTGTGCTTCTCTGTTTAATTCCTCGGACCCTAATGACCAGCAAGCACCACAGAGCAAGACAGCGCCCACTCCATCAGTCCCCACCATACTTACGATGTCCAGGCCAGGTTTAGGCAGAAAGTCATCTTTTCCCTTCTCTTTCACTCTCAGGATGGCTGTCCCCAAGCTTGTCTGTCCTCATGGGTGGTGAGATAAGGGGCTAAAGATAATTGCCTGGGCACTGGGGATGGAGGGCAGAAAGTTTATCTTCCAGTCTCTCTGCCTTCCCATCCCACTCCCATCCAGGCCCCATATGATTCCTTGTCACCTAATTTCCCCTGAAATGTCACCTGGTCCCTGTCATCCCACCCCAAGACCGGGAAAGAAGTGTAGTTCTTTCGGACCATGTACAGGAGGCAGAGGGGAGGGAGCCTGCAGAGTCAGGCCTGGGCTTAAAATCCCAGCCCCTTGGCCGGGGGCAGTGGCTCATGCCTGGAATCCCAACTCTTTGGGAGGCCAAGGCAGGAGGATCGTGTGAGTCCCAGAGTTCCAGACCAGCCTGGGCAACATAGTGAGACCCCATCTCTACACAAAATTTAAAAACCAGACAGACATGATGGCATGCACCTATAATCCCAGCTCCTCAGGAGGCTGAGGTAGGTGGATCACTTGAGCCTAAGAGGTCGAGGCTGCAGTGAGCCATGATCACACTGCCAAACTCTACCCTAGGCAACAGAGCAAGAGCTTGTCTCAAAAAACGAAATAAAAACCCCAGCCACAGCCCTGCTTAGCTGTGTGGCCCGGGGCAAGTCAGTTCACTTCTCTGAGCCCCCAGATATTTGTTGTGAAATGGAGGCGCCACATCTACCTCTCCAGATACTAGGAGGATGAAATTGTAGTGAATGTAGGCACCACCAGTCATACCCCACTTGTCCTGCCTGGCCAGGGAGGGAAGGGGAGCTTCCAGGGGAGCAGTGAAGCTGCGGCCCTGCCCGCGGGGCCTGAGCTGCTGGAGGCTGGCGCACCTTGGGCCCACCTGGGGATTTTCCATGAGGCTTCCACTCGGAGTGGGCAGCAATGATGTCAGTGAAATCATGGAACACATTTTGTAAGAAAATTAATAAGAAACGGATGAAGATGGAAATTATGAACCCTTGGAAACCACAGCAGGAGGGGTGTGGTACTCAGAGGTGCCAGACCCACCCGGTTGAGTGGGGGGACCCTCAGAATGAAGGAAATTGGGGGCGGGGGCTGTGGAGAGCGAGACGTTGCCTGTGAAGGCAGGAGGGAGGGGACTTCAGGGCAGCCAGAGGGAGAGGGACGTGGCCCCACAGCCAGAAGGGCCACTCATGTTGAGCTGGGTCCTGGCCTCAGGCTCTCTGAGCCTCGGCGTCCTCATCTGTAAAATGGGCATAGTAACAGCTATAGGGATGAAAGAAGTTGGAGCAAGCCTGGTTAGATGGGACTCCATAAACAGCAGCTGGCATTGCTGTTCATCGTGGGTGGGAGTCGAGCATTGCCGTCTTCAACCCATCTGAGGCTGGCAGGAGTTTGATGAGTGTTGGTAGAATGACCAGATTGACGACTTGGTGGATGGACTGACAGACAGGTAAAGGGATGAGTGAATGACTACAAACCACCTTCACTGGCCACAGGAGCCTAAATCTGTGTCTTGTATTTTTCTTCTGTCACCCACAAGCCCCCAGCTGGCTGCTGACATCTAGTACCCTTTTAATTGATGATTTGTAATTTATTATAATTTGGCATATTATATACTTGCGTTATACTTCAGTATCATACTCTGTTATAATTCTATAAAGTCTAGCACCTACCTAGTACTTTTCTGTTTACAAAGCATATCTAGACCCTTCAACTTGCCAGTCAGGCAGGTTCTCTTGTTTTGAGGTGAGGAAACCCAAGCTCAGAGAGGTTCAGTAACTTGTCACAGGTCACACAGCTCCTGAGTGGCAGGACCAGAATTCACACTCTGGGTATTTTGTCTTCCTGGGGCACTGCCGGCAGGGCTAGGATATTTCTGGTGATCTGGAGCCTGACTTGAAGGTGTAGAGTAGGGTGAGGGGTCCACTAGGCATGGGATCAAGAAGAATGGGGTGAAGTTGGGCATCTGAGATCAGAGGCTGAGGGTGGGGAAAAAAGCTCAAGGCCTTATCTGTGGTGCAGTCCGGCTCCTTGTGGGAGCACAAAGGGCCTGTGCCACAGGAGGTTGACCTCGAGATGAGCAGCTGAGGTGGGTGCTGGCAGAGGCTGTGGAGGGGCCATCTGGGAGGTAGGGTCAGCAGTAGGCACCACGAGGCATTGGGAGATGGGTGGGCATGCCCGGATTTTCCTGAATGAAGTGTCCCAGATGAAGCATCACTGTCCACCAGCCATGTGACCACAGCAAGTGACTTCACTCTCTGAACGCTGGTTTCTTCCTCTGCAAAATGGGGGCTACAATGAGAGAAGTTAGGGAGCCTTCACAGCCCTTTGCCCAGAGCACTGGGCACCCTGGCTGGCCAGTATTCTATTCATCCCCCCTGAAATATGCCCTCTGGCCCTCCAAAGACCACACCCCTGTATCTGAGGCTCAGAAATGATAGTCACATGGCTGGGCACAGTGACTCACGCCTGTAATCCCATCGCTTTGGGAGGCTGAGGTGAGCAGATCACTTGAGGTCAGGGGTTCAAGACCAGCCGGCCAACATGGTGAAACCCTCTCTACTGAAAATACAAAAATTAGTAGGACAGGGTGGCGGGCACCTGTAATCCCAGCTACTCAGGAGGCTGAGGCAGGAGACTCTTGAACCTGGGAGGCAGAGGTTGCAGTGAGCCGAGATCGCGCCATTGCACTCCAGCCTGGGCAACGAGAGCGAAACTCCATCTCAAAAAAAAATAAAGGAAAAAGAAATGATACTCACCACATGGATTTGTTGGCTTATCTTTATGTATTTACTGAGGACCCATTGAGTGCCGAACTTGAACATTGCTCAGTGAGGCTAGTAGGGCACTGGGTCCAGGTGCTCAAGCTTATCTGAGAAACAACGAAGAGGCCATTGCAGCTCAGGGTGATGACTGCCCTAATGCAAGTCGACATTCAGGGTGCAGTGGGAGCAGGAGGCGGTGTCCCCAACACTGCCTGGAGGAGGTGGGCTTATATACCTATGCAGGGTGATGCTGGAAAGTGGGGGGGTGCAAATGGAGGGAAACAGACACCCACTAAGCACCTACTCTGTACCACGCTCTGCCCTTTCCATCCATTTCCCTGTCAAGCCTCCTTGCACTGCATCATGGTAGTCTCCTCATGCCCACTTTACAGATGAGGCCACTGAGGCTCAGAAAGGTGAATGCACTGCTTAAGGTCACACAGCCACAAAGCCAACCGCAGCTGAGGTGTATCTACCCTCAAAGCCACTGAGGTTGGTTGAGTGGGCCTGAGGTAGGGCCCAGGGAGGCGGGGAAGAAGCATGGGCTCCGAGCCCAGTGGCCCAGGAGCTATGTTCTCACCAGGCCAGCCGAGGCCACTGGCAGCCGTGGTTTACAAGGCATGGGGCTGGCCTGACTGCTTTGCTTCACAAATGCACGCCGGCTCATCTGGGGTACATTTGCGCCTTTATGAGTGTTCTTCAAAAGCCCAGCTCGGCTCTGTGCCTGTAACCATGGAGACAGCTCTGGGTGGCTGGAACCAGTCGCCCTCTATGGCCACGCGTGAAGGCTGCCAGGTGCTGGGGCCGTCACCACGCTGGGCAGGGCACCCATAGAGGCCTTTCCTGAGAGGTGCTTGTGGATGCCAAGGGGTGAGGGTTTAAATCCAGTTCCCAGGAAAAGTGAAAAGGTCAAGTCTGCTTCATTGACGGCAGAGCCATGTGGGCCAAGACCACCTCTCTGGCCCACCACGTGCCTGCTCTTCCTGGGTAAATGTGAGCCTTCCCTTAGCCCGCCGCCCTTGGAATCAGGACAGGCTAGAGATGGAAGGTGGGGGGTGGTTGTGGGGGGTACAGGAGGCTGGGTTTGAGTCCCAAAGTGCAGCCCCACACAGCCTAAGACCCTCACACCGAAATCCCATTTTCCAAATAGGGAAACCAAGGCCCATAGAAAAGAAATGAGTTGCCCAAGGCCACCCATCAAGGTAGAGGCCAGAGGAAGCCTGGCTGGACCCTGGCTCCGAGTTCAGTGCTCCCTCCAGGCCACCATGAAGCTTCTCAGTGAAACCTGAGGTGGGGCTGGGCCCAGGATCAGGCCGTGTTGGGTGCAGCCAGCCCACGCTGGAGGCTGGCCTGAGCCCTGCATTGGCCCCAGGCCCTTCTTGGCTCTCAATTTTGGTCCAAGTCTCAGGGGCCGTTCAAAGATTCCGAAGGCATGTGAACATTTTGGAAGCAATTTGTCAGTCCTGGAAGCTGCTTGGAGGCTCCAAAGACTGTTTAAAGATTCCAGAATCTGTTATATTTGCAAGGGCTGTTGTTCATAGTTTCCAGAGTGGTTTGCAGGCCCTGGGCGAAGGTCCGGAGGCAGTGTGGGGGTCTGGGGCTGGAAGCATGGCTGGGAGCCCGGGGCGGTGCTGGAAGTGGAACTGACGGCTGTCTAAGCTCCCAGTTTTCTCTCCAAGGGCTCAGTCTATGAAGCCACCATGTCCATCGGGCATCTGCTGTTCTGAGAGGCAGAAGGTGTGTGGGTGTTGGCAGCAGCAGGAGAGGATTTAAAATCCAACTTTACCATTCACGTGCTGTGTCACCTGGAGCCAATTACTTAACCTCTCTGGGCCTTCTTTTCCCCCATCTATACAATGGGACTTAGACCACCTGTGCTGCAAGCCTAACTGTCCACCACCCATCTCATCTCAGGCATCTGTCGGATTAGTCAGAGAACATCCCCATCCAGAACTAGTTAACACTGTTCCTGGGTGTGGACTTGGTGTCTCTATCCAGGGTGGAAGCCTGGCCTTCTGTAATAGCCCTGCCGGCCCTCCTAAAACCAGACCTCTCTGAGCCCCAGCCCTGCTGTGTCTGTCACTGGGGAGGAGCCATGCACTGTGCCAAAGGCCCTGGTTGACCAGGATGTCTGTTCCTACCCATGCCCCGTGGAAGTTTCTGGCTGGTCACAATCCCAGTCCTGCCTCCTGCCTTCTTCATACCGCATTGCCTTCTCCAGCACTCTTCCTTCCAAGCCCATTGGCCCAACTCCCCCATCCCCACCCACCAGTACCTTAGGTCTCAAACTTGCCCTTGCCATCCTCTGGGCCTTGGCTCACGCTGTTCCCTCTGCCTGTCCCATCTCTGCCGTTCCCCCTGCCACCCTCCCACCTGGACCCCTTGCGGTTCCCTCTCCTCCAGCCTCCACCCTGTCTCACGTTGCTGATTAGAGTGGCACAGTCTACCCTCCAGGTCTGCGTTGCCTCCTTGCCACCAGGTAGCCCCTCACAGCAACTGTAGGATATAGGCCTGACTCCCAGGGTGGTCATGAAGGTCAGATGAGATGATGGATAGGCAGGAGATGTATAAAGTCTAAAGTGATGAGGCTAATGGTGGCTGAGTGATTTGCCTAAGGTCACCCTGGGGGAGATGGGGGCCAAGCCAGGACCTCAGTCCAGGTCTCCTGGCCAGGACGTCGACCACTAGAGCCCCAGACCATCATGGGTGCCCCTCTGAGAAGTTTTACTTTTCTCCAACTCCCTGACCCACTTGCAGAGCTGCAAGCAGGCAGGCTGGCTCCCAGCTGGGATAATCACTGGCCGCTGGCTGAGGTGTTAAATGCATCGTGCCTTCCTGGTAGACAGGAAGATCAATACCAAGGTGGATGGGCAGCCTCGCTGGATGCCACAGCCAGCCCCCAAGGGTGAGAATGGGCCAAGAATAAATATAACCAGGCCTGCTCCCTCCACAGGGTCAGACCAGGCCAGATGAAAATGCTGTAGCTTTGATGGGACCACCTGTGGCATTATCATCATCATCCCAAGCAACATGATTAGACCATAAACTCTTCTAAACTTGTTTGTTCCTGACATGTGTAAACTCACTGAATCCTCATAACCACGCTCTGAAGCAGGTCCTGATATTATTCCCATTTTACAGATGAAATGTGGCACAGAAAGGCTTGTGACTCACCGAAGGTCACACAGCTAGATTAGAACCCGCAGTTGCCTGGGTCAGAGCCCATGCCTGCTGCTGGGATAGTCTGCTGCCTTTTTAGTCATATGGACCATCCTGTGGCCACACATGCCCACAGGCTCCTTCCTGTTCAGAAATGGCAAATCAGGGGCCTTGTCTCCAGCCCCCGGTGTGCTTTGGGCACAGGGGTCTTCAGTGCCTGAGCTTCTTGGAGTTTTCAGAGCTTGGACTGTGCTTTAGCCAAGAGCTCCTGGACATGTATAGACACGTACCTAGCAGATGCCCATGCTCCCTCATTCTTCTAGAGCTCAGAGCAGGCAGGCTAAAGGCGAGCCTGGTCCCCATAGACACTCTGGGCATGAGTGACCCCCTGCTTGGCATGAACTCTCAGGGATCCGAGCCCTTGGACTGCAGTGGTCTCAGCCTCACTGCCCATCGGCTAGGGGCCTGCATAGCCATAGCCAAAGATGGGCCTTCCTAAAGGGCGGGACGGGAAGAGGACTCCATCCCTGAGCTTCCTGGGGTTAGACTGGGAGGTGGGACAGAGGTCAGCGTATAAGCTGTGGAACTGCTGAATGGGAAGGGCCCAGCCCATTTATCTTTTCCCTGAAGGGCAGCCCGAGTGATAGGAAATGTCTGGGCTTTGGGATTCAAGCCAGCAAAGCCCCTGCCTTCTGTGTCATCTGGGCTTAGACACTTAACCTCTCTGATCCTTAGTCTGTCGCTTCCCTTACTACAGCTGACCCTTTCACCCTCTGCCAGACCACGTGGTCCACCTGCCTTCAGGTCCTTGTGCTCGATCCATCTGTCTCAAGCTCAGTGTACCTGGCCAGCCCCCCACGACCTCTTCTTCCAGTCCCACCCCGAGTCATCCTCCAGCCCTCCCTCACCTCAGGCTGGCTATGGGGACAGACACCAAGTCCTGCCCATTTTCTCTCCTAAATATCCCTGAGTAGTTACCTTCCCTCCTGGCCCCATGAACCACCGCCCTGGCTCTGCAGACCTTGTCATCATTCTGGATTTGGGCAGTGGTCTCCCTGCGCCCCCTGCCTGCCCTCTTCCCCATCCAGCCATTCCCCTCTGGCAGCTCCAGAACCATCTTTCTAAAATGGAAATCTGGTCATGGTGTGTATCTACCTAAAACATGTCCTGATTACACACAGGATAAAGGTCAAACTCCTTCCTATCCCACAAGGAAAGCCTGACACCCTCCGGCCCAGCCTTCCCATTCTGCCTTCAGCCATGCTGTGCAACTGGGATGTGCTGAGTCCTACCTCTGAGCCTTGGCACATGCTGTTCTCTAGGCCTAGAATTCCCCTCTTTCTCTTCCCTCCCCTGCACCGTTCATCTTAGCATCCGTTTATCCGTCAGGTCTCAGTTTTGACGTCACCTCCAAGAATCTTCCCTTAACCACTCCCTCCCCCAAGACTGGGGTAGTTGACCATCCCCTGAGCTCCCACGCTTCATGCCTCCCCTGTCACTCTGAATTGTCACCATCTGTTTATGTGTCTTTCTCTCCACTACACAGAGTCCCCGCCCCCAGGCTCAGAGATGGCCCCCATAGGTTAGAGTGAATGCCCCCCAACCCCAACCTAGGCTCCCCCCTCCCAGGGGAATTCTTACTTCCTGGCTCACTGGGGGCAGCTAATGAAGTCCTAGTCCCACCTCCCCCGGAGCCATGCTGTGAGACCTTAGGATAGTGTCTTCCCCTCTCTGTGCCTTTGCTGCCGAGGAGCTATAAAAAGACAAGCCTGAATTAGATGACTTCTCAGGGCCTTGCCAGCTCTGCAGTTCCACAGCCTGGTCGCCCAGCAGATGTCTCTCTCTCTCTCTCTCTCTCTCTCTCTCTCTCTCTCTCTCTCTGCTGGTCTTTGTGTCTTTTCATTCTGCCTTGAAACTCCATCTCCGGCCACCGCCTCTCACAACCTCTGTTCCAGTCTCTCTGGCAGCCCCTCCTTTCCCTTTCTGCCCCAAGACTTCTTGTGAAGACTGAGGTCTTCTTTATGGAATTCCGGATCCAGGTCGAAGGGCAGTCCTGGAAGCCTCCTGGTACCCCCATTCATCCTCCTGTCTTGGGACCTGCCATCTGCATAGCCCCAGTAGGGCCATTAAGTCACCATGAGTCAAACCAAGTTATAAATAAGTAAAGGGGTGAGGGTCCCCAAGGGCACTCAACCCCAGCTGGCTGCCCTATCTCTGGCCAGATCTGGGGTCCTGACCACCCCGGGACAGACTCAGCCTGACAGATCTTGACATGTCGTCACTGTCCCTGGAGAGTGATGGGGAAATCACCAGGCCTCCCCAGCCCCCATTAGTGTCAGTAATTGCCAATCAATTTCCTGGGAGCCTGGTGAGGAAGAGGCCCCTGGGTACCTCCAGTGAGGAAGCCACATCTAATGGCTTTTATTTGGATTACTACAAATTGATGATTTTTTTTTTTTTTAATGGAGCTTTGGTTTTCCTCTCCGTGTCTTAACCACCCCCTCAGGGCCAGTTAGACCAAAAGATGAGTGATGGCATGACTTTCTTCTCTGGAAGAGCCGAGACCAGCCTGGTCATACCCACACCACTCATGTATCCTCCATGCTGAAGACAGGCACTTCCTGAAGCCATAGCTACAGCTCCCATTTCTCCAGCAGTAACCCCACCCCAGACCCTCCCCAAGGTTATCAGGTTGAAACTGCAAAACAACCCTGTTGAGATATATCTCACCATCCCCAGGAAAAGGGGAGGCAGGCTCAGAAAGGTGGTGAGACCTAGCTAAGATCACACGGTTAATAAATGGTAAAGTTGAGATTTGAACCCAGGTCTTTCTGGCATTGAAGCCTCGGTGTTCCCATTCTTACATGTGTCATCCCACGTATAACAGAGAGTGAAGATGGTTCCCCTGAAAGCCAGAGAGCAACAGGAGTGACAGCTTTCATGGGGCTCCTAGGGCAGAGATTAGCTGATGAGAATAATAATAATGATAGCTGTAACAATAGCAGCTATTGCTGAGCGCGGTGGCTCACGCCTGTAATCCCAGCACTTTGGGAGGCTGAGGCAGGAGGATCACTTGAGCCCAGGAGTTTGAGACCAGCCTGGGCAACATAGTGAGACCCCATCTCTACACAAAATACAAAAAAATTAGCCGGGTGTGGTGGTGTGTGCCTATGGTCCCAACTACTCAGGAGGCTGAGGTGGGAGGATCACTTGAGCCCAGGAGGTTGAGGCTGCAGTGAGTCATGATTGCACCACTGCACTCCATGCACTCCAGCCGGGGTGACAGAGTGAGAGCTTGTCTCAAAAAAAAGAAAAAAAATTAGCAACTATTATTTACTGAGCCCTTAATTATGAAACACAGACTATGCCAATGGGTTTACATAAATGTTTTATTTTCTCCTTGGAACTACACCAAGAAGTATTTGTTATTATAACCATTTCACAGATAGAGAAACCAAGACTTAGAGGTTAAGTGACTTGCATAAGATCGCTCAGATTATTGGTGCTAGTAGAACTAGGACTCAAACTAAGTATGTTTGAATCCACGGCATGCACTTTTAACCATTTGCATCAGTTTGGATTATGAGTAACAGAAAATAAAAATAATGGTGGCTTAAACAAGATTGGAGTTTATTCTTCCCTCAAGTAAATGAAATCCAGAAGTAGGCAGCTGGTACAGCTCCATAATCGTGAAGGACTCAGGTTCCTGTCTTGGTCCCAAGATCTAAGCTGGCTGCTAACCCTCCAACCATCGCATCCACATTCCAGCCAGGAGGAAAGAGGAAGCGGTAAAGATAGACACGCATGCTTCTTTTAAGGACAATTCCCAGAAATTGCAGCTACCATTTCTGCTAACATCTCATCAGCCAGAACGAAATCACATGACTATACTACCCAGATGCAAGACAGTCAGGAAGCATAAGCTTGATTCTGGAATGCCATGTGCCCAGCTAAAAAGTAGAGCCTATTGTTAAGGAATAAGGAGAGGTCAGATATTGGGACAATCATCAGTGACTTCCATCAGCATTATTCTAATGCTGATGTTTAGATGGAAATTTACAGTGCAGTCTAGTAAGTCATCAAATCCAGCTTTCTGGTATCCCAGAAAAGGAACCTGAAGCCCAAAGAGAGGAAGGCACTCACCCAGAATTGAACAAAAAATGGGGGCAGAATCATGTTCGGAAGCCTGTCTCAGTAATCACAAAACCTGAGTTATTGGCACAAGAAATGCCCTCTGTCCCTCCTACATTCTGGGACATTTCTTCTGGTTCTTGGATTGTTCCTCTCACTTTCCCATTTTCCTCTCTCCCTTGTCTGGGCCTTAGGGTAGTTGCCCTTTGGGGCTTCTGTTAACCTTTGGATTGAGTAACAGAGGATCTGATTCTGTTCCCAACATGGATACAAAAGATGTCTGACCTTGGCCTTTAGCATTCTGGTCTGAGGATCTTAAAGGTCTTTCCTGCTCGGACAGTCAGTTTACGAGATACTCTGAAGCTAGGGGTGGTTTTTGCTTAGTGAATGTGGTTACTGGTACCAATAGATCCATATATTCCTCAGCATATGAGGCTCCGGTGGTGGTACTTGTGGAAGGGGCAATGGATAAGGGAGAAAAAAAACTAAGGTCCTTGGATGATGCTGGGAGGAAAGAATAATCTTTATTAGACATCTACTATGTACCAATTACAGTGCTACAATAAATGTAAGTAAGTATCTCCTTATTGCTAGACAATGGCTCTTAGATAGGGTTAAAAAATAGAGTAAGTCCAGCTATGTGATCTTTTGAAAGGACACATCTAAAGCAAAATGGAGAAGGGTCAAAGGTGAAGGGATGAGCCGGGCTCAGTGGCTTATACCTGTAATCCCAACACTTTGGGAGGCCAAGGCAGGAGGATCACTTGAGGCCAGGAGTTTGAGACCAGCCTGGGCAACATGGCGAAACCCCATCTCTATTTTTTAATTTAAAAAAAAAAGGAAAGTGATGGAAAAGACCTACCAAACAATGCTAAAAATAAATTTAAAATGAAGATGAGAAAAGAAAACAAAAGTGGCAATGTTAATATAATGCATATTTCACAGTTGAGGCTCAGAATGATAAAGTAACTCACCTGAAGTCATCTAGCCCCTAACTGGCAGAGGTGTGATTTGAAGCCAGGTCTTTCTGTCTCTTAAATTCCTTCTTCCTTGGGAATGTCTGGTTGCCTCCAGTGAAGTTGGCCAGCATTGTGACCTTGCCCTGATGGGATACGGGTCTGGAGCCACCATCACAGAGCAGGCTGGAGCAGGCAAAAGTGAAAGGAAGGCCCTGTTGGCCAAAGGGACCAGTCCTGGGTCAGGACATGCACTGGCATCTGGGCCAGAGCCTGGACCAACTCTCAGAGAGCCAGCCATGTGCTGCTATGGCCTGCCGTCCAGTTTCAGGCCCAGTGCCCACAGGGGTCTCCACTCCCTGCCTTCCAATCCCTAGTCTCAGGCAGAGGCTGAGATGATAGAGGACCCGTCCCACAGAGCCACATGGCTAAGGTTCATGCCTGGAATGTAGTTCCCTCTGCGTGGCAGAGAACAGCAGGCCTGAGGCCTCCAGGAGACAGTTTGGCTGTGGTTCGGCTGAGCCCTAAGCTAGGAGCCACTGAGACCTACATATACCCTATCCATTCCCAGAGCAAGGGCAACAGTGGGGCCAGAGGCAGGTCCTCATTGTTTCTTAGGAAGAGCCAGACAGGAGACCTGGGTCCAAGTTAGCTCTGCCACATCCCCTGCACACATCAGGCTCCAGTCATCCCAGATGGACCCACCACGGCTCCCAAAAAGCACCCTCAACTGCCTCGCTCCTCTAAGTTTTGCACACGAAACACAACGTGCAAATGGCGGTTAGCTGGCCTATGTAGCTAACCTGGCCCATCCTTCATAACTCAACTTGGGTATCACCTCCTCCAGGAAGCCTTCGCTGACTCCTCTTCAAGTCTGTATTATAATGTATAGAACACTGGGTTTGGCTTTCTCTTTACTTGTGTGTCTCTTCAGCCAGTGCCCTGTATCTTGAACTAATGTGTGGATGGCCTTTAAGGAGGTTTGTGAACCTCCTTTGTGAAATTGTTCACAAAATGCTTCCTGTGTGTATATATGTGCATTTGAGTGGGCAGCAGTAATAACTTTCATCAGATTGTTTTGAGAATTACCACTCTAGACTGTGATGCTCATACAGTTAGGAACTGTGTCTGTCACTGTCTCCTCAAGTGATATATAATAATAGAAGTAGGTGATATAATAAATATTAATTAAATGAACATTGGATGAATAATTTGCGGGGTGACCTTAGGCAAGTAACTTCACCTCTTTCAATCTTGATTTTCTCATCTATAAAATGGGAACAAAAGTGAGGATTCCACTATCTAAGCTTTTCCTCATCTCTGTTTTCCTTCTCTACCCCAGCACCTAGCATAGTGCCTGGCACATAGTAGGTGTTCATAGATATGTATGAGAGGAATGGAAAGATGAGCGATTGGTAGGCAGGTGGAAGAATCAGTGTTTAGATGAATGAATGACAGTGAGCGAGTGAGTGGCTGCTATCCACTATGTGGAGAGAAGACCCAGTGGATGTGTTGGTAGGTTCACTGGCTGGACAGGTAAAACAGTGCCTAGGAAGATAGGTTGATGGATGGGTGGAGAGAGTGAGTGGACATATTCATGCTAAATAAATGGCTAGATGAATGGCTCAGCAAAGGGAAACTTAAGTATTTGGGAGGGGCTGGATAGGTAGGTAGGTTTTTTATAAAATCATCAGTGGATGGGAGAAAATGATGAATACATGGATCATAGATGGATTTGTGAATGCATGTGTAGATATATGATTGGATAGATGGATGGAAGGAAGGAAGGTCTAACTGATGGATGGGGGAAGGAAGGGAGGGAGGGAAGAAGGAAGGAAGGAAAGAAAGAAAGAAGGAAAGAAAGAAGAAAAGAAGAAGAAAGGCCTCCATCCAACTCAGGCCAGTGAGTAGGAAGGCAGAGACAGAGAGTTTCCTGTGAACAAGGCTGGCTTACAGAGCAGGTAAGCCACCTTCCAGAGCTGTTGTGTATTGGGCCCCAGCTGCGCTCTTCCTTTCCATGGGTCCAGGGTCTCTCTGGCGGTGCCAATATTCAGAAACTGGTATAGGATGGAGACAAAGGGAGTAGGCAGATACCAGGGCCAGAAGGAGGGAGGGAAGACGGGTGGAGGCTGGGCCTGCCATTGGGCAGCCGCCCCTGTTTACTCAGCTCCAGAATGAAGCCCCGGAGAAGGGCTGTTCATATTTCTACCTTGAACAGGGAGCTGACATTAATGAACAGCTAATTAACATCTTGGAGTGCGATGGTTCCAGTGTCAGTGTCCCTAATTAGTCTCGCGCTAATCTGCTTTAATTAACTGTCCCTGTCGTGGTTTTAATTTAATTTTCAGCTCCAGCCTGGGATGGCAGCCCCGTGAGCATTCCGTCCCAGGGCACCTGTGGCCAGGGCAGGGTGGGTTGGCCAGTGCCAGGTTCCCAGGGGCATTGCCAGACAGCCCAGCGATGGGCAGAGCTGGTAACAGAGCCTGGCTCCTCTGCAGCCCTGCGGGAAGGGGACTTGGGGATGGGACACTTTCCTCATCTTCTCAAGGAAGTATTCTCAAGTCATCAGGAGCTCCTAGAACATTCATAGGTCAGGAGCATAGTCTGTGACTGCACCTTGATCTCAAGAAGACCCCGTAAACTGACCATACTTTCTGGACATAAGCTCCGATTCAGGTAAACCTGGATTCCTGTGTGACCTTAGGAAAAGCACTTGACCTCTCTGAGCCATTCTAGGTTATCAGCCCCATTCGTTAGTTATACAGTTGGATAGATGGTCAGAAGGAAGGAAGATCTAATCCATGGATGGGGCTAATGAGATGGGGCTGATAACCTAGATGCTGGCATCCCGCTTTCACCAAAGATGCAGTTTTTCAGGGGTGATCTGCATACACACCTAACTCCTCGGATGATCCAGTTGGAACACACACTATGACAGCCACCCTTGGGTCAAGAGTGGAGAGGGCTGGGAAGGAGCCTAGATCAGGGGGTGAGCGGAGCACTGGTCCAGGACTCAGGATACCCAGGTCTCAGGCCTAGCTTTGCTGCTACCTTCAAGTCTCTCACCCTCTCTGGGCTTACACCTCACTCCCATCCATAAGTTGGAAGGGGCAGGAAGAGGGAGAACAAGATGCTCTCTGAACCCCCTCATGCGTTGGCCAGAGTTAGAGAATAGATGTACAGCTGGCTCAGAAAACCTGACATCTGGAGCAGGAGAACTAAGTGGGAGCCAGGGGCTAGGGCCACCCTGGGGGCCAGGTGTGGCCTCTGCCTTTTGCAAGGCAAAGCAGGAACTAGCTGAGGAGGCAGTGGCTGCCTTGGTCACCAGGACCCTGCTGCAGGTGGGAAACCAAATCAACATGTCTGCCCCTGGCAGGAGCCAGAGAAGCATCTGCCAAGAGAGTTAGACAAATGAGGATCGTCTGGGGGGATGCTGGCTGGTGTCTGAGGTGGGGAGGGGAGAGTCCAGGATCTGAGTCAGATCCCTTGTCCCAGAGTGGCTGGGAGCTAAGAGTGCAGGGTGGGTTGAAGGCTGAGGCCTGAGGAGTGAGGAGGCCCCTGCTGAGGCTGGATGCCAGCTCAGGGATTTAAGCTGTAACCCTGAGGGCACTGGGGAGCCACGGCCAGATTCTGAGCAGGAGAGTAGCTAGATCAGCTGATTGGCCACTGGCAGTGCGGGAGTGAATTGGAGTGAGGAAGCAGGAGGCAGGGAGGCTGCCTTCCTTCAGGCAGTGAGTCTACTAAGTGCGTTCAGTGTGACCTCCAGAAGCATAGATAGTGCACTCTTTAGAAAAAGGTGGGCGCACCTGCCTCTCCCCACGGCCTTGGGCTTAAGGAGTATGTTTGGCATTTCCTTGTAGTACCAGTTCCCAGAATATAGCTCACACTTTCTGCAACTGGGGTCTGCAAACCCCAGAATGGGGAGAGGGTCCCAAATATATTCTCAGGGGCCCAGGAATTCTAGGAGAATTTAAACTTTTGATGTTTAGATTTGGATGCTGATTCTAACAGACAATTTGGTTTTGACCAGTTCTAAAGCAACACTTCTCTCCCAGTGATCTCTCAAGGGGGAAGGCATCCTTGCTCCTGGCATCGGAGGACTGGAGAGGTAGTCTCCAAGGGCCACAAAAGACCATTTCCGTTTCTAAAGAGTCTGTTCTTGTCCAGCCCTGAGAAATGCTGTCACGCCTGCCTCCCCCAGGACAGTGAGCTCTTCCAGC
Organism: Homo sapiens; assembly: GCF_000001405.40. NCBI lineage: Eukaryota > Metazoa > Chordata > Mammalia > Primates > Hominidae > Homo > Homo sapiens. Next base: position 22,826,677 of record NC_000001.11, read on the forward strand.
CGTGCTGGAGCTGGTCTGGCTCACTGTGTCTCCGCAGCCTGACACAGGTCCGGACCCAGGGAGGGTTTATGAATTGAGGCAGGTTCTTTCTGGATGTCCCACAGCTCCCTCCTTGTCTGGCCCTGAGAAATGCTGTCACGCCTGCCTCCCCCAGGACAGCAAGCTCTTCCAGCAATGCTGGAGCCAGTCTGGCTCACTGTGTCCCCGTGGCCTGACACAGGTCCAAACCTAGAGAGGGTTTATAAATTGAGCCAGGTTCTTTCTGGATGTCCCACAGTCCCCTCCCCCTGCCTTTGACCTCCAGTTGATCTTTGCTTTCAGTCCAGTCTGAGCTAAACCAGTTTTTCCTGAAATTCTTAGTAAATGAGTATGGAATCCAGAGCTCCTGCCCCGCTTCCTCCCTACCAGAGCACAAGATTTCTATGAAAGGAGAAGAACCCCTCACCTTTCTCGATTCCCCTCCCTTGCTCATGGAAACTCCTCACATTTCTTCAGATCCAGCTCAGACCAGGCCACCTGCAGAGAGCCCTCCCTGGCTTCCCCAGATGAATGTGTCAGTCTGTCCTCGGAGCCCCTGGAACATGTGCCGCCCCCAGGCCCAGGTCCTCTCTTTTGTCTTGCATTGAATATATTCATGGCAGGAACTGGATTGCTCCCATCTGTGTGTGCTCTGCTCCCAACCTGGCTCACAGCAGGGGCCCGCAGGAGCAGGTGGAAGAGAGGTGCCCCTCGTCCCCAGTGTATTCTCCGCAAGGGTCCAGTGGCCGCCAGCCTGGCCTTTAGCATGGTAGTGTTATACATAGTAGTGGCTTTGCTGTCCGTCAAGCCTGCATGCAACCTGACTGCTAACCAGCCAGTGACTTTGGGATGCATCTCCTGAAATCTCAATTTTCTCATCTAGAAAATGGGTAATGATGGCACTTACCTCGTGAGGTCACTGTGAAGACTTAATTTAGGAGACTCATGTAAAGCGCCTGGGTCATAGTAAGTCCTCAATCAAACCATGCCAGTGATGATGGTGGTGAAGTGCTAGAGCCCAGAGTGCTTTACACAGAGTCAGAAGAGTTAAAAGAAGCCTAATTCTGAGTGCTACCTGCTAACCCTCCTGTTCCCTGTCTCACTCACGCCTGGAAATGGCTCCGCCAGGACTCAGGCGACTGCAGAGATAACAAGCCAAAAGGTGACAGACCCTTGGCCTTGCTCCAGGGGCCTTCACCATCCACATGCATTTAGAGACCTGCACGTGAGGGACATGCACAGTGATACAGAGACAGAGCCAGGGCTATAAACGTGAGCACTCACAGTCATGTGTGTGTCCACACAGCCACACACTCAGAATAAGGAGAAAGAGGCCACTTTTGATGCCCAAGCAAAGACAAACATTTCAAAGCAGAGGTGGCCATGGGGGATCTCTGTTCTGCTTCCCCAGCCCTGGGCCACTGATGGGCTATAGCCACCCCCACTCAGTTCTCTCTGGGTTGAGCCAGCTGCCCAGGCTCATGGCTGTTTTAGATCTTGTGTCAGTGACTAGAGCAGGGACACCACCAGGGGCTGAGCTCCTCAGGGACTGCAGTGTGGGGTTCATGAGTGGGTGCATATGCCTCTCCATGGACCCTGGCAGAAGTAGCAGCAGGGCCTACACTGGTCCATGACTCACCCAACACTGTGGCTTGGGAAGCAGTCGAGGCATCCGGGCCCCTCCAGCTCCCCAGCCCAGCCGTGCCCACCCCACCTAGCAGCTCCTGGAGCCTCTTCTACATCTGCACGGATGAGCATTGAGTTGACCCAATCCTTGTTCTGGCAGGAAGAGGCCAGAGGGTCCAGACTGTAAAAGAAAGCTGGAGACCTTTCGGAGAGAACTGTGAACACTGATAGAACGGTCAAGCAGCCAGGGGCTAGCAGTAGGGGAAGGTGACGAGGTCAGACAACCCAAGATGACAGGCTCACGTGACATCACAGTCACCGCCTGTCACGGCCACAGAAATGCACAGTGTTAAAATCACAGTCAAGCAAGAATTTTAGAATGTTACAGGCCTAGAAAGGTTGTAATCATAGAATTATAGAATGTTGCAATCATTTAATCATTGAAGCACTAAGACGACTAGGCACAGAGAGGCCAAGAGGCAGGAGCTTTAGAATGTTGTAGGCATAAAAGGGTTAAAATCATAGAATTACAGAATTGTACCACCATAGACTATTAAAATTGTAGCCTCACAAGCAGGAATTTTAGAACGGTGCAGTCACAGAACTGTAGACTGTTACAGTAAACACACACGCATAGAATATTCACTTGTAGACTTACAGGCAGGAATTATAGAATGCTATAGTAATAGAATGTCATAGTCAAGAACTGTGGAATATTCAATATTCAGGTGCCGTAGTGTCACATCAAGAATTAGAGATTGTGAGTGCTGCAAGAACATTTTACGTGTCTTGTGCCAGATCCTGTGCAAAGCACGTGACACTGACTGACTCGTTACTCCTCAGAGCGCTGGTGAAGTGGGCGGATCCACTATGGGGCTGGGAGGTAGGAGCCACATGCAGCCCCCAGGCCCTGGAGCCTTGGCAGGGAAGGTGGGAGCAGTTGCCTGGGCCTGCAGTTGGCCCCTCCCCACCCCTAGCACACACCCAGCCGGGAGAGGCTCCCGGTCAGCGTCTCTCCTTTTGTTAATGTGTGTCTTAGGGGCCCACCAGATCAGCTTCCAGCTTATGGGCAGGATGCCTGCAGCCTGATGGGGTCGGCTCTACAGGCCCCACCCAGATTCCAAGCCAGGGTGTAAGACCATGGGTGCGTGGTCCCCAGAGGCCTCCCTACAACTGGCCTTGACCCTCACCTGCCTGTCTAGTGCACAAATAGCCACATTGATTTTCATCAAACACCCTTCCCCCATCCATCATTCATCCATTCTGTCAGTTGTCATTTTCAGATCACCTTCTGAGGTCACTGGGGAGGTGGACGTGAATCAAGACAGCCCCCTGCTCTAAGGAATGGAATGGTAGGGCCATTTGGGGACACAGAGGAAGTGCTGTGGGGGTTGGGGATGGTGGGGATGGCCAGGGCATCACGGAGGGCTTCCTGGAGGTGAGGCTGGGTCTCAGACTAGGCAGAATTTGGCTCCGTAGGGATGACGGATGGCAGGGGCATTCCAGGCAGAGGAAGTGACAGGACAAAAGGCCCAGGAGACAGCCGCATGTGATGTGTTCAGGAATCATTAGGAGCTTTTGTTTGGGCAGCAATGAAGGCTCCAAGTGATGGCAATGGGGCAGGAGAGGTAAGTCGAGGCACCGAGCAGAGGCTTTTGAGTGCCAGGCTAAGGAGGTCAGGATTTGTAAACAATAAATGGCTGTGCGAGTTCATGATCATGCTCAAGTTTGACTGGTGGGAAGGGGGGACTAGGGCTGACAATTTGCTTTTCCTTCCTTTAGAAACAAGAAACTGCAAATTCCTTCCCAGGACTGGTGGGCCAACCCTGGGCTGGGCTCCAAAAATACAGAGAAAGGGCTTTGGCGGGAATTCCAGGGCTGCACTGAGGGGTGCTGGCTGCCCAGCCTTTGTCCCCAGAGGCTGGCATCAGACGCCATGCTCTGAGGAGAGGGGCGGTTCGCAGACACTGAAGGGGACCCACGTGATTCCTTCAAGTTCTTTGCAGTCTCTGTAGAAGCCTGCTCAGAGGAGGAGGCCATGCGCACCAGGGAAAGGGCCAGACAGGCCTGTGCTTGAATCCCTGACTGGCCTCATATTGCTGAGTACACTGGGCAAGTGATATTATCTCCCCAGGCCTTGGTTTCTCAATCTGTAATGTAGGAACTAACAGCAGAACCTCCCTCACAGGGCCACCAGGAGGCAAGGGATACCTGGCCCTTAATGTGTTCAAAATTCATATTCATTTCTTTTGTTTGTTTGTTTGAGACGGAGTCTTGCCCAGACTAGATTGCAGTGGTGCAATCTCAGCTCACTGCAACCTCCACCTCCCGGGTGCAAGTGATTCTCCTGCCTCAGCCTCTCGAGTAGCTGGGATTACAGGCGCCCACCACCACGCCTGGCTCATTTTGTATTTTTAGTAGAGATGGGGTTTCACCATCTTGGCCAGGCTGATCTCGAACTCCTGACCTCATGATCCACCCGCCTTGGCCTCCCAAAGTCCTAGAATTACAGGCATGAGCCACCGCACCCTGCCTCATATTCATTTCTTTATGCCAACGGTCTTAGATCAACAAGAAGCATTTAGTCCAATCACCCCATTTTACAGGTAGGAAAACAGAGGCTCCAAGAACGACAGCAGACATTTCAAATGTAGAATGGCCAAGTGTGTGGGTGTCAGGAAGAGGAAGCTAGATGAAGGAAGAGGGGTAATGCTCCACGTTGACTACCAGAGTCTGAAAGTCTGAACCTGGGATGCCAGGCAGGCAGTAAACCCAGGGGCTCCCCAGATCAACCCAGCAGTACTGACTGCATCTTTGCAGGTCCACACTGGCAGCCTGTACACTTTGAAGAACAGCAGGTCCACTGGGGATGAAGGGCGGCTGCAGGGATGGTGATGGGCATTGAGTGAGGTGATTTATATAGGGCAACTTACAGAGTGTCTTGCACATAGAAGGTGTTCAGGTCCTGGGAGGTAAGTGAGCACCAGATACAAACCCAGAACTGGGATGGGGAGTGGCTGCCCCTTGCTACCTCCCCCCTTAGCAGAAAGTGAAAGCATTTTGCACAAAAACTCAGCTGTAGGCATTGTGTAATAGCATTGATCTATCCAAAAATATTGAGTGCCTACTGTGTGCCAGGCAGCCTGTGAAGCCTTTTGCGTGAATCCTCTCATTTCAACCCAGGAACCCTTACAAGTCAGTCTACTATTATTTCCATTTTATGGATGAAGAAACTGAGGCTCAAGGAGCCTGAGTGGTTTGCCTAAGGTCAAGCAGAGCAGGGCAGGAATCCAGGGCTTTCCAAATTCAGAGCCTTAACACCATGCCACACTGTGCTGGCAGAGATAGCAAGAGTTGTTGGAGATGATTATAAGGGGAGGGCCAAAATGATCGTGGGAATCCAATCCCCGTGGCAGTAGGTGGGAGATGCTGACCTGGGCTTCCTCAGAAAGGTGTGAAATGTTGACACCCTCCCCTTGGGCTCTTCAAGGGCTCAAGAGGGGCTGTGTTAGGCTGGGCTGGAAACAGAGGGCTGACCATCATGGGTTCCAGAGGGAGCTATCCACCCCCCTACCTAGCCAGAGGCAGCCAGGATTCCATTAACCTGATTCTCTGCCCCACATAAACCTGCAAAGGGAGCCCCTGGAGGGAGGGGTACTGGGGAGAGGAAGAATTGGGCTTCCCCAGGCCCCAAATGGAGCAGCCAGTGGTGCTAGTTTCCTCTCTTGCAGTCCAGGAGGACCTTCGAGGCCCCTGGCTGTTTGAGCGGGGAATAGGGAGAGCGATGGAGAGCCAGAAAGTAGGGACAAGAGACTCCAGGCTGGGGTGCAACAGCAGGAATAGCAGGAACAGGGTGCACGTCATCAGAACAATGGGTCCTGAGTCACTCTGTGCCTGCCCAGCCCTGCATGGCCCTGGGTGAGTCATGTCACTTCTCTGAGCTGTGGGTTCTTCCTCAATAGTAAGGGCAAACCAATGCCACCTCTCAGTGTTGCTGGGCTGATTCACAATACCGGGCCTCAAGAAATGGTGGCTGTTGCCAATGCTATAATTTTACAATCTTGACCCCATGTATCCCTTCTCAGCTTGCAAGCCACATTCATCCTTTTTCTCCTTGGAGCCTCACAATACTTCTGCAAGGTGTCCAGGATTCTTACCAGAGAGGTTAAGGGACTTGTTCAGAATCACACAGCTTCTAACCCTTGGCCTGGGATGCACCCCTAGTGATTGTCATGGAGTGGGCCATCCCAGCCAGGCTACGCCACTCTTCTTCAGTCTGGGTGGTTGCTATTCCTCTGCCATGATTCACGTCAGATGCCTCTTCCTCCAGGAATCCCTCCCTGACCACACAAGAGCCTGGTTAGTACAACTCTCTGCTTTCCCACAACCTTTGAGACATTTATCAGAGTGTTTATCAGCAGTCATCACAACCGTTAGGTGCTCCCACCTAAGACTTTGAGGGTTCAGCCAATACTTTATAATAGAAGAAGAGGGGGTACAATAAATATTTTGTTAATGACTACAGCACCTGTACAAAGGGACAGATAGGTGTCCACAGACTCACATGTATAAGTAACAGTCATGCATGCACAGCCATGCACATGTGGCTTAGTGAATACACATGTATACAGACAGGGAGAATGTTCTGGAACATGAATTGTGCTCATGTGGATGCCCCATCCCCCCACCCCCATATAAACACATAAAAATACTAGAGATGATATTGATACAACCTGGTAAGAGAGAAAGGAAAATCCTTGGGTGACTTGGTTTTTCATTTAAGGGATTTTTTTTTCTTTTTCTTTTTCTTTTTTTGAGACAGAGTCTCGCTCTTTTGCCCAGGCTGGAGTTCAGTGGCGCAGTCTCGGCTCGCTGCAACCTCTGCCTCCCAGGTTCCAGCGATTCTCCTGCCTTCAGCCTCCTGAGTAGCTAGGACTACAGGTGCACGCCACCATGCCTGGCTAATTTTTGTATTTTTTGGTAGAGACAGGGTTTCACCATATTGGCCAGGCTGGTCTCGAACTCCTGACCCCATGATCTAGCCTCCTCGGCCTCCCAAAGTGCTGGGATTACAGGCGTGAGCCACCATGCCCGGCCTCATTTAAGAGATTTTTGAAATAGTAGGTGGAACAAAAATACAGCCATAAAATAGAAGCTGGGAGGAATAGGATTGGAATTACAACATACTAAAATTGTTTGGGAGGTAGATAGGGATAGCAATTAACTTTTGGCTTGGTTGAGGCCAATGTGAGTGTTAAAAATGACAGGGTACCCATGAAAGACAGAATATATAACTTCTGAAGCAGCAGAGGGAATAAAAAGGCATACAGCAAATACAATCAATTCCACAGAATTAAGAAAGGAGAAAAAAGTTTTAAATGGATTATAAATAAAACATACAAGAGTATAAAGTCAAATACGTGTTAGTGTTCACAATAAATGAAAATGGGTTCAAAACTGTTAAAAAACAGAAATTCATAGTTTGGATGAGGAAAAACAGTACAGCTCTATCTGTTTACTGCAGACAAGCCTAAGAGATAATGAGGCACAAAGGGTAAAAGGAGAGAAAATTATGTATCAGCAAATATTCTCTAGAATAAAATAGGTAGCAAGATACATTTCAGAGGATAAAAAGACTTTAAGACAAAACAGCATTATTAGGGACAAAGAAGGTCATTATATCTTGTAATGACAAGATATAATAATCCTGAACTTAGTCTCAAAACACTTTAAAAAAAAAAGATACACTTGTAAGAAGAAAATGTCAAATCAGATCCAATTGGTGGGATATTTTAGCATAGCTTTCTCAAAAATCAATGGAGTAAGTAGACACAAATTATTAGACTCAAATGAGCTAACTAATAAGAGCCCTGCTCTCAACAAAGAAAAATTACACTTTTTCCCCCTCAGATTTACCACACAGAATGTCTCATACAGGACCACAAACCTTCCCCAGGTGTGTAAGTACCTGAGGACAGAGTGACAAGTGTGTAGGAACAGTTAACTCTCCCAAAGACATCCAGATATGAGAGGGGGTCTTGTATGGTGGCCAAGGTGTTTAGCTAACTAAACAATTCCATGACTTCGGACGATTAAAATACCTTGTCTGAATCTTAGTTTCCTTATGTAAAACATGTCAATTTGGGGACAGCAGACTGTAAAGGGCCAGAAAGTTAAAATTTTAGCCTTTGTGGGTTTTACAATCTCTGTTGCAACCACTCAACTCTGCCATTGTGACATAAAATCAGCCATAGGCAACATGTAAACAAATGAGCCTGGCTGTGTGCCAATAAAACTTTATTTTCAAAAAAAAAAATGGCAAGGCCAGGCACGGTGGCTCATGCCTGTAATTCCAGCACTTTGGGAGGCTGAGGTGGGCGGATCACTTGAGGGCAAGAGTTTGAGACCAGCCTGGCCAACATGGTGAAAGCCTGTCTCTACCAAAAAATACAAAAAGTAGCCAGGTGTGGTGGCATGCACCTGTAACCCAGCTACTTGGGAGGCTGAGGTGGGAGAATCACTTGAACCAGCGAGGCAGAGGTTGCAGTGAGCCGAGATCACACCACTGCACTCCAGCCTGAGCGACAGAGCAAGACTCTGTCTCAAAAAAATAAAAAAATAAAAAATAAAAAAAAGGCAAGCCCAAATTGGCCTGTGGGGGCATAGTTTGTCAACCTAATACCATTTGCCTTGCCAGGATTGGCGATGACATAGAGAATGATAAGAAAAGGAAAGCATTGTATACAGCACAGGAGTTCAAAAAAGGGGTACCTATTGGCCGGGCACAGTGGCTCACACCTGTAGTCCCAGCACTTTGGGAGGCCAAGGCAGGCAGATTGCTTGAGTCCAGGAGTTCTGAGACCAGCCTGGGTGACATGGCGAAACCTCATCTCTACAAAACATACAAAAATTAGCTGGGCATGGTGGCATGTGCCTGTAGTCCCAGCTACTCAGGAGGCTAAGGCCAGAGGGTCGCTTGAGCCTGGGAGATCAATGCTACAGTGAGCCATGATCACACCACTACCCTCCAGCCTGGGTGACAGAGCAAGACCCCATCTCAAAGAAAAAAGAGTACCCATTTTGAAAGAGGACATAACAGGAAGATGTGTACACACATACACACATATGTGTACAGAGACACACAGACATGCACATATGTTTGCATATGGATATATAAAGACTGGGTTGCACATGTAAGCACATTTTATGCACGAGTAGACATGCATGCATGTGGGCATGCTTTCATACATGTAGGCAAATCATCTAGAAAATGGGATAAGAACATGGACCTCATGGGGTTGTGAGTGAACGAGTCCATGGTGCTCCGTGCAATGCCTAGCCCATTGTAAGTACTCGGAAGTCAGCTTTATTCCATATGGGAATGGGTCTGGAGCACGGTAAGGGGTACCTGACACCACACACGTTCACACAGGCACGCACAATGCAGTCTGTGTGAGCTCATTTTCAGAGGAAAGCCAGGCTAATGAGGAGGTTGTCTTCGTAGCCAGCGGGTGCCCAGGACAGCCCTGATGGGGACGCCACTTGGCTTTCTCCTGAGATGTTGGGCAAATGAGGAGAAAAGGCGTTTTAATCCCTCGTCATGTCTGTGAGGGCTGGAGGACATGTGCTGAGCTGGAATTCTCAACTTCAGCCTTTTTTTTTTTTCCTTGACACATCCATCCCAGAAACATCTGTGAGATGAAACAGAGAAAGGTCTTATGAATTCAGCTCGTACTCGGCCTGTGCTCCCACCCGGAGCAAGCGAGACATGAATCACCGGCCCAGGGGCTCGGGGGCCCCACAGAGCAGCCTCTCCAGAGGGGCCCCGGCCTTTCCAGCGTAGCCGCTTTTGATTTCCCCAAAGCCTTCTGATCGTCTACACTCCACAGAGCATGTGCGTCCAAGAGAGAGCTCGGCTTGCACCAGGGTGGGGGAGAGCCGCTCATTCCTCAGACTGTGCTGAGTCCAACTCTACACCAGGCTCTCGGAGGCACAAAGATGAACCAGACAAGGAGTGCGCCGAGGCCCTTTCACTTGTCCCCATCTTCCCATTGTTTGAAAACACTGGAGGAAGACAGCTATTGTGGTTTTGTGAGCAGTTGCTTCAATGGGCATGTATTTTGGTACATTGATCCGTAGAAGCCGTAGAATGTTGTGCGTTGGACATTTTTATCCTGCATGCAGGAGGGAGTGCGTAATGGCTACTGCTAGGTCAGGGATCAACCAGGTAAGGTCTTAACAGCCAGCCAGTAATTGAACTTGACCTTCTGGGGGCCTGTGCGTGGCCTGCAGCCTCAGATCCCGCCAGATGGCTGAAATCCCTAGCCCTCTCCCACCTTTTGTCTCACCTTTTCTGTGTGTTTCAAGAAAATGAGTAGATTTCAGAGCCGCAGTGACCCCTGGCCTTTTGTAGCATGCACCAGGGCCAGGAAGGGGGCAGAAATGAGGCCAGCCCTCTTGTTCATTTCTTCTGTCCAATGGACAAAGCTGTGGTGGGCACCTGCTGTGCTCTGGGCCCTGTGCTGGGCACTGGGGAAACGGAGGAGAAGACAGAGCTTTCTTTAAAGAGCCCACAGGCTCAGGAGGTAGACAGCCCAGGGCCCTGGTAGAAAACTTTTTGTTTCCTCAAAGATGCAGACAAAGTCCTGTGAGGTACAGGAGGTGGGAAGAGGGCCTTTGTGGTTCCAAGTGGCTGGAGCAAGACCAGGAGAGGCCCTACACGGCGGGGGAGGGGGGCCTGAACTGGATTTGAGTGTGCAGAGATGGAGAAGTCTGCAGACAGGCTTGGGCACTGGATCAGCAACGTCAGGGATGGGAGAGCTGTCAGTCATTCAAAAGACGTCCCAACCAGAGGGTCCTAATTATTTCAGCTCCCAATGTTATAAAGAAAGCAGCTCAGGCCTGAAGGGGGGAAGCCATTCTCCCACTGTCACAGGGGCCCCTGGGACCCCCAGTCCCCTTTCTAGGGCCATTTCCACAGTCGGGGAGAGAGACTTACTAGTATGACTCCCTGCACACACATAGATGCCTGCTTTCCTTGTGCTGGCCAGCTGCTGTGCGGGGTGGGGAGGATGTGATGTTTACAGAGTCACAAGTTTATGAGAGGGATGGGGGTTCTCTAACATGAGTGTAGGTGGGAGAGATAAAAGAGTTTCTCTAGTCCTGAAGAATTTGGGCCCATTTTACAGATGAGAAAGTTGAGTCACAGGAGACCAAGTAACATACCCAGAGTTGCACATTGTTTAGTAGATTAAACTAGGCGTGTATGAAGCAAGGAGAGGGAGAAGGTGAACGCCAAGTTTCAGCCATTTTCCCATCTGTTTCCAGATCATCCCTGTCTTCCTCAGGACAGTCCCAGACCAGTCCTTCCCATTCAGCTTCTCACCTTGGCCTTCCCCACTCCTTCCCAGAATTCTTAGCAACAGACCGGCAGCCTGAGAGGGGCTGGAATCCCCCAGCCCACCCCCATTCCTTGGAAGGGCTGGCTCTTGTTTACCCAGCTGGTGTGAACCCAGGCTGGGGTCACCAGGAAGACCGAGGATGCCTGTCGTCCAGCTGGTGCCCCACTGCTTGGGTCTAATGACCCCTTCCCTCCCTTTCTAGGCCTCCCCCAAAGAGGTGACCCAAGGTGGGGCTTGGCCTCAAGGAATAGGGGAGCTTGGCTCCTATTTCATCCCTTTATGTCTCTGTTCTTTCATCTTTCCTGAAAAAGCAGAGGTGGCCACGAGGAAAGAGATGGAATCAAACTTAAGAGCTAGTTAGTAAGGGGCAGATAAACAGAGCCCGGGGTTTGGCACTGAAAAACCTGGGTTTGAGTCCCAGATCTGTGTGACCCTAGCAGATCCCATGCCCTCTCTGGACATCCATGTTCCACTCTGCCATCTCAGGGCAATGGTCACCCCCGATCCCAGTGAAGCTCAAGTGCAATAACCAATGTAAAAATGCTTTGTAGAGTCAAAATGCAATAAGGTTGGTGATTACAGTCATTATTAGATTGACATAAGGGAACATATCTGTTCAGAAAGGCACATTAAACTAATCAGGGGAAGGGGCATAGGCCAGGAGTCAGAAGACCCAGGGAATAGTATAGGCATTAACTGTGTGGCCCTGGGCATGCGCTTTTGCTTCATTATCCCTTTTAGCTCCGCTTACGTTAAAATGGAATCATAAGCCCTGTTCTCCCTACAGAGTCTTATGGTGACCAAGTAAGATTATTCATCCAACCAGCATTTACTCAAGACCTTCCATGCACCAGGCCCTGGGGTAAGCTAGCATGTAGCTCCTGTCCCCGAAAATCTAGTATGATTTTTCGGAAAATGATACTAGAGGCCAGGTGCGTGGCTCACGCCTGTAATCCCAGCACTTTGGGAGGCCGAGGCGGATGGATCACGAGGTCAGGAGATCGAGCCCATCCTGGCTAACATGGTGAAACCCCGTCTCTACTAAAAAAAATACAAAAAATTAGCCGGGCGTGGTGGCAGGTGCCTGTAGTCCCAGCTACTTGGGAGGCTGAGGCAGGAAAATGGTGTGAACCCGGGAGGCAGAGCTTGCAGTGAGCCGAGATGGCACCACTGCTCTCCAGCCTGGGCGACAGAGTGAGACTCTGTCTCAAAAATAAAAACAAAACAAAAAAAGAAAAAAAGAAAAAAAGAAAAATCATACTAGAGAAGGGTGTGGGGTTCAGAATCCTAGAGGGTCAGGTATAATTGAGTCTAGTCTGCTCATTTTGCAGATAGGAAAAACAAAGCCCTAAAAAGCAAAACAGCTTTCCCAGGATATCAGAAATGAGGAACACCTGTTGCCACTTCTCTGCTGAATCCGAGGCAGACAGTACCAATCAATCACGATGCTCTTCCTGCCAACCCACATGCTACTTCAGGATCTTCTGAATCTCAACGCAACACTCTGGGCAACCACCAGTCAATTGGTCAGAGTTGGAGGGCAATCTGAAACTATGCATACCAACCCTAAATCCTAACCCTGGACTTGCCCAAGGCCATTTGGCCAGAACGATCTGTTCTGACACTCAGACGCAGGGTCTTTCACTCACTCTGCATCTCCATTTGCTCCTGAAAGCAACTCTTATGGAGTATCCACCAAAGATGAGTAAGGCCTGGTGACCGTCAGCAAGAGGCTCAAAGTCTGGGGGAGAAGAAAGTCAAAGGGGAAGTAATTGTGATATGGGGAGAAAGTCAGGGATATACACAAATCCCTGTGGGAATTTGGAGAAGAGAACAACCTGGCTATTCAAGGACAGGGTTAGGGGGCAGGGTGGTGGTTAAGGAAGGCTTCCCAAAGGAAAGGACATTGAAATCAGCACTCAGCCAGCAAATACATGGCAAACATGGGGTCCTGGATAGGGTCCAGATGCCTCAGGTGTCTGAGGATGAAGGACATCTATGAACTGACATTAGAAGGCATCGTAGCAGGGCCACCAACCCTGGTGAATGGGCAAAGTTGGGACTTGGGAGGAGAAACTCAGGAGGTAGGAAGGGAAGTTTCTAGGCTGTTTTGAGCTGAAGCCCAGTGAACTAGACGGTCAAGCCCCTACTGAACTCACCTATCGTACCCTACACTCCTTCACTTGTAGCCCTCATCATACTGCTAATTATTTAACATAGGTCTAGGCTGGGAGCCCGGATAGGGCAGGGACTGGATCTCATTTGTTACTAGCTGGGACTTGAACGTAGCCCTGGCGCAGTGCCTGGCTGCTTCATTGTAAGTACTCAGTAAATCTTGGACGGATATGTGGATGGATGGATGGATGGATGAATGGATGGATGGATGGACAGAGAGATGTCATGCAGCCTCTCTCTAAGCCTGTTTTCTCCTTTGCAAAATGGGAGAAATAGTGCCAAACTCATAGGGATGTTATAAGGATTAAATGAGATGATGTCACTAAAGCCTCTAGCGTGGTGTGTGGCATTCAAAAAATAATATTTATTGAAGGAATAACGATGACTACTTAAGCACAAGTGTAAAGATACTCTTGATAGATAAGCTCCTGATGAATAAATTTTGCATACTCTACCAGGATGATTAAAAGAGGAGGAAGTCTGGGACACAATTGTTAGAAATCAAGCCTAGTAGTGACCATCAGGGTGGTAAAACCTTGGATGGAAAATGCCCCAAATCATTTTATTTTTTATTTTATTTATTTGGTGGAGTCTTGCTCTATCGCCCAGGCTGGAGTGCAACGATGTGACCTTGGCTCACTGTAACCTCCACTTCCTGGGCGCAAGCGATTCTCGTGCCTCAGCCTCCCAAGTAGCTGTGATTACAGGCACACACAACCACGCCTGGCTAATTTTTGTATTTTTAGCAGAGATGGGATCTTGCCATGTTGCCCAGGTTGGTCTGGAACTCCTGGCCTCAAGCAATCCGCCCACCTTTGCCTCCCGAAGTGCTGGGATTACACACATAAGCCACCATGCCCGGCTCCCCAAGTCATTTTAGAACATGGAAGAATGGAGCTAACCACCCATTCCGTGCAGACACATTATCCTAGCACTTTACACATGTTAATTTATTTAATCCCCACAACAACCCCCTGTGTTAGGTACTGTTATTACCCTCATTTATCATATAGGGAAACTGAGGCACAGAAAGATACCCAAAGTCTCACAGCCAGGAAGTGGTCTGACTCCCAAAGCCACTCTTTTAGCCACCTGAGGAGCTCACTGTCTGACAGAGGAGACTAAGTAGCAATTACTAGGAGCAGAGATTGCATCTCTGTCCCCAGCAAGGTGCCCACCACATAGCAGGTTCTCAATCAGTATCTGTGGAATGAATGAATGAATAAACAAATGAATGAATCTGCATACCACCAACTCTAGAGCAGTGTGACGGGCTCTAATCATGGTATTAGTAGACGAATGGCAGCAGGTTAGTGCCTGAATGATCCAAGATTACTGTGTCTTATCTAAGTAGTTGTCATGGTCAGTTATAAAGCTTGTGGAGGACACATGCTTTGCTGTCCATTCCTGTGTGTCACTACCCATAAATGGCCTCTTGTTGTTCCTGTGATCTTAACCAGGGCCTCTTGCTGTCGTTTAAGTCCTTGTAGGGCAGGAGGGAGTCTGGACTGCAGGGAGGGCTCAGTGCAAAGGAGGCCATGCTCAACTCCAAGCCAGTGGGGACCTTGGCCCACTTCTGCCACCAACACCCCATATATCCCTGGACAGAGACTTCCCTCTCTGAGCCTCACTCCCCTCATCAGGACAGGGGAATAGAGATGGCATCTCCCTCGAGGCTGTGGGGGTGGAAGGCATGCACGTGGCCACATTTAGGAAACACAGAAGCAGAAGGTAGGATTGTTCTAGAAAGAGGCGATTGTCAGGCTGGTTTCGGGGGTGACTCAGTCTTGAAGGTGGGAGCAGGGGGAGGCCATGGCGAGATGTGAATGGCAGCCCCATGCCCTGTCGGCCCCATGGTCACTCCTGCTGTATATGTCACAGTGCCGGAAGTGTCCATCATTTGATGAACATCTGGGATGAAGGCCTGCTGTCTCCAGGAGGGATCCTGTTTTAATGCATGCGGGGTACAGACAGTGTAACATTTTGATTCCCTGGCAAAGACACATCCCTGGCCTCTCTCAGCATGAGCTGACATCAGAGAGAATGGGGCAGGGCTGGAGACAGAGGGCCGATGCCAGGAGCCGGGCAAGATCTGAGACTTCCAGCAGGGGTCCCATGGGGCCTCGGGACAGCTGGAGGAGCCACATGCCTGGGGTTGGGTGAGGGGCAACAGGAGAACCCTAAAAATGGAGCAAAGAGCTGTCGGGAGTAACTTTCTTCTCTTTCAACTTTTTGCCAAGGAGCAGCGTGGCTACAGACTCTGCATAGCCCAGAGAGGAGGCTCTGCCAGCCCCCCAGGCACCTGTCCCAGAAGTCTAATTACTAGCTCTCGATGGGCAGCCAGCTCACTGATTGCGAGTCCTTGCAGAGAGGCGGTGCTGAAATCATGAAATATTCCAAAGGAAATACGTTTATTCCTTTGCAGAAGGATAACACAGCATCTCACTCGTCACTACCTCGCATTCGCGTGGGGTGTTACCGAAGGCTGAAGAACTTACTTATGGGTCCCTGTTAGATCTGACCGCCCCTTTCCACCCCTCACTGTCACCACCCTGTCCATCCATAGTCATCCGTGCCTGAACCATGGTGCAGCCTCCTCCCTGGCCACCCTGTGCCCCCATAGCCCATTCCTCACTCAGCAGACAGAGGGAACTGTTCACATCACAAGCCACTTCCCAGCCCCACCAAAACCCTCCCATGGTTTGCCATCACACCTAGAGCCACCCTCAGCCTCCTTTCTGTGGCCATGGGGCCCACAGTTTTGGCTCCTTCCTCCTGCTCTGCCCTGTTTCCCACTCAGTTCCCCCATATTCACCTGCTTCAGCGGCCAGACCTCTGTACAGCCTGAAACTGAGCCCCAGGCTTATTCATTCCCTCTGAGGAAGAGCCTTTGTACATTCTGTTCCCTCTGCCTGGAATACCCTTCCCTGCACTCCCCCTCTAACTCCCCCTAACTGGCACCTTCTTGTCCTTCAGGTCTCAGCTCAGATGCCACATCCTCAGAGAAGCCTCCTCTGACCACCAGCCAAAGCAGCCCCCCAGCACTCTCTAGCACATCCCCCTGTATTTATCTAATACCTGTTTATTTTTCATTTTCCCCATTTGATGATAAATTCTCAAGTAGGAACCTAGCTGTTTTGCTTGTGGCTGAATCTGAGCAATTAGAACACATGGTAGGGTATCGTATCTGTTGAGTGAAGGATCCCTGCAAGGAGAAATAGGTAATACTAATGGCCACTTACTGAGCCCCTGCAAGTACATGGCACCATCCAACTGTAACCTCATTTTGTCCTCACAGTATAAAACCTTGCAAGGGAGTGTCCCCATTTTACACCTGAGGAAACTGAGGCTCTGGGGGTTCAAGCAACTTTCCCAAGACCATGCAGAAAGCAAGAAGCAGAGACCCAGGTCTGTCTAATTCTAAGTCCTTGCTCTTGCCACTGTGTTTTTTTTCTCCTAACTTTTATTTTAGGAGTACATGTGAAGATTTGTCATATAGATAAATTGCATGTCATGGGGATTTGGTGTACAGATTATTTCATCACCCCGGTGATAAGCATAGTACCCAATAGGTAGTTTTTCGATCCTCTCTCTCCTCCCACCCTCCACCCTCAAGTAGGCCCCAGTGTCTTTTGTTCCCTTCTTCTTTTTCTTTTTTTCTGGAGACTTAGTCTCACTCTGTTGCCCAAGCTGGAGTGCAGTGGTGCAATCTCAGCTCACTGCAACCTGTACCTCGCAGATTCAAGTGATTCTTCTGTCTCAGCCTCCCGAGTAGCTGGGATTACAGCCACCTGCCGCTATGCCTGGCTAATTTTTGTATTTTTAATAGAGACAGGGTTTTACCATGTTGGCCAGGCTGCTCTCGAACTCCTGACCTCAAGTGATCTGCCCACCTCAGTTTCCCAAAGTGCTGGGATTACAGGCGTGGGCCACCGTACCCAGCCTCTTGTTCCCTTCTTTGTGTCCATGTGTATTCAATGTTTAGCTTCCGCTTATAAGTGAGAACATGTGGTATTTGGTTTTGTGTTCCTATGTTAGTTCACTTAGGATAATGGCCTCCAGCTCCATCCACGCTGTTGCAAAGGCTTTTTTATGGCTGTGTAGTATTCCATGGTGTATATGTACCACCTTTTCTTTATTCATTCTACTGTTCATGGACATTTAGGTTGATCCCATGGCTTTGCTGTTGTGAATAATGCTGCAGTGAACATACATGTGCATGTGTCTCTGTGGTAGAACAATTTATATTCCTTTGAGCATCTACCTAATATTCGGATTGTTGGGTCAAATGGTACATCTGTTTTAAGCTCTTTGAGAAATTTCCACACTGCTTTCCACAATGGCTGAGCTAACGTACATTGCCACACTGTTATTAAAACAGGCTTATTGCCCTTGTTTAACACATAAGAAGACAGAGACTCAGAGAGGTATATGCTCATGTGCCCAAAAGCCTCAGCCAGGAAGAGCAGGGCTGGGATTGGAACCCAGAGTGCTGCTGCTGTCTCTGCAGGGGCAGGGGCTGGCAGGAGACCCAGGCAGCTGAGAGGCTGGCCCAGCCAGGCAGCTGTCTATAGTGAGAGGGGTCTTAGGGGTAGGCAGGAGCCTGTCCAGTTTGACAGCAGGGTCTAAGTGCTTCATGAGTATTAGCTGTCTTCTCAACAACCTTAGGAGGGAGAGTGTTATTATCCCCATTTTGCAGGTGGAAAAACTGAGGCACAGAAAAGTTATATTATTTACCCAAGGTCACTCAGCTAGGAAGTGGTGATGCCGGCTCCAGAGCACACACTGCTAACCACAGCACAGCACTGTTTCTCTGAGGAGACGAAGCTGGGCCAGGCACCGGATCCCCCAGGAAGCCCCCAAGAAGGAAGCCTATAGCCTGGGGCCAGCATCCTTGGGACCTTGACTGATCCCAGTCCTTTGGGGTCCTTGGTCAGATCAAGAGGGCATTAGGTCCTGCCTGCAGCTGAAGGCCTTTGGCAGCTCCATACCCTGCAAGGTACTCGGGCCCTGGAACCAGGCAGCAGGAGTAGACCCTGGCTCTGCCCACACCCGGATTTGTGTGCTCCTGGCCAGGCCACTTGAATGCTCAGAGCCTCAGTTTCCTCAGCTATAAAACAGGGCCAGGAGTTCATCAGGATGTTGCGATGAGAGCAGAGGAGGTGACGATGATGAGTTAGGCTCCATCCAGCGTGGAGTCCCACCTCCTGAGTGGTGAGCGAGCAGTGGCTGAAAGCACATGGTGTCCAGCTCAATTTAGATCCCTCCTCTACCACTCACTGCATCAGTGACATTGGACAAGCGACTTACCTCTCTGTGCCTGTATCCCTTGTAAGTGGGGATAATTATAGTATAATTTGAGATTACATGATTAATCCATATAACGCACTTAAAACAGCATCTGCCCCACGGTAAGCACTAAGTGTGAACCGTCATTTAATAGAAGATAAATGTTAAAACATTAGTTCTGGCCGCTTTTGGAACTAAAGAGACCCTTCTAAGCAGAGTTCCCATGAGGTCAGAGAAAATAAGCTAGGAAGTTGTGGTCTCAAGCCCTCACTTGGTGACAGTGTGGGCTATCTTTGCAGGCTGCCCTTCACCACAAGTTGCCTCCCGACTCCTCATCTCCAGTTTTCTCGAGGATTAGTCCTTGTCTGTGGGTGCTAGAGCTAAGTGCTTGTCAAGTTTATGAACTTTCAGAGCCATTTTTAGAAACAACCAGGACTCCTCATTTTTATAAGGGCTGAGATAAGAATGGTCTGTAAGATTAGAGGTTTGTCATTTTCCTCTGCTTTGATTCTCTCTCTCTCTTTACACACACACACCCACACACACACGTACACAGACAGCACAGCAGCCCCAGGCCCTATAAACACATTGTTCAAATAAAGGAGACATTTAGGGGAAGTCTGAAGCACCATTTAAAGGTGATTGCTCTAAATGGCCATGTCTAGGCAATTTGTCATAAAGTCTCCCGGCTGTTGGCCAGAGATCACTTTTGCTGCAAATCTTGCTGTTGTCTTGTAATTTTCAACTTTTGACCCTTTAAAACTGAGAAGGTGTGGGATCTTGGTGAGTTTTGGGGATGGGAGTATTTTAAAGTAACTTGTTAAGAAGCCATTTGGCCCTGGGAAAGTTTGGGATCAGTTAGACCCTAAGGATCCCTGCAGAGGAGCCCAGGATGCCCAGGTACCTGCTCTGCTGCAAAGGACTTAATGATTCAAGAATGTCCCAGGGCGTGGCCAGGTGCGGTGGTTCACACCTGTAATCCTAGCAATTTGGGAGCCTGTGGCAGGCGGATCTCTTGGGTCAGGAGTTCGAGACCAGCCTGGCCAACATGGTGAAACGCCATCTCGACTAAAAATATAAAATAGTCGGGCATAGTGACGTGCGCCTGTAATCCCAGCTACTAGGGAGGCTGAGGCAGGAGAATCACTTGAACCCGGGAGGTGGAGGTTGCAGTGAGCCGAGATTGTGCCACTGCACTCCAGCCTGGGCCACAGAGTGAGAGTGAGACTCTGTCTCAAAAAAAAAAAAAAAGAAAAGAAAGTCCTAGGTCAGGGACCGGGCAGACTTCTTCCTGATTTCTCCAGAGGTTCACAGACCGCCCTGCCAAAGACAGAACTGCCCGATCTGCAGGCCTTGGGCATGGAGAGGTTGGCACGCACCTGTTGCTGGGTAGGCGGCTTGTTGCCTCTCCAGCCTCGTGTCCTGCATCTCTGCAACCATAGACTCTGGGTTCCAGCTGCCTCAAACGAGCAGCAGGTCCTCAGCCTTGCCATGCAGTTTCCCATCTCCACCCCTCCGCCCACGCTGCTCCCTCAGCCTCGCATGCTTCTCCTTTCTTGCTTTTGTCTTGTCATTCTTAGTCTTCCAACGCAGCTCAAGTGTTTGCACCTCCAGGAAACCACAGTGGTAGAGACCCCTCCTCTGGGCTTCCAGACCCAGCGCCTCTTCCCCACAGGCTTCCCCAGACATTGTTTGGAAACTGCTTACTGACCGGGGCATCTTCCCCACCAGGCTGGGAGCCCCTTGAGCTGTGGATCCCTAAGCCCAGCCCAGGCACCAGCCTTGAGGAGGTGAGGCCATGTGATAGAGTAGTTAAGACCCTGCCTTTGGCCTCAGATGTAATGCTCCCACACTCCCCTCCCAGTTCCAACACTAGCTGGAGTGGGTTACTCAGCCCCGCAGAACCTCCATCACCTCTTCTAGATGTGGGAATATCAATAGTACTCATGGGGTTGCTGTAGGAATTGATGATGCAAGCACACACTCTATGCTTATTAACTCCAAGTCTTCACTGCAGGTAAGTCCTATTCATTAATCGATTTTTCAGATGAGGAAACGGAGATGCAAAGACAGTTTGAGGAGCTTGCCCAAGGTCAGTGGCAGACTCAGAGTTCAAGGCCAGAAGGACCCTGTTGCAGAGCCTGTGCCCCTAACCACTGGGAAGCACAGCCCCCTGATAACTTATATGAAGCCTGGAACACAGCAGCTGCTCAATAAATGGTGGCTGCTGTTGTTAATAGGTGCTCAGTTCGTTTTTAATGGTAAAGAGGTGGGGCTGGACACAACAGGGGAGGAAGGGCTCAAGACCTAGGGAAGGGAGAGAACTGGAGGAAACAAAAAGGAAACAGGAAAGCTTTGAAACGGGGGAGAGGGCCATCTGAGGCCAGGGCAGGTGGGCTGGAGTGTGAGGGGCCCAGGGCCCAGGCAGGCTGCTGGAGGAAAGGGCTGAGGGCACCAGGGCTATGTGGCCATTTGGGCACTGGAATAGGATCTCCCCTGGCTTCCCTGCTCTTGGAAAATAAAACCCCAAACTCCATCACCAAGCACACAAAACCCTTTGTGACATAATCCCAGATCAACTGTCTCACCTCGTGTCTGAACCCTTCCCCCCATACACCCTGTGCTCCAGTCCCTCCATGCCTCCAGCACATGCTGTTCTGCCTGTCTGAAATGTCCTTGGTCTCTTCTGACCCTGACAGACTCCTACTCATCCTTTAATACCCTATTCAAGTGGCTCCTGTTCTGGAGAGCCTTCCTGGGTACCCCTAGCTAATCATACTCTCTCTCCCCTGCTAGACGGTGAGCCTCAAGGCCAGGGACTATGTCTTATTCAACTCTGTGCCTAGTGCCTGACACAGAGCTGGGCACAAAGTGATCATTGAGAAACAGCTTGTTGAGTTTTTATGGAGTAAGTCTATCCTCAAATCAAGGGCAGGCCCTCATGGAACCACACACACGATCTCAAATCCTCAGTGTCCAGGAGGGCTTAGATTTGGAGGTAGGAGCCAAGTGAGATTAAGAAGAGAACTCATACTTCTTAGGGATCCAGACTAGGGAATTTTCCAGGACAAGTAGGCCTCCAGAACTCTGCTGTGTGCCCGTGACTGCTGCTGAGAGAATTCATACCTGGGACCTCACCCCGATCCACTCCAGCACCACTCAGAGATAGTGGAAAACAAGCTGGAGGCCTGAGATGGCCTGTCCACTATCGCTCGGTGGACCTCCTTAAAATGTGGAGCCCAAAACTAGCCCTGCCTGAGCTACCAGGAGGATGCTGGCTGTCACTCTACTTCTACTCTTACAGCCTACAATCACATTGGCTTTTTCAGCAGCTTTTGGCTTGTGGTCAACTCAAACCCCCAGGTCTTTTTCACTGGGGTGGCTGCCAAGCCACATCTTGTGCATTTGATTTATGGCTTGGGTTAGCTGAGGCCTTCTCCTGCTCCCCAGAAGTCAACAGGAGGAAGGTGACGGGTTCTGTACCCCTAGGAGGGAGAGTGATTCCAGGCCTCCCAATCAAGATCCTTGTTGTTTGTATTTCCTAATCCCTTCTCCCAGAGATGCCAAATGCTGGGACCTCGAGTGGGATTTTCATTAGCATTCAAGTCACAGGCCACTGGGGCACAAGCAGAGCAACCTTCCAGGTTTCCGGGGGATACAGTGGTTCTGGAAGACACTTAGACAAGGCAGGGAGAGAGAGGCAGGTGGTGGAGGCTCAATCTTCTGAGCTTGGTGTCCATGTGCGCTGGGGATGGCACTTCATTGCTTGGAGCCTCCGTTTCTCATCTGTACAATGGGGGTGACAAATCTCCAACATCATAGCACTGTTAGAACAAAGGTGCCCAAGCAGGACGTCCCTCCCAGAGCTTAGTACTTCTTTCTGTCTGGGATCACGGGCAGCTGGGGTTAAGAGCAAATGGGTATTAAGTCTCTGTTAATACCCCACTCCCACTGCTGCTGCACTGATGAGGATCTGTGGTGCTGAGATTTTCCCACCTTTGCAAATATTGTTACTGCTGAGCTGAATGCTCTTCTCCTCAGGTGTTGCCTCTTCAAGGTCACTTTTGCAGAAAGGCCTTTTCTGCCCACAGTCCCTAAAGTGATCCCTCTGAGGACCGATCTCAGCCCTTGTCCGTCTCCTTCGTGACCCATCGCGAGGTGTGTGTGTCATTTCCATCTGTCTATTGCTTCTTTCCCTCCTTCTCTCACCCACTAGACTATCAGCTCCCTGAGGTCAGGGCCTGTGTCTCCTCAGTCCTCACTGGTCCCCAGCCCCAGCACATAACCAGAACCGAGCAGTCTATGTGGAACAACCGTTGCAGATTTCAGAATGTTCTCTCAGACTTTGGCAACAAATTCTAACTGTGGGATCCAGCGGACCAGGGGATCCATATAGAACCAAAGACAGAAGCATGTTTAGTCCTCTCTGCCCTGAGCAAGGCCTCAGTTTCCCTAGCTGTAAAATGAAATGATAAAGAGACTAACTTTTTCTCTAAAGTCCTTCGAGCCCTAAAAGACTCTAAGTCGGCACAGGAAGTGGGAGAAAATTGTATTGAATGGTATTGCCTCTTGGATTGAAAAAAAACAACTTCTGCTAGGAATCTCTCTTGCTCTGTCACTTTCTCCACTGGCCTGGAAAAAAAACTGCCCTGCACAGGCCCAGGCCTGCAGAACCCACACTGAAAAAGTTCACAGGTGCCCTCCTGCCCTGGGCCCGGGTAAAGGGGCCCTGAAAGGTGTGTGGCAGCTGCATCCCCGGGGGGTCCGGGGGTTTGTTGCCTTAACCGAGCTCACCAAGCAGGTAAAAAATTCCAGACATGTTCTCTGCTGACAGCTAATTGTGTCCTTTATTAATGACCATGGCTTTCTTGGGGCAGGTGGGAGGAGGGAGGAGGCCAGTCTCAGCCCGGAGGGGCTCCCTCAGGTGCAGCTGATGACCACATTTCTGGATCCCATAGAAGGGGAAGTGCTACATGAGGTGACCCTGAAAAAGCACCCTCCCTTCTGGAGGGGGAGGGGGCTTTCCCAGGCTCCCCAAATCCCAGCAGGGGTGGCCAGTACCAGACACCGACAGAATGATGTAGGGATTTAGGAATCTGAGGGCCAGGGTTCTGGGCCCTAAGTTCTTCTCTGAGAACACAGCCAACAAGGTACAGTGGATGGCCTGAACAGGGGACCCGCACGTGGGGCGGTTTGGGAGATGCTCCCCAGCTCCGCCAGGTCCATCTCACCCTCACGGTACCAGGACTGGGCCTGCCAGGCCTTACCTCGGTGGCCCACTACACCACCTGTCAATACAGCAGCCAGATGTGCGGGAGGGGCCTGGGCCTGGCCCTGCCAGATGTGTCAAGCTTTGCAAACACATCCGACTTCCCCTCGGGCACATCGTGATTATTGTTTAACACTCGCTATTCCTGCATCTGTGAGTCCCAGGGATTACAGGCTGGGAGGCTGCAGCCTGATGAGCCCACTGGCAGTGATAGTCTCCAGCTGGGGAGAAGGGGATACTCGATCGGTCCCCATTTTCTCAGGAGGGTGAGGGATGTGGCATGAACCCCAAATATAGATGAGGAGATGAGGCCCGGAGAGAGGCTCAGGGAAGAACTGATGGAACCAGGACTTGAACCAGGCAGGAGAAACGGCGCATGCACAGGCCCTGAGGCTAGCAGAAGGCTGGTGTTCTCAGGGCAGCCAAGAGGTCAGTGTGGCTCAGCTGGAGTGGGCAAGAGGCCAGGCGGGTGGAGGGGAGTTCAGAGAGGAAAAAGGAAGCTTTGTAGGCTATTGTTTTGTGGGTTTTTGTTTCTTTTTGGAAATTCATCTTTGTTTAGATACAGGGTCTTGCTCTGTTGCCCAGATTGGAGTGCAGTGGTGGGCTCTCAGCTCACTGCAACCTGAACCTCCCAGGCTCAAGAGATCCTCCCACCTCAGCCTCCCAAGTAACTGGGACCACAGGCTTGTGCCACCACGCCCAGCTCATTTTTTAAAATTTTTTTGTAGAGTCAAGGTCTCACTATGTTGCTCAGACTGGTCTCAAACTCCTCAGCTCAAGCGATCCTCCCGCCTTGGCCTCCCAAAGTGCTGGGATTACAGGTGTGAGCCACCGTGCCCAGGCTATTGGTTTTTACTCCAAGTGAGATGGAAACTGTTGGAGGCCTTTGGGCGACATGAGCTGATGGCTGTTCTGCAGGATCCTGGCTGCTGTGGAAGGCTGAATGCAGCTGGAGGAGGGCAAGGACATGGGAGAGCAAGGGAGAAAGCCAGGAAGCCAGTTAGGCTTTTGCCGTGATGTGAGGATGCTCCCACTCCTCTGCCCCTTCTCTTCCCTCCAATGTGGGCATCAGCATAGCTGGGCTGCAACCCCAGCTCTGCTGGCCACTCATTTATTGTGTGACCTTAGGCAAGTCCCTGTCCCTGTCTGGGTCTTGTATTTTGTAGTCATAAAATAAGGAACTTAGCCCAGAAGATCGTGAAGATTCTGCTGACTTCCAATGTCTGAGACCCTGCCTTACTCTCCAGCCTCATCTCCTTCCTCTCCTGGCCTTGAACCTCACGTGCTAGCAACCCTGAACTATTTGTAGCTCTCTGCACGCACACCATGCTGTTTCACGCCTCTGTGCCTTTGCACACTCCCTCTCCCTGCAACACCCTGTCCCAGCAGCAGCCCTGCACACAGATGGCCTGTGTTCTTCAGCAGGTCTCCAGCTTGGGGGCATCTCCTCCAGAGGTTGACCCACTCCCCTTTCTCAGTGCCCTGAGCACTTTTACAGACCACACACTGATTTTCAGAAGACAATAGAATGAAGAGGCTGTGGAGTCAGAGCTGGCCTCAAATTCCAGCTACCTATCTGGAGTTGTTCATGTTTTTGAGCCTCCATGTCCTCGTCTGTGAAACAGAGATCATCATATTCTTCCTCCCAGAGTCAAGGTGAAGATGCAGCAACATTGTTAAGCACCTACCCCAGTGCCTAGCACGTGGTAGCCAGGATTTTTGAAGTCAGATTCTAGCTACAGAGAAAGAGCCATTGAATGAATGGGAGAGGGTTACCCTGTATAGTGTGGCCCCAGATTCCCAGAAGAGTTCCAGCTCGGACCCCAGGACAACCTCCCAGCAGCCCATTTTGGGGAGGGGGTTCCTGCCCACCCCTCCTGTCACCAGCTCCTCCTGATATCAGGGCTTGGTCAACGCTGCCTGCCGGCAGCCACACAACACTTGGAAATGTCCTTCCTTAATTGCTTCACCAGAGTGGGGAGCCACCCTGCAGGCAGATAATTAAAAAGTTCAGAGCTTGATTAATTGGGAGGAAATTGGAGGAATGGGGCTGCCTGCTGGGAGGGCGGGAGCTCTCAGCCCCCACTGTGGGGAAGCTGGGATATCATGAAGGGAGGCCAGACCTGGGGCTGGGGGCAATGCGGGGGTCCAGGGGCTGGGAGAGCCAGGCCATGAAACACCCTCACCAGCTCACCAGCCTTTACAGACTGTGGGGTTCAGTGTCTGGCTCCCCTGGGAGACTGTGAGCTCCCCCTACAACTGGGGAACACACAGCAGTCATGAAAGTCCCGGTTGCTCCGGCCTTGGGGCCAGGGGACCTTGCAGCCTGTCACTCAGAGAGCCGTTATGGAGCATCTGCTCTGTGCCAGCTCTGTACCAGGCAGTCAGCAGGGCAGGTGCAGTGGCTGCCCTCATGGAGCTCACAGCTGGTAGGAGGAGGGGAGATGGGAGGTGGAGAGACAGATGTTAATCAAATGCCAGGGACAAAGGTAGGATGCCTTGAGAGCCTGTCACCAGGGGCTCCAGGAGGAGCTCAGAGGATTCCAGAGGCCTCGAGCAAAATCTCCAGTCCACACACAAGTTGAATGAGCTTAAGCACAAGATTCCGCCTTTCGGCCGGGCACGGTGGCTCATGCCTGTAATCCCAGCACTTTGGGAGGCCAAGGCGGGCAGATCACGAGGTCAGGAGATCGAAACCATCCTGGCTAACACAGTGAAATCCCGTCTCTACTAAAAATATGATAAAAAATTAGCCGGGTGTGGTGGCGGACGCCTGTAGTCCCAGCTACTCAGGAGGCTGAGCCAGGAGAATGGCGTGAACTTGGGAGGCGGAGCTTGCAGTGAGCCAAGATCGCGCCGCTGCACTCCAGCCTGGGCGACAAACAATTCCTGAAGCCTCTATCGATCACCTCTCAGCCAGACACTGGGGCTGGTGCCAGACCTCGGGGTTACCCACCATCACTGTCACTGTGCTCACAGCCTCCTAGGAGAGGCAGACAGTCACCATCCTGTATACTCATGCAGTGGCAGAGGTACAGTGCCAGGCACTCCTGGAGCACAGAAGAGCACCCCCAGACCCAGCCCTGGCAGGGGACATCCTAGAAAAGGACCAACAGTTGATTCGGGCTGGAGTGAGATTTGAAGAAGGACAAGAAGGAGCTGGGTGGGAGCTGGGACAGCATATGAGGCAGAGGGAACTGCCTGAGCAAAGGCCCAGAGGCGAGACCAAGCACAGCTTGTTCCAGGAACTGGCAGTGCCTGCGGTGGCTGGAGCTCAAGGTGTGACTGGGAGCATGAGGGAGCTGAAGCTGGCCAGGTGGACCGTGGAAGGGGAGGCTGAAGCAGGCCGGACTCTCCCTGGGCATGAGGGAGCCACCGAAGGGTCCTGAGCAGAGGAGTGACTCAACAGATGGCAGGGGTGGGGGCCTGGCTGGCGAGGCCTGGGTGCCCCCTTGGGCAAAGGGGAGGCATGCTCATGCAGCTACCCACCTCAGCCTTGTCCTGTCAGCTGCTGGCTGGGTTCCACAAAGCCGGGTCCCAGCAGGGGCAGACAGGAGGAACCTGGGCATTGGGGCAGGATGACTGACAGCCCCTGGGTGGTCCCAGTGGGAGCTACCGGCCCTGAGGCACTTGCTGGACTTAAGCTGTCTTGTCTAGGAAGGGGGAAGATGGAGGAAGGGAAGGAGTAAACGGGCAAGAAGGGAAACCCTTCATCAAGTGGGAAGGAGCTCCAGGGACCTTAAGGATGGGGGTTTTAGAAAGAACATGGACTAAGGCTGGGCATAGTGGCTCACACCTGTAATCCCAGCACTTAGGGAGGTCAGGGTAGGAGGATCACTTGAGCCCAAGAGTTCAAGACCAGCCTGGACGACATAATGAAACCCCATCTCTACAAAATATACCAAAAATTAGCCAGGCATGGTGGTGTGCACCTGTAGCCCCAGCTACTTGGAAGGCTGAAGTGGGAGGATCACATGAGCCCAGGAAGTCGAGGCTGCAGTGAGCCGTGATTGCACCACTGCACTGCAGCCTGGGTGATAGAGTGAGAACCTGTCTCAAAAGAAAGAAAAAAAATTAAGAACATGGACTGTGGAGGCACATGTTCTGACCCTAAGTCTCTATGTGATTTGGACAGAGTGCTTCCTTTCTGTGAGCCTCAGTTTCCTCATCTCTAAAATGGGAATAACACCTCCCATTGCACAGGGTGGTCCAAGGAGGCCATGGACCAGGGAGGCTCCTGGCCCAGCACTGGGCACATCCTAGGCACACAGTGCTTAGAAGCACCTCCTCTCCATCTCAGGAGGTAGCTGCCTACTTTCAGTGCAGCTTTGCCCACAGTACGGAGGAGGACCAGGCATCATGCCCAGCCCAGCCCAGCCCAGAGGGACTGACTCTGCTGGGTTAACCTTACAGCAAAAGCAGGAAGCAGGCAAAATATAAAAGCCACTTTGCATGAGGCAGACCCCAAAACCCCACCCACTCAACCCAGCAAGCCCAGCCCTGCCCTACACATGGCACAAACCCCTGAAAATATGCAAATCAGTCTTTCCACAGTTCAAAGAGAATGTAAGAGCCCAGCACTGGGTGTCTGAGCCACCCACAGCTGGAGTCCCAAGCTGGAAGAAGCCCTAGAGGGGGTGCCAGGCAGCGCCTTCCTTGGATTGTGGATTGAATGATTGGATTGAATTGTGTGTATCAATCCGTTCAAATCCAGTAGAGCTGAGGCCCAGAGTGGGCAGGAAGTAGCCTGGGTTCACAGAGCAAATGGCAGTGAAGCCGCCAGCCCCCCTACTCTGGGACCAAGACTCTTTTCTCCATCCAGTCAAACTCCTCTCCCCAACTGAAACCCAGAACTGACTTCCTAGAGATTCCAAGGCAGGAAAGCGAGCTGGCTGCACTTCAAACCTGCCACTGCTGACCCCAGAACCCGCTCCCTGGCCCCTCTGCCCACAGCAGCCAGCAGGTAAGCCTGGTTCAAGGAAGGCATCTCAGCCCCCTGCTTAGTCATGGTCTCTTATGTTCCAGGGCTGAGGCTTTTTGTTTCAAAGTCCCAGTACCTGGCACCTACTGGGGACTCAGTAAATGCCTGTAGAATAAATTTACAACTCACTGTCTCCCTAACTAGACCTGAACTTCTGAAGACAAGGACTATGTCTTCTTTATCTCAGTATTATCTCCAGTGCTTAGCACATAGCAAATGGAGGCCAAGAATAAATGAATATAATAATAGCCAACACTTACATAGCACTTAACATGAGCCAGACAGACACTGTTATGGGTGCTTTACTTTCATTAACTTGTTTAATCTTCCCAACAAATATAATCAATATTATTATTCCCATTGTACAGACAAGAAACTTAGGCACAGAGAGGTTAGGTAACTTGCTCATGGTCACACAGTTAATGAGAGGCAGGACTGGAATTAAGCCCTGGCCGTAGCTCCACAGTCCATGCCCAGGTTCAATTTCATCAGACCTCCTGCTCAGGTCTGGGGAGTAGGAACTCAACCCCAGGGTGCAGACCTTTTCAGATGCCACCTCTACCCAGAGCCACAGACAGCGCCCTCTGGTCTACAGAACCCCAAGGAAGACAGAGATGCTCCTTCCAAGCCTCGGCAGCCTGACACACTGGGCCTGACCCAGCGATTGACTCTGAGGTGGCATCAGTTGTCTTTGGGATTAAGCCAGAGTCCCTGGGAGGAGAGGGGGGAGCAGAGGCAGCAGGCCAGCCATTGAGGTTTTGAGGATCACCTGATGCCAATTAACAGCCCCACCGTGCCAGGCCCAGATGGAGTCCTGCCTCGGCCTGACTCAGGGCTCACTTGGTCAATTATCACCTATCCCCAGAGCCCAGGGGCAGGCGGGGAGAAAATCTGTTTCCCTGTAATCCTCCCTCCTTTCTTCGGCTTGCTGCCATCCTGCCCTGGGTTGCCTGGCCAAGGGCTCTGGGCGATTGCAGAAGGCCGGCGCTGGCTGGCTGCTTCGAGCCCTGAGACCTGAGTTTGAGGACCAGGCGTTACTTCTGCCCTTCTGAGAGGCTCCAGCAAATCCCGTCCCCTCGGCAGGCCTGACAAGATGGTGTCCAGCTGTGACACTCACCACTCACTAATTTCTGGGACCAGTAGTATTTGGACACAAGCTGTTCTGGATCACGAAGATCTGAGGTCAACCCCAGCTGTGCCACTGACTTGCTATGTGACCTTAGGGCGGTCACTTCACTCTCCCTGAGCCTCAGTTTCCTTATCTGTAAAATGGGAATGATAATGGTACCTAGTTGGGTGGGTGCTTTGTGGAATAAGTGAAAGAATCCATGTAAGACACAGCACTGGGCCTGCCACCTGGAAAGTACCTAATGGAATTATTTTTGTCATTCCATGCTGGATGAGTAATAATAGCCATTTACATGGCACTTACCTTGTGTTCTAAGTGCTTTGTGTATATCAATCCATTCAAATCCACAGCCCCTCCCCTCAAGTCACTCACTGTCCAACCAGGGAGATAGACCTGCCTTCATTCAGCAAAACTAAATTGGCTGAACACCTACCATGTGCCAAGTCCTGGGATAGGTGCTGGGGATGCAGAAGTGAAAGACTCAGCCCCTACCCCAACCAAGGTTCACCAACCAGTGGGCAGAACAAAATCACGTGCCATGTAAGTCCAGTGGTGGTCTGGAGCTTGACTTGCAAGAGCCGACTGTGCACATTCTTTCCCAAGTCAGGGTTTAATGATCTCAAGTTGGTACCTTGGCATTTGCTCTGGTGGGAGTATTTACACCACACAAATTGGCAAACACAACCAATCAGGGCTTCTTTTCCCCTCAACTGCCAGTTTAATAGCACACCACTGCATATGGAGCATGTCTTGGGTGCTACAGCGGAGATGTGAGCTGGCGCTGTAGGAGAATGGAGGGCAGGCCGCCTAAAAGTGGGCACACACATCAGACTCACCAATCCAAGGGGCCAGGGAGATGAAGGAGAAGGGCATTCGGGCAAAGGGACCAGCATATGTGGCCCGATGTCCAGGGAGCTGCAAGCAGATGAGAGAGGTGACAGATGGGGCTGGAGAGCTTACAGTAGGATGGTCAATCCTCCCAGTTTGCCCAAGACTAAGGGAGTTTCTGGGATACAGGACTTGCAGTTTGAAAACCGAGATGCTTTGGTCAGTACCCTGTTCAACAGGTCCCTGGGAAGACCATGGGGAGAACAAATGGGAGGCAGAGAGGAATGTGAGCCTGATGATGGGCTGGCAAGATCGGGATGACTCTGGTGGTACCCAGACAGGCACAGACTCAGCTAAATATTTTCTCACCCACCTTCTTATCTGATTGTGATGGTACCTTGTAAGAGGCACATTGATTCAATCAACCTGTACACATCAAGTGCCTACGACCGGCCCGCGGCTCTGCTAGGGGCTGGAGAAACAATGAAAGCCAGACAGACCCGGCTCCTCCTCCCCTTTCCAGGTACTTTCAGTGCATGAAAAAACACAACACACAAGTTTACAAACCGTTTTCTAATATAATTACAAATTGTGATGAGGGTCAGTAAAGGAAACTGAGACTGAGACAGAACACAGCAAGAGACAATTGCTTTAGCCAGGGTGGTCAGGGTGGGCCTCTCGGAGGAGGTGGCATTTAAGCTGGGGTCTGAAGGAGGAAAAGGAGCCAGCGACGGGAAGAGCAGGGAAAGCCTTCCGGGCAGAGGGAACAGCTTGGCCAAAGGCCTGGAGGTGAGAGCGCATTCGATGACCACAGGCAGGAGCGCAGTGAGTGAGAGGAGGAGGGGGAAGCGTCCAGGAGACCATCAGGACCAACCTCACAGGCCTTGTAGCCAGGCTAGGCATGTGGGTCTATTCTAAGTGCAGTGGGGATAAATGGTGCACGAGGGAGTTTAGACAAGATGCCGCAGGTCTGATTCATTTTAAACAGATCACTCCAGGGACTGTGGAAGATTGGCAGAGAGGCCACAGTGGAGCAGAGACCCATTCGATGGCTCTCTCTGTCATTATTCCATGCAGGGATCATCAGCCCCCTTTCCAGATGAGGAGACTGAGTTTCAAAGGGGAGGAGGCCTTCCCAAGCCCACACGCCCGTCAGAGGTACAACTGCCTTCCTGTGTTTCAGGTCTCATTGTCTTCTTCCCACTTCTGCACGTGACATGCAGGTGCCAGCAGGACAGGTTCCCTTCCCACCCAGAAGTTGGGAGTGGTGTGGCCCCCCGGGCACTGTGGGCAGTGGCCACCCAGACCTCTCAGAGGTAGCTGATGGGAGCTGAGGCCCCAGTGCACCCCACAGTCACACAGTAGACTTGGGATCAGAATTGGCCTCTGCTACTGAAGAGCTATGTCTGTCTGTTCCTCTCTGGGCCTCAGTTTCCTCAAATGTCAACTAAGGGGGTGGGGCTCGATCCCCTTCCAGCCCCTCATTCATCCACCCATCACCCACTAGAAACCCAGCATTATACTGGGAGTTTACAGTCCAGCCAGGTAGACACATTCATAAGCAAGTAATTAAAATAGGCACTGTATACAAAAAAATTAGCCCGGCGTGGTGGTGCATGCCTGTAATCCCAGCTACTTGGGAGGCGGAGGCAGGAGAATCACTTGAACCTGGGAGGCAGAGGTTGCAATGAGCCAAGATCATGCCACTGCACTCCAGCCTGGTCAACACAGCGAGACTCCGTCTCAATAAATAAATAAAATAGACCCTGCCAGGGGGCTCAGGGAAGACTTCCTAGAAGAGATGATGTCTTAAAGGGGTCTAGGAGTTTGCCTGATGGTGAAGGGAAGGCATTCTAAGCAATGAGGGCAGATGGACAAAAGCCAGGGGTGTGGGGTGGGCCTGGTGGGGGGGGGGGTATTGTACCTAGGTGAGTGTGAGAGAGCACCAGACACTGAGGTAGGAGTGGTGGGCAAGTACCAGCCCCCTGGGGCCCAGGGGCCCTGCAGAGTTTGGGCTTCCCATGTCTGCTTGGGGAGCTGATGTGGACATTTTAAGATAGTGGCTTCATTGAGATAAAATTCACATACCAGACAATTTGCCTATTTAAATTGTACAAATAAGGCTGGGCTCAGTGGCTCATGTCTGTAATCCCAGCACTTTGGGAGCCA
The DNA here is from genome assembly GCF_000001405.40 of Homo sapiens. NCBI lineage: Eukaryota > Metazoa > Chordata > Mammalia > Primates > Hominidae > Homo > Homo sapiens. The sequence continues at coordinate 22,859,562 of NC_000001.11, forward strand.
AGGCGGGTGGATCACTTGAGGTCAGGAGTTCGTGACCAGCCTGGCCAACATGGTGAAACCCCGTGTCTACTAAAAATACAAATTAGCCAGGCATGGTGGCACGCGCCTGTAGTCCCAGCTACTCGGGAGGCTGAGGCAGGAGAATCGCTTGAACCCGGGAGATGGAGGCTGCAGTGAGCCGAGATTGTGCCACTGCACTCCAGCCTGGGTGACAGAGCGAGACTCCATCTCAAAAAAGAAAAACAAATTATACAAATCAGTGGTTTCTAGTGTATTCACAGAATTGTGCAACCATCACCACAATCAATTTTAGAACATACTCATCACCCCAAAAAGAAGCCCTGTTCCCCATTAGCACCTCCTCCCCCTGCTCCCCTATCCCCAGCCATTGGCAACCACGCATCGACTTTCTGTCTCTTTCGATGTGCCTGTGCTGGGCCTGTTTCATATAAATGGAATCCTGCTTTCATGGCTGGCTTCTTTCACTGAGCACGATGTGTCCAGGGTTCACCTGTACCGTAGCATGTGTCAATGCTTCGTTCCTTTTTATGGCCGAATAGTATTCCAACGTATGTGCCATTGTGGATTTTTAAGACTTGGAAAGGTCTGCACTCCAGAGAGCTAGTTTGGAGAGTGGGTGGGTGGGAGGAGGCCAGATGGCGTGAGAGGCTGAGGAGTGGGTGGAAAGAGCTTTCTAGATGCTGGCAGCGGGGGGAGCGGCCAAGACCAGACCAGAGACTGCTGAGGAGGGAAGACCTAGTAATTGATTGGCTGTGGGGGGACAGGGTGGAGAGTGATGCCACTTCCCAGGGCAGAGAAGAGTGAGTTTCATGAAGCAGTGCCATAGATACAGAAATGATACAGTGCCCGGTGGTGGGGGTCGAACCTGGCCAGGCAACAGAGCAAATGAAGGGCGGCTTAGGGCAGGGGCAGCCTGGGGAGTCTGAGAGGGAGCCAGGACACTGCAAGGGGGAGAGGGCAGCCAGAAAGGCAGTCCAGATGGAGAGGCTGGCACCGCACAGAGGGGAGAGAGAGCAGCCACCCACTGGCGGCCCCCCCGGGAATGCCCCGCAGATGGAGGAGGGATGCTGAGCTGGGCAGGCTGTCTCCAGAGAGGGAGCAGGAGGAGCCTGATCTTGGGGCCAAAACCCTTTGGCATCTCTAAGGATGGTTCTAGACCTTCCTGGAAGCCTTGTGCCCCCATTCTGCAGAGGAGGAAACCCGTTCAGAGAGGCCGACTGCTCGACCAGAGCTGGGGCTGCAGCCTGCATGTCCTGACTGCCCAGAAGCTCTGGGCAGTGCCAAGATGGTGAGGCTGCCCCTTCATCCAGCCATCAGGGAAAGGTCGGTGCCCAAGAGGAAGGCGAGAGGGAGGGCAGGACGACTCAGGGGACCCAGACCCAGTGCAGTAATCCTCATGATTACTTTATGTGGTAGATGCTCTTACCAATGAGAACAATGTAGCTCAGAGAGGTCAAATAACTTGTCTAAGGTCTCTCAGCAAATTGCTTTTGAACCAGATGGCTTAGTACTGCCAGGAACTGTTACAAGTGTTTTTACATAAGTTAAGCAATATAAACTGACAACAACTCTAGGAGGTAGATACTGTTGTCCCATTTTACAGATAAGGAAACAGTTTAAGTGACTTCCCCGAGGCCACACTGCTCACACAGGTGGGTCTGGGTTTGCCAGCAGCCTGCACACTAACCACTATGTTCACTGCCCTCCTGCTTGCATGGCCTCCAAAGCCCATGCTCATTCCACTTAAGGAGGCAGCTCCAAGATGTATTTATGGGCCAGGTGTGGTGGCTTTTGCTTGTAATCCCAGCACTCTGGGAGGCTGAGGCAGGAGGACTGCTTGAGCCCAGGAGTTCAAGACCAGCCTGAGCAACATAGTGAGACCCCCCATCTCTACAAAAATAAAAATAAAATTAATAACAACAACAAAAGAAGTATTTACAGAGCACTTGCTGGGTGCAGATTCTAAGCTAGGCACAGGACAAGCAGCTGTGAGTCAGACATGGCTCTGATCCTGGGGGAGTTGAGAGCATGGCCAGGAGACCCCCAGAAAAATAATTTTGGTGGGTAAGTAAAGCACTCTGAACCCAAGCAATGTTCTGGGCCCCAAGAAAGGCAGGGTCTCTGAGGCCAGAGCTGGTTGAGGGTTGAGGGAGGGTGGTTTGCTAAGACTTGGACTGGGAAGATAAGCCTTGAAGACTAGAGCTGGAAAAAATGAACTAGGGAAATTTATGTTAATTGTTTACATACACAGAAACTAATGTCCAGAGAAGCTGAGTCACTTGCTGAAGAACCCACAGCACCCAGGCATAAAATGTACTCCCGGTGAGGGCCTGGGGGCCTGTGGATGGTTTAGCTGCATTTCATCCCAAGGAGATGAAATGTTTGTTGCAAAGCTGTTTCCTGTCCACCCACTTACCCATTGCACAATCTCTTCCAGGTATCATAGCAGAGCTGGGTTCATGAACCCAGCAGGCTGAAGCTGGGAGAGGGGCAGGGCCTAGACCCTCAGCCTCCTGATTCTCAGCCCAGGGCCAGCAAGAAGAGGAAGGTGGATTTGAATATGTGTGCACACAAGGCAGTTGCCTCTTATAGGCCCTAACCTCATACTCAGAGCTACAGTGGGGGTGGACTCCATATCAGGGATGATGGCCACAGCCCATGGGAGAAGCCAAATGAGGGCCGAGTGCAAGCAGTGCCCTCCTTAGGCTGGCCCTGGTACTGCAGGCCCGCCTTTTATTAATATTTTAATAAATTGATCACATATTCATTGGGCACCTATACTGTGCAAGGCCTTGTGCCATGGGCCTTACGCTTAAGCAGAATACTCACAATGACCCTGCAGAGATGGGCCTTAGAATCCTAATTTTACAAATAAGAAAACTGAGTCTGAGTAGTTAAGCAGCTTGTCTGGGGCTGCACAGCTAGTAAAAGGCCTAGCCAGTACTCAAAGCCAGGTCGGTCTTATTCCAAAAGTAGTGTCCTCCTCTATTCTACCACATCACCTCTCTACACTGCCCTAGGACTTTTCTTCTGCCGTATAATCATCTTAATTGTCTGTAACCCAAGGATCTAGTTCTAAGAATCAGGGCCCAGCCAGACATTATTAAGCAAGACCAGGACCCATGCACACTGCCCCAGACATCTTCAGATGTGCCTCCTAACTAGGTCAGGATTGATTCTAGAGACCATGACACAGCCAAGCTGGGATAGGTGAGGGAAGATTGCTGGGAGCCCTAGACAGCTCACGGACAAGAAACTAGGGAGCCCTGACAGAATTAGAACTCCCACGTTGGGGCCTGGAGACTTCAAACCCTTCAAGAGATGAGATTTTCCAGCAGTGGTGCTGCATGGCCCCTCCGCGAGGCTGTGTGGCCCCTCCGTGAGGCTGCGTGGCTCGTGACCTCTCTGAGTCTTCATCCAGTTTCCTGGTGACTCTCCTTGTCTTCTCTCTCAGGTTGTCCATCTGGGACTTTCAAGGCCAACCAAGGGGATGAGGCCTGTACCCACTGTCCCATCAACAGCCGGACCACTTCTGAAGGGGCCACCAACTGTGTCTGCCGCAATGGCTACTACAGAGCAGACCTGGACCCCCTGGACATGCCCTGCACAAGTAAGTCCTAGGGCCCCTCAAGGGCGATGGCTGGCCGAGTCCCAGGTCTACCTGCAGAAAAGCTCAGAGTGAGGATTGGGTGCCGTCCGGTTACAGCCAGTCTTTCCCTGGTGGGAAGAGAAATGGAAAAGTGCTCAAGAAAGGGGCATCCTGGGGTGGCCATGCTCCCACCTTGCAGACACCACAGTGCTGGCATCTGGCTCCTTACCCCCTTCTGCTGAGTCACATGGAAGATAAAGTCAAGGTCTGGATTCACAAAGGGACAGGGGATGGGAGGCTTGGCAGGAGATGAAGCAACACAGGTAGTATATGTGGCAGAAAAGGCTGCCCAGTGTTCTAACCTGGCAGCAGCTGCCTGAATCACAGCCCAAGGTCCTCTAGGAAGGCACTGCCTGAGAACGCAGCGTCACAACCCCTGTATCTGTCAGGGATGGCATTCAGCTGTAAGTAACAGAGCTGAGCCCTATGGCTGAAACTGTACGGATTTATTCTCTCACCCAAAAGGAGCCCAAGGTAGACAGTCCTGGGACAGTATGGGCAATCCACGATGGCCTTTGGGGCCTGGCTCTTTCTGCCATTCAGAATGGCATAATCCTAGCTCACTGCAGCCTCAACCTCCTGGGCTCAGGTGCCCTCAGCCTTCTGCCCTCAGCCTCCTGAATACCTGGGATTACAGGCGTGCACCACCACACCCAGCTAATTTTTCTAATTTTTTGTAGAGACAGGGTCTCGCTATGTTGCCAAGGCTAGATTTGAACTCCCGGGCTCAAGGAATCTTCCCGCATCCTCCCAAAGTGCTGGATTACAGGCATGAGCCACCACGCCCAACCTAGTTTCTGTTCTTTTTTTTTTTTTTTTTTTTTTTTGAGATGGAGTTTCACTCTGTCGCCCAGGCTCTGGAATGCAATGGCATCATGATCTCAGCTCATGGCAACTTCCACCTCCCGGGTTCAAGTGGTTCTCCCACCTCAGCCTCCCGAGTAACTGGGATTACAGGCATCCGCCATCATGCCCGGCTAATTTTTTGTATTTTTAGTAGAGACGGGGTTTCCTATGTTGGCCAGGCTGGTCTTGAACTCCTGACCTCAGGTGATCCGCCTGCCTCGGCCTCCCAAAGTGCTGGGATTACAGGTGTTAGCCACTGTTGTTTCTGTTCTTAACGTCACTTCATAGTCCAGCATAGCTGCTGAAGTCCCAGCCATCACCCACATTTTAGGCAGCAGAAGCAGGGAAAGGACAAAGGGACACGCCATAGCTGTCTGTCTCTTTTTAAAGAAACAGCCCTAGTCAACAACTTCTGCTCTATATCAGTGGCAAGCACTTAAACACAGGAGGCTGGGAAATGCCATCTTTTAGCTGGACATATTGCCACCATGAATAAAGCTGGGCTGTTCTAAGGAAGAAGGAGAAAATAGATACTGGGCAGGTATAATTCCAAACGCAAAAATACTATCCTCAGTAACAAACACTGAGCAGTTTGTAAGCTGGGAGGAGAGAAAGGTTTGGGCAGATGTACAGCAGGCTAACTTGTATTCTAGAAACATTTCTCTGGTGGGGAGACAGGACAAAGAATTTAAGGAAGTCCTTTCAGAGGGGCTGAGCCAGAGCAGCGGGCACAGAGTGGTCACATGGGGAATAGTACCCCCTGAGCCCCCCACTGACCAACACCTCTCCCCCGCCCCAGCCATCCCCTCCGCGCCCCAGGCTGTGATTTCCAGTGTCAATGAGACCTCCCTCATGCTGGAGTGGACCCCTCCCCGCGACTCCGGAGGCCGAGAGGACCTCGTCTACAACATCATCTGCAAGAGCTGTGGCTCGGGCCGGGGTGCCTGCACCCGCTGCGGGGACAATGTACAGTACGCACCACGCCAGCTAGGCCTGACCGAGCCACGCATTTACATCAGTGACCTGCTGGCCCACACCCAGTACACCTTCGAGATCCAGGCTGTGAACGGCGTTACTGACCAGAGCCCCTTCTCGCCTCAGTTCGCCTCTGTGAACATCACCACCAACCAGGCAGGTAAGTGCTTCCGACGTGGGCCAGGGGAGTGCCCCATCGCGCTGTGCCAGGGAGGGTCCTGCAGTCCTCACAAAAGACTCCTTCACATCTATGGAGTGATTTCTTCTTTTCAAAGGCTTTTCATGTGATCGGTCCACCTGGGAGAGTAAGTGCTACCTCTTCATTGTAGTGGTATTAATAACAATTGCTCCCATTTGTTGAGTGCATATTATTGAAGGTAAAAGTTAAGCTGCTGTAACAAAAAGATCCAACATTAGGTGACTTAAAGGAGTGGAATGTATTTCTCTCTCATGGGAGAATCCAGAGGTGAGCAGTCCACGTCAGCGTGGTGACTCTGATCCACTCAGAGACTCAGGGACCCAGGTTATTTCCGTGTCATTTCCCCACGTCCCCTGCTCCTTGTCTGTATGATTCAAGCTGAGTCTCAGGCATGTCTGTGCGAAGAGAGGGAAGACAGGGCAGCAATGATGTTTGAAGCAAGGTAGGTAGAGGCAGCATCTTTCTCTTTTGCATGCATTCCACGGGCAGGGCCTCAGTCACGTGGCCTCACTGAGACCCAGGAGAGCCCAGAGATGTCATCTCTTGCAGCCTAACTTGTACCTCCATCACAAGTGCTTTCTGTGAAGTTCAGCCCACTCCAGTCTTAACTCCAGCAAAACTCTCCTCAAGCTCACCTTTAGTAACCTTTTCTGTGGCCTCACGTCATCCTCCACCCCCCACCCTTCTTTCCTTCACGGCAAAAAAGGAAGTTGCCGGCCACCACAGTCTCCCCTCCACCCTGTTCTCTCTCTAGTCCCCACTCCACTTGGGCTCCTAGCCTCCCCTCTCTACCAGGACCACTGTCCTCAGTGTCATAGGAGGCTAAGTCCTAGAGATGCTTCCCAGCCTCATCCCCCCACCTGAGGGCCACATGAGATTATCGAGGACATTATGCTATCTGTGGGTAGAAGATCTCATGGTTGGCACTGTGAGTGTGCCCCTCAGTTATTCACTCAGCAACCTTTGCCAAACCCCTACAGTAAGCATGGTCAGGGCCATGTCCATGGAAGAGCTAAGGGAGGCCAGGCTGCAAGAGGGAAAGTGACTGGGCTCCCGAGCTGATCTTTCTGATGTAGGGTGGGGCCCACATGGTAAGCATGCAGGGATCCAGTTGTGGAAGTCCAGGCCCAGGAAGTCTTCCTGGAGGAGGTGGAATTTGACTTGCAGTTTGAAGGACCAGTCGAAATTTTTTCTTTAGAGATGGAGTCTTGTATGTTGCCCAGGCTCATCTTGAACTCCTGGCCTCAAGTGATCCTCCTGCCTCAGCCTCCCAAAGTGCTGGGATTACAAACAAGAGCTGCTTCACCCAGCCAGTAGAATGTTGAAGGGAACAATAGAAAAAAATGGAATTCAGAAGGGAGGAAGGGCATGCCAAGGACATTGAAAGAGAGAGGGCAACTGGCTGGGCACAGTGGCTCACATCTGTAATCCCAGTACTTTGGGAGGCCAAGGCGGGAGGATCACCTGAGGTCAAGAGTTCAAGACCAACCTGGCCAACATGGTGAAGCCCCATCTCTATTAAAAATACAAAAATTAGCCAGGTATGGTCGCGGGCACCTGTAATCCCAGCTACTCAGGAGGCTGAGGCAGAAGAATCGCTTGAACCCGGGAGGTGAATGTTGCAGTGAGCCGAGATCATGCCATTGCACTCCAGCCTGGGTGACAAGAGCAAAATTCTGTCTAAGTAAAAACAAGAGAGAGGAGAGAGCAACTGACTCCACCTGGTTGAGGGGTGTTTCCATGCATGACCTCACTGCATCCTTGTGGCCTCTCTGAGAAGGAAGCATCCATGTCCCCATTTCACAGATGATGCTCAGACAAGTTGAGTCACAAAACCAGGAAGAGTGAGAGGCAAGAATTGACTAGGTCTGACAGACTCCAGTTCTTGGGCGAAGTCCTTGATGTGTCCACGGCACCTTGAGCTTGACTATGGGTCTGATTGCGCATGTAAGTCTGTGTATTTGTGAGTGTGCTGTCATATGTGTTTGGTGAACATGTGTTTACAACGCATATGACTGTGGCCATGTGGGTTCTGTATACATGCATTTGTGAGCATGGATGTATCAACCTGCAGGGCCTTGGGGACAGGGGTAGGGGATATTGTGTATTTGAGCATGAGTTTGTACATCCAAATGTGGCTCTGCCTGTCTGTGTGTTTGTGTCTGAGGAGTGTGGTTTTGTTTGGGAATGTTGGTGGTGTTGCTGTGGCTGAGAGGGTATGTTTGTGACTGACTGCCTATAGTTCTTTTGGGGCCCTGGGTGGATTTAAGCCCTGCTCAGATTGGGGTCCAGAGGGAGCTGACTCAAAGGAGGCAATCTGAGAAAACCCTCAAAAACCAGCCGGTCACAGTGGCTCATGCCTGTAATCCCAGCACTTTGGGAGGCCAAGGTGGGTGGATCACATGAGGTTAGGAGTTCAAGACCAGCCTGGAAAACATGGTGAAACCCCATCTCTACTAAAAATACAAAAATTAGCCAGGCGTGGTGGTGAGCACCTGCAATCCCAGCTACTCGAGAGGCTGAGACAGGAGAATCACTTGAACCTGGGAGGCAGAGCTTGCAATGAGCTGAGATCGTGCCACTGCACTCCAGCCTGAATGACAAAGCGAGATTCCATCTCGAAGAAGAAGAAAAAAAAAGTCAACAAGTGATAGAAAAGACCCCTAACAGATTAGAAAACCTCAGCTGTGCGTCTCTCTGGCTTGACAAAGCTCTGAGCTGGAGAAACCCAGGCCCCCAAAGGGGGTGGTGGAGAGGGAACTCTTTCTAACTGGTAGAAGCCAGAAGGAAGCTCCTGGAGCCCTTTCCCTGGTTGCGGGGAACTCTCCTACATCCATTTGGGAGCTCTGCAGGTGGAACTGCCTACTCAAGACGCCTCAGCTTATTTGTAGCTAGGAGTGGTTCTGGGCTGCTGGGATGGACCCTGCTGTCTGGAGCTGGATGTACCCAGGAGTAGAGATGGGGCGGAGTATGGACGTGAGGGGTTTCCGGGGAATAGGCACACAGGGAGAGCCCTCAGGATCGAAAGACAGAGAAGCAATGAGAAACAAGCACTGGATTAGGAGCAGAGACCGAGGCTTGGCTTTGCCGTTCATTTGCTGCATGACATTAGCAAATGAACGGCATTCATTTAGTCAGTGTATGAGTCAGCTACTCCTGCAATAATGCTGCATAACAAAATCACCCCACAACTCAGTAGTTTAAACAATAAATATTTATTTTCTCACTCACTAGTGTGTGGGTCAGCTAGGGTTTGACTAATCTTGGCCATGCTCTCTGTGCTGGGCAGGTCTCCAGAATGTGATTTGGGTTCAGCCTATTTCATGTGTCTCCTCATTCTCCTTGGACTGGCAGCCACCCCAGGCTTGTTTCTCTCAAGGTGAAGTGTAGGAGCATGGAGGGAGCCAACCATATCTCATTGGCCAAAACAAGTCCCACGGCCAAGCCCAGCATCAGTGGGATGGAGAAGTATACTCTGCCCACAGTGAGTGGGCCCTGCAGATTTACTTGGTAAAGGATGTGGGTACCTAATCCTATCACAGAAAAGGAAGAACTGGGGTCATTGTTCTAATCTACCATGCACGTGAAAATCACTTCCTCTGAGGCCTCAGTTTCCCCACCAAATTGTACATAAGAACTATATGTAAGCATGACTTCCAGAACACAGATTTCTCTCTACCCCAGTCCTGCTGAATCAGAACCCCAGCCGCAGACCCTGGGAATATGCATTGTTAACAAGTGAGTCAGGTGTTTCTTACCATCGGACAAATTTGGGAAACTCAGGTCTGAGTAAGTCTAAACCCCCTGAAGCCCTCAAAGCCCTGAGGCTTTTGAAATTATAACAAGTCTTTCCCCCTCCTCTTTATTCCAAGCCCCTTGTCTTACAGCTGCTCAGAGCCCAGCTGGGGGCTGTGCAACCTCACCACACCCCCACCCCATTATCCCCCTTTGCCAGGTGAGGAAACTGAAGCCCAGAGAGGTAGAGTCATTTATGCTAGGTCCTACTACTTAAGTGACTTCTACTAATATTTAAACCCAGGACCATGTGACTCCAAGTCTACACTGTTCTGCAGTATAGTGTAGACACAGTATCTGCCCTTGAGGATGTATGTCCTAGTTGGAAAAATAAAACACAGACACAGAGCCTACATACAAGATGGCATGGATGAGGGCCCAAGAGGTGCTGGGGGAGATGAGGGAGATCACAGGCAGGAGAAATCATCCTCCTAGGGAATGAGCAAAGGGTATGTCCTGGAAGGCTTCCTGGAAGAGGAGGCATTTGAGCTTGACTTTGAAGAATGGAGAGGCTTCTAGCAAGCAGAGATGGAATCATACAGGAAGGAAGATGGCCTGGGGGAGGGAAGTACAGCAGGCAACTGGAGGGAGGGATTCTTCTTTCTGTTCCTCCTAAGTATCAGGTTCCCCTGACGCAGAGTCTTGGCACATGCTGTTCCCTCTGCCTGGAAAGGCTTTCTTATCCCATTCTTCCTTCAGGCCTCAGCTCATTTCACTGACCTTCCTGACTTGGTGGGACACCTCCCTCCCCAACCCCAGCACCATGGCCTTCTAGTTCCCGTGGTTGAAATTTTACCTTGTGTCATTGATCATTTAGTTCTTGTTCGTCTCCCCCATCATCGGCACTCGCAGCACACAATGGGTCTGCTTTTCCTCACCATGGTTTTCCCGGCACCTAGAGGGGGCTGCACCACAGTGAACATTCAGCGAACATTTGCAGAAGGGTTCGGAGAAGCGTGGGGTGAGGTGGGGTGTGGAGAAGTGCAATCGGGCTGGGAAACAAGGCTGGGGACTCAATTTCCAGACAAATGCATTCAGTGGTCGGTTTTAAACAGACCCTAAAATTCAATATATAAATATCTAGCTCATTGCCTTAAAAGGAAAAAGTGTTTCTTCTGGGCAAGTGACTGGGCCTTGCTCGCAATCCCTTGGCATTCACCGGGGCCAGAACTGTCTTCTGACTTCATCCAGCCATCATGCCGCCTTTGAACCACGCTCTGCCTTTCCAGAGCACCTTTCTGCCTCATATTCATGAGTCGTGCTCATGGCCCCGAGGAAGGAGGCTGGGCTGGGCTTGAGGGATAAGGAAACGGGTTGGGAGAGGTCATGCCACATACTCAGGTGTACTCCGCTGGACAGTGGCAGACCCAGGAGTCAGTCTGGCTGTTCAGAGTGAGCCACGCTACCCTCCTGCCTCTCCACACCCACAGACAAGACCATAGCAGAGAGGGGCAGGAGGGAGGGACAGAGGCTGAGCCTTAGGGTGGGCAGTCAGAGGAGAGCTTCTCTGAGGAGGTGGTGTTTAAGCTGAGGTCCGAATGACAAGCAGACAGCCCTGCAGACCTGGGGGCTGGGAGGTGTAGCATTTCACTGATCCCGGGCTTCTATCCAGCGCCCTTGGCCATTCTCCAGGGCTGCCCCGGACACAGCCTAAGCCCTTTAAGGATCTCACCCTGAGCAAGCCCAGAACACCCCCACCTCTGCCAGCTTCCGGAAGTAGTGGGAAGGGTCTGTGCTTTGGAATCAGGCAGCCGAACCTGGCTTTGAGTCAAGCCTGGCCGCTCACCAGCATGCAACCTTGGACAAGTCACTCAGCTCATGTCTGATTGCATCTTCCTCATGGATAGCTTCGCCCTCTCCTTACAGGAGGATTTAGCTGTGAGGATTTCAGCTAAGCTATGCAAGGTGCCTCCCAGGTTGCTGGCACAGGTAGGCGCCTAAAACACAGAGATCATTCTCTATTCACTCTAATCCCCAAAACGGCTCACATTTGTCAAGTGCTAACTGTGTGCCAGGCACCGTGCTAAGCCCTTAACACTGAATCCTCACAACGATACGAGGTAGGTCCTGTTGTCATCCTGTTTTATAGATGAAAGGAAAGCGAGGCATTGAGAGGTAAGTGACTTACTCTGCTCTATCCCAGGCCAGGAAGTAACAGAACCTGAATAATTGTATCTCTGCATCCTCAGGGCCCAATGTTGACCAGACCCATGCCTTCTACAGAGATGGGGCAGGCAGTCCATATGCTCCATCCATACCACAGCCTGGCTGGGTATCCCCAGCCTTTGAGGCCCCCTGTAATTAACAGGGTCAGCCACTTAGGAAGCTCTACCATCAGCATATCCTAGGAGCTCATGTTGCAGAAAGGGCATCAGAGCGGGGCCTGACAAATTCAGCCCCCATCCCACATGGCCCCTTCCAAGCTGTGTAGCCAGGATGTGAGAAGACCTCATTTCTCTGAGCCTCAGTTCCATCACCTACAAAATGGGCATTTATCTATCATTACAGCTTTGCTAGATGGTTGTGGACATTAACAAGAATGTGAACAGCACCTGGAACATAGATGGACAGTACATGGCAGCTTGGCTTAGTTCCCTATTGCTGCCAGAACAAAATACCTCAAACCTAGCAACTTAACACAATACACATTTATTATCTTATTGTTCTGCAGGTTCAGAAGCCTAGCGTGGGCCGGGTGCAGTGGCTCATGCCTGTAATCCCAGCACTTTAGGAGGCTGAGGCGGGTGGATCACGAGGTCAGGAGTTCGAGACCAGCCTGACCAACATGGTGAAACCCCATCTCTACTAAAATTACAAAAATTAGCTGGGCATGGTGGCGCACACCTGTCATCCCAGCTACTCAGAAGGCTGAGGCAGGAGAATTGCTTGAACCCAGGAGGCGGAGGTTGCAGTGAGCAGAGATCGTGCCATTGCACTCCAGCCTGGGTAACAGAGCGAGACTCCATCTCAAAGAAAAAAAAAAAAATCTAGCATGGATCTCATCAAGCTAAAAGCAGTGTTGGCAGGATGTGTCCTTTCTGATGGTGCTAAGGGACAATCCGTTTTCTTGCTTAGAGGGGTTGTTAGCAGAATTCAATTCCACGTGGCTGTGGGAGTGAGGCCTCTCTCCCCTTGCTGACCATCAGCTGGGGGCTGCCTGAGCTCCTCAAGGCCTCTCTTGGGTCCTTCCACAGAACCCTGACATCTCAGAAGCAGCAGCAGGGCATTGAGTCTTCCCACTCTCCAACTCACTGGTTCTTTGACTCTCTGCTGGGAAAGGTTCTCTTCATGTAAGCACTCAAGAGATGAAGTTCAAGCTACCTGGATAATCTAGGAAAATCTCTCCATCTCAAGGGTCATAACCTTCATCACACCTGCAAAGTCCCTTTTGTCATGTAAGGTAACATATTCACAGATCCCGGGAATTAAGACGTGAACATCTTTGGGGGGTCATTATTCTGCCTATCACAGAAGTTAAACCTACATCAAATTACAACTCAGCAGTGTTGGTAGAGGCCTTGGAGTTCACCTAGGGCAAACACCTCCTTTTAGAAGAAAACTGAGGTCCACAGAGGTTCCTTAGTGGCTACCCAAGATCCCACAGCAGGTCCCCAGCATCCTGACCGGGTGTCTGTGACACCACTCCACATGGCTTTCTCGTGGAAAGACTTTCAACTCTCCAAAGCCTTTTCTGCCACTTGTGTTCTCTGATCCTCCTGCCCTGCTGTGGGGCGGGCACACAATGGCTCAGCCTCTGGAACTGGCATGAACGTGTACTCACCTACTTCTCTCCCTGGGGGACCAAGAGGATCAGAGAGAAATGGGCCAAGAGAGCCCCCTGTGTGCTTATGCCTGAGACCACGAGGTTCGAGAGGGAGATAGAGGGAGAGGGCACTTCCCTCCCTGGGCCGAGCCCTCTCCGCGCATCTTCCTCTTTGATCCTCCCAAGCATTCTGCAGGGAAGGCATTGCTGACCTAGAGTATCATTTAAGATTGGTTTTGGCTGCATATTCTAGGAAGAAAAATAACAGATAGCCACTGCCACAGTAGTGCTGGTTAACAATCAACCATTAACCACAAAGCCGACAGCATGGAACAAGAAGCACTTAGCTAGCTGGGGAGTCTCAGGGTCGACTGGACAGCAACGCTGGTCTTGGCGAGGTGCATTCTTAGGTTTGTAGTTCATCTGCTCCGGGTCACTCGGCAGCTCTTTGGGTTTTGTCACGTTTGGGGGTTGACTGCTGTCCACTGGTCTGGAGTGGCCCTGGAGGGGACAACTGGAGCAACAACTCTGCTCCAACATGTCTCAGCCTCCAGCAAGTCCACCTGTGCATGTTTTCTCATGGCAATCACAGGGAACCAAGGCAGCAGGCAGACACTCGCAAGGGCTTTTGCAAGCCTCTGCTTATATCATGTTGGCTTATATCCTATTGGCCACCACAAGACACGTGGCCAAGCGAGAGTCAGAGAGAGAGAGAGAACTACATAAGTTACAGGGCAAAGGGTGTAGATACAGGGGGGTGATTAATACAACTGGTCTAACAGCATGGCTTAGACTAAAGGGAGGTTTCTTTTTCTCATGTGTGAAGCGTGTCAGAAGATAGGAGTACAGCAACTCCGTGGAGCCATCAGAGATCCACACTCCTCAGCACACAGCTTCATGTCCTCATGGACCAAAATGGCTGCAAGGTCTCTGGCTATCACATCCATGTCTCAGGTTGCAGTGGAAGGAGGGTGAGAAGGGTAGGGCCCTCCCTTTTAAGGAAACTTCCTAGAAGTCCCACACATGCTTCAGTTTATATTTCACGGCCACTTCTAGCTGCCAGAGAGGTTCAGAAAATGTTGTCTTCTATTTGGGCACAATGTACCTAGCTAAGAACCAGGATTTTGTTAAGTTGAGAAAAAGAGAGAATGGATAGTTGTAGCGTCTGCCACATCCCATTTTACAGGTAAGGAACCCAGGCTCAGAGAGAGGTAACTTGCCTGCAGTCACACATTGGCCTAGTAGAACAGCTGGCATCTGAACCCTGAACACCACCTTTTCTCACCTTCACCGCCACCACTATTCCAGAGCACTCAGCTACTCATGGTGCTGTTTGAGAATCTGAGCAGCCCAGACAGCTGCATTTGGCTCACATCATCCTCTGACCCCTTAATCTGGGCCAAGTCCTGTGCTAATCACTTTACAAACAGGTCTTCATTTAACCTTCCTTGCCCATTCACAGAGGAGAAACTGACGCACAGGAGGTGGAGGTAGGCTGCCCAGACCACCTGCTTTGAGGCCCAGGCTTTTAGCATCTTGCTAGTCCAGGTGCTGGGGTAGGACTGTCCCACCAGGAGGCCAAAGGTGAGGTCAAGACGATTCCACAACCCACTAGGAGATGGGTGATTGGATGTTTCCCCAGCACAAAGCCCAGGGCCTCGCCTCAGCCCACTCATAGGCTACTTATGGGTAGGGCCAGGTAACCAGGGGTAGAAGAAACCAACCTGGGCCTTACAGTCAGACAGACCTGGGTCCCCATCTCAGCCCTGCTGCCTGGGGTGTGGGGGCATCCTGTCGGTCTCTTCCTTTCCTCATTGGTAAAAAGGGAGGGATTAACCCCTACTCCATCTGATTGTGACGAAGGGGCCTGGCACTGGGCAGGCTCTGCTAAACATATGCTGGATCAAGGGGAGAGCAAATGAGCACATGAACAGCCAATTGCCACCCTAGAGAGGGGCTCTTCTCAAGTTCAAGGAAAAAATAATAATAATGTCTCCTGGACCCAGTTTTTTGTTTT
The DNA here is from genome assembly GCF_000001405.40 of Homo sapiens. Classification (NCBI taxonomy): domain Eukaryota; kingdom Metazoa; phylum Chordata; class Mammalia; order Primates; family Hominidae; genus Homo; species Homo sapiens. Next base: position 22,874,827 of record NC_000001.11, read on the forward strand.
ATTTTTTTCATATGTTCCACAGATTGGTAGTTCCCAAAAACGTTAAGAACTATCATGTGAGAAAAGGTTTCTGAGGCCAAATGAGCCTGCGACCACTGGGTTAAACCGAGTTAACTGGATGTCTCCCCTGCGGGACTTCTCAGAGCCTTGAATTAAACACATGTGCAGTGTGAGTCTCCACAAGCAGACGGGCTACAACTCTGCGTTCCTCAAACTTTCTTAGCCACAGAATACGCAGTGCCACCCTAGCACCAGTTGTCAGCTTTTCCTTTTTTCTGTCCCATACCACTCTCTAAGAGGCCCATCAGAAAGAATCAAAGGCCCACTTTCTGGAAGTTTTATTTGCAGAAATTCGGTTGTGAGAATTATCGTCAGGTCATCCAGAATTGCAGCCAGATCATCGGGGGTTAACTGCGTTGCTACGGGTTTAAGGGACAAACACTCAAAAAGCAGCTGTCCCATGATGAGCTGGGAATTCTAAGAGTCCCGTCCCAAGTAAACTGTCCCTGCTACAGACCCTGGAGAGGACTAGCGCAGTGACAAGCAATTGTCATGGAACTGTTAGCTAGCTGGTGGCAAGAGGCCCCACGTCACTGCAGCAGTTCCCAACTGTGGGTGGGCACAGGGCCTGGGGGAGAGGGAAACTGCCTTCCGCTGGCTGCTTGGGAAGTACTGCCTGGGGCCTTTGTTTTAGTGGCCAGCCCACAAGGTCGGTAGACTCGGGTTCCTGAGGGCGCCAGAAAAGGGGAGAATCTGTCTGGTCCCCGCTTTTCCCTTTCTCCCTTCCTTCCTCCTTCCTTCCTCACTTTCTCCCTTCCTTCCTCCTTCCTGTCTTCGTTTCTTCCTCCAGTAAATATTGGTCATGCACCTACTCCAAGCCACACACTGTTTCAGGCTCTGGGGATAAAGGATTGAATGAGAGACAAGGTCCCTGACCTCAGATAGTGTTGGTGCTATGACAAAAATAAAATGAGTATGAGAAGGGGCTACTGGAGGGGAGAGGTAGTTCAGGAGGGCATCTCGGAGGAGTTGACATTTGAGCTGAGACTTCAATGAAGAGGAGGATTTGGCCATGGAAGATGTGGGGGAAGAGGTTTCCAAGCAGAAACACCATAGGGCCAAGGCCCTGAGGCAGAACAGAAAGGCTGCCAGTGTGGACAGCTTGGGAGAGAGGGGGCAGGCAGAGGGAGGTGGCAGACGCCAGGCAGCTGGGCCTTGTGGGCCACAGTAGTGTGTCTGTGTCTTATTCTGGGTGCAGTGGGAAGCCGCTGAGGGTCATCAACAGGGAGTGAAGACATCAGGGAGACATTGGGATCTGCAAGTCTGGGGCTTGGGATGGGGTCTCCAGCTGTCCTGTGCCCAGCGACCTCTCCCCCACTCCCTTGGAGCTCAGGGATCTTCGGACCAGTGAAAGGGTCGTAGCTCCGGGTTGTGAGGGGAAGCTGAGCCAATCCCCAAGCCCACCCACCTCTTGCAGCAACCAGGGGCACAGGCTGCTGGCTTCCTGTCCTGTCCTGGGATCCTAGTCCCAGAAGACCCTGAGAGACCACCCCGTACAACCCCTGCATGCCCTGAGAAGGAAACGGAGGCACACAGAGGGAAGGCTCCTTCCCCAAGTCTCAGCCAAGGAAGGGGCTGAACTCCCCTCTGGGGTTCACTGAGGGCAGCAGGGCCCCTGACCACCTGCTCCAGACAAGCAGGCCCCGCCTGGCCGGCCTCCCCCTGCCCCTCTCGGCCACAAGCCTCTTTTGTGCTTACTCCCTGGGGCTCCATCTCCTTGCAGGGGTCACAGGGCACCACTGACCCCATCCCCCTGTCAGCGTGCCCGGCTAGTAATTGAAAATACCAGAATTCCCTGATGACCAACTTACAGGGAAACCTGACACCCCAGGGTGGGCGGTGGGCAGCAGGAGGGGTGGGAGAGCATCCAGCTGTTCCCTTTTCTCCGCCGTTAATCCCCCTGGATTCCAGGAGAAAGGCTAGCCCTGCTGGCCCCCACTGGCCCGCCTTGATCATCTTCCTGGCAAATGCTGCCTCCTTGCCACGCCTGGGGTTACAGGGCTTATGGGATCAGAGCCCAGGTTAGCTGCCTGTAACCCAAGCCTGCCAGCTACGCCTGCCAGGCCCAGACCCCCAAGGCCGCGTGGGACCTGCCTCCACCAGCAGCTGAGTTCCCAGAGCTGGGGCGGGCCGGGTGGGTGGTAGGTGAGTCAGCGGGAACCAGGCGGGGTTAGCTCTGCAGCAGCAGGAAGGGAGCTGGACCAGGATGTCCTCAGGGGCCCTCGGAGGTCCGCTGGTTTCCAGAACTCCCTGGTCAGCCGGCATCAGCCACAGCCAGTGGAGGGGAAAGGATGTGTTGGACCTGGGTGAGCCTGGTTTGAATCCCAGCTCCACTGCTTGCTGTGTGGCCTTGGGCAAGTTACTTCACACTTCCGTGCGTCCATGTCCTCATCTGTAAAATGGGTATAACAGTAATACCAGCCTTGTAGGGTTGATAGGAGCATGAAGTGAGTTAACGGATGTGAAGCATGTGGTTTGCTGTTAGCTGCGCGGCCTTTCCCTTTTTCTGGGCACCATGGGGCATACGGGGGTTATCAGAATGGCAAGCTGAATGACAAGCTTGTTTTAGTTGAGGAGCAGGTTGCCACCCCTACTAGTCCTTCTGTGGCTCCCCAGTGCCTCAGGACTGGAAGTTTGGCCCCCACCTTCCTCGGCAGCCTTGTCTCTTCACCTCTCATGGAACTCTTTGTATGGCTGCTCCAAGACCCTCTGAGCTCCAGGGCCGTATATAAAGAGTGTAGCCCAGGCAGGTGAGGGGGGCAGGCTCAGCAGAAGCCAGGCTGCAAGCAGCCGCGTGGCAGGTGGATCATATACTAGACCAGGACTCAGCTGCTCCTGGCTCTAGTCCAGCTTTACCACTACCAGCTGTGTAGCCTTGGACAAGTCACTTTCTTTCTCTGGCCCTGAATCCACTAGTCCTCAAAATGTGGTCCACAGACCAGCAGTATCAACATCACCTGGGAGTTTGCTAGAAATGCACATTCTCAGGCCCCACTCCAGACCTGCTGAAGTAGAATCTCAGTGGGGGGTGTTGTGGGGAGGCCAGCAATGTGAATTTTAATAAACTCTCCTGGTTATCCTTATGCCCATTCAAGTTTTAAAAGTGCTGCAATCTAGAGAGATACATTCTACAATTGTCCTTTGTTGGGAGGTGAAACTCCAGAGAGAGGTGTGAACAGAACAGCCTCTGCTGAAATCCCAGAGGGTGATGTGAACAGAGCAGCTCTGCTGAACTCCCTGAAGGTGGTGTGAATGGAGCAGATCCTGATGAATTCCCAGGGAGAGGTGTGAACAGAGCAGCCCCTGCTGAAATCCCTGAAGGTGGTGTGAACGGAGCAGCCTCTGCTGAACTCCCAGGGAGAAGTGTGAATGGAGCAGCCCCTGCTCTTGTTCAAGGCTGAATCACTTTGACCAAGTCCTAAAATGGGAGCTTGGACCCCAGAGCTCCATGCCACTTCTGAGTCTTACAGCTTCCCCAGTGCCTAGCATGGTGCCCATCCTGGGACAGGCACTCATTTAGTTGAAAAACAGTATGCTTCCTCCCATTAAGCTGCAAGTCCCTGGAAGGCTGGGATGCTGTGAGGTTCCTCTCCGGAGCCCCAGCACCCCGTATCATGTGGTTGGCATCATAGCAACTCCACAAACTGAAGAATTCTTCACAATGTCTCCCTCCTGAGGGGCGCCCAGCACCCCACTCAGACCTTCACATGCATTTCCACTGCCTTCTCACAGCGTCCTGGCCAGGTGAGGGTTCCTACTTGATAGGTGTGAAAACTGAGGCTCAGCAAGGCTAAAAGTACCTGCTTAAGGCCACACGTGAGTGAGTGGAGGAGCAGGGAGCTGCATACGGGTCTGTTGGACTCCACCCTCAGGGCTCCCCACCGCTAGGCTAGACGGCCTTGCCAGGGACTGGATGGGAGCGTCTTGACCTGGGCACTGTGCGGGTCTAGGCATGAAGCAGTAGGTGAGCGAGCACACCTGGCAGCAGCGCAATCCAAATACTCCTCACCCGTCCTTGCCCTTGCGGGCTCTGTGTGTCTGATGCTCCATTAATGTAACACATATCAACGTGCTGTAAGACAGCAGCACGCCTCTGACTCCACCCTTCACACATCCCTCCCCACCTGCTTGGCCGGCCCTCTGGGAGACAGACCCAGTATTTCAAGGAGCCCTGGAGGCTGCCTTACCCAGCCTCTCACCCCAGAACTGTCCTCAGGCCCCTGGAGGCAGGGGTGGGAGGCATCTCTCCCAGAATCTCTGGCAGCTGAGTTTCAAGCATCCTCCTTAGCTTCTCAGAGCACCCTGTCGCACCCCCACCTCCACCACACACACAGACCCAGTGGTCAGCCCCTGTGGGTTGGATGAGAGGGGCAGAGAAGCTGTGGGGAGGCATGGGGATTGGGGTGCTTCCCGGGCCAGCACAAGGGATGAGCCCCCAGATTGGCCCTGGTCAGTGACACTCCAGAAGGGCCTTATTTTGTTGTTTCACTGGGACACCGACCACTGACAAGCCCGTGATGGGCAGACAGCCTGGACTTCATAAAGAAGCTGGATCCTCGGCAGTCCAGGAGAGCAGAACACTCAACTCCTCACAAAGGCAGTTCCACGGGGAGGGATGGCGCTGGGGCTGAAGGCAGGTGGGAAGTAGGAACTGCTTTGAGACCCAGAGGGGGTCATAGCTAGGGCAGGATGACTCAGCTCCAAGCCCACCTCAGCTCCTCGCCAGCTGTGTGACCTTGGGGAAGTCACTGTGCCTCTCTGAGCCTCTTCTGCAAAGTGCAGATATTGACCCTCATCCTACATGATTGTTGAGGGGGTTAAATGAGATGCTGCAAGTCCATGCTCAGTGCACTGTGGCAGGTGACACCTGCAAACACCCACAGCACTGACAACATGCCAGGTGCTACACTGAGCACACAACCAGACCCCTGATCCCAAGAGGCCAATGCCCCTGGCAGGGCAAGGAGCCGAGCTGAGGGTCAGGCAGCCTCCCCTGGGTGTAAAAGGAACAGAGGCTCATCAGGGCCGCATGGACCAGGGTCTAAGTCCTTCTTGCAGGTGCTGCCACCTCATCTGGAGTGTCTCGGGACAATTTTCCATAGCTCCTTGGGGTGCGGGAGGGGAGTCTGGACCTGCCCAGGCCCACGCTGGTCCCCAGGCTCATTCTCGGTGTCAAGGGCTGCAGAGGAAGGACTGGCAGGGAACATTGGAGCCTCGAGGCCTCAGAGATCTTCTAGCCTGGCCAGGGGTGCCCAGGAGGAAGCCAGGTCCAGAGGGGAGGCAGATCGCCTAGGTCACACAGCCAGTTAGCAGCAAGGCAGAGAGGCAGTCTAGGGACAGACACAGAGCAGGAAATGGGTGAGTCAGCTCCAGCCTTCAAACCCCACAGCTGATGTTCAGGTTCCCCTGAACTCCTACCAGGCCTGCTCCACACTCACATCCCATATGGTCAGAGCCCCTGCAGAGCAGGACTTGGGGCTAGGAGAAGTGTCAGCCTCCACTTTCCAGTGTCCTTGTATTGGCTGAGACAGGACGTCTGCTTGTCACAGACCCGCCCAGGAATGAGGAAAGAATGCAGGAGGTGCTCCCTTCACCCTGGTGAGTCCTCAGCCCCTCCTGGGACCACAAAAATCTCGGGCCCAGAGAAGCAAGGAGGCTTGCCAGCGTCACACCACGGGTGTGGGGACCACATTGAGAGTCCCTCTCTGGCCAGTCCCACTCTGGAGCAAACAACTGCTCTGGCAAGATGCAGACCTGGGTCCAAATCCCGGCTCCCCCACTGACTGTGTGATCTCAGGAAGCCGTGTGCACCTCGGAACTTCAATGTCTTCACCTGTCAGCAGGGGTGATACACCCTCTCATCAACAGTCAACTCAGGAAGCGTGTGTAAAGGGCCCAGGGCCATGTCTACACAGAGGTGATGCTTTCTGGAGGTTTGCTCCATGTGAGAAGGAGGCAAAAGACAGCAGGCCGGATGCATTATGAAATAAGGACTCAAGAACAGGCTGTGTGCCATGGACCTACCTCGGCACCTCAGGCAGCTCACACCCCCTCTCTTGACCTCAGTTTCCACGACTGCAAAATAAGGGAACTGGGCCAGGCATGGCAGGCATGGTGGCTCACGCCTGTAATCCCAGCACTTTGAGAGGCTGATGCAGGAGGGGATCACTTAAGCCCAGGAGTTCGAGACCAACCTGGGCAACATGGCGAAACCCCGCCTCTACAAAAATTACACCAGGCACAGTGTCTCATGCCTATAACCCCAGCACTCTGGGAGACTGAGGCAGGCAGATCACCTGAGGTCAGGAGTTTGAGACCAGCCTGGCCAACATGGTGAAACTCTGTCTACTAAAAATACAAAATTAACCAGGTGTGGTGGTGCACACCTGTAATCCCAGCTACTCAGGAGACTGAGGTAGGAGAATCGCTTGAACCCAGGAGGCAGAGGTTGCAGTGAGCCAAGATCATGCCACTGCACTCTAGCTAGGGTGGCAGAGCGAGACTCCATCTCAAAAAAAAAATTAGCCAGGCATGGTGGCGCACACCTGTGGTCCCAGCTACCTGGGAGGCTGAGGTGGGAGGGTCACTTGAGCCCAGGAAGTTGAGGCTACAGTGAGCTGTGTTCATGCCACTGCACTCCAGCCTGGGCAACAGAGTCTCAAAAAATAACAATCATAAAATCAAATGAGGGAATTGTACTAAGGTATTTCTTCTCCCCACTCTTTGCGACAGAGTTTCACTCTTGTTGCCCAGGCTGGAGTGCAATGGCATGATCTCGGCTCACAGAAACTTCTGCCTCCCGCACTGAAGCGATTCTCCTGCCTCAGCCTCCTGAGTGCTGGGATTACAAGCATGCACCACCATGCCTGGCTAATTTTGTATTTTTAGTAGACACGGGGTTTCACCATGTTGGCAAGGCTGGTCTTGAACTCCTGACCTCAGGTGATCTGCCCACCTCAGCCTCCCAAAGTGCTGGGATTACAGATGTGAGCCGCTGCACCCAGCCATGTACTAAGGTATTTCTAAGCATCCTTCTAGCACTGCACACAGCCCCCTGACTGCTTGTCTCTTCATCTAACCACCTCTGTGAGAGCACTCACAGCACTGGTGGGAGGAATGGGAGGCGGAAATAACTGATTGATTTTATTGAGATGAAATTCACATGACATACAATTAACCATTTCTATCTCTACTGTCTCTCAACTTGATGTGGCCTGAGCTTCCCCAGGGCTGGTGAAGTCGTCAGTGTCTGACCTGAAGGTGCCCCATGAGAGCTCAGCAGCAGCACCCATAGCCCTGCATGAGCCCCTCTGCCCCCTGTCGGCTCCCCGAGACTGGCTCTGTGGCCTCAGCCAGATGCCCTTCCCTCTCTGATCCCACAGTGCCCCACCTGTCCGAGTACCTCTGAGGGTGGGCCAGAAGCTGCACCTTCTCATGCCTCCCTGATCCCTGACCTCTGGCCTCTCTTCCAGCTCCATCGGCAGTGTCCATCATGCATCAGGTGAGCCGCACCGTGGACAGCATTACCCTGTCGTGGTCCCAGCCGGACCAGCCCAATGGCGTGATCCTGGACTATGAGCTGCAGTACTATGAGAAGGTACCTATTGGCTGGGTGCTGTCCCCATCACCCACCTCCCTGAGGGCCCCTCTCCCAGGCTGAGGCCTGGGAGTTCTGCCCCACCGCAAGATGAGACGCACTGGTGCAGCAGAAAGAGCACTGGCCTTGGAGTCAGGCTGCCTGGCTCCCAATCCAGCTCCGCTCCTTCCCACTGTGAGACCTCAGGCAGGTGCCTTGACCTCTCTGGATCTCACTTTTCTGGTCTGGAGGATACACCCAGCAATCTCAGTGAAATGCAACAGTCACATCCCTTTCCCTACCACGACCCTTTCATCTTGACCTCAGTGGCTTGATGTTGGGAAAAACTGGGTTTCCAAAAAGCTGCACTTATGAAGTGATAATTAGTCACTCACCTCTTCTTCGACAGAGATTTGAAACAGCTCAAGAGAGCTTCCGCCTGCCCTGCTCTGAGTCCTGCTAAAACACCCACTTTCACTCGCCTGCATGCCCTTTGCATGGGGAGAGGTGATTTCACTTTGAGCTTTTAAATCAGACCTTAATTACTCCCTTTGGGTGGAAGCCCCTGGGATGGTAGAAGGATCACTGGACTAAGAGTGAGAAGCCGTAGGTTCAAATCCCAGCTCCGTCCTTCACCAGCTATGTGACCTTGGGCAGGCGTCTTTCTCCCTCTGAACCTCAGTTTCCACCTGTGTCGAGTGTGGGTGAGACCCCTCGCGGGGAGCTATGCAGGTTACGGAGAAAAGGCAGCACAGCACCCAGAATGGGACCTGGCCCTCAGCAGAGGCCATGTGTGTCCCTGGCCTTCCTCCTCTGCCCTGCCTGCTGCACAGTGGGCAATGGTGACAGGATGGGAGGCCAAGTGGATGTGGGGTCTGCACAGTACAGGGGCCAGGAGGTAGACAGCACAATTGCCCACCCACATGGCTGGACATCAGAGGCCCCAGGAAGCCTCTCCTTTGAATGATCACTTCTCTTACCTGCTCCAGGAGGCAACAAACAGCCACAGAGGCTGCAAGGGCACCTGGGAAAGGCATCGCGGGGCTTCCATTCAGACTAGGTGTCAATGACTGACAGGGAGGCCTTTGGTTGAGGGCAAGCCCACGGGGAACTGCAGATGGATGGAAGGGCTCTCCCTGAAGGCTGAGAGGAAGAGTGCAGTCAATTGCAGCCAGTCCTGCTGGAGCCCAACTTTCTAGAGCCCAGCCCGGCCTTCCCACTCTGTTAACTGCTGGATCGGCTAACCAGGCCGGTCTCCAGGGCCTTTCAAACACTTACCCAGCCTTTGCCGGCCGTCTTACCATTGCTTGCGTGCGTGTTCATCCCGTCCCCTAGGCAGTGCATTCCAAGAGGTCAGGGGCTACGTCTCCATTCACCACCTTCTCCCCGGCATCCAGGCCTGGCACCAAGGAGACACTTGATCAATATCAGTTGAATGAACAAGTGAATGAATCCTTTCCCTTGTGCCCTGGCCCCCAAACACCTCCTGGGACTTCATGCCTGCCGTCCCCCCACCCACCCACCTCACTGCCCACCCTTTTCCCTCATCCTCCCCTCATCTCTGCCTGTTGGAATCTTCAGGGTCCCTCCCAAATGTCACCTCCGCCACAAGTGAACATGGACTCTGCCCCTCTCTTAGAGCACCGCATGCGGGCGGAGGGTGCCTGTGTCTCCCGCAGGGGACCATGGACACTGAAGGAATGAATTGTGTGAATGAATGAGAGACATGAGTGATGGAGCCTGTGAATGAAAAAGGGAACTGGCTGGGCGCGGTGGCTCACGCCTGTAATCCCAGCACTTTGGGAGGCTGAGACAGGCGGATCACCTGAGGTCAGGAGTTCGAGACCAGCCTGGCCAACATAGCAAAACCCCATCTCTACTAAAAATACAAAAATTATCTGGGCATGGTGGCGCACACCTGTAATCCCAGCACTTTGGGAGGCCAAGGTGGGTGGATCACGGGCCTGACCAACATGGTGAAACCCCATCTCTACTGAAAATACAAAAATTAGCCCGGCGTGGTGGTGCACACCTGTAATCCCAGCTACTCAGGAAGCTGAAGCAGGAGAATCACTTGAACCCAGGAGACGGAGGTTGCAGTGAGCCAAGATCGCACCACTGCACTCCAGCCTGGGTGACAGAGTGAGATGCTGTCTCAAAAAAAAAAAAAAAAAAAAAAAGAGGGAACCAATGGGTGGCTGGATATGGATGGGTAGATAAATGGATGAATTCCTTCTGTCTAAACTGCTCCTATCCCTACATTCTCCACCTGGCCAGGTCTGACTCAACCTTCCAGATCTCAGCCTAACATCACCTCCTCAGAGAAGCCCTCCATCACTGCCCAGATGCCATCCAGCGCCCCATTTCATCTTCTCCTTGTGTCTTGCCCTTCTGCATAGCATTTATCACAATTATCATTTTTTAAGTGTTATGGAGTAATTGGGTATTTACTACCTCTACATTGAGCTAGAAAGTAAGTTCCTTGAGGGTGAAGATCTTGCCATGATCTCTGCTGTGTCCCCAGCGCCTGGCACACAGTAGGTACTCAAGAGCTGTTTGTTGGATGACTCAGGAAGTGGACACACGAGGGCCTGAGCTGTGGGTGGTGTGAGGGAAGCAGCCCCACCCCTCAGTGGGCCCTGGAGGGCCTCGAAGGAGCAGGAGTCCTGGGTCACCAAACCAGCCGCTCCCAGGCTCTGCAGGAGCCAGCATCTCTGCTCCCCGCAGCAGGAATAGCTTAGCAACTCAGAACCCCAAAAGGCAAAAAAAAAACTAATTAAGAAGCTTTGTGATTAAATGAAACTGAAAGTGTTAGTCCCCAAAGACGGGCAACGGAAATGAGGAATCCCAGGGCAGGTCCTGCCTGCGACCCATTTCCTACCACAGCGGGCAGGCCTGGGGAGGCTGCTGGAGGTGTGAACCGGGAGGCAGCTCTGCCCTACTTTCCGCCGCTGCCCGAGCATCCCCAGGCCGCTGCTGGGGTTGGCAGGACCTGCAGGATCTGCAGCAGCCAAGGTTACCATCTGCTCACATTTCATGAGCACTTGCTATGTGCTAAGCACGTCACCTCTAGCATCTCATTTATCCTCACCACATGGTTCTTCACCCCATTGGATGGAAGGGGAAACTGAGGCACGGAGAAGTTCCATAACTTGCCCAAGAGGATCCAGCAAGGATTTGTACCTATGGTCTCACTCTTTACTTGGCTCTCCTGCCTCCCAGATTTTTTTCCCCAGGGATGCTTCTGGGATGACCTTTAAGAGGTAGACAGGACCAGTCCCTGCCATGGAGAACGTTTAGGCATAAATGGTGAGGGGGGTCAGGTGGTAAGAGGCTGAAGGTGTGACAGCCTGAGGTACACCTGTGATGAGACGTGGCCCTACTTCTTTCAGTCCCTCCCCCAGGGCCTGGGGTACAGAGAGGGACAGCTTGGCATCTGCCAGTGGGGAGATGGACACTGGTTCAGTCAACTTTCACTCTCACCAGCTTTGGGTCAGGCACTAAGCTGGGTACCAGGAATCCTGAGGGTGCCAGGTGGCTCGGAGGCCTCAGGGACTTCACAGTCCAGGGAGAAAGAGTCAGACACTGAGAGCCATGAGACAAGGTTTGACACTAGCCACAGAAGGGTCAGCAAAGGTCCCAGGAGGGCACCAATAGGGGCCCACAGTCCTGGCATGAGTGAGGGAAAGCCTTCATTCAGTGACACTTAAGCTGAGTCTTGAAAGATGCTAGGAGTTCACCAAACGCGCAGGTGGGAACACAGTTGTTCTAGGCATCAGGAATCGCAGGTGCAAAGGCCCTAGGGCAGGGATGTGTGGGCTGCATTCAGGAAACAGACAAGGCAAGTGTGGCAGAAGCAGAAGCGGGAGCATCAGGGGAGGAGGTTGGGAGGGAGGCTGGGCTAATTGTCAAGGGCCTTCCAGCCTTGGGAGTCTGGATTCGATTTAAAGTATGATCGGATGGCTCTGGAATTATGCAATCTGACTCAGATTCCTTTAAAGATCCCTGTAGCTTGCTGTGTGGAGAATGCATTCCAGGGAGACATGGAGACACAGGGAGCGCCTGTACAGGGCTCCCAGGGGACGCTAAGTGAGAAATGATGGTAGGTAGCATGGGCTGGGGGAGTTGGCAGTGGAGATGGCAAATGCCAGCAGAGTCTTTTTTTTTTTTTTTTTTTTTTTGAGACAGAGTTTCGCACTTGTTGCCCAGGCTGGAGTGCAGTGGCACAATCTCGGCTCACCACAACCTCTGCCTCCCGGATTCAAGCGATTCTCCTGCCTCAGCCTTGCAAGTAGCTGGAATTACAGGCATGCACCACCATGCCCGGCTAATTTTGTATTTTAAGTAGAGACGGGGTTTCTCCATGTTGATCAGGCTGGTCTCAAACTTCTGACCTCAGGTGATCCGCCCACCTCAGCCACCCAAAGTGCTGGGATTACAGGGGTGAGCCACCGCGCCCGGCCAGCAAAGTCTATATTTTAAAGCCCGGAGGACCCAGGAAATGTGAAGGGTGACTCCTAGGAGATGGAGGTGCCTTTTCCTGGGGCAGATGCAGGTTTGTGATTTGTAGGTGTGGTGCTTACTGGGGCAAAGGGGTTGGGGTTCAGGGAGGATAGAGAACAGCAGCCAGGAGAGTGTGCAGAGGAAGAACCAGAAGATAGGATCCTGGAGAATGCCAGGGTTTAAGGAGGGGAAGAAAGCGGAGTTGATGAAAATATTAGAGGAGGTGCTGGCAGAGGGGTAGGAGCAGAACCAAGAGTCATGTCTCTCCCTGACCTCTCAGACAAGTCTGTGATATGCCAGCCACCACCACCAGGAAGGGACAGCTAGGCTGCAGGTGGTAGGATTTATTCCAGCAAGTCCACAGCCGGCTGTTACCTAACACAGGAATCCTCCTTGTGTCTGCTATTAGATTCTTTCCTGAATGCTCCAGTCTTCCTAGGAAGGGAAGTCAGATACTGAGCCCTGCAGGCCTGTGTGGCCCCCACCTCCACCTCTTTCCCACTCCTTTCCTTCTTCAGAAAGGGCTCTCTAGGAGCGGGCCCTCCGTTTGGCCTTCCCCAAGCCCCACTGGGATTTCCCAGCCTGCCTGGAGTCCAGAGCTGACAACTGCGTTGCTAGATGGCTTCTGGAGGCCACTGATGAATGGCGGTGGCCTTGTGCAGACCCAGGCCTGGCTGCTTCCGTCAGTTCCAACGCCCCAGGGGAGGTGGCCTCCTTTGGCAGCTACCCCAAAGCACACAGGTTCAGGATCCCACTGGTCCCCCAAGAACTCAAGGAGAAGAGCCATTCATGAGGCCACCTGTGGTCGATGGCCCCTGGTAGCCCACATCAATTTTAGAATTTATTTAACAGAAAATGAAGAGGAAGGACATTCCAGGCAGAAGGAGCAAAGGTTGGAGGATGGGGGGTGAAACTATGAAAGTTCAGGCCATATTCAGCTTGTTGCCCAGTACCTGGAGTAGGATCTACCTGGAGAGGTTTGTCCACTCATTCATTCACTTTTGCATTCATCCATCCATTTAATGAACATGGGAAAGGGCTTACTCTATAATGGTTTTTTTGTTTGTTTGTTTTTTGGGGGTTTTTTTTGTGTGTGTGACAACAGAGTTTTGCTCTTGTTGCCCAGGCTGGAGTGTCATGACGCAAGCTCACTGCAACCTCCGTCTCCCGGGTTCAAGTGATTCTCCAGCCTCAGTCTCCCAAGTAGCTGGGATTACAGGCATGTGCCACCACGCTCGGCTAATTTTTTGTATTTTTAGTAGAGATGGGGTTTCACCATGTTGGTCAGGCTGTTCTCGAACTCCTGACCTCAGGTGATCCAGCCCTCGGCCTCACAAAGTGCTGGGATTACAGGCATGAGCCACTGCGCCTGGCCTCTATAATGGTTTTGATGATAACAGTGATGGTGGGAGCCAACATTTATTAAGTCTTTTTATGTGCTAGAGACTGTGCTAAAAAGCTTTACCTGTATTTTCCTTTTAAATCTCCAAAACCACCTTTTATGGTACCTACTTGCATTAACCCACTTTAGAGATGAGAAAACTGAGGCCTGGAAGGCTTAAGACATGCACCCAATGCCTCACTGGCCCTAAGCTACCAGGTAAGTGCTCAGACTAAGGACTAGTGGATTTCATACTGAATCTCTTCCCATCGTCCCTTGGTGCTTAATCACTGTTCAGATAAAGGTACCCCAGGGAGAGGAGAGACCGAAGGGAATTGGCGTCTCTCGGGCATCTCCAATGTGCCAGGCACTACCTGATCAAATTTTATCTTCACAACAGCCCTGAGAGCTTGGCATTTATTGTTCCATTTATTTGGAATAGAAAACAGGGGCTCAGGGAAGTGAAGGGTCTTTCCCAAGGTCACAGTGCAATCAAGTGAAAAAACAAGGATATGAAGCAGCTTCCAGCTGGGTACAGTGACTCATGTCTGTAATCCCAGCACTTTGGGAAGCTGAGACGGGTGGATCATTTGAGTCCAGGAGCTCCAGACCAGCCTGGGTAACATGATGAAACCCTGTCTCTACCAAAAATACAAAAATTAGCCGGGTGTGATGGTATGTGCCTGTAGTCCTAGCTACTAGGGAGGCTGAGGTGGGAGGATCGCTTGTGTCTGGGAGGTCGAGGCTGCAATGGGCCATAATCGCGCCACTGCACTCCAGCCTGGGTCACAGAGCAACACCCTGTCTCAAAAATATAGTCAGACAGAGAGAGACAAAAATGAAAAATGAAACAGCTTCCAATCCCTTGCCCAGCTTTAATGAAGGGAGCTGCTCAGGTTGGTTCCTCACTCTCATGAGGCACCTATGGAACCAGCAGCCGCCTCTCATCTCCCTCACATAATCAGGGGCTTAAAACCTCCAACATCTCTAAGTGGGCACCCACCCAGTTTACAGAATCTAACCTGTTTTCAAGTCTGAGCAGAGCCCATGTTGTACAGTGGCACTTAGTGTCCATGTCTGGTACTGCATCCCAGGTTTTGTAGATTTTTGAATACCAGTTTAATGTTCATTCATTATGTCAATAATTAGTGAACACTTACTGTGTGGCAAACCTGGGGGGATCCAGAGATGAGCAAGACATGGTCCCTGGCCTCAGGAAATCCACATCCTTAAAGAAGATGGACAGGTATATTAGGACAATAGGTGGGAGGGGAGACAATTTGGACCCACAACCCCTGGCTGGGACATCTGGGAAGTCTCCCCAGCAGAGGTGGCACTTGCGCTGAGTCTTGAACGATGAGTAGGACACTGCAAGACAAGTGAGGAAAGGGTATTTCAGACAGGGGCAACAGTGCTTGCAAAAACTCAAGAGTGTCCATGGAAGGTAGAGTTGCTAGATAAAATAGAAGACACATGATTACATTTGAATTTTTTAAAAATAAATGTTTTAGTACAAATATGTCCCAAATATTGCACGGGGCGTACTTATACCAAAATGTATTTGTTGTTCATCTGAAATTTAAATTTGACTGAGCAGCATCCTATATTTGTGTTTGCTAAATCTGGCAGCTCTACCAAGGAAGGGGGAAAGAGTTAGGGATGGCAGGAACCTAGGAAACATTAGGGATGTTGCAGGAGAGACTGCAAAATGGTGGGTCATGAAGGGTCTGGAATGCCAGGCTAAGGAGTCGGCCTTCACCCTGTGGGCACTGGAGAAGGACTTTGTGTGAGGGACCCCAAACTTGGTACAGGGGAACAAACACAAGCCCTCCCTCATGGGCTTAGAGTTAAGGGGGCGAGAGGAGCCTCAGCTGGAAGTTGAGGGGGCATAGCAGAAACCCCCTCCTGTGGCACCCACAGCAAGTGCTCTGGGACTGAGAAGGAAGAGGTGCATCTGGCTGGGATGTCAAGGAGGCTTCCTGGAGGAGGAGGCAGATGATCTGGCTTGGCAAAAGAGACTTCCTCTCTGCTGCTGCCCCACCCAGCTATCCCTGCCTCCCCCTGTTATGGGGGTGGTAGAGACACATCTTCAAGTCAGCCCCCTTCATATCCCCTACATCCCAAGCTTTTTCTCCTCTCCTTTCCTCTGAACCTGCTGCCCCTTCTGCCAGGCATGCACATCTTTGTCTGGGTGGTTCCTGTTTGTTCTTTGAGATCCCATTCCAGTGACCCCCACTCACGAGGGAGCTTTCCTGACTTCACCTGGTAGCCCCTGATATGGTTTGGCTGTGTCCCCGCCCAAATCTCATCTTGAATTGAAGTTCCCATAATCCCCACCTGTTGTGAGAGGGACCTAGTAGGAGGTAATTGAATCACGGGGGTGGTTACCCCCATGCTTTTCTCATGATAGTGAGTGAGTTTGCACAAGATCTGATGGTTTTATAAGGGGCTTTTCCCCCTTTGCTCGGCACTTCTCTCTCCTGCCACCATGTGAAGAAGTATGTGTTTGCTTCTTCTTCTGCCATGGTTGTAAGTTTCCTGAGGCCTCCCCAGGCATGAGGAACTGTGGGTCAATTTCACTTCTTTCCTTTATAAATTACCTAGTCTTGGGTATGTGTGTATAGCAGCATGAGAAGGGACTAATGCAGCCCCCGTCCCAGACCAGGTCACATGTCCCTCGGTATGTGCTTACCCTATCAGTGTGAGCCTGTTATACCTATTGATTCATTTTATTATCTGAACAAACTCTGAGGTAGCTACTGTTACTATCCCCCTTTTACAGATGAAGACACAGAGAAGTTAAGGAACTTGCCCAAGGTCACAGAGGTCATATATACTAGAGCCAGGATTTGAACCCAAGAAGTCTGGCTCCAGCTTGTGATCTTAACCTCCATGCTATAAAGCCTGTAATAACATTGCACGCACTGAATCTTCATTGTTTTGGGAAGGTTTTCAAGGGCTCCGTGCACTCTGTGATGTGTGTGTGACTGGCATGTACAACTAGGTGTGTGTTTTTCTGGATAAGCATTCACAGATTTTCGTCAGAAAAAAATTGTCTCAGGAGCTTCATGATCTTCAAAGGGTTGGGATCCTCACATGCTTACTTTTCTGGACTGAGCTCTCCAAGGCCAGGGCCTGTGCCTTAGCTCCCTGTAGAACCCCAGTCCCAGCCTAGTGCAAAGAGGATATTTGGGGAAGTTTTGCCGGGCGGCTGACAGATGCCTAAACGAGCATCATCTGTATCTGATCCAACCACATCTCCACTCCCACTGCAGCAGCTGGATCTTTGTCCTGTCCTAGATTCCTTGGATCGCCCTGGGTAACATTCAGGAAGCCAAAATTGGTGTTCTTCATCTCTCAAAGGAGAAGACACTAGGTTTGGGGTACCCAAAGGCATGGACATTAGATAGAGGTGGCTCCATGCAAGAGTCTGGTTTCTTTTTTTTTTGTTGTTGTTGTATTTTTTTAGATAGGGTTTTGCTCTGTTGCCCAGGCTACAGTGCAGTGGCATAATCATGGCTTACTGTGGCCTTGACCTCCCAAGCTCAAGTGATCCTTTAACCTCAGCCTCCCAAGTAGCTGGGACCACAAGCATGTATCTCCATGCCCAGCTAATTTTTTTTTTTTTTTTTTAGAGAAAGGGTCTTGGTATGTTGCCCAGACTGGTCTCAAACTACTGGGCTCAAGTGATCCTCCCACCCTGGTCTCCCAGAGTTCTGGGATTACAGGTGTGAGCCACCGTATCCAGCCTGGTTTTGAATCTCAAAGCAACCCTGAACTGATAGTGACCCTGAGCATCATTTTCCCATCTGGACCTTAGTTCTTGACTCACCCAAGTGTGCTGAGGCTGAACAAGGGCTCTTACGCTTAACTCATCAAGGCATAGGGCAGGGAAGGGGATACAGAAGTGAATGAGGTGGGCCTTCTCCCTTCGGTCTCCAAGAACTCACAGTATAGTCCTCAGGATCTGCACATAGGAACCACTCAATACATGCATATTAGTCAGCTTTTCCTGAGATAACACTGCAAAACAAACAATTCCAAAAATCCAACACCTTCCAACAAGTGGCTATTTTTCTTGACCATGGGTTTATGTCTGTGGGTCAATAGGGGTGGCCCTGTTTCATCCTAAGAGTTGGGTCATGGTCTCCTCCTGTTTCTCATGCTGGAGCCAGTGGTTACCCAGTGCAAGTTCCTCTCATGGCAGAAGCACAAGAGGCCAAGACAAATTGGCAGGGATCTGTAAAGCCTCTGCTTGCATCATGTCCACTAGAATGTTCCAGTGGCCAACACAAGTCATGTGGACAAATTCAACATCCATAAGACAGAGACATATACTCTGCCTACCTTTGTGGGCAGTGTTGAAAAGTAACATGGCAAAAGGCATAATTCTATTAAAGGGAGGGGATGAAGAATTGGGAACCATAGATGTTTATCCAATGGCCAGACCTGCCCCCAATGTGGCAGGAGCAGGCAGTGGGCTCTGGACCCACTATGAGCCACAACCTCACTAATTTTCTTCTCTGTTCCTCGGCAGGAGCTCAGTGAGTACAACGCCACAGCCATAAAAAGCCCCACCAACACGGTCACCGTGCAGGGCCTCAAAGCCGGCGCCATCTATGTCTTCCAGGTGCGGGCACGCACCGTGGCAGGTTACGGGCGCTACAGCGGCAAGATGTACTTCCAGACCATGACAGAAGGTGAGCAGAGTCCAGCGGGCAAGAGGAGGGCACAGACTCCACAAACAGAACAAACTCAAGGGTCACCATTCTCATGAAGCACCTTTGTGCAGATTAGAAAAGGCACTCCCTTCTAGATGTCAGCCCTCCCTCCCTCCTAATTTCGAACCTTTGTGCACAACCATATATAAAAGCCCTGTTTCTGTTCCCGTTGTGTCAGCCAGGCCACTTCCTTTCCCAGGACTCTGGGGAGCTCAGCCCTAACTTCCAGAGCCACTCTGAGCAAGTCATGCATTCCTTGGTCCAATTTTTTCTCATCTATAAAATGAAAGCATCACATTCAATCTGAGAAAGTAAGCATATTTTATCCATACACAACTCCAGTGACTTACAACTGGACTGAGAAGGATTCTGAAGCTGCATCCGAGTTCAGCAGGAAGAAGTTCTGGGATAGATTAGTACTGTCTGCTCCAGGCAAGGGAATGGGAGATCGTAACCTGTGTGCTACGTTTCCCACTCTGGAACTACATGGTCTCTAAGCACCATTCCTGCTCTAATAATCTTTAGAAGCAGCACAGTTTAAAGAATGTGGGCTCTGAAGCCAAAGAAATGAGGATTCCATTTCTGATTTAGCCCTAACTGTATGTGCCTGAACAAGTCACCTTACCTCTCCAACCCTCAGCTTTCTCATTTATAAATGGGGGTGATAACAATGATCTCATTATCACTATCATTATCAAACTAGTGTAAGAATAAGAGACCTAGCACAGGGTTGGCACTAAGTCCCAAGCATTTCAGCACTCACCAGATTGTAGATAAGTCATAGTTTGTCATTGCTGTGTGTCTGGAATCCCTTTTACCAGCCAGTCAAACTCCAGGGTGACTCTGTCTGACCAGATTCCAGCATCCTCTCTTAGTATCTGTTCTAACCACTAGGCGTGCCTTGGCCTTTGCCTGGTTGAACATTTCAGAGGCTCCTGGACTCCTAAATTCTTGCCTTATCACAAAAATCCTCCCTATGGCTCTACCATCTCTTCCAGCACTCACCTCCTCTGTAATCTTTCTGTTCCTCGTGGCAGCTTTTTTCACCTCTCTAAGCCTTTTTCCATGTTGGGTGAGTGTCATTGACTGGGAACTAGGAGACTGTCCCAAGATCCTTTTATTAATTCAACAAATGTGGCTGAGGCCTTGCCACTTACCAGGCCAAGTGTGGGCACTAAGGTCCCAGAGCGCGTCCCTGATCTCAGCAAGTTCCTGTTCTGGTCAGTGAGACAGTTGAGAAGTAAAAATAGCTAGGCGCGGTGGCTCACACCTGTAATCCCAGCACTATGGGAAGCCAAGGCGGGTGGATCACCTGAGGTCAGGAGTTCGAGACCAGCCTGGCCAACATGGTGAAACCTCATCTCTACTAAAACTACAAAATCAGCTGGGCGTGATGGCAGGCACCTGTAGTCACAGCTGCTGGAGAGACTGAGACAGGAGAATCGCTTGAACCCGGGAAGCAGAGGTTGCAGTGAGCCGAGATCGTGCCATTTCACTCCAGCCTAGTGACAAGAGTGAAACTCCCACTCCAAAAAAAAAAAAAAGAAGTAAAAATAATAAAATGTAAATCAATGATAGTGTTAATGGCATTGAGTGGTGGTTTCCAAGAGCCAGGCTAATGCCAAGTGTATCTTCTGCATTCTTCCAATTCAACTCCCACCCTTGGATCAAGCAGACCTGGGTTCAAATGCCTGGCTGGGGTGCTACTTTCTTTGTGACCTCAGGCACATCATGACCTCACTAAGCCCAGTTTCTTCATCTGTAAAATGGGGTAATCATAGGACTGTTCCGAGATACGTAACATACTTAGCACAGTGAGTGACACATAAAACACTCAGGGACAAGAATAGTTAATATTGATTGAATGCTTGCTTAGGTGCCAGGTGTTGTTCTAAGTGCTTTACCCAACAATCCTGAGATAGGAAATATTATTCTCCCCATTTTACAGATAAGGCAACTGAGGCACAAAGAGGTAAGTCACTTTGCCTTATCACACAGTCACTTTGCCTTACTAAGTCACTTTGCCTTACTATCACACAGATAGTAAGTGGCACCATCGGGAGTCAAACCCGGAGAGTCTGTCTCCAGAGTCTGCGCTTTTAACTGCCTGTGTGTGTGTCAGCTGTTATTATTGTTGGTTTTCACATCAACATTGAGATGCAGGAATTATGCCCATTTTATGGATGAGAAGTTGAGGATTGGAGCAGTTCATGGACTTGTCCAGGGTTACTTGTGAGACAGTGACAGCCCCTTTTCTGCATGGGCATGTAACAGGTGCTCTGTCAGGGGCAGGAACAGAGTCTAGGGATCCCAGGAGACCCAGCAGCATGGCAGGGGGTAGGGGACAAGGGTATTACGACTCCCACAGCCAGGCTGAGAATGCCCTACCATGCTTTCTCCCCAGCCGAGTACCAGACAAGCATCCAGGAGAAGTTGCCACTCATCATCGGCTCCTCGGCCGCTGGCCTGGTCTTCCTCATTGCTGTGGTTGTCATCGCCATCGTGTGTAACAGGTGGGTGGGGTCTCCAGGCTTGGCCAGGCCTGGCTGTCCCAGATGGCTTCTCTCTCTCTATTCAGTCATCCCTCTACAGTGCTGGTGAACCGAGGAGGCATTCTCACAATTGCAGGGAGAGATGTGGGTAGGAAGTGGAAGGCTTCAAGTGGCTTCCCACTACCTAAGCGGCCACCATGTGCAATCCATCCCTTTGGGATAGGCATCGCCCCTGACAAGCCCACTATTGAAAGAGGTGGCACATTGAGACACTAATGCAGTGGGCAAGAAAGATTGCAGGATGCTAGGAGTTTAGTGGGTGGTGGAAGGGGTATACAGATTGTCCTGCTTTCTGCATGAGTTCAGGCCCCCTGGCTGAGGTGCTGGAAAGACAGGGAGGACTTAGGAGGAGGAGGGGGGAGGGACCTCCCAAGTGGCTAGGACGGTACAAGCAAAGGCAAGAGGGTGGGGCCAGTTCCTTGACTTCTGCTGGGTATAATGCAAAGAAAGATTCTCTTCTTCTTTAAAGAGTTCCCCATTTCAGAATAGACTGAACCATAAGTTCAGGTGGACAGAAGCCCCTGGGGTTTCTGGGGCCAGAAGCCGTGGCTGGAAGATGACTTTACTTTTTGAAGGGGGCTTGGCTGGAGGGGGAGGAACTGGGGAAGATGAGAACCTGGACTTGAGGTGGGAGGAGTGGGAAGGGACAAGTGGGGCCAAAAGGGGCAGGCAGGGAGCCCTCTGGCAGGGGTGTGGCTTCTAGGGCCTGCCCACCCTCTCCCTATCACCTACTGTGGCTCCCAGCTCCCTGGGCGCCTTCAGGTGGCTCCAGCCCTTTGCTCTTGTTCCAGAAGACGGGGGTTTGAGCGTGCTGACTCGGAGTACACGGACAAGCTGCAACACTACACCAGTGGCCACAGTATGTACACACCCAAGCGGGCTGGAACCCTTGGGCCCTTCACTGTCGGTTCCCCAGTGACCTCTTAAGCCATCTTTGACCTCCTTCTGCCATGCTGCAGGCAGACAATGTCAAGTGGTTGCCTGGTTGCACTAAGCTCACTCTCACCTCTAGGCCTTTGCAAGTGCGGTTCCCTCTGCCTCAAGCGCTCTCCCCCTTTCCCTTTACCCATGTAGCTCTTACTCATCCCTCAGGCCTCACCATACACACACTCCTCCAAGCAGCCTTCCCCGACCCCACCCCATCCTGGGTTTAGGGGCTGCATCTGTGCTCGCAGGCTGCATTGAGGTGGCTGTTTCTTGTCTCACCACCGTGATAGTGGTGGCCGCTGGAGACCTGGAATTGTGTCTGATATTTACCGTGTCTCCCCAGCACCAGCGTGGTGCCCAGCACATAGTAGGCACTAGACATATTTGCAGAATAAATAAATGAATCAAACTGAATAAATAAGATGATGAGGACTCTGGGCTCTGGCCCAGGAGGTGAGAAAAGCAGCAGGAGTCCCTCCTTCCTTCTCTTCCTCTCACTCTGTGGCTCCAGACCCCTGTTCTTCCCCAGTGACTCCTCTGGTGGCCTCTTCCCCTTACCCAGTGCCCTCATTTCTCCCACCGTCCCATCCTATATCAGGCCAGGGCTGGGGATGTATGTGCCACACACACAGAGATGTCCCCTCCTGAAGGGCCAGAGAGAAAAGTAGATCATAGATTCCTCTCTCCACTTGACCTGGGCAGAACCAGTAATCAGGGAGTCGGGGGAGAGCAAGAACCTTAGTCCTTACTTCAGCTCACTCAGCAAAAAGGAGTTCTAAATGGGTCCAACATTCATTCTCAAACTGTACTCAGTGTGACGCCCTGAGGTTCCTCAGGTGCCTGCCTCTGGGTACAGAGGCCCATCATCATATCCCTGCCCTTGTCACACAACTGTCGTGGGCCTACCACATATGCCAGGCACTGTTCTAGGTGCTGGGGATCCCAGCACCTGGTCATAAGGCCAGGCACAGTAGCTCACACCTGTAATCCCAGCACTTTGGGAGGCTGAGGCAGGCAGATCACTTGAGGCCAGGAGTTGAGACCAGCCTTGCCAACATGGAGAAATGCTGTCTCTACTAAAAATACAAAATTTAGCCAGGCATGGTGGTGTGTGCCTGTAATCCCAGCTACTCAGGAGGCTGAGGCAGGTAAATTGCTTGAACCCGGGAAGCAGAGGTTGCAGTGAGCAGAGATCGTGCCACTGCACTCCAGCCTGGGTGACAGAGCAAGACTCTGTCTCAAAATAAAAAAATAAATAAATAAACATATAAGGCCAGGCACAGTGGCTCACGCCTGTAATCCCACCACTTTGGGATGCCAAGGCAGGTGGATCACTTGAACACAGAAGTTCAAGACCAGCCTGGGAAACATGATGAAACCCTGTCTCTACCAAAAAAAGTTCAAAAATTAGCTGGGTGTGGTCATGTACGTCTGTAGTTCCAGCTACTTGGGAGGTTGAGGTGGGAGAATAGCTTAAGCCCAGGAGGCGGAGGTTGCAGTGAGCCGAGGTTGCAGTGAGCCCAGATCGCACCACTGCAGTCCAGCCTGGGTGACAGAGCAAGACCCAGTCTCAAAAAAAAAAAAAAAACAAAAGAAAAAAGAAGAAAAGAAAGAAAGAAAAGAGAAATACATGTCATAAATGCAGAAGCGTGTGGTATATTTGAAGATGAAAGTGCTATAGGAAAAAGACAAAGTGGAACAGTAACGGACCGAGAGTTGTGGGGATCAGGGTGGCGTTTTTAAATAGGACAGCTTGGGTTGGCCTCACTGACAGGGTTTGACTTGCACAAAGATACAGAGGAGCTGAGAGAGTGAGCTGCTCAGAGGTATCTGAGGGAAAAGCATTCCAGGAAGAGGGAACAGCCAATACAAAGGTCTTGAGGCTGGAGCTTCCTGGCAGGTTTCGGGAACAGCAGAGGCCAGTGTGACTGGAGCAGAGCAAAGAGAGAAATGGAAGCTTTGAGGGAGTCCAACGTGCAGATGCTCATCAGGCTCAGCAAAGCCTTGGCTTTTCCCTGAGTGAAATGGGGAGCTGCTGGAAGGTTCTGAGCAGAGGGATGACATGCTCCAAGTTACGGCCTTGGCGGGACTTCTCTGGCTGCTGTCTGGAGAATGGACCAACGGGGCTGATGCAAGGAGACCAGTGGGGTGGCTGTTGGAAGAATCCAGGGAAGACATGATGGTGGCCAGACCGAGTGGCAGGGAGAAGGTAGTGGGAAGTGGTTGGATTCTGACATATTTCAAAAGCAGAGCCACTAGATTTGCTGCAGGACTGGATGTGGATACGTAAGAATGAGCAGAGTCTAGGAGCTCCAGGTACGAAGCCTCTGGGTAAGACATGGTTTGAAGTAAAAGTTCCTGGGCTTAAAAATAGTTTGGGGCTGGCCAGGCACGGTGGCTCACGCCTGTAATCCCAACACTTTAGGAGGCCAAGGTCGGGAGTTCAAGACCAGCCTGACCAACACAGAGAAACCCCGTCTCTACTGAAAATACAAAATTAGCCGGGTGTGGTGGTGCATGCCTGTAATCCCAGCCACTCGGGAGGCTGAGGCAGGAGAATTGCTTGAACCCGGGAGGCAGAGATTGTGGTGAGCCGAGATTGTGCCATTGCACTCCAGCCTGGGCAGCAAGTACAAAACGCCATCTCAAAAAAAAAAAAAAAAAATAGTTTGGGGCCAGGCGCAGTGGCTCACCCCTATAATCCTAGAACTTTGGGAGGCCAAGATGAGCGGATCACCTGAGGTCGGGAGTTCAAGACCAGCCCTACCAACATGGTGAAACCCCATCTCTACTAAAAATAGAAAATTAGCCTGGCGTGGTGGTGTGTGCCTGTAATCCCAGCTACTTCAGAGGCTGAGGCAGGAGAATCCCTTGAACCCGGGAGGTGAAGGTTGCAGTGAGCCGAGATCATGCCATTGCACTCCAGCCTAGGCAACAAGAGTGAAACTCCATCTCAAAAAAAAAGAAAAATAGTTTGGGGCATATATGTAAAACTAGTTAAGCCATTAAAATTTCCAGAAGATAATTTAGGCAACTATTAACCAATACAGAAATAGAAAAGGACCTTCTAAACATGAAAGCAATTGATAACTCCTAAGAAAAAGATGGACACATTTAACTACACAGAAATAAAAGTCACCTGTACATTAAAAATAAAGGTCATAGGCCAGGTGCCATGGTTCATGCCTGTATTCCCAGCACTTTGGGAGGCTGAGGTGGGAGGATCACTTGAGTCCAGGAGTTCGAGACCAGCCTGGGCAACATAGCAAAACCCCATATCTACAAAAAATGTAAAAATTAGCCAGGCATGGTGGCACACACCTGTAGTCCCAAGCTACTCAGGAGGCTGAGGTGAGAGGATCATTCAAGCCCAGGAGGTCAAGGCTGCAGTGAACCATGGTCTCACCACTGCACTCCAGCCTGGGTGACAGAGTGAGACCCTGTCCCAAGAAAAATGAAAAATAAGGCCGGGTGCGGTAGCTCACGCCTGTAATCCCAGCACTTTAGGAGGCCAAGGCGGGTGGATTACCTGAGGTCAGGAATTCAAGACCAGCCTGGCCAACATGGTAAAACCCCGTCTCTACTAAAAATACAAAAATTAGCTGGGTGTGGTGGTGCACGCCTGTAATCCCAGCTACTCAGGAGGCTGAGGCAGGAGAATTGCTTGAACCTGGGAGGCGAAGGTTGCAGTGAGCTGAGATCACGTCACTGCACTCCAGCCTGGGGAACAGAGCAAGACTCCTCAAACAAAAAAAAGAAAAAGAAAGATTATAAATTATGTCATCCCCTCTTATTGCCCCAAGTAATGAAATCGTGATCATAGATGTGGCTAGACGTACTGCGTGCATTCTGTGTGCCAAGAATTGTTTCAATGCTTTACATGTATTTATTCATTTGATCCTTATAATTTCTCACTTTGAATAGGGGGAAACTGAGGCACAGAGGTTGCACAGCTGCTCAGGGATGGAGCAGGGGTATGAACTCCAGCTGTCTGGCTGAAGAGCTGGCATCCTGTGCTGGCTCCATTCTGCTGAGCTGGAATGGGATAGGCTCCCATGCTCCGTCTCCTGGAGCCACTGGGGAGCATTGCTATGTGGTTTGTGAGTCAGTAATAAGGAAACAGGTGGGGTCTATTTTTAAGAGAGACCCCAGGGTTTGTTCCTAGATCAGCACATTTTAAGGCCTAAGATCCCCCTCCCTGCATCCTAAGCTCTAACGTTAGATCCAAGCAGAACTTTGTTCTGTTCAAAGCACTGCCAGCCCTGTGATCCCATATCCACCCAGCCACCCTGCGTGGTCAGGACAGAGGAGGAAGCTGAGGCCCAGAGATCCATGTGACTGGCCTGTAATCACCCACACGGCCCCATGGTTTCCATCATTCAGCAGGTGCTGAGTGAGTACCAAGGTCTGTGATGCCTGGATATGGAGCCAGAGGGACTGACCTGGTTTTCATCCCTATTCTGCCACTGGCCAGCTGGGTGACCTCGGGGAAGCCATCAAACCTCTCTGAGCCTTGACATCTTTATATGGGAAGTAGCAAGAATGATACTTTTGTCACAGAATTGTGAGGATTAAATGAATTAAGGGACATTAAAGTGCTTTGGAATAATATTTAATAATAGCCAGCTCTTCTTTGCAACAGTTTACAATTATTCAGCACTTTCCTTTTGCCAACTACTGTACTGAGCCCTTTAAAAAGATACTCTCGTTTAATCTTGCAACCCCCTTAGGAGGTAGGTATTGTTTATTATACCCATCGGGTAGGTGAAAAAAGTGAGACACAGAGGTTAAGTAACTTGCCCAAGGGCACACTGCTGGATCAACACAGTGGTTGATCCTGGCTTCAAACTCACAAAGCAGCTGATTTGTGACCAGAATTAGCAGCGGTGCCAGAATTCAGACCCAGAACTCTGTACACTGGTTCCTCTTCCCTCCTTGTGAATTTCGCATTTGAGGGCAGAGCAACAGCCAGTGGCCGACACCCGTAAATCATCCAAACAACAGCCCAGGATTTTCTGTAGCCTTTGCCTGCAGAGGTCCTCACCCGACCTCGGTTCAGCAAGTGCCCCTTCTGAGAGCCAGGCTTGTTGGAGGCTCTGGCCACCAGGCACTCACTCACCTTCTATTCCAAGAGACAGACTGGGGAAGCACCTGGGAGAAATTGGCAGCCTGAGGGTTACAAGTGGAGACTCTGTAGCCGGCCTGGGTTCAAACCCCACTTCTGCCATTTATTAGCTGTTTTGATGTCATTTAACTTCGTGTGTGTGTGTGTGAGTGTGTGTGTGTGTGTGTGTGTGTGTAACAGGGTCTCACTTTGTCACCACACTGGAGTGCAGTGGCACAAACACGGCTTACTGCAGCCTCTACCTCCTGGACTCAAGCAATCCTCCTGCCTCAGCCTCCCAGGTAGCTGGGATCACAAGCCTGCACTGCCATGCCTGGCTAACTTATTTATTTTTTGTAGAGATGGGTTTCTGCCATGTTACCCAGGCTGGTCTTGAACTTCTGGGTTCAGGCAATCCTCCTGCCTCAGCCTCCCAAAGGGCTGGGATTATGGGCTTGAGCCACAGTGTCCAACTCATTTAACCTTTCTTATGCCAATTTCCTCGTCTGAAAAACAGGCATCACATGTGATTGTACCAAATGAAATTGCTATTTTTGTAGGTCAGAAACAGTTAAATATTGACAGTTTCATAAGGTATCAGCCTAATAATGGCACTTACCTGGTAGGGTTGTTAGGAGGATTAATTGGATTAAAAACTATAAAGTGCCTAGAACAAGGCCTGGCACCCAGTAAATCTACGCTGAATGTATATTCAATAAGTGTTTACTAAGCATCTACTGTATACCACCTTCACATAAGTACTCCAGAGCCAACATTCTAAAGCAAGGGCTTATAGCTTTGGGTCTAAAGACCCCTAGAGCTTCCAATACCCCAAAATTATATGTGAAATATGGGAGCATACACACACAGGAATACTTTTCCAAGGAGCAGATTCATAATTTTCATCAAATTCTCAAAGACATTCAAGACACGTAGTAATGCTATTATGTGTTCAATAAGCACTTTTTACTTATTGGGCACCCACTGTGTGCCAGGCCCTGGGATTCAGCATGAACAAGACAGACACAGCCTCGGTCTTCCTGGGGAAAAGGGTAAACTAAGCCCTCACGGGCAGCAGAGTCTTCCAGAAAGGAGTGTCAGGGGGCTGTGGGCATGAGTATCTGGGAACCCCGGTACAAGGTAGAAAAGCCACACAGACATCAAGATCATAAGAGTGGGTGTGGACTCAGGACTGTGGGAGCCTGAGGAGAGGGTACAGGTCTCCACTGGAGCAATCCAGGCAGTCTTCACAGAGGGGATGGCATTTGATCTGGTCACAAAAAGAAAGAGAGAGTGTTCCAGGTAGAGAGCACAACATGAACAAAAGCATGGAGGCAGGAAATAATGAAGTGTGTCTGAAACCCCTGGGTCAATAAGTCCTGTGAGCAGGCATCTAGGGAGCAGGGAGCTGGAAGTGAGGCCAATCCACGGAGAGCTGGGAATGCCAGGCAGGG
The DNA here is from genome assembly GCF_000001405.40 of Homo sapiens. Taxonomy (NCBI): domain Eukaryota; kingdom Metazoa; phylum Chordata; class Mammalia; order Primates; family Hominidae; genus Homo; species Homo sapiens. The sequence continues at coordinate 22,903,105 of NC_000001.11, forward strand.
GCATGCAGCTTTGTCCTGCAAGCAACAGAGGCCCTCTTGACCAGTGCTGCTGGCCACAGCATGACGATGGCATCCAGTTGCTTGGCAGTGGAGGTGACCAAGGAGGGTTTGAGCTGCTGTACTTCCTCTTACCTCCCTGAGTCAACCCATTCCTGTCCTCTATCCCCATCAGAAAGGGCCTCCCTGAGTCATGTTGGGAGGGAGGCTGAAAGCCAGTTGTCAAGAACCACAGGGCATGCATTGAGTCTGAGCAAGCAAGAGAGCATCCCCAGGAAGCCGATGCCCTGGCTCTGAGAAGGCTGATGGGGAAAGAGGTGATCATGGCGGAATACTCCAGCAGGCAGCATGGACCAGATTCTGGTTGTATTTCATCCAGGAGGCAGTGAACATGGTGATTAGGAGTACTGGCCCCAGGCTCAAGTCTAACAGACCTGGCTTCAAATCCTGGCTGTGCCATTTGCTAGCTGTGTGGCCTTGGCCAGATGACTTAGCTTCTCAGAGCCACAATTTCCTTATGTGTGAAATGGGAATAATGGTCCTTTCCTCCAAGAGTTTTTGAGTGGAGAAGCTAAGGCATATAAAGAGCCTGGCATGGTGTTGGGCACAAAGGGCTCAGTAAGTGACAGCTGCTATTATGATTCTGTCTGTGTCATTTGGATTCTGCTCAGCCCTATAGACATTGAGTGTCTGCTGTGTGCAGAGCTTTATGCGTGTGCCAGGGGAGGGAGAAATCAGAAAAAAAACATGTGTCCATTTCCTCCTCCCAGGCACTCACAGTCTTGGATGGTGGTTCTTAACCTCTTTGGGGGCCTCAGACTCCTGGGAGACTCTGCTGAAAGTTTTGGAGCCTATGGCCAGAAAAACATATACATGTATAAAATTATTAAAAGTCCAGAGGTCAGGCCAGGCGCGGTGGCTCATGCCTGTAATCCCAGCACTTCGGGAGGCCGAGGCAAGTGGATCATTTGAGGTCAGGAGTTAGAGACCAGCCTGGCCAACATGGCAAAACCTATTAAAACTCTATGAAAAATACAAAAAATAAGCTGAGTGTTGTGGCACATGGCTGTAATCCCAACTACTTGGAAGGCTAAGGTGGGAGAATCACTTGAACCCTGGAGGCGGAGGTTGCAGTGAGCTGAGATTGTGCCACTGCACTCCAGCCTGGGTGACAGAGCAAGAACCTGTCTCAAAAAAAAAAAAAAATTAATTAAAAAAAATCCAGAGGTCTATACTCAAGGTTGGATTTTTTGAGAACTTTTATTTTTGACAATATTTATTTCCATAACTTTTGGACTTTAGAAGCAGCATGAATTACTTTTTGAATAGAAAAGGACAATCATAATAAATGCATCCCATCTCAGGAGGTTACCAGATCTCCTACTGCTCATACTTAGGACTGCTAAGTAGCTCACAGACCCAAATTAAGAAACCCTGACCTCAAGGGTTAAACAAATACCCACACAAATAATCCCAAATAAAGCTAACGTGTTAGAGCAGCGGTTGACAAATTTTTCTGTAAGGGAACAGATAGTAAATATTTTAGGCCTTATGGGTCTCTCTTGTAACTACCCAACTCTGCTGTCATAGCTTAATAACAGCCACAGGCAAAGGAATGAGCATGGTTGTGTTCCAATAATACTTTATTTACAAAATAGGCTATAAGCCAATTCGCCAACCCCTATATTACATGCTCTAATGCCTAGATTCCTGGAATGTCTAAAATAGAGGCCAAGAGTGGTCAACTCATATGTCCAAGGTCACACAGCTGAGCAGGGTTGATGGCCTCACGCACCAACCAGCCAAGCCTTATGGTGACCCAAGGATTTCAACTGCCAACTCCTAGAACTTCTGCCTCCAAATTTGCAGCTCCCGGAGTGGCAGGAGAATGTGAGCAGGATGCTGGAAGAGCCAGAGGAAAGCCTGGGCTCAGGGAGGACTGGGAGGTCTGGATGTTGGAAGACCAGCTGCCTATCTGGGAGGCGGAAGATGGATGGGTCATCTTTCCCTTCTTTCAAAGCATTTTGCCGACTCAGTGCTGGCTGTTCAGAATTGGGTCTTTGACATCCAGGTTACCTTCTTCTCTTAGTGCATAAAAAAATAAGTGTTGGACAGAAGAGAGGGAGAACAAAAAATAATAATAATAATAAAACTAAAATATGCATCAGATCAGGAATCAAATGCCCCATGTCTAGCTTCATGCTGATTACCAGAAAATCAGGGATCCAGAAGGGGTTAAGACTTGGCTAGAGGGGGACCTGGGAGGTGGCCCAGCAGCTGTGGACACTCAGTCCCTGGTGAGTGGGGCGGCCCCTCAAGGCTCTGGGGGCCCATTTGGGAAGGCTGGGCAGCTAGAAAGGGACCCTGGGGGAAGAGGAGGCTTGAATTAGGCCTGGAGAGACAAGGAGGAGCTCTCCTTAGCAGAACCCCAAAGACAACACGGTCTATTGCCTGCTGTTTCTGTATTTTAGTTCCAATTCGCTCCCTTCCTTTTTGCCCCCTTCTTCGTTTACGTTGCACCCCTTGATTCTGTATCACCTATCGATCCGTTTATCCATCTGTGCCCATGCCCATACCAGACATTGCTTATCAGTCCTGACAGTCTCAGCTGCTCCAGAAAACCACTGTTGATCAGTGAGAGTTGGAACAAGAGCTAAGACCTATCTGCCACCCCTGCTGGTCTCTGTTCCCCTCACCTCCTACTCAGTTCACGCCCATCTGCTCAGTAAGCCCCAGAGAGGTCAAGTGACCTGCAGGGAGTTGCCCAGTTCTTATGGGGGCCACATGGGAGTGGATTTCCCTCCACGGAGGGACTGGCTCCCGCTTTTCCTTTTTGTGTGCATCTTGAGTCAGTCCATATGACAGAGCCTGGTCTTGTCCCCCAGTGACCCCAGGCATGAAGATCTACATCGATCCTTTCACCTACGAGGACCCCAACGAGGCAGTGCGGGAGTTTGCCAAGGAAATTGACATCTCCTGTGTCAAAATTGAGCAGGTGATCGGAGCAGGTAGGTGGCTGGTACTCTCACATGTACTATGACCTTAGCCATGGCTGGTGAGACCACCCCAATGTATACCCTTGGGGCAGAAGGTAGGATGTGGGACAGGCGCCTCAAAGGACCCCCCAAGGCCTGAAGGTTCAGAATGACCATGAAAGAAGGGCCCTCAAAGGTCATCCAGTAAAACCACCTCACTGACAAAAGAGGAAACTGAGGCACAGGGCTGGGAGGGGACATGCACAGTGAGTCAGAGATTGAGCTGGGTCTGGAGCCCAGTTCTCTGGACTCTTGGTCCAGTGCTTTTCCTTCCTCCCCCCATGTATCCCAGTGCCTTTTCCCATCTCCCAGGTTCCCCTGCACCCTCACCCCCATGCCCAGCCAGGGATAACCAGAGAACAACCATGAGGAATTTACTGTCCTCTCCCAGAGGTGACTGGAACTTTTCTGGACCCCTGACATTCTTGAAGGGGTTCTGTGTCTGCAAGGATGAGTGGGCCATTGAGAAGAAAATGTACCTGCAGGCCCCGTGAGTGGACATGACAGGGAACAGGAAGGTGGCCCTTCCACCTGGCAAGTGACATCCTGTCTGTCTTGGTGTTTCTCTCTCAGGGGAGTTTGGCGAGGTCTGCAGTGGCCACCTGAAGCTGCCAGGCAAGAGAGAGATCTTTGTGGCCATCAAGACGCTCAAGTCGGGCTACACGGAGAAGCAGCGCCGGGACTTCCTGAGCGAAGCCTCCATCATGGGCCAGTTCGACCATCCCAACGTCATCCACCTGGAGGGTGTCGTGACCAAGAGCACACCTGTGATGATCATCACCGAGTTCATGGAGAATGGCTCCCTGGACTCCTTTCTCCGGGTAGGGGAAGCCAAGAGGGCCAGGGGCCCATGAATGGGGCAGGAAAAGGAACGATGGACATAGCTTCATACTGTCAGAGCCTGAAGGGGTCTTGGAAAAGCTCTAGGTCAGGAATGGCTTGCAGGCTGTCACTTTCCATTCCCTTATCCATGGCAGGCACTGCTAATCAATCCCAGCACTCTCATCCACTAAGCCCAGAGGCAGTCCCAGAATTCTTCTCAGTATGGTTCCCCAGGAAGCCACAATCAGTTGATCAGAGTTGGCACACATCTGAAATCTGTTTCCATTCCTGCTCTTAGCCAGCCTTCTCATTATGCACAGGAGAAAACGGGCTCAAAGAGAGGTAGGATTTGCCCAGAGTCACCCAGAGGGTCAAGATGAGGCCTGGACTGGAACCAAGTGTCTTGACCTCTCATCCAGGTTTTCACCAGATTTTGGAGTTCTCCAAAGCTCTATAGGCTGGTGGGAGGAGTTCAGAGCACAAGGCCAACAGAGGAAAGTGTATAGGCCTCCCAGGAGACCAAGTCAACCAACCAGACAAAGCACCAGACTGGACATCAGAAGCAGGCCAGTGGACCAGCTGCCATTCAGTAAATATTTGTGAAGCACCTAACATGTGCCAGGCACCTTCCATACACCTTCTTGTATAACCCAGAATAGCCCTGGGGGATGGGTGTGATTTAGGCCCATTTAACACACAGATGAGGAAACTGAGACTCAGAGGTATTAGGTCACATGTCCAAGGTTGCACAGCCGAGAAGGAACAAAGCCAGAGTCAAACCAAGCGTGTCTGCTTCAAAGCCTGTGTTCTCACCACCACTCTGAAGTTGGCCTCTGACGGGCCTCTCTGGGGTCCCAAAGCATCTGAGTCCTTCCCCAGGGGAGCCCAGAGCCAGGCTGGCAGGGCCCTGCTCTGGTTTCCCATTATGAGGATGATGCAGAGCTCTGATGCCTGCTCTTCTGTTTACTCTGTGTTTTCCCCACTTCTCCCAAAGCAAAACGATGGGCAGTTCACAGTCATCCAGCTGGTGGGCATGCTTCGGGGCATCGCAGCTGGCATGAAGTACCTGGCAGACATGAACTATGTTCACCGTGACCTGGCTGCCCGCAACATCCTCGTCAACAGCAACCTGGTCTGCAAGGTGTCGGACTTTGGGCTCTCACGCTTTCTAGAGGACGATACCTCAGACCCCACCTACACCAGTGCCCTGGTAAGATGGAGGCAGGGAACACCGGAGTCACAGAGCCAGAGAAGAGGGCATGAGTGTCCATCTCTCCCTGCAAGACACTTTCACTAACGCCCAATTGGGCCAAGCACTGTCCTGGGCCCTGGAGACAGGAAGACAGGAACCACAGCTCCTGCCCTCTTGCAATTCCCACACTGGTGGGGAACAAATGTGCAGAGCCATGTGGAGTGACAGGGCTGTAAGCCAGGACAGCCAGCCTTGGAGGCAGAGGAAGGCTTGCTAGAGAGGTTGATATCTGAGCTGAGAGCAGAAGGGCCCGGAAACGTTTGTCAGATGCCATGTTCTCATGGCAAAGTCCTGTGACAGGAATACAGGCTGTAGGGGCAGTGGTAGTGAGCAGTCACGCTGGAGAGGTAGACAGGGCTGGACCTTGGAGCTCCTGGAATGCCCAGGTTCAGGACTCTCTCCTGAAAGCAGCAAGGGTTGTTGAAGGTTTAAACTGAAAGGACAAAGAGCCCAGAGATGGGTGCAAGTAGGCAAGTCACTTGAGTACTGTGCCATGTGAGACATGCCTCCTTGATGGGGAGACATAAGGCACAGCTGTGGGATTGAGGGCAGCTGACAATTCTTTGGGAGCTCAGAAAGGCTTTTGGAGGGACTTGAGGATGAGAAGGAGGTTTCCAGATGGCAGAGTGGGAAAAGGCACTTCATGCAGAGGGCGCAAATGCCCAGTGGTCTGAAGCTGCATGGTAAGTTTGGGGCACAATGAGGTGCCTCATGAGATTGGGGCATCACAGGGCACAGGGTGGGAGGATTAAGAGAAGAGGTCAGACAGGCCAGCCTCCCACCCACAAACCCTCCTCTTTCTGTCTCCCAGGGCGGAAAGATCCCCATCCGCTGGACAGCCCCGGAAGCCATCCAGTACCGGAAGTTCACCTCGGCCAGTGATGTGTGGAGCTACGGCATTGTCATGTGGGAGGTGATGTCCTATGGGGAGCGGCCCTACTGGGACATGACCAACCAGGATGTAAGTCTCCAAGGGGATAGGCAAGGCCTCTCTGGCCCACCAGATGGGAGAGGGAAGATCGGGGCTCCTGGCCTTGTGCCAGTCTCCCAGAGTGTGGGACATAGGCTTCTGAGATCATGGGCCTGGCTCCCAGGGCAGCTGCCAGCCCAATGGTGGCTGATTCGAATGTCTGCACAGGACTCTGGACTCTCCAGGGGGTAGGAAGTAGGAAAGGCCACCCATCCACACATCAGCACGTCTTCAGGACGCATGCACCTGTGGCCAGCCCCAAATGAGACCACATCTGCCCTTCAGGTGTTCACCACCTAACTGGGGGACAAGACGATTATTCAGGGAACCAGATGTTATGATCAGGAGCTTTTACGATCAGGTGCTAAATCAGAGTAGCCTGGAGGCACTGAGGCACCGGCAGCATGGGCAAGATCAGCCAGGAAGTGATCGCAGGACAAGTGGGGTTCGAAAGGTCGCAGGACATGGAGACTTGAGGGCTTCCAGTGGGAAAGAACAGTGTGTGCAAAGGCTGGGGTTGGCTAATGCGGGGTTGAAGCCAAACCAAGGGATCTCCATTAGCAAAAATGAAGACAGGAAGGACTCGAAGAAACTTCTTACACAGGGAGGGTGACCCACAGTTGAGCTGTGGAAGGTGAATCTGGCCATGGTGGCAGGACAGGCTGAGAGGGGTGTTTGGATGCATTTCCTTGACAGAGAAGCAGGTGGAGATGGTGGGAGGGAGCCCCAGCCAGGCTTGAGGCCATGGTGTGGGCCTGATAGAGGGAGGTATCTCACACCTGGAGCTGTAAATGGCACTAAAATCAAGCATGTGGCCATGTGGGGTCAAGCAAGGAGGCAGACTGGGGAGGCCTTGGGGTCATCCAAGCCAAGAGGGGGCTCACAGGATGGGAGGAGCTGGTGGAACCAGGCACAGGAGGATCATCTTGGTGGACCCTGGGGAGAAGCTATCTCAGGGCACTGGATTTCCCAAGATTGGCAAAGGGTGGGGCAGGAACCCAGCTGCCATGTCAGATTGAGGGTCTAGATGGTGGAAACCCAGGTCATCCCATCCCTGGGGCTGCCTCCAGGAGGTGAAAGTGGTTGCCACAGCAACTAAATAGGTCAGACGTGCAATGTACTGGGGGTAAGATGGGCCTGGCAGAGGGTAGACGCCCTCAGCCCATCCACCCAACCCCACTGCACTCCTGCATTGTCCCAGGTAATCAATGCCATTGAGCAGGACTATCGGCTGCCACCGCCCATGGACTGCCCGAGCGCCCTGCACCAACTCATGCTGGACTGTTGGCAGAAGGACCGCAACCACCGGCCCAAGTTCGGCCAAATTGTCAACACGCTAGACAAGATGATCCGCAATCCCAACAGCCTCAAAGCCATGGCGCCCCTCTCCTCTGGGTAAGGCCCCACCCTGGCCCTGCCCCAGCCAGGCCCTGCCCCTCTTCCCGTCTCCCATCCCTTCTGCCCCCACTTCAGGCAAATGCTCTTCCTTACTGCAGCTTGGGATGGGGAAGGACAGGACTAGTGTTTATTGGGTACCTGCCCTGCCTTAGGGGTGCAGGAGAGCAGAGGACGCAGACTGCCCAGAGGAAGAAAAGGACATATACCCTGTGGGTGCAGAGGAGGCATCTTTTAAAGCATGGTCAGAGAGGACAATGAAGAAAAATTACCAAAGGAAGGCCGGGAGAGATGGCTCACGCCTGTAATCCCAGCACTTTGGGAGGCTGAAGTGGGTGGATCGCCTGAGGACAGGAGTTCAAGACTAGCCTGGCCAACATGGTGAAACCCCTTCTCTACTAAAATTTATAAAAATTAGCCAGCCCCTGGTGGTGTGCACCTGTAATCCCAGCTACTCAGGAGGCTGAGGCAGGAGAATCGCTTGAACCCAGGAGGCAGAGGTTGCAGTGAGCTGAGATCGTGCCACTGCACTCCAACCTGAGTGGCAAGAGTGAAACTCCATCTAAAAAAATAAATAAATAAATAAATAAATAAATAAATAAATAATTACCAAAGGATCCAGAATCTTAGTTCGTGAATAGATATGCCTGTCACTAAGTTTCCTTCCTAGCTACCCTCACGCTCAAACCTGGACCCTCTAACTTCCATTTATAACTTCATCACACACATGCTAACACAAATCCAGTCCTACATGCACAGATGAACACACAATTAGGCACAAACACTCATGCCTCTTCACACACACAGTCTCAGGCTCTCACACCTACACACATCCATAGGCACCTGCACACACACACCCATTCAGAAGTTTGTACTCACCATACACCCATCTGTGCCCCCACACTGAGTCAGCATCCCCATGCCTGAGAGACGGGCTCAGCCTGAGGGGTGTTCACTTGGGGACCTGGTGCCTCCCTTCTCCTCAAGGCTCAAGCCTCCCAGGGCAGGCTCCATGAGGCAGCAGCTCTCCTCTGCCTTCCTTGGGTGGCTGTCACAGGTCACACTGCTGCCCCTGCACACACTTACTCCTCAGGACCCACAACCCCACAGGGTTTCAGAGGGGCATCTGGCCAGGTATACTTAGGATCTAGGGCTGGCTGTAGCCAAGTCCTTAGGAAGGACTTGGGCCAAAGTCCTTCTTCCAGCATGTTCTTATGAGTGGGAGATCATCATGCTTCCCTCTGCCTGTCTCTCCTCACCATGACCCTGTGTCAGCCACCCCTAACTCTCCAGATCAAATCCCTCTGAGCTTTAAACCTCATGAGAGCCATTTCACTCCTTGCCAGCCAAGAAGTCATTCCCATTAGCGCCACCAGCCTTAGCTGGGCTTTGGAGATACAGTCTCTGGACAGTCCAGAAGGTGAGCTTCCTATAGCACAAACCAGGGTGGAGAAGGATGGAGAATGGCACTGGGAGAGGAAACTGTGAATAACCAGAATAGTTAGTCTAGCTGAAATCCCTCCTCCTGAAAATAAGCATGGAGCTGCGTCTTCCCCTCCTCACTTCCGAGGTCCAGCCTCTTGGCCATCCCTGCAGTGCCTTCCCTAGACTTCCCAGTTGGCCCCAGCTTTGAGTTCTGCACACACACTCACTCTCGCATGCTCACATATATATGCGTGCATGTTTCCACAGGTTCAAACCCATGCCCGCAATCATGCAGAAATACTCACGTACATACCCCTTCACCTGTGTTCACATAAATGGATGCACACGTGCACATTCACGCATACGCAGCCTACAGGCATGTCCCTGCACGCTCCCTGCAAACAGGTGCCCTGACCATCTCTGTCGCCCACCCCCAACCCCAGCATCAACCTGCCGCTGCTGGACCGCACGATCCCCGACTACACCAGCTTTAACACGGTGGACGAGTGGCTGGAGGCCATCAAGATGGGGCAGTACAAGGAGAGCTTCGCCAATGCCGGCTTCACCTCCTTTGACGTCGTGTCTCAGATGATGATGGAGTAAGTGCCCAGCCACTTCTGCTTGTCACCTTAGCACCCCCTCTCCACCGGCCCCACCAGCCAAGTGGGGTGATCTGGAGGGTGAGGAATAGATCATGTCCCAATAGGGAAGCAGGGACCAAGGGGCAAGATGGCCAACTTTGGAGTCACCTGTGGACTGATACCCAGGTCTGCCTGCCACCTACAAGCTCTGTGACCTTGGTCAAATCATAGCACCTCCCTCAGCCTCCGTTTTCTCACCTACAAACTGGGGGTTGGTAGGAAGGTTGAGGGAGATATAAAGGAAGCGGGTGCTTAGAAAATGCAAGCTGGCAGCCGGGCACAGTGGCTCATGCCTGTAATCTTAGTACATTGGGAGGCCGAGGCGGGCAGATCACAAGGTCAGGAGTTCAAGACCAGCCTGACCAACATGGTGAAACCCCGTCTCTACTAAAATGCAAAAAATTAGCCACGCAAGGTGGCATGCACCTGTAATGCCAGCTACTCGGGAGGCTGAGGCAGGGGAATTGCTTGAACCAAGGAGGTAGAGGTTGCAGTGAGCTGAGATCACGCCACTGCACACCAGCCTGGGTGACAGAGCGAGACTCTGTCTCGAAAAAGAAAGAAAATGTAAGCTGGCTTCCCCCTCCCAATAGCAGGGGAGAGAAGGCCCCCTAGGGACCCTGATTCCGACTCAAGTGCTCTTCCACCTCACACCATAGTCGCTCCCTCCAGCTGTGGCTGCCTGCCCACTCCCCACTCCCCACTCCCCAGTACTCCTTGCTTTGCCATCTTCCTCCCGGGGAAGCCCAGGCAGCTCTCTACCAGGCACAGGACCCCTTCACCCGCATATTTCCCTAACACACGTGCTTCTCTCCCAAAGGGACATTCTCCGGGTTGGGGTCACTTTGGCTGGCCACCAGAAAAAAATCCTGAACAGTATCCAGGTGATGCGGGCGCAGATGAACCAGATTCAGTCTGTGGAGGTTTGACATTCACCTGCCTCGGCTCACCTCTTCCTCCAAGCCCCGCCCCCTCTGCCCCACGTGCCGGCCCTCCTGGTGCTCTATCCACTGCAGGGCCAGCCACTCGCCAGGAGGCCACGGGCCACGGGAAGAACCAAGCGGTGCCAGCCACGAGACGTCACCAAGAAAACATGCAACTCAAACGACGGAAAAAAAAAGGGAATGGGAAAAAAGAAAACAGATCCTGGGAGGGGGCGGGAAATACAAGGAATATTTTTTAAAGAGGATTCTCATAAGGAAAGCAATGACTGTTCTTGCGGGGGATAAAAAAGGGCTTGGGAGATTCATGCGATGTGTCCAATCGGAGACAAAAGCAGTTTCTCTCCAACTCCCTCTGGGAAGGTGACCTGGCCAGAGCCAAGAAACACTTTCAGAAAAACAAATGTGAAGGGGAGAGACAGGGGCCGCCCTTGGCTCCTGTCCCTGCTGCTCCTCTAGGCCTCACTCAACAACCAAGCGCCTGGAGGACGGGACAGATGGACAGACAGCCACCCTGAGAACCCCTCTGGGAAAATCTATTCCTGCCACCACTGGGCAAACAGAAGAATTTTTCTGTCTTTGGAGAGTATTTTAGAAACTCCAATGAAAGACACTGTTTCTCCTGTTGGCTCACAGGGCTGAAAGGGGCTTTTGTCCTCCTGGGTCAGGGAGAACGCGGGGACCCCAGAAAGGTCAGCCTTCCTGAGGATGGGCAACCCCCAGGTCTGCAGCTCCAGGTACATATCACGCGCACAGCCTGGCAGCCTGGCCCTCCTGGTGCCCACTCCCGCCAGCCCCTGCCTCGAGGACTGATACTGCAGTGACTGCCGTCAGCTCCGACTGCCGCTGAGAAGGGTTGATCCTGCATCTGGGTTTGTTTACAGCAATTCCTGGACTCGGGGGTATTTTGGTCACAGGGTGGTTTTGGTTTAGGGGGTTTGTTTGTTGGGTTGTTTTTTGTTTTTTGGTTTTTTTTAATGACAATGAAGTGACACTTTGACATTTCCTACCTTTTGAGGACTTGATCCTTCTCCAGGAAGAAGGTGCTTTCTGCTTACTGACTTAGGCAATACACCAAGGGCGAGATTTTATATGCACATTTCTGGATTTTTTTATACGGTTTTCATTGACACTCTTCCCTCCTCCCACCTGCCACCAGGCCTCACCAAAGCCCACTGCCATGGGGCCATCTGGGCCATTCAGAGACTGGAGTGAGATTTGGGTGTGGAGGGGGAGGCGCCAAGGTGGAGGAGCTTCCCACTCCAGGACTGTTGATGAAAGGGACAGATTGAGGAGGAAGTGGGCTCTGAGGCTGCAGGGCTGGAAGTCCTTGCCCACTTCCCACTCTCCTGCCCCAATCTATCTAGTACTTCCCAGGCAAATAGGCCCCTTTGAGGCTCCTGAGTGCCCTCAGATGGTCAAAACCCAGTTTTCCCTCTGGGAGCCTAAACCAGGCTGCATCGGAGGCCAGGACCCGGATCATTCACTGTGATACCCTGCCCTCCAGAGGGTGCGCTCAGAGACACGGGCAAGCATGCCTCTTCCCTTCCCTGGAGAGAAAGTGTGTGATTTCTCTCCCACCTCCTTCCCCCCACCAGACCTTTGCTGGGCCTAAAGGTCTTGGCCATGGGGACGCCCTCAGTCTAGGGATCTGGCCACAGACTCCCTCCTGTGAACCAACACAGACACCCAAGCAGAGCAATCAGTTAGTGAATTGAATGGAAATAAACGCTTTAGTTATAATATGACCCCTGTTCTCTGTAAGTTCCAAGGGAGACCTTGGTACCCTTGGGATGCACGTGACCCAGGTGCTAAGGGTTGCTCTTCTAAGCAGCCCTTCCTCCCTCAGGCTTCCAGAAAGCCCAGGGCAGAGAAAACACATGGAGAACGACAGCTCCACGTGGCCTTTCTGGCCCTGGCTTGTCAAAAGCACAGGCAACAAAGGAAGTGAGTTGGAAGTGGCTCAGAACTCAGCCTTCGATGCCCTGGGAATCAGGGTGAGCCCCTGCAGGTACATAAGTAGCAGAGAATTGACGAGAGTGCACTCGGAAGAGGGTCTGAGTGTCAGGTGAGCTGTCATAGTGGGAACGTGAGGGTCTTAGAGTGCTCATGTACCCCCAGGCACAGCCAACTCTGGTTTTCTCTGTGCAAATGAGCTCTTGCTCACATTAAAATCAGAATTGTCCACGTGGCAGGAGGAGGCAGGGAGATGGATGTGCCATGGATATCGGGTCTGGCTGAGGAAGGGGAGCCAAGGAGACTACCTCTCGGGACCTTTCCCAGATCCGAGGAGATGGCCAGTGAGAAAGATTCGGGCCACAGGCAGCCAGCTAGAAGCGCCACGGTCAGAGTGAACATCCAGCACAGCACAGCCCATCGTCTGTCACTCACCTGTTCCGGGAGCCTGAGCTGCAAAGGGAAGGAAGGGATTAGAGAGAAGTGTGGGCCCCCCATGGGGACAGCAGGGCAAGCCACAGGGAAAGCATTGGCAGGTTTCCCACAAACTGGCCGGCAGTGGCCCACTGGCCTTCACTTTGTGCCCCAAAGGTGCCCTGCGCGGGTGGCAGCTGTCTCGGCACACAAGGTCACCTTCTGGTGGGAGCTGCCCTGATGCTCTTTAGATTAGTTCTGTCTCCCCAGCCCACCCCCCAACTGTTCTGGGGCCCCACATGGGGCTGGCAGTCGGTGCTTCCCGTCAGATGGCTTCCTGTCCTAAGCCGCTGAGCTGGTGACCACTAGCCAGCATGTCTGCCCCTCCACCCTCCAGGGCCGAGGTCCTCAGTGGCCATGGCCCCCTGCAAACCTGCTTCCCAGAGCACAGGTGCTACCAGACCTCTGTGTCTCCACTTCAGGGTAACAAACAGATGTCACTGTGACTGTCCCAGGGGTACAGGCGCTGCTCACATCTCTTCCACCCCCACCCACCCACCCCACCCGCTACCGGGGCAGTCGCCCCGCCCCAACCTCTTGCTTGCTGCTCAGCGGGGAGTGGCAGGCCATGTTGCCAAGCGCCTTCCACTTACACCACCCGCTCACCCAGGCACACAGCTCTGAGCCACCCGCTGCCTGGTTACTAATCCTTTCCTGGCTCAACCTCCCCAAGTGCCAGCCCCCGCCTGCCCAGCAGTGTTAGGGGAGTTTCCGGCTGCTCTGCACACAGTTGGTACTGCAGGAAAGAAAGCTGCCTTGTAAACACAGGCCAGGGCACCGTGGAAATGGGGACCAGCTGCTCTGGGAGGGTGCAGCTAGCAGAGCTGTGCAGCGCCAGGCTGGGTAGGAGAGAGCCATGCTACCCACCCGCACCCCTACTGCTACGAAGCCCCCAGAATGGGTCATTGTTGGTGCTCAGCAGTCCTCTCCCTCGGGGATGATATCCAAAATATCAACTGCGAAGACTCGGGCAGACCAATCAGAATAGATGATGGCCTGAGTGCTGGACCAGAGGCCTCAGAGCAGGGACCCGGGTGGCGGGGCAGTAGGAGACACTTAAGGGACTCAGGGCTATGGCTGTTTACTAACCAGCAGTGCCTCTTACTCAGATGGCATCAGCTGAACTTTCCCCATCATTTCTAGTTGGTCCCCACCCTGCCACCATCTAGGGGCTTCTCTGCCACCACCTTGTGAGCAGTTGCTAGCCTCACACTCCTCTCCCATCAGGGGCTCATCTCCAAAAGGCTGGGAGCTCCCGCCCTGCCCAGTTAATCCTCCTGCCTCACTGAAGCACAGGAAGGACCCAGGCCCCAGACCATCACCCACCCCAGGGCTGGGCCCTGGGCCACTCCTGGCTCACTCCAGGGCCCCTGTTGTTTGAAGATGGTACCAAAGGCTGGAAGACTCTTGCTAGGGAAGATAACGTAAATGCATTCAAAAGACAGGGTACCACATGATGCTAGGGAAAGTGCGTCATGACCGCAGGGTAGCAGCCTGCTCCTGTCACTAGGGATGTGAATCTGGGGAGACACTTCCCCTCACTGAGCCATCTGTAAAATGAGAGCATTGGACTGGGTGAGGCAGGCTGTGCAAAACACTTATACACCTTAGTCCCATGAGGAAGGAGTATTCCCCCTGCATATTTTGGGGGGAAACTGAGGCTCAGGGGGATGAAGTACTTTGCTCAGGGTAACACAGCCAGGAAGGAGCAGAGCAAGGCCATGAGCTTTGGATTTTTCTGTTTCCAATGTCTCCTCTACCGTGCTCAATTAGATGATGAGAAACAGTTGGTGTCTGATGCTGGCCAATAAGAGAAAAGAAAGCTCAAGTGGGCTGGGGCTGTCAGGGAGGGCTTCATGGAGAGGCTGTCTTGAAAATGACAGAGGTCAAAAGAAAGGTCACTCCAAGACGCAGCTGCCAGAATGGTCCAACACAGTGAGGAGTTGTGTCTGGATGGGCCAGTGGAACGGGGGAAGTGAAGGTTGATATAAGTGGAGGTTGAGGCAGTTTAGGCGTGATGTACAGTCCAGCCACAGCAGGTTCTTGAGCAGGAGGGTAGCATAGTGAGCATCAGGTTCTAGGAAGAAGCACCAGTTCAGCCATCAGATGGGGCAGGATGCCTCCCAGCTACTCCTCTCCCCGAGAAGGAATTGCCCCCGGAGCGGCCCTCATTTATTCCAGGAGAAGCCAGGCCCTGCTGCTTCAGTTTCCATCCTCACTGACGCAGATAATCCAAAGAGTCACTTCAGCTGCTTGGAACAGCAGGGTTGGGTCTTGTGCTACCTGATTCTTAATTTGGCTGATGTCTACCCCATTTCCTCCAGGCTTCTCTAGAGGTGGCAGGGGTGGGGTGGGGAGAAAGCTGCCAGACACCAAAGGAGCTGAGCCTGGCGGGGGCGGGCGTGCGGGTGGGCATGAGAAATTGCTCAGGAAACCCATCCCTGCCCTGGTCACCCTAGTCCTGGAGAGATCACCCAGACATGTTGGAATGAGTCTGGGGTCCTGTCTTTTCCAATAATGTGTTATCCTGGGGAAACCCAGAGGGAAGTTGAGGGAGCCCCACTGTGCTGTGTGATGCTACATACGCATGCGAATACACCACCGGGTGGCCTTGACCCAGCCTTCTGCAAAATGGCTTCTGCCATCAAACTTAAGGTGGAGAATGGTCTTGCAGCTGCCAGTTTTTCCTTCAGAGAAACTAAGGTCAGAGTGTTGGCTGCAGAAAAGGACTTGGCCTTTGTCACATAACAGGAAAGAGAGTCAACTCCGGGCACACCCCCTCGGAGGCTAATCTCAGGAGGTTGGAACCACAGGGATTGCAATAATCGCTGAATACTTACCATATGCCAGGTGCCAAAGCATTATCCTCTCCACTTTATGAGTGAGGAAACTGATTCCCAGAGGTGATTCCCAGAAGATTCCAACCAGGCCATCTGTCTGTAGTCCTTCCTTCCCACCTCCTGGGATTTCTCAAAATGTTTGCCATCGCCCACCTGTATCAGAATCTCCTGGGCTATTTATTGTTTAACTTGCAGACTCCTGGGCGCCACCCCAACCCCCTAAATCAGAATCCCTGGGGTTGGGCCCAAGAGTCTCCATTTTTTGACAAGCTCCTCCAGGAGATTCCTCCAGACATGGAAATCCTCACTTGACTCTTCCCCCATAACAAACTGCCCTGATGTCTGCAGAGAGAGGGTCTGCTGTAGACAGGGATTAAGAAAAAGCAGGACATTTTCAGATAGGATGCCCAAACCCAGACGCAGATTAGGACCCATGAAGTAGGGGGTAGAGCTGACCCTCAGGAATGTGCCCAGACAGAGCTAAGCTTTCAGGAAAATTAGAAAGACCCTCAGACCCAGAGTCTGTCTGAGTTTAGCTTCGCAGCATGAAGGCTGCCTTGAGAAAGCTGATATAACAAGAAGCAGCAGAAATTTAATACTTTGGAGGGGCCCAGCAACCCACTCAGGGCCACCCTGGGAGACCCCACAGACCCCAAGGCTATGGTCCAGACCTGTTCACTCAACACCTGGCCAGGCGGGGCCTCCAGCTGGACCTAGAGCTACAGATGCCCCACCACCACTACCAAGCCCGGCTACCCAGACCAAGACACGGCTTTTCCTGGAGGAGAGAGAGAGCAAAGGCCCTGTCTCTACCCAAGACCTAACGGCCCCTGTTGAAGGAGAGGGAGCAGGAGAGGGAGGAGGGAGGAGGTCACAGCCAGGACCACATACACTCTTGGGGGCCCTGCTGAGACTGCAAGAGTCATGAATTCTAACGTTCCACAGGTGAAAGATTCCAAGATTCTAGGATTGCAAAACCCCATCATTCTAAGATTCCAATGGAATGATTCCATGTTTCTAAGATTCCATCACACTATGATTCTATGCTGCTAATTCTTGAAATTTCGAGTCTCATTGTTCGTTGCTGTTCCCCAGACCTGTGGGCCCTAGCATTTTTTTAAAAGCACAAAAAAAAAAGAGCAAGAAAGAGAGAAAGAGATGGGGAGGGAGACAGCTGAAAACAGATACTAAGAAAAGCTCCATCCCTTGGATCTGAGTTACAGATGCACCTTGGCAAGGGCCAAAGACCCTCCTTTTGAGTGGGGTGCAGAACGTCTTTCCCTGGTAGAGTGGCAGAATTGCATGCATCAGGCCTTCCTGGGGGTAAAAGGGGCTGGCTGTTCCAGGCTACAGCTGAGTAAAGCCCCACACAGGCCACAGTGCCCACTGGCTGGTGGACCTAGGAACCAAGCAGGGCCCCACTGGCTCAGTCTGGGGAGGGACTCATCTGGGGTGGAATTTCCCTCCCTGCAGCAAGGAAGCTGCAGGGCCAGGAATTTGCCTTGGGAGACCCCCACTGAGGAATATTTCCGAAGCAGAACCCCTTCCTATTCAGAGCCAGAGTCTTAACACTGGACAACCACAGGGTGTTGCTGCAAACTCCAGAGCCAGGTGCCTTCCCTCTGACATTTGGGACATAGCTTCCATGGCCACACAGCCTTCGCCCCCTTCCAAGACCCCCCTTGACCTTTCTAATCTTAGTCACTGCCTTCCAGAGCTGGGAGGCCACACGGCAGAGGTGCCTGTGAATCACTCCGTCATCAGCCTGGCCGCTTTCCCCTCTGTGGAGAGGGACTCTGATGGGCAGGGGGCACCAAGTTGAGCCTCTGAGGCTGGCCCAGCATAGGCCAGGCAGGGACATTCACTCACAACCAGCCTTTTTGGACTCTAGAGAAGAGTAATTACCACTTGGTCATGCCCAGCCCCCAAATCATAATCATAGCTGCTATTTCTTGAGTGCCAGCAATGTGCCAGGCACCGTGCCCAACTTTTTATACACAATGTCTTGCCTAATCCTCACACCTCTGTGAGACAGGTACAATTATTACTCCCATTCCACAGACTAGCAAACTCAGAGACGTGACATGGTGGCTCTCCCAGGTCACACAGCCAGTAAGTGGCCTCTGACCCCAGTACCCCCCACTTAATCACCATGCTATGCTGCTACCAGTGGTACACACTCAGCCCCTCTCCACTGTCAGATCCTTTGCCAGTCAAATCCCAGATCCCCGGGGGGGCACTGTGGCACCCTCTTTGAGCGTGGCCTCCCTGGAGCTGCTGTCAGAGCCATGGGCTGTGGGAGTGAGTGTGCACACTCCTTCTCCTGAAGTGTCTGCCCCAGCCTGAGCTATGCAGACCGGAGCTCTCAACCAGGGTATGGGGCTGTCTGGCAGGGTTTCCCAGAACCCTGTTTCCTGTGGTCATAAATATGGGTTTTCCTGACAATGTTGGGAGGTCAGGGACTGATACAGCTGGGGTTCCAACCGCCGTGGGTCAGACCTGGCTCCTCCGGACCCCACTGCTGTGACCAAGGAAATCTCACCAGCTGTGTCCAAGATCAACCCTGACCCTGTTACTCCAATGCCTTTGTAGGAGTATTTTTAGCAGAACCGTTTTTTTCCCAAAATAAATGTGAATTGTAAAAATTATCACTTGGACTCAGTATTTATTTTTCCTCTGAGGTTCCCCAGAGAACAAGTAGGAGCTCTCAGAGGCCCTGGGCAGGGTTCTGAAGTATGACTAGGAGTTTTCCAGGGCTAAGAATGGAGCTAGGCTAGGGCTGGGCCTGGAGCTGGAGTTGGGGTGCGGATTTGGCCTGGGCTAGGGTGGAGTGTTGACATAAAGCAGCTTTTAAGTGTTCTAAGAACACTCCGTTGTGTTTTAACAGTTTCAGCTCTGCTGTCAGGGGCTTAGAGTTCATATCCCAACTCTGCCATTTGTTAGCTGCCTTGCAGAGGTCACATAACTGTGCTGAGCTTCATTTTCATGTCTGTAAAACAAGGGCAATTGTTTCTAACTCCTAGAGTGTGGGTGAGGAGTCAGTGAGATAGAGCATGGAAAGCCTTGGCACTCACAGACATGAGCTATTATTATTGTGCTGAGCAGGAGGCCCGCGACGGCAGGGCCAATGTCTATCATACACTTTTGCTGTGTTCTTTGCAACCAAGACGATGCCTGCTGAACTAGTTCATTCTCACATTGCTATAAAGAAATACCCAAAACTAGGTAATTTATAAAGAAAAGAGGCTTAATTGGCTCACGGTTCTGCAAGGCTGTACGGGAAGCATGATTCTCGCGTCTGCTGGGCTCCTGGGAAGGCCTCAGGAAACTTACAATCATGATGGAAGGCAAAGGGGGAGCACACATGTCACCTGGTGGAAGCAGGGGCAAGAGAGAGAGGGAGGAGGTGCCACACTCTTTTAAACAACCAGATCTCACCATAACTCACTCACCATCACGATAACAGCATGGTGGGGATGGTGCTAACCCATTCATGAGAACTCTGCCCCCATGACCCAATCACCTCCTACCAGGCCTCACCTCCAACAATGGGAATTACAATTCGCCATGAGATTTGGTGGGGACACAGATCCAAACCATATCACTTGCCTCATGCTAGACACTCAATACATATTTGTCAAGTAGATATCAGAGACATTCAGTGAGGGTTCCATGGTCAAATACATTTGGCAAATTCTGGGGTAAGGCAAGTTAATCAGATTTCTTTGTCCCAGGATATTGCAGAGTCTTAAATATGGTAAAAGTGCAATGTGAATCTCTAAGAAGGTGTTACCATTTGCAGGCTTTCCCTCTGGGAGAGCATCTCATGGGACCAGTGTCCCTGGGAACACACTTGGGTAATGCTCTGGGAGTTGCAGGTTGATCTGGAGCTAGGGGTTAAAGTTAGGCCTGGAAAACACCATGGCATAGAGCCCAGAAAG
The DNA here is from genome assembly GCF_000001405.40 of Homo sapiens. Lineage (NCBI taxonomy): Eukaryota > Metazoa > Chordata > Mammalia > Primates > Hominidae > Homo > Homo sapiens. The sequence continues at coordinate 22,922,794 of NC_000001.11, forward strand.
GGATGGGAACCAGGAGGCTGTCCTCTGATTCACCATAATTGTAAGTTTCCTGAGGCCTTCCCAGGGGCCAAGCAGATGCCAGAACCATGCTTCCTGTACAGCCTTGCAGAATTGTGAGCTATGAGTGAATCATAACTCACTCATTCATTCATTCATTCATTCAAGAAGTACTTACTGAATTCCTACTGCACAAAAGTACTGCATTAGATGCCGTGGGGGAAACAAATGACTCCTGCCCCCAAGAGCTTATCAGGGCATTTGGGCCACTTCACTGCCCATGAATCAGGCACCCATGGAAAGCCAAGCACTAGGCTGGTGCTGGGAGCGCTGCAGTGAATGAGACCCATGCCTGCCCTCGTGGAAGTGCTCAGTCAGTGGAAGAGACCAGCAGGTACATGGGTCACTACAACGCAGGTGATGTGCATGGCATTCAAGGTGTCGACAGCTTCCGGGAAGGGAGCAACTAACCCTGAAGGACACCCCTTTGAGGAGCTGAGCAGGGTTCCAGAGCATGACTGGGAGCTCTCCAGGAAGCTGAGAGAGGATGGAGATGAGTATTCCAGGTCGAGGGAATGGCAGATGCAAAGGTATGAAGTCAAACACTGACGTAATATCTTTTGTGAATTTCTACGTGCTATGGTCTGAATGTCCGCAAAAATTCCTGTGTTGAGACATAATCACAAATGCAATAGTATTTAGTGGGGACCTTTAGGAGGTGATTGAACCATGAGGGCAGAGCCCTGGTGAAGGGGATTGAGGCCCTCTGAAAAGAGGCTTCACATCTTGGTCAGCTTGCTTGTTCTGCTCTTCTGCCACATGAGGACACAGAGTTTGTCCCCTTTGGCCCTTCCATCCCTTCCACCAAGTGAAGACACAGAGAAGGCACCGTCTATAAGGAGCAGGCCCTCATCAGACACTGAGCCTGTTGGTGCCTTGATCTTGGACTTCCCAGCCTCCAGAACTGTGAGAAATCAATTTCTGCTGTTTACAAGTTACCCGGTCTTGGGTATTTTGTCATAGCAGCAGAAACAGACTAAGACACTATGTAAGTAACACTGGCACAGAAGTGATTGCTAGATCAAACGTAATATATGACCCCTTATGGCTGTTCATAAAGCAGGCTGGCAATGCCACCAGATCCCTTAAGGAGGACAGTCTGTGACAGCTCATGGTGAGGTCAGCTGGTTCAGGCACCACACACAGGCACACAGCACGGGTGGCTCAGCTTGCAAATTCCAGGCCTTCCTTAGGTGTCCTGGGGCCTCTGACCCATCACCCAAGATGACTTCTGTCTCCCAGCCTGGTTCCTCTGAGAAGCCTGGATCCCCTTTCTATTTCCACCTGCCCCAGTTCCTGGACCAAACTGGGCTTTCCTTAGACTCTCCTTCCCATTCTGAGATCCAGTACAATCTCACAGGGGTCTACTCCCTGCTCAGGGACCCTGACCCAGGTCCCCAACTCCCAGCTCTCTCATCTAACCCTTATTGGCTCCTCTCAACCTTCTTCTCACCCTTCTCTCTCACCCCTGGGACAGCTGAGACCAATCTTTGCCCCTCCAGGCTCCAAATGGGCATCCACAAGTTCAGTCATTTCTCAGACACAGGGGCATCATGGCTGCCACAACAAAATGTCATCAAGGAGAAAAAGAGAAACAAGGGAGGGGCTGTTTCCCATAGTGTCTCACTGGGTTTGGAGTCATGGCTATGGAGACCCCACCCCCACCCCCATGGGACTATAGAAATGCTCTGCCCCTCCCCACCGCCCCGCCCCCCTCCACTCCTCCACCAAACCCATCAGATCAAAGTGTCTGCCTGGATCAGCCCTGCCCCAGAAACCCTGATGACACAGTGCAGGGGACCCTGGAGCCACCAGCACCCCCTACCCTCTACCAATCACACTTGCTGCGAGCACCTCCTTCCTTGCTGCCCCTGTGGATGGCACAAAGGTAAAACCAAGACTCTATTGCTACAAGCCAGGCACGGTGGCTCACGCCTGTAATCCCAGCGCTTTGGGAGGTTGAGGCGGGTGGATATCTTGAGGTCAGGAGTTTGAGACCTGCGTGGCCAACATGGTAAAACGCTGTCTCTACTAAAAATACAAAAATTAGCCAGGTGTGGTGGTGGGCGCCTGTAATCCCAGCTACTTGAGAGGCTGAGGCAGGAGAATCGCTTGAACCCGGGAGGCAGAGGTTGCAGTGAGCCGAGATCACACCACTGCACTCCAGCCTGGGCAACAGAGAGACACTCCATCTCAAAAAAAAAAAAAAAAAAAAAAAAAAAAAAAAAAGACTCTATTGCTACAGCACTGTCCCTGGTGATGGTGAGTCCCCAGGCAGCAGAAACCGTGCTGGAGTTGACCCCATCTCCTTCCCTCAGCCCCCCAGCCCTACACACTCACACACATCCATAAACACCCACTTTCAGCCAGAGGCACTGCACATTTACACACACTCATTTGTAAGCAACTCCTACGGTGCACACAGTCATGTTGTCAGCTGCACACAGACACACATTCACACACAAAGCCGTGACATCCCTCCCGCCCCACATCCGCGTGTACACACAGGCACACAGATGCAGGCTCATGCTCAAACTCAGCCCCGCACTCTGCTCGCATCACATGTACACATACTCAGCCTCTGTCATCACAACAGAGAACATTCTCCAACACTACTCCACATCAGGCACCGTTCTGAGTGTTTTCCCTGTATCATCCTGCTTAATCCTCTAAACTCGTGCTTTTCAAATTATTTGTGGTGGAAGACTAGATTTGTTTTTCCTTTTTTATTTAACATTTTTTATTATTTTTAGAGATGACATCTCACACTGTCGCCCAGGATGGTGTGCAGTGGCATCATCATAGCTCACTGTAGCCTCGAGATCCAGGCTCAAGTGATCCTCACCACCTCAGCCTCTCGAGGAGCTGGGACTACAGGTGTACCCCACCATGCCCAGCTTTTTTTTCCCCCAACCTGTTGAGGATCCACTAGGTGGTATGACTGTGAAATCAACACCCAAACTTGTCCAACACCCAAACCCTGTTCCACAAGGCCAGAGTCCACCAGTCACATGTTTGGATGCCCTGGCAATGTCAGGATGTCACACTAGGTTCTAAAATGTCTGTACCTATCTTGTGTCGTACACGGGTAACAAATAGTTCTAGGACAGGCAACATTCCTGCCTATATTTTAAGTGGCACTGCCCTAAAGCACCCAAGAAAGTAAACAACTGTTATCATCCCCATCTCACAGATGGGAAAACTGAGGTGCAGCGTTTTGTTTTTTGTTTTTTGGGGTTTTTTTTTGAGACGGAGTCTCACTCTGTTGCCCAGGCTGGAGTCCAGCGGCACGATCTTGGCTCACCACAACCTCCGCCTCCCGGATTCAAGCAATTCTCCTGCCTCAGCCTCCCGAGTAGCTGGGACTACAGGTGCGCGCCATCATGCACGGCTAATTTTTTGTAATTTTAGTAGAGATGGGGTTTCACCATGTTGGCCAGGCTGGTCTCGAACTCCTGACCTCGTGATCCACCCGCCTCGGCCTCCCAAAGTGCTGGGATTACAATCATGAGCCACTGCGCCCAGCTGAGGTGTAGCATTTTGAAGAAACTTGCCCACAGTTACACAGCTAGCAAGGGCAGGAGCCAGGATTCGAACCCAGTGGTCTGCTCTAAAACTCCGCTATCTCAGGTCCCTCCACACTTGGACACAGAGTTCCACTCACACACACAACAGAAGACACCTGCAAACAGAGAGGGGCAAGCACTCCCAACATAAGCACACACATACAAGCATGTATCCATCCACTGCAGTAAACACACGTACACACAAAGACATACAGCCACAAGTAAACAGATGTGTCTGTTTTGCTAACCAAGAAGTTCCCCAGTGCCGGCACAGTGGCTGACACACAGTAGGCACTTAGAAAATATTTCCAAATAAATCAATACCCTTGTGCTCATTCACCTTCCTACCCACGATGACACATGAACACATGTGCACAGACTCTCATGCATGGAGACATTCAGGGAGGGTTCCATGGACTAAACAGCGGGTTAAGAGCAGTCTTTGGGTTCAGGTATATGACAGTTCAAATCCTGTCTCCATCATTAATGCTGTGTGACACAGGGAAGTCACTTCACTTCTCTAAGCCTCAATGTCATCATCTAGAAAATGGAGATTAATTCATTTTTTTAATTTTTTAGACGGAGTCTCCTCTGTTGCCAAGGCTGGAGTGCAGTGGTGCAATCTCGGCTCACTACAACTTCTGCTTCTCAGGTTCAAACGATTCTCATGCCTTAACCTCCCAAGTAGCTAGGATTACAGGCACACACCACCACACCCGGCTAATCTTTGTTTTTTTGTTTTTTAGTAAAGATGGGGTTTCACCGTGTTGGCCAGGCTGGTCTTGAACTCCTGACCCCAAGTGATCTGCCTACCTCGGCCCCCCAAAGTGCTGGGATTACAAGCATGAGCCACCACACCCAGCCTAATTCATTATTTTCTGAGCAAATATTTATTGGCTGCCCATAAGCGATGGTCAGTTCACCAGGTACTGGAAATAGAGCAGTGAGCAAAACAGACAAAAACGCTTGCACACACAGAGCTCATGTCCTACTAGGGGCAGATAGGCACTTAAACAATCAAACACAATATATTAGGTGGGGAGGAGGCCACGAAAAAATTAGCAGGAAAGGCTTTGGGGAGTTCTTGAGCGGGATTGCAATTTTAAAATAGACAGAATGGACACAGAAGAGCACATAATCTAAGATCCCGTTTGTATGAAGATCAAGAAGAGTTCATCAATGGTGATAGAATTCATAAGAATAGTTACTTCTGGGAAGTGTGGAGTGGAACCTTACAGAGGGGCTGGAAATGTTCTACTTCTTGACCTAGTTGGTGGTTGCACAGGTACAGGCATACGTAAAAAAGAAAAAAAAAACAGGCACAAAGATTAGTGCACCAGACACATTTTTGTACATTATCCCTCAGTTTACAAAAACAGGATGGTCAGGGAAGGTCTCATTGAGAAGATGACATATGAACAAAGAAATGACTGAAGGGGGCCAGGTATGGTGGCTTGCACCTGTAATCCTAGCACTTTGGGCGGCCAAGGCGGGTGGATCACTTGAGGCCAAGTGTTTGAGACCAGCCTAGCCAACTTGACGAAATCCCATCTCTATTAAAAGTAGAAAAATTAGCTGGATGTGGTAGGCATGCCTGTGATCCCAGCTACTGAGGAGACTGAGGCAGGAGAATCACCTGAACCCGGGAGGTGGAGGTTGCAGTGAGCTGAGATAGCACCACTGCACTCCAGCCTGGGCAACAGAGCAAGACTCTGTCTCAAAAAAAAAAAAAAAAAAAAAGAAATGGCTGAAAGGGTGAGGGAGCAAGCGAGTGGCTCACCGGGGAAGTGCTTTCCAGACAGAGGGGACAGCAGGAGCAAAGGCCCTGAGGCCAGAGGATGCCTGGAGTGCTCAAGGATCCGCAAAGAGGCCAGGATGCCTGGAGCAGAAAGAATAAGGGGGAGAGTATGGAGAGCTGGGGTCCTCTGTGGACCATGAGGGGAACTTGCACTTTTCTCCGCATGAGATGAAAGCTTGTGGAGTGTCTGAGAGCACCAGTGCCGTGATCTGACTTTTAAAAGGATTGCTCTGATTGCCTTGCAGAATGATGGTGGGGGGATGTATCAGTCAGGATTCTCCAGAGAAACAAAACCGGTACGATATACATTAAAAGATTTATTTCAAGGAATTGACTTACCCAAATCAGCTAGCACATCCAGAATCCGTTGGGTGGACCAGCAGGCTGGAATCTCTCAGGCAGGAGCTGATGCTGCAGTACAGAGGCAGAATTTCTCCTTCCTTAGGGAAACCTCAATTTTGTTCTTAAGGCGCCTTTTGCTGATTGGATGAGGCCCACCCAAATTACTGAGGATAATCTCCTTTACTTAAAGTCCACTGACTGTAGATGTGAGCTACATCTACAAATACCTTCACAGCAACACCTGGATTAGTGTTTGAATTATTGGGTTCTACAGCTTAGCCAAGATGACACAGAAAACCAACCATCACGGGGAGCCAGGGGAGAAGCAGGGAGACAGTTAGGATATAACGGTAATAACCCTAGAGGGAGAGGAGAGTGGCTTGGAACAGGGCAGCAGGAGCAGAAGTGGTGAAAAGCGATGGGTTCCAGGCACAGTATGAAGGTCAAGCCAGCAGGATTTGCTGATGGATTGGATGTGGGTGTGAGAGAAACGGGACCAAAAAGTCCTCCAAAGTGTCTGACCTGAGCAACAGGAAACATGGAGCTGCCACTAACTAAAATGAGGCAGACTGCAGGAGGAGCCGGTTTAGGGGAAGATGGAGAATTCCATTTTAGACATAAGTTAGAGATGCCTCTTAAACATCAAGCAGGCAATTGAATATATGAGTCTGGAGGCAGAGGAGTAAATCTGGAGTCTGGGATTTAGCCAGATGAGTCTGGCAAAGCCAGAGCGGAACCAAGGAGATAAGAGTAAATGCGAGGGTGACAATAGCGGCCGGGCGCGGGCTCACGCTGTAATCCCTGCCCTTTAGGAGGCCGAGGCAGGCGGATCACCTGAGGTCAGGAGTTCAAGACCGGCCTGGCCAACACGGCGAAACCCCATCTCTACTAAAAATACAAAAATTAGCCAGGCGTGGTGGCGTGCACCTGTAATCCCAGCTACTTGGGAGGCTGAGGCAGGAGAATCGCTTGAACCTGGGAGGCGGAGGTTGCAGTGAGCCAAGATCATGCCACTACACTCCAGCCTGGGTTACAGAGTGAAACTCTGTCTCAAAAAAAAAAAAAAATGAGTGACAATAGCAATACACCTTGGGGCCAAAGGTAGGTACAGAGCGCAAGGCAGCATGACGGATGAGGACAAGGCAAAGGTGTGGGACCAGTGCATTTGTTATTGGGGTGCAGGGGGAGATTGTTGGAAAGAGGAAGCTGGAGGAAGTGACTTAGGAATATGAGAGGTAGTAGTTGGAAATCGGGGTCCTTAAAATTAAGATGATTGAGAGGCTGCTGTTGTTAAGTCAAGGGAATGACCACAGGACACAGGAGGTAGGATAGATGGCAAGCAAGGAGCTCAAGGAACCCAGGGGCAGGGTGTCAGCAGCATCATCCTAGATGGTTATTAAAAGCACCAAGAATTCAGACCCAGCCAGGCGTGGTGACTCACACCTGTAATCTCAGCACTTTGGGAGACCGAGGGGGGCAGATCATTTGAGCCCAGGAGTTCAAGACCAGCCTGGGCAACATGGCAAAACCTCATCTCTACCAAAAAAACAAACAAAAAAAAAAAACACCAAGACAAAAAATTAGCCAGGTGTGGTGGTGTGCACCTGTAGTCCCAGCTACTCGGGAGGCTCAGGTAGGAGGAGGAGGCAGGAAGGGCAGGGGGGTGGAAAGTCTCCCTGATGGCCTGAGAGTCAAGCTGGGAGTGCTAACCCTCCACCTTGCAAGGCCTTCGTGAGGGCTAAATAGGCCCACACTATGTAGGGAGGGCTAAATAGGGCTAATGGGTGGCCACAGTGCCCAGCAGACAGCCTGGCACATAGTAAAGGCTCTGTAAGCGCTACTCCCTGTGACCCCCTAGAAGCAGCCCTGCACTGACAGTGGGGGATGGGAGGCGGGGCAGGGATGGAGGCTGAGTTTGGCCTTTTTTCCATGGAGCCGTTCTGCCCCCTGGGGGATGGGGCAGGCAATGGCCGGAGCTGAGCCCCAGAGAGAAGTATTTTATAATATCCTGGGGTAGGTGGGGAGCGGTGGGTATTTGACTCCCTGCCCCCGCCCCTACCCTGACTGGGAGCCAGGCCAATGTGTGAGGAGCTAGAGATACAGTGATGGGGCAGGAAGCAGAGAAGGTCGAATCAAAGATTATTCCCCTATCAGCTGCCCTGGGTACCCCTTTCAAAGGCCCCACTTCTGACTTATTAATTAATAATACTGGTTGGGCCCGGTGGCTTACACCTGTAATCCCAGCACTTCGGGAGGCCAAGGCAGGAGCATCACTTGAGGCCAGGAGTTCAAGACCGGCCTGGGCAATGTGGTGAAACCCTGTCTCTACAGAAATTTTTAAAAATGAGAAATAATAGTAATAATAATGTATGCCAGCTCCAGGCTACTGGCCTCAGAATTTCTCTACATGAAGAACTCGGGAGCAGCCAGTCACTGGGGTGAAGAACTAGGAGACTGGTCTTGCAGTTGGAGTTACCTAGCCAGGGTGCTGTTTGTCTTCAGATGGCGAGTTTGTTGGAGGCAGTCTGGGGAGGGTCAGCCAATGGACCCCGCCAACCATGACACCTCCATCATATTTCATCACTGAATGTTATGACCACCTAGATGGTTACTACCAGGGTGGACTATTTCAGGTTTAATAACCAACTTCCGACTGTAGTTACTGGATGCTGGTTGACATTCCTGTTTAAGTTAAGAAGGTAAGATAAAAAGTGAGGCCGGGTGTGGTGGCTCACGCCTGTAATCCCAGCACTTTGGGAGGCCAAGGCAGACAGATCACGAGATCAAGAGATCGAGACCATCCTGGCCAACATGGTGAAACCCTGTCTCTACTGAAAATACAAAAATTAGCCGGGCATGATGGCGCGCGCCTGTAGTCCCAGCTACTCGAGAGGCTGAGGCAGAAGAATTGCTTGAACCCAGGAAGCGGAGGTTGCAGTGAGCTGAGATCGTGTCACTGCACTATAGCCTGGCAACAGAGCAAGACTCTGTCTCAAAAAAAAAAAAAAAAAAACATAAAAAGTGAAATAGGCCAGGTGCAATGGCTCATGCCTGTAGTCTCAATATTTCGGGAGGCCAAAGCAGGAGGATAGCTTGAGCCCAGGAGTTTGAGACCAGCCTGGGAAACATAGTGGGACCCTATCTCTACCAAAAAAAAAAAAAAAAAAAAAAAAAACATTTTTTTTAATTAACTGGGCATGGTGACATGTGCCTGTAATCCCAGCTACTCAGGAGACTGAGGTGGGAGGATCATGTGAGCCCAGGTCAAGGCTGCAAGGAGCCATGATCGTGCCACTGCACTCCAGCCTGGGCGACAGGCTAAGACCCTGTCTCAAAAAAAAAGTGAAACAATAAAGATTATGTTGGAACTTCATTCATTCCTCAGTGACATAAGTGATTTCTATTACAGAATTTAATTTTTATTTACTTATTTATTTATTTTGAGACAGAGTCTCACCTGTAGCCCAGGCTGGAGTACAGTGGTGCAATCTCGCTCACTGCTACCTCCGCCTCCCGGGGCCCCGTTCAAGCAATTCTCCTGCCTCAGCCTCCCTAGTAGCTGGGATTACAGGCACGTGTCACCTTCCCAGCTAATTTTTGTATTTTTAGTAGAGACGGGGTTTCACCATGTTGGCCAGGCTGGTCTTGAACTCCTGACCTCGTGATCCACCCCCCTCGGCCTCCCAAAGTGCTGGGATTACAGGCATGAGCCACCGCACCCGGCCTAGAATTTAATTTTTAAAGATGACATTAACAACTGGCTCCCAAAATTCCTGGAAATGTACCAGTTGGCTCTCAATATCCAGTGTGAACTATCTCTCATGCAACACCGGGCTGTTCTCCCATTTCACAATGGTGGAAACTGAGGCTCACAGAGATGGGGTATCTCAAGCGCTGAAGGTCAAGCTGAATGTGGCCTGGTTGGGGCAACACCCAGGTACATTTTGCTCTTACGCTGAGTTCTTTCAACTGTTTCCTAGATTTTCAAACTCCCTTCTCAGAAAATTCCAGCATCTTCTCTCCCCATGTCTTCTCTGCATCCCTAGAGCTCTTCAGTGCGATACACAGAATTTCTTCTTCCTCCTCCTCCCTCTTAGAAACCAAATTTCTGGCAAACGCAGCCTGAGGCTGAATCCTTCTTCGCAGCTTTACAGGGTCACTAACTCTGGAGTGAGCCTCAGGGGCCATGAAGGAGCCCCTGGGCCCAAGGGAGAATGACAGGTGCCCAGCCCAGCCAGCACACACTCAGGTGACCCAATAAACCCATCTTCAGTTCACACTCCTAAATCCCACAAGGATTGGTACAGAGAGTTATAGAGACCTAGAGACCTGTGTTGGGATCCCACTGATAAACTTGTGACCTTGGCAAGTCAGCTCACTTCTCTGAGCAAAATGGGGTTTCTAATCCCCACCCTCGGGATTGCTATGACAATTATCTAACAGCTGCCTTCCTTCTTTCCCCAGTGTCCTTAAATGGTGTGATTCACTGGGTGCCAGGGGCCCCTCACTTATCCCCAATGTCTGGAATTGCACCATTAAAGGGTCATATCTTGGGTTTTTAGCACTGCCTTCTTTCATCTGTTCTTTTTCAATCCTACCACTCCTGGAGAAATAGCTGATAAATCCTGCGCACCCTTAGGAGTGAGTTGATCCAGGCTTCCTCCCTGCCCGAGGCCCTGGGGTCTTCCCCTTCACCATCTCTCTTCCTCCCCCAGGTGGGAAGGGGCTGAAGCCTGACCTCCCAGCTGGAGGCCACAGCCAGAGTCCTTGGCTTGGGTCTTCCCTCCACGGAGTCTTAATCTCCCCAGGTGGGGAAAGGAATCCTAACCCCTTGCTTTTCCTCTTCCCCTGCAGGGCCCCCAGGTTTTCTGAAGGGCTCCTTTTCTTTTCTGTCTTTTTTTTTTCTTCTTTTTTTTTTTTTTGTTTTTTTTTTTGAGACGGAGTCTCACTCTGTCACCCAGGTTGAAGCAGTGGCGCGATCTCGACTCACTACAACTGCCACCTCCCAGGTTCAAGCAATTCTCCTGCCTCAGCCTCTCAAGTAGCTGGGATACGCCCAGTGGGAGGATCGCTTAAGCTCAGGAGTCTGAGACCAGCTGGGCAACATAGTGAGACTGTCTCTACAAAAAAAAAGAAAAGAAAAGAAAAGAAAAAATAGCAGGGTGTGGTGGCACATGTCTATGGTCCCAGCTACTTGGGAGGCTGAGGCGGGAGGACTGTTTGAGCCCAGGAGGTCATGAGGCTGCAGTGAGCTGTGCACCAGTGCACTCCAACCTCAGCAACAGAGTAAGGCCTTGTCTCAAAAAAAAGCAGAAACAAAAAATCAGATTTACATGTTGTTTGAAACAAAAATTACATAGCTTAAAAATATTCAAAAACCTACCACATCTATGTCTTGGCAGGAAAAAGAAAAAAATATTCAAAAACCACTAGAATCCGTTTCACTAGTGATGAGATGTTTGCTAAGGACACTTCCAGCTCTAAGTCTTAGAATTTCTGCATTCAGACTGGGAGTGGTGGCTCATGCCTGTAATCTCAGCACTTTGGGAGGCCGAGGCAGGTGGATCACCTGAGGTCAGGAGTTCAAGTCAAGCCTGGCCAACATGGTGAAACCCTGTCTCTACTAAAAATACAAAAAATTAGCTGTGCGTGGTGGCATGCACCTGTAATCCCAGCTACTCGAGAGGCTGCGGCAGGAGGTTGAACTTAAACCTGGGAGGCAGAGGTTGCAGTGAGCCGAGATCATGCTATTGCATTCCAGCCTGGGCAACAAGAGTAAAACTCCATCTCAAAAAAAAAAAAAAAAAAAATCTGCATTCATAAAAGAAAGACTGTCAGGTCACAGGAAAGGGAGGGAGAATATTGCAGATGCTCTTGGAAGGATGGGGCAGGGCAGGTGAACCTCTTGTCCATGGCTACTTGAGTAGTAGATTCTGGAAGAATCAAAGAGCTTCCAGCTGTGTGACCTCGAACAAATTGCTGAACCTTCCTGGATCTCAGTTTCCTCTCCCTTGACACATGGGTGTATATTCCCTACTGCTGCTATCACAAATCACCACAAATACGGTGGCTCGAACTACACAAATGTATTATCTTATAGTTCTATGGGTTAGAAGTCCAGTGCAAGACCCGACAGGCTAACCTCAAGGTGTCAGCGGAGCTTGAGGTTCTAGGGGCTGTAGGGGAGAATCTATTCCCTTGCCTTTTCCAGCATCTAGAGGCTTCCTGCATTCCTTGGCTCATGGCCCCTTCTTCCTTCAAAACCAGCAATGTTGCATTTCTCTCTAACTGTTCTGTATCTCGTATTTCCTTCTGCCTGCATCTTCCACTTTTAAGGACCTTTATGATTACATTGAGCCCATCCCGATAATCCAGGATAATCTCCCTATTTTAAAAGTCAGCTAAGGGATGGGCACAGTGGCACTCCTGTACTCCCAGCACTTTGAGAGGCTGAGGTAGGAGGATCACTTGAGGCCAGGAGCTCAAGACCAGCCTGGACAACAAAGTGAGATCCCCCATCTCTGCAAAAATAAAAAATTAGCTGAGTGTAGTGGTGCACGCCTGTGGTCCCAGCTACTCAGGAGGCTGAGGCAGGAGGATCACTTGAGCCCAAGAGGTCAAAGTTGCAGTGAGCCATGGATCTTACCACTGCACCCTAACCTGAACAACAAAGCAAGACCCTGTCTGAAAGATAAATAAATAAATAAATAAAAATAAAAGTCAGCTGGTTAGCAACTGAATTCTACCTATATTTCCCTTTGCATGAACCCTAACATATTCAGAATCTGGAGATAAGGACATGGACATCTTTGAGGCACCATTATTCTGCCCACCACACGGGGTTACTTTCCCATGATATCAGAGCACTCTCCAACCTGCTCAATAACAGAGCCTCCTTTTGAGTCAGGAAAATAGGGAAATAGGGTAACCAGGGGTTAAGGCATAAGCAAAAGAAGAGCAGGTGCAGCCAGTTCTAGGCAAGATTAGCCAACAGACAGGCCACATCCTCACTCAGGTGGTAACAAGACAGAAGTTTCCATGTCAGCCTCTGATTGACTGAGGGCCAAGCCTCCACTTCAATCTCTGATTGGTCTCTGGCCAATCCTTCATAGGCTGTAGCCAATTGGAGGCCTCTAAATGGCACCTAGGGGTGTTACCAAATTCTTTTAGCTTAATAAAAACCCTAATGGTGGGGGAGTGCCTCTTGAGCCACTTGCTCCGGCCTGCACTTACTCTGCGGAATGTACTTTTGCTTCAAGAAATCTGTGCTTCCGTTACTCTGTTCTTTTGTTGCTTTGTGTATCCTGTTCAATTCTTCATTCAACATGCCAAGAACCTGGACAACTCACAGTCAAGACCTTCCATCTGGTAACACTTTGATCCCCCTGGGGAGGCCCCTGCAAACACCAGTATCTCTAGGGAAGGGCCCGGGATAGTGTCATTCCGCACATGCCCCCATCTTTCTGTCCCCGCTCCCCTCTCCAACCACAACCTGTAATTATTCCTACAAAGTCCAGGTCTCCTTCAGCTGCCTCAGGTAGCCACAGTAGCTATTTAACTCTGACTTGTGCTAGACATTGTGCTATGGGTTTTAAATACATGATCTCATTTAATCCTCACAGCCAACGAAGGGAGCAGTATTAGTGCTATTCTCATTTTATAGGTGAGGAAACTGAAGCTCAGAGAGGTTAAGTAGTCTACCAGAGAACCACTAAGTGGTGGAGCCAGGACTGACAATACACTGTCCTGCCCAACACAGGCCCGAGGAACCTTTGTCCCTCTGTAAACAGATTCTTAATTCCCCACAACCCAGATCACCAACCAGACTGGCATTTTTGACAAGGCCTTACTGAAGGTCCAAGAATAATGGAGCAATGTTCAGCAGGGAGAACACAACCCCAGGACCACCAGAGAGTGGGTCTCAGGCCCCCCAGGCCCAGCCCCAGCCTTGGACCCCTCCCTCCCACACACATACTCCACGCATGAGGCAGTGGACGGCCCACCCCACCAACAAGGGGTACCTGGAGCTGCCCCACTTTCTGAGCCACACCTAACCTTTGCAAGGTCCAAGAAGAAGAAGACATCTGCCCTCCACATGCAGCTGAGATGACCAGTCTCAGTGCACAAGTGCAGGTATGAAACAAAAGACACATTTGTATGTCCTTTGATGCAATTAAATCCAGCGAGCCCCCATCCTACCGGGCTGGTAGAAAACTTGACCTTTGTAATTACTGGACTCCTCCTCAGACTTGTGCAAAGGTCCAGGGGCCTTTTGCAGAGCCACCATTGGCCCATATGGATGCCTGCTCTGGGAGGACCTGGATTTGCACCAGGACACATGCCAAGTGGCATATGGGCTGGAATTCAGCCCCTGCATTCCCACTGGGCACCCTGGGTGCTGCTCTGGAAGCTGCCTGCCTCCACCTCACTCCAGTCTGAGGATATCTCCTTCTCTCCCTCAGTGCCTTCCAAAGGTGCTCCCCTCCCTGCCTACCTTGCAGAGCTCTTTTTGCAAGTTTAGGCTCTGACCAAAAGAGTAGAGCAACTGCCTGTAAGTAGCTTCTCTTCCACCCAGCAAGATTCCCAGAGTGAGAAGAAAAAATACTAAAGCCCTGGCAGTTTCCTTTAAAAAAGAGAAAGATGGCCTGGCGCAGTGGCTCACACCTGTGATCCCAGCACTCTGGGAGGCCAAGGCAGGAGGACTGCTTAAGCCCAGGAGTTCGAGACCAGCTTAGGCAACAAAGTGACACTTTGTCTCAACAAAAAAAAATTTTCTAAATTAGCCAAGCATGGCATGAGCCTGTGATGCCAGCTACATGGGAGACTAGGGTAGGATTGCTTGAGCCCAGCAGCTTGAGGCTGCAGTGAGCCATAATCGTGCCTGTCTCAAAAAAATAAAAACAAAACAAAGCGATATCCTGTCTCAAAAACATAAAAACAAAATAAAATAATTTTCAAAAAGAAAAAAATATAGTGAGAACAAACACAAATTAACTTTTTTTCTTTTTGAGACAGGGTCTCCTTCTGTTGCCCAGGCTGGAGTGTCGTGGTGAGATCAATGCTCACTGCAGCCTTAATCTTCCAGGCTCAAGTAATCCCCCTACCTTAGCCTCCCTAATAGCTGGGACCACAGGTGTGCATCACCACACCCAGCTAATTTTTTAAAAAAATTTTCTAGACACAAGGTCTCACTATATGGCCTAGGCTAGTCTCAAACTCCTGGACCTTGGCCTCTCAAAGTGCTGGGATTACAGACATGTGCCATTATGCCTGGCCTAATTCTTGATATATTATCCTGCTCCACACTCATAAACGCAAAGGCTCAGTGCAGTTTACATCAGTGCTGTTCATGACTCAATTTTGGTTGGGTACCTCATAACTGTTCCAGTTTTCTCTTGTCGTGTAATAAAGAACTTCAATACTTAGTGACTTAAAACAAACAGTAATTGCATTATTAATTATCAACTAGTTGAATGTTGTTATTGTAATTCATTCATTGCATTATTATTCATATTAATTATTTTATTTTTTCTTATTATACTTTAAGTTTTAGGGTACATGTGCACAACGTGCAGGTTTGTTACATATGTATACATGTGTGCCATGTTGGTGTGCTGCACCCATTAACTCATCATTTAGCATTAGGTATATCTCCTAATGCTATCCCTCCCCCTTCCCCCACCCCACAACAGTCCCCAGTGTGTGATGTTCCCCTTCCTGTGTCCATGTGTTCTCATTGTTCAATTCCCACCTATGAGTGAGACAAGGCGGTGTTTGGTTTTTTGTCCTTGCGATAGTTTGCTGAGAATGATAGTTTCCAGCTTCATCCATGTCCCTACAAAGGACATGAACTCATCATTTTTTATGGCTGCATAGTATTCCATGGTGTATATGTGCCACATTTTCTTAATCCAGTCTATCATTGTTGGACATTTGGGTTGGTTCCAAGTCTTTGCTATTGTGAATAGTGCCGCAATAAACATATGTGTGCATGTGTCTTTATAGCAGCCAGATTTATAATCCTTTGGGTATATACTCAGTAATGGGATTGCTGGGTCAAATGGCATTTCTAGTTCTAGATCCCTGAGGAATCGCCACACCGACTTCCACAATGGTTGAACTAGTTTACAGTCCCACCAACAGTGTAAAAGTGTTCCTATTTCTCCACATCCTCTCCAGCACCTGTTGTTTCCTGACTTTTTAATGATCGCCATTCTAACTGGTTTGAGATGGTATCTCACTGTGGTTTTGATTTGCATTTCTCTGATGGCCAGTGATGATGAGCATTTTTTCATGTGTTTTTTGGCTGCATAAATGGCTTCTTTTGAGAAGTGTCTGTTCATATCCTTCGCCCACTTTTTGATGGGGTTGTTTGTTTTTTTCTTGTAAATTTGTTTCAGTTCATTGTAGATTCTGGATATTAGTCCTTTGTCAGATGAGTAGGTTGCAAAAATTTTCTCCCATTCTGTAGGTTGCCTGTTCACTCTGATGGTGGTTTCTTTTGCTGTGCAGAAGCTCTTTAGTTTAATTAGATCCCATTTGTCAATTTTGGCTTTTGTTGCCATTGCTTTTGGTGTTTTAGACATGAAGTCCTTGCCCATGCCTATGTCCTGAATGGTATTGCCTAGGTTTTCTTCTAGGGATTTTATGGTTTTAGGTCTAACATGTAACTCTTTAATCCATCTTGAATTAATTTTTGTATAAGGTGTAAGGAAGGGATCCAGTTTCAGCTTTCTACATATGGCTAGCCAGTTTTCCCAGCACCATTTATTAAATAGAGAATCCTTTCCCCATTGCTTGTTTTTGTCAGGTTTGTCAAAGATCAGATAGTTGTAGATATGCGGCATTAATTCTGAGGGCTCTGTTCTGTTCCATTGGTCTATATCTCTGTTTTGGTACCAGTACCATGCTGTTTTGGTTACTGTAGCCTTGTAGTATAGTTTGAAGTCAGGTAGCGTGATGCCTCCAGCTTTGTTCTTTTGGCTTAGGATTGACTTGGCAATGCGGGCTCTTTTTTGGTTCCATATGAACTTTAAAGTAGTTTTTTCCAAGTCTGTGAAGAAAGTCATTGGTAGCTTGATGGGGATGGCATTGAATCTATAAATTACCTTGGGTAGTATCACCATTTTCACGATATCATTTCCCTCTTAACAATTCATAGAACAACAGATGGAAAATCATGAAGGATACAGAATTCAATACCTACAACCAACAGGATCTAATCGGCATCCAACAATCCACCCAACAATAGCAGAACACACATTGTTTTCAAGCACCAATGAAATATATACCAAGATAGACCACACCCTGAGCCACAAAACAAACCTCAACAAACTAAAAAAACAACTGAAATCATACAAAATGTGTTCTCTGACCACAGTGGAATCAAACTAGAAATCAACAGTATAGAGATAACATGAAAATCTCTGAACCCTTTGAAACAAAGCTATACACTTATAAATAATTCATGTGGTCAAAGAATAGATCTCAAAAGAAATTTAACAATATATTTACTTTAATGAGAATAAGAATACTCCATATTAACACATGTGGGGCATAGCTAAAGCAGTGGTAAGAGGGAAATTGATAGCAATAAATGCTTACATCAGAAAAGAGGAAGCAGTCCTCCCACCTTAGACTTCCTAATAGCTGGGACCACAGGTGTGCATCACCACACCCAGCTAAATTTTTTTTTAATTTTCTAGACACAGGGTCTCACTATGTGGCCTAGGCTGGTCTCAAACTCCTGGGCCTTGGCCTGTCAAAGTGCTGGGATTACAGACATATGCCATTGTGTCTGGCCTAATTCTTGATATATTATCCTGCTCCACACTCATAAATGCAAAGGCTCAGTGCAGTTTACATCAGTGCTGTTCATGACTCAATTTCGGTTGGGTACCTCATAACTGTTCCAGCTTTCTCTTGTCGTGTAATAAAGAACTTCAATATTTACTGGCCTAAAACAAACAGTAATTGCATTATCAAATCAATAATCTAAGTTCCCATGTCAAGAATCCAGAAAAAAAAATCTAGGAAAAAAGGAACACAATAAACTCAAAGCAAGCAGAAGATTGAAATAATAAAATAACAGCATAACATTAAAAACAGAAAAGCAAGAAAGAAAACCAATGAAACAAAAAACTGGTTTGCTTCACTGTTTCAAAATTGACAAACTTCTAGAAAGACTAACAGGAAAAAAGAGAGAAGATATAAATTATCAATATGAAGAATGAAACGGGATGTCACTTTAGGCCCTGCAGATATCAAAAAAATAATAAGAGAACACTATGTATAACTCTACAGACATAAATTCAACAATTTTGATGAAATAGACCAATTCTGGGAAAAGCCAAAACTACCACAACTTGCTCATATTGAATAGCCCCATAACCATTTAGGAAATTGAATTAACAATGTTTTTTAATTACCAAAAAAGAAAATCTCCAGAGCCAGGTAGTTTCACTGGAGAATACTACCAAGTGTTTAGAGAAGAATTAATACCATCTACACAATCTCTTCCAGAAAATAGAAGAGGCAGAAACACTTCCCAATTCATTTTATGAAGCTAATATTATCCTGATACCAAAACCAAACAAAGATAATATACAAAAAAAGAAAGAAAACTACAGACCAATATTCCTCATGAGTATAGATGCAAAAATTCTTAACAAAATATTAGCAAATAGAAGTCAGCAACATATCAAAACAATTATATACCATTGAACAGACCCAATTTTCTCAGAACTGATGTTTACAAGTGTTTTTAATAAGATAGAAATTGACCCTTCCAGTCTTGAAGCTTGAGAAACTTACATTTTTCTTATCTGAGTTCCTTTCACAGGAAATTGGCTATCAGGGAGCTGAAACTTTCCACATCACTGCATCTGGACGGTGAGGTGCCAGACCCCTTATCTGACTCCCTGATGCCTGTTGACCAACTCCTATATAAACCCCTAACTTTAGTTGGTTGGGGAGAGAGATTTGAGACTTGTCTCTCATCTCCTGGCTGACATCACCCACAATAAAGCCTTTCTTCCTTGGCAATACTCGTTGTCTCAGTGATTGGCTTTCTGTGGGTGAGAACTGGACCTAGGTCAAACCCCTGGCATTCAGCAACAAAATTCTGGTGTCCTGACTTGGATTGCATTGCTTGTGACTTGGCAGCCACAGGCTGGGAGAGTTTTGAAAACCCTTCTAGCAGATGCCCAGCCATATTTGGCCAGAGGTTTCAGTCTCTCTCTCTTTGGCCCCAACTGCAGTCCTGATTGCCTAGGAAGAATATTCTTTGAAATTTGACATCTGCATCTGGACAGGTGAGTGTCCTTTGTGGGTACTAGACAGTAGGAGCTGCTCCTGTCAAATTGGGAAATTCTGAAGAATTTCCATTTGTTGCAGGTTAAACAAGCCCAACCCACTAATGTGAGAGTGGAAAGCACTCTATTTCAGTTCAGACACTTTGGGGGCTTGTTAATCACTACTGCAGTTAGATTGATTTTTGTTCTGTTTTGGTTTGAGACTGAGTTTCAGTCTGTCACCCAGGCTTGAGTGCAGTGGCGTGATCTTGGCTCACTGCAACCTCCACCTCCTGGGTTCAAGTGATTCTCCTGCCTCAGCCTCTCAAGTAGTTTGGACCACAGGCATGCACCACCATACCCAGCTAATTTTTGTATTTTTAATAGAGACAGGGTTTCGCCATGTTGGCCAGACTGGTCTCGAACTCCTGACCTCAAGTAATCCACCTGCCTTGGCCTCCCAAAGTGCTGAGATTATAGGCATGAGCCACCACACCCGGCCTAGATTGTATTTTGATAAGTGTTTGTGTGTGTGTGTGTGTGTGTGTGTGTGTGCGCGCACGTGCGCATGTGTGTACGTGTGTGTCTATTTCCTGCACCTTCTTTAAACTTTTGGTTTGAGGGACTCCCTTCCTGAGCCCCACCAGAAAACAGTCCAGAACCCCTGTTGATCAGCTTCCAGCTGGGGTCATGGAGGGGCACTGCCAGACTGTAACCAGTCCTCACCCCATTATTAGGATCTTCTGTGTGTAACCGATCAGCCTTTTCCTGAGCCTTTTCTAGCACTGTATGACACTCTTCAGATGTCAGCAAGACTTTAAGGAGGCTCTGAACATCAGCCCATGTAGGGCCATGAGTCATGAAAATAGACTCAAAGAGGTTAGTTATACATTTCAGGTCATCCCTATAAGCAGGTTTGGTCTGCTTACAATTATGTAAGTTTGCATCATTCCAGCGGGCTGTCCTTCTTCAGCTAAACCCCCAACAGGGACCTGTCTCAGAGGGAACTGCCCTGTAGAGAAGGGTAGCAGAACCCAGCCAAATTGTGTCCCCTGATGGGTCCAAGAGGATGAGACCATTTCTCTGGAGTTCCCAGATGTCTCCTTGGTGAAAGGAGAGAGCAAAGGAAAATATGGGGGAAGACCTGGCAGAACTCAGGTACGGGTCCTGGGTCCATAAGTGAGAGGGCTAGCAGGAGTCAGGAAAGGGTTTTGCAGGGTTTGGAAGTCTCAGGGGTTGGGGCCATCAAAGAGGCTGAAGCTGACCCCAAGGCAGCTGGTGGAGAGTGCTGAGATGGCTGGGCTGGGGTTATAGAAGTTGTAGTAGGCTCTAAGGAGAATTCTTCTTTGCTGGTGACATGGGGATCATAGGGAAAAGTGCAGACTCACCACCCTTCTTAAAAGCCTCCATCCATTGCATCAGAATTTTACATTTAACTTGATTGGTTTGTTCTGATAAAGGAGTATAAAAGCTTAGACATCAGGGATTTCATCCTACTTTCCCATTTGATAGCAAAATGAAACTAGTTGTAAGATATAATTTATCAATTTTGAATAATTTACTCAAGCAGGCTGCATTCTGGGGTTGAATTTTGTTTTATTATTATTTTTTGGGGGGAGGTCAAATTTTGATTTCCCATGACTATATCTAGACAAGAAGTGGATGAGAACCCATTAGCATTTTGGAAAGAATTTTGGAGGCTTATCAGAAATATACAGATGTAGGCCGGGCACAGAGGCTCACACCTGTAATCCCAGCACTTAGGGAGGTCAAGGCAGGTGGATTGCTTGAGGTCAGGAGTTCGAGACAAACCTGGCCAGCATGGTGAAACCCCGTCTCTACTAAAAATACAAAAAATTAGCTGGGCATGGTGGTGCACGCCTGCAGTCCTAGCTACTCAGGAGGCTGTGGCAGGAGAATCTCTTGAACCCAGAAGGCAGAGGTTGCAGTGAGCCGAGATCGCACCACTGCACTCCAGCCTGGGTGACAGAACGAGACTCTGTCTCAAAAAAAAAAAAAAAGAAAAAGAAAAAGAAAAGAAAGAAAGAAAAGAAAACAAATATACAGATGTAGATCCGACAGTCCTAAGAATTCCATGTTAATTAATGTGAACTATTTTGTAATACGCAGATGATATCTTGATAGC
The DNA here is from genome assembly GCF_000001405.40 of Homo sapiens. Lineage (NCBI taxonomy): Eukaryota > Metazoa > Chordata > Mammalia > Primates > Hominidae > Homo > Homo sapiens. Next base: position 22,943,995 of record NC_000001.11, read on the forward strand.
CAGTGAAATGGAGGGTAACTCCATCCTCCATGCCATCAAAGTCTTAAATTTCCTGGCAGATAAAGGGTACAAGGTTTCTAAGAAAGAGGCATAGATCTCTCATCCCACCATTCAGTACCTGGGATTCAAGGGACTCACAATCTTCTCCCAGATCACAGAGGCAATAAATCAGGTGGCAGTCTCCAGTATCCTTAAACAACTACGTGGTCCTTTAGGGATGCCTGGATTTTGTCAAATTTAGATCCCTAACTTCAGGTTAATAGCCAAACCTCTCTAGGAGACTTTAAAAGAAGAAGAAAGGGAACCCCTTTCTTGGAGTAGAGAATGCCAAAATGCCTTTCTAACCATTAAAGAGAAATTGATGACAGCCCCTGCCCTGAGTCTCCCTGACCTACACCAACCTTTTGATTTATTTGTTCAAGAAAAACAGGGAATTGGACTTGGAGAATTAACTCAAGACCTTGGGACCTTAAAATGTCCCATGGCCTACTTTATAAAACAGCTTGACAAGGTAACTAAGGGCTGGCCTACCTGCCTAAGGGCAGTGGCTGCCACCTGTGATATATTGCAGGAAGCTGAGAAGTTCACCTTTCAGCAGCCCATGAAGGTACATACTATGCATTATGTGTTTCCCCTGCCCAAGCAGAAGGGGGCTATTGTGGACTGCCAGGGCTGGAAAAGCACCAAACCATGCTTCTAGATAAACCAAATATAACTCTTAAAGTTATTTCTACTCCTAATCCTGCCACCCGGCTACCAAGGAACCTCCAGCCTCCTGTTGAGGATTGCATTCAAATAATTGATCAAGTTTACTCCAGCAGACTGGGCCCCACAGATTTGCCATTAACAGAACCCAACCAAGAATTCTTCACCGAGGGAAGCAATTTCATGGAACAAGGAGTCGGGAGGGCCAGCTGGGTTGAGGTTTAACTCAGCAGAACTGAAAAACCTGCCGAAGTTGTAAAGGCTCTAATGAAGGAAATAATTCCTCCATATGGATTCCCACAAACTCTCCATAGTGACAATGAAGCCACTTTTTTTTTTTTTTAACAGAGTTTCACTCTGTCATCCAGGCTGCACTGCAGTGCTGCAATCACAGCTCACTACAACCTCAACCTCCCCGGCTCAGGGGACCCTTCCACCTCAACCTCCCTAGTTGCTGGAACTACAGTCACGCACCACCACACCTGGATAATTTTTGTATTTTTTGTAGAGACAGGGTCTTGCCATGTTGCCCAGACTGGTCTCAAACTCCTGAGCTCAAACAATCCACCCGCCTTGGCCACCAAAAGTGCTGGGATTACAGGTGTGAGCCACCACACCCAGCATGAAGCCACTTTTCTTGTTGTTGTTGTTTTGAGACGGAGTCTCACTCTGTCACCCAGGCTGGAGTGCAATGGCGCAGTCTTGGCTCACTGCAACTTCCACCTCCTGGGTTCAAGCGATTCTCCCACCTCAGCCTCCCAAGTAGCTGGGACTACAGGTGCGTGACACCACACCTGGCTAATTTTTGTATTTTTAGCAGAGACAGGGTTTTACTAGGTTGGCCAGGCTTGTCTCAAACTCCTGACCTCATGATCACCCGCCTCGGCCTCCCAAAGTGCTGGGATTACAGGCGTGAGCCACTGCGCCCGGCCATGAAGCCGCTTTTATAGCCCAAATAACCCAGGAAGTATGGCAGCTTCTGAGTGTCAATTAGAAACTGCATTTGTCTTGGAGACCCCAATCTTCTGGAAAGACTGAAAGAATACATAAGACATCGAGGAGTTGCTTTCTAAAGTTCGCCACGAGACAAATCTTACCTGGGAAAAGGTCTTGCCCCTTGCCCTGCCATGACCAGTGGGATTTTTTTCTAGGGATTCAAGGCTGGTTCGATATTTTTAAATCAACCAATGTAATCTACCAGATTAATAGGCTAAAGAAGAAAAATTACATGATTATGTCAATTTATACAGAAAAAAATTTACAAAATTCAAAATCCAGTTATGATTTTTAAAAAATACTCTCAGAAAACTAGGAATAAGAGAATAATTTCCTCAATTTGATTTTTTAAAACCTGCAAAAAGCTTACAGCTAAAGGCCGGGCACAGTGGCTCACGCCTGTAATCCCAGCACTTTGGGAGGCCGAGGCGAGCAGATCACGAGGTCAGGAGTTTGAGACCAGCCTGACCAACATGGTGAAACCCCGTCTCTACTAAAAATACAAAAATTAGCCGGGCGTGGTGGCACACACCTGTAATCCCAGCTACTCAGGAGCCTGCGGCTGGAGAATCACTTGAACACGGGAGGCAGAGGTTGCAGTGAGCTGAGATCGTGCCACTGCACTATAGCCTGGGTGACAGAGCAAGACTCCATCTCAAAAAACAAACAAACAAAAAACAAACCTACAGCTAACATTACACTTAGTGGAAAAAGACCGAATGTTTTCCTCTAACATCAGGAACAAGGCAAAGATGTCCACTCTCAGGGTCGGGCGTGGTGGCTCACGCCTATAATCCCAGCGCTCTGGGAGGCTGAGGCGGGCGGATCATGAGGTCAGGAGATCGAGACCATCCTGGCTAACAGGGTGAAACTCCGTCTCTACTAAAAATACAAAAAATTAGCCGGGCGTGGCGGCAGGCGCCTGTAGTCCCAGCTACTCGGGAGGCTGAGGCAGGAGAATGGCATGAGCCCGGGAGGCAGAGCTTGCAGTAAGCCGAGATCACGCCACTGCACTCCAGCCTGGGCGACAGAGCAAGACACCGTCTCAAAAAAAAAAAAAAAAAAAAAAGAAAAGATGTCCACTCTCACCATTCTTATTCAACATAATATTGGGAATTCCAGCCAATGAAATAAGGCAAGAAAAGTAAGTAAAAAGTATACAGACTAGCAAGAAAGAAATAAAACTATTCATATTTACAGATAACATGATTATCTACGTAGAAAATACCAAGGAATCTACCAAAAAACAAAACCAAAACCAAAAGACTCCTAGAATGAATAAGTGGGTACAGTAAGGTCACAGAATACAGGATTAACATACAAAAAACAATTATATTTCTGTATACTAGCAATAAACAAGTGACCAGTAAAATTAAAAATATAAGACCATTTATAAACACTCCAAAATAATGAAATGCTTAGGTTTAAATCTAACAAAACATATACTGAAATAATATGCTGAAAATTATAAACTTATAAAAGAAACCAAAGAAGATGTCAAAAGAGAGATATATTGTGTTCATGAATTAGAAGACTCAAAAGATGCGAGTCTTCTCAAATTGATATTCAGATTTAATAAAATTTCTATCAAAATCCCAGCATGCTATTTTGTAGTAGATGTAGACAAGATTTCTATAACATTTGTATGGAAAGCAAAGGACCTATAATAGCTAAAACAATTTTGAAAAAGAAGGATAAAGTGGGAGAAATCAGTCTACCCAGTTTATAACTTCAAGATTTATATACAGCTATAGTGATCAAGACTATGCTGTATTGGAAGGAACGCATTCAAACCACAGCACCTGGTTGAGGGATAGACACATAGTTCAGTAAAATAGGATAAAGAACCCAGGAATAGTCCCACACAAATATGCCCAACTGATTTTCTTTTTTATTTTTGAGACAGGGTCTTGCTCTGTTGCCCAGACTGGAGTTGCAGTGGTGTAATCATGGCTCACTGCAGTCTCCTCTTCCTGGGCTCAAGTGTTCCTCCCATCTCTCAGTCTCCCAAGTAGCTGGGACTACAGGCACGTGCCACTGTGCCCAGCTAATTTTTATGGTTTTTTTGTTTTTGTTTTTTGTTTTGGTTTTGGTTTTGGTTTTTGTAGAGACGGGGTTTTGCCATGTTGCTCAGGCTGGTCTTGAACTCCTGGGCTCAAGAGACCTGCTTGCCTTGACCTCCCAAAGTGCTGGGATTACAGGCGTGAGCCACCATGCCTGGCCCAACTGATTTTTGTCAAAGGTGCAAAAGCAATTCAACAGAGGTGCTGTGGTTTGAATGTGTTCCTTCCAAAATCCAGGTATTAACATTTTATGGCCAAAGTGGTTGTATTAATAGGTGGGGCCTTTAAGAGGTGATTAGTTCATGAGGGCTCCTCTGGTGAATGGGATTAAGGCCTGTATAAAAGAATCTTCTCTTCATGCAGCATTCAGCTTGCTTGCCCTTCTGCCTTCCACCATGTGAGGATACAGTGTTCCTCCCCTCCGGAGGATGCAGCAACATAGCACCATCTTGGAAGCAGATGGCAGCCCTCACCAGACAACTAAACCTGCCAACACCTTGATCTTGGACTTCTCAGCCTCCAGAACTAAATAAAATTTAGCTTATGAGAAATAAAGTTCCATTCTTTATAAATTACCTAGTCTCCAGTATTTTTGTTATAGCATCACAAATTGACTAAAACAGGAGGAAAGATAGCCATTTCAATAAATGATGCTGGAATAACAGGACACCCATGGGCAAAAACATGAACCCCAACTTAAACCTCACACCTTAATACAAAATTAACTCAAAATAGATCACAAACTTAAATCTAAAACACATAATGATAGACTTTTAAAAAACACCATAGAAGAAAATCTCTGGGATCTAGGGCTAGGCAAAGAGTTTGCAGACTTAAGACCAAAAGCATGATCCATAAGAGAAAAAGTTGACAAAGTGATATATTAATTTCCTGTGGGAACTATAATAATTACTACAAAATTAGTGGTTTAAAACAACAGAAATATATTCTCTCACAGTTCCAGAAGCCAGGAGTCTGAAATCAATATTACTGGGCCCAAATCAAAATGTCAGTAGGTCTATACTGCCCTTGTCGGTTATAAGAAAGGATGCATTCCTTGCTTCTTCCAGTTTCTGGTGGCTACCAGAGTTCTATAGCTTGTGGTTATATCATTCCAATCTCTGCCTCCACAGTCACATTGCCTTTCCCTCTTCCATCGGGACTGAATCATCCTCTACCTCTCTCTTATAAGGATACTTGTGATTGCACTTAGGGCCCATCCCAATAATCCAAGATAACCTTTTCAATTCAAGATCTTTAACCTGCTGGGCATGGTGGTTCATGCCTGTAATCGCAGTACTTTGGGAGGCTGAGGCAGGAGGATCACTTGAGCCCAGGAGTTCGAGACCAGCCTGGGCAACATAGCAAGACCCAGTCTCTACAAAAAAATTTTAAAATTTTAGCCAGGCATGGTGGTGCCCACCTGTAGTCCCAACTACTCAGGAGGCTGGCGTGAGAGGAACGCATAAGCCTGAGGTTGAGGCTGCAGTGAGCTGCAGCTGCACCATTGCACTCCAGCCCGAGTGACAGAGTAAAACCCTATCAAAAAAAAAAAAAAAAACTTTAACGTAATCACATCTGCGATCACATCTGCAAAGTTCCTTTATCTGCCATAAAATGTAGCCTTTACATGTTCCAGGGATTAGGATGTATACATATTTTGAGGGGCCACTATTCAGCCTACCACAATTGGACTTGATCAAAATTTTAAATTTTTGCTCTGCAGAAGACCCAAGAGGATGAAAAGACAAGCTACAGAATAGAAAAGATTTTCAAACTTAGGTACCTGACAAAGGACTGGTTTCTGGAATGTATAAAGAACCCTCAAAACTCAACAAGTTTTTAAAAAATCCAATTAGAAAATGGGCAAAAGACATAAAGAGATATTTCACTGAAGAGGATATACAGATGGCAAAAAAGCATATAAAAATGTTCAACATCATTAGCTATGAGGAAAGTGCAAATTAAAACCATAATGATACATCAGTACACACCTATTAGAATTACTAAAATAAAAAAAAATAGTGACAATACCAAATGTTAGCCAGAAAATACAGGGAAACTCAATCATGCATACACTGCTGGCTAGAATGTAAAAGGGCATAGCCACTGGGGAACAGTTTGGCAGTTTCTGTAAAAACTAAACACGCAACTACCATTGGAACCATCAGTTGCACTTCTGGGCATTTATCCCAGAGAAATAAAAACTTATGTTCATACAAACACCTATAAACAAATGTTCATAGCAGCTTTATTCATAATAGCCCCAAATCGTAAACAACCCAGATGTCCTTCAACAAGTGGATGGTTAAACAAATTGTGCTATATCCATACACGGAACCACTATTCTGTAACAAAAAGAAACAAACTATTGATATTTGGATGACTCTGCAGAGAATTACACCAAGTGGTAAAAAGAATCCTTAAAGCTTACATATTATATGACTCTATTTACATAACGTTCTTGAATGACAAAATTACAGAAATGGAGAACAGATTGGTGGTTGCCAGAGGTTAAGGGGAGGGCGTGGTTGGGGAGCAAATGGGTGTGGTTAGGAAAGGAGAAAGAGGGATTCCTGTGCTGGTGAAAATGTTCTGGACCTTGGCTGTATTTTATTATTATTATTATTATTATTATTATTATTATTTTGAGACAGGGTCTCACTCTGCCATCCAGAGTAGAGTAGAGTGCAGTGAGCTGTGATTGCACCACTGCACTTGAACTCCTGGGCTCAGATGACCCACCTGCCTTGGCCTCTCAAAGTGCTGGGATCACAGGCATGAGCCACCTTGCCCAGCCTTGACTGTATTAATATCAATATTTTGCTGGTGCTATTGTATTAGAGTTTTGCAAGATGTTCCCATTGGAGGAAACTATCTACAATTATGTCAAATTTACAATTATCTCAAAGTCAAAAGTTTAATTGTTTAAAAAGATATACAAAATGCATGCCCAAATTTTATACTAGATTTCATAGGCATGAAATTCATCAAAACTTTAAAATTCTCTTCTTCAAAAGACACCGTTAAGAAAATGAAAAATTAAGCCAGACACTGGGGGAAAATACTTGCAATGCATATATCTAACAAAGGACTAGTATCCGTACTATATAAAGAGCTTTCACAATTCAATAAATGCAATTAAAACCACAGTGAGATATGACTTCACAACCATGAAAATGGCTAAAATGCAAAAGTCTGACAATAACAAGTGTTAGCAAAAATGTAGGGCAAGCGAACTGCCACATATGACTGTTAAGAATATAAAATGGTGGCTGGGTGCAGTGGCTCATGCCTGTAAATCCCAGCACTTTGGGAGGCCGAGGCAGGTGGATCACAAGGTCAGGAGATCGAAACCATCCTGGCTAACACGTTGAAACCCCGTCTCTACTAAAAAAAATCCAAAAAAAATTAGCCAGGCATGGTGGTGGGCACCTGTAGTCCCAGCTACTTGGGAAGCTGAGGCAGGACAATGGCATGAACCTGGGAGGCGGAGCTTGCAGTGAGCTGAGATCACACCACTGCAATCCAGCCTGGGTAACAGAGTGAGACTCCGTCTAAAAAAAAAACAAAAAAAGAATATAAAATGATACACATATTTTGGAAAACTGTGTAGCAGTCACACCTAGATAGCTACCCGAGAGAAATGAAAGCATGTATTGACACACAGACTTGTATAGGAATGCTTTTTCATAATGGCCCTAATCTGGAGACAACCCAAATGTTCACCAACAGAGAAATGGATAAACAAATTGTGGCATATATGAGCAATAGAATAAAAACAATAAACTATTGGCTGGGCGTGGTGGCTCACACCTGTAATCCCAGCAGTGTGGGAGGCCAAGGCAGGCAGATCACAAGGCCAAGAGATCGAGACCAGCCTGGCTAACATGGTGAAACCCCGTCTCTACTAAAAATACAAAAACTAGCTGGGCGTGGTGGTGCGCGCCTGTAGTCCCAGCTACTCTCGGGGCTGAGGCAGGGGAATTGCTTGAACCAGGGTGGCGGAGGTTGCAGTGAGCCGAGATCGCGCCACTGCACTCCAGCCTGGGCGACAGAGTGAGACTCCCTCAAAAAAAAAACAAAAACAAAAACAAAAGCAATAAACTATTGATACACACACAGACATGAATGAACCTCAAAACCAGCGTGGTGAGCAAAAGAAGACAGACACAAAAGACTCCACCATATGGTTCCATTTGTATGAAATTCTAGAACAGGCAAAGCTAATCTATAGTGACAGGAAGCAGATCGGTAGTTGCCTGAGGCTAGGGGAGAAAGAGAACTGACTCCAAAGGAGTAGGGGGAAATCTTGGGGGTGATGAAATTTTCTATATCTTGATTGTGGTGGTGGGTATAAATATTTGTCAAAATCACCCAATGGTACTCCAGACATGTGTATTTCATTTTATGTAAGTTATAATTCAATAAGGTTGATTTTCATTTTTATTTTTTTGACAGGGTATTGCTCTGTCACTCATGCTGGAGTGCAGTGGCACGAACACGAGTCACTGCAGCTTCCAACTCCTAGACTCAAGTGATCCTCCTGCCTCAGCCTCCTGAGTAGCTGGGACTACAGGACACCACACCCAGCTAATTTTTATTTTATTTCTGTAGAGATGGGGGTCTCACCATGTTGCCCAGGCTTAGGTTGATTTTTTTTTTTTTTGAGATGGAGTCCCACTCTGTTGCCCAGGCTGGAGGCAATGGCGCAATCTTGGCTCACTGCAACCTCCGCCTTCCAGGTTCAAGCGTTTCTCCTGTCTCAGCCTCCCCATTAGCTGGGATTACAGGCACCCTCCACCATGCCTGGCTAATTTTTGTATTTTTAGTACAGCCGGGGTTTCACCATGTTGGCCTGGCTGGTCTCGAACTCCTGACCTCAAGTGATCCGCCCGCCAAGGCCTCCCAAAGTGCTGGGATTACAGGCGTGAGCCACCGCGCCCAGTTGCTTAGGTTTATTTTTAAAAGACAAAATACAAGCCCATATTTTGTTTTAGATTCAACAGGCACAAAACTACTGTTTCGATGCTTAAATTTTTGGTTGCCTGTTAGTTTCTAAATGCTTACTCTTAATGCCTGTACTTAATCCTTCCTCCCCTATAGATGTGGAGAAATTTGAATTTCTGGCTGTGGTCCAAGACCACACTTTGAGTAGCATCACCCTACTCCACTTTGCCAACTACCCGGGTTCTCCAACAGGCATTCCCACAGGCTCCCCTTCCAAACCTTACTCTAGAAAGCTGGGAGGCCAGGGACAGGGGGGTCCAGGCAGAGCCCGGGGTCACTGGGTCTTGAACACCGGCTTGCCCCGCAGCCGCAGCACTCTGTACGTGTTGAGGCCGGGCACGTCGAAGCCGGGTGACAGCCCGTGGTGATCCAAGGGGTAGAAGTTGACCAGCTGCCCGTGCTGGGCCTCGAGCGAGAGCCACGCGTCGCCGAGTGGCAGTGCGCAGGGGAACTCGTGGGCCACGTGCAGCTGGAAGACGCGGCCGTGCAGGTGGCGCAGCGCCAGGGTGCGGAACGCTGGAGGCACCAGCGCCTCCACGCGCGGCCCGAACTGGCGCAGGCGCAGCTCGCCCGCCGGCCCGGCGCGCACCTCGTAGAAGGTCAGGTTGGCGAAGGTGAAGTAGCCGGCGAAGGGGTGCGCGGTGGGCGGCGGAGCCGGGCCGGGCTCGGCCTCCCGGAGGGCGCGCTCCAGGGCGGGCAGGAGCTCATCGTAGGCCCGCGCCACCAGGTCGGGCCCGGGCGGCCGTGGCCCTGCCAGCAGCAGCACCAGGCCCAGACGCAGCGGGGGCACCAGCGAGAAGGTGGCGGCGTAGCCGTCCAGATCGCCGTCCTTGCGCACCACGCGGTAGCCCCGCTGCGCGTGGAACTCCCACGGCGTGCCCGTCTCGTTGGCGAAGTAGGCGCCCGGGCAGGCCAGCAGCGGCGCCAGCAGCGTCTTGGCCGCGTCGGGCCGCAGGAGCCGCCGGGGCCCGCCGCCCAGGAGCGCCACGGCCAGCTTGGCCAGGTCGGCGGCGGTAGAGTACATCTGGCCCGACGGCCGGTACCAGCCCAGGTCATAGAGTGGCGCCGGCCGCCCGCTGCCGTAGAAGCCCGCGGCCAGGCGCGCGCGCACGTCGGGCGTGAGGTCAAAGCCCGTGTCTGCCATCCCCAGCGGCTCCAGCACGTTCTCCGAGACCCAGCGCTGGTAGTCGCCCTGGGCGGTGTGAGCTGCCAGGACGTGGGCCAGGAGCGAGAAGGCCAGCGTGCTGTAATGGCATCTGGAAGGAGAGCAGTGGCAAGTGGGACGGGGCCCTTCCTCACCCGCCCGCGCTGTCTGAAATGCCACCAGTTTCATGGGACTGGGCGGGGCTGGGAAGGAACCTGCTCCCCTGCATCCCAGGTGGTCAGACCTGGAAGAGACTTTGGAGCACTGACTCTGACTCTCTTCTACATCTGGGAAGACCAAGGCCCAGAGAGGGGCGGGGAATTGCCCAGGGTCATACAGCAGGATGGAGGAGAGCTGAGCTCAGCGGTGCACCTGGGAAAGCTGTCACACAAATCTTATTGGTCCTTCACACTTTAGTATGATTTACCTTATCTAATGGAAAATTAAAGGCTTACACTGCTCTGGGGAAACAAAAATGATAGTGACCATGTATGAGGCAAGGTCTCACCCCTCCCTTCTTCCAGGCTGTAGCAGACACCAGTAACCAGCAAGAGGCCTCTTTTCTTTCCCAGAGCAAATACAGTTTCAGAATCTCTAAAACAGAAAGGTGCAAGGATGTGTGAAAATTCACAAATTCTCCTAGGCATTCCTGAACTCTGGGCCAACTTCCTTATTTTTGCAGATGAGGAAGATTAGTTAGATGAGTTTCACAGAGATAAAGTGCACCACCCAAGGTCACATTGCCATAGTTATTTGCAGAGCTGAGAGGAGGACTCCAGCCTGAAGATGTCCAAGCATCTCCTCTCTCTGCATCTCCTGGATCATTTCTTCCTTAAGGGAAGTGGGGCCTGAGGTTCAGCATTTGGAGAAGCAGAGGGACAAATTTGGAAAAGGGTCACTGACCAGCGGCTCAGAAGGGGGCCCCTGAAGCTGGGGAGTGCCAGCTGTCCTCTGTCCAGCCCCACAGCCCCACTGCTCCCAGAGTGGGGCTTCTCTGTTCAGTGGCCACCCAGCTATCCACTCCCCATCTGGTCAGCAACCCGTTTATTTCCAACCTGGCAAAATCTGTATTCACCTTGCTTATTTGCTCACGGTGTCTCCCTCACAAGAGTGCAAACTCCACGAGGAGCAAACCGGGTGTTTATCACCTTCTGGGCAAAGTAGGTGCTCAATAAATGTTAAGTGGGTAAATGGAAAAAACATTCCATTCAAACAGAACAGGATTCTGGGCCCAGCTCTCCCCTGTCTTGCTGGCCTCCCCTCTCTAGGTCTTGCCCTTTGCAGCTGGGGAGCAGGTCTCTCCCGGCTCTGCCAACCTAGGATGAGGTGATGTGGGCTCTTTGCCAGGCAGGTGTGTCTCCCCAGGAGGCTCCTAACATGAGGCTGGGCATCAGGGTATGCTCCTCACCTGGTTCCCGGGTCCACTACCAGCACATCGTCCTTGAGCAGGTTCAGGGCCTCCTGGGTGCTGCCCTTCCACAGCAGTGAAGTGGAGCGCAGCCTTCTGGGCAGCCCTAGGGAGGAGCAGTGGTCAGACTTACCGGGCCCGGCTGAGGGTGGGATGGTGGGCCCCTGGGTGCACTCCCTCCCCACCTTCCGTGAGTTGAGAGATAACAACAACAAATCAGTTTTTTAAAAAAGAAAATCAGCCTAGCGTGGACTCCAGTCCTGCCTTCTCTTCCTGCCTGTGTGTCACTGGGCAGGTCACTGGGCCTCTCTGAGTCCCAGTCCTTCATCTGTAATATAAGGGAAATAATCCTTGTACCCAAGGGCTGATTAGATTAGATTGGATAAAATGTTTAGTATGGTGCCTGGCACATACTAACTGCTCAAAAAATAATTGCTATCATCAACTATAGAAAGTTTGGGGCCGGGCGCGGTGGCTCACACCTGTAATCCCAGCACTTTGGGAGGCCAAGGTGGGCGGATTGCCTGAGGTCGGAGTTCAAGACCACGCTGGCCAACATGGTGAAACCCCATCTCTTCTAAAAATACAAAAAAATTAGCTGGACGTCTTGGCATGCGCCTGTAATCCCAGCTACTCAGGAGGTTGAGGCAGGGGAATTGCTTGAACCTGAGAGGTGGAGGTTGCAGTGAGCTGAGATCGCACCACTGCACTCCAGCCTGGGTGACAGAGTGAAACTCCATCTCAAAAAAAAAAAAAAAAAAAAGAGTTTGGTCCAGGTGTGGTGGCTCACACCTGTAATCCCAGCACTCTGGGAGGCTGAGGCGGGAGGATCACTTGAGGCCTGGAGTTTGAGACCAGCCTTGGCACCATAGCAAGACCCTATGTCTACAAAAAATAAATAATTAGCTGGACTCAGTGGCACGTGCCTATAGTCCTAGCTTCTTGGGAGGCTGAGGCAGGAGGATTGCTTGAGCCCAGGAAGCCAGGTTGCAGTGGGCCATATTCATGCCACTGCACTCCAGCATGGGAAACAGAGTGAGACCCTGCCAAAAAAAGGAGAAGGAGAAGGAGAAAGAGGAGGAGGAGGAAGGAGCCCCAGTTCTGTGTGTGGGAGTGACACCAACCACATCCATTGACTGAGACTCAGGCCTGAACACACTTTGTAAAATGATGACATGGTGGGCACTTGAGGGATTCCTACCTTTTGGAGTTGATGGGTTTATGACTGCAGATATGACCAAAGGCGTCTGGGGCAGGGCAGATAGTACCTGTCTTCACCCCCTTACCTGTGTCAATCACAGCAAAACCCAGCACCCCTCCCTCTAAAGACCAACAGAGGGTCCTTCAGAAGCTTTCAGAGCAATCCCTCCGCACCTGCCTTGCTCTGTTCCTGATCCCGCCCTGCCCAATTCCCGTGCCCCAGCTTCATCTTCCAGTGCCAGCCTGCTCCTGCCCCCAACCTTGTCGACTTCATCTTGACTTGTTATCATAGCTTTATGATTATAAAATAATTTATTATAATAAGTAATTAATTTACATGATTTAAGATTCAAAGGAAATCAAAGAGTATACAATGGAAAATTTTCGTCTTACCCTTCTCCCTAGCTACCCATTTCCCCTCCCTAGAGGCAACCTAATGTTTCAATCTCTTTAGCTCCCTTCCAAAGATATTTGATGCATATATAAGCTAATATATACTACATACTTGTGTTATATAATATGTACATTACACATATTCATATACACATATCCATTATATATGTATATATTATTTTAATTATTTATATGGTAGCATACAAAATATGCTGTTACATGCTTTTTTCCTACTTAGTATTCTATCTTATTCCATCTCAGTACACGCAGAACATGATTATCCTTTTTTTAGGTCTATACAGTGTTTGATTGTACAGCTGTGTCATAGTTCATTTAGCCACTCCCCTATTGATGGACATTTAGGTTGTTTCAGCCTTTTGCTATTACAAACAGTGCTGTAGTGATCAACTGTGTATTATACATCCCCCATGCCAGACATAGGTGAGTACATCTGTAAGAGAATTTCCTAGAAATGAAATTGCTGAGTCAAGGGGGACATACGTTTTAAATTGTGATATTACCAATTGCCCTCCATACGGCTGCACCAATTTAAATTCCCAGCATTGATGGGTAAGAAGGTCTGTTTTACCACAACCTCAGCAACTCAGGGCGTCATCATGTTCATCTTTGCCAATCTGATGGGGGAAAACATGTCTCAGTGTAGTTTTAATTTACATTTATGTTGTTATGAATGAAGTTGAGCACCTTTTAATATTTCTTAATATTCTTTTTTTTTTTTTTTTTTTTTTTTTTTGAGACAGAGTTTCTCTCTAGTCACCCAGGCTGGAGTGCAATGACGCGATCTCAGCTCACTGCAACCTCCGCCTTCCAGGTTCAAGAGATTCTCCTGCCTCAGCCTCTGGAGTAGCTGGGATTACAGGCGCAAGCCACCACACCCAGATAATTTTTTGTATTTTTAGTAGAGACAGCGTTTCACCATGTTGGCCAGGCTGGTCTGGAATTCCTGAGCTCAGGTGGTCCGCCCGCCTCAACCTTCCAAAGTGCTGGGATTAAAGGCGTGAGCCACCACGCCCAGCCCTTAATATTCTTAAGAGTATTTTCTGTGAGCTCTCAATTCTGTTCCTCTCCTTTACCCATTTTTCTGCTGGGCTGTTGGTCTTTGTAATAATTTGTAGGTGACTTTTATATATTAAGGGAAATTAGGTCTTCTGTGTAGAATTGTTTACAAATATAAACTTTTTTTCTTTTTAGAGACTGGATCTTACTATGTCATTAATCATAGCTCGGTGCAGCCTTCAACTCCTGGGCTCAAGTGATCCTCCCACCTCAGCCTCCCGAGTAGCTAAGACTACAAGTGTGTACCACCATGCCTGGGCTATTTTTTAAAATTTTTAGAGACGGGGTCTTACTATGTTGCCCAGACTGGCTTAGAATTACTGGGCTCGAGTGATCCTCCCACCTCGGCCTCCCAAAGCACTGGGGTGACAGGCATGAGCCACTGAGCCTGGCCACATATTGACTCGTTGACTTGCTCTTGCCTTATCAACTTCATTTTGACCTGCACTGATGGGTAAGACCTGCCAACTCATCTTGATGTTTCTACTTGGTCTAAATTTCCAGGCTTCAGTTCAGCTTTTACCTCGAGAGATGTTTCTTTCCCTGGCCCACCACCCACATCCCATGAGAGGGACGTAGGGCCAGTTCAGGAAGCAGAGCCAAGAGTGAGCCCAGCCTGGCTGGATGAGAACCTGTTCCTCAGCTTCCCCACCTGAAATGGTTTGGGTCAGCCTGAGTCAGTTCTGAGACTCACCTGAGAGCTGGCTGGCCATCCTTCGAAGGGTGACAGGTGAAGGCCTTGGGGCGGGGCCCACCTGCTCCAGCCCGTCCATCAGGCCCTGCTGTTCGGCTGATGCCAGGCCCAGCGGGTTGTTAATGGTGAAGGTGCTGGCATACCGCTCCAGAGGGTCATCTAGGGAGGCCACGATGCCCTCCTCCCACAGACGGTACAGCATGAGGACAGGAAAGATCTTGGAGATGCTGGAGATCCTAGATAATGTTGGGAATACAAGCAGTCAAAGGGCATCCTGTTGGCCCCACAACCCACCTCCTGCCCCCATCCTGCAACTTTTTAGTGTTCTAGAAAAGCACTGCATCCCTGCTTAAGTCAACATCTCCAACAGAAATTAACCAGCCTCTGTGGAGCTGCCTTTGGGATGCTTGAGAACGTAACCAGAAGCCGAGGGGCTGAGGTGGGATGGATATCCTGGGCCAGGCTCTTTTCCAGCCATTTCCCATTCAGGGACAGACCTGAGTTTGGATGGTGTCTCTGCCTCTCACTGGCCATGTGGCCTTAGGCAAGTTTCTAGACCCATCTAAGATTCAGTTTCATTGTCTGCTTCACCGGTTGTATTAATAAAAGAATGGAACGAGGTTGTGCATGCAAAGTGCCTGTCTACGTTCCTAGGAGGTGGTAAGTGCTCAGTACATGTTAGCACATATAACTGTTGGCCCCATGCCTGGCACAAAGCAGGTGCAATTTAAATGCAATTCCCTCAGGACTCCTGTAAAACCCACAGTGTCCCCAGGAACAAATGTGTTCACTCTGCATCATGAACTTTGAGGATCCTGCAGGCAGCATGCAGAAGGGGAGACTCCAGATATGCAACAGAATGTCCCCATCTGTTTGCATCTGGGCCACTGCTGCCACTTGACAGGGACCTGGGGCAAGGACCTAGGAACTGGTTATGGTTCCTTTGTGGCACATGGTCAGGGTTGGGGGGATGGGCACAAGGTAGCCTTTTCTAGTTTGGGAGGTTTAGGGCTAAGGTTCTTTCCAGAAGGGATTCCTTCCTGACCTTTTACCCCTGTGATGTAACATTGGGAACTCACTGGACTTCAGTCCTCTCTGGACTTCGGTCTCCTCTTCTATAAAACTGTCAAGACTTCATAATAGGCCCTGGCAGATTAGACCCCAGCCATGATTCTCTTCAGTATCCTTACCTCCTAGGTCTCCCTTGCCCTCCCATCCCTTACCCCTCCACAGGACCCTAGAGATCACCCAGCTGACCTGTACATGGTGTACTCATTGGGGGCCCCAGAAGCCGGGTCTGAGCCATTCTTCTTCCCAAAGTTCCCTGTCCAGAGCACAGTATCATTGTGGATGACAACTGCAGACATGGCAGCCACGCCTGGGGCAGACATTGCCTGGCGCAGGATCTGGTCCACCTTGAGGGAAAAGAACGGGTGCAGTGACAGGCCCCCCTGCCCTCACCCTCAGTAATCATCTGCAAAGCCACCCTCGTCCATAGTCACACCCTGCATGCAGCACCCCAGTGAGCCTCCCAGCTATGCCCCATGGGCTGGGGCCCCCACTGTTGGGCTTCTTCATAAGATGTTTTCTCAAAGAAACAGTTTCTTAGCAAAATAAAAAAGGAGAGGGGGTTAAAACGACTGCTTTAAGGCTGGGCATGGTGGCTCATGCCTGTAATCTTAGCACTTTGGGAAGCCAAGGCGGGCAGATCACCTGAGGTCAGGAGTTCAAGGCCAGCCTGGCCAACATGGTGAAACCCTGTCTCTACTAAAAATACAAAAAATTAGCTGGGCATGGTGGCGGGCGCCTGTAATCCCAGCTACTTGGGAGGCTGAGGCAGGAGAATCACTTGAACCCAGGAGGCGGAGGTTGCAGTGAGCCAAGATCTCGCCACTGTACTCCAGCCCAGGCAGCAAGAGCGAAACTCCGTCTCAAAAAAAAAAAAAAAAAAAAAAAAACCAGCTACTGCTTTAGTCAAACCCATGTCTGACGCCCTAAAAAACCTCCAATAGGCCTAGCCTGAACCCCTAGTGTTGGGGAATTCACTATTAATACAGTGCCTGTAGGCCCTCTTTGCACGTTTGTTTGGTTATTTATTTATTTTATTTGTTTTTAGATGAAGTCTCACCATGTCACCCAGGCTAGAGTGCAGTGGCTCAAGCACAGCTCACTGCAGCCTCAACCTTCCAGGCTCAAGTGATCCTCCCGCCTCAACCTGTGGAGTAGCTAGAAGTACAGGCACATGCTACCACACCCAGTTAATTTTTTAATTTTTTGTAGAGACGGCGTCTCACCGTGTAGACCAGGGTGGTCTCCAACTCCTGACCTCAAGCAGTCTTCCCACCTCAGCCTCCCAACATGCTGTGATTACAGGTGTGAGCCGCCTCACCTAGCCTGAACATTTATTGAAAATACCTCATCATTTTCAATGATGAAGTGCAATGATGACGATAACAGCTGACATTTATTGGACATTTAGAATGTGCCAGGCATGGCATAAAGTGATTTTCATACATTGTCTCCTTTCATCCTCGTGAGTCAGTGCTAATTTCTGCCCATTTTACAGATGAGAAATGAGAGCCTATGAGATATGAGGTGACTTGCCCAAGTGGCTACTGGCTGATGGAATCAAGATTGGAACCCTGTGCTAAGTCCAGCCCCACTTCTTTTTTTGTTGTTTTGGTTTTTTGTTTTTTGAGACCAGAGTCTCGCTCTGTCACCCAGGCTGGAGTTTAGTGACATCATTTCCACTCACCGTAAACTCCACCTCCCGGGTTCAAGCGATTCTCCTGCCTCAGCCCCCCGAGTAGCTGGGATTACAGTCATATGCCACCACGTGTGGCTAATTTTTGTATTTTTAGTAGAGACAGGGTTTCACCATATTGACCAGGCTGGTCTTGAACTCCTGACCTCAGGTGATCCGGCTGCCTCAGCCTCCCAAAGTGCTGGGATTATAGGCACGAGCCACCGCACCTGGCCCCTACGTCTTAATTAACTGCTGGACCACCTTGCCACGTGATTTTACATATCCTTGGCTGAGCTCGGTCCACCTCCACTTCCCATCCCTGCACTAACTTTGCCTTTCTTTTCCTCGCTTTGTCACCCTGGCTGGAGTGCAGTGGCACGATCTCGGCTCACTGCAACCTCCGCCTCCTGGGTTCAAGCGATTCTTCTGCCTCAGCCTCCTGAGGAGCTGGGATTACAGGCATATGCCACCATGCCCGGCTGATGTTTTATATTTTTAGTAGAGACAGGCTTTCACCATGTTGGTCAGGCTGCTCTTGAACTCCTGACCTCATGATCCACCCATCTCGGCCTCCCAAAGTGCTGGGGTTACAGGTGTGAGCCACCGCGCCTGGCTCTAACTTTGCCTTTCTGAGCCTCTGTCTCCTTCTCTATAGATAGGGACTCATGAGGAATGCATGTAAGTGGTTACATGGCAATGGCGCATTCCAGGTGCTCAACAGAAGGCAGCATGGTTATTATTGTTGCTTTTATGAAAATTTGCTATAACTCCTGAAAGCCACATAGCACCCTTCTGCTCTCTCCCCTTCACAAAAACCTTTCAGGTATTTGCAAGCAGTGATTTTTGTCTCTGCATTGGCCCACACGTTCCCTTCTCAGCACTCAACAGCCCTTTCCCTTTAACTATTCCTCGGATGATAGTTTTGAGTCTCCCCCACCATGCTGCGGCTCATATTCTTCTGATCATGTTTCACTCATCTCCATGTCTCCCATGGTGGGTGACCCAAGTGGCTGGGCTCTGACTGGCACAGACTAGAGCTGACTGACACCTGCCTCTAGGGTTTGGCCATCCTGCAATGGTAAATTTTGTGTTGGGGAGCATGGAGTGTTTAATCATATCGCGGTGGCCTCTGCAATGTGGGCTCTGTCATCCTCTCCTGTCTCAGCTTCCCTACTTCCCACCTATGGCCTCTCAGTTCTCTGTATGTGTCATATACTTTCTGCAGCCTCCAGGCCCTTCCACGTGCTGTTCCATCTGTCTGGAGCACACCTCTCCATCCCCAGGGTCCCTCACCACACACATGTCATCTGGGTGTCTGCTACTTATTCACATCTCAGCCTAGACACCACTTCCTCCAGAAGGAGGAACTGACCCTAAGGCCTGTTCCTTTGTGCCCCCAAAGTCCCCTAAACTTTTCTTACCCTCACTCTTGCCCCAGGATTATAAATGTTTGGTATCTTCACCGTTCCTCTCGCTTCCAGATTAGTAATTTCTTGAGAGCAGGTCAGTGTCTTCTTCCTGCCATATCCATAGTGCCTCGCACAGAGTAGATGCTCAAGAAATACATGTTGGACGGATGAATGAATGAATGCCACTGCCAGCACAGAGGGACTGCCCTCCCCTTCATCACCCAGGCCCAGCCCATATGCCCAGTTTCCTCCTGGGTCATCACTGACCTTTTCCAGGGCCTCCTTCAACACGGGGAGTGGGTGAGCCAGGGGCACGGGCTCAGGGTGCCGGGGACACATCCTCACAGGGGCAGAGGTCTCCTCTGGTCCCAGGGAACCTGGAGGGAACATCACATGGTGAGGAGGGGACAGAGATCAGGATAGGAATCTAGGGGGAAAGTGGCAGCAAAGGCCAGAGCAGTGCCTCAAGGACAGCCCTCCCCAGCCGAGCCGAGCCGGGGGATATCAGGGTCCAGAGACCAGCCCTAGCCCCTGAGGGGCCTAGGGAGCAAAGTGTGCCCTTGGGGAGGAGGCACAGCCCTGCAGGCCACAGCTCCTGGTTGGTGGTCACTGTACTCCCCTCTCTCTTGCTTAACCAGCTTCCCATCTCCTGTGGTCAGTGGACTTAGACCATTCTGGCTGCGTGGGGCAGGCTCAGCCACATCTGTCTGTCTGACCTGCTGTCGTCCTGATTATGTGTTTGGGTGGACTTCGAGCCCCACTTAGGACCCAGGCCTAAACCACAGCGACAACTCATTCTCTCACCAGAGCTGAGCATCAGGGCTTTGGGGGCCTGAGTCTGTTCTGCCTTTGTCCGGGTGTGTGGCTTCCTCGGCACCTCAGGCGAGAAGGTGAAGTGCTGGCAGGACAGGATTCAGGCTGTGATATCATCACAGCAGCACCCAAGCCTCTTCCTCTAAGGCTGGAGTGGGGTGTGAAGGGGGATGAGCATCCTCCAGGACTATTAATACATCCTCCTCGTCTTCCACTGTGCCCTGAGACTCCACCCCAAAACTGAGACAAGGTCCCTGCGGTAGGTTTCATATGACCATAAATTCTTGAGACAGAGTCTCACCCTGTTGCCCAGGCTGGAGTACAATGGTGCGATCTCAGCTCACTGCGATCTCAGCTCACTTCAACCTCTGCCTCCCGGGTTCAAGCGATTCTCCTGCCTCAGCCTCCCGAGTAGCTGGGACTACAGGCGTCCACCACCACGCCCGGCTCATTTTTGTATTTTTAGTAAAGCCAAGGTTTCACTATGTTGGTCAGGCTAGTCTTGAACTCCTGACCTCAGGTGATCCACCTGCCTCGGCCTCCCAAAGTGCTGAGATTACAGGCATGAGCCACCGTGCTCAGCCATAAGACCATAAATTCTGTCAGCTCCTTCCACCTTCGAAGCTGGCTGGCTTTGTGACTTGCTTTGGCCAAAAGAATGAGGCGGAACAAATTGCGACCTTTCTAGGCTAAACCTTAAGGGGCTTACTCCCTGCGAACACTGCCACCTTGTGGACAGGTCTGGGATAGCGGTCTTGAGAGCAGGAGTCCACGCTGAGGGAGACACCGCCCCCCTCAACCCGACCCCCAAGCCGACTTGCCCAGTGCACCAGAGAGAGCCCAAGCTAGACCAGCAGCAGAGCTGCCAGCCAGCCCACAGAATCATGGGAAATAATCACTTGCTTTGTCTGAAGCCAGTAGGCTTTGGGGTGGTTTGTTACTTAACAATAGATAACTGACGCAGACCCAAACAGGAAAATTACAAACCTTAGGGAGGATTTCTCAACAACCCCATGACATGGGTTTCACAGAATAGGGTGGTCCCAGCTAGAGCCTAGGCTTTGCTCAGCCTGGGACCCAGGTAGGGGCTAGTGTCCACAGTGGTGCTCCTCCTGCTTTAATTGGCAAACAAAGGGCCTGGTAGTTATCACTGTCAGTGGTGGCTCCTTTATTGGGCCTTGACCCGTTCAGGAAGGAGAGGCTCCAAGGCTTGGCAGCTGCTGCCCCTGAACACCTGTGAGTTGTTCCTATTGAGGTCTTAGATACAGCTGCAGGAAGGTCTTGAAAGGGGGCTGGAGCCTGGAGATTCCATCATGGTGGCCAAAGGCAGAGGAAGGGAAACACCGTTTGCTCTTCCTTTGGTGTCCTTGAATTTTACCCCCAAACTGGGTGTCTTGAAGAAACCCCAGTGGCATCAGGATCCTCATTTTATACACGAGGACATCGAGGCACAGAGAGGCAACAAGACTGTCCCAAAGATGCACAGCTAGTGAGAGCTGGACTCAGAATGGAGTCCAGAGCTTCTGAGTCTAAATCTTATGGTCCTCCCCTACACACTAGAATCAGGGGTGGCAGCTCAAAGCCCAGGAGGACCCAGGGGGCTATGGGGAGGAACTCAAGGCTGTCTCTGCACTCACCGGTCTTCAGCTTGGGGAGGTGATACTGCCACAGGAAGCAGCCAGTCATGACCACTGAGAGCAGGCAGAAGAAGCTGCAGATGGCCGGGAGGAGCCACTTCTTCTTCACTTTCAGCAAGTTGGGCCACCAGCCATCCTGGGAGAGCAAGGACATAAGGTACAGTCCCCTTGGGGGTCAGTCAGAGGGAAGAGAGGGACCCTAACCCTGGCCCCTCCTAGGCCTCAAGTTAGCCAGACATCACAAGAGCCCACAGCTTTGGATAAATTTCACAGTTGTGAAACCAATGCCCTTCCCAGTGTGACTCTTTCAATAGTTCTGCCCTCCAAGAGCACCCACCCCTTTGCTTGCTGTACCTTGTTCCCCTATGGACTTAGTGAAATATCGTAAGACCAGCTGAAATGCCACCTCCTCCAGGAAGCTTTCCTCAACTCTCCTGTATTAGTCTGTTCTCACGCTGCTAATAAAGGCATACCCAAGACTGAGTAATTTATAAAGGAAAGAGGTTTAGTTGACTCACAGTTCAACATGGTTGGGGAGGCCTCAGAAAACTTGCAAGTATGGCACATATTTCATTCTTCTACTTATATAAAATGTCTAGATAGACAACCCATAGAGACAGAAAGTACATTACAGGTTGCCAGGGGATGGGGGTAGCAAGGAATGAAGAGTCACTGCTAATGGCTATGAGTTTTTGTGGGGGTGATGAAAATGTTCTAAAATTGATTATGGTGCTAATGGCACAATCTTGTAAATATGCTATAACCACTGAATTGTACACTTAACAATGGTGAATTTTATGTCATATGAATTATATCTCAATACAATTCCTTGAAAATAATAGTACCTACTTGTATTCAGTTGCAAGGATTAAATGAGTTAATAAATTAGAACAGTAGCTGGCACACGGTAACACTACATATGTGTTAGCTATTATTGATTGCCTCCTATGTGCTAGGCACTGAGCCAGATATTGAGGATATACTGATGAACAGAAAGGGACTCTTTCCTGCCTTTTGGAGGTTTACAGTTTTACGAGGAGATGGGTGTTAACCAAATACATTGCATTAACTCCTCCTTGCCTACCTCCCTTTCTCAAAGGCACATCTTCCACTTCTGTCCTACAAACGTGGTATTTCTCCCCCTTCCCTCCTCTGTCCTCAGTACACACGCAATCCCTCAGTGGTGAGTTACCAAATGAGAAATGAAAGGAGACATCACTACAGATCTTACAGAGAAATATTATGAACAACTTTGTACCAATCCATTTGACAGTTTAAATGTGGACAAATTCCCTGAAAGACACAATCCCCAGGTGATCTCATGCACAAGGACACCAGCCACATGCTCATGGTTTCCGATTCTCTTCTGCCCAGCTCTCTCCCCTCTACTTCAGACTCCCATTTCAACTGCCTTCCGAGCATTTCCACCTGGAAGTCCTCAAGCACCTGGAACTCAACATCCAAAACAGAAAACTCACTTGTTTCACCCCCTCCTCCTTCTCTCTTATTTTCAACATCACCTCATGGCACCTGCCTCCACTTAGTCATGCTTCAGGGTCTGCCTGGGCCCCTCTATCTCCTTCAATCCCTACCTCCAGCCAGTCATCAAGCCCTCCTGGCCTGTTACAATTAGAAAATATTTCAAGCTTACTGAAAAAAATACACTGGGCCCAGTGGCTCACTCCTATTATCCTAGCACTTTGGGAGGCCAAGATGGGAGGATCACTTGAGCCCAGGAGTTTGAGGCCAGCCTGGGCAACATAGTAAGACCCTTTCTCTACAAAAAAATTAAACATTGGCTGGGTGAAGTGGCTCACACCTGTAATCCTAGCACTTTGAGAGGCCAAGGCGGGTGGATCACTTGAGCCCAGGAGTTCAAAACCAGCCTGGGCAACATGGCAAATCTTCGCCTCTACAAAAAATACAAAAATTAGCCAGGTATAGTGGTGTGTGCCTGTAATCCCAGCTACTCAAGAGGCTGAGGTGGGAAAATCACTTGAGCCTGGGAGGTGGAGGTTGCTGTGAGCCAAGATCACACCACTGCACTCCAGCCTAGATGACAGAGTGAGACCCTGTCTCAAAATAAATAAATATAAAAATAAAAATTAGCCAGGTGTGGTGGTATATACCTGTGGTCCCAGCTACTCGGGAGTCTGAGGTGGGAGGATTGCTTGAACCTGGGAGGTCGTCGAGGCTGCAGTGAGCCATGATTGCACCACTACATGCCAGCCTGGATGACAGAGCAAGACCCTGTTTCTCTCTCTCTCTCCATATATATACACACACACACACACACATACATAGATATACACACACATATACACATATATATAATGGTTCCATACATATATATATAGAGAGAGAGAGAGAGAGACAGACAGACAGACTTATAATGTAATGAATCCTTGGGCACTCAACACTCGACTTTGTTGAATCTCAACATTTTATCATATTTTCTCATATATTTACATTTTTCAAATATGCTATGTCCTTGCTTATTTACTTTGTCTGTTCAGTTTCCCCATCCCATAAGGATTGTTGTTTGTTTTGTTTACTGAGGTATTCCCAGTACCCAAAGCAGTTCCTGGAACATAGCAGACCCTAATAAATATTTGTTAAATGCCTGACTGGATGAAAATAAAACATCCTAGGTGGAGTTGAAGTCCTCTGTGTACCTTTCATGGATCTCAGTCCCTTCCTGCTCTCCCCAAATGTAACACCCATGCTTGATCTTGGTGTTTATCATAATTATGCACGTGTTTATTCTTTTACTATGTGTTTATGTTTCCATAAACAGCATGTAGTATTGTTTTTTTTGAACGTAAATAAATGATTTCATACTGTATAATCCTCCTGCAACTTGCTTTTTATTCAGTTAGCTAACTACAATTCTGGGTTATTCATTTTGACTTCTGTGGAGTGTGTTGTTGTATAAACATACTGGGTAGTGTAGTAGTTAGAGCCCGGGGCCAGACTACCTTAAAAACGTGACTATTTCACAGTCCAGTTGGGAATCCTGTGCTAGAAGTGAAATTTCTGGGTAGCAAGGTACAGCCATCTTCAACTTAGCCACATACTATTCTGTTCCTCTCTAAAGTTGTCATTCCAATTTATGCTCGTCCCACCTTTGATTCTCATTGCTATTAATATTTCTAATCTGCATCTTCTTGGTGACTAATAATGTTGAATACCTTTTCATGTATTTATTGTATGTATTTGGGTTTGATTTTCTGCAGTTGGACTGTTCTCCCTTGCCTGGTCTTTTTCTATTCTCTTTTCTTTACTTATTAGAGTTCTTCATATACTCTTGTTTGTGGCTTGATTTTCACTCTGTGTTGATAACTTTTGTGGAGAGACAGAATAGTGTAGTGGTGAATCCATGGCCAGATTGCCTGATTTGCAATCTTAGCTCAGCCACTTACCACTGCGTGACCTTAAGAAAATCACTTAACCTCCCTGTGCTTCTGTTTCCTCACCTGTAAAATGGGGACGATAATAGTGCCTAACTCATAAATTTGTAAGGATTAGATGAGTTGATGTATAAAAATAACATTGTCTGACACATTGTAAGCCCTGTTAGCTATTACGGTATTTGGGGATTGTTTTGAGACAGTCTCACTCTGTCACCCAGGCTGGAGCGCAGTGATGTGATCAGTTTTTGCATTTTTTGTAGAGACAGGGTCTCACTATGTTGCTCAGGCTGGTCTCAAACTCCTGGGCTCAAGCAATCCTCCCACCTTGACTTCTGAAAGTGCTGGGATTACAGGCATGAATCACTGTGCCTGGCCAACTATTACAGTATTTTTGAATAGGAGGGCTTTTGGTTTTGATTTTGGTTGTTGCCAAATTTATCAGTATTGTCTTTTTGGTTTGCATTGTGTATATGGTGCGTGTGTGTGCTTAAGAAATCTTTCTTTTCACAGAGGTCAGAAATAGAGGTTTTTGTACTTTTACACACAAAAGAATTTTTGGTTATAGAATAAAGTAGGGATCCAATTTTATTTTTCCATTTGGATAATCAATAGTCCAGCACTATTTATTAAATACACCAACCTGTCCCCCACTGACTCATATGCCAACTCTGAAGTATATCAACAGTCTGTACATACTGACATCTGCCTTCTGGGCTCTGTTCCAGGAGAGTCTTGCTGAGTTTATGTTCCATCCCTCCCTGTCCAACCCTGCACTCTCTTCCACAACAAAGATCTCTCACATGTTGAGCACAGTGTGCCAGACGCTGTTCTACAGGAAACAATCTGGCAAGAGAGACTTTCTATGATCCGACTCCAGCGAACTCCGCCAGCCCATTCCCTGCCCCTCCCCTGCCCCCTGTGTCTTTATGCCCCCACCTCCCGCATCATTGCCCCTCTCTGTACTTTTGCACCTGCCATTCCTTGGGGCTGTGGTTTCCTTTTATCCTTTTCCATCAGAAAAACTGTGTTCTTCCCTTAACACCCATAGGCATCTGTGAAGCCTTCTCATTCTTCCCCAGGCAGAGCCGCTCATGGTAACTGGCTACTACTGGCTTCTTTGTCTGGGTCCCTACAAGGTAAGGATTCTCTCCAGCACCAGCAGAGAATTCCCTCCTGGCTCTTATGCCTTGGACACCTAGTACCCCACCTGGCACTAGCAGGTTCTCAGGAAATTCTTTTGAACTTTACATGGTTCTGCAAGTTGAAAGACTTGGGTTCAAATCTTAACTCCACTCCTGAGTCAGTTGTAACTCTGGACAAGTCTCTTCCCCTCTCTGAGCCTCTACTTCTCCAGGTGTTGAAGAGGGTTGGCTACTTGTAAAGAGTTTACTTTTACATCTGGAAATCTTGTGTGATTTCAAAAGTGTCTTTCAGCTGTAGAATCTAGGGTTCTCACTGAAATCATCTTTGGTCATAATATTCAAAGACTGGAAACAACCCAAATGCTCCTCAATTGGTGAGTAAATAGACAAACTATAGTACGTCTGTACAAGGGAATACTACTCAGCAATGTAAAGGAACGAGCTACTGATACATGCAATAATGTGGATGAACCTCAAAGCATGATGCTAAGTGAAATAAGCCAGACTAAATGGTTACAGACTATAGAATACAACTCATAGAACATTCTGGAAAAAGCAAAATGATAGGAACAGAAAACAACTCAATGGTTGTCTGGAGGTAGGGATGAGGTAGACTACAAAAGAGCAGAAGGGACTTTGGGGAGGTCATGGAACTGTGCTATATGTTTATCGTGGTGGTGGTTATGGGATTTTATACATTTGTTGAAAGTCATAGAACTCTGGGAGGCCGAGGCAGGAGGATCACTTGAGTCCAGGAGTTCAAGACCAGGCTGGGCAACATAGCAAGACTCTGCCTGTACAAAAAAATAGAAAAAAATTGCCAGGCATGCTGGCATGCACCTGTAGTCCCAGCTACTTGGAAGGCTGAGGTGTGAGGATTGCTTGAGCCCAGGAATTAGAGGCCGTAGTGAGCTATGATCATGCCACTGCACTCCAGCCTGGGCAACAGCGCAAGACCCTGTCTCAAAAAAAAAAAAAAAAAACAACTCTTAGAACTGCACAGATTTTATTTCATGTAAATGATACCTCAATTGTTATAAAATAAAGCAATTAAAGATCCCAAAAGCATTGGGATTCTCTACCTGTTGGAGGAGTAACCCCAGATACAAAGGAGTGAATGGAAGGCTCTCAGATATTGCCACTGGATCATATGGAAGATACTCCCCTCCTGGCATGAACACAGAGCTGCAGGGGCAGTGAGGACCCCTTGGTGGGAAGGCAGCCTGCTATCCCCTAACTGGCACCTAAGGTGTAACCAGCAGATCCTTAGCTTATTTTTAGGTGAAGAATAAAATTCAGAGGCATTAATTGACTTGCTGAGTCCATGGGCAGTGAATGGCAGAGCTGAGATTCAAGCTCTGTAAGATGCACCACCCCCCTCCTCCTCAAAATGCAGCTGGGATCTCTACACCCCCAATTTGTAGCCCTCCTCTGGGGCCTAGCCTCATCTCGTCTGTCTCCAATCTCAGGATTTATTCCAGCAGACCCGAAGATGGGTCAGTATTTAATCTCTAAGCTGCTTGCCAGCTGCTCACAGTTTGACTTGCAGTAGCCACTAGAAATCTCTTTCCTTTCCCTTCCCAGCTGGAAATTGCTGGCAGTAGGGGAGGGCCCAGGAAGAACCAGGCTCTCCCAAACCCCACCTATAACACGGCTCCACCACCCCCCAACCCCTGCTCCTTCTCAGGTGTTCTGTGCCCCAATCACCCTCACCTCCTTCCTCATGCTCACGGCCCACTCTGGGACAACTACTCTTTGTCCAGTTATTCATTCAGAAAACAATCCCCGAGGGCTTGCTGTGCTCTGGGCCACATCTGCCCCCAAGGAGCCAGAAGGACAGTGGCATAATCAGACACAAGGGCCTGGGGCCAGGGAAGTAGGACTTGACTCTGGCTCTGCCGTTACTAGTTCTGGACAAATGACCTCACCCTTTTGAGTCTCAGATTTCTCATCTGCATAATGCAGATAACAATTGTTCCTACATCTTATAGGGTTTAGTTGAGAATAAATAAGATAGTGCATGCAAAGCCCATAGAGAGCTGTTCACCAGTTGGTAGCTAGAGGTGTAATAAAGGGCTTCAGGGCTCACAGATACAGATGAGCTCAGCCTAGGGGGAGGGAGGAGGAGGAGAGAGTCATTGAACAGGTAGTTAGGAATGAGCTTGGGTCACTCCAGGCAGAGGCCTCTGGGGATGTAAAAAGGAAGAGGAGTTAGTTTCTGGTTTGTTTTGATAATTCAGTGAGTTTATGTAAAACATTTGAAACTGTTCCTGGCCTGCAGGTGCAAGCTCTAGAGATGATGATGATGATGATGATGATGATGATGATGATGATGATGATGATGATGAAGGTAACGTGGGGGGGATTTAGCCCAATATTTGAAGCCAGAAGGACGGTGGCATGGTCAGACATGTGTCAGAAGCTGACACATGGTGACAGCTTCTTGAGGCTGTGCCTCACCTGGGTCTTCATTCTCTCCAAGGCATGGAAGATTCTGGCTCTTTGAGGATTCAGGTCTACACCACAGGAGATCCCGTAAGCAGGAAACTGAGTCAGAGGAGTGAAGGCAAAAAGAGGTCCTGAGGGGCTGGAAAAAGAGGAGGGGGACAGAGAAAAGCTAGAAAACAAGGAGGGTAGACGAGGATGCGGGGGATCAAAGCAGCCCTCCTCTTCCCATGGCTCCCCCTCCCAGGTGAGAGAAACAGCAAGCTCAGAAACCCCTGCCAGGTGACCCGGCATCCCAGTTTGTCCAGGACTGTCTTGATTTTAGCACTGAAAGTCCTGCATTCCCAGAAACCCCTCAGTCCTAGGCAAATGGGACCATTGGTTACCCTGTGTGCCCCGCATTGAATTCCAGCTCCTCTTCCCCACCCCCAGCCTGCAGAGAACAATCTGGTCAGGCCCTCAGGCTCTTGGCCACAACTTACCCTCTCCAGAAGGTACCAGCAAGAACAGGGCAGTTAGGGCCCCAGTTTGGCTGACAGTGCCTCTGGGAGTCCCCTGTGTTCCAGAGGACAGGAATGGCTTCCTGGGCTCTGAGGCACAGGCTTTACCAAGCTCTCCAGGGGCTGGCAGATGTGGCGCCTAATTTCCCCGGTGCTAATCCCTCAGAGTGCCTGCTGCCATGGGGATTAGCTTCTGGGGTCCCCAAGCAGCGGGGAAGCGGGGGAGATCTGTCAGGGAGCATTGGGTAACATCATGTGACCCGAGTGCTCCAGGCTGGTGAAGAAAGGAACACTCTCTCCAAAAGGAGTGTCTGCCAAACCCAGTGTGGAAAAGGGATGTCAGGAGGCCACCAGGGTCATTTCCAGCTGGGAAGGGAAAGGAGAGAGATTTCCAGGCTTGGTCTGACCCCACACAAGCTCCTCAGGCACCTCTGAGGAAACTGGAGCACAAAGGAACCCAGTTTAAGGACCACTGGGGTCAGCCTAGTTGTGAAATATTCAGGTAACCTGGGTCCAAATCTTAGTCTGTCACTGCCAGTGTGAGCCTGTGTGACCAGGGATCATAACCTCTTTGCCTCACATCTATAAAATGGGGACAATAATACTAGCTTGGTTAGCGTGCAAGTTAAATGGAATGCGCTCTTGAAGCAGGCAGCCCAGAACCCGGCACCTAGTAAGTGCTCCATAAATTTTGGCTTCTTGTCATGGACTTGGCTTTTTTTTTTTTAAAGACAAGAACAGCTGAGCATGGTGGCTTATGCCTGTAATCCCAGCACTTTGGGAGGCCAAGGCAGGAGGATGGCTTGAACCTAGGCGTTCGACATCAGCCTGGGCTGAGACCTCGTCTCTACAAAAAATTTAAAAATGGCCAAGTGTGGTGGTGTTGCCCTGTAGTCCCAGCTACTCTGGAGGTTGAAGCTGAAGCATTGTTTGAGCCTGGGAGGTGAAGGCTGCAGTGAGCCGAGATAAGATTATGCCAGTGTGCTCCATCCTGGATGACAGAGTGAGACTCTGTCTAAAAAAAAAAAAAAAAAAAAAAGACAAAGTTGTGCTCTGTCACCTAGGCTGGAGTGCAGCGGTGCAATCAAAACTCACTGCAGCCTCCAACTCCTGGGCTCAAGCGACCCTCCTGCCTCAGCCTCCTGAGTATCTGAGACTACAAGCATGCACTACTATGCCCAGCTAATTATTATTTTTTAATTGCTTTTGGTACAGATGGGGGTCTCCCTTTTTTGCCCAGGCTAGTCTTAAACTCTTGGCCTCAAGTGATCCTCCCATCTCTGCCTCCCAAAGTGCTGGGATTATAAGTGTAAACCAAAAATAAAATTCTAAGGCCCCCAACCGTCTGAATGGACTTCCTCCTCAGCCAGCACATTCTTAAAATTTAACCTGAAAGACCGAAAGACTGGTTTAGGCCTTGACGGGGAGTAGGGGTCAAACGTGCCTCATCATACTTCTCCAGCATAACATCACATAACAAATAAGGAAAGAAATCAAAATAGTTTAACCCCAAATATATTTCCTTGTTATATCTTGAAATTGCCCTGCAAAGTTTGACTCTTGTGGGAAAAATCTACATTCTGTAGAGAATCCTCCTTTTCCTCTTCCATTTGCAGACCCAGGAGATAATCAACAGTCAGGAACCCTTTTAAGTCCCATAAGAAAACATTTTATAACCTATTCTCTCTGAAGCCTGCTAGCTATAAACTTCTTCTGCACAATAAAACTTTGGCCTCCCCAGTCTTTTATCTTAACCCAAACATTTCCTTTCTATTGATCTCAGGTCCTCAAACTCAACCAATTGTCAACTAGAACATTTTAAAATTTACCTATAGCCTGGAAGCCCCCATATCGAGTTGTCCCACCTTTCTAAACCAAACCAATGTACATCTTAAATGTATTTGACTGATGTCTCATGCCTCCCTAAAATGTATAAAATCAGCCAGGCGCGGTGGCTCACGTCTGTAATCCTAGCACTTTGGGAGGCCGAGGCGGGCAGATTGCCTGAGCTCAGGAGTTCAAGATCAGCCAGAGCAACATAACAAAACCCTGTCTCTACTGAAAATACAAAACATTACCCAGGCGTGGTAGTGTGCACCTGTAATCCCAGCTACTTGGGAGGCTAAGGCAGGAGAATCACTTGAACCTGGGAAGCGGAG
Source organism: Homo sapiens (assembly GCF_000001405.40). Taxonomy (NCBI): domain Eukaryota; kingdom Metazoa; phylum Chordata; class Mammalia; order Primates; family Hominidae; genus Homo; species Homo sapiens. The sequence goes on from NC_000001.11 coordinate 22,974,949, forward strand.
GTTGCAGCGAGCTGAGATCATGCCAGTGCTGTCCAGCCTGGGCAACAGAGCAAGACTGTCTCAAAAACAAGACAAAACAAAAAAAAAGCTGCACCCCAACCACCTTGGGCACATAATCTCAGGACCTCCTGAGGGCTGTGTCATGGGCCATGGTCACTCATATTTACCTAATATTTCTCTTCAAGTATTTTATAGAGTTTGACTCTTTTTGTCGACATAGGTGTGAGCCACCACTCCCAGCCATGACCTGGCTTTTATGTCAAACTTCTACCTGGCCCCTATGGCAGATATCAGATCTCTCTCTGTGAACATTCTAGAAGATTTTCTATTGATTTTAGTTGATACAAAAGATAAAACATATATTCCTTCTCAACATTAGATGAGGTTGCACATTGGGGTTACTTGGAGAGCTCTTAAAAACCACTGGTGTCTGGGTCCCACTGCAGAGATCCCCAGAGGCGCAGCTTGGATGCCGCAGCCTTTGAAGACTCCTTGGTGATTCGACTGTGTGGCCAAGGTTGAGAATCAGTGCCCCAGATCAGTGTGTGTCCCACTTACTTGTGGGTAGGAGCATCCTAGCGATTGTGTTACATGGTAGGTTCTGAGCCAGTGAGTCGGGGTGGTATCTGAGAGCCTACATTTCTAACAAGCTCCTAGGTGATGCTGAGGCTGGTGTAAAGACCACACTTTGAGGAGCGAGGCTCCTCTGCAACTCACGGATCACACCAGCCTCCACCTCATTATTTCAACGGAGCCTTGAATTGCTATCTCCTTCTACTAATGCTCAGGATTGGGGATGGATGGAGGCAAGCCTTCTAGATCTTCTTCTGTAGCCCCCATAGCCAAAAATCTGAGTGATTTTGTCCAAACTTCACATTGTATGGCTGGCAAAAGAGGCTCACAGAGGGGAAATGACTCACCAAGGTCACATAGCAAGTTTACTGACAACAATTGATCTGGGACCCAGGTCTTTTTCATTGCACTTGGCTGTTTGGTTAATCTTCTCTGTGGCTCAGAACTGGCAGCCCGCTTCTTGGACACAGACTGCCTGTTGACAATGTACCACATACGGTCTTTAGAGCCCCCTGTGCTATGTCCTCTGGTCTCCACAATCCCAGGAGGCAGCTTCTATTCTGTCTCCATTTTACATCCGAGGAAACTGATGCTCCGGAAAGGGAGGTCCCCAAGAAATGGCAGAACTGGGTTTGGACCCAGGAGTCCTGTCGTTCCCCAGACACTGACAAGACTCCTCGGTTGCTGTGAGGATTAAATGGAATGTGCTCATGAAGCAAGCAGCCCAGAGAGAGCCTGGCACCTACTAAGGGCTCCATGAAGTTCGGCTTCCTACAATGACTCGGGTTTTTTTGTTTGTTTGTTTGTTTGTTTGTTTTTGAGACAAGGTCTCACTAACACTACCTAACACTAATCAGTCTATGGGCAAAGACTGTGTCTTATTCAGGTCTATGTCCCCAGACCTAGCACTCCTGGGTTCTGCAGTCCTTGCCCCCAGGACACCACCCCCTCCCTGAGAACCACTCCCTTGCTCCTAGCCCAGTTCTGAAGGCAGCCATTTTTCACTGCAGAGACCAGCCCTGCCCCTCCCGAATTTAACTAGACGGGAACCCACAGCGTGTCATACAGCACAGTGGCCCCAGGATGGCAGTAGATGCCCATGTGTAAGATCTCTGGCCCAGCCTGAGCCTCCTTTAAAGGGTAATTTACTTGCATGTGTCTCTTCCTCCAGGCCCTTGTCCAGGGGCTTTCCATCCATGAACCAAGATATTCCCCACAATATCCCCATAGGGAGGAATTATTCACCATCATTTACACACGAAAGATCATGTTCATCCTTTGCCCTTCATGGCCGCTTCCTACTCTTTGGGGAAAAACCAAAAACCTTACATGCGTAGTTTAAACCTATCCAGTAGATGTCCCTATGGGTCAGGCTGCAAGAGTTCAAATTCCAGCTTCCCCACTTATTACCGGTGTGACTTTGGTTGGATTTCTTGGCTTCTCTTGGACCTCAATGTGCTCATCCATAAAATGGGGTAATGAAGTAGAACCCACCTCCTTGCAGGGAGGAGTGAGGATTGCATGAAATAATACACCTAAAATGTACAATCCAGTAGCTGGCACGCAGCAAGTGCTCAGCAAATGTTAGTCACTCTTATTACCATGAGTCTCATTGGCCTCTCCTCCTGGGAGAAACTAATTGTCCTCACCCTCTGCATCAGGACCTTTAAGAAAGAAGAATGTGGGCCGGGCATGATGGCTCATGCCTATAATCCCAGCACTTTGGGAGGCCAAGGCAGGCGGATCACTGGAGGTCAGGAGTTTGAGACCAGCCTGGCCAATATGGCGAAACCCCATCTCTACTAAAAATACAAAAATTAGCCAGGCGTGGTGGTGGGCACCTGTAGTCCCAGCTACTTGGGAGGCTAAGGCTGGAAAATCGCGAACCCAGAAGGCAGAGGTTGCAGTGAACCGAGATCACGTCATTGCCCTCCAGGCTGGGTGACAGCAAGACTCTGTTGAAAGAAAGAAAGAGAGAAAGAGAGAGAAAAAAAAAAAAAGGAAGGAAGGAAGGAAGGAAAGAAGGAAGGAAGCAAGGAAGGAAGGAAGGAAGGAAGAAGAATGTGGGCCAGGCACAGTGGCTCAAGCCTGTAATCCCAGCACTTTGGGAGCCAGAGGTGGGCAGATCTCTTGAGGTCAGGAGTTCGAGACCAGCCTGGCCAACATGGCAAAACCCCATCTCTACTAAAAATACAAAAATTAGCCTGGCATGGTGGCGGGTGCCTGTAGTCCCAGCTACTTGGGAGGCTGAGGCACAAGAATCCCTTGAACTCGAGAGGCAGAAGTTGCAGCAAGCCGAGATCACACCACTTCACTCCATCCTGGGTGACAGAGCAAGAGAAATAAAGAGAGAAAGAGGGAAGGAGAGAAAGAAAAGAAAGAAAGAAGGAAAGAAGGAAGGAAGGAAGGAAAGAAAAAGAGAAAGAAAGATGAAAGAAAGAAAGAAAGAAAGAAAGAAAGAAAGAAAGAAAGAAAGAAAGAAAGGAAGGAAGAAAGAAAAAGAAAGAGAAAGGAAGGAAGAAAGAGGTTGAAAAGATATCAAATCAAAGGCAAATTAAACTTTAAAAAGGGCCAGATGTGGTAGCTCATGCCTGTAATCCCAGCACTTTGGGAGGCCGAGGTGGGTGGGATCATGAGGTCAGGAGATGGAGACCATCCTGGCTAACACAGTGAAACCTCATCTCTACTAAAAATATAAAAAATTAGCCAGGTGTAGTGGCATGCGCCTGTAGTCCCAGCTACTCAGGAGGCTGAGGCAGGAGAATCTCTTGAACCCAGGAGGCAGAGGTTGCAGCGAGCCAAGATTGCGCCACTGCACTCCAGCCTGGGCAACAGAGACATACTCCATCTCAAAAAAAAAAAAAAAACTTTACAAAGGAAAATGTTCCTCCTAAAGGATATATGAAGATACTTAGCATTTTCAGCAGTCAGGCTTTGATTGATTCATTGATTCATCCATTCACTCACTTACCCACTGAGTCATGCAACAGACATTTACTGAACATCTGCCATTCCCTGGGTCTTACACTTGGGTGTGGGGCAAAGCAGATATAGTAACAGATATTCATTGTCAGTGCATTTTTATTGAGCACCTACTCAGCGCTAGGCACTGTTCTTGGTGCTTCAGATATATCAGTGAACAACACAAAGGTCCCTGACCTGGTAGAGCCCATCTTCTAGCAGGGGCAACAGGATAAATAAGTTAAATGCTGCATTACAAAGTGATACATGACCAGGCACAGTGGCTCACGCCTGTAATCTCAATACTTTGAGAGGCTGAAGCAGGTGGATCACTTGAGGCCATGAGCTCCAGACCAGCCTAGGCAACACAGGGGAGACTCTGTCTCTATACAACATTTTTTTAAAAAAACAAAATTGGCCGGGTGCAGTGGCTTACGCCTGTAATCCCAGCACTTTAGGAGGCCAAGGCAGGCAGATCGTGAGGTCAGGAGATCAAGACCATCCTGGCTAACACGGTGAAACCCCATCTCTACTAAAAAAAAAATACAAAAAAATTAGCTGGGCATGGTGGCGGGCGCCTGTAGTCCCAGCTACTCGGGAGGCTGAGGCAGGAGAATGGCGTGAACCCGGGAGGCAGAGCTTGCAGTGAGCCGAGATCACACCGCTGCACTCCAGCCTGGGTGACAGAGCGAGACTCTGTCTCAAAAAACAAAAACAAAAAAAACAAAACAAACAAAAAAAAGAAACAACAAAATTAGCCAGGCGTGGTGGCGCATGCCTGTAGTCCCAGCTACTCAAGGAAGCTAATGAGTGAGGATCACTTGAGCCTAGGAGGTCAAGGCTTCAGTGAACCATGAGCACGCCACTGCAATCCAGCCAGGGTAGCAGAAGAAAACCTGTTTCCAAAAATAAAAATAAATTAAAAATAAAATAATATATGTCATGGTAAAATAAATAGAGCTGGGTAAGAGGGGTAGATTAGAGTATTAAATTGGGAGATCAGAATGGGCCTCATTGAGAAAGAAGCATTTAGCAAATCACCTAAGGGAAATAAGAGAGTTAGCTATATGGACAACAGAGGAATAGTGTTCACAGTAGAGGGAACAGCCAGTGCTCAGGCCTTAGGGTGGAATGTGCCTGGTGTGTTAAAAGAATAGCAAGGAAGCCAGTGGCTGGAGCAGACTAAGCAAAGGGCAAAGTAGTAGGTGAGGTAGGGAAGTAAGAGGTCAGGATGGTCACATAGAACCTTCTAGGCCACAGGAAGGACTTTGGCTCCCCTCTGAGTGAAGTGGGAGCCTTTGCAGAGTTTGAAAGCAGAGGAGTAGCACAATCTGACTCACATTTTTTTTAAGGCAGGGTCTTACTCTGTTGCCCAGGCTGGAGTGTAGTGGTATGATCATAGCTCACTGCAGCCTCAAACACCTGGGTTCAAGGGATCCTCCCACCTCGGCCTCCCAAAACACTGGGATTACAGGCACCCGGCCATGACTCATATTTTTATTTATTTTGTTTCCTTTTTTTTTTTTTTTTTTTTGAGACAGGGTCTTGCTTTGTCACCGAGGCAATGGCGCAATCACAGCTCACTGCAACTTCAACCTCCTGGGCTCAAGTGATCCTCCCACCTCAGTCTTCTGGGCAACTGAGACTACTGGTGTGCACCACTTTGCCTGGCTAATTGTTTGATTATTTGTAGAGATGGAGTCTTGCTATGTTGACCAGTCTGGTCTCAAACTCCTGGGCTCAAGCCATTGTCCCACCTTGGCCTTCCAAAGTGCTAGGATTACAGGCATGAGCCACCACGCCCAGCTGACACTTTTTGTTTTATTACTTATTTATTTATTTATTTATTTATTTATTTATTTATTTATTTATTTTGAGATGGAGTCTTGCTCTGTTGCCCAGGCTGGAGTGCAGTGGCGCAATCTCGGCTCACTGCAACCTCCTTCTCCAGGTTCAAGCGGTTCTCCTGCCTCAGCCTTCCAAGTGGACGGGATTACAGGCACGCACCACCACAGCTTGCTAATTTTTGTATTTTTAGTAGAGGTGGGGTTTCACCAAGTTGGCCAGGCTGGTCTCAAGCTCCTGACCTCGGGTGATCCACCTGCTTCAGCCTCCCAAAGTGCTGGGATTATAGGCATGAGTCACCATGCCCAGCTGACTTATTTTTAAAGGAGCACTCTGGTTCAAGGCCACCCTGGGCAGCATAGTGAGACCTTGTTCTCTGCAAAAACTACAAAAATTATCCAGGTGTGGTGGCACATGCCTGTCTCAAAAAGATTTTTAAATTATTAAAATAAAATAAAGGTGCACTCTGGCTTCAGTGCTGATAACTGGCTAGAGGGCAGAAGTGGGAGTGGGGAGGCCAGTTGAGATTGCCACTCTTGTTCAGGCGAGGTATGGTGGTGGCTTGGACCTCAGCAGGGACAGTGGGAAAGTGTCAGATTCTGGATATACAGTTGTCCCTCTGTCTCCATGGGGATTGGTTTCAGGACCCCTCCACAGATGCTTAAGCCCTAATGTAAAATGACATAATATTTGCATATCACTGACACACATCCTCCTGCATACTTTAAATCATCTCCAGATTACTTATAACACTTAACACAATGTAAATGCTATATACTTAGTTGTTATACTGTATTGTTTAGGGAATAACGACGAGAAAAAAGAAGTCTGGGCCAGGCACGTGGTGGCTCATGCCTGTAATCCCAGGACTTTGGGAGGCTGAGGCAGGTGGAGGTCAGGAGTTTGAGTCCAGCCAGGCCAACATGGCGAAACCCCATCTCTACCAAAAATACAAAAATTAGCCAGGTGTGGTGGCGGGTGCTTGTAAGCCCAGCTACTCAGGAGACTGAGGCAGGAGAATCGCTTGAACCTGGGAGGCAGAGGTTGCAGTGAGCTAAGATCAGGCCATGGCACTCCAGCCTGGGTGACACAGCAAGACTCCATCTCAAAAAAAAAAAAAAAAAGAAAAGAAAATCACTGGCATTTAGATGATATGTACAGCCATCACCAAGGTAGTGAGATGGAGAAAAGAAGGGATCTGAGGACAGAGCTCTAAAGTGCGAGAGATGTGGGCATTAAGTGAAGGCAAATACCACAAAGTCATTAAGTGTGGGCTCAGAAAAGCCTTTACTGGAGAAACGCACAAACAGAGGGTGGAAGCCGAATGAGGCATTGAGTTGTTCAACCGCTCATCATTGTTTGGAGAGAGGTAGAGGGAACCAGGGCACAGCAGGAGACACCGTGGAGTGTGCTCCAGAAGGGGAACCCCACCTTGCTAGCTACTCTACTTTTTGTATAGGCAATTGTGAGGTTAGTCTTGTAAGTAAAGAAAAACAGGTCCAAGCTTAGACTCTAGGGGAATTGCTTACAGTGCTGAGGACACCTGGAGCCCCTGTGGGATGTAGAGGCCAGGTAGAGTCATTTCTGCTTTTGGGAAAGGCGCCCTCTCTGGAATCCATCTGCTATCTGTTTGCTAGGAGCCTGGAGTGAGCCCCCAGGGGCTTCCTATACAGTGCAACTTGGTTTTCCAAGGTTCATCCCCTTATCTACGGGCTCATCAAACATGGGACTCACCAAATATAAGCATGCCCAACAGGAGTAGAAATCAATTGGGCTTATAATGGGATTTCCAGTGATTGTTGGCAATGCTGGAGGAGACACTGCAGAAGGAGGGAGGCCTGGAGTCATAGTACAAACCCACCATGGAGGCCTGAGGCACCTGGACATGGAGACCATGTGAAGTCTGAGGAAAGAGCCCAAGGCTCAGACAGAGGAGTAGCCTGGAGCCATGAGGCATGTTCCCGTGGTAGCTTTGGGCTTCTGGACTTAGCCAAAGGTATTCATCCAGAAACAGCAGAGGATATTGTCCAGTGAAGCTAGCTACTCTCCTGGCTGGCCAAAAAGAGTGCAAAGCTATGTGGTTATCCCGCATGACCTGAGTTCATGATAACCTCGCCAGTGAGAACCTTGGCTGTCCCTGTGGCAATTCCCTTCAGGATACCTGAGCCCCTGTGGATTGTAGATTCTACCTATAATAGGAGGAAAATCTGCATAAAATGGTGAAATCTATGTACTGAATACCCAGGAATGTCTTGTCAAAAGCACTAGAGGCTGGGACTGGGAACACTGCTGTGCCCACAGGTCTTGGGTTATCATGAGGGCTCATATGCAGGTGGTATTCTTTCCAAACAGAAAGCAAGGAAGGACCTATATCCAGAGTACAAATCAAGTCCTGGGGGATACACAGGACTGCTCAATATTCTGCCAGTTCACCTCCACACCTTCCATGCAGGGGATGGGAACATGGTTGTGCCATTTGTAGCTGTGGCCTGATTTCTCCCAACTAAATTCCCCCTGTGAACCAAAAATATCTGAGACAGGTCTCAATCAATTTAGAAAGTTTATTTTGCCAAGGTTAAGGACGCACCCATGACACAGCCTCAGGAGGTCCTGACAACATGTGCCCAACGTGGTCGGGGCGCAGCTTGGTTTTATACATTTTAGGGAGACATGAGATATTAATCGATTATGTAAGATGTATGTTGGTTCAGTCCAGAAAGGCAGGACAACTCGAAGCGGGGAGGGGGCTTCCAGGTCATAGGTAGGTAAGAGACAAACGATTGCATTCTTTTGAGTTTCTGATTAGCCTTTCACTGAATATACAATTAACTCATGAGAGGAGCATAGAGGTATAGTCACTTATGCCTTAGTCTGGCTTAGTGAAACAATAGGGCAAAGGAAGCAATCAGATATGCATTTGTCTCATGTGAGCAGAGGGATGACTTTGAGTTCTGTTTGTCCTTTATTCACAAGGAATTTCCTTGTGGGCAAATTGTGAGAGAGGTAGGCAGTTTTGTTTTTTTTTTATTTGTTTGAGACAGAGTCTCCCTCTCTTGCCCAGGCTGGAGTGCCCTGGCATGATCTTGGCTCACTTCACCTACCAGGTTCAAGCAATTCTCCCTGCCTCAGCCTCCCAAGTAGCTGGGATTACAGGTGCCCGCCACCACGTCCGGCTAATTTTTGTATTTTTAGTAGAGACGGGGTTTCACCATGTTGGCCAGGCTGGTCTCGAACTCCTGACCTCAGGTGATCCACCTGCCTCAGCCTTGCAAAGGGCTGGGATTATAGGTGTGAGCCACTGTGCCTGGCCATATGTAGCTTTTTAATCTTTGTAGGAATAGAATGAGAGGTGGGTTTGCCTAACAGTTCCCAGCTTGACTTTTTCCTTTGGCTTAGTAGTTTTGGGATCCCAAGATTTATTTTCCTTTCACACCCTAAAGCACAGCAGTTTTTGGCAATGGCCAGCTAGGAGCAATTCCCTTGCCATGGTCAGAGAGGGAGACACCAACAAGGTCTCCCATAGCTGGGTATGGAGGACAGGGGTAGTGGTGGTGATACGTTCAATACTGTAGGTTTGTGGAATGGAGCCTGGCCTAGGCAGCTGCTAGAGGCTGTTGAAGCTTTTTCTGTCTGAACCTGGAAGAGCAGGTGAGAGGTTATTTACTCTTCGACCCTGATCTGTTTCCTGATATCGCTTGCGTATGTTCTTGCTACATCAGCTGAGGCTTGTCATGTCCCCAGAATCAGCCAAACGATCTGTACTTTTTCTTAGAGCATTGACCTCACAGGAACCCAGCAGTCACTATTCTGCCCTCAAAGGCAATCCCTTGAGACTGAGGATGGTGGTTGCAGAGCAGAAGGAACCTGTTGCACAGGCATAGTGACCACAGCAATGTTCTCCATTTGCAGAGGAGATGGATGGTAGGAACACTGCCTTCCTCTAGGTAAAGGCAGTGTCAGAGTTGCCTGCCCAGGGTGTGTGTCCATCAAGTGCCCTTCAAAAAAGGAAAAAAAGGCCAGTCGTGGTGGCTCACGCTTGTAATCCCAGCACTTTGGGAGGCTGAGGTGGGCGGATCACCTGAGGTCAGGAGGCCGAGACCAGCCTGGCCAAAATGATGAAACCCTGTCTCTACTTAAAAAGAATACAAAAATTAGCCAGGCGTGGTAGCAGGCGCCTGTAATCCCAGCAGGCACCTGTAATCGGGAGGCTGAGGCAGGAGAATTGCTTGAACCCGGGAGGCGGAGGTTGCAGTGAGCCGAGATCGCGCCATTGCACTCCAGCTTGGGGGACAAGAGCGAGACTTCGTCTGAAAACAAACAAACAAAAAAAAAGGAAAAAAAAAGACCCAAAGTCATGTCCACCCAGTTAGCCTCAACTAGAGCAATGTGAACTTACCAGCCAATGGTCAAAGTTCTTGCTCAAAAAAGAAGGGGCAGTTAGGGACAGAGATTCTGGGGTCCTGGCACATTGAGTAGACTCTTCCCCATCCCATGTGCCTGCAAAGAATGATGAAGTAGTGGCTGATATAGCTGCTCCCGTAACCAGCCATACTAAAGCTTGATTCTACCCGCCACCTGCAAGTGGAAAGGAGAATTCCATGTTGAAATGGAATTCAGGGCCCAAAGCTGTAAACAGCATTCTATTGTCAGCTTGTGTCATACCAGGAAACTCTAACACATGACAAAGATAATCATCACAGTCTTAAGAGTTTGGGTGCTATCGGCCAGGCGTGGTGGCTCATGCCTGTAATCCCAGCACTTTGGGAGGCCGAGGCGGCTGGATCACGAGGTCAGGAGTTTGAGACCAGCCTGGCCAACATGGTGAAACCTCGTCTCTACTAAAAATACAAAAATTAGCTGGGCGTGGTGGCGCATGCCCGTAATCCCAGCTACTCAGGAGGCTGAGGCAGGAGAATCGCTTGAAACCAGAAGGCGGAGGTTGCAGTGAGCTAAGATCACGCCACTGCACTCCAGCCTGGGCATAAGAGTGAAACTCCATCTCAAAAAAAAAAAAAAAAAAAAAAAAAAGAGTTTGGATGCTATCTGCTTGTTGGAAAAGAACAACAGCCACTTATATATCTATAGCATGCCCATGGTAATCAGAATACATTGTAACCAACTATCAATTGTGAATTGGTCAGACAACAAGTTATTATGCCTAGTTCACTTTGAGCCATAGGCCAATGTTGCTGGCAAGTAATACACTCTCCATGAGCACCAGCATCTTCTTCATAGGTCAAATGAATCCTTATTGGGTCACCTCAGACCTCCATGGAGATTTGGCTATTACAGTAGATCCAAGCACGGATCTAGTGCACCAAAGGGGATGTGACGCCCCATCATCTTGATCAGCTTTTTCATTCCAGATGCTCTCTTCGAGATGCAGTGCCTTATTGTGGCTTGTGTATATGTCACATGCAGATTGAGTTTGTGGTTGAATTGCTGCATTTGTTTCCGTGGCAGGGATTACCATATAAATAACTGGGGTCTGTCATGTCCCCGGGGATCAGTCAATGATCTGTAAAGGAAACCTGAAAGAGGAGAATCATGTAGAGGGAGGCTCCCTGGGACCCAACCAGCCCAAAACTTGCCTAAGGTGAGCCCACAGGAGGAAGCTGGGGGAGTAACCACTTCAACCTCCTCCTTCCCTCCAATCTTTTTCCAGAGATCCCCTGTTGGCCAAACCCAACTGGAAGCCACAGTGCAAGGGAACACAATGATGTAATTCATACAGATTGGCCCACTGGCAGAAGAAGCAGGGGAGGGATGGAGAGTGGACCTGGAACAGCAAGAAGAAGAAAACTGACACACGAGAGAGAGGTGTGACTCAAAATAGGAAGGTGAAGGGAGTCCTCACTAAGAAGAAGTTATTCGAGCAAAGATCTGAAGGAGTGCAGTAACCCATCTGCTATGGCCTGAATGTGTCACCCAAAATTAGTGTGTTGGAAACTTAATCCCCAGTGCAATAGTTATACAACACAGAAATATATAGCCTTCTGGGAGGTGGTTAGGTCATGAGGGCTCTGCCCTCAAGAATGGATTAATACCATCATGAAAGGGCTTGACAGAGGGAGTTTGTTCCCTTTTGCCTTTCCACCTTCTGCAGTGTGAAGACACAGCATTCCTTCCTTCCAGAGGACACAGAGTTCAAGGCGCCATCTTGAAAGCAGACACCGGGCCCTCACTAGACATTGAATCTATGGTGCCTTGTTCTTGGACTTCCCAGCCTTCAGCACTGTGAGAAATACATTTCTGTTCTTATGAATTACCCAGTCTGTCAAGGATTGCTTAAGTCCAGGAGTTTGAGGCCAGCCTGGGCAACATAGCAAGACCCCATATCAAGAAAAAATATTACCCAATCTGTGGTATTTTGCTATAGCAGCACAAAATGGACTACGTCAGAAACTGGTAGCAGAGGAGTGGGGTGTTGCTATAATAAACACCTAAAAACATAGAAGTGGCTTTGGAACTGGGTCATGGGTAGAGGCTGAAAACAGTTTTTTTATTGTTGGTTTTTGTTTGTTTGTTTGTTTTTTGTTTGAGATGGAGTCTCACTTTGTCACTGAGGCTGGAGTGCAATGGCACAATCTCAGCTCACTGCAACCTCAGCCTCCCGGGTTCAAGGGATTTTCTCACCTCAGCCTCCCAAGTAGCTGGGATTACAGGCACACACCTGGCTTTTTTTTTTTTTTTTTTTTTTTTTTTTTTTTTGTAGAGACAGGATTTTGCCATGTTGCCCAAGCTGGTCTTGGAACTCCTGGACTCAAGTGATACCCCCGCCTCAGCCTCACAAAGTGCTGGGATTACAGGCGTGAGCCACCACACTCGGCCTTTATTTACCATTGACTCCAGATCTTTTCTTTTTTTCTTTTTTTTTTAGATGGAGTCTTGCTCTGTTGCCCAGGCTGGAGTGCAGTGGCACGATCTTGGCTCACTGCAACCTTCACCTCCCAGGTTCAAGCTATTCTCCTGCCTCAGCCTCCCAAGTAGCTGGGATTACAGGCGCCCAACACCACTCCTGGCTAATTTTTCTATTTTTGATAGAGACCGAGTTTTGCCATGTTGGCCAGGCTGGTCTCGAACTCCTGACCTCAAGTGATCCTCCCGCCTCAGCCTCCCAAAGTGCTGGGATTACAGGCGTGAGCCACCGCGCCCAGCCTGAAACAGTTTTGAAGTGAATGCTGGGAAAATCTGTATTGTCATGGATGAAATATTGAGGGGATTCTGATAAGGAATCAGAAGAGAAGAGCCCCAGGGAAAGCCTCAGTCTTCTTAGAGATTGCCTAACTGGTGCTGATCAGAATGCTGGTAGACAGATGGACAGCAAAGGCCATTCTGATAAGATACCAGATGAAAATGAGGAGCAAGGTATTTGAAACTGAAGGAAAGTCCATTTGGCTGAATTGTATTCATGTCCTAGAACTTTATGGAAGGCAGAACTTAAGAGTGTGAAAGGAAAATAAATCTCAGAACTCCAAAATCACTAAGCCAAAGGGAAAAGTCAAGCTGAGAACTGCGATGGCAAACCTGCCTCCCATTCTATTCCTAAATAAGATAGCTACAAAGATTAAAAAGCTACATACCTCCCTCACAATTTACCCACAAGGAAATTCCCTGTGAATAAAGAACAGGCAGAACTCAAAGTCATCCCTCTGCTCACATGAGACAAATGCATATCTGATTTCTTCCTTTGCCCTATTGTTTCACTAAGCCAGACTAAGGCATAAGTGACTATTCCTTTACCCTCCTCTCATGAGTAAATTGTGTATTCAGTGAAAGTCTAATCAGAAACTCAAAAGAATACAATCATTTGTCTCTTACCTACCTATAACCTGGAAGCCCCCTACCCACTTTGAGTTGCCCTGCCTTTCCAGACTGAACCAACATACATGTTACATATATTGATTGATGTCTCATGCCTCCCTAAAATGTATAAACCCAAGCTGTGCCCTGACCACCTTGGGCACATGTCATCAGGACATCCTGAGGCTCTGTTACAGGCATGTCCTTAACCTTGGCAAAGTAAACTTTCTAAATTGATTGAGACTTGTCTCAGATACTTTTTGGTTTACAAATTGGCAATCATGAAGGGATTCTGAATGGAGATGGCCCTGACTTTTGACAAATCTCCTATTGGTGCTTTGCACCAGCTTAAGCTGTCTTTATGGCTCAACCCAATAGGACAATTTGCTGAGGCCTGGGAGCTCCCCTCCTTCCAGGGAATTCCTGATCTCCCAAAATTTGGTTGAGATCTAAAGTTTATTTTGCTGTACAACTCCTTTTCTGAAGTTTTACTTGCTTGCAACAAGGAAGGCAAGTTTTCTTGCTTCCATGGCAATAGAAGGCAGGTAACTCTGGACGTTAAGCTCACTTCCAATAGGGAAGCTGAGTTGGAGTTTCTTCCCGCTTCTAGGATGGTAAAGAGCAGTCTTCCGCCTGAGATTCATTTCTAGGAAACTAGCTGAATTGGTTTTTTGGGTTTTTTTTTTTTTTTTTTTTTTTTTTGGTCTTGGAAATTCTCCTTAATGACTAAGGGTTAAAATTGGCAGCTAGGCACGGTGGCTCACGCCTGCAATCCCAGCACTGTGGGAGGCCAAGACAGGTAGACAGCTTGAGCCCAGGAGTTCAAGACCAGCCTGGACAACATGGCAAAATCCTGTCTCTACAAAAAGAAAATACAAAAAATTAGTCAGGCATGGTGGCACACACCTGTAGTTCCAGCTACTTGGGAGGCTGAGGTGGGAGGATCACCTGAGCCTGGGAAGTCAAGGCTGCAATGAGCCATGATCACACCACTGTACTCCAGCCTGGGTGATGGGAGTGACACCCTGTCTCAAAAAGAAAAAAAATAAAATTGACCACCAGCTGGTCTTAATTTCTCCTTACCATTAGAACACTCAGTGATCAAGTTGGATTTTTTGTTGTTGTTCCAGTCTTTATCCCATCAGATTTTACCAACTCTCCTTAACTTTATCAAATCCAAATGAGAATTACAAATTATGGGGAACAAGGCCTCTGAGTTGGGTAAAATTTCCCCACAGCCACAGAAAGAAAAAAAACACCATATGTTTGGTTTCTGTGTTTGCTTCTCGTCTTACTTTTCTTCTACCCTATTCCCCCTTCCCTTCACCATCGTTGGTACCAAGAAAAAATCTAGGGAAGGCTTCTAAAGACTCAAACCCCTCAAAGAACTCAAAACAAAAGCACCACTAACCCCTTTTTGGAGTGTTCTGTTTTCTTCGTGGAGTTTCAAGAGTCATGGGCAGATTCTTCTTAAGTCTAAAGCTCTACTTTCCTGCATTGCATTACCTGACCTCTTTGGCTTTTGGGGGAGTACAAGAGATTACCTTGTACTGTAAGAGGATTTGATCTTGGCGTGTGTAATGGTGGACCAGAGCTACCAAGTTAGGGGCGACTGAGGACAGTTTACAGGAAGTGGTCTTAGCTGGTTTTTCTTTTTCTTTTTTTTTTTCCTGATAGGAAGTTGTTGTTTAGGATTCGGATTCTAATTCTAGTTCACAGGTGCATTCTAAAGAGTCTTCTCCATTGTCTTTCCTCTGGAAATTAATCTCAATTGGCTCGTGTGAGCATGTGCATGAAGAACTGAACTGTGGTGTTTATAGAAAAATGAGAGACAGTTTCTTCAGCTCCAAAGAGAAAGGGCATTTTGCTCCTCCCAGCCAAAAGGCACCCCTGGGTCACTGGTGGCTGAGTGGGAGTGTCTGGGAGATTGACTCCCAGCAATGTGCCATGGCCCTGTAGGAAACACCTAACAAAATTAGTTTTAAAAGGCTAATCCAGGCTGGCCTCAGTGGCTCATGCCTGTAATCCCAGCACTTTGGAAGGCCGAGACAGGCAGATCACTTGAAGTCAGGAGTTCGAGACCAGCCTGGCCAATATGGTGAAACCCCATCTCTACTAAAAATACAAAAATTAGCTGGACATGGTGGCACATGCCTGTAGTCCCAGGTACTCGGGAGGCTGAGGCAAGAGAATCGTTTGAACCCAGGAGGTGGAGGTTGCAGTGAGCCAAGATCACGCCACTGTACTCCAGCCTGGGTGACAGAGCAAGACTCCATCTCAAAAAAACAGAAAAACAAACAAAAAGGCTCATCCAGGAAGCAATGAGGAGCTGGTCACTCCACGCTTTGAGCCCTCCTGGAGGTGCTAGACCTCTGGAGAGAGAAACAGACACATAAAAGGGCAGAAATGTCTCAGTGGTGACACACTGTGGAATCCTGCCCACAACCAGCACACTTTGACCCACTCCTCTAAACCCTAGGCCACTGCTCAGTTCCTCCTTTTAAGAAAAAAAATATGCAGCCAGGCACAGTGGTTCACGCCTATAATCCCAGCACTTTGGAAGGCCAAGGCGGGCGGATTACCTGAGATCAGGAGTTTGAGACCAGCCTGGGCAACACGGTGAAACCCTGTCTCTACTAAAATACAAAAAAATTAGCCAGGTGTAGTGGCTATAGTCCCAGCTACTCAGGAGGCTGAGGCAGGAGAATTGCTTGAACCTGGGAGGCGGAGGTTGCAGTGAGCCGAGATTGCATCACTGCACTCCAGCCTGGTCGACAGAGCAAGACTCCATCTCAAAAAAAGAAAAGAAAAGAAAAAATGTGGGAGACAAATCATTTAAGAATGAGGATAGACAAGGACGGGCACCCCATTTCGTTTTGTGGTGCCTCTACTTGCAAGTGGTTGTGTAAATGGAAGGGCATGCCCCATTTTCTCAAACTCCAGCTGGTTACACATTAGGTCTATTCCCGTGCACATTTCAAACTGAGAGGCAAATTACATCAAGGAAAATTTGGAGCCTGAAGGTCAGCCTACAACTAACTATAAAGTTCCCAAGTTCGCTATCTCTCTTCTTTCTTTTCTGCTTGCCTTAAGTCTGCTGTAACTTTTCTACTGAGATAAAATCCACTGTTTGCATCCAACCACTTCTTTTTGGTTTTGTTATTGTTTGCAAACTGGTGAGTTTGTGTTAATATCTCACGGCTAGAGTTCTGAAGTAAAAGCTATAGGATCTTTGTATGTGTGTGTATGTGTGTCTTTACATATATGTATCCATATTTTCTTATATGGTTTTGGCCACAAGGTACCAAACTGCCTTAAAGAGTACTCAAAAAGTAAATAATAAGCCCAATTCCTTGAACTTGAAAAGTATTTGGGCTTATTATTTACTTATTTTACTTAAGTCATAAGACTTAAGTAAAATCTTTAATAAGCTAGCTTTAAAATTATTGGTAAAGCAGGCTGGGCACGGTGGCTCATGCCTGTAATCCCAGCACTTTGGGAGGCCAACTCTGGCAGATCATTTGAGGTCAGGAGTTCAAGACCAGCCTGGCCAACATGGTGAAACTCCGTCTCTACTAAAAATACAAAAATTAGCCGGGCATGGTGGCACATGCCTGTAATCCCAGCTACTTGGGGAGGCTGAGGCAGGAGAATAGCTTAAACCCAGGAAGCGGAGCTTGCAGTGAGCTGAGATCATGCCACTGCACTCCAGCCTGGGTGACAGAGCAAGACTCCATCTCAAATAAAATAAAATAAAATAAAATAAAATAAAATAAAATAAAATAAAATAAATCAAACTATTGTTGGTAAAGTAATATTAGAAATGTCTTAAGAATGTCAGGGCCAGGCGCGGTGGCTCACGCCTATAATCCCAGCACTTCGGGAGGCCGAGCCGGGCAGATCACAAGGTCAAGAGATCGAGACCATCCTGGCTAACACGGTGAAACCCCGTCTCTACTAAAAATACAAAAAATTAGCTAGGCACGGTGGCGGGCACCTGTAGTCCCAGCTACTTGGGAGGCTGAGGCAGGAGAATGGCGTGAACCCAGGAGGCAGAGCTTGCAGTGAGCCGAGATAGCACCACTGCAGCCCGGCCTGGGTGAACGAGCAAGACTCCGTCTCAAAAAAAAAAAAAAAAAAAAAAGAATGTCAGCATACATTTTTGTTTTCATTAATTGATGAAGAGATTTCATATTTATCCCTGTCAAATACTATGTGGTGTCAAAATTTGGCCTAAGGGTTATTAAATTAAACCCAGCCCAAAAGAGAATGATCGTTGCTTGAGTAATTTTTGATAAATAAGACATTAATATTGATTTAATGAAAACAGCTAAAACTTGAATTGTTTAGTGAAATGACCGTATATTTAATTTTATGGTTCTTACTTAGATAAACACTTGAAATTCACAAGATATAAAATGGTTGACAGGGAAATAACTTTAAATGATGACCATTGCAGTTTTCATAAATAATCTAGGTAAACTATTAAAATAAAATAATTAGGTAAGGCCAGGCATGGTGGCTCACACCTGTAATCCCAGCAATTTGGAAGGCGAGGCAGGTAGATCACCTGAGGTCAGGAGTTCAAGACCAGCCTGGCCAACATAGTGAAACTCCATCTCTTCTAAAAATACAAAAATTAGCTGGACATGGTGGTGAGCACCTGTAATCCTAGCTACTCAGGAGGCTGAGGCAGAAGAATCACTTGAATCTGGGAGGTCGAGGTTGCAGTGAGTTGAGATTGCACCACTGCATTCTAGGCTGGATGACAAGAGCGAAACTCTGTCTCAAAATATAAAATGAAATAAAATAATGTGGTAAATGTAATGGGATAAATATTTCTAGACAAACATAATTTACAATCTAAAGTTATTTTAAATTAAATAATAGATATTTCATTAAATGGGTATTTTCCAATTAAAATATGTATATATAGTACGATAACATTCTTTCTAAAAAATGTGTGTACTTGTTAAAAGGTGAATAATTTTTGTCTAATTCAAAGCTTATTTAAAGATTATGCATAAAACAAGGTAAAAGGAACTAGAAAATAAGAGAGATGTAAAGAAAATTATAGAAATAAAGAGGTATTTTTTGGTAAGAAGGCTTAAAGAAAAATAATTTTATATGAGAAAAAATCTTGTATAATAAATTTCTGTCCTAGAATAAAATGACTGGTTGTTTAAGAAAGAGGGATGTTCAGGTCAAACCAGAAAGTCTAAGCATATCATGAATGGTCTGTGTAAGTCATAATAAGATTTATGGAAAAAACTTTTATATGATCAAGTTGTCTATAATTGAAGGGAAATTATTTATAATGGTCTTTCTACAGATTGGGCTTTGATTTTTTTTTTGAGATCGTGTCTCACTCTGTTGCCCAGGCTGGAGTGCAATGGTGCAATCTCGGCTCACTGCAACCTCCGCCTCCCAGGTTCAAGCGACTCTCCTGCCTCAGCCTCCCGAGCAGCTAGGATTACAGGTACCCACCACCACGTCTGGCTAATTTTTGTATGTTTAGTAGAGACAAGTTTTTGCCATGTTGGCCAGGCTGGTCTCAAACTCCTGACCTCAAGTGATCTGCCTGCCTTGGCCTCCCAAAGCACAGGTTTTGATATTTTTAAAAAACCACTTATACAGTAAATAATTAGAACAATAAAATTTTCTTAAGGTATTGCTTTACTGTTAATAAAATTACAAGACATTATACTTTTATTATGCAAAGTTCAACTTTTATTTCTGTTTTCAGCTTTCTCCTCCTCTTTTAAATGGCCTAAAATAATAGCTCTATCCTTCAACTCACTTTCAGCTCCTGTTTTTTTTTCCTTGGGTTCTAATGATTGTGGCCTGATGCTAAAAATGTTTTATCTTAAAGGTCTAAAGGAAATGTTTCCTTCCAACATAATATTCTGTGCTCTCAGCTTTAAGTTGTTCTATGGATCCAAAAATTTTCACTTATGATGCAGGAAACACTCTTCCTATGTCTAACTAATTCAAGTACCCTTTACATGAGTTTTGAATTGCAGTTACCTAAATGGACTCCTTATAGGGAACAGCAGTCACACCACTGAAGGTTTGTTCCCTATGGGGAGTCCATTTAGATAACTACAAGTTTTGACTCCTTAATGGTGCTTGCAAAAACTTACAGTTATCTAAATGGACTCCCCAGAGGGAACAGCAGTCACACTGCAGTTGCCTTTGGGTAACTGACCTAACAAACAGATTTTACGCTTTATTGAAATAATTCCTGTGTAATTATTATGAAGTTTTTGTTTGCTTAGAATAAATTGAGATTTTAAAAAATTAATTAAGGTTATTACATCCATGTAACTTTCCGTATGTACTTTTTTTTTTTTTTTGAGATGGAGTCTCCTTTTGTCACCAGGCTGGAGTGCAGCGGTATGATCTCGGCTCACTGCAACCTCCGCGTCCCGGGTTCAAGCGATTCCCCTGCCTCAGCCTCCTGAGTAGCTGGGACTACAGGCATGCACCACCACCCCCAGCTAATTTTTTGTATTTTAGTAGAGACAGGGTTTCACCATGTTGGTCAGGATGGTCTTGAACTCCTGACCTCATGATCCACCTGCCTCAGCCTCCCAAAGTGCTGGGATTACAGGTGTGAGCCACCACTCCTGGCCTGTACTTTCAAAGTCCCTGTGTCATTAAGTTACAGGGCTTTGACTCCTGCATCTAAAAAGAACACCAAGTCCTGCTAAATCTTAACTACTGGCAGCAATTAAAGCCTCATCTTCAGACCCTGTAGAAGATGCCAATCAAAATAAACCACATTCATGAGACACAGGGCCAGCAATAAAAACTATTCAACTCCTCAAGGCCCAGGGACTATCGTGGAAGAGGTGGGCATGTGAGATTGTAAGGGTCGATTTTGAGAGATAAAATAAGTTCAGTTTCTCTATAAATTAACCATCCTTATCAAAGGCACACTGATGCAAGACCAGCATATGGGCCCCTGTGTCCAATTAACAAGGTTTTCTTGGAGCATTAACTTACTCCTTCATAAAAGATTGTAAAGGTTATAAAAAGGCTCATGGAAATTATATCTTATGGTCAAGATGATTAAAATTGTATAGATTGTTTATAAAATTTTGAGAAACAAATTTAATTGGCCTCATTCTGTCATTATTAGGGTTTATTGTTTGGGAAATTAAGTCTCTCTCAAAGAATGAAGGTTTTTGCCTTTTTTTGAAAGCTTTATTACTTTCTCAAAATGAATGACTTATTTTACAAAGATTTGTGATCCTATTTTGTGATGTGAAGTGTTTTAAACTTTTTTATATTTGACAAACTTTCCAAAATCAAATTCTAACTATGGTCTTCATTAATTGTTTTATACTAGTGTCCTGAAGTCCAAAAGAGACATATTGAGCTTATTCAATATAATAATATTGTACAGAAAGTATTGTCAAATATGAAACAGTGTTTAACTTTCTTTGGATTACATTTATATAAATGTGCTGTTAGTATGTGTTCTAGAATTTTCTGAAATTCCTGTGATTCTGTTATGTCTTAGCATATCTTGCCAGTAATAATTAAGATTATTGTGTAAAATTGTTGTATGCCACAGAAGTAGCCAAATTTCCTTGTCAATTGTGTCTTTTTGACTGTTCTAAGACTTGTGTTTTACTTTTATCCTTTTCAAAAGGTGGTTTTATAATCAGCAGAGGACTCTCACAGGTGCTTCTGAATGCAGGTTTCTGATAACTTTGGAGATTGTGACTCTAGAATAGAGGAAACACTTCCAAGACTTCCATGGAGAGCTAAATTGTTCATGAATATCAAGCAGAACAGGAGTTAATTGCATAGACTGAACTAATAGATAACTGAAGTAACCCTTTTATGACTTATTGCTTAAAATGTTTGATCCTTTGTTTTTCAGAACCAAGAAAACTTCTCTTTTGAGCTATTTACAGCTGTTAATAATTCAGTAAAGTCTACTTCTATAAACAACATTTGGAGCATATTTCTCTCTACCTGATTTCTCCAAAATGTGGAAACTAGATGTGAGTATTCTTAACTTATGACAATATAGTTATTTGCATAAGTGCAATAAGAATCTGTTTTCTTTTGTAACAGGACCCAATTGGAGACACTGGTTATTTTACCAAGGTTTTGACTGGAATGGCATGTTTTCAGATATAGGCTCCTTTAAACAATCAAATTTGGCCAGGCATGGTGGCTCATGCCTGTAATCCCAGTACTTTGGGAGGCCGAGGTGGGCAGATCACAAGGTCAGGAGTTTGAGACCAGCCTGATCAACATGGTGAAACCCTGTCTCTACTACAAATACAAAAATAAGCCAGGTGTGGTGGCATGCACCTGTAATCCCAGCTACTCAGGAGGCTGAGGCAGGAGAATTGCTTGAACTCAGGAGGCGGAGGTAGCAGTGAGCCGAGATCACACCACTGCACTCCAGCCTGGGTGACAGAACGAGACTCCATCTCAAAAAAAAAAAAAAGAAAAGAAAAGAAAAAGAAATCAAAGTTGACTTACAGAGTCAATAAAAGCCCCTTGGGAAAGCTGGACTCATACCTTGTCTACACAGTCCCTGTACAGGTTCCTGACCTGTGGTAACTAAAGAATGTCACTTTCTGACAGGCCCAGGAGTCCCAAGTTTTCTTGGGACCTTGAGGTGAGGAAATCACCCAATTAATACAGGTATTTACAGGCACAGGCTTGGCTTAAGGCATTAAAGTTGAACCTGAGATTCCTTATGGGATAAAGTTCCAGCAAAGCCAATTAAAAAAGGGGGGGAGCCTATATGGCAAATAATTATTCTTGCTGATTTATGCAAATACTCTGGCCAAGTATAAGACGACTAAAACTTATTTTGAAGATGAATTTGACCTATGAATTGTCTTTAGTGAGAATGGAACTGGAGATAGAAAAATTATGTTTCAAAATAAACTATAGTACACCTGTTGTTAGAGTCTAGTCTTGCCTAATGTTTTTCAATTTTTATTATTTTCTACAGTTTGGACTGAATTCTTAAATTTTCCAGGCTAAAAGTCTACAAAGTAATGTTTTCCTTTTTTTCCTTCTTTCCTTTCCTTTTCCCTCCTATTTTTCCTTATTTGAAATCACTAAAAATTAAGCTGTGCTTTCTTAAAGCCCTGTAAACTAAAGCCAGACAACTTAAACTTCAGAAGAGAATAATGGCAACCTATTTGCATACATAAACCACTTTTATACCTGCCTGCTGATGTATGGACTTAAGAGTAGTATGGCCTATATTGATTTTCCAGAATTGTTCTTTGTTTCTTTTTGTTTGTTTGTTGTTGTTTTTCTCCCTTCTTCCTCCTATTTTCTCTTTGTAGGATGTGAGACTCCACAATCTGCTAAAAATGAGCTTTCCTAGTTGTCATGTGCATCCGTGTGAAGAGACCACCAAACAGGCTTTGTATGAGCAATAATGCTGTTTATTTCACCTGGCTGAGGCAGGCTGAGGCCGAAAAAGGAGTCAGCAAAGGGAGATGGGGTGGGGCAGTTTTATAGGATTGGGGTAGGTAGTGGAAAATTACAGTTAAAGGTGGTTATCTCTTGCGGGCAGGGGTGGGGGTCACAAGGTGCAGGGTGGGGAGATCATGAGACTCATTGTCCAGCGGGGGAATGTCACAAGGTTGACTGATTAGTTGGGCTGGGGTAGGAAGAAATCACAATGGTGGAATGTCATCTTTTGTGGTTCTTCAGTTGCCCCAGGCCATCTGGATGTATACGTGCAGGTCACAGGGGTTATGATGGCTTAGCGTGGGCTCAGAGGCCTGACATTCCTGTCTTTTTATATTAATAAGAAAAACAAAATGAAATAGTGGTGAAGTGTTGGGGCGGCGAAAATTTTTGAGGGTGGTATGGAGAGATAATGGGTGATGTTTCTCAGGGCTGCTTCGAGCAGGATTGGGGCAATGTGGGAAACTTGAGTGGGAGAGATTAAACTGAAGAAAGATTTTGGGGTAAGGGGTAATATTGTGGAGTTATTAGAAAGAGCATTTGTATAGAATGATTGGTGGTGGCCTGGATGCGGTTTTGTATGAATTGAGAGATTAATCAGAAGACACAAGGCCTGAATAAGAGAAAGAGGAAGATAGGTATCAGACTAACGATCGGAAGAAGCCAGGATACCCAGTTAGAGAGTGGCCAGGTGGGTCCAGTTTAATCAGTTGTCTGAGTAGCGAGTTTTTGAGCTCTATCCTTGAGTGTTTTTTTTTTTTCTTTTGTCATATACCAGGCCAGATTGATTTAGGTAAAAACAACACTCTTCATTTAAAAATATACAGAGTCCCCTTTTTTTAGCAGTGAGTACGTCAAGGCCTCAGTGGTTTTGGAGGAAAGAGAAATGCAAAGCCAGCAATTGTTTGTTAAAGAAGGATTAGAAATGGCTAGGAGAGAGTGAGTAAGATTGATAGTGTGGTGGAGATAGCTGGGGAGAGGTAGAGGGTGGCATAAGAACGGGAACAAGAATAAGAGGGAGTATAAAAGTAAATAATAGGACTTTATCAGGGTGAAAGTGTCAGAGGGTGCCCTGTCAGCAAAGATCATCTATCCACTCCAAGAAGGAGTCAAGAGTGGCAGATTGGGGATAGTACCAGGAGATATCCACTATGATGGTTTGGAGGAAAAGTGTAGACCAGCAGTGTAAACAGGGGCAGGGCATTTATGAGTAGTTGAAAATGGTGAATAGGAGTATGACTGGACAGAAGAGAGTAGGGATGACTAGTTTTTGGGGTGCAGTCCAAGTTGGGGGGTGACTGCATAAAGCCCTGTTGCAAAGAGTAGGGTAAGGAAGAAGAGACCTAATAAGAATGAAAGGATGTGTTAGGATTATAAGGGTTACTATTATCCTTTAGGAATGTGAGTGAGTTTAAGGGAAGTAGGGGTGAGTACTTGCAACTTCCAGGAGGAAGAGGAGAGATCAGGCTGGCTGTCTGATGGACACAGCTTTATTCTGGATCAGTGAACCTAATGGGGAGGGTCCTGCAGGCAGATGGTACGTAGGGTACTATAGATGACTAAGTAGGGTCTGGTCCATCGAGGTTGTAGAGTTTGAGGGGTCAGATTCTTAACAAGAACTGATCGTCCAGCTAGGGTGTCTTCATGTGGCTGGGAATCTGGAGTAGGCAAAAGAAGATTAGCAGCCTGGCGAATTTTCTGTCTAGCCTGCTGGAGGACTGGAAGATAGTCACCTAGAGGGCTGGTGTCTGGGATGAAGTTGGGGCCGAGCAAGAAAGTGCATCCATATAAAAGTTCAAATGGACTGTACATCTTGAGGACAGGCTCTAATTCTGAGAAGGGCAAGAGGTAAAAGTACTGTCCAGTCCTTTTTAAGTTGGAGGCTGAGCTTGGTGAGGTGTGTCTTTAAAAGACCATTAGTCCATTCTACCTTTCCTGAAGATTGAGGACAGTAAGGGGTATGAAGTTTCCACTGAATACCAAGGCCGGTCCATTATCGGACTGTATAGAGGTGGGAAGGCCAAACCAAGGAATTATGTCTGACTGAAGGGAAGAAATGACTGTGGTGGCCTTCGAAGACCCTGTGGGAAAGGCCTCTACCCATCCAGTGAAAGTGTCTACCCAGACCAAGAGGTATTTTAGTTTCCTGACTTGGGGCATGTGAGTAAAGTCAATTTGCCAGTCCTGGGCAGGGGCAAATCTCCGAGCTTGATGTGTAGGGAAGGGAGGGGGACTGAGAAATCCCTGAGGAGTAGTAGAATAGCAGATGGAACACTGAGAAGTGATTTCCTTGAGGACAGATTTCCACGATGGAAAGGAAATGAGAGGTTCTAAGAGACAGGCTAGTGGCTTGTAACTTACATGGAAGAGGTTATGAAATGACAACAGAATGGAATGGGCCTGTGAGGCTGGAAGGAGATATTTTCCTTGGTCCAAGAACCATTTGCCCTGAGTGGGGAGTGATTGATAGGTAGAAACTTCAGTGGGAGAATAAGTAGGAGTGACTGATGAGAAGGAGAAAAACTGGTCATGAGGGACAGAAATAGGAATACTGGCTGCATCTTTAGCTGTCTTATCAGCAATGGGGTCTGAGGCCCTTTGATGGCCTTTGCAGTGAAGGACTCCAGCTTCCTTTGGAAGTAAAGCGGCCTTGAGAAGAGTTTTTATTAAAGAGGCATTAATGATGGAGGACCCTTGAATAGTGAGGAAACCTCTTTCAGCCCATATAACAGCATGGTGGTGCAGGATATGGAAGGCATATAAAGTCAGTATAAATATTGATGCGTAGTCTTTTTGCAAGAGTGAGGGCTCAAGTTAGGGCAATGAGTTCGGCTTGCTGAGAGGTAGTGGAATAGGGCAGAGTGGTGGCCTCAATGATAGATGTGGAAGATACTATAGCATAGCCTGCCTTTGCTGGTGAGTGGCAATTATGCATGGTGGAACTGCCATCAATAAACCAAGTGTGATCAGGGTGAGGGACAGGAAAGAAGGAAATATGGGGAAATGGAGTGAATGCCAGGTGGATCAGAGAGATACAGTCATGGGGGTCAGGTGTGGTATCAGGAATAATGTGGGGTCCAGCCTAAAACAGTAAGGTCAAGTTGTTTGGACAGAAAGGCTACAGGACATGGTCCCAGCTCTTGTGTAAGAATTCCAACCGCACAGCCCTATGCTTTGGCTGTATGTAATGAAAAAGGGTTGGGATGAGTTAGGGACAGCTAGTGTGGGAGCAGTTTCTCAAGCTGCTTTCAAGGAATGGAAAGAGGAGTGGGGAAAGGATTTAGGATCTATGGGGTCAGCTAGTTTTCTATTTGTGAGTTTATATAATGGTTTTGTTAGGATGGCAAAACCAGGTATCCAAACGCAAAAGTATCCAACCATGCCCAGCAAGGAAAGGAGTTGTTGCTTTGTAGAAGGGGTTGGGGTTTGAGAGATCAGCCAGACACAATTGGCAGGGAGAGCATGCGTGTTTTCATGAAGAATTATGCTGAGGTAGGTAATGGATGGAGAAGAAATTTGAGCTTTGGAGGGGAATACCCGATATCCCTTGGAGAATAAATGTTGAAGGAGCAGGAGGGTGTCTTGTTGAGAAGATTCAAAGGAAGGGCTACAAAGTAGAAGGTCATCAATATATTGAATAAGGTGAGAAGCAGAGTGGTGGAAAGAAAGTAAACCATGAGAAAGAGCTTGGCTGAAGTAATGAGGGCTGTCCCTGAAGCCTTGTGGAAATACAGCCCAGGTAAGTTGCTGAGAATGATTGGTGTCAGGGTCAGTCCAAGTAAAAGCAAAGAGAGGCGGGATGAAGGGTGCAAAGGAATAGTAAAGAAAGCATCTTTGAGATCCAGAACCGAATAATGGGTTGTGAAGGGAGGTATTGAAAATAGGAGAGTATATGGGTTTGGCACCATGGGGTGGATAGGCAAGACAATTTGGTTGATAAGGCACAGATCCTGAACTAACCTGTAAGACTTGTCTGGTTTTTGGACAGGTATAATGGGGGAATTGGAAGGAGAGTTTATAGGCTTTAGAAGCCCATGCTGTAGCAGGTGAGTGATAACAGGCTTTAGTCCCCTTAAAGCCTGTCGTGGGATGGGATGCTGGCACTGAGTGGAGTAAAGTTGATTAGGTTTTATTGGGATAGTAATGGGCATGTGATCGGTTGCCAGGGAGGGAGTAGAGGTGTCCCATACTTGTGGGTTAAGTTGGGGGGGGGATACAAGAGGAAGACACAAAGGAGGCTTTTGGTTGGGGAGAAGGGCAGCAATGAGATGTGGCTATAAGTCCAGGAATAGTCAGGGTAGCGGATAATTTTGTTAAAATGTCTTGACCTAATAAGGGAACTGGGCAGGTGGGGATAACTAAAGAGGAGTGCATAAAAGAATGTTGTCCAAGTTGGCACCAGAGTTGGGGAGTTTTAAGGGGTCTAGCAGCCTGGCCATCAATACCCACAACAGTTATGGAGGCAAGGGAAACAGGCCCTTGAAAAGAAGGTAATGTGGAGTGTGTAGCCTCCATATTGATTAAGAAGGGGACGGACTTACCCTCCACTGTAAGGGTTACCCAAAGCATCTGTGATGGTCTAGGAGGCTTCTGAGGCAATCAGGCAGTGTCACTCTTCAGCCACTGAGCTGAGGAGATCTGGGAAGGAGTCAGTCCGAGAGCCTTGGGCTAGAGTTCCAGGGGCTACAGGAGTGGCTGCTGGGCAAGTTGGACAGTCTGATTTCTAGTGGGGTCCTGCACAGATGGGACACGGCTTAGGAGGAATCCCGGGCTGCGGGCATTCCTTGGCCTGGTGGCCAGATTTCTGGCACTTGAAGCAAGATCCTGGGGGAGGAGGTCCTGGAGGAACGCCTGGCCACTGCGGTTTAGGTGTTTTGAAGTTCTTGTGTGCTGGAGATGTGGCTGGGGTTTCTCTCACAGCGGAGGCAAGTAATTGCAACTCAGAAATAGGTTGCCACTTGGCTGCCTCTTCTCTATTACTGCAGACCTTGAAGGTGAGGTTAATTAAGTCCTGTTGTGGGGTTTGAGGGCCAGAATTTAATTTTTGGAGCTTTTTCTAATGTCAGGAGTGGACTGAGTGATAAAATGCATATTGAGAATTAGTCAGCCTTCTAGCCCCTCTGTGTCTAGGGCAGTAAGGCATCTAAGGGTTGTTGCCAAATGGGCCATGAACTGGGCTGGGTTTTCATATTTGATTAAAAAAAGCCTAAACACTAACTGATTTGGGAGAGGTCGGATGAAGAAAAAGGAGCATTAACCTTGACTGTGCCTTCAGCTCTAGTCACCTCTCTAAGAGGAAATTGTTGGGCAGGCTGGGGAGGGCTAGTCGCAGAACAAAACTGTAAGCTGGACCGGGTGTGAGGAGAGGAGGTGATAGAAGGATTATAGGGTGGGGGAGCGGAGGCTGAGGAAGAATTGGGACCTCGAAAGGAGCAGCCTGGGAAAGAGGGGAGAGGTCAGATGGGTTCATAGAAAAGGAGGATTCAAAGGACCCACAGCTTGGGGTGGAGACTGAAGGAACAGACAGGAGAAAAAGAAGAAAGATTTGGGATGAGTTGCATTAGGAGCAGAGGCTAGGGAGGGACCGATGTGTAAAAGAATGCCTGGACGTCAGGCACCTCAGACCATTTGCCCATTTTTCGACAAAAATTATCTAGCTCTTGTAGGATGGAGAAACTGAAAGTGCCATTTTCTGGCCATTTAGAGCCATTTTCAAGTTTGTATTGGGGCCTAGCAGTATTGCAGAAGAAAATAAGGCATTTAGGTTTTAGGTCAGTTGTGAGTTGAAGGGGTTTTAAGTTTTTTAGAACACAGGCTAAGGGAGAAGGAGGAATGGAGGGAGGAAGGTTGCCCACAATAAAACGGTAAGTTTAGAGAAAAGAGAGGGTAGAGACACGGAGAGAGGGGGGTGGTACTTCCCGCCCAGAGGAGGTGGTACTTGCCACCCAGGGTAGGTGGTACTTGCCGCCAAGGAGAGGTGGTACTTGCCACCAAGGTGAAGGATCAACGCAGGTGTCCCCGTGGTGATCAGACACCTCTGAAATGTGGGTGAATAATCAGGCAGGCGTCCCCACAGTGATTAAACACCAAGGGAACACTGTCTTCCCGAGTCCGTGACCAGCACCGGAGTTTTGGGTCCACGGATAAAATGTGTCTCTTTTGTCTCTACTAGAGAGGAAAAAGAACTGGAATTGGAAGGACAGGGAGATTGAAGGGTAGTGAGAGAGGCTAGAGAAGAGAGTGAAAAGACCGCTTACCCGACTTGAAATTCATGAGATGTTCCTTGGGTTGGTTGGTCTGAGGACCTGAGGTCGTAGGTGGATCTCCTCACGGAGTGAGGGTGAGGACAGGGGACCAGTCTCCCGAAGCAGTCCTCCTGTCCTGGGTCTTCGGCACCAAGTTTTCACGCACGTCCATGTGAAGAGATCACCAAACAGGCTTTGTGTAAGCAATAAAGCTGTTTATTTCACCTGGGTGCAGGCAGGCTGAGGCCAAAAAATGAGTCAACAAAGGGAGATAGGGGTGGGGCAGTTTTATAGGATTTGGGTAGGTAGTGGACAATTACAGTTAAAAGTGGTTATCTCTTGCGGGCAGGGGTGGGGGTCACCAGGTGCAGGGTGGGGAAATCCTAAGACTCATTGTCCAGGGGAGAAATGTCACAAGGTTGATTTATTAGTTGGGCTGGGGTAGGAAGAAATCACAATGGTGGAATGTCATCTTTTGTGGTTCTTCACTTGCTCCAGGCCATCTGGATGTATACGTGCAGGTCACAGGGGTTATAATGGCTTAGCTTGTGCTCAGAGACCTGACACTAATAAAATGGGACCTTCCCATCTAGGAATAAACCATCCTAGCCATGAAAGATCAGACAAAACCTGAGACCAGGGCAGGTGCGGTGGTTCACTCCTATAATCCCAGCACTTTGGGAGGCTGAGGTGGGTGGATCACTTGAGCCCAGGAGTTCAAGACCAGCCTGAGAAACATAGTAAGACCTTGCCTCTAAAAAATAAAAATAAACCTGAGACCAGAGACTCATTTTCTTCTGAAATGCTTTCTCCAGAAGGTTTCAAAAAGAAAAGGGGGAAAGTGTGAAAGGAAAAATAAATCTCCAAATCCCCAAACCACTAAGCCAAAAGGAAAAGTCAAGCTGGGAACTGTGTTAGGCAAACATGCCTCCCATTCTATTCCTAAATGAGATAGCTACAAAGATTAAAAAGCTACATACCTCCCTCACAATTTACCCACAAGGAAATTCACTGTGGACAAAGAACAGACAGAACTCAAAGTCATCCCTCTGCTCACATGAGACAAATGCATATCTGATTGCTTCCTTTGCCCTATTGTTTCACTAAGCCAGACTAAGGCATAAGTGGTTATTCCCGGAAAGTGTGTATTCAGTGAAAGGGTAATCAGAAACTCAAAAGAATGCAATTGTTTGTTTCTAACCTATGACCTGGAAGCTCCCTCCCTGCTTTGAGTTGTTCCGCTGTTCCACCTTTCTGGACTGAACCAATGTATTATTATTATTATTTTTTTTTTTGAGAACGGAGTCTTGCTCTGTCACCCAGGCTGGAGTGCAGTGGCACAATCTCAGCTCACTGCAACCTCCACCTCCCAGGTTCAAGCGATTGTCCTGCCTCAGCCTTCTGAGTAGCTGGGATTACAGGTGCCCACCACTACACCCAGCTAATTTTTTTGTATTTTTAGTAGAGACAGGGTTTCACCACAGTGGCCAGGCTGGTTTCAAACTCCTGACCTCAAGTGATCTCCCCACCTTGGCCTCCCAAAGCCAATGTACAACTTATGCATATTGATTGATGTATCATGACTTCCTAACATGTATAAAACCAGGCTGTACCCCGACCACCTTGGGCATACATGTTGTCAGAACTTCCTGAGGCTGTGTCATGAATGCATCCTTAAACTTGGCAAAATAAACTTTCTAAATTGATTGAGACTTGTCTCAGATACTTTTTGGTTTACAAGAGTTGATTAACTAGGATATTTAGTAGAAGAAATCCTTAAGCAGCAAAGTGTTCAGGACGCTGCATGGCTTCTATTAACTGCTTTCAGTAAAGTCCAAGAAGAGAGAAATGATTTAAAGGCGGAACTTATAATTAAAAGGGAAGCAGGCCAGGCACCATGGCTCACACCTGTAATCTCAGCATTTTGGGAGGCCCAGGCAGGCAGCCACCATGAGACTAGGAGTTCGAGACCAGCCCGGCCAATATGGTGAAACCTCATCTCTACTAAAAATACAAAAATTAGCCAGGTGTGGTGGCGGGCACCTGTAATGCCAGCTATTCAGGAGGCTGAGGCGGGAGAATTGCTTCAAACCGGAAGGCAGAGGTTGCAGGGAGCCAAGATTGCGCCATGCACTCCAGCCTGGATGACAAAGCAAGACTCCAACTCTGTCTCAAAAAAAGGGAGTTGGTAAGGGGGAAGCAGAATATAAATATTTGGAAATTTCTCAGGCCTGGCCATGTAAAGAATTAAAAAGTGTTTTTAGGAGAGAACACTAAACCAAGCAAAGGACCATTTGGTAAGATCACTATGGATAGAAGGAAGCCAGATGCTATTCATCAAGACAATGGGAGAATGACCCCAAAGGCATCTCGAAGATCTTCGGGCACTGCCAAATCCATCACAGG
Source organism: Homo sapiens (assembly GCF_000001405.40). Taxonomy (NCBI): domain Eukaryota; kingdom Metazoa; phylum Chordata; class Mammalia; order Primates; family Hominidae; genus Homo; species Homo sapiens. The sequence continues at coordinate 23,006,244 of NC_000001.11, forward strand.
CTCAGAGTGCTAGGACTTTGGAGGCAGAACAGTTTTGGAGGAGTTGCCCAGGGGACCCTGTGGGACATCAGGGCTTGCTTTCCAGGACCACCTCCCTGTGTTCTGGTGCAGCACACCAGCCTCTGCTGGTGTGGCTAAAGCAAGTCTAAGTGCAGCTGGGGCCACTGCTCCAGAGGGCATAATCAGTGAGTCTTGGCAGCATCCGTGTGGTGCTGATTCTGCAGGTGTGCAGAGTGCAGGATCTGTGAAGCCATAGCTTCCTCCACCCAGATTTTAAGGGATGCCTCAGAGAGCCTGGGGACTTAGGCAGAGACCTAGAGCCACTACACTACAGAGAGCCGCCCCCCAAACCCAGAGCAATGCCCGGCAGAACTGTGGGGTTGGGACCTCTGCAGAGAGTCCCGATTAGGGCAGTGCCTAGTGGAGCCATAGGAGTGGGAAGACCTCAGAATTGTAGAGCATTAGTGTGCTACTCCAAGCACCCACCTTCGATGTGTGTGACAACTGCAGCTAGCAAAGCCACGGGGGTAGAGTTGCCCAAAGTCTTGGAGGCCCAACCTTCATACCAGTGTGTCTGGGAGGCAGAACATGGACTCAAAGATTATGCAAGCCTTAAGATTTAATGTTGTTTGCACAGTTAAGTTTTGTACTTAGAGGCCAGGTACAGTAGCTCACGCCTGTAATCTCAGCACTTTGGGAGGCCAAGGCAGGCAGATCGTGAGCTCGTGAGTTTGAGACCACCCTGGGCAACGTGGTGAAACCCTGTCTCTACAAAAGATACAAAAAATTAGCCAGGTGTGGTGGTGCGCACCTGTAGTCCCAGCTACTTGGGAGGCTGACGTGGGAGGATGGCTTGAGACAGGGAGGACGAGGTTGCAGTGAGCTGAGATCATACCACTGCACTCCAGCCTGGACGATAGAGCCAGATCTTGTCTCAAAAAAAAAAAAAAAGTTTTGGACTTACTTGGGGCCTGTTACTCCTGTCTTCTTTTCTATTTCTCCCTTTTGGAATGGAAATATCTATCCTATGCCTGCCCCACCACTGTATTTTGCAAGCACATAATTTGTTCGATTTCACAGGTTTACAGCTGGAGGGAAATTTGCCTCAGGGTAATTGTACCTTGAGTCTCACCCGTATCTGATTTAGATGAGATTCCAGACTTTTGAGTTGATGTTAGAATGAGTGAAGACTTTGGGGGCTATCTGGATGGACTAAATATATTTTGCACATGAGAAGGACATAAATTTGGGGGACCAGGGAAAGAATGTTGTGGTCTGAACGTGTCTCCCAAAATACATGTGTTGAAAAAAATCTCCAATGGAATGGTATTGAGAAGTGTGGCCTTTGGGGAGGTATTTAGGTCATGAGGGCTCCGCCCTTATGAATGGGTCAATGCCACTATAAAATGCTTGATAGGGCTGGGCGCAGTGGCTCATGCCTGTAATCCCAGCACTTTCGGAGGCCGAGGCAGGCAGATCACGAGGTCAGGAGATCGAGACCATCCTGGCTAACACGGTGAAACCCCATCTCTACTAAAAATACAAAAAAAAAAAAAAAATAGCGGCCGGGCACGGTGGCTCACGCCTGTAATCCCAGCACTTTGGGAGGCCGAGGCGGGCGGATCACGAGGTCAGGAGATTGAGACCACCCTGGCTAACACGGTGAAACCCCATCTCTACTAAAAATACAAAAAAAAATTAGCCAGGCATAGTGGCGGGCGCCTGTAGTCCGAGCTACTCGGGAGGCTGAGGCAGGAGAATGGCGTGAACCCGGGAGGCGGAGCTTGCAGTAAGCAGAGATCAGGCCACTGCACTCCAGCCTGGGTGACAGAGCGAGACTCCGTCTCAAAAAAAAAAAACAAAAAAAAAAAAAAAAAAAAAATTAGCTGGGCATGGTAGCAGGCGCCTGTAGTCCCAGCTACTTGGGAGGCTGAGACAAGAGAATGGCATGAACCCGGGAGGCAGAGCTTGCAGTGAGCCCAGATTGCGCCAGTGCACTCCAGCCTGGGCGACAGAGCGAGACTCTGCCTCAAAAAAAAAAAATGCTTCATAGAAGGAGTTTGTTCCTTTTTGCCCTTCCACTTATGCCTTATAAGGGCACAACATTCCTCCTCTCCAGAGATCTAGCTTTCAAGGTGCCATCTCGGAAGCAGAGAGCCAACCTCACCAGATGCCAGAGCCTTGATCTTGGACCTCCCAGCCTCCAGAACTGTGAGAAATAAGTATCTGTGTGTTTTTTAAAATAAATTATCCTGTCTCAGGTATTTGTGTGTATGTGTGGAGACAGGGTGTCACTCTGTCACCTAGGCTGGTGTGCAGCGGTGCGATCTTGGCTCATTGTGAATTCGGCCTTCCAGGCTCAAGTGATCCTTCCACCTCGGCCTCCCGAGTAGCTGGGACTACAGGTGCACACCACCAGACCCGGCTAATTTTTTTGTTTTTGTTTCTTGAGATGGGATCTCACTCTGTCACCCAGGCTGGAGTGCAGTGGTACAATCATGGCTCATTGCATCCTTGACCTCCCAGGCTCAGGTGATTCTCCCACCTCAGCCTCTCGAGTAGCTGGGACCACAGGCGTGCACCACCATGTCCAGCTAGTTCTTTTGTATTTTTTATAGAGACAGGGTTTCACCACGTTGTCCATGCTGGTCTCAAACTCCTGGGCTCAGGTGATCCTCCTGCCTCTGCCTCCCAAAGTGCTGAGATCATAGGCGTGAGCCACCAGGCCCAGCCAGAAATTTTGTTATAGAAGCACAAACAGACTAAGACACCATCTATAAATTTTATAAGATTCATAGTCTTAATCTGCCCATTTTACAGTTAAGGACACTGAGGTACAGGAAGAATAAACAATCAAGAGTTGTCCAAGATCACACAACAGAGAGTTGGTGAGTTAGGATTTAAGCCCAGGCAGTTTAGCCCCAGAGATTCTGCTTTTAAAACAAAGTAGGATATAGGAGAATCATCATAAAATGAAAGGGGTGAGAAAATGTCTGGACACGTAAGACACTGATAAGCAATCATATTCTTTTTTTTTTTTTTTTTTTTGAGATGAAGTCTCACTCTGTTGCTCAGGCTGGCTGGAGTGCAGTGCAGTGGCATGATCTTGGCTCACTGCAACCTTCACCTCCCAGGTTCAAGCAATTCTCCTGCTTCAGCCTCCTGAGTAGCTGGGACTACAGGCATGTGCCATCACACCTGACTAATTTTTGTATTTTTAGTAGAGACGGAGTTCCACCATGTTGGCCAGGCTGGTCTCGAACTCCTGACTTCAGGTGATCTGCCCACCCCTGCTAGGATTATAGGTGTGAGCCACCACGCCTGGCCTAGGTATTCTTTATTGAGCACTGCTTGTATACTAGCCACTGTGTTAGGTGCTACGGGTGGGGGAGGGATATACAGATGAACAATATTCTGTGCTTGTCTTCAAAGAGCTTATAGTCTAGTTGAAGCATGGGGAGGGACTGTAGTAATGTGTACAAATCAAATCCCAGCAGACTGTGAAACATTCTATTGTAGAACTACACATAAAATGTGGAAACAATGCTAAGGAAAAAGATTCATTATAGCTGGCTTGAGGGGAGCTTCCTAGAGGTGATGGCTTTGGAAGAAGTGAAGAATTGTAACAGCAGAAAGGAGAAAATTAGGGATCACGTGAAGAAACAATGTAAGCTTATGTGGATGCATTTGGGGGATGGCAAGTTCTCTGGTTTGGTTAGAATGCATGAGACTTGCATGAGAGAGACGATTTTAGGTAGAACACCAACCTAACACTAAGTCACACTGAATCAAACAGTGAGATAATGATTTCCTTTCCAGTTTTCATTATGAAGAAAAGTCTCGGCTAGGTGCTTGCTTGTCTTTCAAACGCTAACACTTGCTGATCTCACTTTTTAACACAGAACACCGGCTCAGATCTGTCAGTGGGCAACCGAGCTCTGGTTGAAATGCAGTAACACGAGCCGGGCGTGGTGGCTTATGCCTGTAATCCCAGCACTTTGGGAGGCCAAAGCAGATGGATCACCTGAGGTCAGGAGTTTGAGATCAGCCTGGCCAACATGGTGAAACCCTGTCTCTACTAAAAATACAAAAATGAGCCACACATGGTGGCGGGTGCCTGTAATCCCAGCTACTTGGAAGGATGAGACTGGAGAATCACTTGAACCTGGGAGGTGGAAGTTGCAGTGACCCAAGATCGTGCCACTGCACTCCAGTCTGGGTGACAAGAGCGAAACTCTGTCTCAAAAAAAAAAAAAAAAAAAAGAATGAGCAATGGACATGGTCAGAGCCAGGCTTGGCAGGGCTGGCTTCGGCCTCTGGGTACAGGATGAGAGGGGAAACTAGGGGCTAGGGCAGGAGTGGGGAGACTCAGAGTGAACAGCACAGGGCCAGGGAGGAACCAGGGTAGAACCAACTGAAATAGAAGACTCTAGAAAGGGATGGTTCTAGAGCCCCATCAGGCCGTGTCACTACGTGCTACCTGGTAGACCTGGTGTGTACAGATTTCTTTTCCAGAGGCAATCTTTCAGCCTCTGATCCTCTTCCTGGCTCCTAGGCACCTTTCTGTTATGACTTACTATGAACATTCAATAGGCTGTGACTGGGTTTTACTGAGGTAAAAGGTAACATCGGCAGAGGCCAGCCCGCCTCGGCCTCATTAGCTGGGGGAACTCGAAGTACAGTCAGACAGGGTGGGGCAAATTGACTCATGCCTCCTCATTCTGTGTTTTTTCATGGGAAAATTCCGATGTCTGCTTGACCGCCCGTGGTGATTCATTTTATTCCATATGATGAACATCTGATTTTCTAGGACCTTCATCTTCATTTCACTGAACAACAGCCGTTGGAGGATCTCGTCCTGGAGGGCAAAGCAGGCATGCGTTCTATTGACTTCTTTTGTGTTCACGGCCTTGCTGTTCTTGGAGTCGTTTTCAGAAGTCTTTGGTTTCTCTTCCTCCTTTTAAGCTCCCCAGCACCAGGAAAAGGGGAAAGTTGGTTAATAATGATAATCCCTTCCTTGCTTGAACACCTGCTCTGTGCCAGGTGGTTTACAAACATTATCTTAACAGAGTCTCACAACTGCCTGCAAGGGGAGCATCATTGCCTCATTTTGTGGAGACTTGGGACCCAGTAACGGGAAGTCACTTTCTTTTTTTTTTTTTTTTTGAGACTGAGTTTCACTCTTGTTGCCCAGGCTGGAGTGCAATGGTGTGATCTCGGCTCACTGCAACCTCCACCTCCCGGGTTCAAACGATTCTTCTGCCTCAGCCTCCAGAGTAGCTGGGATTACAGGCACGTGCCACCACACCCAGCTAACTTTTTGTATTAGTAGAAATTTTTGTATTTGTATTTGTAATTATTAATAGAGGCAGGGTTTCACCATGTTGACCAGGCTGGTCTCGAACTCCCGACCTCAGGTGATCTGCCCGCCTTGGCCTCCCAAGGTGCTGGGATTACAGGCGTGAGCCACCAGGCCCAGCTTGGGAGGTCACTTTCTCAGCATCATACAGCCTCAAATTCCCGAGTCCTCCACTTGCCTTTGGTTCATAGGAATGCATGAGATGGCCCGCTAATCTGCCAGTCACAGTGGACATAAAGCCCTTAGCCTAAATATATCTATCTCCAGAGCCCGTTTTTCCAACATGCCTCTCTGAGCATTTTGTCAGGCTCAGTACGATCTCAAACTGCGAAGTCTCAATGGTCTCATGACATGCTTTTATCTCTATGATCCTCATCTCTCCCTCCCCTGGTTAATAACACTTATTTTTTTTTTCTTTTTGGATTCAGCTACAAACTAATGGTCTTTAAAAATGTTTAAAAATTAAGCCAGGTGTGGTGGCTCATGGCTGTAATCCCAGCACCTTCGAAGGCCGAGGCAGGAGGATCGCTTGAGCCCAGGAGTTTGAAACCAGCCTGGGAAACATGGTAAAATCCCGTCTCCACAAAAACTAGAAAAAATTAGCCCTGTGCACACCTGTAGTCCCAGCTACTTGGGAGGCTGAGGTGGAAGGATCACCTGATCCCAGGGAGGTCGAGGCTGCAGTGAGCCATGGTTGTGCCACTGCATCCAGCCTGGGCCACAGAGCGAGACCCTGTCTCAAAAAACTAAATACATAAAAAAAAAAAAAGGTTAACTGAAAAAATTCAACATATCAGGCATGCAAAAAGGTAAATAATACAACAAATACTCATATTCCCATATCAACTTAAGAAATAAAATATCATAAATATAACTAAAGTTCCCTGTGGACTCTCACACCCACAGCATCCTCCTCCCTCCCTGAATATCATCACCTTAACTGTAATCCTGCATTTAAAATTTATTTTTCCATGCATTTCTTTATAAAGTAGTTCTCAATGGGAGGCATTCTGCCTTCCCCAGGGGACATTTGGCAATATCTGGAAATACTTTGGATTGTCATGAAATGGCAGGTGTGCTACTTGGCATCTCATGGGTAGGGGCCGGGGTGGCCGCTAAGCTAACAATGCACAGGTGACAGGTGAGCCTCCCACAATGGAGAATTATCTGGCCCAATATGTCAATAGTGCCAAGGTTGAGGCATCCTGCCTTAAAATACTTTCACTGCACATACACATCCATAAATAAGATAGGCTATTGTTTTGCCTTTTTTTTTTTTTTTTTTTTGAGACAGAGTCTCACTCTGTCATCCAGGCTGTAGTACAGTGGCATGCTCACTGCAGCCTCAACTTCTCGGGCTCAGGTGATTCTCCCACCTCAGTCTCCTGAGTAGCTGAGACTACAGGCACGCACCACCATGCCTGGCTCATTTTTGTATTTTTTTTAGAGATGGGGTTTCCTCATGTTGCCTGGGCTATTCTCAAACTCCTGGCCTCAAGTGGTCGTTGACCTGCCTCGGCATCCTAAAGTGCAGGGATTATAGCTGTGAGCCACTGCGCCAGGCTGTTTTGCTTTTTATTTTTGTTTTTAGATGGAAGCTTGCTCTGTTGCCCAGGCTGGAGTGCAGTGGCATGATCTCAGCTCACTGCAACCTCAGTCCCCTGGGTTCAGGTGATTCTCCTGCCTCAGCCTCCTGAGTAGCTGGTATTACAGGTGTGTGTCACCACACCCAGCTAATTTTTGTATTTTTAGTAGAGACGAGGTGTTACCATGTTGGCCAGGCTGATCTTGAACTCCTGACTTCAAGTGATCCACCTGCCTCGGCCTCCCAAAGTGCTGGGATTGCAGGCGTGAGCCACTGCGCCCAGCCTAGCATGTTTTTTAACATTAAATGAAAGATGTCATAATCTATGTACATTTCTGCTGTCTTCATTATTCTATTTTAGATACGTATCTATGTTCGTCCATGTTAATTTTTTTTATTTTTTTCACATTAAAGTAGTTGTTACTCTTGCCAAAGCATGTTGACATCAAACATGAAATAGGAGAGTCTGGGGTGGTCCTGATTTAACAGCTGAGGTGAGGCAACTGAGGCCTCGTGGAGGGAAGTGATTTACCCAGCACCACCTAAGAGGAAGCTGTAGAGTGGTGGTTTAGACCAGTCTTGGATTCCCCAGTCTTGCCCCATTATTTCGACACCTACCCTGTTCCCTACCCACCTAATCTAGCTGCAAATATCCCCTATCCCTGAGCTGAAGCCAAGCCCCATCTTGTGCTCACCTGCTGGGGCTCTGGGAGGGTGAGCTTGTGTTCATACTTGACCAACCAGTTGCTAAGCAACAGCAGAAGGAATAGGAACCCAAACAAGGCTGGCTTATAGCTCATCAGCCAAGCTGCCACTGCTCCTATGGTGCCTGCGGAGGCAAGTATCCCATGGAGACTCCTAAAGAGAAATATCAGTTCTGCCAGCATTATGGCGTGGAGGCACACAGGCCCCAGGACCCTGCCTCAGGCCCCTCCATGACAAGAGTCACGGCCACCCACTCCTCTGAGTCATAGCCAGCTCCCTCCCCCCACCCAGCTGCCGCATAACAATAATAATAACTCCTCCTTTGTCTGAAGCACCCACTATGTGCCAGACTCTTTGACAGGCAGTTTGAAAGCATTATCTCATGATGTCCTCACAATAGCCAGGTGATGTAGGCCTCCTCATTCATTCACCAGTACTTCTGGGCCTCGCTACTAGCAAAAAAAATGGCCAATACAGAGCCCCTACCATCATAGGGGCAAAGAAAAGTTATCCAAACTTAGACATAACTGCTTTCACAGTTATACTAGCCCATCTATTGGTCACCTGATACTTTAGGGGAAGGTAACTTTGTTTAATATAATATGTAATATTGATTAGGTTTTGGACTCTGTATAGTTAGACATTAATTTTTTATTTATTATTATTTTATTTTATTTTTGAGACAAGGTCTCACTGTGTTGCCCAGGTTGGAGTGCAGTGGTGTGATTGTGGCTCACTGAAGCCTCCAACTCCTGGGCTCAAGTGATCCTCCTGCCTCAGCCTCCTGAGTAGCTAAGACTACAGGCATGTGCCACTATGCCCAGCTAATTAAAAAAAAAAATTATTTTTTTAGAGACAAGGTCTTGCTATATTGCCCAGGCTGGTCTCAAACTCCTAGCCTCAAGCAATTCTCCCTCCTGGAGACATTAACTTTTATTATTTTATTTTATTTATTTATTTTCTTTTTTGAGACAGACTCTCACTCTGCTGCCCAGGCTGGAGTGCACTGGTACCATCTTGGCTCCCTGCAACCTCTGCCTCCCAGGTTCAAGCGATTTTCCTGCCTTAGCCTCCCAAGTAGTTGGGATTACAGGCACGCACCACCACACCCACCTAATTTTTGTATTTTTAGTGGAGACAGGGTTTCACCATGTTGGTCAGGCTGGTCTCGAACTCCTGACCTCAAATGATCTGCCCACCTCGGCCTCCCAAAGTGCTGGGATTACAGGTGTGAGTCCCCGTGCCCAGTGAAGACATCAGCTTTTAAAAAATGCTAGCCAGGCACGGTGGCTCACGCCTGTAATCCCAGCACTTTGGGAGGCTGAGGCGGGTGGACCACCCCAGACCAGACTGGCCAACATGGTGAAACCCCGTCTCTACCAAAAATACAAAAATTAGCCAGGCGTGGTTGCGGGCGCCTGTCATCTCAGCTACTCGGGAGGCTGAGGCAGGAGAATTGCTGGAACCCAGGAGGCAGAGGTTGCAGTGAGCCGAGATCGCGCCACTGCACTCCAGCCTGGGCGACAACAGTAAGACTCCTTCTCAAAAAAAAAAAAAAAAAAAAAAAAAAAAAAAAGCATACATTGCTATAGTAATTCCACTTTTGGGTATTCCCAAAGAATTGAAAGCAGAGTCTTGAAGAGATATTTGTAGACCAATGTTCACAGCAGCATTATTCACAATAGCCAAAATGTGGAAGTAACCCAAGTGTCCATCCACAGATGAATGGATAATAAAATGTTATATACACGCAATATTACCAGCCTTAAAAAGGAAGGAAATTCTAACATGTTACAACATAGATGAACCTTGAGGACATTAAGCTAAGTGAAATAAGTCAGTCACAAAAAAAAAACAAATACCGTATGATTCCACTTACATGAGCTATCTACAATAGTCAAATTCATAGAGGCAAAGAGTAGAATGGTGGCTGCCAGGGTCTGGAAGGAGGGGCAAATGTAGTCATTGTTTAATGTATACAGAATTTTGCAAGATGAAAATAATTCTGGAGATTGTTTATGCAACAATGTGAATGCATCTAACACTACTAAACAGTATACTCAAAATGGTTAGGATCATAAATTTTATGTTATGTGTATTTTATCACAATAAAAACATCTGATATGAATTAGTTATTTCTGGGGAAAAAACGGGTAAGTGCCACCACATCTGGCTAATTTTTGTATTTTTAGTAGAGACGGGGTTTCACCATTGTTGGCCAGGCTGGTCTCCTATTCCTGAACTCAGGTGATCCACCCGCCTCGGCCACCCAAAGTGCTGGGATTACAGGCATGAGCCACCACACCCGGCCAGGAATTCTTTATGTAAAAATATCAGTTTTAGTGGCTGTGATATTCCAATATAGAATCATGCCTTGCTAGGACCATGCCTCACTGAACGATGGGATACATTCTGAGAAAAGCGCCATTAGGCAATTTCATTGTTGTGTGAACATCATAGAGCATACTTAACACAAACCTAAATGGTATAGCCTACTACACACCTAGGCTATATGGTATAGTGTATTGTTAATAGGCTACAAACCTGTATGGCATGTTACTGTACTGAATACTGTAGCAATTCTGTCTAAACATAGAAAAGGTAGAAAAGGTATGGTAAAAATGTGTTATATAATTTTATGGGAACACTATCTCATATGCAGTCTGTTGTTGATGGAAACATTGTTATGCGGTGTATGATTGTATCAAATTGGTTACCACTTGTTGGGGCTTTTTAAAATTTTTATTGTTTTAGAGACAGGGTCTTGCTCTGTTGCCCAGGCTGGAGTGCAGTGGCGTGACCATAGCTCACTGTAGCCTTAAACTCCTGGGCTCAAGCAATCCTTCCACCTCGGCTTCCCAAAATGCTGGCATTACAGATGCAAGTCACTGTGCCTGGCCTTTGTTGGGTTTTTAGGTTAGTTCTCCTTTATCGTCATTACGTATAACCTGAGATACACAGTGTTGAAGTTAAATCTGTACACATACTGAATCTTTCCCTAGAATGCTTTCCTGAAAGTAGAATTACTTGGTCAAAGGGTATGTATGTTTTTAACATCTAATTTCAAGTTTTATCAAACTATTAAATGTGCAAACAAGTCAGATAGAACTACAGGATTTAAAACAAGCTCCAATCCACTGCCTCACCTCTTTCCACCGTCAAGTTCCAAGCCTTAGAGACAACCAATTCCAACTTTTTTAGCTGTTTCTTCTGTATTTACCTTGATATTTCTAAATAGTATGCTTATATTATTTTTTGATTTCTCAATTTTGACATTATGTATTTTATATATATATATATATATATATATATATATATATATATATATATATATATATATATATATACTTTTTTTGAGACGGAGTCTCGCTCTGTCGCCCAGGCTGGAGTGCAGCGGCGCGATCTCGGCTCACTGCTACCTCCGCCTCCTGGGTTCACGCCATTCTCCTGCCTCGGCCTCCGAGTAGCTGGGACTACAGGCGCCCGCCACCATGCCCGGCCAGTTTTTTTGTATTTTTAGTAGAGACGGGGTTTCACCGTGTTAGCCACGACGGTCTTGATCTCCTGACCTCGTGATCTGCCCGCCTCGGCCTCCCAAAGTGCTGGGATTACAGGCATGAGCCACCGCGCCTGGCCAACATTATGTATTATATTTTTATGGTGAAAAATAATTTAGCTCCCAAGCAGCACCTCCCCCAACAACCTCCCTACTTCCCTAAATCCTTAAAACCTTCTCATCTTTCTCCCCACAAACTTTCTTTTTTCTCCATTCTCTTAATGTAATTCTATCACTTTGGTTAAAACAATATTCACTGCTCGGCGGGGCGCGGTGGCTCACACCTGTAATCCCTGCACTTTGGGAGGCCGAGGTGGGAGGATCACTTGAGGTCAGGAGTTGGAGACAAGCCTAGCCAACATGGCGAAACCCTGTTTCTACTAAAAATACAAAAATTAGCCAGGCATGGTGGCACACGCCTGTAATCCCAGCTACTGGGGAGGCTGAGGCAGGAGAATCGCTTGAACTTGGGAGGCAGAGGTTGCATTGAGTCAAGATTGCACCCCTGCACTCCAGCCTGGGCAACAGAGCAAGACTCTGTCTCAAAAAAAAAAAGAAGAAACAAACAAACAAAAGAACAGAAAAAATAAATAAAACAATATTCACTGCTTACGTTTTTATGGTCATGTTAATACAGTTCACAGCTGAGCCATATGTTGTACTATGATTATATTTTCTTTCTTTTTCTTTTCTCTTTTTTTTTAGAAACGCAGTTTCACTATGTTGCTCAGGCTGGACTTGAATGAACTCCTAGGCTCAAGTGATTCTCCCACCTCAGTCTCTCGAGCAGCTGGTACTACAAGTGCGTGCCACGCCACTCGGATACATTTTCTTTCTTGCATAGCTTTTACTTTTTTTCCTTTCTACATTTGATTGCCTTTTTGTCTGTTTGCTTAGTTTTTTACAAAAAACAACTTTACTGAAGTACTACAGTTACATAAAACATACCTGTTTTACATGGATAGTTCATAGAGTTTTGACAAATATATACACCTATGTAACCATCACCCTAATCAAGATATAAAACATTTCCATCACCCCCAGCAAGTTCTTTCTTGTTCTTTTGCAGTCAACCCCCGACCCCCATCTCAGGCAAGGGCTGATTGGAGCCTATTACTGGAGATTAGTTTTACCAGTTCTTGAACTTCATGTAAATGGAATAATTTTTTGACAATTTCACTTCGAAGAGACAGACTATTAAAAAGACAATTGTTTGTGTAATAAGTACACGCATGCTAAAAGTACACGACCTGTTCCAGTTTTGGGTTAGCAAGGGATTCCTCGAAAAATTAAAAGAATAAACCGCTACTATCATTATTAGAAAGAATTAACCTGGAGTAGAAAGAGGTGTTATGTGGATGGGGATGGGGGACATGAAGGATGGGGGACATGGGGGATGGGGGACATGGGGGATGGGAGAAGCGCAAGACATGGAGTGCGAATGAGGTTGGGGTCCAGCCAGAAGGAAAAGCATGAACAAAGGCTTGGAGACAAGAGCAATTCCGTCTGGACTCAAACCTGGATTTCGTAACTTGTCTCCATTTTACTACCATCGAAACTGCTGTGCTCTCCAAGTTTTTTGCCCAGTCCAAGCAGGGCAATTATGAATAAGTAAGACGCTCTACCAACATATTTCAGTGTTTTCCCCCATTAGACTGTAAGTTCTTTGAAAGCTAGAACTTCATAATGTAACCCTTGTTACGTAGTAGGCAAGCATTAATAAATACTGGTTGAATTAACGAATAATTGGGTGAGTGAATGAACGAACGCACGCATGCAAACCCGAAAGTCCCTGGAGGAAATGGTCACCTTCGGAGGTTTAGTCTGGCCCAGAAGCCCTAAGACCACGGACTGTGCCAGGTCCCACTCCAAACGCCGGGGAGACGCTCTAGGCAAGCTACACGTTCTTTGCTGCGGTGCCACTCTAGCCGCGAGAACGCCGCTCTATGGCTGCGGGGGAGGGGCGGGGCTCGTGGGTGTCTCCGACCCTTTTTGTCCCGGCGCGGCGGGAGCGCGCTTGGCGCGTGCGTACGCGACGGCGGTTGGCGGCGCGCGGGCAGCGTGAAGCGAGGCGAGGCAAGGCTTTTCGGACCCACGGAGCGACAGAGCGAGCGGCCCCTACGGCCGTCGGCGGCCCGGCGGCCCGAGATGTTATCTGGGAAGAAGGCGGCAGCCGCGGCGGCGGCGGCTGCAGCGGCAGCAACCGGGACGGAGGCTGGCCCTGGGACAGCAGGCGGCTCCGAGAACGGGTCTGAGGTGGCCGCGCAGCCCGCGGGCCTGTCGGGCCCAGCCGAGGTCGGGCCGGGGGCGGTGGGGGAGCGCACACCCCGCAAGAAAGAGCCTCCGCGGGCCTCGCCCCCCGGGGGCCTGGCGGAACCGCCGGGGTCCGCAGGGCCTCAGGCCGGCCCTACTGTCGTGCCTGGGTCTGCGACCCCCATGGAAACTGGAATAGCAGAGACTCCGGAGGGGCGTCGGACCAGCCGGCGCAAGCGGGCGAAGGTAAGGCTCGACCCTTCCCTCAAACGACACCGCCTGGTGCCGAGCTTCCCCGAGGCTTCTCCGCCCTCCCCCGCCGCCGCCGGGTCTTGGGCCCTGCGACCACTCAGACCTCCCCTTGTATCGCTGCGCACGCCACGTCCCCTCTAGCTGGACGGGTGGGGTGAGAAAGGAAAAGTCTTTGCCGGTGTTGACTGCGGTCTTTGTGCTGGGTCCCGAGCGACGTGGGAAGGGGCATCGATGATTGCTGGGAGGGGTATTTTATTCCTTAGGTCTTTCTTGCACACCTTTTCATTTTCTTGACTGGAAAATGGCTCCCTGACGTGGGGTTACGGTTGGCGTTCTTGGAGACCTCACTTGTTTGTTCACAGATAGGTCTGGAAGCTGTTGGGCGATATTGATGGCGTTTCAGCTGGGTGCACGAGGGGGCTGTAGGTTGATGCTGAAGAAATCGCCTTAGCCGGGGAGATGAAAAGAAAGGGTCGTTTTTGCTTTTGTTTTTGTTTGAGCAAAACCCTGCTGTGTGGTAGGAGTTCTAGTCTTTTTTTTTTTCTTTTTTAAAATCCTCTCAGCGATCTTTTGGCGCAGAATTTTGCAGATGAGGAAGCTGCTGATTGAGAGAGCAAATAATAGTCAAAATGCAAATATATGGGAAGAAAAGATTTGACTCCAAACAGTATATACAGACAGTGACTGCCTCAAATGTCTGTGTCCTAGATGCTATATTCAGCGTGTCACCAACATTACTTTTTTTTGTTGTTGTTAAATATCAACGGGCAGGTATTGCTAGCCCTATTTTAGGAATGAGTAAACTGAGGCACACAATTTAAGCAACTTGCCTAAAGTCACAAAGCTAAATAAGTGATGGAAGTGGAATGTAATTCCCACATTCATGTTGTTACAGGGTATCATCAGCCCTTGAAACAAAGGACCACATGGGACACTGTGTGCAGGGCACTGGGGCAGTATTAGGGCGCAGACTTTAGACTTGGGCCTTTTCTGGAGATTTAATGGTCGGTCTAGTTGGAAAAAACAACCTGGATATATATGTGCGTGTAGTCAACATTTAAATAAAAATTTGCAGATTATATAATTTATGCCTGAAAAAATTGTCTACATAATTTTTAAGTGGGAATACCAAGTCAGTGTGTATGGGGAGCTTCTTGAGATGAGTATTACCCAGTCTGAGAGCTCTCATATTTATCTGCCTACTTGAGCCAACTCTCTAAAGTATAACCAGTGCTGGATGAAAGACCGTTTTGGAGGCAAGACTTTCTGGAGCTTTTACCAAAGCATGGGTTAGAAAAGCACAGAGGTTGGTGACACCAGCCCTCAGAAATGAAATAAAGGGCAGAAGTCAAGAGTGTTATTTTACGATTTCAATAGACAGGTGGCCAGAAGCCACGTATAAGATGTTTTTAAAAACAGATTTATTGGCTGGGCACAGTGGCTCACTCCTGTAATCCCTGCACTTTGGGAGGCCAAGGCGGGTGGATCACCTGTGGTCAGGAGTTCGAGACCAGCCTGGCCAACATGATGAAACCCCCGTCTCTACTAAAAATACAAAAAATTAGCCGGGCGTGGTGGCGGGCGCCTGTAATCCCAGCTACTCCGGAGGCTGAGTTAGGGAGAATTGCTTGAACCCGGGAGGCAGAGGTTGCAGTGAGCCCAGATCGTGCCACTGCACTTCAGCCTGGGCAACAAGAGCGAAACTGTCTAAAAGCAAACAAAAAAACAGGCTTATTGGGATAATGCATGTATAATAATATTCACCATTTTAAAATGTATGATTCAGTGGTTTTTAGCATATTTACAAGATTGTACAGCCAACACCACAATTGATTTTAGAACCTTTTCATCATCCCCAAAGACATCTGTATCATTAGCAGTCACTCCCCAGTCCTCCCTACCCCCAGTCCCTGGCAACCACTAATCTACTCTTTGTCTATGGATTTGTCTATTCTGAACATTTTATATAAAATCTTATGTAGCCTTTTGTATTTGGCTTTAGCATGTTTTCAGGGTTCATTCACGTTGTAGTGCTTTCATTCAGTACTTGATAACTCTTTATGGCTGAATAATATTCCATTGTATGGATATACCAAATTTGGTTTACCCATTCATCATTTGACGCACATTGGGGTTTGTTTCCAAGTCTTGGCTATTTTACATAATGCTGCTGTGAACATTAATGTACAGTTTATTTTGTGAATATGTTTTCAGTTCTCTTTGGGTGTGGGCCTAGGAATTCCTGGGTTTTATGTTAATTCTAGGTTTTACTTTTGAGGTATAGCCAAACAGTTTCCCATAGCAGCTGCACCATTTTACATTCCCATTAGTAAATATATGAGGGTTCCAGTTTCTCCAATGTTCTTCTTCGTTTTTTTTTTTTTGTTGTTGTTGTTTTTGAGATGGGGTTTCGCTTTTGTTGCCCAGGCTGGAGTGCAGTGGCATGACCTCGGCTCACTGCAACATCCGCCTCCAAGGTTCAAGTGATTCTCCTGCCTCAGCCTCCCGAGTAGCTGGGATTATAGGCATGCACCACCATGCCCGGCTAACTTTGTATTGTGTTTTTAGTAGAGATGGGGTTTCTCCATGTTGGTCAGGCTGTTTCAAACTCCTGACCTCAAGGTGATCTGCCCACCTCGGCCTCCCAAAGTGCTGGGATTACAGGCATGAGCCACTGCGCCTGGCCTTCTTCTTCTTTTTTTTTTTTTTTTTTTTTTTTGCTGAGACAGTCTCTCTCTGTCACCACCCAGGCTGGAGTGCAGTGATGTGATCTCGGCTTACTACAGCCTCCTCCTCCTGGGTTCAAGCGATTCTCCTGCCTTAGCCAGCCGAGTAGCTGGGATTACAGGCACCTGCCACCACCTCTGGCCAGTTTTTGTATTTTTAGTAGAGACAGGGTTTCACCATGTTGGCCAGGATGGTCTTAAACTCCTGGCCTCAAGCCATCCACCCACATCGGCCTCCCAAAGTGCTGGGATTACAGGTGGAGCCACCTTGTTGAGCCTCCATATCCTTCTTGACATTTAATATTGTTTGTCTTTTACTGTAGCCATCCTATTGGGGGTAAAGTGGTATCTCATTGTGGTTTTGATATGCAGTTCCCTAATGACTAATGATGTTGGGCATCTTTTCATGTGTTTATTAGCCATTTTTATATTTTTGTTGAAATGACTATTCAAATCCTTGGCTCATTTTTAAAAATTGAGTTGTCTTCATCATTTTCTAGTAAGAGTTCTTTACATATTCTGGTTACGGAAATTTGTGATTTTGATGAGATCCAATTTATTCTTTTGCTCCCTTTACTTCTGGTGTTATATCTAATAAACCATTGCCTTATCCAATGTCACGAGGATTTACTCCTATGTTTTCTTCTAAGAGTTTTTTAGTTTTAGCTCTTGCATTTATGTCGATGATCTTTTCTCAGTTAATTTTTGTATATGGTGTGAGGTAGGGGTTCAGTTTCATTATTTTGCATGTTGTCCCAGCACAGTTTATTGAAGACTATTCTTTCTCTCAGCGAATAGTTGGCACCCTCATTGATTAACTATAAATCTAAGAGTTTATTTCTGGACTCTCAACTCTATTCCATTGATCTATTATATATTTCCGTCCATTCCAGTACCACACTATCCTGATTACTTTAGTTTCATAATAAATTTTGAAATTAGGAAGTGTTCCTCAACTTTGTTCTTCTTTTGCAAGATTATTTTGGCTGTTCTGAATGCTTTGCATTTCCATATGAATTTTAGGACCAGCTTGTCAGTTTCTGCAAAAAGGGCTGCTGGGATTCTGATTGTGATTGTGTTGAATCTGCAGATTGTAAGTTTGGGGCACACTATTAGATTTTACTGTTATTTTTTAAGCTATCTCCTACAAGAAAGATTTCTTTTTTTAGCTAACTGATTAATTTTTTGGAGGCAGGTTCTCACTCTGTCACCCATGCTGGAGTGCAGTGGCTCAATCATAGCTCACTGCAGCCTCAACCTCCCAGGCTCAAGTGATGCTCTTATCTCAGCCTCCTGAGTAGCTGGGACTACAGCTGTACACAACCATGCCTGGCTAATTTTTTATTTTTTGTAGAAATGGCTTCTCCCTGTGTTGCCCCAGCTGGCCTCGAACTTCTGGGCTCAATCATTCCTCCTGCCTCAGCCTCCCAAAGGGCTGAGATTACAGACATGAGCCACCTCACCCAACCAAGATTTTTTTCTTTGTAATTCTCCTGTGTTTATTTTAACTCATCTTACTTACCCTGTTTTTTAATCCCCCATTGTAATTAGCTCTTAAACTTTCAGGAAAAAAATTAGTTATGTGTTTGTTTGGGGCAGCAACTACTAGGAAGCTAGCAACTATCCAGTCTTGGGATCCAGAGGAAACAGACTTTAGAGGATAGAGTATCCATTTAAGGAATAAAAAGCAAGCTGAGGCCAGTATAGATAGGCCATGCTTCAGTAGTTCTTCAGTGTATGCAAGGAAAAAAGTGCATGTATTTTATGACTTGGGAGCTTATCCAGTTTTGAGGACTGTACTTTAACAAAATTATATCATTACATAATTAAAATTATGTTTAGGGTATTGGAAGGAGTTCATGTAATTGAGTGTCCCTGAAGCTTCAGTTTCATTAGTTTCAGAATAAATTCACTTTTGGGCATGTGTATGCTAAAATTATGGCAAAATATTTAAGGTTTTAAATTGGTAAATTGGGTTGGAACTTCACGAACACCATACTCCTTTAGGAATGGTGGCCTTGAGCTAGGCCATGAAATGGCAGAATTTAGAAAAGTGTTCTGGAAAAGGGTGGACTTTTTGGAGTTTAAGTATTTCATCTTCCTCTGATTCATTTTCCTCAGGTAAATAAGCCCTACCTTGTAAAGTTTAGATATAATATAAACAAAATGCTTATTGCAGTGTTTGGCGTATAATTAGTAGGTGACCAGTAATTAAGATACTACCAGTGGAGAAAAGGAAGTGGTTTGAGAAGCATCAGGGAATCCAGAGTGGACAACTGAATGTTGAGAACAATGGACAAATGAATTTAATTAGAAACAGGAATCATCTAGGAACAAGATAGATTGAAGGGACCAGTAGCGTTGGGGTTGTAGAGTTGTGTCCAGGTTGTAGTGAGCATTAGATTCTTGCTGTCCAATATGGTAGCCTGTAGCCACATGTGGCTATTAAGTTTAAATTGAAATTAAAAACAGTTTCTTCAGTCACATTAGCTACATTATAAGTGCTCAATATAGCACATGTTGAAGCCACAGAATTGGAAGCACAGATAGAGAAGTTTTCCATTATGACAAAAAGTTCTATCAGACAGCCTTGAACTAGATTATGAAGTGCAGACCATAAGTGCTGTGAGACTTCAGAGAAGATGAAAGATTTTTTTTTTTTTTTTTTGAGATGAAGTCTCACTCTTTTCCCTCAGGCTGGAGTGCAATGGTGTGATCTTGGCTCATTGCAACCTCCACCTCCCGGGTTCAAGCAATTCTTCTGCCTCAGCCCTCAGAGTAGCTGGGATTACAGGCACCTGCCACCACGCCCAGCTAATTTTTGTATTTTCAGCAGAGACGGGTTTCACCATGTTGGTAAGGCTGGTCTAGAACTCCTTACCTCAGGTGATCCACCCACCTCGGCCTCCCAAAGTGCTGGGATTACAGGCATGAGCCACTGCACCTGGCAGGTGTATTTTTTAAATTTAGAATAATTAAGAAATAATCTTCAGAGGAGGTGGACCTTGAATATATGGCATTGGATTAACAGAAAAAGATGGAAGTAGCTTTAGGGAACTTAGAGGTTGGTAGAGCAGCATTGAGGACTTTTTTACTCGTGTGTTAGTGATTAGAATTAAGTTTGAATTCAGGCCAGACATGGTGGTTCATGCCCGTAATCCCAGCACTTTGGGAGGCCAAGGTGGACAGATCGATTGAGCCCAGGAGTTTGATATCAGCCTTGGCAACACGGCAAAACCCTGTTTATACAAAATTATAAAAATTAGCCATGTGTGGTGGCATGCGCCTGTAGTCCTAGCTACTCAGGAGGCTGAGGCAGGGGAATCACTTGAGCCTGGGAGGCAGAGGTTGCAGTGAGCTGAGATCACGCCACTGCTTTCCAGCCTTGGCGACAGTGAGACCCTGTCTTAAAAAAATAAAAATAAAAATAAAAAAGGCAGTTTGAATAGTCAAGGCCAGAGAGTGTATATGCTGGTTTGAAAAATTTGACGTTCATATCTGTTAAGCTATTAGAAAATATCACATAATGGGAAAATTAATCTGGCAGCTTTGCCGTAGATAAAAGGGAGAAAGTTTTTTTTTAATTTTTATTTTTTGTGGTACATAGTAGGTATATATATTTATGGGGTACATGAGATGTTATGATATAGGAATGCAACGTGAAAGGAAAAAGTTTTGTTTTTTTGTGTGTTTTTGTTTTTTGTTTGTCTGTTTGTTTTTTTTTTTTTGAGGCAGTGTCTCACTTTGTCACCCAGGCTGGAGTGCAGTGGCCCGATCATGGCTCACTGCAGCCTTGACCTCCCCGGTTCAAGTGGTCCTCCTGCCGTAGCCCCCCCAAGTAGCTGGAACTACAGATGTGCACCACCACCCACAGCTAATTTTTGTAGAGATGGAGTCTCGCTATTTTGCCCAGGCTGGTCTCAAACTCCTTAGATCAAGTGATCTGCTCACCTCAACCTCCCAAAGTGCTAGGATTACAGGTGTGAGCCACCATGCCCCGCCCAAGAAATATTTCTTTATAAAGACTGATGCTTTAAGGACATTGAGGAGTGAATGAATCATTGTAATAAGGGTGGGGAGGAGAAGGAAGAGACTAAAGATTTAAATTTCAGAGTCATCAATGTGAAAGTAAGAATAATTACCCTACTCACTCATAGTCTGCCTGTTGGGACATCTTTATGTCCTTGGTTGTAAGTAGTTGTAGAATCTCTGAAGTCTTTGGGGTTTTTACTTAGGGATGAGAGAGTCCCAATCCTTTAGGTTCAAAGTACACATTCCTTTTCTCAGGGGAATAGTTTTTATTGAAGTTTGTATGATTCTTTCAGATGGTTTTAAAACTTTATTAAATGGTCACTTCTTGGCTCTGGGCAATTTTAAAATTATCTAAAAAAAAAAACTTTATTAAATGAGGAAAGCCTTTTTTATAAAATAAAATTTTAAGCAAAAATCCCAAAATAAAACACACTACTATTAAGTAGTATTAAGAAGTTAAAATTTATAACATTTATTTTAGTTGTCAGTCTATGAGAAAATGAGGTGAAGCCAAATTTGAGATTGGAAATTAAGCATGATAGTCTTCTTTTAGCCTTAGAATCCATTTTTTTCCCCCAGCGACTAGACCACCAGGGAAGAATCCAATTTTGTTTCTGTATTTTGCTTTGTTTATGAAGTATTGTGGCAGTCTGGTACTGATTTGACAAATTGTGCAAAAGGTAGAAGGTTGGTTTTGTTTGCTTTTTTTTTTTTTTTTTTGAGACAGGGTCTCGACTCTGTCACGCAGGCTGGAGTGCAGTGTTTAGATCACAGCTCACTGTAGCCTTGACCCCCCCCCGCCCCCACCAGGTTCAAGTGATCCACCTCAGCCTCCTTAGTAGCTGGAACTGCAGGTGCATGCCACCACACCAGGCTAAGTTGTTTTATTTTTTTGTAAACACAGGGTTTCCCTGTGTTGCCTAGGCTGGTCTAGAAGTGGGCTCAAATGATCCTACACTTTCTTCCTTCCAAAGTACTGAGATTACAGGCTTGAGCCACCGCTCCCAGCCTTTTTTTTTTTTTTTTAAGCTTGCTTTGTCATCTCAGGATGCTCTCAGTTGAACAGACATGGCAGAAGAAACTTCATTCTGAAGTCTACCCCAAATTGAGTTACCCAAGCAGCACAAGTTAATTGTGTTGGTTGTCTCTAAAGGATTAAGATTTGTTTTAACACATGAATGTGTAATACATTTAAAAAATTAAAATTCTAAATCTTGAAGAATCCTAGGGTTCTGTGAAACAGTTTTGTTTTTAATAATACCATCAGATATTATTGCTTCTACCTGTAGGTATTTTTCTCATCTCTTTTGTTCCTAAAGACTAAGAACCCTTTCTAGACCACCCTTTTCCAAGTGTATTCCTTGTTAATTATTTCTTTGTCAAGGCATTGGATTAAACAATGTTGAAAAGATTGTTTTTGATGCAAAACTTAGCAGTACCTTTATTTTCTATTTTTTTGAGACAGGGTCTGTCTCTGTTGCTCAGGCTGGAGCACAGTGGTGCGATCACAGATTGCACCCTTGGCCTCCTGGGCATAAGCGGTCCTCCTGCCTTGGCATCTGCCTGCCTCAGCCTCCCAAAGTGCTGGGATTACAGGCATGAGCCACCACGCCCAGCCTTCTCAGTACCTTTAATGTGAATTATGACTTTCCTAGAGGGGGCCTGTAAAGATTGCAGTTTCCCAGACTTGATATTGGATACTTTACTCCTTCAAAGGGCATAGTATCCAATGGAACATCCTTTGGGAAAAACTGAACTACAATAGAAAAGATTTTGTATTAGTCTTTGTTTTTGTCTCAAAATTTGCACATTGTCCAGTTCCATATTAGGTACTTAAGTCATTATTGAATGAATAGGATTGATGGGGCAGAGGATCAAAGGACTGAATCTTTGGGGAAGAGTCAAGCACTATTGAGGGGTAAAAGGAGAAAGAAAACTGCATACTATAAAAGTTTATGGTCTATTCTGACTTCTCTCCCCCTTTGAAACTTTTTTTTTTCTCCTTGCTGCATTTTCATCCATTATCCTGAGACCTATTTCCACAGTTTATCTCAGTCAGTTAGGATAAAGTTTAGTATAATATCATCTACATTTCTGGAGTCTTATTGCAAAGACCCTGTATGAGATGGTCACCTGATCAGGATCATTTAATTGCAACTAGATTTTCAGCTTTTTAGGGGCAGGGACACAGTCATAATTGTTTTCTCCATTGTACCACGTACTCAGTGTTCAGTATTTGAGTAGGTGAATACAATTATTCATGTATTAAATAAGATTCTTAGAGCATGGGTCAGAACTAGTCAGTTCATTCTTCTTAATTTGTGTTTCCATTTTCTAACCCAATCCCTGTTTTCAGTAACACTCTTGTACTTCCAGCAACCAGTCCCCCGCCCCCAAATCCTGTGGTCCTATCATTTAAAAAAAAGAGCAAAAAGACAGTATAAAAACAGCTGGCCATCTAAAGCTATATCAAAGACATTTAGCAAGTTAAAATGTATTACATTCACTATAATCCACAGGACTATTCATCTTGGAAATGTAAAACATTAGATATTTGTGGAAACCATGTTGTCTTTGCTTTTTTTCCACATCTAATAAATTATCTTTTCATGGAATTAATAATAATTAGAATTTTTTAATTGATTCCATAATAATTAGCTGTAGTTTCTTTTATTAGGAAGTCACAATGATGATTTGAGAATGTTCCAATTTTGAAGACTATCTGTAATACCGTATTACACATTTTGGCTAACCAATCCATAATAATCTTCCCTGTCTTACACTCCTTTACCCTCAATGACACATTCACTAAGACTGCTTCCTCTTTTTGCTAATGACATACCTCCCTCTCCTTTATAGCCAGTGTGAATTAGTAGTAAGACCTGTATCCTCCATTTCCACGTCACTTATTCCTTAATTTATCTTATTTTTATTTTTATTTTTTTTGAGATGGAGTCTCACTCTGTTGCCCAGGCTGCAGTGCAGTGGTGCGATCTTGGCTCACTGCAACCTCCGCCTCCCAGGTTCAAGCGATTCTCCTGCCTCAGCCTCCCGAGTAGCTGGGATTACAGGTGCCTGCCAACACACCCAGCTAATTTTTGTATTTTTAGTAGAGAAGGGTTTTCACCATGTTAGCTAGGTTGGTCTCGAACTCCTGACCTTAGGTGATCCTCCTGCCTCAGCCCCCCAGAGTGCTGGGATTATAGGCGTGAGCCACTGCACCTGGCCTCTCCTAAGTGAATTTTTAAAGCAAATGCACCTTTTCATAGTTTCAGTTTGACTGTTGTTATTTTCCACTCCATGCCCTCCATTTGGTTTTTGGAATTTTTTTGCTATTTTCCCCTGGAGTAGTAGTTAGAAGCACAGACTTGGCTTTAGACAGACTTGGTATTCTAGTTAACTATATTTTTGTCTGAGGGTCATTTTATTCTTTTGTTGGAAATTCCAGTATGTGAGCATGATACACACAATTAAAAAGGTTTTTGAGGAGTTGTAGAGAGCCTTAGAGTCAATGATTTGAATGTCAGTGCTATGATGTAAAACTTACAGATTAGTTTGAACCTGAACTGACACAAGATTGTTTCATGAGGGCTTTGTTTTTAATAACTACCTATTATGAGCTGCCTTGTTCCTTGTTGTATGCTTACTTCCCTTAAAATGTGAGGTTAACAATTTACATTGACTGATGGTTCCAAATAGAGTCCCTAATTTTAAATGTTCACTGCATTTAGCTTTCCCTGGTATGATCTCCATATAGGTAGAGTACAGAGAGATGGATGAAAGCTTGGCCAACCTCTCAGAAGATGAGTATTATTCAGAAGAAGAGAGAAATGCCAAAGCAGAGAAGGAAAAGAAGCTTCCCCCACCACCCCCTCAAGCCCCACCTGAGGAAGAAAATGAAAGTGAGCCTGAAGAACCATCGGGTGAGTTGTAGTATCCAACCACAGTTCTGTTTTATCTTAGAAATAAGAATGAATGGATTTATTTCCATTTTGCAATATTATTTATGTCTTTATCTTTGGTTTATAATAAAGTCTGATATTGAGTCTCCTGCCATGTGTGTCTTTGTGTGTGTGTATACATATACATGTATATGTGTGTATGTATACACATAGATACGTACATACTGGTACTGATACTCTTTTTGTGTGTCTGTACATATACAGGAGGAAAGTAAAGGGTGGGAATGGAAGGACAGTGGCAATATAAGGTGGTTGGAAAGTAGGAGAAAATAAATGATTAGAAAAAACATACAGAAAGCCATATCCAAAGCACCAGACCTCTCAATGACAGTTCTGATTCAGAAATTGTTCTGGCTAAATGATGTGTTTACCACGTAGTTAGATACTTTCTGATAAAACTTCCACGGTGTGGATCGGTTTTGAGAAGTGCCTTTTCCTGGTGAACAAATGTAAAAATATATATAGGCCAGAAAATCTAGAAAGATTATGGGAGTCTATAGTTTTGGTTTCAGAGCTTCAAACAGCTTTAAAGAATTCTCACTAACATCCCCTCAATGCTGAGTACTAGCTTTCTGAGGATGGCTGGACCAATCAGGGATATCTGCCTTTCTGTTTTGGAGAGACCAAGCAAAAGCAGTATTTTAATGAATTTTTGTATCTTGTGCCCTTAATGACATTTTATTTACTCTTTTTGACTTTGAATTTTTACTAAGTTCCTCTTCTTGAAATAATTTTTATGTTTCGAATAGCTTCAGACCCACACACCTCTCTGGTTCTTTTAGTCCTGTACCTTTTAAAAACAAAATGGTGGTTTCAGACCCCATCTGCTATATCTTGCATGACTTTCGTAGGTACCCAGATTAAGACATACTTCATTTGAGATGTTTTATCTTTTGTTTTAGCCTTTTTTTTTTAAGGGTTTTCTCCCCTATGGTGTTACTGTGAATTACCAGAAGCAGTACTGATGCTTCACTTTAGGGCATTACCAGTCAAGTGTTAACTTAGGTTTGGAGCTTATCAAAGTCTGGCTAAAACTTAAAAATCAAATTTATAATTTATAGGATTGTAATAAAGTGTACTAAAGGAATACAGTTTGAGAACATTCAGAAAAAGATTCTGGTTTCAGTTCATTCAAAAGTCAGGGATTTTCTAAGAAGAGTGGTTTTCCTAAAACTTTCTTAAAATGATTTCTTGGGCAACTCCTTGTTTGAAGGTTTCTAGTTTCAGTAGTATATTACCTTTGGGGCTAATGTCCCAGGCAAATGTAGCTGCCTTTTTACTTTACACCTCTCGTTATTCATTTTTCTTCTTCCTCTTTCTAGTCTTATACATTTAGCTCTCTTCCTTCTGTTCTTACCTCCAACC
Source organism: Homo sapiens (assembly GCF_000001405.40). Taxonomy (NCBI): domain Eukaryota; kingdom Metazoa; phylum Chordata; class Mammalia; order Primates; family Hominidae; genus Homo; species Homo sapiens. Next base: position 23,032,039 of record NC_000001.11, read on the forward strand.
TTTCCCTTCACCCTGTGCTCTTTTCTTCTGTGTTCTTTTTGGTTCTTACCTTTCTTCTACCTTTGCTGTAGACCTGCTAATGAGATACTTGGGGATAACCCTTTTAATGTCTGCGGTGGCTCAAGAGTGGGCTGACTTCTTAGTTCAAGGGCTCTAAGTACTACGCATTGATGATCTGATATCTCAGATGCTGCCTCACCTTTTTTGTGTGGTTGTGTCTCCAGTAAATAATTGATTTACCATAGGTTCCAAGTTGATAAACGTTTCTTTGAAAATTTTAAACCATGTGTTGGTGTTGCTGTTTGCTTTTTTCTGAAAGCTTTTTTTTTTTTTTAATTTCATAAACGTCAGGTATTGTTCCCACAAAAAGTAAACGTCTTAGCAAAAGGATTTAGGATTTGGGAGCTGTCTTTATTGTGTTGTAGTTAATTATAATGCAGTGGTTTAGTTTAAGTTATCTTTGTTTTTGGGGGGACGTTAAAATTTTAAGTTGAGGATATCTTCAATGCTTAGAAATGTGCTGATAACAGCCAGAACTTACTAATATATTATTTGTGGTTATGAAAATAGTGATTCTTCCTTTAAAACAACTTAATGTTTTTTTTGAAAATTTCTGGGGTGAATTAGGGATGTACTTTCCCTAGAAAAAAGTGTCAACTTACTAGCCTAAACTACTTATGTAGTTTAGCAATAGATTGGACCCTGATGGTGAATCATAAAATATTATCAGGTGAGTTAAATATTTGGACACTGTGCAGGGTTTCTAAGTCTTTTGTCTTTCACAAGAGTTTTTAGTCAAAAATTGAACGGAAGCATTGCTATATGACTATATTAAAAGCTTGAGAGAAGATATAGGTTTGTTTCGTTTTGATATTTTTGGAGACGGAGTCTCGCTCTGTCGCCCAGGCTGGAGTGCAGTGGCATGATCTCGGCTCACTGCAACCCCTGCCTCCCGGGTTAAGCAATTCTCCTGCCTCAGCCCCCTGAGTAGCTGATTACAGATGTGCGTCACCACGCCCAGCTAATTTTTGCATTTTTAGTAGAGACAGGGTTTCACCATGTTGGCCCACCTTGGCCTCCCAAAGTGCTGGGATTACAGGCATGAGCCACCATGCCTGGCCTGTGGGTTTGTTTCTCTACCAAACCTTTTCTTGTTCTCAGTCTTTTTAAAAGGCAATCACTAGAAATTATTCTGTCAAAAAATATAGGTTAGGGCCAGGCGCGGTGGCTCCCAGCACTTTGAGAGGCTGAGGCAAGCGGATCACCTGAGGTCAGGAGTTCGAGACCAGCATGGCCAACATAGTGAAACTCTGTCTCTACTAAAAATAGAAAAATTAGCCAGGTGTAGTGGCACGTGCCTGTAATCCCAGCTACTTGGGAGGCTGAGGCAGGAGAATTGCTTGAACCCGGGAGGCAGAGGTTGCAGTGATCTGAGATTGTGCCACTGCACTCCAGTCTTTGTGAGAGCAAGACTCCGCCTTAAAAAAAAATCCAAAAAACAAAACAAAACAAAAAAGTAAGGTTTGCATACATTTCATTCTTACCAACTTTTAAATTTGTTTAGAAATTTTTGCTTTGCTTTCTGCAGTGTGTTAATCTTAACAGGAAGTAAATATTTTGTTAATTATGAAAGCACAAGGTATTCTGAAGTCAGTGGGTCAAATTGACTGAATAAGGTTCCTCTGGGAGAGTACTGAGAGGAAGCCAGAATGGTGGGAGCCATATTGTGAATAGCCTTGGTTGACTAAGCCAGGCTAAGGAATTTGAGCATTAGGAGTGTCAGCGGTAGCCCTGAGGTTTTTTGAGCAAGGGGGGTTACACTGAAATATGTTTTTGGAAAGACCAATCTCATGCTAAGCGTGAACTAAAGGAGTAAAGAAGCTGAGATTGGAGAGATAATTTAGGCTATTGGTCAATGGAAAAATGTTCTTAATATCAAAGTTGAATTTTTATGGAAAGAAAAAGTTTGGGTGTTTTTGTCTGATTGCACTTATATAATTGGAAGGAAGTTCTCTCTGTTGACCTAAATATTGTTTTTAGATTTATCAATTTTTGACCGTAAGTTAATGTGATATTGTAGTCCTATGGTAGTCAAAATGGGTAAATAATGGATTTTTCATACCAAATATTACTGTTTATATTTAAAAACTACCTCATTTTGTTTTCCTAAATATTTCCATGCATTTTTATACTTACTATACTTTTGAATATATTTGTTTTAACACATGATGGTTTTATTTGGTTTCCTAGTACCTTTTCTGTGAAGATGAAAGTTTTTTTAGGTCATGCCAACTAAACTTGACAGGTTGTCTTTGGAATTGAGTGTGTTTGGTTACTAGCAGCGTCACATAATAGTGGAGCGTTTATGAAATAGAGTCAAATCTCCTTCAGTTGGACTTCATTGATTTAGAATAATTGTCCCCCAGTAAAGTACCCTTCTGTTTATTGGAGAAATGCCTTTCCTGTCTTTGCTCAGATTGTTACCCTGTGTACCTTACATTATTTTCCTCAATGAGTTTTGCATTCCTGTATTAACTGATTCTCCAACACTTACTTGGCTTTTTTATTTTCACATGGAAACATGACTCCATTTTTTTTTTCCCTCCACTGCCTTTCAGCAGTCAAATTTTACCAGAAAAATCTTACTAGTTAGTTCCTGGATTTAAATTGTGTATTGGGTAACTTTTCACTAGAGAACTCAAGATACATTCTGAGTTAGAAGTAGCTTAGTTGTACATAGCCTGAGACTTTCATGGAAAGTTATTCTAAAATAAGTAAAAGGAAATTTGAAATGGGTTATTAAGATGCCTTTCTTAAGCCTTTTTCAAGTTAATGGATTTTTCAGTAGAGACATCAGAAGTGTGTGTGTATATGCATGTGAGTGTGTGTATCATTTTTCTAGGCTCCTTGATGTCCTAGTCCTTAAGACTAATGAAGCCCAGAAGCTTCCATTAAGTCATTGGTTAACTCTTCAAATAGATTTTTTTAGATGTGATTGGTAACAAGTCTGTATTATAATTTATTTTATGGAATGACCATGGGAAGAATCACTTTATCTCCTTGTTTATATTCTTATTTGTACCAGAGGAAGCCCTCTTCTCTATTATATGTGGTAATTTTAAAAGTTTGTAGGTGTGTGTTTTAAAGAGATGTAGGCTGTTTTTGTTTGTTTGTTTGTTTTGAGACGGAGTTTTGCTCTTGGTGCCTAGTCTGGAGTGCAATGGCATGATCTCGGCTCACCACAACCTCCGCCTCCCGGGTTCAAGCAATTCTCCTGCCTTAGTCTCTCAAGTAGCTGGGATTACAGGCATGCGCCACTACTCCTAGCTAATTTTGTATTTTTAGTAGAGATGAGGTTTCTCCGCGTTGGCCAGGCTGATCTCGAACTCCTGACCTCAGGTGATCCACCTGCCTCAGCCTCCCAAAGTGCTGGGATTACAGGTGTGAGCCACCATGCCCGGTCAGGCTGTTAGATAAATTAACAAAAATCATTGATGTGAGAGAATGGTAAGATAAGAAATTTTGTGTGGTTTTAATAAATTTGGGGGCTTGTTCACATAATAATCATACTGTAGGTTGAAAATATTTTTTAAATTTACCTAAAAGGTGATGTTAACCTGAATTAGTAAAAATACTAAATTACAGAAAATACACAATGTATGAGTAGAAGAATTTAAAGAGTCAATGAAATTTGATCACAAATGCTGTTATAATGAAAATTTCATATAACAAAAGATTGAGGACCAAAAATTTGATGAATTATTTAGTAGAGAAAGTATTAAAAGGCAGAATCTTCTAGAGTATTCTATAGAACTTGGTATAATAGAATTTGATCAGAAAAGAGTTGAAGATTGTCTTACTTTAAAAGAAAAAAAATAAGTGGTACTAATATTTTCACCTTATATTAGGGTAGTTCTTTGTTTATAAGATACCCTGATCTCTTCCCTGTGAGGCAGTCATACTGAGTGCAGTCTGGTGGTTGCCAAGCACTGAGTTTGGCAGCATAGATAGTAATGGCCAGAGTTCAGGTGAACCACTTTGTTTTTTTTTAATCATGCTGTAACTATTCTCAAGTGGCTAATCCCAGGCTTTTCTCTCTGATTTCTCTCTCCATGCCTGCAAATGGAGCCAGAGAGAAGGACTAGCTTTCAGGTTTAGTGAGGATTGACTCAGATTACCACCACAGGGAAGATGATAGGATTCTATTACATCCCCAGGCCCAGCAGGAGACCCTGTTTTGTAGGTTTACCAGAAGTGACTAGGGAGTTCATTCCTGACGGGGTTGTCTGTGTTGTCATTTTGACATGCTAGTGTAAAATAAATGCCTGAAATCATTTGAATTCTCATTTTATGAAGTATGATGCATACATTCAGAAAATAGGCATAGGGTTAGTTTTCTTGCCACGCCCCCCCCCTCCCCCGCCCCCTCACCACTCCAGCCTTTTTGGAACACATTTCGGTGTTCTGATTTGGACCTATGCTCCAAAATACCTTACTGGAGGGCTGAGGGAAGAAAGTGACAAGCTGAAAAGGTAATTCAACAGAATTCTTATGTTCTTATATTTTGAGGCATTATGAATGGATCAAGATAAATACGCTATACAACACACGGTCCCCACTCTCAGATAATTTATAGCCTAGTATGAGACACAAGTGTAGACATAAATGCATAATGGAAAGCAAAAAACTCTTAAGTGTGATATCAATATAAAAATTCTAGAGGCATATAGAGGTAGGAAGGGTGAAGAGTAGAGAATTGGTAGTATGGAGGGCAAATTTTTTAAAAAATAGGCATTTTCTACAAAAAAATAAGATTCCCCCAAATGTAGTAGTTCCTCATTGACTTTATTCTACAAATATTATTGTACGATGATAATTATTTTGTCACAGTCACAGTGCTGGATTCTAAGGGTTCAAAGAGAAAGAGTACATCCACCTGCAAAGAATTTGTAGTCCAGTGGCCTGGTGTGGTGCATGCCTGTAATCCCAGCACTTAGGGAGGCCGAGGCAAGGGGATCACTTGAGGCCAGGAGTTTGAGACCAGCCCAGCCAACATGGTGAAACCCCATCTCCACTAAAAAAAATATATATACACACACACACACACACACACAAATTAGCCGGGAGTGGTGGCTTATGTCTGTAATCTCAGCTACTCAGGAGGCTGAGGTACCAGAATCACTTGAACCGGAGAGGCAGAGGTTGCAGTGAGCTGGGATCGTACCACTGCACTCCAGCCTGGGTGATAGAGTGAGACCCTGTCTCAAAAAAAAAAAAAAAAAAAGTGCAATTCAGTTTAGGGTTACAGATGTTAGTAAGTAGCTACAATGAAGAAACTACAATAGAAATGTATAGAAAGTATGGTGAGAACTCAGAAGTTTTTATTTTTTTAATTGATAAATAAGATTGTATTTATCATGTACAGCGTGATGTTTTGAAGTATAAATACATTGCAGAATGACCAAATTTAGCTGATAAACATGCATTACCTCACATGGTTATCATTTTTGTGGTGAGAACACTTACCCACTTTCTTGGTATTTTTCAAGAATACAATGTATTGTGATTAACAATAGTCACCATGTTGTATAATAGCTCTCTCAGAAGCTGTTTTTAAATAATGTTTCTCCCTAAAATTGGGTTTTGGAAATTTTGTGTTAAACATGAAAGGATGAAGCAGTTTTAGATCCTTGATTTTTAACTATTTACTGCTTTTGGTCGATAAGAACCCTTGAATCAGATGCTACAAGTTTATGTTTGGTCTTTGAGAGATTGACCTGCTTTTCTTAATGATGTCATTTCATTGATTTGTTGTACTTTTTATTAAGGCAAAATAGTAATTTGTTTAGCTGATCACCTTTATTTTTATAATTTATTTGAATTCTTTTTGTTGCCATCATTTATTGGGTCTGATCATGTTGTAATAGAAGAACAAGATTTGTAAGGATTTTCTCGTCTACAAAATGAGACTTGTTATGAGAATCAAATGAGAAAATGCGAAACCCACCTTTATGTATAAACATCTTGTATTTATTAAGCAGAGTTGATTGAACAAAGAATAGGGTGGATTGGTGTTTTATTTAGGAAAAAAATCAGGGCAGCTTTAGACCAGACAGACACACATACTGTGTTACTTTGGGAAAGTGTTTGTGGTGGGCCATTTTCAGTAATGAGTCGATTATGAAATAGATAACTTTTTAAGCATCTGGAACTGTTTGTGTGTGTGTGTGTGTGTGTGTGTGTGTGTGTGTGTAAAACTTAAATCTTGATAATAATCTTTTAAGTTAAATCATGAGAATGACAGACTTTGGGACTTTCTAACATAGTTTTTTTTTCTTTCCTTAAGAGAATAATATAATTGAAATTCTTGCATCGGCTGTTGAGTTATAAGAAATGTTTTGTAAGCTTTGTTATTAACCAGACACACCTTAAGCTTGGTAGTTGGACACATAACATCTGAATTGTAAGCTTTCTCTGGAACATTTTGAAAAGTGAACACAAACCAAGACTGCAGCAAAATAAGTAAGGATCAGGAAAATTTCTACTATGGAATGTGGAGGGAAATAATATGTGAAAAAGTAAATTCTTTCCATTGGCTTCTAAAGCTTTGCATTTCTCCCTAGCTTGTAGGGCCTTTTACTTTCTTTTGATAAGATCCTTGCTACTACCCAGTGGAAGTCTTCAAGCACATATCTGTGGTGTTATTGTTCTTTCAGCAGTTCAGTGGAAGTTCCAGGCAAGCTCCTGCTTCAAGCAAAACAATTTTTCTTTTTTTCTAAACCTTAAGAAGGCTGTTTTACTTCAGTATTTTACATGATACTGTAACCCAGGGATTGCTATTCTAGTTGGAACTCATAATTTCATTTTGACTGTTGCTCAGGCTGGTCTTGAACTCCTTGTTGTAAGTGATCCTCCTGACTTGGTCTCTCCCAAAGTGCTGGGATTACAGGTGTGAGCCACTGTCAATTCCTTTTTGAAACTGTGACTTTCCTTATGTTCATGAGATTAATCATGCATTTATGACTGCTTCAAATTATCTGAGCCTATTATTACTTCCATGCTATTTTGAAGTCTTTTAGCCCCATTCTTACTTCTGAGTTCTATTGTTTAATTTCCAACCATCTTTAGAACATTTCCATTTAATTGTATTAGCCAGTCTCCCAAATTTCCCATTTTGTTTGTAGCATTACTAGTCTTCTGAACTTAAAACCCTAGAGTCATCCTGAAAGTTCTTTATCCCTTTTACCAAGTCTGTTGTAAAGTCATGCATCTTACTGTGCAGTCTTTTTCATTTTTTAGGCCTTACCCATTTTTACTGTCACCTTTTTCTAGTGAATTTCAACTTGTATGTAAATTATTTCAATAGCCTTTGAATTGGATCTCCTTTATCTAGGTTTTCCCTCTAATCCATCTCGTACAAAGTGGCCAGATTAGTTTAACTAAAATAGCATTTGTTTTGTTGTCTTTGTGCCAAAGATCACACACTTTTCCTTCATTACTACTAAAATCACGTTCAGGTTTGGGTACTGGAAAGGGATCATTTTACCAATCCACTTGATCTCCCACTGCTTTTTCAGACCATCTCCTTCTGAAAGTAGGTACCGAGCAGTCCTCTGCACATACCATGTCTGTGCTTTTCTCTTTATCTTTGTAAATGATCTGGACCATAGTCGTGGTTTCACTGCCTCGCAGTCTATCCAGATCTCTCGGGAATTGTTCTGAAAGCTTCCCTGATTCTCCAAGACTGTGTCAGCTTCTCGTTTCTTAACAACAAAAGTTTCCTTGTAGGTATTTTTCATCTTTTCTCAACTAGATTATAAGCTTTTTGAAAACAGAGAGTCTACCTGTTCTACTTTTGTATTTGTGCTTTGCAGTTTTGGGGCAGATACGGTAAACACTGATTATTAAATAAGAAACTCAATTAGTGCGTTAATACGGTAGAGACATATATTCCAAGTTGGCTTTAACTTTTGAAATGTTTCTTTCACCTGCTAATTTATTAAATTCAATTGAAATCAGTAGGTTGGCCTTCACTTTTATTCCATAAATTTGGCCATTTTGGTAAATTTATCTTCTATTGGAAAATCGTTGCTTCCTAGATTTAGAAGTTTCTTAAAATGTTTGTAATTTGAATGTGATTCCAAGAAACTAGTCAAAATGTGAATCTGTGTTTCTGGAAACAACCAACCAGTGATTTTCACCTCCTTGTTTGTTTGCCAGATAAAAGCATTTGAAAGTCAACATAGACTTCCTTTTAAGATGTTGGAAGAGTGATCTCTTGAGTATTTGAATTCAGATGAGAAAACATTCAGTAATGTGATTATAACTACAACACTTCACGCTTCAAGAAGGACTCTTAGATCTGAAGGTCTAGAAGACAACTGAAAGGCTGTTATGTAAGATAAATCAAAAAGATCTTCATTTTCAATTTGGAGTAGCTGTGTACAAATAAGCTGTATGAAGAGTCTCTACTTTAGGCCGATTGTGGTGGCTCACGCTCATAATCCTGTTGCTTTGAGAGGCTGAAGTGGGAGGCTAGGAGTTCAAAAACAGCCTGGGCAACATATCGAGAACTCGTCTCTACAAAAAAAAAAAAAAAATTAGCCAGGTATGGTGGTACATGCCTGTAGTCCTAGCTACTCAGGAGGCTGAGGCAAGAGGATCCCTTGAGCTCAGGAGTTCAAGGTTACAGTGAACTGTGATTGCACCACTGTACTCCACCCTGGGCGACAGAGCAAGACCTTGTCTCTAAAAATAATTAAAAAATTAAAAAGAGTCTCTGCTTCAAGCTTGAGGACTATTTTGTAGGTTTGGTGGTTTGGGATAAAAACAAAAGGGAGTTTCTTGTGTAGTGGTGCCAAAATCAAGGTGATATTACAAAGTTGCTTTTGAATATTTTCATTTTCTGTTTTGAATTTGCACTCATGGAAAGCTAACAGCGCTACTTGCCTGCTGTTAATGTGTCCTGAGCCACTATCAGAAACAGAGTCCTAGGCTGGAAAGACCCAAAGAGCAGATGAATAAGGGATTTTATATATATCATAATCAGAGACTACTTGGATGAAAAGTTAGCTGCAAGCAGTGTTGTGTATGTGCTGTTTTTAAGAAAATGTTCAAGAATTGGTCTATAATATACTGCTAGTAAAGATGATCTTTCAGTTGTCTTTGGAGAAGTAGGCATCTTCAAAATACTCTCAAGTATGATTGGAGTGAAAATAATAACTTCATTCTTTATTTCCAAGCAAGTTAAACCATTATCAAGAGATAAATAACTTGTTTCTTAATTTAATTTTAAGCACTTTTAAATTTTGTTTTCCATCATTTCTTATGTGGTACCTTCTGCTTGGTTTCTTTCTACTCCTCTGCTTAAATAATACTTTTGAGTTTCTTTTCTTGCTTTTTTTTTTTTTTTTTTTTTTTTGGAGACCGAGTCTTGCTGTGTTGCCCAGGCTGGAGTGCAGTGGTGCAATCTCGGCTCACTGCAACCTCCACCTCCCGAGTTCAAGCGATTCTCCTGCCTCAGCCTCCTGAGTAGCTGGGATTACAGGTGCATACCATAGCGCCTGGCTAATTTTTGTATTTTTAGTAGAGACAGCGTTTCACCATGTTGGTCAGGCTGGTCTTGAACTCCTGACCTCGTGATCCGCCCACCTCGGCCTCCCAAAGTGCTGGGATTACAGGCGTGAGCCACTGTGCCCAGCCTGGAGTTTCATTTCTTTTTTGACATTTTGTTGTTATGGGATCCCTTTTAAAAATCTTTGCAGGGTATTGAATATTTTCTACATTTTCCTGCATTTTTTTAAATTAAAAAAAATCTTTTTAAGAGGTTTTTTAATTCCTTTCTTCAAAACCAGAAGACAAAAAAGACTGCCTCGTTGCCCTTTTGTCCTGGTTAACCTATTGAGTACGCAAGTCAGGGGTAAGAAATCCATCTTTTTTTGTGAATCAAAGCACCATTGATTCACACACAAAAATCAGTCAAGAGCTACCTGTAGCTTAAATTAGTGAGTTTATTGTATGACATGTATTATAGTTGGAAAAGAAGGGAAATGAGAGGAATAGGAAAGATAAAGTAATTCAGGCTTAGGCTAGCTTCAAAGTGTGTGTTTTTTGTTTTGTCGGTTTTTTGCTGTTTTTATCTAAGTTTTTAGTGGTGAGATACCTTCATGACAAGAGACTGTCACTTTTATTTTTGCCAAGTCAGAAACATAATTTGAACGATAACAGCTGTATTATTCCTAATCTTAAGTGTGATTCTTGGAAACTATTTGTTTCATTGTTCTGAGTCCCTCCCTGCTCCCTTTCTTGCCCAAATAAAATTCAGTTTTCTGATCCAGCTTGGTTTTATTTGGAACCAAACGAAACAATGGCAACATTTTTTAAAAATCTATGAAATATATTATTTTTTTTTTTTTTTTTTTTTTTTTTTTTTGAGACGGAGTCTCGCTCTGTCGCCCAGGCTGGAGTGCAGTGGCGGGATCTCGGCTCACTGCAAGCTCCGCCTCCCGGGTTCACGCCATTCTCCTGCCTCAGCCTCCGAAGTAGCTGGGACTACAGGCGCCCGCCACTACTCCCGGCTAATTTTTTGTATTTTTAGTAGAGACGGGGTTTCACCGTTTTAGCCGGGATGGTCTCGATCTCCTGACCTCGTGATCCGCCCGCCTCGGCCTCCCAAAGTGCTGGGATTACAGGCGTGAGCCACCGCGCCCGGCCTATTATTATTATTTTGAGATGGAGTCTTGCTCTGTCGCCCAGGCTGGAGTGCGATGGTGTGATCTTGACTCACTGCAGCCTCTGCCCCCCAGGTTCAAGTGATTCTCCTGCCTCAGCCTCCCGAGTAGCTGGGATTACAGGCGAGCACCACCACACCTGGCTAACTTTTGTGTTTTTAGTAGAAATAAGGTTTCACCAAGTTGGCTAGGCTGGTCTTGAACTCCTGACCTCAAGTGATCTGCCTGCCTCAGCCTCCCAAAGTGATGGGATTACAGGCCTGAGCCACTGCACCCGGCTCTACAAAATATTTTTTATGAATAAAGCCAGAATTTACTAAGAGTGAATATATCTGATTTTAAGTTTATAGTAGAGTTTAAAATGTAGGACCTATATTTTCAAGATAAGTTTGCAGATTGGATTTAGTAACCCGATCGTCTCTTCATGATTGTATGCCTTTTTCCAAGGGCTGTAAATAGGTATACCTTGGGCCTTGTCTGAGAAGCATAACCTTCTTGAACCTAAAGGACCCTTCAGACGAGAGCTTAGTAAAATAAGTTTAGAATGAGATTCTATTCTACCTTCATAACAGAGCATGTATCTTCTAGCAACACATTCTAATATCATTGTCAGAAATAATTTCTTATATCTAAGTATCTTTTTATTCTCTTTGTTGTTCCCTTCTAACTCAAATGGTGGAATAATCAATCTGCTTTCTTATTGGGGTACGTATTTTAAAATAAACTTTAATGAAGCTTGTCTGAGTTTATCTAGATCATTGGGAGGTGGTATTTTATGTCTTCCAAAGATCACACTCATTTTCCTATAGTGTACCAGGTGACTAGAAGCTTAAGAGCATCATAGCATCTGTCTTGATGATAGATTTTGGAAGAGTTCAGAAGACAATCTATTCTTTATCAGATTGAATTTTCAAGCTTTGATTCTTTTCTTGAAGTTACTTCTACATATTAATCAGTGAGGAAAATTTCTTAACAAAGCTTATTATGTAGCATGAAGTAGAAGATTCAAGATCTTGCCTGCCTTTCTCTGTGTTACCACAAGTGTGTGTTTATCTACAGTACTTGGCACACACACACACACAGTGTCTTATTGTGTGTTCTTTAGTTTTATTTAGGAAGCACTGGCATATTTAACTGTACTAGTGTCTACTGTGTATAGTAAATGAAACTTCTTTGGAGACTGAGTCTTTTAATTATACTCCTTGCTTTGAAGAGAAGGAGATAATTTTTCATTAAAATTAGAAAGTTAAACGGATATTAAGTTGATGCTGAATTGCAATGCCAGATTCTAGAGTCTATGTCAGCTCCATTTTCAGTCTAGCAGCCGTTAGTAAAAGACACTCGGAATCCATTTTCCCCCATCCAGACTATTAATATTAAATAAGACTGACAGCAAGGATTTAGTGATTAGAAATACTATGTACTTTGTTCCACTGCCTTTCAACAAGAATCAACATGTAAAGTTGAAACTTCCTGACCAGAATTTGGAAGACTATGATGTAATTCCCTGGGCCTTGATTCCAGAAGAAGGAGCTCTCTGAATATGGGTTTACTAGTTGGTGGTGAATTCATGAGTCGCCAACTATTAGGCCTTTATGTCCAGATATTATCCTAATTTATGGAGTAAGGTCCCTGAGTTCTCCTCTTTCCTTCCACAGGGCAAGCAGGAGGACTTCAAGACGACAGTTCTGGAGGGTATGGAGACGGCCAAGCATCAGGTGAGGGTGGCATTAGATGCTTGCCACTTAGTAGCAAGAGCCGCCAAGTAGGAATTGATGCTTGCAAGTGTTTTTGGCTGTGGTATCCACATTTTAGCCAGAAGCGCAGGTGAAATTTAACCCACAGGACATAATAGTATAGTAGGAGAGAGTGTAGTGAGAACAAAGGCAAGCAAAACCTTTTGAAGTCCTCAGGCCGATCTCAGCCCTCCACTCTTTGTGTTTTCGAGGAGATGGCGGGTACTTTTCTCCCCAGCAGCCTTTCTATTAATAGTAAACATGATATAGAACATAGACTTAGGAATCATGGGACCCTTAAAGAGAAATACAGCAGTATACACAGAGAGGAAAAGTCACAGGCTCAAAAGTCTAAAAGCAAAAACAAACGGGACTGAGAGGCATTCTAGGACTAGTCAGAGGAACTATGTGGGCAAGTGACATCTTTTTAAAAATGGTTGTTACAGGGTATTGGGTACCTTTTTTCAGTTAACATTACGTAGTTAATCATTCTTCAGTTTAAACATTTTGTTTCTCATGTGAAAAATGTCTTTTGAAAAGTCTGAAATACTTTTTTCTGTTCAGACCAAACAGTATGAGATTTTTACTTCTAGGAAAAAGTAAAGAATTTATAGGGGCCACCATCTGGAACAGTTAAAATTTATCCCAGCAATCCAAAATAACGTATCTGGATTTCATCCTTTGTCTCTTGAAGGATGTTTTTGTTCCAGTTGCTCAAAGCTGGTTTATAGATACGTTTTGATAGAATTGGAATAGGCACTACTTCACTTTTGGAGGTTGTCACTTTTCAACTGTCTTAAGTCTACTTTAAAATTATTTGTTTTGCAGTTTGCATATAACAGGTCCTGGGACTGTTTCTATTTCACTCTCTTGAACTAAAGGTAGTTCATTGTTAATACAGCAATTAGTAATAAGGGGATCCAGAATGTTAGGAGCAGACTTTTAAAAATGCTGTCCCAAGGATTGCAGGTTGATAATCAGTACATGGTTATCTTAGCAGAATTAAACCCTGTTCAGAGTCTAGATCTGTGGCATATAAACCTTGAAGAATGCTTTTCATCAAATGACGCACAATTAGATCTTCCATGGAACTGTTGAAGATCAGGGATGGCCTTTAGAGTTCTAATCTTGAAGAAAGAAGTTGAGTTTTCTTGTTTTTTGTTTCTGTTTTTTTTTTGTGTGTGACTATTTGCTCTTTTGCATTAAGTAAACAATATCATATATTGCTGAAAGTGAAAGCAGACTTTCATATAAAAGTGTGCTGCTGATTACTGTTAGTAGAACATGAATTTTAAGTGTTTCCAGGAATGATGGTGACTGTTGTAAAACCTTCAAGATCTCTCTTCCAATCTTTGTCACGTTCAGAAGCATGCATTTGTGAAATGATCAATCAGGGTTAGAAATGTGCTTGTAAGAGATCAACATTCTTCTCTTAATGAAGCCAGATGACCCTCATGGGTATCTTGGTGCCAGGATCATATCTTGACTTCTTAAAACCCACCTCAAGTTGGTGTACACATCCTAAATCTTAGAGCTAGAAGAGAACTTGAGGTCATCTTGTCTAACTTCCTGCCTTCAAACAGTATTTTATCTCCCTTATTTTATGGATTAGGATCTGAAACCCAAAGAAGTTAAATAGATTGACCAGCAATACACCAGCAGTTCTGGAGAAGGAGAACCCAGGGATCTTGCTTCTTAGTGCAAAGACTATTCCTTACACCCTTAGAATCCTTTAAAATAGTGTTTACCCTAGAAATTAAAAACTCTGAAGTATAGGAGGTTGTACAATTCTCTTTTCGTTTTCTCTCTCCTCCCCCTATTCCTTATTCCTTTTATTTTAAAACATTCTAGGACTTGATATGATACATCTCTAGTTTTCTCATATTAAGTAAAGTCTTTAATATGTAGATCACCTCAGGCTTTTATTTTCACGCTAGAAATCTAGTTATAGTTATCTACTTGATATAAAAAATTAAAGGCAAGTAACTCTCATGGAGGCCTTCTTTTCTTTGTTAATTTTTATATCTCTATTACCTTACTGCAGTCAAGATGCTACCTATATCTTACACGAATCAAGAGGAAGTGATTTAATGGAATAGAGGACCTGTCATCTCACCTGCCTCTCCCGCTTTTTCTACTTCTAATTAACCTACTTCAAAAGGTCTAAATTATTCCTTCAAATATTTAACTACATTTATTATGTATTCAGAGAAAGTATAAGCCAGTCAGACCATTAGAAAGGGCAGTTCTGCTTTAGAGTGACTGCATTCTGAAAGGTGATGCTGGAATTTCCTGTATAAAGGTGGTGAGCAGGAAGGAACTGAACAGAAAGTAAGACTGGTATTTAGGCAACTTGGAGCTTTTTAATAATTTTTGAATGTTTCAAAGACAACGTTTTGGAAACATTCTAAATTTTCAGAATACCAGATTCCATTACTTAATGGAAAACGCAAACACCAGAGTACAAAACTATCAGAGCCAAGTGTAAATTACTTCTGAATTAATGTGTACTGTTGGTACTTTTAGGATGTTATTAAAATCATTTGTATTCTAAAAGATTTTTCCTCTGAAAGAGATAGGTACTCATGAGTTAGATTATCCAAAATGGTGTCTATTACTTCATTTTGGTACTATCCTATAAGAAGGATGTTTTGATTTAGCTTCTCAACAGTTTAGGTTACAAATTAACATACATTTTTTTTTTCTTTAAGAAAAGGTTAGCTTTTTATCTTGCAGGCTTTTCACCCTGGTTTTGATAATGGTCTTCATTCCTTAAAATAAGTATCCCTAAACACCAAAGGGAAGGAAATAATTATTGAGAGTTTTTAGAGACCATTTTTCATTTTTAAAAATGATATCAGAGTATTGAGAATAGCTAGTTTTCTTAGATGCTGTTTAGAAGATAGAGATGGAGAAGAATATTATTCCAAGCATACATTAATGTCACCACATTTAGTTTCTTTAAATGCCTTTGTTTAAACTTCTGATGTTTGATTTAAAAATACTTTGAAACTGCTGGATGACATATAAATAACATTTCTTAATCATTACATATTCTCAAAAATTCCCCAAATTAGCCAACTACATTAGAGTGATTTTTGATAAGAACATCTGAGGCCAGGCGCATTGGCTCATTCCTGTAATCCTAGCACTTTGGGAGGCCGAGATGGTGTATCGCTTGAGCTCAAGAGTTTGAGACCAGCCTGGGCAACATGGTGAAACCCCATCTCTACAAAATATAAAAAAATTAGACATAGTGGCTTGTACCTGTAGTCCCAGCTACTTGGGAGGCTGAGGCAGCCCAGCTACTTGAGCTCAGGAGGTGAAGGTTGCAGTGTGAGATTGTGCCCCTGCACTTCAGGAGCCTGGACAACAGAGGGAGACCCTGTCCTTCCCCCTGCCAAAAAAAAAAAAAAACATCTGTAGTGAGCAGCCAAATGTACTATAAAATTTGGTATTTTATCCTACATGATTTTTCTGTCATTGAAAAATAGTATTTTGCAGTAGAATGTTCAGTGACTACTTATTAAATGTATAGAAGATAACATAGCTAAGGAAGAAAACTACCATTTTTGGCAGGGAGAAGTGGAATTTAATAGAAATCATTGATTTTCATGTTAATAGTATATACTTATGAATTATACCAAGAATTGACCTATTTAGAGATACTTGGTTGAAATACTCAGGATTTAATGTGTAGATAAGTTCTTTATAATGTGAGTTATTTTTAGTCTTGGTGGTTTTGTTTTGTTTTCAGTTTTTATTTATTTTGATTTGGGAATGGGAGCTGGGGACATCAAAGCCATATAGTTTAGAAAATTTCACATTACTGAAATAAACTGTATCCACAATAGTAAGCATTTCTTCTTTTCTTGCTGTAATTTCATGCTCCACCTACAATATGGCTTTTACTATTTTTTTATTTTTTATTTTTTTTACCCAAGGAATAAATTATCCTGACAGTCTTTAATTTTGGGTATGGATTAGTTAAATGTAAGGATTGTTGATTTGATTTAGTAATGTGAGACACAATGTTTATGTCCTCATTATCTACAGTAGATGGATAGTTTTTTCTCCTGGTCTCTAAGAATAGTATTTCTTAATGTGTGGCCCATGATTGGCATTAGGCGTTTTTGCTTGACCACTTGTTAAACATGATTTTTTTCTAGGTAGTGTTTGCCATTTGAATGTCTTTGTGGAAACAGACTCCTTAATAGCTTAGCTATAATTTTCTAAGTTAACATCTTTACCTGCCTTGTTTTTTTAATTCTCCTAATCTTACTAATACCTTAGCATTAGTTTTGCTTCCATTATCAGTGCTTCCAACTTCTTGTTTTATGTGCTTTAAAATGATTATATATGGGCTGAGCATGGTGGCTCACTCCTGTAATCCCAGCACTTTGGGAGGCTGAGGTGGGTGGATCACTTGAGGCCAGGAGTTCCAGACTAGTCTAGCCAACATGGGGAAACCCTGTCTCTACAAAGAATACAAAAAACATTAGCCAGGCATGGTGGTGCATGCCTGTAGTCCCAGCTACTTGGGAGGCTGAGGCAGGAGAATCGCCTGAACCCAGAAGGCAGAGGTTGCAGTGAGCCGAGATCGCGCTACTGCACTTCCAGCCTGGGCGACAGAGTGAGACTCCCTCTCAAAAAAAAAAAAAAAAAAAAAAAATTATATATGGATATCTGGCGCCTATTTTGTTACTTATATGTAATTACTTAAATGGTATGGAATTTTGAAACTCTTTAAATTGAATCTTGATAGTTTTTATAAGCTGGTGGATAAGTACATCTATAAGGTGATTTTAGAAATACATTTGCATTTATTGTGCTTGTGTTTTTAAGATCACCTAATAAAGGTGTACTTATCCACCAATTTATAAAACTATCAAGACAATACCCAATTAATTGAAGAGTTTGAAAATAACATGTTTTTTGGGAGGTTGAGGCAGGTGGATCACCTGAGGTCAGGAGTTCGAGACAAGCCTGGCCAACATGGTGAAGCCCCGTCTCTACTAAAAATACAAAAAATTAGCCAGGCATGGGAGCGGGTGCCTGTAATCCCAGCTACTCGAGAGGCTGAGGCAGGAGAATCGCTTGAACCCAGGAGGCAGAGGTTGTAGTGAGCCAAGATCGCACCACTACACTCCAGCCTGGGCAATAAGAGTGAAACTTCGTCTCAAAAAAAAAAAAAAGAGAAGAACGTATTTTACTTGCAGTGTATAGTGTATGTATACACTATATGTATATGTGTTATAGATTATACATAGTAATATTAGTAGTATATAGTAAAGCATTTCTAATGTTTCTGCCAGCAAATGTAAATTCCTTGCATTCTTCTGTCTTATTGTTGTCTGCTTAATTTCTCTCACTGCTTGCCAGCGTTGAATTATGATTACTAATGGATGATACTGTTGATGGGATTGTGATTTTCTGCTGTTGATTATTAAAGTCATCTTTCTGTTTCATGCTGTAATCCTAAAAGAAGGCATGTGATTGTGTTTTTCGCTCCACAGCTTCTTTTGCTTTCCTGTTAGTGCATTTTCCTTTATTCTGGTTCTTTAGTTTTAAATTTTATTGTACACCTGTCAGTAGTGCTAATTTTAATTAGATCATCTAATATGATAAAGTTATTTTATGGACAAAGAAACTATTTTAAATGCTTTGTCTTATAAGGTAGTTGTTTCACTCAGTAAAGTATAAACTTTGGAATGTTAAGCTCAAATAAGTGGCTAATATCTAAGGAAGTTTCAGCTTTTGAGACAATTGAAAATTTTTTAAAAAGGTCAGTCTGTGAGTGAGGCAAAGGAATTTAAGCGTCATCACTACCCGTTTTGTATTCACTTGCACTTTTCCTAGATGTCCTTTGCTTTCTTCGTTAGGTGTGGAGGGCGCAGCTTTCCAGAGCCGACTTCCTCATGACCGGATGACTTCTCAAGAAGCAGCCTGTTTTCCAGATATTATCAGTGGACCACAACAGACCCAGAAGGTTTTTCTTTTCATTAGAAACCGCACAGTAAGTTTCCATTTCAGCTTTTTCACCTGGATTATAAAAAGTATATATGGCTTTGATAGAGAATATGGGAAAAATAAAAAGAGAAGAAAGAATTCTAAAATTATCTATAATACTATTATTACCCAGAGATAACCTTTGTTAATAGTTATTTTTCATTTGGGTATTTAAAAAATGTATATATAATTTTTGTTTTCATAAAATTGAGATCCTTCTTGGATACATTCTTTTGGATCCCTTTTATACTTCACAACCTCATAAATACACATTAAGAATATTTATTTAGGCTGGGCGTGGTGGCTCACACCTGTAATCCCAGCACTTAGGGAGGCCAAGGCAGGTGGATCACCTGAGGTTAAGGGTTCGAGACCACCCTGGCCAACATGGCAAAACCCTTTCTCTACTAAAAATACAAAAATTATCTGGGCATGGTGGCAGGCACATGTAGTCCCAGCTACTTGAGAGGCTGAAGCAGGAGAATCGCTTGAACCTAGGAGGTGGAGGTTGCAGTGAGCCGAGATCGTGCCACTGCACTCCATCCAGCCTGGGCAACAGAGTAGAGTCCATTTCAAAAAAAAACAAAAACCTTTAAGCATTAAAAAATAATAATAATAATCACTTTGTCCTTCCCTCTGAAGAGAAATCTTTACCCTGTTCTGCTCATCTTGTTCAGCCTCTTCCTCTGGCTGAATGATTTAACTTCAGTGTCTGCATAATATTTTGTCTGACAGTTGGGTTATAATTTGACTGCTGGACATTTGTTGCCGATTTTGCTTTATTATAATTAACTCTGGACAGTCTTATGCATTCTTGACTCTACCTATTATTTCCTTATGATAGAATTATAGAAGGAAAACTACGTTGTCAAAGGGTTATGAACACTTTTAAATGTTTTGGACATATTGCCAGATTGCTTCCCAGAAAGGCTGAACCAGTCAACCCCTCCCCTCCGCATTGCCCTGCCCATTTTTATTAAAACAGTGATAATCTATGCTCCTATAATTGGCCAAAACCATCTCAGTTCTTTTTCATTTCTTGGATTACTGACTGCTTTTCACATTAGTCATTTGTATTTCTTCTGTAAATTTTTCTTTCATATCTTTTATTCATCAGGAATTCTTATTTAGCCAGAGAGTAAATGGATGAGGGAAAGGTGCTATTCAGAACATGCTCATGTTACTCTAGGGTGGTACAACGCAGAAGAAATTAACCTTGTGATTCAGCTAACTTGAATATGAATATAGCTCAGAGATGTCATTGATATGTCTGCTTTTTAGCCACCACCAGCTTCTTTGTTTTGGCTATTAGATTGCAAAACCACTGCTTAATTTCGATTGTTAAAGCAATTGATAGGTTATCCTGGGTTTTTGTAAAACAGAAAAGAACAGTGAAGAAAAGATGGTGAGTTTTTTAAAAAGTGAACAGAAAATTCTTAGTGTGTAGTCGCTGATTTGTCTTATAATTGAATCAGTTTCTGTGTATAGCATATCAACATTTGCTCTAAGTGGATTTTTTTTTAGACAAAATTGTCATTTTTTTGTTTGTTTGTTTTATCTGAAGAGAGTTTTCACTTTTTACTTAGATTTGAGCGATGGATTTACAGGGATCTCTGTCTTTTCTGATTCACCAAAAATCCAGATTTGGGGAAGGGTTTCCCGATGTTAGATTTGTGGTCTCTGGCTGTGAAACAGAATGTAAATCAACCTCTACTGCAAGAATTTTATCAGTTCTCTAGTCTTAAACTATAATACTTTAAAACTGCAACTTTAGGATTATTGAACTAGACTGTGACCTAAGTGTTATTTTGTAGGAGGAGGAGGAGGAAGACTTGTGTTGGGAGTGAGGAACTTGGGCCCAGTGTGTACTTGAGGAAATCCATTTACCTTACAGTGGCCACAGAGTAGAGTATCTGTGTGGATTTGGTCATAATCCCTTAGTAATTTGGTTTATTTACATATAGCCAAATTAATTTCTTCTTGGTTGAAAGTTGTCTTATAGAGCAGTCTTTATTAATTTTTAGCTAAGACTTAAATATAGTAGTGTTTAGTTTGTCATGCATTTTGCAAGTATATACTCACTTTGAAGAGAATTCATTTTAGAGCCCATTGATTGTACCATATGTTTTTTTATGTCTCATCTGTTTTTTCAGCAGTATTTGAAATAATTGACTGCTCCTTTCTTCTGAAACACAGTACTTCCTTGGATTTGATAACTCAGTATCTGGTTTTTCTCCTGCCTCTCTGGGTGTCTTCTCTGATTGCTTTGTAAGATGATCCTTAACAATTGGCCATTATGTGGACTATTTGGAGTTCCTTCTCCTCTTGCCCTATTTTTTCCTCTAGGAACCCTTCTCAATGCATTTGACTTCAGTTATTACCCATAAGCAGATGACTCCAGACCTTCTCTCTCTTCTGAGCTCCAGACCCTATATCCATCTATTTTATATTTCTTCTTGTTATCTTGGAGCTAAACTCATTATCTTATTTCTTCTTTCAGTGATTCCATTCAGTGTCTGGCGTACCAACTCGCTTAGTTGTACCAAAATGGAGATGTTGTCCTTGACACCTTTCTCCCCAACCTCGACATATCTAGTTGATCATTAGATTTTTGTGGATTTTATCCACTTAGTATCTCTGGAGTCATATAACCCAGGTTTGAATGCTAGTTGCTCCCTTCTAGCTCTATGGATTTGGCAAGTTACTAGGTGGTTTTCTCTTTTAGGCTAAATAACCCCAGCTTCTTCAGTAATTTACTTATTTGATATGGCTTTGTGTTCATCAGTTTCTTTTTCAGGAGTATAACGTCACTGTTTTAATTAAAGGAAAGCCCATGTTTGGGGCCTTAAAGTTAAAAGGATGATTTTATTTATTTTTATTTTTATTTTTTGAGGTAAGCTCTTGCTCTGTTGCCCAGGCTGTAGTACAGTGGTACGATCATGGCTCACTGCAGCCTCGACGTCCCGGGCTCAAGCAGTCCTTCTGCCTTAGCCTCCTAAGTAGCTGGGACTACAGGCATGTGCCACCATACCCAGCCAGTTTTTATATTTTTAGTTGAGATGGGGTCTCACTATATTGCCTAAGCTGGTCTCAAACTCCTGGGCTCAAGTGATCCTTCCACCTCAGCCTCCCAAACTGCTGGGATTATAGGTGTGAGCCACTGCAGCCAGCTAAAAGATGATTTTAAAGATAGTCAAATAACATATGTCTATTTGTATGTAATACAATTTATGTCATTTAAATGCAGCTGCAGTTGTGGTTGGATAATCCAAAGATTCAGCTGACATTTGAGGCTACTCTCCAACAATTAGAAGCACCTTATAACAGTAAGTAGTGTGTTCAATAGGACTAATTTGTACTGGATTGTGAAAATTGATACGTTCTTCTAGGAGCCTCATGGTTCCTTGATAATTAATTTTTTCATTCATATTTCCATGTTATTTCACCTTGTGCTGTGCAAAAATAAGTCTTATAGAAAACCTGTTTTCTATGTTTTTATTCATCTTCTGGTCTTTAAATTGTGTTAACAGATGAGTTCAAGAGATTGCTAAGTACTCTTCCTAGACCTGTTGTCCAGCTTTGATCCATGGAATACTTCGGCGCTTCATGGCTCACTATCTGGTTTTCTTATTTCAGACTTGGCACCAACAATGTCTTGTGATGTTTTTGCCAAAGTAAATGAGTGTTATAACTACTTTGTGAAGGTTTGGTTTTATTCTCATTCCATTTGTGGTGGAATGAAATTCTTAAAAATTTTAAATTAGACAGACACAGTGATGTGCACCTATAGTCCCAGCTACTCAGGAGGCTAAGGTGGGAGGATTTCTTGAGCCCAGGAGTTTGAGTTCAGCCTGGGCAACATAGTGAGACCCCTATCTCTCAAAAAAATTAAAAATTAAATCAATACAATTCCAAATTATGTGTTACACATTTTGGCCTGCTTCACAGACTAATAGTTCTAAGAATCACATTGATTGAGTGAGTGAGTGATTGACAGTGTCTCCTTCTGTTGCCCAGGCTGGAGTGCAGTGGCGCATTCACAGCTTACCTCAGCCTTGATCTGCCAGGCACCATCATGCATGGCTAATTCTTTGTTTTTTTGTAGAGTCGGGGTCTTTACAGTGATTTATTTATTTTTTGAGATCTGATCTAGCCTGGGCTAGAGCGTACAGGTACAGTCATAGCTCCCTGTAGCTAGGAACTCCTGGGCTCAGGTGATCCTCCTTCCTCAGCCCCCCAAGTAACTAGGACTATGGGCATGCACCATCATACATGGCTAATTTTTTGTTTTTTATAGAGACAGGGTCTTGCTGTGTTTCCCAGGCTGGTCTTGAACTCCTGGCCTCAAGTGATCCTATCACTTCAGTCTCCCAAAGCCACTAAGATTGTGTGCATCAGCCACCGTGCCCAGCCTTAGAATTACTTTTTTAAAGGAGTCACATGACTTGAAGCTTAATGGTTTTAAGGACTTCATGATGGAGAAATGGAAGAGTTAGAAGAATATTGTTTAAACTGCTGAAAATAAAACCGTGTTTTTAATCCACTTATTCTGTAGGTGATACTGTGCTTGTCCACCGAGTTCACAGTTATTTAGAGCGTCATGGTCTTATCAACTTCGGCATCTATAAGAGGATAAAACCCCTACCAAGTAAGGACCTCCTACCTGGCTGATAAATTTTACATTTTTAAGTTACGGTTTCAGGACTGTATTTTATATCTATGATGACGTTAGGATTTTATTTTGATTCATAAGACTATATTTAAAAATATTTCCAAGTTTATCTTCTTAAAGTCAAGTTAAATATAATAAATAAATAATAAAAAATATAGTCTCTTAATAAATGTGCATTTCCCTTAATTTCTAGTTTGATAGCTACTTAGTAAAAGATACTGGATTTCCAATTTAAAAAAAAGAATAAAACAGTACAATTTGTTAAAAATGAGAGGAGTTCATTCTGAGGTTTTTCTCTCATTGACCCATTCTTTATGTTGTCAATAGTTGATTTTTTAATGCTTTAATCATTTTTTCAAAAGGAGACTTAAGACTACAAGGTTAGAGGTTAAGGGAAATAGCTTATATGCAGAATGTGTCCTAATGTAATTATGAAGTAAATGAAGCAGATTATTAACAAATTAACTAAGAATCACAGATACTGAAACACATGCCTGAGGTAATGAGAAAATAAATCTTAAGATAGTGGATTTGATTTATAAATGTTCGACACTGAATTTGAATTCATAAGTTTCAGATATTTGTTAATTTATTTTCAGGTAGTTTCCATATTTTGAAAATAACTCTCTGTATTTTTTACTTTGTAAGCTATTATGTTAAGAACCTAGAGGTTTTCATGAAATAAGACTGTAAGTACAAACTTTTATACCTAAAACAAAATCTTTTTTTTCATTTTTTGCTTTTAGCTAAAAAGACAGGAAAGGTAATTATTATAGGCTCTGGGGTCTCAGGCTTGGCAGCAGCTCGACAGTTACAAAGTTTTGGAATGGATGTCACACTTTTGGAAGCCAGGGTAAGAA
The DNA here is from genome assembly GCF_000001405.40 of Homo sapiens. Lineage (NCBI taxonomy): Eukaryota > Metazoa > Chordata > Mammalia > Primates > Hominidae > Homo > Homo sapiens. Next base: position 23,056,046 of record NC_000001.11, read on the forward strand.
TTTCATTTTGAGTTTAGAGGCTTGACCTATTGGAAATATGGTAAGCAAATTATCTGTTGCAAATTAAAGAATTATACAACTTGAACTAAGCTAAATTGATTTGTATAATACTCAGAGTATTTTGGATAGTGTTATTTATATTTTTAAAAAGCTTTTTTTTTTAATGAATGCTTTGAAAAGTACTCTGTGAAGAGGGTTTTAGAGTATTTCTTTTCCTGACTGATATTTTCAGATCATTATTTCTTGTAGTTAGCTCTCAAATTTGGGGCCTTCATGGACATATCCTTTGTTAGGAGGCAGTTATTTTTGATGGTGGAACAGAGTGAATTCCCTGTTTTTGATAAAGAAAAAAAGCTGCTTCTCAGGCAGGAACCATCTTTTAGAAGCCAAGATACTGGTTTTTTTCCTGTTAGTCCTAGAGAGAGAAATGGAAACAGGAGGAGCAATAAGGGATAATGGCACACAGTAGGAAAAAGAGCATCATATTAGGATGCTACTATTCAAGCTATTTTCATGAATAATTTTTGAAATCTAATGATCTTCTAATGGCTTTGAACTGCTAATTTTTTAAAAGAGTATGGGGAAATTGAAATTAAATATTTTCCTGATATACTATTATTAAAAATTTTATATATTTAGAAAACATCTTTGTGCACTTTGTACATTTTGTATTAAAAAATACAATAAGGAATAATAGGACCATTTTGATTCCTACCCATGAGGAGTTTGTAATCTAGTATGTAGGTTTTTGTTTTGTTTGCATTTTTGTTTGTTTGTTTGGAGTTCCAGAGTACTCTTACATTATTTATAATCATTAAATTATCGCTACAACTCAGCCATACTTGAAAATCCCTCGTCAGCAGTGATAAACCTGGGCCTATTTAGGGATAAAAGGTATTGTGAACAGGCTATGTTCAGTATGGACTCTCTGCCCCTGGGCATGGGGGTGCACTGGAGAACCATTTGTCAGAAAAATTATCCATCAGATTTTTCCCCGCTAACTTTGGGGATCAGGGTGTAAGAGTCAGATTACAGTGGTAGAAAGTTGGTGTTTAAATAGTGTTGGGATTTGTGAACAAATATTTTCTATATGGGTGGCCCTGTACATTAAAAGGTATTATAGACAACTGGATAGAGTGGTACCTGTGACTAAATTTATCTTCCAGCTGTCAAGACTGTTTTATATCACATCATTTAATTCTGTGTCGTTTAGTTATATGACATTTAATTATATGTCATTTGTTGCCTGCTTCTCCTTCAAATAGTCTTCAAGTTAAACTTCATTTGTTCTTTGTGCCCATAGTACTGTTGATTGCATTCCATGTAAACTCTACATCTTTATTTTTAAATTATAGAAGACAGAGCCGTGGTATGGTACTATGCCAGGTTTGTGGTTAAAACAGAATTGATGATTTTGGCTACTTAATTTCTGAAACAGGATCGTGTGGGTGGACGAGTTGCCACATTTCGCAAAGGAAACTATGTAGCTGATCTTGGAGCCATGGTGGTAACAGGTCTTGGTAAGTAGCTATTGGTTTGTGCTATATAGTACATGGTCTAAGACTCATAAAAGAAATTTAAAGCCAGAGATGCTATTTTAAAATGTATTGGTTTAGAATAGTCATCTTCCGTTTAGTGAGAGGTATAGCAGTATGTGGAAAATGTAAATTGTACATATCTTTTGACCTAGAGTACCTTTTTCTAGTTCTAGGAAATTATCATATGAAGATAAGTAGATAATGTTGTGTTTGAAGCTTTTTTTTTTTTTTTTTTTGTGAGACAGAGTCTCGCTCTGTCACCCAGGCTGGAGTGCAGTGGCGTGACCTCCACTCACTGCAGTCTCCTCCCTCAGCCTCCCGAGTAGCTAAGACTACAGGCACACACCACCATACCCAGCTAATTTTTTGTATTTTAGTAGAGGCGAGGTTTCACTATGTTGGCCAGGATGGTCTCGATCTCCTGATCTCATGATTAACGTGGCATTGTTTTTGTTTGTTTCGAGACATGGTCTCGCTCTTTTGCCCAGGCTGGATTGCAGTGGCATGATCTCAGCTCACTGCAACCTTTGCCTTCCATGCTCAAAGGATCCTCTCACCTCAGCCTCCCTAATAGCTTGGAGTACAGGCATGGGCCACCATGCTTGGTTAATTTTTAATTCTTTGTAGAGATGAGGTCTCACTATATTGCCAGGCTGATCTGAATTCCTGGGCTCAAGCAGTGCTCCCAAAGTGCTGGAATTACAGCACTGGTCTCAAACTCCTGACCTCAGGTGATCCACCCACCTCGGCCTCCCAAAGTGCTAGGATTACCAGCATGAGCCACCATGTATGGCTTAAACTAGCTTTTGAACAAGCTTATAGGACAAGTACAAAGAACCCCACTAATTTATGCTTGTAATTACAAATACGTTTCATGGCTTTAGAAATCTAAAGAGATAGGTTAGTAGCTTTATGAGCCACAACGCCCGGCCTTGTTTGTTTTTAATAGAAACAGGGTCTTGCTCTGTTGCCCAGGCTGATGTTGAACTCCTGGCCTCAAGAGATTCTTCTGCCTTAGCCTTCCAGAAGGTTGAGGTTGTGGGCATTAGCCAGCTTGCCCATCCCTGGTATTGTTTTTCATAGCAGAACATTAGAAACCACAGATTAGAATATTATACGATGAGAAATATACAGCCACTAAAAATCATGTAGCTCCGTATTAGCGTAAAACGATGTCCACAATATATTGCTAAGTTGAAAAGATATTATAAAACAATACGTATTATGATACTTTTTTGTGTGGGTCTGTAATTTTATACACTTAAAATCTAGAAGAATCTGTAATGTTAATTAGTGGGATTATAGGTAATTTTTTTGCCTTCATGTTTGTCTTACATATTTTTACTTAGAGTGCTTTTTTTTTTGAGAAATAATTACATACTGTAAGCTTTTGAGCTTTTTATATTTTGAGTAAAAATATTTTTTACTTTAAGGTTTTTGTTCTCTCTTCATAGGTCTATTGAATTTAATTGCTTGAGTTTTTTTCTAGGAGGGAATCCTATGGCTGTGGTCAGCAAACAAGTAAATATGGAACTGGCCAAGATCAAGCAAAAATGCCCACTTTATGAAGCCAACGGACAAGCTGTAAGTCGAGGACAAACAGAACTTTCAACATTTCTTTGGTTCACTTGAAAACAATTTTAGGAGAATGGTATGGATGAGCATATACATATATACACATATAGAGGTGTATATATATATAAACTGAGGGTAGAGATGATGTGATGTTATTCTGGTTGTTTCTTAACTCTTGAGCTATGTAGGAAAGGATTATTGTATATATACACATTTACCTGTCTGTTTAACATTTATCTTTAGATATTTAATGAAGGCTAGCTAGACAGTTAATCTTTTTATTTGGCTGTGGCCACTTACTCCAAGGGACTTATGGAATTGAAACCTGATTCTTCGGTTTTTTTTGTATTGTGCCTTCCATCACGTGCTTTAGCTCCATGTGTTCTTTATGACTTCAGTTCTGTGTTCATAGGCTAACATTTTTGATGGGCTAATAGCCAAATGGTGGTACTTACTCACATGCTTAGATAGGCTAAAGTATTTATTGACCAGAGGCATAGGAGCTTCCTATACTTAGTATGACAATAGCATGAAAGTGATGAATGGTATGGGGAATTGCACAGTTTAATGACTGTAAGATAAGCTTAGATTACATAAGTCAGTCCTAATTTTTTACAAGTGAGTGAAATTCAAAAGTTTGTATTTAGCAAAATTTTACTGACTGCCTTTATCAAAATGAGAGCCCACACTTCTCAGGATATAAGTACATATTGTCTTTATATTTGGGGGAAATGGTGATTTCCTATGTATACGGTGGGTTTAGCTATTCTTACTAAAAGTAGTAGGATCCCAACTCGTGAATTTTGTGTGATATGTCTCAAGGAACATCCTCACTTACTCCTATCTACCTTAAGGCTTTATGGGGTTCATATCAGAGAAGGACAGACTCTCAGGGAATGCTTTGGTTTCCATCCCCACCATCATGGTCCAAATTTCCCACCAGGGCTTGGGTGGGGTGGATAACAGGAGGCTTCTTGCAGAATAAACTGAGCAGAATGAGAGAGAAAGGATGAAATAGAGATGAACTCAACAATTGAGTAAACTTCTCTTACTCTACCAAGATCTGTAAAGGATATAGAGATGAATAAGGTAGTCCCTGCTATAGTGGTGCTTGTAGAGAAATAATTCTTTTTTCCCAACTTTTTATTATGGAAATTTAAAAACACGGACTGAAGTAGAAAGAGTACTATAGTGAACCTCTGTTTTCCCAATCTTGTTTTATCTGTCCCATTCCTGCACTTTTGAGTCCAGGGGAAGTCTGGAGTATTTTAAAGCAGATCACAAACATATCATCCATAAATATATTAATACCAGTAACATAAAGTGAAAGCCAAGGATTAGATAGAAGAACAAATTGCTATGGAAGAACCAAGGTGGCAAGAGGGTGTATGAAGGTGTAAGGGAAAGGACACTAAGAGATCTGGAGGGAAGGAGAGCATTTGTAAATGGCAAATCAGGATTTCAACATGTGTTTATGGAAGGGAAAAGCATTGCTGGCAGAGGAGGTTTAAGTCTTAAGTAGAGAAGTCTGTAAAGGAGGGTAGGATTATACCAGCGAGGGTAGGAAGATAGAAAGTTTAGGGTGGGGCCATGTGGTGGTGGATGTTACTTGCTAGGCTTGATTGTAGGTTGGAACTTGAGAGGTTTGAGAACAGGGGAAATGACACGATTAAGTCAGTGTTAAAAGTATAATATTAATAGTAGGCAATAAGTACAGAATTGAGGTGAGGGGAGGGAAGCAAGTCTCCAGAGTGGCTATTACCGTCCTCAAGAAGTGATAAGAGTCCACAGTAAAGATTAATCACTGATCATTGAGACGCCATCTTTTTCTTTAGACTTTTCTGAATGTAGAGCAGGTTGATTAAGTCTTTCTAACGTAAAGAGAGAACTTTTTTCTAGTAGAGATATCCAGAGAAATGGACTGCTTTCTTGGTATTAGATGAGCTTTAGCGCATTTTTTAAAACATTTGTTTCTGTACCACTGTTGTCCTCAGGTGGGGCCTGCACTGGCTGCCAGTCTGTGAACTGTCAATTACCAGTGTGGAATGAGATAAAGAAATTACACCACTAACCACACTGTTAATTCAGATGGTGACTTTTTTTTTTCCTGGTAGCAAAACTCTCAGTGAAGAAAGTGGTGCGTTGATTTATCCACATCTTACCAGGACCAGCCCTTTGAGTAGCACTATAAACAGTTGTTAACCTCATGTGTGGTTTTTAGCATTTTGAATGCAGGGATATTTTTCCCAACGAAATTGGTAGTTGTCATTCAACTCTGATCTGTATAGGATTTTTCTAAGTTGATACATTTGTATTTGGTGCAGTAGCCAAGTGATAAGGAAGATTTTAAACCATTCTCAAATTTGGGAAGGGATTCTTTGCAGCTTTGAGTTATGCTTGCCTTAGTTAATCAAACATAAGGCATGCTAATATTTCTGTACTGCTGTCTCCAGTAGTCTGTCTCAGAGCAAGAATGGAAAACTGTTGACTAATAAACTAGCCTTTTTTTTTTTTTTTGAGACAGAGTCTTGCTCTGTCACCAGGCTGGAGTGCAGTGGCACAATCTTGACTCACTGCAACCTCTGCCTCCCGGGCTCAAGTAATTCTCGTGCCTCAGCCTCCTGAGTAGCTGGGATTACAGGCATGCGCCACCACGCCCCACTAATTTTTTTGTATTTTTAGTACAGACAGGGTTTTTCCATGTTGGCCAGGCTGGTCTTGAACTCCCAACCTCAGGTAATCCACCCACCTTAGCCTCCCAAAGTGCTAGGATTACCAGCATGAGCCACTGTGCCTGGCCTAAACTAGCTTTTGAACAAGCTTAAAGGACAAGTACAAAGAGCCCCACTAATTTATGCTTATAATTACAAATACATTTGATGGCTTTAGAAATCTAAAGAGATAGGTCAGTAGCTTTATTCTCTTATTGCAGGAGAAGAAACTAAAGCTCACACACGTGTTTGCCTAAGGTTATCATAATCAGTAAGTTGAAGAGCCAGAATCCATTGCCTGGTGTTCTTGTTCAGATTCCCATACTTGTTTGACTACACCTGGCTGACATTTCAGGGAAGATGGGGTGAGGTTAGTGTATGCACCTCTTTCTAACTGCCTGTGTGACGACATCAGCTGAGTCTCCTTCTCTGAGAGCTTTGTTGTAGTTACTCTAGGAGCCAGCAAGGCCTACCTAAAGTAAAAATTCATTCAGTCATTGATTTTTCTTTAGTAAACTTGGATGAAATGGGGTTCTGTTTCTCCATGCTTTGTGGACAGCTTCAGTCAAAAAACGTAACTTGTTGGTTCTGTTGTTAGTATGTAGAAATTAATGATGTCATCCTGTAGAAGGCCAGAAAGTTACTCAGAGTTATATCACTAGTAATAGTGTCTTAAGGACATATCTCCATACCCAGACATTTTGCTGCTGTAGGAAAAGAAATCATGTAGCAAGTGATTTTTATTTTATGTCATTGTTTTAATCACAATCACAAGAATCCCTCAAAAAGTTTACCTCTCTGTTCTCTCTCCTACATTTGTAGCTAGTATATTGAGTTTCTGTGCTTGTTTTTGACAAGGGACGTTTATTTTATGGCTTTGGATGACCACAACAAAGTCTTCCTTAGTAAAGATATTAATATGAGAGATATAATATAAAGATATAATATAGGGATACTAAGCATATCCCTCTAAATAGAAGGGATCTCCACTACCTTAAGCCTATAAAACAGTCAGAGCTAGTATAGCAGCTGCCTTCAGTTGATTGGTGATGGAGTTATACTCTGACCTATGCTGTCATCAGTAATAGCTTTAATTGGACATGCGGAAGGTTGGGAAATAGGGTAATTCATATTTCAGGGAACATTTTGCTGGTCTCTGCTGAGGGGACTGAAAGCACAATTGGTGGGGGAGACAGAGGAAATGGCTCTGAATATTTTCTGCATCTCCTGTACATCAGGCAGTAACTCATGGGCTTTACTTTTTTTTTTTCTTTTTTTGGAGTAATGAAAGGGTATCTTAATCAAATTCCCACAGTGCTGTAGCATTGGGGGGGGGGTGTGGTGTGGGGTGGGTGTGTGTGGGTGTGTGTGTGTGTGTGTGTGTGTACCAGCTGAGATCCACAGGTTCCAGTAACTGCTTTGAGAAACTGAGCCTTGATTGCTTCTTGAGAATGGTTCAGCTGTTAAGAGAAAGAATGACAGACAGCATGTGAAAAGTAATGGGTGTCAGGTCTCTTACAAACACCGTTAACTATAGGTGTATTAGGTATCTATCGTAACTTTGCCGGTTTTCATTTGTGTTCTTATACAGTGGTGCTTAGGTTAGTATGCTTTTGACACAGGTCTGTTGGCCTTCTTGGTTTTCTTCCTTTGAACAAACATCTTCAATATCTTTATGACAGTCTTTCTCTGCCCTTTGAAATCATTACTGCCAATCCATGCTTATTTATAAATGTAAAAATCTCATGCCTTCCTTTAATGGTCCTGAAGTTGCAAATAGTTTTTGCCCCCTTAATTATAGTTATAATACTGACTTTGCTTTTCCAAACTATATTAATTTATTCATTTAACAAGAATTTACTGGGCACCTCTACTATATGCTAAAAACTGCTAGAGAGAACTACTTAGACATGTTGTGTGTGCCTTTTCCATACACTCTAATCACTGCTTTAAGGAAGTCAAAAAGATTCCTTATGGGGTGGGAGTGGGGGGAAGACAACAGTCTCTATAGAATCACATTGATTATTTTTGTTTTTGGAGACAGATCTTGCAGTGTTGCCCAGGCTGAAGTGCAGTGGCACAAACATGGCTCACTGTTGCCTTGCCCTCCTGGGCTAAAGTGATTCTCCCCCTCAGCCTCGTGAGTAGCTGGGACCACAGGCACACACCCCTACACCTGGCTAATTTAAAATAATTTTTTGTAGAAATGGAGTCTCACTATATTGCCCAGGCTGGTCTCAAACTCCTGGGCTCAAGTGATCCTCCTGCTTCAGCCTCCCACAGTGCTGGGATTTATAGATGTGAGCCACTGCTCCCAGCCTAGAATCACATTGAATTTTATTTGGATTAAGGATATATTCGCCCTATGGGGATAATAGCTATATCTCATTTCCCTTGGCTGTTGAGGAGAATCTGAATTAGAGACTCTTCAGAAGTAAATTTCTTCTTCTAGGTTTTACCAAATGAACTAATCTTAATCTTCTGCTTTACCATAATTCTAGAAGTGCTCGATGGCATGGGATGGGGAGGTGGAGATTGACTGTGGCCTCCACTGGCCAGATTTGGCCATTACTGCCTTTTTCTGATTCTTTCTGGGGATTTCTCTGGCTAAATCTCAGAACTTTGATTACCTAGCGTACATTGCTGCATTTAACTCCATTCTGCTCTGCTGCTGTAGAGTTTGTGAAGACTGGAAGTAAGATAGGTGTACAATGTTTCTGAAGACCTAAAGAGCTTGTTAGAATGATACCAGAGGTAGAAAGAACTAAAGAGAGCTGTCCTCCTTCGAGATTACTTCTTGCAGGATTGGGGACCTTGTCCAGAAAGTTGTTTGGCTTTCCCACATTCTGCATGGGCGAGACACACAGGCTTCCCTTCCCCTGGACACATTTAGAGACAGTCCATATAATCTACAGGACCAAGACAATCAGGATTGAACCTATTTGGAATAGTGAGACTCTTCAAATCCTGTTAGTCTTGAAGGAACTATTTACCTGGAGCCTTTCATAGAGAAATAAATGGCTTCAAAAAGTCAATCAAAATCTGTTTAAAGTGATGTCCATTTTGTTTGCTTCTTAGAACGCTCTTAACATTATTGGTCCTTTCCCCAAAAATGTTTCTTAGTTTGCTGTTACAAGTTCTCACTGTGTTGCAGGGTAGAAATCCACCTGCCTTCTAATGTGGTACTTAAAACCCATTGTAATCATTCGTTGAGTTTCTTTCTCAGGATACAAGTTAAGGATCTAGATTAGAATAGTCAGGTAAGATTTAAATTATTGTGACCTATGTTTAGCGATTGCCAATATTTCAATTCCATTTTGTTGTTATTGTTCCATAATAATTTGTAGAACTAATAGAATCCAAGGATTCTCATCAAGGGGAAATAAATGACTTAAAGTATGGGTAGTTTGGGGTTGTTGGGATAGTCATTTGTTAGTTTTATTGTCTGGATATGTCAAATAGAATATTTCTAACTAGCTTGTTTTTAGAAATGATCCTGTTTTAAAGGTATTAAAAAGCACATTTTGGTTTTCTCCCAGTCAGTATTGATTTCCTAAGGGACAAGTATTTTATGTATTATTTTCCAAATATTCCTTTAATTTCAAAGTGAAATCTTAATGTTAGTGGGGAAAAAAAGCCAGGTTTCAAAGCTATCCCTGGCTGCACTTGCAACATTCCTGTAATTGCTTAACTAGGTGGAAATGGATGGGGCCTGGTGGCTGACAATCTCACATAATCTCATACAACTGAGCCTCGGGTTAGAATGGTGTACCGGAGATGCAGTCCTGTCATCTGGTGTCAGTCAAATGTGGCAGCAATCTTTTGGTTTGGTTTTTGTTTGTTTGATTTTGTTGTTGTTGTTGTTGTTGTTGTTACTGTTCTGTGTTTTTCCTTTCCTCTTTTGAGTTTTGCTTTATTCCTCACTGCTTTCTGACACTTCCCCCTCACTCCCCTGTCTTTTGTTAACTGCCTTTCTTTTGGCCATTTCTGTGCCTTGACTTTCCCATTTGGTCTCTGTACAATCTGTTCCTTATTTCTCTGGTGGTTGCAGCTTCTGAGCTAACAGAATGCTTCTGTCATGCTATGTGTTTAAAGCCTTGATTTTATTGCTGTCATACAAAACTAAACTTGATGTGGCTGTTGGGCTGTTATTTACAGTTTATTTCTCTCTCTGCTGCACTGGTTAAAAGGACACTGTCAAGGTATTTTTTTCATAATTTTTCAAATCATTTTCCTCACTGTTTACAATAACCCATTAAAAGCTTGAAACCTAAATCTTTTCCTTTCAAAGATCCTCTCCATCATACATTCACACTGGTTTGTTGTTGTAGAGTTGCGCCTATATGTTGGGCTGGTGCCATTTGAGTTTTTGTCATTGAAAGCACGTGTAAAACATTAGGTTTTTTGTGGGTGGTGTGGGTGGACTAAGGGGGAAAGTGTAATGAATCCAGTGGGCTGCTCAGCAAACAGAGGGAAGAAACAGGTCAAATTTGGTCCCTCTAACCTTGACAGTGTCCCTTTAAATATTTCTCTACCACACACCCTGGACCCCAGTTACTGAGCCTGAGTGCTGTGTACTTTTTCAGTATGAACTTCCCTTTGTGATTGTCATCCTAGTTGCAAAGATTAAAGCTTGTCTGAAGCAAGCCATCCAGTTGACACTGGAAGAGCTTTAATCTGTACCATTTGCACACTTGTGTTTGACACATTCTGCCCTATTGTAGAGGCATATGTGATCTAGTAGTCCCTCTTGGCTGCTATAGCATCCTCTTGCTAGGCATTTTAGAAGCAACACATAGAAATATCACTTTTATACTCCAGGAAAAGCAGTCAGGCGCATTGCATCTGTGATCAGTTAAGGTCTCATAACTACCTAGATTTCACATTGAAATGTAATTGTTTCTCCTTTTTGAAAGAAAAACCAAATTTAGATTTCCAGAACCATCTTTTGTAGCATCATTGCAGGATTTGCACTAGAAGTAGCATGTTTCTGAGCAAAATTTCAGCATTGTTTGAGTTGCTCTGCATATGACCATCACATATCACATCAGTGAGGAAAAGTAGCTGAGAAAGTAAATGAAATTCCTGACCAAAGGGTCTCTTCCATCAGCTCTCATAGCTGTGTAATAAGAACAAGCTCTTTTTTTGGCCATTGAGTTGAATGAGTAGTAGATCACAGGTTTTTGATCTACCAGTCTTAGGTACCTTCCTGATATAAATGGCACCAAGTATCTGAAGCCTGATTCTCTGCCTCATTTAACACAAACCAGAATATTTTTAGAGATTTAGATTTTCTTTAGGCTAAGGGTAATTCTTTAATTATAAAGATACCCTGATCCCTCCCATGTATAGTCTTTGGGAACTTACTGTTTGAATATGATTTTTAAATCAGTTATGGTATCTGTCATATTTACAGTTCAAAGGAGAGTTGCAGTCCTCTTTCTTTTTGGGGGCAGATTGCCCTTCTTGCCAGATTCTTTCTGCCACACACTGGCTCATCTCGTAGTGTTACTTGTGTTATCAGTGAAGGAGCAGAGGCCAGGGTTCAAAATCGTCTGTTGGGTTGGGAAGTGGAAAAACTGTGGAGTTTCAAATGAGAGGTAGAATCTTACTGGGATGGTCTTGTCAACAGTCAGTTACCTCTGATTGTAAAAGGTCGCTCCTCCTGAGTCTTAGTGTTTACTAGAATTTGCTTCAATGTTTTATTTTTGTGTTACCAGTTTTAGGTTGACTGTATAATGAAATTCTGTATTTTGAATCACATTTCCCTGCTGATATCAGCCCAGCTTATAACAAGTAATGCTTGCCTTAAACATATTTTTTCTTTCTCTCACTTCTGCCATCAATTCAACAATAGGATTGCAGATACAGTTTACTTTGGGGCTGAATTAAGCAGTAGCAGAGGGGTGTTTGTAAACTAACTGATGTTATCAATAGGCAGGGACACAGCATGGCTTAGGATCATGGTCTTCCAGCTTGATGACCTGCTTTGCAATCTGTTTGCTTCATCCACATCAATGAGGAGCCAGACCTTCTGGTCCTTCATTTACTCATAGACTCTCTTAAGAGCTTTGTACATTCAATTCTGAACTTATTGGTGCCATAAAATATTATTACTGTGCAAAAGAATAAAAGTGCTAGTGTGTTCTTATTAGTAGCCATGAATTTCATTTCTCTTTTCCCTCTTCCCACCTGAGATTCATCTTTGAGGGGAAGCCAGATACCTTGGGCTTCTTATTTTCCCATCCTGCCCTTATTCTTGGAAGGTCCTCAGGTTTGTTGACATGGTTTTTGTTCTCTGGGACTTTTCTAGTGTGTTGTTTGCATGTCAGCCAGCTCAACTTAATGCATGTCAGCTCAGTGCCACTTGTGCTCCATGTGACTTCAGTTAGCACCAGTGTAAATCTTGTGGCTGTTAATAGAGGTGGAGTCCCAGCTCTGACGGCAGTAGTGGGAGAAGAAGAGGAAATTGTCAGGGCCCAAACATTTCATATCTCATTTAAATGGATCTGACCACTTCATAGAAAAGAAAATTTGAATCATTGTGCTCAAAGGTTTCCCCTTTGAGATACATATTTTGACCTTTATAAACTATAGAGCATTTGTGTTTTCATGGATGGTTATGTTTAGTTTTATAAGGACCAACTCTGCTATACTTCGGATTTTCAGGTTCCTAAAGAGAAAGATGAAATGGTAGAGCAAGAGTTTAACCGGTTGCTAGAAGCTACATCTTACCTTAGTCATCAACTAGACTTCAATGTCCTCAATAATAAGCCTGTGTCCCTTGGCCAGGCATTGGAAGTTGTCATTCAGTAAGTACTTTGATACTGCTTATTGTATAGTGAGTTCCATGTGTAAAGATTTGCTATTTATGTTTTAAGTTTTTCTGCAAGTCTTGTTTGAGGTAGTTTTTACTTAATTTTGTATGAAACCATTGAATCCAAAGTTAAAAATTATTTAAAATAATTATATGATCCCTTAAGGCCCCTTTCACTTCTAAAATTCAGTGCTTTTATGGTATTATACTATATTTAACATAGCCTAGGAAATAATTTCCAACTAGCCAACTTTCTTGTTCCTAAGTATCAGAAGTTTCAGTGGGCCTTGATGCCCTTAAATGTTTTTGATGGGCACCTGTCTTATTCTGCAAAGTTGGCTTTGAGAGCAGATTATACATATTGTCTCTCTTAGGTTACAAGAGAAGCATGTCAAAGATGAGCAGATTGAACATTGGAAGAAGATAGTGAAAACTCAGGAAGAATTGAAAGAACTTCTTAATAAGGTGAAATTCTGTATTTTCTTCATAGCTGAAGAAGCTTTAATAGGAGAAAAAGTCTTTAGAAATTTTAAAAGCATTTCCGAGATTTTTTCCTCCATGGAAGAGAAAGTCTGCACAGCTGGGACTCATTCTTAAGAAAATAATGACTAACGAAAGAGACTGTTTTATCTGTCAGTCTTTCAGTGTGGCATTATTGATAAATGGTTGCCAGAGGAAATAGATCTTTCCTCTTTGTCTGGTTCCCTTTGGCTCAGGGGTGTCCAGTCTTTTGGCCTCCCTCAGTCACATTGGAAGAAGAAGAATTGTCTTGGGCAACACATAAAATACACTAACACTAATGATAGCTAATGAGCTTAAAAAAAATGGAAAAGAAAATTCAGTGTTTTGAGAAAATTTATGAATTTGTGTTGGGCCGCATTCAAAACTGTCCTGGGCCACGAGTTGGACAAGCGTGGTTTAGCTATTCTAAAGCTATCCCAGTGCCCTCAGCTGAATTCTAGGACTAGCAGGAGAATTAGCTGTACTGGAGCCAAGTTTTCATTGGTGAAGACCAACAAATCAGCAGCCAGTTCATTGGCATAATTATTTCTCTTGAGTTGCTGCCACCCCCACCTCTGTTCCCCAGGGCTGAACCGTTAGGGCTCTTCTCTGCCACCGCCTTCCAGAGCCCCAGGCTCCAGCGCATTAAAGTCCAACCATTTGCTTCTCCTCACCCTGCCAGCTGCAAAGGTCGCATCAGCTTAGGGAGAAAATAGCCCCTGGAGGGGGCCTTTATAGTGCATACTCTGGGTGTGCCTGTGACTGGACTCTTGCCTCACTCTCACTGTGCCTCATTCTTCATCCTGTCTAATGAAGAGATCTCCAGCTCACAGTCTTCATGGATTGTGGTAAGGATGAAATGAGAAGAGTGATTTAAGAACTGCCAAGTGGCCAGGATACCTGTAGGGTGGCCCAGTCTCAGGCTTTGTCACTCTTGTCCTGTGTGGTATCATCAGAAACCTGAAAAAAGCTAACATTAACAATGGTTCCTTAAGATTCTTTGGCCAGGCACAGTGGCTTATGCCTATAATCCCAACACTTTGAGAGGCTGAGGCAGGTGGATCATTTGAGGTCAAGAGCTCGAGATCAGCCTGGCCAAATGGTGAAACCCCTTCTCTACTAAAATACAAAAAATTTGCTGGGCATGGTAGCACACACCTGTAATCCCAGTTACTCAGGAGGCTGAGGCATGAGAATCATTTGAACCTGGGAGGCAGAGGTTGCAGTGAGCTGAGATTGTGCCATTGCACTCTAGCCTGGGTGACAGAACAAGACTGTGTCTCTTAGAAAAAAAAAAAAAATTCTTTGACCTTTTACATATTTAAAAAACACATTATAGGACCAGGCATGGTGGCTCACGCCTGTAATCCCAGCACTTTGGGAGGCCGAGGAGGGCAGATCACGAGGTCAAGAGATCGAGACCATTCTGGCTAACATGGTGAAACCCCATCTCTACTAAAAATACAAAAAATTAGTTGGGCATGGTGGCGGGTGCCTGTAGTCCCAGCTACTCAGGAAGCTGAGGCAGGAGAATGGCGTGAACCCAGGAGGCAGAGCTTGCAGTGAGCCGAGATGGTGCCACTGCACTCCAGCCTGGGCGACAGAGTGAGACTCTGTCTCAAAAAAAAAAAACAAACACACACATTATGACAATTTGTTTCCGAAAATAAGTTTAAGTTACATTAGCAACAGTTTCCTTTTTGTGGAGATTAAATTTATTTCAATACTGGGTTTTTTCTTTGTTTGTTTAAATTAATGGGACACTCCTCATCCTTCTCATTCGTTTTAGAAGGCAGCACTGATCTTACTTATCAGATAGAGTTGTGGTACCTTTATGTCAAGCCCTATAAGATTTCTTTCCTATTTCCCAAATGGAATGATGTAGGTTAGAACAAGTACTTAAGAATTCTCAGGACCTTGCATTGTAGCCCTGTTTTGTTGGGATAGCAGTTTTGAGGAGCCAAAAAAGGGTACATGTGATGTAGACATAAACTACATTGCTATCTGGAATGGTAAATTTGTATTTTTCCTTCTTAGATGGTAAATTTGAAAGAGAAAATTAAAGAACTCCATCAGCAATACAAAGAAGCATCTGAAGTAAAGCCACCCAGAGATATTACTGCCGAGTTCTTAGTGAAAAGCAAACACAGGGATCTGACCGCCCTATGCAAGGTGTGGTATACATACATGCCTAACTGGTTTTACTTGGAATCCTAAGAAATAGCACAGATCTGGGGAATTTTGGAAAAGAGAGCCACTAGCCAATCACAAGTGCCTTCAGTGCAATGAAGACGATTTGGTACATAAGGAGCCATGGGGATTTAATGGGTTAGTTCGGTTTAAGACCTGCTTGTCCTGCAGAATTCTTATCCTGTCTTAATAATCTCATCATTTTATCTTAAATCTCAATTTAGCCCTAACAGTTTAGAGTAAGAGTATTAAACATGGACTTCAGAGTCATTTGGGGTCAAACTGTCTGATTCAAATCCCTAACTTGGAATCTCGAGCCATGTGACCTTGGACTCCTTAATTGCCTCATCTGTAACATGGTCTTAACACCTACCTTGTAGGGTAATTGTGAAGCTTAAATAAAATTATGTATAAAGTGCTTACCCAGTGCCAGGGACATGGCATGCTTATGAAATGGTGCTTGCTATGATTTTTCATCCCCACTTTGCAGCACACTAGTATGTTTCTTCCATTATTTTCTCCTGTGTGCTCCTTGCCTCCCCCTAATATTCCAGGCCCCCAACTGTAACTTGTCTCCAAAAACAAAAATCTCTCAGCTCTATCTAACCCCAGCCTAAAATTGAGCCACACTTCCTGTACATGATCTGAAGAGGAAATATGATCCAGACCTTATACTTTGTGGTACAAAGAAACTAGGTGGATATCTGACCCTTCAGGGTAACTCAGGTTCACTTAATTTTTATCAGGAATATGATGAATTAGCTGAAACACAAGGAAAGCTAGAAGAAAAACTTCAGGAGTTGGAAGCGAATCCCCCAAGGTAAGGAAAACAAACACAAAAGTTCAGAGGGAGAGCTTTTACTGTTCTTTCAGCTTGATTTGGAAGGAAAATTCTAAATCATAATGAGCTTTTATTTATGTTCAGTGAGTGGTTTAAATTGTTAAATAAATGAATGTGTGACTACTTTTGAGGTTTCTAAATCCCCTGCTCCTGTATTTTAATGTGTCCTAGATACCTAAACAGATTGTTTCTAAAGAGAGAGCCTTTCTCCGTAAGATCTGATATTTGGATAAAGATGTAATAGATGGAAATTATCTTTCTTGAGAGGGTAGAAGTTGCTGTTGCTTTACACTTCCATAATTTTGGAAACTAGCGGGGTATTATACTTTATTTCCACTGGGTTTTTGACAGTGAATGCTGGTGAAATGTTTTCACTTGCATCCAGCCTCCACATAAATCTGTTCTGTTCTGTATTCAAGAATGCTACCCACCCTTTCTTTTTTTGAGATGGGATCTCGCTCTTGTTGCCCAGGCTGGAGTGCAATGATGTGATCTCAGCTCACTGCAACATCCACCTCCTGGGTTCAAGCAATTCTCTTGCCTCAGCCTCCTGAGTAGCTGGGATTACAGGTGCCCACCACCATGCCCAGCTAATTTTTGTATTTTTAGATGGGGTTTCACCTGTTGGCCAGGCTGATCTCGAACTCCTGACCTCAGGTGATCCACCTGCCTCGACCTCCCAAAGTGCTGGGATTACAGGCATGAGCCACAGCATCCAGCCTGCCCATCCTTTCTATAGAGTCTATGCTGTGTGTAAAATATAAGACATTTTTTACAACTAGTAAGCTTTTATGATATAAGGTGATTTCATATGAAGCATTCTTTTTTTTTTTTCCTTCAGACAAATGAGGCCTACATGTAATTTGCTTTACGTAGTGAGCTTGGCACTGCTCTAGACATCAGAGATAAAGAGGTTAATAAGACAGATAAGATGCTACTTTTTGATTTGTAATTTCTTCATATAAGGCACAGCCCTGGCTTAGGTTCTGACACAGTTACTGAGATCACCTACATCACACTGAGAGAACTAGTGATATCTTTTAATAATCCTGTAGTCCTTTGTTCTTTTGCAGTGATGTATATCTCTCATCAAGAGACAGACAAATACTTGATTGGCATTTTGCAAATCTTGAATTTGCTAATGCCACACCTCTCTCAACTCTCTCCCTTAAGCACTGGGATCAGGTAAGTTTCCCTTATTGTTTATTTTATTGCACATGCCTTTGAGAGGGATTGTAAGAGAAATAGTTAATTTTGTATGTGTGTTTTTAAACAGCTTTAGTAAGAGACATCATTTACATACAGTGAAATTCACCTATTTTAAGTGAACAGTTTATTGATTTGCCAGACTTCAGTCATAAGCCCCCACACAATCAGAATATAGAACATGCCCATCATCCTGAAATGTTTTCTCCTGCCTCTTTGTAGTTAATCCCCCATGCTCTGGCTCCTGGCCCTGGACAACCACTGATTTGCGTTATCACTGTAATTTTGTTTATTCTACAGTTTCATATAAAGTGAATCATACAGTACATAGCTTTTTGTGTGTGATATATTTCACTTAGTATAGTTTTTGAGATGTGCATGAAGTTTTTGAGATTCATCTTTTTTGCCTGTATCAGTAGTTTGTTCCTTTTAATTATTTAATAGAATTCCATTGTGTGGATATACCACTGGTGCCTTAATGGGCATTTGGGTTGTTTCCCTTTTTTGACTGCTAATGAACGAAGCTGCTTAAGAATGTTCATGTCTTTCTCTTGAGTAAATATTTATGAATGGAATTGCTGGGTACTATGGAAAGTGGATTTTTAACTTTATAAATCAACTTCCAAACTATTTTCCAAATTGCCTTCCCATCAGCAATGTATGAAAATTCCATTTTCTCCAAATCCTCACCAATCTTGGTAATGCCAGTTTTTAAAATGTCAGCCATTCTAATAGGTATAGTAGTATTTGCATTTCCCTGATGACTAGTGATGTAGAGCAACTCTTCCTGAGCTTATGAGCCATTCATATGTCATCTTTGAGTAAATGTCTGCTCAGATCTTTTGCCTATTAAAAAAGTCTGATTGTCTGCTTGTTGATGAGTTTGAAGTTTATTATGTTCTTTAAATTCTAGGCAGAAGTCCTTTGTCAGATTTATGTTTTACAAATATTTATTTCCTTGTCATCTGTGGCTTGTCTTTAATTTTCTAAATCTGTCTCAAAGAGTAAAAGTTTTTACTTTAATTTTTTTCTTTTGAGACAAGGTCTTGCTTTGTTGCCCAGGCTGGAGTGGTGTGATCATGGCTCCCTTGCAGCCTTTACCTCCTGGGCTCAAGTGATCTTCCTGCCTTGGACTCCCATTCCTATTTATAAAATTTTTCTTTTAAACCATGTTCTTTTTCTATCTTGAAAAGAATCTTTGTCTTACCTGTGGTCACAAAGATGTTATCCTGTGTTCTCCTGCAGAAATTGTATGGGTTTAGCTCTTATGTTTAGGTCTATACTCCATTTTGTGTTAATTTTTATGTTTAAGGAAAGGTAAGTGAAGGGTTCATGTTTTTCCATATAGTTATGTAATTATTATTCCAGCACTATCCTTTTCTTCATTTGTCTTGGCACCTTTGTTGAAAATTAATTGGCATGTAAGCATGAGTATTTAGGGTTGTCTTTTCTGTTAATTTATCTGTCTATCCATATGCCACTATCATACTGTCTTGTAAGTTCTCCAACTTTGTTCATTTTTGAAATTGTTTTGGCTATTTTAAGGTACGTATTTCCATAACAGTTTTAGAATCAACTTGTCAATTTCTACAAAAATCACCTTCTGGGATTTTGATTAGGAGTGCATTAAATTTCTAGGTCAATTTAGGGTGAATTGCCATCTTAACAATATTGAATATTCTTATCCTTAAATACAGTATACTTCTCCAAAAATAGTTTTCTTTCGTTTATGTCAGTGATGTTTTATAGTTCTCAGTGAGCAGGGCTATACCATCTTTTCTTAAATTTCAGTGTGATTTACTCTTCAAGTGAGAAATCACAAGGCTTCTTGGACCAATCTCTAAATCTGAGACTTTGGCCAGAATTAAGACTGTATAGGCTGGGTACGGTGGCTCACGCCTTTTTAAACCCAGCACTTTGGGAGGCCAGAGCAGGAGGATCAATTGAGTCAGGAGTTCAAGACCAGCCTGGCCCTGTCTCTACTAAAAATACAAAAATTAGCCGGGCATGGTGGCGGGCACCTGTAATCCCAGCTACTTGGGAGGCTGAGGCACGAGAATTGCCTGAACCCAGGAGGCAGAGGCTGCAGTGAGCGGAGATCGCGCCATTGCACTCCAGCCTGGGCAACAGAGCAAGACTCCATCTCAAAAAAAAAAAAAATGTATAGAAGTAAATTATTAAATTTTTATTTATATATTTTAGTTTACATTATACATTTTCCTAATAAAAATTATTTTGACAGGCTGGGCATGGTGGCTCATGCCTGTAATCCCAGCACTTTGGGAGGCCAAGGCAGGCGGATCACCTCAGGTCAGGAGTTCGAGACCAGCCTGGCCAACATGGTGAAACCCCATCTCTACTAAAAATACAAAATTAGCCTGGCGTGGTGGCGCATGCCTGTAGTCTCAGCTGCTTGGGAGACTGAGGCAAGAGAATCGCTTGAACCCAGGAGGCGGAGGTTGCAGTGAGCCGAGATCACGCCACTGCACTGCAGCCTGGGCAACAAGAGCAAAACTCCATCTCAAAAAAAAAATTATTTTGACTTCTTAATCTTTAGATTATAATCTGATAGTTTTAGTATTTGAAGAGTTGGACTTGTTAGAGATAAAGTCTTGCAGAACTACCAGTTCCTTTGTGGTTTTTCATGTAAATACTAACTTAGGCCCTTCTAGTCATTGATTTATCATTTGATGTTTCAATATGTGTCTATTTGTAATAGTATTAAATTTTAAATGAGTGATTTCAGCTGAAGTAGAGTGTTGCTGCCAGCCCAGTATTTTGATCTAATTTCCCCAAGAATTTCATGAAATTAGAAATCCTTACCAGCTTACAAAAAAAATGTTACATAGAAAAATTTTCAGTAAATTCAAAGAAGTAAGATCATTTTGGGGATCTTTAAATTCCTGGTCAATTCCTGACTTTTTTTTTACTGTATGGACTGTCTTGGGCCACTCTTTATGGTCCTAGATTACCTTCATCTAGTTTGACTGACTTAGTTTTGGAAATCTTCCTCAACTTCAAACCTGTAAATTTAAAGAATAAAAACTGATTTTGCTCTCAGGTAAAAGAAAATGTAATCAGGACTGTGACCCTGATATCCTTCAAGTCTGTAATGTATTCAAAAGCCAGATAAATAAACTTGAATGATGTTTAATCATCTGAATTTCCTGAATCATCATTCCCCCTACCACCTCCCTACCCTAACCACCATAGAAGATCCGGACTTAGTGGTATTGGACTGGAATGATAAAAACTATCCAGGGAAGGCCGAGCGTGGTGGCTCATGCCTGTAATACCAGCACTTTAGGAGGCTGAGGTGGGTGGGTCAGGAGTTTGAGACCAGCCTAGCCAACGTGGTGAAACCCCGTCTCTACTAAAAATACAAAAACTAGCGGGGTGTGGTGGTACATGCCTGTAATCCCAGCAGTTACTTGGGAGGCTGAGGCAAGAGAATCACTTGAACCCAGGAGTCCGAGGTTGCAATGAGCCGAGAGCACGCCACTGCACTCCAGCCTGGATGACAAAGCAAGACTCTGTATCAAAAAAAAAAAAAAATCCAGGGACAAAAGAAACTTCCCTAATCTCACTACCCGAAGATTTAGGGACATTTTTTGGTGTTTTCTCTTTTTCCTTCAGTTTCCTTTGGTAACTGTAGCTAAATACTGAGTGATTTGTTCTTTAGTTTGCCTTAAAATATTGACTGTTTCCACAAGCTTGTGTTTTCATTGTTGTTGTACAGAACTAGGTGCAAATGACACAGATTAATAAAAGGTTGGAAATATGTTCTTTTCTCTCCTCTTTAGGATGATGACTTTGAGTTCACTGGCAGCCACCTGACAGTAAGGAATGGCTACTCGTGTGTGCCTGTGGCTTTAGCAGAAGGCCTAGACATTAAACTGAATACAGCAGTGCGACAGGTTCGCTACACGGCTTCAGGTATGTCACTGCTTTACAAAAGGTAAGAGAGAACTCTCCTGAAACAGGACTGATCTTTTGTTAGGTGCGACCTATCAGGTACATTTCCTGATAGAGTGTTTATGACACCATAGGTAAAAATTGGCATTTATAGACAGTTGAGCCTATAGAGTCTTTGGTGGTTCTAACCCTATCATTTTATAAACTGGGAAATCGAAGCAAGTTTTAGAGTTTCCAATTTGTGCATGAGCTAGTTGGATATTACTGGTCGAGCATCCCTAATCTGAAAATCTGAAATCTCTAATGCCCCAGTGAGCATTTCCTTTGAGCACCATGTCAGTGCTCAAAAAGTTTTCCATTTTGGTGACCCAGTGAGTTTGGATCTAGTTTTGTTAAGTATATTCATAAATACCAGGATTTTGGCCCCTGGGCTCCACTAGGACCCACCCCTTATATTTCACCATCCGCATTTTGGTCTTTGGATTCATTTTGGCTTTTTCTATGCATTTGGGCTAATTCGCTTACGTTTGGTTCCTAGTTCTGGAGCAGTCCTGCTAATAAGTTGACTTCTTCAGAGATAGAGTTTCCCTGTGCTTGCTATGGGGATAGGCTCAATGCTCATTATTATTGCTGGTTTCAGGCTACATTTGATGTAAAGTGCAGACAACTGTTGGATTTTGAACTCCTCAAGATAACTAGTCATCTCCCTCTCTGAGAACCCATGTATGACTATGTAGGCATGAGAAATGGAGACATAGCCATCAATCTTACCCTGCGCTGCCCCTTTCCTTGGAGTTACTGAGATCACCACAGATGTTTTGGTTTTTTACTAACAATCAGTGAAACAGTTTTCCATTTAATTTTCCCATCAGAGGCAGCTTGTAGTTGACAGTGCTGAGAAGATCTGCAGCCTTGAGCCTTTTGCAGGCAGACGGAGAACAGTGAGAATAGATGTTGTGCCATTTTCTCGAGTTCTGCAGCCATAGAAAATGAGCATGTACTGAGCTTTCATATTTATTTTGAGATATATAATTTCAAAATATATATAGTATATAAACAGACATTCATTAAAAAACAAACGAGGAAAACGATGTTAACATAATTTCAGTACCCTCTCTGAGGTCAGCTTTGAACTCATTCATACTCTGACAAGCTGAGAATCACTGTGCATTCTCAAGCATAGCACGCTCCACAGTTTTAGGCTGCATCCCCCAGATCTGCATCACAGCCTTCTTGTAGCATTCTTCTGTTGGTCGATAGTGAGCAGCTAACCACAGTCAGAAGACATTGGTTCTATTGGGATGAGCACTTTATTCTTTATTTTTGGTCTAAATGTACTTAACTTGAGTAAGTGGTATAAGGTCCTTTCATTAGTCTAGATCACCAGTGTATCAGGAGGGTAGTGTGGGGATGACAGTTGAGGATTCTGAAGTTGACTACAAGGGTTTGAATCCTGGCACTTATTACGTGTGTAGCCTTAGATGAGTTATTTCACCTCTACCTCAGTTTTCTTATGTGAAACATGAAGGTAATGAAAATAGAAAAATGAGAATTGAGAAATGGATGTCCATCTGTTGTACACTAAATGTTCAGTGTCCTTATCAGTGCCATATTCATCACCACTAGTCTTTTCCCACCCAACCTCTGCAGGATGTGAAGTGATAGCTGTGAATACCCGCTCCACGAGTCAAACCTTTATTTATAAATGCGACGCAGTTCTCTGTACCCTTCCCCTGGGTGTGCTGAAGCAGCAGCCACCAGCCGTTCAGTTTGTGCCACCTCTCCCTGAGTGGAAAACATCTGCAGTCCAAAGGATGGGATTTGGCAACCTTAACAAGGTAGCTTGCCCTAGACACTCCTGTCTACAGATCTGATGTACAAATAGCAGTCTTCGTTGTTTACTTGGTGAGGAGGTGGCCTTGCATTTTTGGGCATTTGGCTATGCTCCCAATTGTGACATCAGGGCTGAGGCGTGTCAGTTGATTCTCTTCAGTGCCTAAGTCTATCATCAAGTGTCTGTTCATATGGACTTAGTCTTATGGGGTCATTTCACAAACTCAGGCCTATAAAAAGGGGATCGTAAATGTCATCCTAAATAATAAGGATTGCTGGGCTTATTTTGAAAGCAGATTAGAAGAGACTTTAAGGAAGTCTGTTGAAGCCAGTATTATCTGGCCCCTGTCACTGGCTCATGTGCTTCTTTCTTATGGTAGGTGGTGTTGTGTTTTGATCGGGTGTTCTGGGATCCAAGTGTCAATTTGTTCGGGCATGTTGGCAGTACGACTGCCAGCAGGGGTGAGCTCTTCCTCTTCTGGAACCTCTATAAAGGTAAATGCCTTCTAATTTTAATCTTTTCCATATCCTTACAGGAATATAGAATTTGAAATATTTTGGGTTTTCTCAATATATATGCCTTAATTTCTCTCTTTATTAACTCAACAAACAATTCCTGAAATACCTTCTAGGTACTGGGGTATAAAAATACCTGCCTTCAAGGAGCTCCCAACTTAGTGGGGATACAGTAAGCGGGGAAGCAGGCTTAGAACAGGGCAGTAGGTGGCCTGATGGGCTGAACGCCCAGGTTACTGGAGGTCCACTCAGCCTGGAGGGATAGGCCCAGGGAGGCTTCCTACCAGGGGAAGCTTGCGTTCTCATTCTCAGACTGACTTGCCCCTGATTCTTTGATTACTTCTCTTACTATGTGTTTATGAAATTCCTACCTCCTGTTCAGTTATTTTCTTTTGTAATTGGACTTAACTGTATGTAGACTTGTAATATTTGTACCCCACCTCATTCCAAGAAAAGGCTGTAAAAATAAGACATTGGCCTTGTCAGTGCAGACACATCAGCTAACCGTTGGCTTGCTCCCCATCCCCAGTTCTTTCCATTACTCCTCACTGCCCAGTGGTGAATGGTCTTTCACACCCCAGAGCCTCTAACTTCACAGAGGGGGAACTTGGCTCCCTGAGCACATTGCTTTCTGAGAGCAGCAGCGTGTCTTTTCCCTTCCCCATCCAGGCTGTCAAGTCCTGTCAGTGCTAGCCTTACAATCTCTTGCAAACCTATTTACTTTTTTCTATTGCCTACCTCCCAGTCCAAGCCATTCTTACCTGTTGCCTGGACGGTTACCAATAGCTACTACTGCTATTCCTGCTTCTTTTAGTGACTTTCTACTGCTGAAAGAAAATGTTCAAACTCCTTATCTTGGCCCATGCTAAGGTTCTTCATTATCTAGCTCATCTCTACTTCCTTGTCCATCCCCAGATTCCAGGCACATTCGGCTGTTCTCACATCCTGGAAGGCACCATGCTGCTTTCTGCCTCAGAGCCTCTGCGTGTACTGTGGTCTAGGCCTGGGGGTGCTGCTTCTCCCACCCCCTCGACCCCCTTCCTTCCCAACCTGTCTTACTCAGCATTCAGGTCTTGACATAAATTTCAAAGTATTTCAAAGACGACTTCCAGGACACATCTCCACTGCCCCAAATGTAAATTAAATACCCCATATTCTTTTCCGTGTAGCCTACGTTTTTCTTCATAGCTTTTAAGTTAATAATTGTCTGTGTAATTTTGCATCTGTTGCTCTATTGGAGTAATAGTTTATATCATATTTTTTATCCCCCTTTTCTAGTACTGTGCCTACCACCTAAGTCTGTTGCATAATTACTCACCGGATGGGTGACTGAAGACAGTCCTGGGCTTGGAGGGGCCTGGGATGGCTAAAAGGGATGTAGTCATTGTCATGGAGCTATCCAAGGTAGTCAAGGTTAAGAATTCTGTGCCAAAGTAAAGCGATGCTTAATAATTCCCTTTTATTAGCAAGATCTGAAATTATATCTTCAGAACTGCTGTATTTTGCCAGGTTAGAAGCAGTGAGGTGCCTGAGAATCTTACTTCACTCTAGTCTGCCAGCTCCTACTGGCTGGTGTCTGGCGACAAAGAGTTCTGTATGCTGTTTCAGAAACATAATCTGTCTCTTCGCATTTGAATGGTACTGCGTGTGTCTTGTCATCAGATTTCAGAGCACCAGGAATAAGGTGGGGCCTGATAAGGAAGTTTTTGAGGAAAGTCTGTAGGAAAACCCTAGAATTATCCTTTCTGTTTCCCCAGCTCCAATACTGTTGGCACTAGTGGCAGGAGAAGCTGCTGGTATCATGGAAAACATAAGTGACGATGTGATTGTTGGCCGATGCCTGGCCATTCTCAAAGGGATTTTTGGTAGCAGTGCAGTACCTCAGGTAAGTAGGTAGGTGGGGCAAGGAGGGATCTAGGGTTCAGACTCAACCAGGGTTTAATGTATTTGCAGCATGTTCTTGGTCAGGACAGTTTAAGCTAGAATTGAGGTCTGTGCTTTTACATGAATAATTAATGTTTGGAGTTCATGGCCTAAGCGTGGGGTTCAGAAAACCCCCCAGGACAAGAGCTGGGGAGTCTGAAGGCTGCTAGCTGCATTTCTCCTCCGGCTTTAGAGTCACACCAGATCCCTGACATTTTAGACAAAATGGCCAAACTCCAGTGAGTATCTCCGGGAAGTTTTCAGAGAACCTCTTGGTACTTTTTCGTGTTCTTTGAAATACTTTAACCCTTTAGGATTCCTTTGAAGGGAAGGATATTGTGAATTTATAAAAGAGAATAAAGGCCAAGCCCTGTGTAGATCTCTGGATTCATAGACAGGAAGGCAACATGGAGGGGCATCCTTCCTGTCTGAAGTCCTTTTGTCCATGTGTGTTTTAAAGCAGGCATTCATCACTTGATCACTGGCTCTCACATGTTGCCCCTCTTTCTCTTCACTTGCATCTCCACCCACCACTGCTTTTCCACCTTTCAAGGATTGATTTGTGCTTGGTGTCTCGTAATGACTTTTGCTCCTGGTTTTTCTTTTAGCCCAAAGAAACTGTGGTGTCTCGTTGGCGTGCTGATCCCTGGGCTCGGGGCTCTTATTCCTATGTTGCTGCAGGATCATCTGGAAATGACTATGATTTAATGGCTCAGCCAATCACTCCTGGCCCCTCGATTCCAGGTGCCCCACAGGTGAGAAGCTGGCAAACTATCTGGGCTTATTTGGGAAGAGGCCAGGATCTCATGATGTCCCTGATTTTTTTTTTTTTTTTCAGATTTTAGTCATTCCATCTTCGGACCCTTTCAGATAACCAAGAGCAGAGTTAAAAGGATGGGCAGCATTTCTGATTTCTCATAATTTGGTTTTGTAAATCTAGGCAGTCTACATTCAGAATGGAGGAGTCCAGAGTATAAGTCAAATAACATTTTTCCTTATTCAGGTTTTCTCCCTAAAAAACAAAACCATTTTTAATTGCACTTCCATTTTGTAATGGCTCATAGGATTGCTGTAAGGTCTCAATTACTAGGGGCTTCCAGGGCATTTCTGAGAAATAACCCTGGGTCCTTGTCTAGACCCTTATGCCAGACCCCACTCCAAAGAGCGGTAAGAATTCCTTAGTGTCATAGCCCAGACCTGCTGAGCTGCGAGGCTTAAGTGTCCCTGATCACCAAATGTCCTGTGCTTCAGGGTAGCGAGGCTCCCTCCCAGAAGGTAGTTATACATGAGGGAAGGACGCTTTACAACTGGGTATCTAAACTGATGAGAACACATGTTAAGCATCACTTTAGGACTGAGCCTAGGTAGAGTTTTATTGTCTCATTTCTACTTGTCAATTCTGGGAAAGTGCCTACTGATAAGGGAGACTCTTCGATAGAATGATGAATAGTAATTGGGGGGGTCAGCCTTTAAAAAGGTCAACAGCAATTTAAGTACTTAGCAATTTAAGTACAAGAATAAAGGTATATGTGCAGCCTGCCAATTTTCTCTTTTTCCCCTAAAATAGCCGATTCCACGACTCTTCTTTGCGGGAGAACATACGATCCGTAACTACCCAGCCACAGTGCATGGTGCTCTGCTGAGTGGGCTGCGAGAAGCGGGAAGAATTGCAGACCAGTTTTTGGGGGCCATGTATACGCTGCCTCGCCAGGCCACACCAGGTGTTCCTGCACAGCAGTCCCCAAGCATGTGAGACAGATGCATTCTAAGGGAAGAGGCCCATGTGCCTGTTTCTGCCATGTAAGGAAGGCTCTTCTAGCAATACTAGATCCCACTGAGAAAATCCACCCTGGCATCTGGGCTCCTGATCAGCTGATGGAGCTCCTGATTTGACAAAGGAGCTTGCCTCCTTTGAATGACCTAGAGCACAGGGAGGAACTTGTCCATTAGTTTGGAATTGTGTTCTTCGTAAAGACTGAGGCAAGCAAGTGCTGTGAAATAACATCATCTTAGTCCCTTGGTGTGTGGGGTTTTTGTTTTTTTTTTATATTTTGAGAATAAAACTTCATATAAAATTGGCCCTCTCTTTTGTTCCTTTGAGTTGGAGTTACATACAAGATGGGGGCATTACTCCTTTGGAAATGCCAAGTTTATCCTATGGCAATAGTAATACATGTTTTCTCCATGTTTAAATAAGGAAGAAGATGTTCATATAAAAGAGAAAAATGGTTTGATCAGGTCAGAAGATAAGGTAGGGGGGCCGGTCCTGTAGAAGCAGTGGACTTCCTGGTCAGTCGGACTAGGCTTCCTCACTTGGGTGGGGGTGGAGTGTGGTGGTGTGCCAAGAACATGGTTATTAGGAAACTTTGGATGCACTTTCAAGATAGAACACAAAAGAGCTGAAACAAAGTCTGAGCCTTTGGGAGACCAGTCTGCCTTTATTCCTGATTCCCTCCATGGGTATGTGCTAAAACTTCCCAATTCTACTAAAGGTGGTGGTGTACATTTTGGGAAGCGCACTACATAGGATCAAGGGCTTAGGTAACAGCTGGTTTAACAGATTGCCACAAACTTAGTGGCTCTTAAAAAAACAGAAATCTATTCGAAAGTTCTGGAAGCTTAAAGTCTAAAATGGGTACACAGGGCTGCATTCATTACAGAGGCTCTCAGAGCAGGGAGGATCAGTTCATTTCCTTGCTCTTTTCAGCTTCTAGGTGTGGGAAGGCTCGTGGCTCCTTCCTCCATCCTCAGAGCACATAACTCCAGTTTCTGCTTCCATCATCACATTGCCTTCTCCTGTAGTCAAATCTTTTGTCTCTCTCTTAAAAGGATACTACCTGTGATTACATTTAAGGCCCACCTGGATCATCTAGGATGTTCTGCCTCATCCCAGCATCCTTATCTGCAAAGTCCCTTTTGCCATATAAGATGATAAAAACATGTTACATGCTGGTTCCTTCCCAGGGGCTCCTGACTGACTGACAGATAGATGATAAACACTGTTACTGCAAATCCAAGTAATGTCCCTTAAATGTGGTTTTATTCTTTCTTACTGTGAGTTAAGGGACATCATTATATATATTGGTGATCTGACTGGAAGATGAAAACGGAGAAGGCTTTTCCCCCCCTAGTCTTAGAATTCGTGGCAGTAATGGAAAGAATCTGCACACCAGGATCAGGGCAGTTAATGTTTCCAGTCCTTGCAGTATCAGTAATTGGTTAGGTAAAATACCCAATTTTAAGTATTACACAATGAAATAAATAAATATACTAGAGCTGCGCCAACGCATAGAAGACAGATGATACACAGGGATGACATTGACAAAACTGGCATCACAGACTCGCACAGAGTATACGGAAACGAGGGAGCTTTATTGGTTACATATTGTACTGCAGAGCCAACAGAGAGCATTCGCGCCAGAGGATACATGCAGACAGGCAGCTCCAATGATACACATGCACCCAAGGAGCCCTGAGCCACTGCTTTGCCCTGGTTTCCAGCGACAGGTTCTGGCCTCCTTGGTCCCATGCTTGGAGCTGCTGCACCTAGACTCTAAGGGGCAGGGGTGAGAGAGACCAGAGCACCTGCCTGAGCAAGTAGGTGTGGACCAACAGGCTGCCCCCAACAAAGGGGCCTATAATGCAATAACAGTTTATTTGAGGGCTACTTTCTTAGCCCTCTCAATCTTTAAAATACAAAAAAATAGACTTTATTCTCTTAAAAATACATTCCATTCAGTATATGTTCTGAGCTGGGAAGCAGCAGGAAAATAGGGCCCCTTTCCTATGATCCTATGGTTGTGAGGCTTTGAGGAGAACCCTGCTCCCCACTCGGGGTATTCAAAAAATAATCCCTAAAAGCAGCTCTTTCCAAAGCAATCTTGTCAGAGAAATAACAAAACCTCATAACAAGGTAGCCAGGGACCCAGCCTCTGGGTCCCCATTCCTTTATTGGGAAGTGGTAGCACTTGGCACTGACCCACTAAATATAAAGAACTAAAACTGCCCCAGGACGACAAGTCCAAGAACACTATAGTGCCCCCTGCATCCCGAACACTCCACTGACGGGGGTTATTTATGTGCAAGCTTGCCTACAGCTGAGGGTGGGGTGGCATCCTTGGCCCCACTGCAGATCCCTTTAACCCACACTGTGACTCTTTCTCATTGCCACCCAAAAGCAAAAAACAGCCACAGCTTCTTTATCCACCTGCAGCTTTCTCTGGTTTAGTATCAGAGTGGCAAAAAAAGCAGCAGCACGTGGAAGAGATCAGCTGCTGGTACTAAGCCAGCTTCACTTCCTCCAACCAAGCAGCTCTATTGCCAGGTCCCCCAACTCACTAGGAACCCTCCAACAACCATACACCTGCCAGTAAAATTTAAGAGCCAAGCTGCGGAAGAAAACTGTCATAAAAGTGGGTTTGTTGACCGGGGGCAGTGGGACTATTTGGCTTGATTAAACAACTATTCAACTACCAGGTCTCCCCTCTACTTGGAGGCTTCCTCCAGGACCCCTGATGATGAGGCCTGGGTCCAAACAGTCACACCTCAGTTGCTTTTCAGAAACATGCCTCCCAACTTTGGGATTTGAGAGCCAGCCTTGCCAGCCATTTGAAGCCCAGAGAAACAGCCTCCAGCCTTTACTTGCTATTACAATGTTATTTTCTGCAATGCTGAGGACACTTAAAAATAAAATCTATCTAGAAAGTGTGCAGATTAAAGAAACAAAATATCCTGAAATAACTGTTACAAGCAAATCCTATTGCACTCAGATTTCAAGATGGCAGCCCCAGCAAAAGGGCATCACAGCTGTCCCTCTTCAACAGGACATTTTGAGTAGCAGCAGATGTTGGTGCTGCTGAAATGTGGAAAGATCCAGACTTTGGCACCAGGAGCTATAGCACCAGAATCCAGGGCTCCAACACTCAAAGACAAGAATTATTGGCGAGATCTTTTTAGGCATGGCTTGGCGCCCTTCTGTTTCCATCAGCAGAGAAGAGCCACAGACTTAGTTTCCTAATACCTTTAGTTGACCACCACAGAGGTTGATTTTCTTTGAACTCTCAAGGTTGCCAACCAGTGAAGGAGAATGGCAGGGAGGCTGCAAGTGAAGGATGGCAGCCTTGAGTGAGCTAGTTTCTGGCCAGTAAGCCAGGAGAAGCAGCAGTAAGAGATCTTGGAAATAGCATCTTGAGCATCAGAGGTGGGGATGTGGACAGGAAAGGCAGGCCACATGACAATGCCTTTAGATTGGCAAAACTCTGGGAAGCAGAAGTATGAGCAATAGATTCCTGTCCCTGAAAGTAAGGTAGGTGCTCCCCAAGCCTCCTCACTGCCAAATCTGATACAGACAAGGTCAGGATGAACACTGGTTCCCATGCTGAGTGAAGGCAGAGAAGACAAATTCCTCTGGAGGAAGTCTTGAGTCTTCCTCTTGCCAGGAAATTCATAGGAGATGCACAGGAACAGGAGATACACAGACTTGGGTACTTTCCATAATACCTAGACTCCTAGAACGCCAGGAGATACTGTGTGGCACTGGGCAAGGCTGATGCCACAAAGAGCCTCAGAGACCATCCCATCTAATCCCTTCACACTTTGCAGATTGGGAAACAGGCCCACGGAGCTTCTCTGAGCTCATCCCCATGAGATTAAAACATACAGAAACTAAAAAACAAGGCCCAGAAAAACAATTGAGGGCAGGAGGGAAGAACCCACACGGATGATACCTTCCACAAGCAAAAATCATCCCATACTATTATAGATGGTGAAAACAGGAGAACCTTAGAATACCAGATTTGGTGCCCTTAGAGATCATCCATTTCAAAGAACTCATTTTACAGACAGGGAAACTGAGGCTCCAAGAAGACAATGACTCACCCAAGGTCACACAGCAAGGAAGTAAAGCCATGGGGAAAAAAATCCAGCTTACCAGACTGGTAGTTTAATGTTCTCTCATTCTGAGGGCAATAGTGTCTACTTCATAAAGGTAGCCTTTGAAAGAGGATCCCTTCTTTGAATTGACAGAATGCTAAAGAAAAAGCACTGCCAAGAATATACAATTCTTTTCAACTTCCCCATGTGACTGGTATAAGGAACCTAACCAATTTATTTACGTGGCTTTCTGAAAAGTTTGCTGCATTTTGAACTATATAAAGCTGAGGCCCTCAATGCGTATGTACGTATCACCTTTCCTCCAGCGAAGTCATCATGATAGTCGACTTGCAGAAATCCGGGGCCCACTTCTGTAGGAATGCATCAGCTTGGTAAAGTGCGATGCCTCCTCCATGGGGGATGGAGAAGGAGGAACAGGAGGGAGTAGTCTCACAGTCCATGCCTCTCATGGAGCTATTGCTTGTGGAGTGACTAAAGGGGTCTGCTTTCCCTCTTGCTGGGCACTTCCTAGAAGGCAGAGGATGCTGGGTCAGGCCCAGCTTAGCCTAGGGATTTTCCCAAGGTGGAAACAATGAAGTCAGCTTGAAGTCTCCAGCCACTGGAGAGAAAGCAGGCGATGCCAGCAGCATTACTGGTGCTCAGGAAAGGAGATGCATGAGGCTTGCACCTCCAGGTGCCTTTGGAAGGTGAGCAGAGAGAGCTGGGGTTGGGGAGGGATGATGTCATTCCAATGGGTATCCGCATGAGTATCTGCATGCTCTGCTTCCAGGAGACTGGTAAGCCAGGAGCCAGGTCAAACTTCAACCTAAAGGGTAGTCTCATAATCCTTTAGAGGCAGCACAGACCCCTTTCTGCTTTAAGTCTGAAGAAAAGAACTCCAAGGGGAAAGAAATGAAAGCCCCCTAGATAGAGCTGATGGCTGGTAAATCTTATGGGGTACTTGAGCCCATTGGGCAAATGAGGAGTGAAGTGGATATAGTGAGGAGACTGAGAAACCAGAACATTAACCACACAGACAGAGGCTGCCCTAGGATCCAGAAACAACCCACCAAGGAGCCGAGAAGAATTTTTGACTCCTGCTGTGTGCTGGGGACTTTATCTTCCCTTGTTTGGGGGCCAGAATGGTCCAACTACTTGGTGGACAGGGACAAGGAGAGAGAGAGGACTCGTGCATTGGGGAAGGTTGGGCCTGGGTGACTGTCCAGCTTGTAGTCTCTGATTCCCTCTGGCCAAATGGCAAAAATTACCTGAGCCACAGCCCGGCTCTACCACAGTTTTCCAGCCAAGGCTTGTGTCTTGCCTGGTTAACTGGCCTTGGATCCTTCGTGGGGCAGGACGGTGGAAGAGCTGAGAAGCAGGAGCAGAGGGCAGACAACAGACACCCAGCGGGCTCAGTTCTCCTCAGCACAGGGCCTGGTTGGCCGTAATCGTTCCTCGGCCCGTACTCGCCCAGACTCTGGCAGCCCCTGCTT
The DNA here is from genome assembly GCF_000001405.40 of Homo sapiens. Taxonomy (NCBI): domain Eukaryota; kingdom Metazoa; phylum Chordata; class Mammalia; order Primates; family Hominidae; genus Homo; species Homo sapiens. The sequence goes on from NC_000001.11 coordinate 23,088,976, forward strand.
CCCAGGCAGTTCAGACGGATCCAGGGAGTTGTGCAGTTGCCTGTAGACACTGAGTGTACAGTCTTCCCCTTCTTCCTCCTGTGCCAATAAATAACAAAAGTGAGCTGTGGAGGTCAGTAAAGTGAGGACCGAGACACCCTCACCTGCTACCATAGTGGGTCCTTTCCAACCCAGCAGAGGCAGATATAGCCCAGACAGGCCATAAGTTAACTGCAAAGATATGCTTTTGCCTGAGTATGGGCCAATATGTAAATTCCTTGGAAATCGGCAGACTGGGAACTCCAAGCTGCTGGGAACAATCAGGGTAGGCTAGGAGGAGGCTCACAACTCAACAGGAGCCTTACAGAGGATAGAGCCTGGAATGGGGGCATGGGACTAGCACCCCTGAGGAGGGGCCAGCAGTCTCCGAGTTCTGCACATGCATGCAGGCCGCATGATTCTGGGGATGAGGTCCACATCCTTGATGGGGAGCTGAAGAGAGGTCCGGACAGCTCTCTTCCTCCTTCCCACATACAAACTACCAAAAAGCTCACATTCCCGTCTCTCATCCTTTATCTCTCCTCTTAAATGTCCAAAGCTTCAGGGGCCCAAATAGCTGTCTTTCTCCCTACGCCTAGAATTCTACCTTTTTTTTTGAGACGAAGTCTCGCACTGTCTCCCGGGCTGGAGTGCAGTGGCGCAGTCTCAGCTCACTGCAACCTCCGTCTCCTGGGTTCAAGCGATTCTCCTGCCTCAGCCTCCCAAGTAGCTGGGATTACAAGCACGCACCACCACACCTGGCTTTTTTTTTTTTTCTTTTTTTGAGACGTCATTTCACTCTTGTTGCCCAGGCTGGAGTACAATGGTGCGATCTCGGCTCACTGCAACCTCCGCCTCCTGGGTTCAAGTGATTCTCCTGCCTCAGCCTCCTGAGTAGCTGCGATTACAGGCATGTGCCACCACACCCAGCTAATTTTGTATTTTTAGTAGAGACGGGGTTTCACTATATTGTCCAGGCTGGTCTTGAACTCCTGACCTTGTGATCCGCCTGCCTTGGCCTCCCAAAGTGCTGGGATTACAGGTGTGAGCCACCACGCCTGGCCAGAATTCTACCTTTTTAATATTCTCCTTGGTTCTCCCAAGCAAATGCAGATCAAAGAATAACATAGGCATGAGTAAGAAAGGTTAGAGTAGAAAGAGCATTGGATTTAGAGACAGGAATCTTGGATTCAAGTCTTCGCTCTTCCAGTAATTCTGCTGGGTGACCTTAGGTAAGATATTTTGTGTTTCTGACCCTTAGCTTCTACATCTGAAAAATGGGGATAATATCTGCCCCCAGGCAGATATTCAAGGGACTGAATAAGATAGTGGGTAGTGAAGTACTTTTGTCCAGTGTTAAGTACCCTGTAAAGAGTCACAGGGCTTTTCAAGTTAACAGAGTCATCTGCTTTTTTAAAGAAGGGAGCACTGTGTCCAGGTCCAAGAAGTTTTTCATCATCACAGGTTTCTCATCAAAAAGACACTCCCAGGGGCTTCTCCAGATGCTGTTCTGACACCCTGAGCCTCACACTCACATAAGGCAGGTGGTTCTGGATTTATCAAAGCTGTAATGAGCTATACTGAACCAGCCCTGCCCTCAGACTGATAATATGAGACAGACAGCTGTCTGGGGGGCAAAAGAAAGTGTCACTTGGAATTGGGTATACGCTTATCTAAAATAGGCCCAGTGTAAGCCCCGGCTCTCCTCATCCCTGAGAGGCCAGCAGCCTGTGAAGATCTGCTAACTGAGGCGGCCGAGAACTTGCTGACCTGGCTCCCCCTCACTGTGCCCTACAGAAAGGGCACCGGGCCTCCTCCTGTTGCCCAGAGCTCCCCATCAGCTGCAGCTGCTTCTTGTGCTTTTCATGCTGTTCTGAGGGCCTACGGGGAGCTCCTTTAGCTGCTCTGGCAAACCAAGGGAAGAGAAGACAGATTTCCTTTTTATGTCACCTTCATATACGAGAGCAAAATGAAGACAACAAATTGGAAAAGGGATTTTGGAAAGTGATGCTGCCAAAAACCTTCTTTAGGAGAAAGGTCAAACCCCCCTGATTTTTCAACAGTTCTCTAAGGAACCCAGTTCTACTCAGTTCTCAAGATCCTGGGTCACACAGGCCAGAGCAGAGGGGAAAAAGGAAAAGGCAAAGAAGGAAAAGGGAGGGAGAAAAGAGAGAGGGGAGAGAGGCTGGAACTCACCATGCTTGCTGAGTGGTTCCAGGCTGCGACAGTGATGGTGTCTCCTACCCGATTCCGACGGGTAAGCACCTCTGACACAGTGAGGCTACTTTGGGTCCTTCTGGAGGAGGGCTCAGGGGCATCCCCTGAACTTGGTCCTACCCTTCGAGTGCCCTGCTCAAAAAGGCAGGACCTGGGCTGTTCGAGTTCTGAGAAGTCTGTGGAAGACCTCTGGGTGTAGGCATTGCTATTGGTAGATTCCACGTTTTTACCTATTCGAGTTGGGGGGTCTTCTAAAGATTTCAAGTCTCGCCTACTCTTCCAGGCATTCCGCACAGTAACATGTCTGGCATCTGAGAAGCCCACTTCTGAAGGGGCACTATGGCTTTTCCACCTGATTGTCTCCGCTGGAGGTGCATGGCTATTCCTCTCCACAGGATCCGATGGCTTGATTATAATGCTGCTCCGAGAGACCACTGTTTCTGGCCTGTCCTTCAGGGGCCCATCTGCCATTCTCTCCGCTTCTGCAAGCTGCAGGGTGATGTCATGTTTGTGAATGGAGAGCTCAAAAGGGGAGCTGACATGGTTGCTAACTGATGTGAGCTCTGCCAGCCCCACCTGGATATTGCTAGTGGATGTGTGCCTCTCCCTCAGGGCCTCACCCGGAGCAGCTCTGGGGCTGCTGCTGTCAGATGGATATATAGTAATGCTACTTGTCACTTTGTTTGGCCCTGGTTTGGAGACGGGTTTCTGTTTCTCCAACGTAGTCTCTGTTCCAGATCCTCCCATGATTTTTTTCACATCCTTATCAACAATAACAGGTTTGATGATGGCTCTAGACCGCAACGCCTCTCTGGGGCTAAAGGGCCTTTGGCTTTTTACCCCAGCACCATTGGTATCTGGGAGCTCCATGGTATTGGTGGAGGCTCTGACAGATTTCACAGATTCATTCTCCATTCCAGCATCTTTATCATTCTCAAATAGGGAGGTTCTAGGTGCCCCTCGGGTTTTAGCCTTTTCTCTAGAGTTAGGCTGTGGTTTGGGCTCTGGCTCTGGAGTGATGGTTGTATTTACCAACTTGGCAGTAACAAGAGATGCTATGTCCAAGTCATCATCTGAGTCTGGCTTCTCTCTGCCACTGGATTTGATGACTCGACACCTCAAGGCTTCATGCGGACTGCTGTCTTCCATCACAACTGCTGCAGGTTGATTAACCCCTTCTTTATGTGAGGTTGAAAATCCCTGAAGGATGTTCTCTTGGCTTCTACAGCTATAAGGATACTTCGATAGAACAGGAGCCTTGGAATTCGGGCAACTGTTATCAGCCTCAAGGCCATTGGCAGCCTTTTTGCCTTTAGAGAGCCCTTCTGAGGAGGATCTTCGAGATGAGGCCAGGGCTCCAATGGCCTTAGAACAGCCAGAGTTTGCAGCCTGAGTTACTTGACTTCCGTTGCCAAGCACGTGTCCCCTCTTGCCAAAGACAGTCTCAGAGGAGGTGTCAGAAGCCTTGTCAGCTCTACCCAATGGGTCACTGGGAACAGATCCATGGGTGGTGTCACTAAACGTTCGTGTTGTCTTCTCCACTTTTCCCTTCAGTCCGCTCTCGGTGCCTGGCTTGGAAGTCCCCTTCCACGCTTTACTGTGCTCCTGAGCAGCCGGGGGGTAGCGACTCAGCACTGAGGGCTGCTCCCTAGACTTCTTCCCTTCGCTCTGGGAGGAGCCGGGTACAAACCGGTCTTCAGTTTTCTTTGTCTCCTGAGTCCCACTGTCTGTACTCACCCCCATGTGAGAAGCTTTTGCTGCCCTCCTGTTGGTGAAACTGGGAGAAGAAACCTGCCTGTTGCTCAGAGAATAGTTTTCATTGTTGAGAGCAAACTCCCTGTTCCGGAGTCGTTCCCGCTTATGCTGAGGAGACAGTTCCCGCGCTGTGTGCTTGGACACAGAAGCTTCACTTCCGTGGCCTCTAAACTTAGTCCTCTCATGTCTGCCTTTGCTGGACAGGAAAGCATCTTCCCCTTCTACCTCTCCATTTTCTAACTCTTTCTGTTTCTTGATTTGTAGCTTTATCTCCTCCAGTTGGCTGGCTAATAATTTGTTTTTATTTTGTTCACTTAGGTAATTATCCTGAAGGTCGTTATTTTTGGACTTCATTTTCTTAAGCTCTTCTTCCAACGATTCAAAGTGTTTGATTTGTGTCTTAAGTTTCTCAATCTCTTGGTTAAGGTCTTTGACTTTGTTGTCTTCCTGATTGCGGTTCTTTTCATTTTCTGATTTGTTTCTTGTTTCATTCTCTACCTGCTTTAGGTAGTCCAGACCACCCTTCCTTCTTGATTCTTTGGACGGCAGTGTGGAAGAGATGCCATCCTCAATCCGTAGGTCATTTCTTTCCAGATTAGAAGCATTCCTTGTATAATCTCGGTTCATTTTTTTGTTCTGCTCTAGTTTTTGAGTGAGTTCTTTTATCAATTTCTCATTTTCTTTCTCCTTTTCATTCAAGTATTTTCTCTCACTTACAAAGCTCAGAGTTAATGATTTCAGCTTTTCTAACTCTGACGCTAAACTCTGCTCAGTTTTATCCAGGCGGTCCTCAGAAGATTCTAGTTCTTTCACTTTGACTCTGAGCATTTCCAGCTCAGAGGAGATTTTCTTGGTCAGATTTCTCTCCTCATTCAGGCTCAGACACAGCTGGGTACAGTCATTCTTACTCCTGCTGAAGGCCTCTTCTAGCTTCTCTAATTCAGCCATTCGTTTCTGAAGCCGCTCAATCTCAGATTTCAGCTCCCGGGTGAGGTTTTCTTCCTCTTCAAGTTTCTCCTTCATCAGACGACACAGATCCTCTGCTCTCTTAATTTCCTCGTCTTTGCCTTCAATTCTCAGCACCCGCTGGCGCAGCACTTCAATCTCCGCCAACATGCTGGAGTTGCTACCTTCTGCCTGAATCACCTTGTCCTGGAGATCCAGGAGTTCATCCTCTGCTTTCTGGAGGTTTTTTGTGGCTTCCTCCAACTCATCAAGGCGGCGGCTTAGACTCTGTAGCTTAAACCGCAAGTGGCGGCTGGAGGCCGTCTCCTTGTAGCTTGTAAATTCGGCCATGTCTACTGCCAGCCAATGTGGGCTCCTAGAGGCATCCAATTCCACTCAAGGGGATGAGAAATGGTTACCTTTCTCTTGGCAACCACAATCTTCTTTGACAGCTGGAGACCATCATCAATCTACAAAAGGAAAGTAGAAAGCATGTCAGTCAGCAAATGTAAAACCTGCACGTTAGCTCCCAGTTATAGAAAAGTGCTCCTATCTGTTCCTGGTGCCTGGATCATAGCAGGGGCTCAAACCTGTTGAATGAATGACTTGAATAAACCTGCAAGAAAACACTGGTTCTTTATGGCCGATATTGAGTTGATACCTCATTTCGCCCTAATAAAGAATGTCACCAGTGGCAGCATGGCAAAAAGACATATAAGAAGCCTCAATTTTCATGGCAGGGTATAATAACATCATTACCATCTGCAACCTGCATAATCTCAGGAGAGTCATTAACAATGGAAACTAAGTCTCAGTTTTACTTAGTGGTAAAATGGGCATAATGATGTCTACCGTATTTCTCCCCAGTGTTGTTCTGAGATAATATGTGGAAGATCTTGGTAACAAAGCAATAAACAATCCTAAGATTTTTTTTTTTAAAGATTATCTCTTATGAGCTATTGTGACTTAAAAGTGATACAAATTAACCCTCTGCCTTGCTATAAATGGTGAGCTTCACAATATACTAAAACAATCTCTCTACACCCATTTTCAACATCTCTTCTCCCAAAAGTATATTTGTAAGTGGAATTCAGGTGTGAGTTGGCCCGACCCAGCCAACAGGCAGCTTCTACAAAACATATCCTTTTGCACTGTAAAAGAAATGCCCCAGATGTTAAGGTTGGTATGAAGACTGGTTTGTTTCTTTGAAAGCCATTTCACTGGGGATATATACCAAACATATAATAATACCCCAAGGAAATAGAGAAAGGGGAAGGTTTAGTTTTTTTATGTAATTTTCTCATTTTTAAAACAGGAGAATGGATTGATAAATGTATTTTAAACAGCTTTCATGAACAATAAGTCCTACGAAATTAAAAGGCAAACAACAGACTTCCATTTCCACCACTACAGCAAACCAGATAACCTGGAAAACCTCTAATACTATAAAACAGCTAAAAATACTGAATAAAATGTAACAATCACTTAAAATGTATAGTTGATCACATAGAAAGTAAGTGACATTCCAGCTAAAACCAGAGGAAAAGAAAACTAAATGAAAAATAATAGTAAGTTTAAACTACCACTGAGCTGTCCTTCTTAGGGTCTTGCCGATCTCCAGAACCAAGGAGTTTGGGTTCTAACAATCATGCAGGTATAAGAGGCAAGAGTTTGGGCTCAATAGAGGTGGTAAGTTGAAAATGAGACTCCAGTCCCCAATCTAAAGCAAGGATTATTGAAGAACTACAGCTCCAGGATAACTAGTGAAAAAAGTCACCTCCCTGATATAGGGAGATAAGAGGACCCGGGCTCTATTAGGGGTTAAAGGAGGATTATCCCTAGAGAATTTATAATCTTAGACCTGCTCTCACTTGAATTCAGAGTTCAAATTTATACCATCTGAGTGGTCTAGAACCTATCTGTCCTGAGAAACTAACATAAAATGGCCATCAGCCTAGTAATATCCCTGGGAAACCTAGCTGAGCAAACAAAAGTACTCTGGAGGGAGCCACTCTCTACAGAGGTCACACAGGATTCCCACAGATTAAAGTCCAGCTGAACCTGAGCTTATAACTAAAAATTACAAAACACATAAAGATCCATCTTTTACTTGACTGGGCAGAGCAAGTCAAGTAAAAAAGAACCAAAGTTACTAAGATTATTGGCTAGAGACCATACAATAAGTACATTCCAATGTTTAAAGTCATAAAAGAAGGAATGAAAAAAAAAAAAAACAGGAGAAAGGAACAAGGTGCTATCAACAAAGATCAGAAGATCTGAAAGTTAACTAAATACAACAGCTAGAAACAGAGAAGAGAAATGGCATATTAGAGGCAAAGGAAGATATTAATAGTGGTCAAGAGAGATACGTAATTACAAAGAGCAGCACAGAGTTAAAAAGATGGAAAAGGTAAAAGAGAGGTTAACAGATGGGGAAATAATTAAAAAGGTCCAAAACAAGGAAGTTTTAACAGGCAGCCCAAAAGGATAGAATACAGAATAGGGAACAGGCAATATTTGAAGAGCTAGCAGGTAAGAATTTTCAAGAGTTGATTAAAGATATGGACCTCACATTCAGGAAGCAATGTCCCAACAGGAGAAAACTAAATCTGCACCTAGGATTTAGGATCGGAAGAATCCTAAATCCTCGTAAGGATACGGAAGAATGTATCACAAACAGAAAATCTTTAAAAAGAAAAAAGAAAAAAAGACCATTGTCTCAGTCCATTTGTGCTGCTGTAATAAAATACCTGAGGTAGTAATTTATAAGAACAGAAACTGGCCAGGTGCGGTGGCTCACGCCTGTAATCCCAACATTTTAGGAGGCTGAGGCAGGAGGATCACTTGAGGTCAGGAGTTCAAGACCAGCCTGAACAACATGATGAGACCCCATCTCTACTAAAAATACAAAAATTAGCCAGGTGTGGTGGTGCACACCTATAATCCCAGCTACTTGGGAGGCTGGGGCACGATAATTGCCTGAACCCACGGGACGGAGGCTGCAGTGAGCTGAGATCGCGCCACTGCACTCCAGCCTGGTCGACAGAGCAAGACACCATCTCCAAAAAGAACAGAAATTATTTCCTCACAGTTCTGGAGCCTGGGAATATAAGATCAAGGCACCAGCAGGTTTAGTGTCTGCTGAAGGCCCAGTCTCTGCTTCCAAGATGACACCTAGAATGCTGTTTCCTCACAGGGAAGAAGGAATGGAACAAAAAGGGTTGAACTTGCTCCCTCAGGCCCTTTTTTAAAGGTGCTGATCCCTAATACTATCTCCTTAAAGGTCCTACCTCTTAATGCTGTTGCACTGGGGGTTACGTTTCAACACGAATTTTGGAGGAAGCAAAAACATCCCAAACACAAAAACAATCTATAATAACAACTGAACCACTTCTCAGCAGAAACTTTTAAGTAGGTGGCAAGTAGAATGGACTACAGGGGATAAGGTTGGGAGCAGGAAGACCAAATAGGAGGCTATTGCAGTAATCCAGGCAAAACATAGTTATGGCCTAGACCAGGATGGTGGCAGTACATGCGTTCCAAGAGCACGTGACCAAGACAGTTGAGAAATGGTCAGAATTCTGGCCGTATGAAGGCACGACCAAAAGATCTGCTCTTAGACTACATGTGAAGCATGAGGCAAAGAAAGGAATTAAGAAGCCGAGTGCAATGACTCATATCTATAATCCCAGCACTTTGAGAAGCTGAGGTGGAGTTCAACACCAGCCTGGGCACAACACAGTAAGATCCCGTCTCTATAAAAAAAGGTAAAATAAAATAAAATTAGAAGGTACAGTGGCATACACCTGTAGTCCCAGCTACTTGGTAGGCTGAGGCAAGAAGACAGCTTGAGCCCAGGAGTTTAAGGTTCCAGTGAGCTATGACTGTGCCACTGTACTCCAGCCAGGGTGACAGAGCAAGACCCTATCTCTAAATAAATAAGCAGATAGACAGATAGATAGATAGGAATTAAGGTAGACTCTAAGGTGGCTGGGCTGAATTTGTAGAGGGACAGCATTACCATCAATTCAAATGGAGATGACCGCAGATGGAGCAGTCTGAGAAGGAAGATGAGGAGTCTCATTTGGGACATGTGTATGAGATGTATATTAGATGTATAAGGGCCCACTTGAAATTCCTGGTAATGATTTAAAGTGAAACCAATCCACAAAGTTCTTTTTCTCCAGTCTTGTTCAGCTGGCTGAACAGACAAAAGAATAGAGAAACCAGAATTGGACTGAACCAGATCGAAGCACTGCAGAACAAAGCAAAAGAAGGACAGGAGAGCAGAGGATGTGTGTGAGGGACTTTAAATTCACTCAGTACAGAAGGAGGTGAAGAATAGTGAAAATATAATAGAAACTAATGAAGTGAAGGTCCCAAGGGGACTTGAAGGCTTGTTGGAGTAAGGGTACCAGGTACCAGAGGAAACTAAGCCTGAAATATAGAAGAAAGAAATCAGAGAGGGACTTCAAGGAATTGAAATCATGGAGGGACTGTAGTTATTGATAATGTCAAAAACGAAGGTATAATCATAGGAATCCTGTGGGGGAGTAGGGAGAAGTAGAGAACAAGATCATTAGAAGAGAGAAATAATTGAGAGGTAAAGGTGTTGCAAGGGTCACCAGCATGTAAGCGCCATAAATTAACAGGAATAATGCTGGAAAGAGTGACGTTAAGACAGAATCTGAAGTTGTTGAGAAGTTAGGGGCAGTGACTCAGGGCGTCGACAGACGGCAGCAACGATAGAGTATTAGGTGATGTCGTCCAATAAGATCACATTTAAAAATCAAGGACAAGAGTGAAGAAACAGTCTGAGACATAAGAGAAAAACAGCCACCACTGGAGAGGGAAGAAATGACTCCAACAATGATCCTATGAGAAAGCTCAGGGCAAAAGAAAAACAACTGAAATTGGGCCTGGAGGAGACGCCAAATGCCAATTCTCTCCAAGCCTGATTCTTCTAATGGCTGCACTATAAGCCTAGAACCACCAGATGGAGCCCAAGCTCAGCTCCTCAAAAACACCAACGCTTGAAGGTGTTGAAAAAACCAAGCCTTCCGCTTCCATTCAGATTCTGCCCACCCCGAATACTGCTCCCTGTCCATCACTCTGCTTCTCTGGGTACATCTTTCTCTGTCCTCTCATCTTTGCCTCTTTTGGTCCCCCTTCTCCTTTCCCCAGCCTACCTGCTTCCTCATTCTCAAAAACGGAGAGGGAAAAAACCTCCTATAGTTTATGTTTTTAAAAAGA